>NC_000022.11:18709564-19959564 GCF_000001405.40 Homo sapiens | reverse complement strand
ACCTCCGCTCCGCCCCGCCCCAGCCCCGTAGGGCCTCCCCGCCCACCCTCCTCTCTGCTCGCTGGTGTGGGATGGGAGGCCCCAGAAGGGGAGGCCCCGCCCACTGGGCCGGGAGGGACGCGGGACCACATCCAATTGACTTTGGGACCACGCCCACCCAGCCACGGAGGAGGGTGGGATCACGCCCACCTGGCCATCCGAGGGCTGACCCTGCGCTGTCACCGGCCACTGCCCAGTTTCGCAGGACGAAAGAGCAGGCAAGTGAGAAAATGGAGGGCGGGTCCTGAAAAGCCGAGAATCAGGCCTCCCTTTAAAGAAAGCCACGTAGAAACCCACCTGTGCTACTCAAAGCTGCTCGGATGTTCCCAGCCCTGGGATTTTGCCCCGTCAGCCCTCCATGGGGAAAAGGAACAGCTCCTTTAGTTTGGGGTCCCAGGACTCGAGAGTGGGCACGCCAGCTCAGTGTCCGACTCGGGACCCCCTATGATCCGATCGCCCTACTTTGGCTGTGTGGTCTGGGGAGCGTCAAGAGTCCCCCCTTACCTTACAGAGAGGCAAAAAGACAGTTTTGAATGCCCCTGTGGTGGGGGGCGGTGGGGTGCAGGCCGGAGGACCGAGGGGAATTCTCTCTGCTTTTGTGTATGTTTGAAATGTGCTTTTTTTTTGTTTTTTTGAAACAGGGTCTCACTCTGTCGCTCAGCCTGGAGTGCAGTGGCGCGGTCGCAGCTCACTGCAGTCTCGACCTCCTGGGCTCAAGGGATCCTCCTGCCTCAGCCCCCCCAAGTAGCTGGGACGACAGATGTGCACCACCGCACACCCAGCTTTTTTTTTTTTTTTTTTTTGGTAGAGATGGAGTGGAGGTGGGGTCTCGATATTTTGCCCAGGCTAGTCTCCTGAGCTCAAGTGCTCCACCCCCTTGGCCTTCCAAAGTGCTGGGATTACATGCATGAGCCACCGTGCCCAGCTGGCTTTTTTTTTTTTTTTTTTTTAAGGAAAATAACAAGTGTTAGCAAGGATGTGATGAAATGGGAACCCTCTTGCATTGCTGGTGTGAATGCCGTGGAAAACAGTTTGGTAGTTCTTCAAAAAGTTAAACATGTGGTCAGACCTGGTGGCTCATGACTGTAATTCCAGCACTTTGGGAGGTTGGGATGGGAGGATTGCTTGAGCCCAGGAGTCCCATACCAGTCTGGGAAACATGGCAAGACCCCATCTCTACAAAAAACTTAAAAATTAGCCAGGCGTGGTGGTCCGCACGTGTAGTCCCAGATACTTGGGAGGCTGAGGCGGGAGGATCACCTGAGCCCAGGAGGTTGAGGCTGCACAGGGCTGTGATCCTGCCACTGCACTCCAGCCTGGGCAACAGAGCAAGACCCCGTCTCAAAAAAAAAAAAAAAATTAAACATGCTATGCACCCACAAATATTAAAAAATTCTTAAAAACCCACAAAAATTAAAAATAAAAAAAAGTTAAAATAGAACTACCATATGACCCAGCAATTCTACTCCTAGGTGTATACCAAGAATTGAAAACAGGGACTAAACCAGATACTCGTACCCCAATATGCATAGCAACATCATCCACAATGGCCAACAGGTAGAAACAACCCTTCCATCCGTTAGCACCTGAATGGATAATAAAACATGGTAGAGCCATACAATGAGGTATGATTCAGTTATTAAAATGAATAAAGTACAGATGAATTCACGGTTCATCAAAATGGATGAACCTTCTGCACCGGCTGCCTGGCCATCGGCTCGCAAGCTCATGAGACCCCCGTGAGGTCCACATTCCCTCCTCTGTGAAACGGCTGATGGTCTTACCTCTCCAGCACAGTAGAGGGCAGGCATGATCGTGCCCACACAGCACCTGCACATGCTTGCCACATGCACGCCACATGCAGATGCACGTGTGAGGGCATCCTCAGTGCCTCACAGTGCGGCCAGGACACAGGCAGCTGGGCTTGACACCTCTGGCTCTAAAGAGCATGAAGCTTCTGGGCCTCAGTGCCAGGCCTGCCCAAGCTTCTCTGCCCAGCAGTCTGCTGCAGAGCTAGAGAGTCCATCACCTCTGTCACCTGGTCAGTATTCTCTCTCACATTGGACACACCCTAGATGACATTCATCTGCCTTTATTTTATTTCTTTAGAGACAGGGTCCTGTTCAATTGCCCAGGCTGGAGTGCAGTGGCGTGATCAAGGCTCACTGCAGCTGCAGCCTTGAACTCCCAGGCTCAAGGCATCCTCCTGAGTAGCTGGGACCACAGGTGCACACCACTGCATCTGGTCTCATCTTTCTTTAAAAGACAGGAATGCTGGCCGGGCGCGGTGGCTCATGCCTGTAATCCCAGCACTTTGGGAGGCCGGGGCGGGCAGATCACGAGGTCAGGAGATCGAGACCATCCTGGCTAACACAGTGAAACCCTGTCTCTACTAAAAATACAAAAAATTGGCCGGGTGTGGTGGCAGGCACCTGTAGTCCCAGCTACTCGGGAGGCTGAGGCAGGAGAATGGCGTGAACCCCAGAGGCGGAGCTTGCAGTGAGCCGAGATCACGCCACTGCACTCCAGCCTGGGTAACAGAGTGAGACTCCGTCTCAAAAAAAAAAAAAAGACAGGAATGTTTTCCATAAATATACTGCAAGTAACATCAGTGAAATGAGACTCTTAAAAATCCTTTAAAATATGAACTATGGCTGGAACAGTGGCCACACCTGTAATCCCAATACTTTGGGAGGCTGAGGCAGGAGGATCACTTGAGCCCAGGCGTTCAGGACCACTCTGGGCAACATAGTAAGACCCTGTCTCTATAAGAAATTAAAAAATAAACTAATTATATGACCTGGTTTCTAGGCTCATTTTAAAAAATCCGTAAAAGATAACTAGAAAATGGGCCTGGTGTGGTGGCTTACGCCTGTAATCCCAGCACTTTGGGAGGCCAAGGCGGGCAGACCACAAGGTCAGGATTTCGAGATCAGCCTGGCCAATATGGTGAAACCCTGTCTCTACTAAAAATACAAAAATTAGCCAGGCTTGGTGGCAAGCACCTGTTAGTCCCAGCTACTCAGGAGGCTGAGGCAGGAGAATAGCCTGAACCTGGGAGGCAGAGGTTGCAGGGAGCTAAGATCACTCCATTGCACTCCAGCCTGGGTGACAGAGCGAGACTCCGTCTCAAAAAAAAAAAAAAAAAAAAAAAAGAGAGCTCAAGACCATCCTGGCCAACATGGTGAAACCCTGTCTCTGCTAAAAATAACAAAAATTAGCTGGGCGTGGTGGTGTGTGCCTGTAGTCCTGGTTACTCAGGAGGCTGAGGCAGGAGAATCACTTGAACCCGGGAGGCGGTTGCAGTGAGCTGAGATCACACCACTGCACTCCAGCCTGGGCAGCAGAGCGAGACTCCATCTCAAAAAAAAAAAAAAAAAAAAAAAAAGAAAAAAAGAAAAAAAAGAAAGAAAGATAACTAGAAACTGACTTTGTTCTCTTTGCAAAGATCTGGGGTCCATCAGTTTTTCATTCTGCTATCACCTCTGTCAGAAGAGTGATTGACACTTTGGTCTCTATTCACCCACATCCTCCTGCTCAGGAAGGTGTCTTTCTCCTCCTCCTGGGAGAAAGACAGCTACCAGGGGCCACGGAGAGAAAGACTGGGCTGCACAGCAAGCTCAGGAGACCTCAGGTTGTGCTCTGAAATGGCTGTGCATCCTCCGTTCTCCACAGAGGGCCAACATGCGGCTGCAGTGACCCTCGGAAAGGCCACTGGCCATTTGGGGCACACTGTTCTCACTATTCCAGAACACAGAACCAATGCTAACAGCACCCTGCACACTGAGAGCCACTGTGGCTTGGACGTGCCTCATCCTGCCCTCACAGGGCTGGTGGCCCAGTCGGGGAGACAAGCATAGAGCCACAGGCGTGATGACAAACAGGACACAGATGGCAGGAAGGAGGCCAGTTCTAAGCGTTTACACACGGGGCAGCTCTGCTCGGCACACAGGTCCCCCACGGGGGCTGCAGAGGGCCCTACCTGGGGCTTGCTCAACAGGGCTGGAAACCCCCAGCAAAGGCTGGAACTGCTGCAAGAAGCCCTGCCCTTTGGGGCTGATCCGGTGTGATAAAGGGGGACCAGGATTCTGGCAGGGGATTCGACTGCGATCCAGTAATCCAGGGAGAGCCAGTACAGGTGCGTAGAGACAGGCCAGGCAGCACCAGGTAGGCCACACGCTTGGGCAGCGCCTGTGGACAGGCTGAGAGGACACCTGGAGGCCAGCCTGGGAGACCCCACAGGCTGCAGCCAGGCCCCGCGCTCATCTCTGGACCCAGGGGCTGGCCACTCACCTCCATCCAGCCTCTGGGAATCTAAAGGAATGACCAGAAGTTTAATGGCCACAAAATACCCATTGAGCCAGGCATGGTGGTGTGCCTATAGCTGCAGCTACTCAGGAGGCTGAAGTGGGAGGATTGCTTGGGCCCAGGAGTTGGAGGCTGGAGTGAGCCATGATTGCACCATGTCGTCCATCCTGGGCGACAGACACTGTCTCTAAAACAACACCACAATAAAAATGCCATCAAATCCAGATGGGGCCTCGCCTCTTTCTGGCAGCACTCTGGGAGTGTCCCCCTCCTGCCACTGTCTCATAACCCCCAGTACAAGAAGCTGTCATTTCTCCAACCTGCAGAGAGGAAGGAGGAGGCAGAGGACTAGCCTCTCACCCCGGTGACACCTGAGAAGAGGTGAGACAGTGCACCTGCTCTGGGCACCCTGCGAGGGGCCTACCTGCTATTTCTGTAAATGAAGCTTTATCAGAACGCACAATCAACCAGGCACGGTGGCTCACGTCTGTAATCCCAGCATTTTGGGAGGCTGAGGCGGGTGGATCACCTGAGGTCAGGAGTTCAAGAACAGCCTGACCAACATGGTGAAACCCCAGTCTCTATTAAAAATACACAATTAGCCAGACATGGTGATGCATGCCTGTAATCCCAGCTACTTGGGAGGCTGAGGCAGGAGAATCGCTAGAACTCGGGAGGTGGAGGTTGCAGTGAGCCGAGATGGTGCCATTACACTCCAGCCTGGGCAACAAGAGTGGGACTCCATCTCAAAACAAAACAAAACAAAAAACGCACAATTGCACAGACATTGTCCGTGGCTGCTCTCATCCGACCATGGCAGAGGTGAGCAGTTGCAACAAAGACTGCACCCTACATAGGGAAAGGGGCTGGTGTGGAAGGGAAGGGGTCAGAATGGAAGGTCAGATGGCCAGGCAGAGGGCAGCCTCCTGTAGCCTCCCCCGCCTGGTATCCTCAGTGGGGCCAGGCCCCCAGGCTCAGGGGAAGGCTTTTTTTTTTTTTGACTCAATACCTAATAGCTAAAGGGAAGGCTTTCACACGGACTGCACACCTGCTTCAAGCCAGGTGCTGCAGGGACCACGGTGACTTTGTCTTCACAGACACACCAAGAGGCAGATGCAAGGGCTGGGCTGAGAGAGGCAAGAGGCTGCACTGCACCTGCAGATTCACAGCCCCAGGGGGCCAGCTGGGCCATCCCTGCCTGTGGGGCCCCTCCACTCCTTTACTGTGGCCCCGTCGGGGCCCCCTCCCCTCCCTTCCATGGGCCAGACCTGCATGGTGGTCGCACATTCGCTTTATCCTTCAAGGGTGTTCTCCTGGTCACATCCGATTCTGCCTTGGCACCTGCTTGGAGGCCCCCTGCAGGTCAACCTGCTCATGTGGCAGGAGCTCAGTGTCCCGGCTCCCAGCAGAGGGCAGGCCTGGGGCAAGAGTGGAGGCTGGCTTGGCTCAGTGTGGAGGGGACAGAAAGGACAGGGGTGCCTTTAGGGAGGGGCAGAAAGGGCCTGGACATGCCTAGTGGGGTGACGTGCAGGCTGGCCATCTGCCCCGCTGGACTGAGCCCGGGAGCCTGCCCTGCCTGGGAATGGGGACTATTTTGGCAGCTGCTGAGTACTGTAAACAAAGCCGGCTGGGTGCAGTGGCTCACGCCTGTAATCCCAGCACTTTGGGAGGCTGAGGCAGGCAGATCACAAGGTCTGGAGTTGGAGACCATCCTGGCCAACATGGTGAAACTCTGTTTCCACTAAAAATGCAAAAAATGAGCCGGGCATGGTGGCGGGTGCCTGTAGTCCCAGCTACTCGGGAGGCTGAGGCAGGAGAATCGCTTGAACCGTGGAGGTGGAGGTTGTTGCAGTGAGTGGAGATAGTGCCACTGCACTCCAGCCTGGGCAACAGAGCGAGACTCTGTCTCAAAAAAACAACAACAAAAAAACAAAGCCCCAGCATCTGGACCAGGCTCTGGGCCAGGCCTGCATCCAGACCGCACTGGATGTGAGTGGAATCTGACCTCCTCATTGCTCTCCTCAAGGCTGAGTGGCAGCCCCACCCCCAGCGCCCAGGCCATGAGTCCTGAGGCCCACCGTGGCAGCAGCCTGGACAAAGACTCCCCCATCACACTCCGGCCAGGCTCCTCTGAGCACGTTTCTCGGCTGAGCCTCACCTTGGCCTATCAGGCCTTGAACAAACACTAACAAAGCTGCTGCTGCTTCATTTTATTTATTTATTTATTTATTTATTTATTTATTTATTTATTTATTTATTTATTTTTTGAGACGGGCTGTCACTCTGTCACACAGACTGGAGTGCAGTGGCGCGATCTCGGCTCACTGCAACCTCCGCCTCCTGGGTTCAAGCGATTCTCCTGCCTCAGCCTCCTGAGTAGCTGGGATTATAGGCTCACACCACCACGCCTAGCTAATTTTTGTATTTTTAGTAGAGACAAGGTTTCACCATGTTGGTCAGGCTGGTCTTGAACTCCTGACCTTGTGATCTGCCCACCTCGGCCTCCCAAAGTGCTGGGATTACAGGCGTGAGCCACTGCGCTCGGCTGTTTTTTTTTTGTTGTTGTTTTGTTTTGTTTTGAGACGGAGTCTTGCTCTGTCTCCCAGGCTAGAGTGCAGTGGCGCAATCTCGGCTCACTGCAAGCTCCATCCCCCGGGTTCATGGCATTCTCCTGCCTCAGCCTCCCAGTAGCTGGGACTACAGGCGCCCGCCACCACGCCCGGCTAACTTTTTTGTGTTTTTGGTAGAGACGGGGTTTCACCATGTTAGCCAGGATGGTCTCGATCTCCTGACCTCATGATCCGCCCGCCTTGGCCTCCCAAAGTGCTGGGATTACAGGCATGAGCCACCGCACCTGCCTGGCCTTTTTGTTTTTAAAGACAGGGTCTTGCTCTGTCGCCCAGGCGGGAGTGCAGTGGCGTGATCACCTCTGCCGCCCAGGCTGGAGTGCAGTGGTGCAATCAGCTTGCTGCAACCTTGAACTCTTGGGCTCCAGCAGTCCTCCTGCTTCAGCCTCCTGAGTAACTGGGACTACACAGGGGCATGCCGCAGTGCCTGGCTAATTTTTTAAAAATTATTTTTGTAGAGACAGCGTCTTGCTATGTTGCCCAGGCTGGTCTTAAACTCCTGGCCTCAAGTGATTCTCCAGCCTCAGCCTCCCAAAGTGCTGGGATTACAGGTGTAAGCCATACTGCACATGGCTTCTAACAGCTCAAGGCCACATTCCTAAAATGATCCCAGCCCCCTTCAAAGCGCCTGCCTGAGAAAGTCATGGCTACCAAGAGAATTTCCTGTGTTCTGGCCAACACCTGAAGATGGGGCCCCTGTCTCCCAGCCTCTGTGGGACTGGGGGCCTGACTTCAGTAAGCCCCCGTGGCAAACCCAGATTGGTTTCCCAAGGCTAACCCTCCCTTCCTGCTTTTGGTAATTTTCCACTTTCCTCACTCCACTGAGTCCCCACTGTTCTTCCTCCCCACTCCCCACTTCTTTGCACAACTCGGAGCGGAGCTCGGCTCTCTCCCCTCCTGTCACTGGTCACCAAATATTATAATTTCCGTCCTCACCACTTTAATGTCCAGCTGTGTTTCTCTGTGATCAGGGGCCAGGACTTGGATCTGGATGGGAACCACCATCCGATCAACCCTCGGATGCAACAACCGGAGCACACAGTGTACACAGCGATCCGTGTTATCTCCACTCTGCCTGCTCATGCGGGAGTCACATGGTTTGATTTGTGATCCAGTGGTCCGGAAGAATATCGGATGCAGCAGTGAGGACAGACATTGCTTCTAATGATTTTATGATTCTGAGTAAGGCTCTGAGGCGCTAAGAGTCCCAGGCTTTTTTTTTTTTTTTTTTTGGGACAGAGTCTTGCTCTGTCGCCCAGGCTGGAGTGCAGTGGCATAATCTCGGCTCATTGCAAGCTCCGTCCCCCGGGTTCATGCCATTCTCCTGCCTCAGCCTCCCAAGTAGCTGGGACTATAGGTGCCCACCACAACGCCCGGCTAATTTTTTGTATTTTTAGTAGAGATGGGGTTTCACCGTGTTAGCCAGGATGGTCTTGATCTCCTGACCTCGTGATTCGCCCGCCTCGGCCTCCCAAAGTGCTGGGATTACAGGCGTGCGCCACCGCGCCCGCCCCAGGCTTCTTCTGAACGCTACCTACCTCCTGGGCTGGAAGTTCTTCTTCCTAGTGCCTCGTTCCCAGAGGGGATTCACTCCTGACTCCTGGTGGAGCTGTCTTGCCCCCTCTGTTCTGTGTTCTTGCTCCTCCCGTGGGAGCGTCTTACTGGAGCCCTGCTGATCATGCCCTCTGCGCTACTTTAATCAGCACATCAAAACAAAACTGCAAGGAACAAGTGCGCCTCTGTCTGCTTCCTTCCTTGTTGATGTGACTTTACCAAGGATAATTTGGAACATCAGTGGCTCCTTTGGGATACTTGAGATCTCCCCAAACTAGCTCCTCTCAGGCCTCTCCCTTCCTATCACCTCCATACTTCCCTACTTTCTCTTGAAGGAGACACCCCCTTCAAGTCTGGCCTCCTCCACCTGTGGATCCCCGCTGCAGGCCTCTCTCTTCCCCCTCCAGCCCCTCAACTCCCCACGGTCCCTGGAACTTTAGGCTTCCTGCCCCATCAGGGGCTCGCAGTGCCTCAGGGACCCACAAAAGCAACCAGCTGAGCTCACTGGAAACATGTAGTCATCCATCAGGGCAAAACAAGTCGTAAAGGTCTTATCCACAAATACAGGTAGAAAGCCTTCCCCTCACATGGAGCAAGTGACCCTTAACTTGTCCAATTTGCCAGAAACACAGTTCAGATAAAAATATAAAATAGGGCTGGGTGGTGGCTCACACCTGTAATCCCAGCACTTTGGGAGGCCAAGGTAAGTGGATCACTTGAGGCTAGGAGTTCAAGACCAGCCTGGGCAACACAGCAAGACCTTGTCTCTACAGAAAAAAAAAAAAAAAAAAAAAAGAAAAGAAAAGAAAAGAAAAAATATATAAAATAGAGTAAAAAAAAAAGTGAGAACTAGCTCTTATATAAACTAGTGAGTTGTGTTTTGTTAATTGCGTTTGATAATATATTGGCCTAAAAAAGCTTACAAGATGTTTTCAGTAACTTTCAACCTCAGAGTCATACTAAGTGAAGTTAAATAATAGACATTCATTGAATATCTAAATAATACCTGAAGAGAAGAAAGTGCTGAAACATTCATTATTAAGCGTAACTTTTTGTACTTTTTGGCTTCTTATTTTTATATGGTACAGACTGGCTAAAGGTATTCTGGTCTGTTAATAAACATGTACTTGGCACTTAAAAACATTGTACTATAAAAAGGATATACCTCTAGAGATTATAAGATGGTATATTCATAAAATTTGCCAACAAACTGGTAAATGACAGACAATTTCCAATTGTCTTCTTCCCAGTTTTACTTGTAAAATACAAGTTATGGCCGGGCGTGGTGACTCATGCCTGTAATCTCAGTGCTTTAGGGGGCTGAGGTTGGAGAATTACTTGAGCCCGGGAGTTCAAGGGTGCAGTGAGTCCTGATTGTGCCACTGCACTCCAGCCTGGGCAAAAGAGCAAGACGCTGTCTCTTTAAAAAAAAAATACCGGTTACTAATGGTTAAAAATTATAATCAATATATGAAAACAAAACTCCTAGAAACAATAAGAATGAGGGAAACAATTTCCTATACAAAGTATGGGAGGAAGATAGGATGTGTTTTTATATGAAAAGTATGCAAAGAATGTAGAGTGTTTTTGTTAAAGAAAGGGATGTAATTTTGTCCTGAAGTAAAATTACAAAAAGAGGAAAAATATGGGACAAAGCCTGAATGGCCCAGGAATTCGAGACAAGCCTGGGAAACATGATGAAACCCTGTTTCTATAAAAAAACTCAAAAATTATTAGCCTGGCATGGTGGTACATGCCTGTAGTCCCAGCTACTTGGGAGGGTGAGGCAGGAGGATCGCTTGAGCCCAGGAGGTCAAGGCTGCAGTAAGCTGAGATCTCACCACTGCACTCCATCCTGGGTGACAGACTGAGATTCTGTCTCAAAACAAAAGCAACTGTGAATGGATACAGAAAGTTATCCCTATGTTTCCCAGGCTGGTCTTGAACTCCTGGCCTCAAGAAAGTCTGCAGAAAAGAAATTTTATGTTATGAGGTCAAAGCTGGCTAGAATTGACCTCATAATCATTGAATGGATTTATGTATAAAGTTTCTTTAAATTTTTTTTTTTTTTTTTTTTTTTTTGAGACAGAGTCTCGCTCTGTTACCCAGGCTGGAGTGCCATGGTGTGATCTGGGCTCACTGTAACCTCTGCCTCCCAGGCTTAAGCAATTCTGCTGTCTCAGCCTCCCAAGTAGCTGGGACCACAGGCACATGGCACCACGCCCAGCTAATTTTTGTATTTTTAGTACAGGTGGGGTTTTGCCATGTTGGCCAGCCTGGTCTTGAACTCCTGATCTCAGGTGATCTGTCCACCTTGACCTCCCAAAATGCTGGGATTATAGGCGTGAGCCGCTGCACCCAGCCTAAATTTTTTTTAGTGACAGAGTCTCACTCTGTTACTGAGGCTGGAGTGCAGTGGTGCAATTACAGCTCACTGCAACCTTGAACTCCTGGGCTCAAGTGATCCTCCCGCCTCAGTCTTCAGAGTACATGGGACTACAGACATGTACCACCATGCCCAGCTAATTTTTCAACTTTTTGTTTTGTAGAGACAGGGCCTCAGCATGTTTCTCAGGCTGGTCTCAAACTCCTGGGCTCAAGGAGTCCTCCCTCCTCGGACTCCCAAAGTGTTGGGATTATAGGCGTGAACCACTGCATGTGGCCTGTGACATTGTCTTGATCTCAGACTGACTTGAGATTTCCTGGAGGGCCCCTGGAAGACCTCAAAGGATCTGTCCTGTGACCTTATAAGAGAGATGTTAAACTAATTAGGTTTATTTCAATGGTGAATTTTGTGGGCAGCAAGTCGCCCAGGTGCCGAGGCAAGAGACCGAGGGCACGAGCTGTTCCAGTATAATAAAGAAAATATATAAAATAAGAATAGTTACATTAGATATAGATCATAGATATGATTATATATGAATATTGTTAATCATTAGTTTGTAGCAATTACTCTTTATTCCAATATTATAATAATCTTCGCTCTACAATTATAACCTAGGAGAAACCAGGCCATACAGTGATAAGAGCTGAAGGGACACGGTGAGAAGTGACCAGAAGACAAGCGTGTGAGCCTTCTGTTATGCCCGGACAGGGCCACTAGAGGGCTCCTTGGTCTAGTGGTAACGTCAGCGCCTGGGAAGACGCCTGTTACTTAGCGGACCTTGGTCTAGCAGTTGCGTCAGTGCCTAGAAAAAGCACCCGTTACTTAGCAGACCGGGAAAGGAAGTCTCCCTTTCCCTGTGGGAGTTAGAGAAGACTCTGCTCAACCACCTCTTGTGGAGTGTCAGGTTTGCCCACAGTTATCCGGAGGCCTAACCGTCTCCCTGTGATGCTGTGCTTAAGCAGTCACGCTCCTGGTCCGCTTTCATGTTCCACCCTGTACCTGGCTATGCCTTCTAACTAGCAGTAACAAAATTAGTGAAAGTACTAAAGGTCTCTGAAATACAGAAATAATGACATAAGCTGTCTCCTCTCGCTGTCCGCCTCGGCTGCCAAACAGGGAAGGGCCCCCGTCCAGTGGACACGTGACCCATGTGACCTTACCTGTCACTGGAGATAGCTCACACTCCTTACCCTGCCCCCTTGTCTTGTATCCAATAAATAACAGCGCAGCCTGGCATTCGGGGCCACTACTGGTCTCCGCATCTTGGTGGTAGTGGTCCCCGGGCCCAGCTGTCTTTTCTTCTATCTCTTTGTCTTGTGTCTTTATTTCTACGATCTCTCATCTCTGCACACGGGGAGAAAAACCCACAGACCCTGTAGGGCTGGACCCTACAGAATTTCATGCAAGGTGCTGTCAAATAAAAAATGTTATTTAGGGCCGGACGCGGTGACTCACGCCTGTAATCCCAACACTTTGGAAGGCCAAGGTGGGCAGGTCACCTGGGGTCAGGAGTTCAAGACCAGCCTGGCCAGTGTGGCGAAACCCCATCTCTACTAAAAATACAAAAATTAGCTGGGTGTGATGGTGCACACCTGTAATCCCAGCTACTTGGGGGGCTGAGGCAGGAGAATCGCTTGAGCCCAGGAGGCGGAGGTTGCAGTGAGCCGAGATCGTGCCACTGCACTCCAGCCTGAGCAACACAGTGGGACTCTGTCTCAAAAAAAAAAAAAAAAAAAAAAACTAAAAAAAAATTTTTTTTAATGCTATTTAAACTTCCTTGAGTTACATGCATATTGGTAAATGTTAATATAAGGATTCCAGATATTGTATAAAGTTCCCACAAACTGGTGAATACCCTTCTGCCAATGACATGTCCTCATATAACAGCAATCATCATTCTGGTTATTATTTAAAATGCTATGTGTCATAAACAACCAACATTCCTTGTAAATCGTTTGATTTTGTAATGATCTCTCATTAGATATTTAACTACACTATTTTAAGTCTTTTGTCATTAGAGTTTTACTCTGATGCTTTCCTGAAATCTCTTGCAATCAGCTACAGGGCAAAGTGCTTCATCTTCAACAAAAAGGGACCAATGAAAAGGCCCATGACAGGTACCATGGGGTAGGCTTCTGACAGCATTTCTTTATTTCTTTTTTTGAGATGGAGTCTCACTGTGTTGCCCAGGCTGGAGTGCAGTGGCGTGATCTTGGCTCACTGCAACCTCCATGTCCCGGGTTCAAGCGATTCTCCCACTTCAGCCTCCCGAGTAGTTGGGATTACAGGCGTCTGCTACCACAACTGGCTAATTTTTGTATTTTTTGGTAGAGACAGGGTTTCACCATGTTGGCCAAGCTGGTCTCGAACTCCTGACTTCAAGTGATATAGCCACGTTGGCCTCCCAAAGTGTTGGGATTACAGGCCTGAGCCACTGCACCTGGGCGTGACAGCATTTCTTAACTTTGAGATCACATGACTGCACTGAGCCAGGATCTCCACTGGTTGAGAAAAGATGGGTTCATGTACCTGCTAGCCCAAGATCAAGCAGAACAAGAATTCAGTACCTGCATGCAACTGAGTAAACTGCTGAAGGATGATTACAGTCTTTTTATGACTTTTGTTCAGAATATTGTTGGCTCTTTATGTTTTATTTTCTGAATATTAAAAAAAGAAACCTTTCCCCGGCTGGGCACGGTGGCTCACGCCTGTAATCCCAGTACTTTGGGAGGCCGAGGCGGGTGGATCACGAGGTCTGGAGAGCGAGACCATCCTTGCTAACACAGTGAAACCCCATCTCTACTAAAAACACAAAAAATTAGCCGGGCGTGGTGGCAGGCACCTGTAGTCCCAGCTACTCGGGAGGCTGAGGCAGGAGAATGGTGTAAACCCAGGAGGCGGAGCTTGCAGTGAGCTGAGATCACGCCACTGCACTCCAGCCTGGGGAACAGAGTGAGACTCTGCCTCAAAAAAGAAAAAAAGAAAGAAACCTTTCCCTTTTCTCTTAACCTATCAATGACTCGTAATATTATAGTAAATGATACTTCTCTAAACAAAATTGAAGCAATTATCTTTTTCTTCCGGCCTGACCCCTCCAAAAATCAGAAACTATTATTGAGTATTCTATTTTCATGGCAATATAGTTATTGAATAACTTCAATAAGAATCTGTTCTCCTTGTAACAGGACACAATTGGAAACACTGGTTCTATTACCAAGGTTTGGACTGGAATGTCCTGTTTGAGGATGATGCACATAGAATCAGCTATGACCAGATGGCTTTCAGGTTGACTTTGTGGAGCCATTGCTTACAAAGAGCTCTTGAAAAATTTGGCCTGGTATGTGGCTTACGGGGTTCTTGGTCTTACATGTGAGTAAGGAAAGTCACTTCCAAATATCCCAAGGTTCTAAGGCCCAGGAACCTTGGGATATTTCAGGGACCTCGAGAAGAGAGGAATTCACCCAAATCTATAGACACTGCAGGTGAAGTCTGGTTGGAAGTTCTTGGCTTGGCTTCCTAACCTCGAAAGGCTTTAAAAAGCTCAATCTAAGATTCCCTATTAAAAGTTTCAGCAAACTTAAAAAGGCCTGTGTGGTCAATTACTGTTCGTGCTGCATTTATGTAAATAATCAGGCCAAATTTAATGAGACCAGAATTATTTGGTAAATAAGAATAATCTCACTTTGATTATCTTCAATCAAAAGGGAAGGGTTTGTAAAGAGAAATGCTATGCTTCAGTGGAGAAATATAACACCCCCTTGGGAGTTATCAGATCCTAGTCTAGTTCACTGTCTTTTGTAGGTGTTTTGTTTTGTTTTGTTTTGTTTTTGAGACGCAGTCTTGCTGTGTCGCCCAGGCTGGAGTGCAGTGGTGTGATCTCGGCTCATTGCAAGCTCCACCTCCCGGGTTCACACCATTCTCCTGCCTCAGCCTCCCAAGTAGCTGGGACTACAGGTGCCCGCCACCACGCCTGGCTAATTTTGTATTTTTAGTAGAGATGGGGTTTCACCGTGTTAGCCAGGATGGTCTCGATCTCCTGACCTCGTGATCCACCCGCCTCGGCCTCCCAAAGTGCTGGGATTACAGGCGTGAGCCACCGCTCCCGGCCTAATTCTTTTTTGAGATGGAGTTTCGCTCTTGTTGCCCAGGCTGGAGTGCAGTGGTGCGATCTCGGCTTACTGCAGCCCCCCACCTCCCAGTTCAAGCGATTATCCCGCCTCAGCCTCCTGAGTGCACCACCACGCCCGGCTAATGTTTTGTATTTTTAGTAGAGACAGGGTTTTGCCATGTTAGCCAGGCTGGTCTCGAACTTCTGGACTCGGGTGATTTGCCCACCTCGGCCTCCCGAAGTGCTTGGGATTACAGGCATGAGCCACCGGGCCCGGCCTATCCTTGAGGTTTTATGATCTGCCTGTCACTTGGACTGTCACTGCCTTCCTACACGTCAGCCCTTACCAAATCCTCCCATCTACTTTCCTTCAGTATCTGGCTACCTACCACTCTCTTCAGACTGACATTTCTAATTTGTCTCCTCCCTGACTTGGTGTCACCAAGAACTCAAATCCCTATTGGGACTCAGGTGGTCTTGTAGCTGCCCTTTGCCCCCAGGATCTGAAAAAAACAGCCCTGCAGACTGAAGCCGGAAAACTTGATATAAACTTGAAAGAACTCAGAACCACAACAGATTCTCCAGGGGCAGCCTTTGTGCCTGGAGCTGCTGCTACACAGGCCGCCCAGGAAGACCCCCCCTCCAGCTCCTGCATGCCACATGCTCTCTCCAGAAAGTAACCACAACTGGGATACCAATGCCTATGCCATCATCACAGACTTCACACCACACACCAGGAAGTCCCTGAGTGCCCCTGCTGGCCTTGTTAGGGCCCAACGGCCAGAAACCTCAACTGCTGCCCTGTAGGCTCAAAAACTGGGTTTATCAACAGCTCCATTCATCTTTGTTTTTATTTCTTTCTTTCTTTTTATTTTTTTATTTTATTATTATTTTTTTTTTTTAAAGATAGGGGCTCTCTGTTGCTCAGGCTGGAGTATAGAGGCAAGATCATGGCTCATGGCAGCCTCCGCCTCCCAGGCTCAAACGATCTTTTCACCTCAGCCTCCCAAGTAGCTGGAACTATAGGCCCATGCCACCACGCCGGGCTAATTTTTAAATTTTTTGTAGAGATGGGGTCTTTATGTTGCCCAGGCTTGTTTCAAACTCCTGGCCTCAAGTGATCCTCCTCGGCCTCCAAAAGTGCTGGGATTACAGACATGAGCCACTGTGCCTGGCCTGTTATTTTTGTTTCCTCATTAAATGCTTGACTGCTTGCATCATCCAGCAAAAATCCTTTGCTACCAAGTCTCAACAGATGGTCCCGCTGGTAGTTTATGAACACAACACAGAACAGAAAATGGACGGGGACTGTTGAGAGGAAAGAAGCAGGTCTCTGCTCTTCTTGCACAGGGGGAGTGCTGACAAAGACCCTCCCTCCCCACACTCCAGCCAGGCTCCTTAGAGTCCCCTTCTCCACTGGGCCTCACCCTGGCCTATCTAGGCTGGAACGAACACTAACATAGCTCCTAACAGCTCAAGGCCACATTCCCAGAACGATCCTAGCCCCCTCTAAAGTGCCTGCCTGAGAAGTTCAAGGCTGCCACAAGAATTTCCTGTGTGTTCCAGCCAACACCTGAGGATGGGGCCCCTGTCTCCCAGTCTCTGTGGGAGGTTGGGGGCCTGACTTCGGTAAGCCCCAGTGGCAAACCCAGATCAGTTGGTTTCACAGGGGCCAACCCTCCCTTCCCAGTTTTGGTGATTTTCTGTTTCCCTAACTCTACTGAGTCCCCACCCCTTCCCACTCCCTCACTCTCCCTTTAAACTCCAGGCACATCTAGACAAATCAGCATGGAGCCAGCTTTTTCTCATGTTGTCAGTAGTTACCAAGTAAAATCTGTTTTTTCTGCATTAACTAGTGTCTCACTGGGCTCTGCAGGGCAGCTCCTACGGTCCCTCAGGCTTGGAGGGTCACTTTAAACAATAAAAAGCAACAGGACACAAAAATCCCTGGCTGGAAAAATCCAAAAAGCAGGTCTGTTAGCAGGGCAGGCCCGGAGTGACTTCCCCTTTCTCTAACATTCCCACGTGGTCCTGCACACCACACATCCCCCCGACCCTGGGGAGTCCTGGGCCCCTTCCTGGTGGAGCAGCCTCTCTCTTGCAGGGAAAGGCCCTGGGGTACCCCAAGGCCTCCAACAGGGAGCCTGTTGGAGAAGTCACCAAGGCCCTCTGAGTCTGGGGCTCCACAGACCCTCCCCCAGGCCTCCTGCAACTCTCCAGCTCTGAGAGTCTGATCCCAGCCCAAGGACCAAGTGGGACCCTCCCCTGTGACTCTACCACACCCTCACCAGGTCAAGCCCTACTCCAGGGAGAGGCTTATCCTCCTGGTCTGGACCCCCAACCCAGTCTTGAAGCGGGATCTCTCACCGCTATCTGGAGCCCCTCATCACAGCACAGATCTTCAACCTCAGCTTTCCACAAGGAGTCTGGGGACCCCACCCCGGTCCAAAGATCCCCACCCAAGGTCCGAATTCCCCAGTTCCCATCCAGATTCCCCACCCCAAGTCCGGAGACTCCCACCCAACGTCAGATCACTTCACAGCGGTCCGAATTCCCCACACCCTATCCCAGTGTTCCACCCTAGGTCTGAAGGCCCCCGCCCCGAATCCGGCCGCATTCGGCCCCGGTCTAGCCAGCGCTCTCACCTCTCCCGCGACGGCCCGCCCGGGACTGGACCCGCCCCGGTCCGGCGCAGGCAGCGCGGCGGGCAGCCCTAGCTGCCCCAGAAGCCCCACGACGATGGCGGCAATGGCGGTGGCGCTGCGGGGATTAGGAGGGCGCTTCCGGTGGCGGACGCAGGCCGTGGCGGGCGGGGTGCGGGGCGCGGCGCGGGGCGCAGCAGGTAGGATGGGGTCGGGGCGTCCCCGCGGTAGGTGTCCGCGCGGCCGGGGTGTCCTCGTGAGGGTGTCCGCGCGGCGGTGGCCAGGGTGTCCCCGTGGGGGTGCCCACGCGGGGGTGTCCACATACCGGCCTCTTGGTCTAGTCTTGCTCAGGAGTCCGGGCTGCTTCTAGCCACAAGTAGCCCCCTTCCCAGGTGGGGAAACTGGGGCTGGGTGCCTTGTCTAAGGTCCTGCTGTGCTGACTGCACCTGTGGTCTCCCAGAGCTGGTATCCCAGTAACAACTACAGTTCTGAAGATGATGATATCCCACCTCCCGAGGTCACCAGGCACCGGCCCCACTGGCCAGACTTCCCAACTTCTCCCCAGACCCCTAGACTCTAGAGGTTAGAGGCTGCACAGAGCAATGGGAGGATACACACTCGTCCTCCTGGAGCCCCTGAAGAACAGTTAACTAAATCAGGACAATAATCATAACTGAGCACTCGAAGCAGAGGCTGGGTGTCTGGTCACTCAGGACAGTTCAAGCCTCATCCTGTAGGACAGACTCCCCTAGATCCGACCAGAGCGCCACCATATCTGTTATGTGTGGCCAGTTTCATTCCATGCACGACAACATGGTCCCCCACCATGCAGGGGGCCCCTCGACCCAGCCCCCTGGATGCTTGTGACAGCGAGCAGCTCTCCCCACAGGCAGTGAGTGTAGAGGGGTGTAAGGACGGGGTCAGGGCTCCTTCCCAGGGATGGCGGCTATGGGAGGCATGGTGGCTGGCCCTCTGCCCGCGGTGGACTCGGGAGGGAGGGCTGACTGTGTGTGTGAATGGGCAGAGTTGGTGCTATGGAGGTTTTGGGGGTCTCCAGGACGGAGGGTGGCCCAACAGAGTTCTGGGAGGCAGTCACCACCTCGTGGCCTTGCTGAGACCTGGAACCCTCAGCCAGGGCACTCCATCTTTCAAAGCTTCTTGGCTGCATGCGTCAGGTGGGCAAGCTCAGGAAGGTTAAATGCACCCGTGCTGGCGGAGTCCCATAAAAGGGGATTCGGCATCAAAAGGAGGAAAAAGGTTCAAAGGGCATTTATCATGGGGTTCAGAATCACGGATGTGAGGGGCGGTAGTGGGGACAACAGACAGAAAAGCTTCCCCTTCCCATACTCACAGTCCAGACACGGCAATAGCCAAATTCCAAATTTCTAGGTATTCTGGACTCAGAATGGGGAATATCATACGAGACTTAGGGGGATAATGCCCTTATCTTCCTATTTTAAGGGAAAGAACAAACTGAACCTTCTATGCAAAATAGGATGATGATCCTGGTCCTCCCAGTAAGAAATAAAATAAGTAGTCTCCAGGCATTCCTTTCCGCCAGAGGAGCAACTGTTTTTTAAATAGCCCTTTCGTGCCCAGTCTGTTACTAAACCATATGAGTTGTTTTTTTGGGGTTTTTTTTTTTTTTTTTTTTTTGAGACAGTGTCTTGCTCTGTCGCCCAAGCTGGAGTACAGTGGTGCGATCTCAGCTCACTGCAAGCTCCGCCTCCCGGGTTCACGCCATTCTCCTGCCTCAGCCTCCCGAGTAGCTGGGACTACAGGCATCTGCCACCACGCCTGGCTAATTTTTTTTGTATTTTTAGTAGAGACGGGATTTCACTGTATTAGCCAGGATGGTCTCAATCTCCTGACCTCATGATCCACCTGCCTTGGCCTCCCAAAGTGCTGGGATTACAGGCATGAGCCACTGCGCCCAGCCGAGTCATTTTTTAATACTACTGCATGTGAGTTAACACAATCATTCCCAAATTGAAGTTTTAGATGGGCCCTCAAAATTTTTAGGATATGGTTTTCCTACAGGTTTATATTGAAAGTATGGGGTATCTCCTATTACTCCTCTTTTTATTTGTCTTAAAGGAGAAAGGGAGAGGCCAGAGACCAAATGTCCCCATTTCCCTATAGCTAATCTCTCTGGAAGACAAGCAGCCCAGACTTGAGCTTCTAGATGGATACAACCAGGTGCATGTCCAAGGCACAGAGGAGGGTATTTATAACCCATAGTAACATTAAATGCAGTGCCTTCTCCTGGCTGAGCGGTGCAACGGTCATCTGTAGTTCCAGGCATCCACACACTATCGTTAGTATAGATTTCTGCAGGAGCATCCATCCAGGTGAGAGGTCGAATAAGTGGAGGAAAAGGCACATAAGCCCAATAAGAATAATTTTGTGTAGCAGGTAAATCAGTTTAAGGGGAAACTGGTGAGACAGAAAGTGTAAGGAAGATAATTATTAAATAAAACCTATTGTAAGTGAGATCCAGTGCTGAAGGAGGAAGAGAAGAACAGAGGGATGTTATTTTCAGGCTAATAGAAATGGTGAGATTTTTAGGTTCGTAAGGAGAAAAAGATAATTAGGAGAAGTGGGATTAGTTAGAGGGGTTTACATTGCCATTAGGGAGGATTGAACCAGACCCATTTTGATTTGGCATGCCAGTTTCTGAGGAGTCGGTACAGATCTCATCAGGTATGAGGGCAGTCTCTGACGCGAACGTCTCTTCCTCGTGGTTTTTATTGTCAGTATTCACACGAAGTTTAAGTCTCCTAGTGGGCACCCAGACGGGATTGACGATCTCCTGGTAAAACACAAGCATACCCTCTTCCCCACGTTATAATTGTTCCAGGTTCCCAGGTATTGGTTTGGGAGTTTTTCCATGACACTGGCTTGCCTTCGTTTAGGGAGAATTTTTTGCCTGTATAATGGCATTTAGCTGCAGTCAGAGTATTGTTTTTAGGAACATTTAGAAAGCTTAAACAATGCTAAATATAATTGGGAGTGGGGAGTAGTTAAATTATGCTTTTAAACCAGCCTTGTCTTCTTTTACAGTAACTTGAAGAGGTTTAGTAATTTTTTCACGTTTTGGACCGAGACCGAGTCTGGAAACAAACCCCATGTTTTCCATTATATGTTGACTGGGAGCACTGTAAAAGTTATGTGGAATATTAATTTCAGCCCCAATTTGTGCCAGCAAATCTCTGCCCCGAAGATTAATGGGGATGGGCATGATATAAGGCTGAATTGTTCCCTTTTGACCATCAGGGCCAGTGCAAGCCAAGATAAATGTGCTCTGGTGAACTTCTTCAGCTTTTCTAACACCTTCTAGTTTCATGTTAGTGGGATGTTTAAGCCAGGAGGAAGGCCATAAATTAGAGGAAATAATAGAAACATCAGCCCCAGTATCAACTAGGCCCTCAACCTTTTTTCCTTGAATGTGTATGGTGCAGGTAGGCCATTGTTTAGAAATTACATTAATCCAATAAGCGGCTTTTTCACCGCTGGAGCCCATCCCAGGGCCCCATGTCTTATCTCCTTTGTTTAAAACAATGTTAGGTAGTAAAAGTAATTGAGCAATTGACTCACTGGCCGGAATGGAAACAGGAACTTTGGCAGACACCATAAGTTTACATAAGTTTAATCTCATCAGAGGAATCAGAATTAATGAGACTAGTATGAACTATGATACCTTTAGTATCATGAGGTGGATGCCCTGCCTAACACCAGGCCCACCGAACCTTGAGGTAAAGGGCCAGTGACCCCCATGGGGACAATTAAAGGCAAAGAATTAGGTAGTAAATTTAGAGGAATGGTACTACAGAGATCGACCGCCCTGCTGCCTACTGTGGAGGTAGACAAGCATTGTACTGAGACAGAAGAAGAGGCTGGGACCCATCTGGATTGGCTGTAGGTAAATTTGTTTGTGCTGGGGGCTGCGTTGGGACTGCTTGACGCAAAAACACAACATTGGTCTGAGTCCGAGGTGTCCCATTTGATATTGGGGCCTGGGACTGGCCTTGCTTCCTGTTTCCCTGGTTCTGTGGCAAGGGATTTTCATCTATATCAGACTGAGTGGCAAGTACTTGCCCAATGTTTACCCTTACGACAACGCAGGCAAACAGTAGCAGGAGCATTTGGCCGTGTTTGTTGAGCCGGCTTGGCCGCTTTTAAGTTTTTAACAGTGTAGTTTTTTTGGGTATGACCAAGTTGGCCACAATTATAGCAGGCTCCAAGAAAAGAATCAGTCGAGCCAGTTTGGTTGCCGTGCTTCATGGCCGGTGCCCACAGAATAGCTCTGTGGGTCTCCGATCCAACGCCTTCACAAGCTTTAATATATGCAGGCAACACCTCATGATCAGGTAAATTTTGACGTAGGATGGAATGCACGGCCATTTTACACTCATGGTTCGCATTTTGAAAAGCTAACATATGAAGAAGAATACCTTGAGTGTGCTCATCAGAGACAGATTTTTCAACAGCATCTTGTAATTTAGCTAAAAAATCAAGATATAATTCATTGTGACCCTGTTTAACAATAGTAAAAGAAACAGAAGCTTGGCCTGGGGTGCGTAATTTATCCCAAGCTCTCATACACACCTTTGTTACTTGTTCCGTGGTGAGAGCATCAAAGCCTAAATGAGCAGTAGTATCAGAGTAATTATCGGAGCCTGTGAGCTGAGCCTGAGTAATTGGAATGCCATCAGCCCGATTTAGCTGAGCCTGCAGGCGGGCCTCCTCTGACCACCAGGTATGGAATTGTAAATGCTGAGATGGAGTTAGAACAGCTTTTGCCAAAAGGTCGCAGTCTATAGGAAGCAAAATGACCTCGGTACAAAGAGTCTGTAATACCGTTTTAACATATGGAGAAGTAGGAACATACTGAGTACAAGCATCCTTGAATTCTTTTAAAAAGGTAAGATTGAGCGGCGTATATCGACACACTTGTACCCCTTGAGCATTAGGAGGTTCCAGCATGACCGAATAAGCCCACGCCTCTAATCTACTTGTTTGTTTTGGCGTAATAAGCATTGCATGAAAGTTTCAAGAGCAGGCACATGAGATAGAGTCGGCATAGAAGTGACAGGAAAAGTATGTATAGATAAGAGAAACTGAGATTGACGGGGTCGGACTGGTATAAGAGTGTGAGAAAGGGGCATTGGGGGAGCAGAAGAGGCAGAAGCATACTGGTGATTACTGGCCCAGTCCTGCACAACCAGAGTGGCAGGGGTGTCCCTGCATGAAGAAGGGTACAGAGAAGCAGGTTGAGTGGATGGCAAAGTGACCGGTTGAGGGACCAAAATGATAGGAGGGTGAGGGGCTGTGGTGGATGGGGGAGGGCCTGCAGAATTACAGGTAAATTGTAGTTTGGATGGCTCCGGAGGCAAAGACTGTAAAGGTTTGGAGAGGGAAGAGTTAGCATAGATATGGTCCTGGGCTGTCTGAGTTGGGGCCGCAGGAGCTACAAGTGTCGGCTCTTCGTGAAAAGAAATAAGATCATCAGGGGGTGATGTTAAGCCAAAGTCACTGGAGTTAGATATTGAATCCTCAGTATCGTCAGGTGGGGGAGGAGTAGGCAAAGGGAGGGGCTGAGCAGATAATGAAGGCCGAGTGGGAGAGGAAAGCTGAGGAAGAGGTAGAGGGTGGCCAGATTCAGAAAACTGTGGTAACTGCAGGGTGTCACGGGATTGGTATGTCATTAGGATGGCACGTACCAAGGCCCAATCACCCCAAACAGTGACAGGAACATAATTTCCTGTTGGGACCAGTTCTCGGAATTTTGCACCAACATGATCCCATAGTTCCACATCTAACGTTCCCTTTTCAGGAAACCAAGGACAGTGTTCTTCCACTGCCCTGAATAGGGTGACCATATTTTCCATGGGAACCCGAACTCCCCCATTTTAACAGGAATTTAATATAGCAGAGATAAGCATAATGTTTAGACTCTGCGTGACCCATAGTTACCCCGGAGAATACACAGACAACTCACCAATCGTTGGGGAGCCAAACAAGCATTTCTGTGGACTGGACCGATGAACATTTCTCCGCACCTACCAAAGGGAATCGGGTTCCCACATGCACTTAGGAAAAAGAAAACCACGTTGGGCGCCAGATATTGGGGGAACCTGCCCCTAATATTTCAACGTACGTTCTTTCTATTTTCTGTAAGTGTCAGCCGGCTGAGAAATGAAGAGAAAGAGTACAAAGAGGAATTTTACAGCTGGGCTGCTGGGGGTGACATCACGTATCGGTAGGACCATGATGCCCACCTGAGCCGCAAAACCAGCAAGTTTTTATTAAGGATTTTAAAAGGGGAGGGGTTGTGCCAATAGGGAGTAGGTCACAAAGATCACATGCTTCAAAGGGCAAAAGGCAGAGCAAAGATCACATGCTTCTGAGGAAACAGGACAAGGGCAAAATCAGAACTCCTGATAAGGGTCTATGTTCAGCTGTGCACATATTGTCTTGATAAACATCTTAAACAACGGAAAACATGGTTTAAGAGCAGAGAACCAGTCTGACCACAAATTTACCAGGACGGAGTTTTTTCCCCACCCTAATAAGCCTGAGGGTACTGCAGGAGACCAGGGCGTATTTCAGTCCTTATCTCAACCGCATAAGACAGACACTCCCAGAGTGGCCGTTTACAGACCTCCCCCCAGGAATGCATTCCTTTTCCAGGGTCTTAATAGTAATATTCCTTGCTAGGAAAAGAATTTAGCGATATCTCTCCTACTTGCACGTCCATTTATAAGCTCTCTGCAAGAAGAAAAATATGGCTCTTTTTGCCTGACCCCACAGGCAGTCAGACCTTATGGTTGTCTTCGTTCCCTAAAAATCACTGTTATTCTGTTCTTTTTCAAGGTGCGCTGATTTCATATTGTTCAAACACACGTTTTACAATCAATTTCTACAGTTAACACAATTATCACAGTGGTCCTGAGGTGATGTATATTATCAGCTTATGAAGATAACAGGATTAAGAGATAAAGACAGGCATAAGAAATTATAAAAGTATTACTTGGGGGCCCAGGCGCGGTGGCTCATGCCTGTAATCCTAGCACTTTGAGAGGCCGAGGCAGCCATATCACAAGGTGAGGAGATCAAGACCATCCTGGCTAACATGGTGAAACCCTGTCTCTCCTGAAAGTACAAAAAATTAGCCAGGTGTGGTGGCGGGTGCCTGTAGTCCCAGCTACTCAGGAGGCTGAGACAGGAGAATGGTGTGAACCCAGGAGGCGGAGCTTGCAGTGAGCTGAGATTGTGCCACTGCACCCCAGCCTGGGCGACAGAGAGAGAATCTGCCTCAAAAAAAAAAAAAAGAAAAAAGTATAAAAGTATTACTTGGGAATTGATAAATGTTCATATTGAAATGAAATCTTCACTATTTATGTTCCTCTGCCACGGCTCCAGCCAGTCCCTCCATTCGGGGTTCCTGACTTCCTGCAACACAGGTGTGAGCCACTGTACCCAGACTAGGGGTGCAGTTTTTTTTTTTTTTTTTTTCTGAGACAGAGTCTCACTCTGTTAACCAGGCTGGAGTGCAGTGGTGCTATCATAGCTCACTGCAGCCTTGAACTCCTGGGTTCAACTCACCCTCCAGCCTCAGCCTCCCTAGTAGCTGGGACTGTGGGCCCTGCAGTTTCTCCTTTTAGAGTAGGAAGACCTGAACTGTCCCAGGCTTGGAGTGGGTGGGCGATGCAGCCCCTGAACAGGAGCCAGAATGACAACACCTGCTGCCAGGAAAGAGCTCTAGATAGAGCAGCCATACAGGAGGGCCCCTGAGGTGGCACCCTGAGGTGGCCAGCCTGCCTGTGGGTGCACATTTTGGGGGACCCTTCCACTTGCCCTCACTGGTGCAGTGCTGCATTCTCTTGGGCCTTGCTATGAGCTCTGGGCTCCTGCTCTTTGCTGGCCTGTACCAGGCAGTGGGTTCAAAGAGGAGCAGAAAATTAATGGACAATATGTCAGAAGGCAGAGGCAAGACAGACACTTGCTGGGGCCAAGCCCTGCAGGTGGAGAGGGTATGCCTGGCTAAAGTGGGTGAAAGGCAAGGTTATGAGGTTCTCCAGGACACTGGAGTGCACAGGTGGTGTGTCCCCAGGTAACGCCTGCCACCCAGCCCTTCCTCCCACAGAACAGCATCTGCCCTACCCACCTTTGAGGTACTTTGGGGTCCTTCCTTCCCAGCAGGCTACCCAAGCCCTTCCAAGTGCTTAAAGGCAGATTTCCTATGCTTGCAAACGACTGCCCTATGCCAGTGTTTATCAGCCCGAGAGGGCTCCTGGGTGTGCACAGGGGGCGAGCAAGCTGCCCAAGATAAGCACATCCATACAGACAGCTGCTCACCCTGCCTGATAGCAGACAGAGGGGGCACAGTGCGAGGCTGCAGGGCAGGATGACCTAACAAGGGCCCTGCTATGGCAACAAGAAGGACAGGCACCTGCCATGGAAGGTAGGGACGTTCTGAGCAAAGCTTCCGGCTACCAGGCAGCTGGAGGAGAGAGATGCTTCTCCATCAGCAGGTTCATGCTCCCCGGGGGACCTGGTGGCATTTTCTCCCTGACCAGCAGTCCTTGGTTCTCTAGACTTATATTAAAGCCATTAGAATAATTTACAACAATTTAGGCCTTTCCAGAGCCCTTGAGTTGAATTAGGAATTGAGTGTGCTTTGGACTGGCTGTTGGAACCGAGTTGTGGCTCTGTCAGTTCCCGCAGGTGCGCACACATCTCACGTGCACTCAGAGGCTGGCTGCCAGGTGAAAGAGTGGGTGGGTTTGGTTGTGGGGCAGGCTCGCTGCAGGCCATGGCCTGAGTGCCTGGATGCAGCTTCCCAAGCTTTCTCAGCTGTGAGCCAGGGCTCCTCTAGGCTCCAGCTCTTGTATCCTTTAGGAGTGCATGTTCTAGACCTGTCTGTGGGGCATCTGCAGGGCCAGGGTGTGGAGAGACATGACACTCCAAGTACACTCTCTGCAGCCTTGCCTGCCTAGGAAGGTGGAGGTGGCTGCAAAGATAAGTGCAGCCTTCTCATGGCAGACGCTAGGCTCTGATGGAGGTGTTGGGCAGGTTGCCCAGCCTTGTATGACAGACCCTGCTCTGATCATGGAACCTCTTGGCCTTGTCTGAAGCAGCGACCGGCTCCAGATGCTCTGGGAGGGTGGTGCTTCTCATCTGGGCAGGCTCGTGTCTGCAGAGGGGCTGAGGGCACTACTTGTTTTATACCCTAGAGTCTTGTCATCAGTCCCCACCCTGCCCTCACCCCAGCAGACTGATGACTTGCTATTATTTCTTCCTTCCTTCAGCAGGGAGTTGGCTGGTGCCTGGTGCTGGGTGTCCCGGACCTCAGGCCCAGTTCAGTGTACTTCCCCTCTCTACTTCCTCCCTCCAGTCCCTTCTCCATCCCTCCCTTTTTTGGCTGCCCCTTGCCTGCCTTCCTCGCCAGTAGCTTGCAGAGTAGACACGATGACACCTTTTGCAGGCTAAAAAGGCTGAGAGTGGCACTATGTGCAGTGAGCCACCATGGAGGACCAAGGTGAGGCGACACCACAACCAGCCCAAAAGGAATTCCAGGGATGAAACCTGAGCCCAGGCAGCTCTCCCTGTGCCCAGGGTGGCTTCCCTCCTAGCTGACTGCAGCTGGGCACACCAAGACCCTGGCTGTGTGCACTGGCCAGCTGTGAGGGACAGGGGCTGCTTGTGCTTTTATTCTTTTTTTTTTTTTTTTTTTTGAGACGGAGTCTCACTCTGTCTCCCAGGCTGGAGTGCAGTGGCGTGGTATCCGCTCACTGCAAGCTCCGCCTCCCGGGTTCACGCCATTCTCCTGCCTCAGCCTCCCGAGTAGCTGGGACTACAGGCGCCCACCACCATGCCCGGCTAATTTTTTTGTATTTTTAGTAGAGACGGGGTTTCACTGTGTTAGCCAGGATGGTCTCGATCTCCTAACCTTGTGATCCACCCGCCTTGGCCTCCAAAAGTGCTGGGATTACAGGCGTGAGCTACCGCCCCTAGCCTGTGCTTTTATTCTTGCTCACTTGTGACGGAGGGCAGCCTTCACAACTGAAAGGCACGTGGACTTGAGAATGTTTTAGTCCACCTTGGTGGCTCATGCTTGTAATTCTAGCACCTTGGGAGGCCAAGGTGGAAGGATTGCTTGAGGCCAGGTGTTTGAGACCAGCCTGGGCAACATAGCCAGACCCCATCTCTACAAAACAAAAAAATTTAGCTGGACGTGGTGATCGGTGCTTGTAGTCCCAGCTATTCTGGAGGCTGAGGCTAGAGGATCACTTGAGCCCAAGAGGTAGAGGCTGCAGTGAGCTGTGATTGTGCCACTGTGCCCCTGTCGTGGGGGCCCTTCCGGGTCTATGTCCCAGCCCTGTGCTGACCGTGTTCCTTCTCACCTTTCATCCCTCCCCCAAGCAGGGCAGTGGACTACAATCTTCTGGGTGACAGAGTGAGATCCTGTCTCAAAAATAAATAGAATAAAAAAGAAAATATCTTAGTTCTGTGTCTGGCTGAGAACACTGGGTGAGGTTTGAGTTCAGAGTGGTTGGTATGGTGTGCGTGTGATTTGCAAAGATGATCACACACGCCCACGGCCAACCTCACCACCATATGGCTTGGTCTCTGGATTTGCACAGACTATGTGTATCGAGTCACTCTTTCTGCTCTGTTGTGTGGTGTCTTGTCACCCCTGACCATCACAGAATGGAGTGTCCAATCCTGATAAAATTGATCCTGTACCACGTTTAACCAGACAGACAGTCCGTCCCACCTCTCATCCCTTCTCTCAGCAGGTCAGCGGGACTATGATCTCCTGGTGGTCGGCGGGGGATCTGGTGGCCTGGCTTGTGCCAAGGAGGGTATGTATTCTGTATACTTCGTGGCAAGGCCTCGAAGCTTTTAGGGCCCCTAGAGAGGGTGGTGCTGTCCAGAAAACGTCCATGAGCAAAATGCGTTGCCTCCCTGCTGGGGTCACCCCAGTGGCCTCTGTGTTGTGGCTTGTTCCCTGCCACTCTCCAGCTGTCTGCTGTACCCAGCGGCCGCCGTGGCACTTCATGGCTGAACTGCCTTCCTCAGCTCCAGCCCTCCAGCTCTTCTGCTTTACTCACAGTGACAGCCCCAATCCGACTAGTCTCAGCTCCCACCACTCACACCCTCCGTGGGCTCCCCACTTTCCTTCACGTGCTTCTGGACAGTCCTCTCCTTCACCTTACTGTGGCTGTCACCCTGCCTGCCTGCTCTCTGCCCCTGCCCGGCTAGCTGCGAGGCTGGAGCTGCACCCTCCTGCTTGTCCCTGTCCTTGTTCTTAGTGCTGGTGCCTTCCCCCAGGGTCCATGGTCAGTTCTGCTGGGTGAGTCTTGTACTTGGCCTGGCACCCATTGAGTAAAGATGTTGGGCGAACGGGCTGGACCCAGAGGTGTCCAGAGATGACACTTTGCAGTTCTCTGCTAACCCACGTGATGCACAGGCCACCAGCACTTTGCCAGACTCTGTGCCCTGCTGTAGGAGTTCCTGGTCTGCTCTGGCCATGTCTACACAATGATAAGAGGGCAGTTGTGGTGAATGGGGAGGGAAGGGGATGAGAGGGAGGTGGGGCTGAAATGAGAGGGAGTTAACTGGGCACTTTGGCCCTGAAGCTGTGCTTCTCTGATGTCCAGTATTGGGCTCTAGAAGCATACATGGTGTAAAAGAAATCCACTACTCTTGCTCTGTGGGGGCCGGGGAGTGTGTAGGAACCTGGGAAGTCTCCTGGCCTATTGGGGATCCGCAGAGGCACCCAGGATCAGTGCCACACTGTACTCTCAGAACCACTCCCAGAAACGATGGCGCAGGCAGCCACGAGGCCTAGTGCTGTTCCTTTTAGCAGACCGGGCACCTGGGCTGTGCGTTCACTCCCATGCTGGGAGTGACCAGCTGCAGAGACCTGAGTCCCCTTTAATCCGGAATGTGGACAGCTCCTGGGTATGTCTCCGCCTTTCATGAGAGTGGCATTTCCCTGCAGAGGATGACGTGGTTTTGTGGCTTTTTTGAGATGAACTGTACCTATCAAAATGGGCAACCTGATCATTCTTATGTGTGCATGTGTCCATGCAGCCAGTACCGCAGTCAAGATTGGCGAGTGTGTCCTCCACCCCGTTAGTCTGCCAGGGCTGCCGTAATAAACAGACTGCCATAACAGACTGGGCGGCTGAAACAACACATGCTTATTGTCTCTCAGTTCTGGAGGCTAGAAATCATCCAGGTGCGGGCAGGGCTGATTTCTTCTGAGGCCTCTCCGTTGGGCTGTAGATGGCAGTTGTCGTCCCTCTGTGCATGTCTATGTCCTAATCTCTACCTGTACCTGTCCTAATGGATCAGGTGGATGCCCTCTTATTTTGTTGGCTTTTTATTGGAGACAGGGTCTTGTTCTGCCTCCCAGGCTGGAGTGCAGTGGCGTGATCTCAGCTCACTGCAACCTCAAACTCCTGGGTTCAAGCCATCCTCCTGCCTTAGCCTCCCAAAATGCTATTACAAGTGTGGCCACTGTACCTGTATATGGCCTAATTTTTTTTTTTTTTTTTTTGAGATGGAGTCTCGCTCTGTTGCCCAGGCTGGAGTGCAGTGGTGTGATCTCAGCTCACTGCAACCTCTGCCTCCCGGGTTCACGCCATTCTCCTGTCTCAGCCTCCCGAGTAGCTGGGACTACAGGCGCCCACCACCACGCCCGGCTAATTTTTTTTATTTTTAGTAGAGACGGGGTTTCACTGTGTTAACCAGGATGGTCTCAATCTCCTGACCTCATGATCCACCCACCTCGGCCTCCCAAAGTGCTGGGATTACAGGCGTGAGCCACCGCGCCCGGCCTATGGCCTCATTTTAACTTAACTACCTCTTTTTTTTTTTTGCAAGCGAGTCTTGCTTTGTCACCCAGGCTGGAGTGCAGTGGTGAGATCTTGGCTCACTGCAACCTGTGCCTTCTGGGTTCAAGCGATTCTCCTGCCACAGCCTCCTGAGTAGCTAGGATTACAGGCGCCTGCCACCACACCTGGCTAATTTTTGTATTTTAGTAGAGACGGGGTTTCACCATGTTTGTCAAGCTGGTCTCGAACTTCTGGCCTCAAGGGATCCGCCTGCCTCGGCCTCCCAAAGTTCTGGGATTACAGGCATGAGTCACCGTGTCCAGCCAACTTAATTACCTTTTTGAAGACCCTATCTCTAAATACAGTCACATTCTGAAGTGCTAGGGTTTAGGGCTTCCACATAGGGATTTTGAGGGGATATGGCTCAGCCCATAACACCCCAACATTTTCTGAAACCTTGGCAGTTCCTTCCGGCTTCCCCCACTTCTGCATCCTAGGCAACCAGGCATGTGCTGTCTGTCACTATAGTTTGCATTTTCTATAATTGCGTATAAACGGAATGCTGCTGTATGTCATCTTCCTCTTCTGGCTTCTTTCACTCAGGGTAATGACCTTGAGACTCATCTTCGTTGGCGCGAGTGTCGATGGTTTCTTGCTTTTCATTGCTGAGTAGTGTTCTGTTTATGGCTGTGCCGTTTCGTGTACGTGTTCCCCTGTAGCTGGACACTTGAATTGTTTCCACCTTTTGGCCATTGTGGACAGTATTGCTGTGAACGTCTGTCTGTGTGTTTGTGTGGATATATGTTTTAAATTATTTTGGGTAAGTGCCTAAAAATGGACCAACTGGATCGTGTGGTATATCTCTTATTTAGGTATTTTTTCATTTCTTTTAGCAGCATTTTGTAGTTTCTTTTTTACTCAAGTTTTTTTTTTTTATTAAAAAAAAGAAAGATGAGGGTCTCTCTGTGTTGCCCAGGCTGGTCTCAAAATCCTGGGCTCAAATGATCCTCCCACCTTGGCCTCCCAAAACGTTGGGATTACAGGAATGAGCCACGGTGCCTGGCCTGTGGTTTTCAATGTCTACGTCTTTCACATATTTTATCAGATACATCCCTAAGTGTTTCATATTTTTAGAATAGTTTTATTGAGATATACCTCACATTACGTATGCATTTGTCCCTTGGTACCCGAGGACGACTGGGTTCAGGAACTCCCGCTGTTAGCAGAATCCATGGACACTGAAATTTGTGCATACTGGAGTCAGGCAGTTGGCCCTGAAGCACCCACAGATACAGAGTCAGCCCTCTGTATATATAGTTTTGCATCCTATGAATACTGTTTTTTTCTTTTTCTTTCTTTTCTTTCTTTCTTTCTTTTCTTTTTTTTTTTTTTTTTTTTGAGACAAGGTCTCATGTGTTGCCCAGGCTGCAGTAAATGGTGCAATCTCGGCTCACTGCAACCTCCACCTCCCGGGTTCAAGCGATTTTCCCACCTCAGCCTCCCGAGTGGCTGGGACCACAGGCGCCACCATGCCCAGCTACTTTTTGTATTTTTTTGGTGGAGAAGGTGGGTTTCGCTATGTTGCCCAGGCTGGTGTTGAATTCCTGAGCTCAAGTGATCCGTCTGCCTCAGCCTCCCAAAGTGCTGGATTACAGGCATGAGCCACCATGTCCAGTGGAGTACTGTATTTCCAATCCGAGTTTGGTTACAGATTTGGAACTTGCTGATATGGAGAGATAATATATATATTTTTTTGAGACCGAGTTTCGCTCTTGTCACCCAGGCTGGAGTGCAATGGCACAATCTCAGCTCACTGCACTCTCCACCTCCTGGATTCAAGCAGTTCTCTTGCCTCAGCCTCCCGAGTAGCTGGGATTACAGGTGCCTGCCACCACGCCCAGCTAATTTTTGTATTTTTAGTAGAGACGGGGTTTCACCATGTTGGCCAGGCTGGTCTCGAACTCCTGACCTCAGGTGATCCGCCCACCTTGGCCTTCCAAAGTGTTGGGATTACAGGTGGGAGCCACTGTGCCCGGTCAAGGGATTATATTTATTGAAAAAAAATCCATGTATGAGTGGACCTGTGCAGTTCAAACCTGTGTTATTCAAGAACATTTTAGTTTCTCCCCAAAATACCCTGTACCCATTGGCAGTCAGTCTCTTCCCCCCTCTCCCCAGCCCCTGGCAACCACTAATCTACTTCCTATATCCGTGGATGTGTCTGTTCTGGACATTTCAGCTGTTTTTTGGTTGGTTGGTTGTTTGTTTTCAGACAGGGTCTGACTCTGTTGCCCAGGCTGGGGTGCAGTGGCACCATCTCGGCTCACTGCAACCTCGGCCTCTCGGGCTCAAGCAATTCTCCCACCTCAGCCTCCCGAGTAGCTGGGATTACAGGTGTGCACCACCACATCCAGCTAATTTTTTGTATTTTTAGTAGAGACGGGGTTTCACCATACTGGCCAGGCTGGTCTTGAACTCTTGACCTCTCAAGTGTTCCACCCACCTTGGCCTCCCAAAGGGTTGGGATTAACAGGTGTGAGCCGCCGTTGTTTTGTTTTTTGAGATGGAGTCTCGCTCTGTCACCCTGACTGGAGTGCAGTGGTGTGATCTTGGCTCACTGCAACCTGTGCCTCCTGGGCTCAAATGATTCTCCTGCCTCAGCCTCCCAAGTAGCTGGGACCACAGGCACACACCACTATACCCGACTAATTTTTGTACTTTTAGTAGAGATGGGGTTTCACCATGTTGGCCAGGCTGGTCTTGAACTCTTGACCTCAGGTGATCCGCCCACCTCGGCCTCCCAGAGTGCCGGTATTACAGGCATGAGCCACCGTGCCTGGCCTCTTCGCATTTTCTTTTTCTTTTTCTTTCTTTTTTTTTTTTTTTGAGACGGAGTTTCGCTCTTGTTGCCCAGGCTGGAGTACCATGGCACAATCTCGGCTCACCGCAACCTCCGCCTCCCAGGTTCAAGCAATTCTCCTGCCTCAGCCTCCTGAGTAGCTGGGATTACAGGCATGCACCACCACGCCTGGCTAATTTTGTATTTTTAGTAGAGAAAGGGTTTCTCCATGTTGAGGCTGGTCTTGAACTCCTGACCTCAGGTGATCCACCCGCCTCGGCCTCCCAAAGTGCTGGGATTACAGGCGTGAGCCACCATGCCCGGCCCTGCACTTTCTTGATGGTATCCTTTGTGCCACAAAAGTTTTAAATTTTGGTGAAGTCCTAATTTATCTATTTTTTTCCTTTGTTGCTTATGATTTTGGTATCATAGCTAAGAAATCCAAGATCACAAAGATTTACACCTGTGTTTTCTTCTAAGCATTTTATAGTTCAAGCTCTTACAGTTAGGTCTTTGATTTATTTTGAGTTGCTTTAGGGTTTATGGCATGTACCTTAACTTGCCAGTCTACCCTTAAAAAAGCATACATCTATTCCACCCCTCCTAACCTTCATTCTATGTTATTATATCATGTGTTTACTGTTACATGTTATAAATCCATGATACATCATTATTATTTTTGTTTAAAATATACTTAAATCGTGTGAGAAAATCTCACATACTCACCCATTGTATTTCTGTGCTCTTCATTCCTTTGTGAGGATCCACATTTCCATCTGGTATTTTTCTTCTACCTTAAGGGCATCCTTTAGCATTTCTTGTAATATGGCTCTGGGGGTAATGAATTCTCTCAGCTTTTGTATGTCTGAAAACGTCTTTATTTTGCCTTCTTTTTTGTTGTTGTTGTTTTGTTTTGTTTTGTTTTTTGAGATGGAGTCTTGCTCTGTCGCCCAGGCTGGAGTGCAGTGGTGCGATCTCAGCTCACTGCAAGCTCTGCCTCCCGGGTTTGCGCCATTCTCCTGCCTCAGCCTCCTGAGTAGCTGGGACTACAGGCGCATGCCACCATGCCCGTCTAATTTTTTGTGATTTTAGTAGAAACGGGGCTTCGCCGTGTTAGCCAGGATGGTCTCGATCTCCTGACCTTGTGATCCGCCCCCCTTGGCCTCCCAAAGTGCTGGGATTACAGGCGTGAGCCACCATGCCTGGCCCCCCGCTTTTTTTTTTTTTTTCAGTACTTTAAAAATTTTGCCCCTCTGACTTCTGGCTTGCATTGTTTCCAGTGAGAAATCTGCTACTATTTTTATCTTAGTGTCTCTGTAGTGTGTCTTGGTTGCTTTTAGGATTTTCTCTTTTCATTGGCCTTGAGTCCCTCCTTCTTCCCCTCACATGTGGGGACTTTTAATTCCATGTATATTAGGCTGCATGAAGCTTCCCCACAACCTACTGATGCTCTTTTCATTAGAAACATTTCTTACTCTGCGTTTCATTTTGGATAGTTTCTATTCCTATGTTTTCAAACCCACCAATAAAAGATTCTGCAACATCTGACCTGCCATTAATCCCGTCCAGTGTATTTTTCATCTCCTGTATTGTAGTTTTCATCTCTACAATCCAGCTTGAGCCTTTGGTTATATCTTCCATGTTGCTCCTGCACTGTTTGAACATGCAGAATGGCTAGTGGGGCAGTGAGCTGAGGAGAAGGGACAGAGGGGAAGCTCAGCTGTTGGGTCTACGGGTATGATGGAGACCATGCAGCTGAAAGTAAACCGTCACCCCTTCTGCTTCAGTGTGAAAGGCCAGGTGAAGATGCTGCAGCTGATGAGGCTGGGCCTTAGGGTGCGGGGGGTGGTGGAATCTGCTTGTGGGCGGGAGATGTGGCTATGTGGCTATAAAGGATGAAGATGAACGCCCTGTTTGCTTTTCAGCCTCGCTTGGATCAAGGTTAAAAGGCCGGTTGTGGCCTTCTTGGTGGAAGAAAGAGAGAGATAAGGCACTGTCCTCCCCTTCGGAGGGTCTGGGGATACACTAATCCATCAAAACCACTGAGGGCTGGGCGTTGGTGTGTGCCTGTGGTCCCAGCACTTTGGGAGGCTGAGCTGGGAGGATTGCTTGAGCCCAGGAGGTCAAGGCGTAAGCAAGCTGTGATCGCACCGCTGCACACCAGTGCCTGGGCAACAAAGTGAGACTCTGTCTCTTTAAAAGAAAAAAGAAAAAAAAGCCTTTTTTTAAATTAAAAAAAAAATCAAGTCTACCTGAATGGCCTGCAGTTGGACCCACAAACCAGGTACCCAAGTTACCAGGCAAGGCAGCTGCAGTTGTACCAGTCAGAAGTCCACAAGATTTGAAAAAAAAAAAAAAAAAAAAAAGCCTCAGGGGTTTCAGTGAATGCTGTGTTAACTTTTTTTTTTGAGACATAGTTTCACTCTTGTTGCCCAGGCTTGAGTGCAGTGGTGCCATCTCGGCTCACTGCAACCTCTGCCTCCCGGGTTCAAGCAGTTCTTCTGCCTCAGCCTCCCGAGTAGCTGGGATTACAGGCGCCCACCACCACACCTGGCTAATTTTGTATTTTTAGTAGAGACGAGCTTTCACTACTGGTCGTGAAACTACAGTTGGTCAGGCTGGTCTCGAACTCCTGACCTCAGGTGATCTGCCCGCCTCGGCCTCCCAAAATGCTGGGATTACAGGCGTCAGTTACCACGCCCAGTCTGCTTGTTAACTTCTATAAGTCAGATGTTTGATGTGACCGAGTTCAAGGCTGATACAGCCCAGAGCCAGGACAGGTCGAGAGCTGCCCATTTTTAGGGCCTCAGACTTCCTACTGGGAGCATCGCAGCCCCTTCTGAACAGAGGTTTGGAGAAGGTGGGTCATTTGGAGAGAAGTGACCTAAACTATCCTAGTTGAAGGAATCTATCCTTGAAAGTCATCATTGAAGGAATTCAAAAAGAGAAAACTTAAGGGAAAGGAAAAAAATAGTTTTAAATTTTAAAGAGTGGGCATGTGGGAGAGGGGGTGGAGATAGTTAAGAGTTATAGGAAAACATTTCCAATTAATATGAGGAGAAATTTTATATTGGGAGAGTTCCCAAAATTAAATGGCCACTTGGGAAGGCAATACATTCCCAGACAAAGGCACCAGGCATAGGTGAACACTTGGTGAGGATGTTATGAAGGAGACTCAAACTTCAGGTAAGCAGGTAGAACAAATTGCATATAATATCCTTCCTGGCCGGGCATGGTGGCTCACGCCTGTAATCCCAGCACTTTGGGAGGCCGAGGTGGGCGGATCATGAGATCAGGAGTTTAAGACCAGCCTGACCAACATGGTGAAACCCCATCTCTACTAAAAATACAAAAAAATTGGCCGGGCATGGTGGTGCGCACCTGTAATCCCAGCTATTCAGGAGGCTTAGGCAGGAGAATCGCTTGAACCCAGGAGGTGGAGGTTGCAGTGAGCCAAGATCACGCCACTGCACTCCAGCCTGGGTGACAGAGCTAGACTCCATCTCAAAAAAAGAGAAAAAAAGATCCTTCCCACACCAAAAGTCTGTAGCTGTGAAAAGTAGCTACCATATAGTGCAAGTTGAGATGCATAAGAGGTTTATAAAACCACCCTGGAGTCGAAGGAGAGAGAACTTTTGGTAGGGAGTAAGTAGGTAAAAAGGGACCCAAAGGTCTGGGATCTTGAACACTGAAGGAGGAACAGTGTTCTGTGAGAAAGGTTTGTTTTTAACATGTTAATTTCTTCAACAAACCATTTGAATACTTAATGTGGTCCAAGCTCTGGGCCAGGACCCGGAACAACAAAGACAAACCAGGACCAAAGCCCCTGACTGACGGAGTTCTGCAGTTTAGTTACCGAGACAGACACATGAACAGATAGTTCATCATATGTGATAAGGTGGAGTTAGGGCACACAAGTGAGGCATCTAAGCAAGGAAATAAAAATAAAAAAGTATGGAATAGTTAGAATACCTGTTTTATTGATCTTTTCTGCTAATTCTGACATCTGTGTCTGTTCCAAGTCAGTCTCCATTGACTGATTTTTTTTTGTCCCCTTTATAGGTGTATTTTCCTGCTTCTTTGTGTGACTGGTAATTTTTGGTTGAATGCCAGACACTTGAATTTACCTTGTTGGGTTCTGGGCATTTTTGTATTTCTAGAAATACTATTATTGAGCTCTGTTCTGGGATGCAGTTATTAAGAGTCAGTTTGATCCTTTTGGGTCTTCTGCAAAAGATTTGTTAGGTGGGTATGGAGCAGTGCCCAGTCTAGGGCTAATGATTCTCAACTACTGGGGCATGACCCAACGCCCCAGGAATTATATGCTTTTCCCAGTCCAGATTCTGGGAACAGGCACTGTCCCCTGCCCTGTGTGGGCTCTGTCCCCTCCAGTCCTTCCAGGTGGTTCTGTCTGGTCTCAGGTAGTTTCCCAAGACACATGCGCCGATCAGATCTCTCAGATTCTCTGGGCAGCCCCCTCCTCACTGTCTTCTGTGCATGACCTCTGGCTGCCTCAGTCTCCCCCAGTTCTCAGCCCTCTCCTGTGCTGGATTCTCCCCATCTTCCCCAGCCTGCAGTGCTGGGTCCTGGAGACTCCCCAGGGCTCACCATGTTTGTTTCCTCTCTCTCAGGTCCTTTGTTACCTGACATGGAGTACCTGAAAGCCCGTTGTTTCATGCATTTTACCTGGGTTTTGGGTTGCTTCAGGGGGAGGGTAAATCTGGGCCCTGCTGCTCCATCGTGGTCAGATGTGGGAGTTACACACTGGCACACTGGCTTTTTTTTTTTTTTTTTTTGAGACAGGGTCTTGCTCTGTCACCTAGGCTGGAGTGCAGTGGCACAATCTTGACTCACTGCATCCTCCACCTGCTAAGCTCAAGCCATCCCCCCACCTTAGCCTCCCGAGCAGCTGGGACCACAGGCGCATGCCACCACACCCAGCTAATTTTTGTATTTTTTGTAGAGACAGGGTTTTGCTATATTGCCCAGGCTGGTCTCAAACTCCTGGGCTCAAGCAATCTGCCTGCTGCGGCCTCCCAAAGTGTTGAGATTATAGGCGTGAGCCACTGTGCCTTGTGGACATTAGCTTTTTTTTTTTTTTTTTGAGACAGAGTCTCGCTCTGTCACCCAGTCTGGAGTACAGTGGCACAATCTCGGCTCACTGCAAGCTCCGCTTCCTGGGTTCACACCGTTCTCCCGCCTCAGCCTCCCGAGTAACTGGGACTATAGGCACCTGCCACCACGCCCAACTAATTTTGTTTTTGTATTTTTTAGTAGAGACAGGGTTTCACCGTGTTAGCCAGGATGTTCTCGATCTCCTGCCCTCGTGATCTGCCCACCTTGGCCTCCCAAAGTGCTGGGATTACAGGCATGAGCCGCTGCACCCAGCCAAGCAAAATGGATTTTAAAAATGAACTCTTACAAAACTTTGTTCTAATCTTGCTTTCTAATAGCCACGAATCAAACACTTTCCTTGGCATTTTAGGGTTCATGAGATTTGTGTGTGCCTTGGGAGGCAGTCAAGTCCAAGGCCTGAAGTTTGCTGATGCAGTGCCCAAGCCCGGGCAAATGGAAGCTTGAAATTAGCCCTAGCTAATGTTTTTTTTTTTTTTTCTTTCTTTCTTTTTTGAGACAGAGTCTTGCTCTGTCGCCCAGGCTGGAGTACAGTGGTGTGATCTCTGCTCACTGCAGCCTCTGCCTCTTGGGCTCAAACGATTCTCTTGCCTCAGCCTCCCGGGTAGCTGGGGCTACAGGCTTGCACCACCACACCTGGCCAATTTTTTAATTTTTATTTTTAGTGGAGACACGTTTTACCATGTTGGCCAGGCTGGTCTTGAACTCCTGACCACAAGTGATACACCTTCCTCAGCCTCCCAAAGTGCTGGGATAACAGGTGTGAGCCACCATGCCCGGTCCTGGCTAATGGTTTCTGAGTTGGCCCCAGAACCTGTGGCCCTGGGTGGCCACACTGCTGGCTGGGAGGGCAACTGGGTGGCTCTGCAGCGGGAAGTGTGGTTTGGAGTCAGGTCTCGGCTCCTGCTCTGGGGCTGGTCCACCCTGGGGCTGCTGCGTCACTTCTCCTGAGCTTTGGTGTCCTGGTCCTGAGAGTGAGGCAGCGAATGCCCACCTAGGGGGCTCTGGCTGGGATGGGAAGGGGCAAGGGAGAGCCTCTGAGTCAGGAGCCATTCCCGGTGAGTGGCTACCTGGGGGATGCCACCCAGGGATGCTTGGGTGGGCACTGGGCTTATGGTGAACGTGAACATGCAGGGGCAGGTGGGGCTGATGCCAGCACTGTGAGGGGTGGATGGTACAAAGGCTGCGGGCCCTGAGAGGTCTGAGGGCTCCTGCCTGTGGGCAGCGCAGCTGGGTGGGCAGTGCCAGAAAGAGACTGGAAGACTCAATGCAGAGCCAGCAGGCAGCGCAGCTCAGCAGGCCAGAGCGCAGAGGCAGATCAGGGGTCCCTAGCATTGCGCAGCTCAGCCACTGTGTGGGCAGCCGCAGGCCCAGGCCCTGCCCACACTCTTCTGGACCTCACAAGCCCTGAGGAGTGCCTGTTCTTGAGTCCTGAGCCAGCTCCCCATGCTCACCTGCTGCTCTCCTTATCCTTCCAGCCGCCCAGCTGGGAAGGAAGGTGGCCGTGGTGGACTACGTGGAACCTTCTCCCCAAGGTAGGCAGCACCCTATGGGAGCCGGGTGTCCTGGGGAAGGAGGTGGGAGGTGGGCCCAGTTCCTGTACAGAGGGCAGCTGACACCAAAGTCCTTCAGCCCTGCTGTCCATGGTTTCTGGACAGTGTCCTGTTTCACTCATCATTACTTTAAAGTTCTTGACCATTATCGAAAACAACTCTGGCCAGGTGCAGTTGCTCACGCCTGTACTCACAGCACTTTGGGAAGCCAAGGCAGGCCTTGATCACTTGAGCCCAGGAGTTCGAGGCTATAGTGAGCTATGATTGCACTACTGCACTCCAGCCTGGGTAACAAGAGCAAAACTCCATCTCAAATAAATAAATTAATAAATATTAAAAAGTAAAAACAACTGTTTTTATTTTCGAGTACAGTTATAGAGAGCAGATTCGTGTGGCATGTCAGCTGGTCTGTGTTAGAGTTACAAAGCAACTTTAAGGAATTCCAAACACTCTAGAAGAACAGGGAAGCCTCCAGCAGTCACCTGAACATAAATTCAAATGTGCTCTTCCCACGTCCCAGGCACCCGGTGGGGCCTCGGCGGCACCTGCGTCAACGTGGGCTGCATCCCCAAGAAGCTGATGCACCAGGCGGCACTGCTGGGAGGCCTGATCCAAGATGCCCCCAACTATGGCTGGGAGGTGGCCCAGCCCGTGCCGCATGACTGGTAAGGATCTGGCGCCGTGGCATTCCAGTGCTTTTCTTCTACTCTTGGGTGGAAGAGGAAGAGGAGGCTTATCCTCGATGAGCCCTCATGGGGAGTGGGCCGTAGGATGGGTTTCTCAGCCAGGGGCGACTCTGCGCTGTCTGCCTCAGACATTTGGGAATGTCTGGAGACAGTTTTGGTTGTCACTGGGGAAGGGTTTGCTCCCCTTTGCGGGGAGCCCAGGGATGCTACAGCCATGCACAGCACAGCCCCACCAAGAACAGTGCATCTCCAAGGCCAGGAGTGCGGGTGGGAGGCCGCTTCAGCTGAGCTCTTCTGGGAAGGGGACCACGTGGCCCAGCCACACCCACATTGGCTCAGATAGGCCTCTGCCTGCAGTGGGTAGCCTTTGGGGCACAGAGCAGCTGCATCTGGAGAGCCGTGGGTCAGAGCCCCTGTTTTCTGTGAGTCCAAAGGTCTGCAGCCCTGAGCCTGGGACAGGCGGTTGCACGTAGGGATGGATGTCACGTTTTGCCACCTTTAAAAGCACTCTTGTTTTTTGATATTTCTATGAATGTACCATTTGAATCTAATAGTCCATCGTGAGGCCCTGCAGCTAACACCTGTGTTGTGGATTTTACATTTTGTTTCGTATCTTCACAGGAGGAAGATGGCAGAAGCTGTTCAAAATCACGTGAAATCCTTGAACTGGGGCCACCGTGTCCAGCTTCAGGACAGGTACTGAAGCTCTCTCCGGGAATGGGCCGCCCTCTGGGCCTTCTCTTGGGCGTTCTGTGCCTGGACACACACTTACTTACTGTGCAGAGCATGCTCTGGCAGGCTCTGGGGGTTCATGTCCTGCTCATGGGTGGGGATGAGGACAAGGAGCAGATGGGAGTGACTGTAGGGGAAGGGGAGACTGCCCTTTGCTGCTGAGCAGAGCCTGGAGGTGCTGCCAAGGAATGAGTGAGGCCACATTGGCAGAATGGCCAGAGCCCAGGGCTGCACAGGGAGGAGGCGCTTGGGGCTGGAAGGCCTCAGGCCAGAGAGCGTGGACATAGCTAGGCCTGGGGCTAATATGTGGTGAGGGTCATCCCAGTGGCAAGCCCCCACCCCGTGAACCCCCTTCTTACTGCACACCTCCAGCTCCTTGGGTGTGGGTGCAGGAGCTTGGTGCTTTCCGCTGGAGCAAATGTCCCTACTTGGTCACCGTTCCTGTCAGCCCCTGGGGATCTCCAGCACAGAGGCCTATGCTCCCCTGGCCTACAACCTTCTCCTGGGGCTCAGCTGCCAGCACAGCAGATGCCTGAAACTGGTACCGCCTCTGGCCCAGCCTTTCTCCCGGGGCTGTGGAGGGGACAGTGGTCCCGCAGAGGTCTGGTGGCTCTCCTCATGCACCATTTGCTTGGCCCCAGGGCGGGTCTTCCTGGGGCTTCACAGCAGGCAGCAGTTTTGTGCTCACTAAATCCAGGAAAGTGGAGCCAGGAAGCCAACTGCTTGCCCTCCACCTGGACCTCACAAGCTCTCCCCTATCCAGGGAGCTAAGCCACATTGTGCTGTGGCATTTCTGTGTTTCTCTGTGGGGCTCTGTATCCCCTGGTACAGTTTCCTGGGGACAGCAGGCTCTGCCCTCCCTCCTCCCTGCCCTGGGCAGCTCCTGGACGGGCACCAAACAGGCCCAGCCCACTGCCTGCTCCGGAGCCACCTGCAGAAGGAGGCTGGGGCGCACCTGGGCTGTTTCTGCTTTTTCACTCTTCTGAAAAGTGCTGCCATGAGCATTGCCCGGCTGTGTCCCGTGGCAGCTTCCTGGCTGTCGAGGTGATTGAAGGGCTCTTGCTGTAGGAACTTCACGCAGCTCAGACAGCCCATAGAGGCACAGGCTTGCCAGTGGGGAGAAGGCAGGCTCAAGCAGGAGGCAGAGCCTTCCCAGAACCCTTGCTGCAGCACGGTCCTTTTGTCATTAGAAAGTGTTGGTCGGGTGCAGTGGCTCATGCCTGTAATCCTAGCACTTTGGGAGGCTGAGGTGGGAGGATCACTTGAGCCCAGGAGTTGGAGACCAGCCTGAGCAACATAGTTTTATTGCTACATCCCTACAAAAAATAAAATGAACTAGCCAGGTATGGTTGCCCATGCCTATAGTTCCAGTTACTTGAAACAAGGCTTCCGTGAGCTATGATCATGCCACTGCACTCCAGCCTGGGTGACAGAGTGAGAAGATGTCTTTAAAAAAAAAAAAAAGGGTGGGGCGCGGTGGCTCATGCCTGTAATCCTAGCACTTTGGGAGGCTGAGGTGGGTGGATCACTTGAGGTCAGGAGTTCAAGACCAGCCTGGCCAACATGGCGAAACCCCGTCTCTACTAAAAATACAAAAATTAGCCAGGCGTGGTGGCGCAAGCCTGTAATCCCAGCTTCTCAGGAGGCTGAGGCAAGAGCTGAGGCAAGAGAATGGCTTGAACCTGGGAGGTGGAGATTGCAGTGAGCCAAGATCGTGCCACTGAACTCCAGCCTGGGCGACAGAGTGAGACTTTGACTCAGAAAAAAAAAAAAGAAAAGAAAGCGTGGGTCATTTGTTTCTGTGCACTATGCTCCCAGCCACTGTTTTGCCAGCCTTGTCATGCCCGTTCTCTTGGTGTTACCACACCCCTGAAATCAGAAGGTGACACCATCTGGTGGGCACCACAGCTCCCTGCTGGAACATGTCCGGGTGATGAGGACTGTCCCCAAGAGAGGTCCAGCCACCTCTTGCTGCACACCAGGGCTGTACGTGGCCTCTTAGGACCGTGCTGAGCTGGCTTCCGTCCCTGCTTTGACACCTGTGGTTAACATGTCCCTGGGATCCCTGGGGGACAGGCGAGGTGCCCCCACATCCCCTCCATGCTTCTCAGCATGGTTGCCGCTTACCTCTTGGTCCATCTGAGCCACAGCACCAGGCCCTGCTGGGGGCTGGAGCTCCCTTTTACCAGTGTTCCCTATTGATCCAGTTGGTGAGGTTTAATTTGCAGAGGAAGTGTTTGAAAATCTTATCTTTATCTTTCAGAAAAGTCAAGTACTTTAACATCAAAGCCAGCTTTGTTGACGAGCACACGGTTTGCGGCGTTGCCAAAGGTGGGAAAGAGGTGAGCATCTGACTTACTCGCGTGGCTCCTTGTGGACCCTTCTGCAGACCTTGGGCACCAACTGCAGCTGTGTTTGGCCTGGGTGCTGTTCTTAGTAACACGTGCTGCTGGAATCAAAAAGGTGGCTTCTTTTGAGGCTGGGCACTTGTCTTTAACGTGATCAAATAATTTGCTGCCCTGCTGCTCGGAGTGGCATGGCAACAGGGTTGGTGACCACACCCTTTTTGCAGGATTTTTTGGGGATTTGAGGGTGCCTTGAAGTGCTTGGAGTTAGAACATCTCCCTGTGCTTTCTGCCTGTCCCCCTCCTGCCAGGCTGATGGTTGATGGGATTCCAGCTCCATAGGGCCTCTGAACTGCTGGCCAAGGGTCCACGCTACAGGGCAGGGGCCGTGGGAACTGCTGGCCAAGGTCTGTGGTGCTCAGGCCCTCCGGTGGGGTGATCACCATGCACCTGTCTGACCCACGGCTTTCTCTTTTTCTCCTCAGATTCTGCTGTCAGCCGATCACATCATCATTGCTACTGGAGGGCGGCCGAGATACCCCACGCACGTGAGTGTCCCCAGAGCATAGCGTCCCTGCTGCCGTGGCCCATTCCCGGCCTCTTTGAGGGATACGTTTTTACACACGTGCTTCCCACAGCAGCAGCTTGCACACCCTTTCCCCCTATACTCACTATCATCACTTTCTGCTTTCCAATTCTCTTGAATCCACACTGCTGAAATGTGGGGTCCCCAGTGGCCTCCACGCTGCCAGATCCTCAGGACAGCTCTCGTTCTGCTCTCCCCCTGCCCCGCTGGATCTGTCCCCTTCCACACCAGGATCCTGCTTCCTAAGTCTCCATTGCTGATTCCCCCTTTTCCCTTCAGCCTCAGAATGTTGGAACATTCAGGATATAAGCCTCATTCTTCATCTTCCTCCTTCACGTCCCCCAGTTTAAAAAAAGTTTGAAATAAAATTCACACGCTATAAAATTTAGCCTTTTTTAGGGTACAATTCAGTGGTTTTTAGTACATTCACAGAGCTGTGCGGCCATCAGTCACCACCATCCATTGCCAGAACTCCTTCCATCATCCCTGAACTGAAACTATTCCCATTAAACCCTACTCCCCAGCGCCTCCTCCCCCAGCCCCTAGAAACCACCACCTACTTTCTGTCTCTATGAATGTGACAACACTAGGCACCTCGTGTAAGTGAAATCGTACATGTAAGTCCTTCTCATGTAACTGGTACGTGTGTGTCCCTTAGTGACTCGTATGTGTGTGTCCCTTAGTGACTGGCTTACTTCACTGAGCATAACATCCTCCAGGTTCACCTACATTGTAGTGTGTGTCAGTATCATTCCTTTTTATGGCTAGATACTATTCCATTGTATGGATAGACCACACTTTGTTTATCTACTTGCTTGGATAAACACATGTGTTATTTCCACTTTTTAGCTATTATGAATAGTGCCGCTGTGAACATCTGCAAAGAAGTTTTTTGGTGGACTTCAGTTTTCACTTCTCTTGGGTTACACTTAGGAGCAGAACTGCTGGGTCATGTGGTAACTTTATGTTGAATCTTTCAAGGAACGTTTCAAGGAACCTCAGACTGTTTTCCACAATGACTGTGTTTTACATTCCTTCCAGTGGGGTGTAAGGGTCATGGTTTCTTGTTTCTTCACGTATCTTGTAATTTTTTTATTGAAAGCTGAACATTTCAAATAATTTAATGCGATAACTTTGGAAACCAGATTCTCCCTCTGCCCCAGGATTCTGTTGTTACAGCTGCTTATTTGGTGACTTTTCGGAACTGACTTTGTAGACTCTTATTCTTTGATGTATGTGGCCACTGAAGTCTTTACTTGGTTAGCTTAGTGGTCAGCTAAGAACTGCATGGAGATTTCCCTAAACTAAGAACTCTCCCGGTCTTTGCTGAGGGCTCTGTGTGCGTTTGGAGGGGATGCCTTCCACACTCAACAGGCAGCAGACAGCTCTGCCCTAGCCTTCACTTCCTGCTTCTGCAGAGATCAAGGTCAGCTGGAGGTGAGGGTTCAGGGCCTCGTTGGTCCTTCCTGATGTGTGCACAGTGCTGTGCATGCGCCTGGCCTAGGTTCCCAGGAATATGCTGGAACCTTTCAAAGCTCCAGCAGACATCTCATACTTTGGCTTTTCCTTTGAAGCTTTTTGGGCAGTCTGTTGTTGGCTCTAACTGTTACCTATCCCCTCAGGCAGCTGTGAGAAGAAAACCTCAGACAAATGCCCCCAGAGAAAGGCTTTTAGCCCTGGCTGAGCTCCGGTGAAGTTGGATGAAGATGACCCTATAGTTGCTGACTCTGACTCTTCTTTGTGGGGGGGCTTTGAAAGACCCCAGCTGAGTTCTGCTCTCTCTGACACATCACTGTTCAGGGCTGCCGCTGAGGTGGGAGTGGGACCAGAGTGAGTTAAAACACCCTGGAGTTCCCATTCTCACTCAGCTTCAGCTGTTTTTCCTGACTTTAAATGTTCCCTGTGTTGCTGCAAGCCTGTGGTTAATTTCCATAATTCTGAATCTCCCAGTTCTTGCCAGTTTTATCGCTGTTTTTAACAGAGAGGTGAATAACTCCTGGCCCAGTCTTGTGGGTTGTGGGGGCAGAGTTGAGGAAGGGGCCCCGGGGTGAGGGGTTGGGGGGCAGCTGCAGCAGGGAAAGCAAATGGGCTGGGGGTGAGCAGAGAGGTTTGGCTGAGACCAGTCCCCACGGGTCTCCCAGGGAACCGTGTGCCGCCTGCTCCAAGCCTCTAAGTAGGCTGCAGCCAAGCTCTTGAAGACCACGGCTCTCTCGGCCTGGAGGCCACACCACCTCTGACTTAGACCCAGGGGCAGTCCGGTGGAGGCAGAGCAAGGGGAGGTTCTGCCACTTCTTGGATGTGACCCCAGCCTCCACTTCGTCCTGTGCTTACTGTGGAAACAGGGAAAGGAGCGGCCCCGAGGAGCACAAGCACCCCCAGTCCTTAGAGGCCGTGGGACTTGTCTGGCCGCCAGGCAGCCACAGCAGCCTCTAGAGGGGGCAGGTTGCTTATGCACAGAGGTGGGGCTCAGGGCTGCGTGACTTTGTAGGATGACACTGTGCAGTTGTTCAAGGCAGCTGCTGCAGACAGGGTCCCAGTGATCCCCTCTCCTGGCAGCTGGGCTCATGGTGGTTCTGCTTAAAGAAGGCCACAGCCAGCTTCCAGCAGCCCAGCGGTCATTGGGTTTCTCTGAGGCCCCAGGCAGAGCTGCACGTGCATCCGCACCAGGGAGCACTGCACAGGGGCCCTGGCCTGGCCCGGCCCTGCTCTGCACCTCACGGGCAGCTGCTGACGGCTCTTTGGGCTCACAGGGGATCCAGCAGGCGCTCCTGGTCCTTAGGAGGCAGGCAGCTCAGGGCTGCTTCGCTCTCCCTGCCACGCCCTCCCAGGGTGTCTGCCAAGGCTTGCTTGCGTTTTAGTCCCTTTGATTGCCAGACCTTTCGGTTTTCCTTGAGTAAACCTGAGAAATTCCTGACTTTATTTTTTTTTGCCAGTTGGAAGCATAAACTGTTTGAGATCCGCTTCCTCCACCAGCACATCTTGTTCTCATGGCCGCTAAGGGGACGTTCACCCTGGGCCTCCCACCTGCTTGGCCGCCCCTCTTCAGGTGACCTGTATGATTTCTGGGCTCAGAGCCCACCCGGGCCAGCCCTCGAGAGTGTGAAGTCCGTCCTGGCTTCAGCCAGGTGCCCTCAGAGCTGCCCCTCAGTCCCTGCCCACCTCAGCCTGTGGCACTTACCCCCTGTGCCTCCTCTCCTCTGGCTGGCCTTGTAGGCCACCCCTGCCGCGCAGACACACCTGAGCTCTGCTGGCCCTGATTTGCTGACCTGTTCTCTCCCCACTTCCTCTCTCTGAGTTTGGATCCCCCAGAACCCAGGTGTTGCTCCCTGGGGCTGCATGCCCCTGTCTGTTTGATGTGTCTGTCCAGAACCCGGGCAGACTTGAGGGGTCCCAGCTGTCTGCCTGTATGGCCCCTGCAGTTGCTGTACCCACCTCAGGCCCTGTATCCTGCTCTGAACCAGGGTCAAGGGGAGGGTCCTGGGGAACAGAGGGGAAAGGTACCCTGCGAGGGCACCGGGACCTGGAGTGCAGCAGCTTAGATGCAGACAGGCCACCTGCAGCCCCAAAGAGGCCACAGCCTGCAGACAAGGACTGGCAGCAGGGAAGCCCTGTGCATGTGTGCCCTGGGAAAGCTCTGCTTGATTCTGCAAAGCTGGCATCCTCTTTAAGGAAGCCCTAGGACAGGCCAAATGGAGCTCTTGTCCAAGGGGTCATTTCTGTCTTGACAGATCGAAGGTGCCTTGGAATATGGAATCACAAGTGATGACATCTTCTGGCTGAAGGAATCCCCTGGAAAAACGTAAGGCCTGCGCGTGCTTGGTGGGGTCCTCTTTTTGTTCACCAGAGTGAGCACTGGACCCTTAGAGCCTGTGCTGGTGCTGGGCTCCTGGGGCTTTCTTTCCGGTTTACCCAAAAGAAGGAAAAAAGGCCTGTTATTTGTGGCCAGGTGTGGTGGCTCATGCTTGTTAGCCTAGCACTTTGGGAGACTGAGCGGGAGGATTGCTTGAGGCCAGGAGTTCGAGATCAGCATCAGCCTGGGCAATATAGTGAGACCTCTACTCTACAAAAATCTGTTTTGGTTTTTTTTTTGGCTTTTTTTTTTAGGTGAATTCTCACTCTGTCCCCCAAACTGAATTGCAATGGCCCAATCTTGGCTCACTGCAATCCCTGCCTCCCAGGTTCAAGTGATTCTCCTGCTTCAGCCTCCAAAGTAGCTGAAATTACAGGCGCCCACCACCACATCTGGCTAATTTTTGTATTTTTAGTAGAAATGGGGTTTCACCATCTTGGTCAGGCTGGTCTTGAACTCCTGACCTCAGGTGATCCGCCCACCTCGTCCTCCTAAAGTGCTGGGATTACAAGCGTGAGCCACCACACCCAGCCTACAAAAATCTGAAAATATTAACCGAGCATAGTACTGTGCACCTGTAGTCCCAGCTACTTGGGAGGCTTTAGGTGGGAGGATTGCTTGAGCCCAGGAGGTTGAGGCTGCAGTGAGCTGTGATTGCACCACTGCGCTCAGCCTGGGAGAGTGAGACCTTGTCTCAAAACTAAACAATAAACCTGTGACTTGTGCCCCTCTGCAGGGCTGTTGATTTACTCTGTCCTGTGGCTGCCTTGGAGGTAATAACAATAACAGGACTGCCATATAAATGGAGTCAGCTGTTTGTTATCTAGGTCAGTGGTTGTCAAATGGGGTTCCCAGGAGCCCTGGGGTTCCAGTGGGTCCCCTCAAGGACATCAGGGAGAACATTAAGGAGGGGAGAGCCAGCAATCCCTATCCCAGCCCTCATCTAACACCCTCACTGTCTTCTGATTTGTACATTGGGTTTCCCTGAAATCTAGCAAAGACTCCAAAGGCCTCAGAAACAACATCTTGATTGTGGAAGGGAGGCTAGCAGCGTGCAAGTGGCTCTCACTCCCCATGGGAGCAGGTGCAGAGTCACTAAGTGCATTCCGATGCCCACAGAGTGGGCCATCCCGAGGTCCCAGGTCCAGGCAGCTCCTGCCTGTGGGGTGTGGAGACTTCATGTTGGCAGGGAGCAGAGAGACCACCAGAGGGCGGCAGAGGCTTGGTCAATAGCAGTCTCGAGCCTTCCCCAGGAGAAAATATCAGTGGAAAAGGGTCCCACTTCTGTGTGTGCCCGAATGTGCATGGTGTGCGTGCAGATGTGTGTGGTGTGTGTGTGTGAATGGTGTGTGTGGTGTGTGTGTGAGTGGTGTGTGTGTGTGGTGTGTGAGTGGTGTGTGTGTGTGAAGGGTGTGGGTGTGTGGTGTGTGTGTGTGTGAGTGGTGTGTGTGAGTGGTGTGTGTGTGGTGTGTGTGTGAAGGGTGTGGGTGTGTGTGGTGTGTGGTGTGTGTGTGAGTGGTGTGTGTGAGTGGTGTGTGTGTGGTGTGTGTGGTGTGTGTGTGTGAAGGGTGTGGGTGTGTGTGGTGTGTGTGTGAGTGGTGTGTGTGCGTGGTGTGTGTGGTGTGTGTGAGCAGTGTGTGTGAGTAGTGTGTGTGAGTGGTGTGTGTGTGAATGGTGTGTGTATGTGAGTGGTGTGTGAGTGGTGTGTGTGGTGTGTGTGTGTGAGTGGTGTGTGTGGTGTGTGTGTGTGGTGTGTGTATGTGAGTAGTGTGTGAGTGGTTATGTGTGTGTGTGGTGTGTGTGTGTGAGTGGTGTGTGTGTGTGTGAGTGGTGTGTCACATGCTCTGCTTGTCATTGTTTCACACTTCACGGGGCATCTTTGTGTGGGGTCAGGACTGGATTCCCTTGAATGGATGTGGTATAGTTCCTTTGACCTTTCTCTTGTTAATGAGCATCTCAGTAGTTTCTCTTCTTCATCATTATCAATGCTGCAGTGAAAACCTTGGAGGTGCATCTGTTTACCATCAGAAGTGCTTCTGACACATTTTCCCAATTATTCATTGTGATAAAACAGACATAGTATAAAATTTACCACTTTAACCTTTTTTTTTTTTTTTTTTGAAACAGAGTCTCACTCTGTTGCCCAGGCTGGAGTGCAGTGGTGCGATCTCGGCTCACTGCAACCTCTGCCTCCCGGGTTCAAGCGATTCTCCTGTCTCAGCCCTCTGAGTAGCCGGGACTACAGGTGTCTGCCACCACACCCCGCTAATTTTTTGTGTTTTTAGTGGAGATGGGGTTTCACCATGTTGGCCAGGCTGGTCTCAAACTCCTGACCTCAGGTGATCCACCTGCCTTGGCCTTCCAAAGTGCTGGGATTACAGGGGTGAGCCACCACGCCCAGCCCACGTTAACCATTTTTAAGTATACAGTTCAATGGTATTAAATGTATTAATAATGTCGTGAAACCATCACCACTATCCATGTCTGGAACTCTTTTCATCCATGTTGTATCTGCATTTCCTTCTTTTTAAGACTGAGTAATATTCCATTGTACAGGCACACCACATTTTGTTTATCCATTCATCTGTCAGTGGACACCCAAGTTGCCTCTGCTTCTTGGCTGTTGTGAGCAGTGCTGCCGTGAACATAGGTGTGCAAATACCTCTTGAAGACCTTTCAGTTCTTTTGGATGCAAACCCAGAAGTGGGATTGCTGGATCTTATGGTCTTGAGGAACCTCCATCCTGTTCCCAACAGCGCCCACACCATCTTACATTCTCACCAGCAGTTCAGGAGGACTCTGGGCTCCCCACATCCTCGCCAGTGCATGTTGTTTTCTGTTTTTCTTTCTTTAATTTTTATTTTTTCCTTTAAACTGTTTTCTTGATGTTTTCTGTTTTTTTGACAGTGGCCATCCTAGTGGCTGTGAGGTGGTCTTATACGCTTTACAAGGGGAGCTGCCCTTCCGTCTTAACACTTTGTGCTGACAGGCCAATTCCATGTGTACTCTGCCTGCTTCCCTGTCCTTGGTAACTCAGGCATCAGCTTTTTGATAAGACACAAAACAGAAAGGAGCCTCTCCTCCCATACCCCTGGCCTGGGCAGTGGTCACTGCTACCCATGGCGCCCACACTCTCCTGAGAGCAGTCACTGCTACCCACGGCGCCCACACTCTCCTGAGAGCGGTCACTGCTACCCACGGTGCACCCACACTCTCCTGAGAGCAGTCACTGCTACCCACGGCGCCCACACTCTCCTGAGAGCGGTCACTGCTACCCACGGCGCCCACACTCTCCTGAGAACGGTCACTGCTCCCCACGGCGCCCACACTCTCCTGAGAGCTGTCACTGCTACCCACGGCGCCCACACTCTCCTGAGAGCTGTCACTGCTACCCATGGTGTGCCCACACTCTCCTGAGAGCGGTCACTGCTACCCACGGCGCCCACACTCTCCTGAGAGCGGTCACTGCTACCCATGGCGCCCACACTCTCCTGAGAGCGGTCACTGCTACCCACGGTGCCCACACTCTCCTGAGAGCGGTCACTGCTACCCACGGCGCCCACACTCTCCTGAGAGCGGTCGCTGCTACCCATGGTGCGCCCACACTCTCCTGAGAGCGGTCACTGCTACCCACGGCGCCCACACTCTCCTGAGAGCGGTCACTGCTACTCATGGTGCGCCCACACTCTCCTGAGAGCGGTCACTGCTATCCACGGCGCCCACACTCCTGAGAGCGGTCACTGCTACCCACGGCGCCCACACTCTCCTGAGAGCGGTCACTGCTACCCACGGCGCCCACACTCTCCTGAGAGCGGTCACTGCTACCCACGGTGCACCCACACTCTCCTGAGAGCGGTCACTGCTACTCACAGCGCCCACACTCTCCTGAGAGCGGTCACTGCTACTTACGGTGCGCCCACACTCTCCTGAGAGCGGTCACTGCTACCCACGGTGCCCACACTCTCCTGAGAGCGGTCACTGCTACTTACGGTGCCCACACTCTCCTGAGAGCGGTCACTGCTATCCACGGCGCCCACACCCTCCTGAGAGCGGTCACTGCTACCCACGGCGCCCACACTCTCCTGAGAGCGGTCACTGCTACTCACGGCGCCCACACTCTCCTGAGAGCGGTCACTGCTACTCATGGTGCGCCCACACTCTCCTGAGAGCGGTCAGTGCTACCCATGGTGCCCACACTCTCCTGAGAGCCGTCACTGCTACCCATGGCGCCCACACTCTCCTGAGAGCCGTCACTGCTATCCACGGCGCCCACACTCTCCTGAGAGCGGTCACTGCTACTTACGGTGCGCCCACACTCTCCTGAGAGCGGTCACTGCTACCCACGGTGCCCACACTCTCCTGAGAGCGGTCACTGCTACTTACGGTGCCCACACTCTCCTGAGAGCCGTCACTGCTATCCACGGCGCCCACACCCTCCTGAGAGCGGTCACTGCTACCCACGGCGCCCACACTCTCCTGAGAGTGGTCACTGCTACCCACGGCGCCCACACTCTCCTGAGACTGTGCTGAGCTTGTGCTGGTTTCCATCGACTGCCTGCTGCCTTCCATTGGACCCACTGATCGTGGTTTGTCTTTGGACTTGGTGATAGTATTTCATGCAGAAATTTTAAGTTTTTCTGTTGTCACACCAATCACTTTTTCCTGTTATGCCATAATTTCTGGGTTATCTGTTTTTTTATCTTTGAGACAGGGTCTTGCTCTGTCGCCCAGGCTGGAGTGCAGTGGTGCGATCATGGCTCGCTGCAGCCTTGATCTCCTGGATTCAAGCAATTCTCCTGCCTCAGCCTCCTGAGTAGCTGGGATTACAGGCGCTCGCCACCACGCCCAGCTAATGATTATTTTTTTTAGGGCAAGGACTCGCTATGTGGCCCAGGCTAGTCTTGAACTCCTGGGCTCAAGTGATCACCCTGGCCCCTCAAAGTGCTGGGATTACAGGTGTGAGCTACGGCACCCAGACTGTTTTTTTAATCTTTGACTATCTGCTGAGTTACACATGATCTGACTCTGTTTGCATTTGCTGTGATCAGTGGTCTTTTCACACATTTACCTGAAAAGCCTCGTGTCACAGCCTCATTTGAGATGAGCGTGTCTGTGAGCATGCCCATGTGTGCTGCACAAATCGCCAGCATGGTCCTTGTCCACTTTCACGTCTGGCTTTTCTCTTCTCTTATCTCTTCTTACCCTCCAGCTGGTTTGTGTATTAGGGATGTGATCCTCTGTCGCTTGTGGTGCAGATTTTCTCAGCTTCTAGTGTCTTTTAACTTGTGTGATGTACAAATGGTTTAAGTTTTTTTTAATGTAACTTAAATCTTTTACACTTAGTGGCTTTTTGATTTATTGCATGTTCAGAAAGGCCTGCCCCACCCCCAAGATTTTTTTTTTTTTTTTTTAAGCCCTGTATTTTCCTTATGGGCGTCCACAAGTCGGATTTTCTTTTACTTCCTTGGGCTGGCTGCACTTCTTCTGCGGTGTGGTGGAGATGGGTTGCCCGGGCCCCAGTGCCCATCTCGAGGCACTGTTCTCACTCGGCGTCCTGAGTTCTGCCTGTGCCTCTGGTTGTCTTTCACGTAGGCTTCTCTGGGTGGAGTCTGGATGCCCCTCCAGCCCCTGCAGGATGCTTTGTCTGCTGGACCTTCAGGGAAATGGCCTTGGATGTCTGGCAGCCCCAGGATGTCTGCTGGGCCCCTCGATGTACTGGGGTCTTCGGTGACGGTCACTGCAGCCCAGCACTTTCACCACCCTCGTTGTGCCTGTTCCCCTCAGAGGCTGCCCGCTTGGGCCTGGGGAGGGGGCCCGGTGCTCTGGGTGCCCTGGCCTTGCTGTCTCCCTAGCAAGGTGGCTGGGGCTTGGGGAGCGCTCCTCTGCAACCCTGTGCTGGGGGCAGCTGGCTCGGCCGGGAAGACACAGCTCCAGATATTTTGTTCAGAAAAGAAACTGCAGTGTTTATTTTCTTCAGAAAAAAAACATTTAGAAGATTTTTTTTAAAGCTCTTTCGTTTAGAAGGAATCTAGGTATGTTATTGTTTAAGAAAAAAAGTGTTTGCAATGTATCAGTCACCCGTTTCATTCTGAGCATGATTTATGTGAGGAAATGGTTTTTTTAAAAATTAAGCTGGAGATATATCCCTGTACGATGCTTCTGTGAAAATGCGGCTTTTGTCCGGCGCTGTTAATGCAAGTTGTAACAGTGTAATATGGGAGTCAGTGTTTACATGTTACATTCCTCTGCTGCAGTCAAAATAAGCCCGGAGGGTCTACAGTAGCATTTCTGTATTTTATCAGCTTGGGCTGGGGCTGAGGGGAGGCCTCCACTCACACTTGGAGGGGCTGTTTCTGCCAGATTTATTTGCCTTATAAATATTCCCCATGTTTATTTTAACTCGCCTTTAAAATGGAGCTGAAATTAATATGGACCCCGGGGCTGCTCCCCTGGCCCCTGAGTGCCTCCCGTAGTCGGGTGGGACATTTCTACCTGGTCCCATCCTGGAGGCCAGGTGCGCAACTCACGGTGCCTGGCATCACAGTGCCCCTCCTGCAGTGGGCACTCTGTCCCCTGGTTGGCTCCTCCACCAAGGAGGCTCCCTGTCCCCCTGGCCCCAGGCCCTCGGTGGGCTCTGCGGCGTGCACGAGGCCTCCCTCGTCCCTCTCTACTACAGGCACAGGCTGCCACCAGGAACTCCTTTCAGCGCACGTCTGTGTGGGGCCCACTGCCGGGAGCTCCAGATCTGGCGAGTGGTGCCCACAGTGGGGCCTGGGACCCAGCCTGCAAGGTCGTACCATGCCACTTTTGCCCCAGAGAGGCCACTCAGGCATCACAGTGCACCTCGGGCCCCAAGTTGGGAGCCCCCTTCCTCCTTTGTTTGCATCCAGGTCTTAGGGAGCCCAGGGCTGGACAGATGGCAGAGGCAGGGGGATCGTGTCCAAGCTCAGTCAAGGGGAGACAGAATTAAACAGTGCACTTCACTAAACAGCCATATGCTGGCAAAATGGGGCCATACCTGTTGACCAGAGTGGGCTGAGCACCTGGTTTGTAACCTAGGAGGGTGAGGAAGACGTGCAGAAAACTCAGAAAACTCCTGAAAAAGCAGTGTGAGCTTGTGGGTGGGTGAGCAGGACCCTTGAGTGCACTGGGGTGGGGCGGGGGACGTTCTGGCTGCCCCACTCCCATAGCCACGCCCTGGCGCAAGGGACTGTCCTCCCAGTCTTGGTGGGGACCCTGGGAAGGACTCCAGGTCGGCTCCTGCTCCGCCTCTGCCATGCAGATGCCCGCCTTGTGCCAGCCCGTTTGCCTTTTCTGCTGTGTTGTGTCTTTCCTTCTCTGGAACTGCAAGACAGGTTGAAGAAGAGAGGAGGTTTCTGGGGAGGTACAGTGACCCTGGGCAGGCAGTGGAGCCCCTCTGGGAACAATGGCCACTGCAGGGAGGCAGGGGTGCGGAGGGGCACGTGACCCCAAATGACTAGGCTCAGAGGGGGCATGCAGCCTTGCAAACCAAACCTTCCATTCCACAGAGCAAGCCCCCGGCAGGTGGAGGAATGTGGAAGGCGAGGATGGTGAGCCCACACCGGGGAGCTCCTTTACAGAGGCAGGCACTGGGGGTCGGGATCCAAGTGCAGCCAAGAGGAGCCCGAGGCCCAGAGGGGCCTGGCAATTAAGGGGGGCCAAGGAGCTGAGCTCCAACTCCAGTCCCACAGCCGCACAATCTTCCTGCCACTTCCTGACCTGGAGGGCTGCCTCCACCGGGAAGCCTCCGCACCCGGCAGGGACTTGGGCCCCGCCAGTGTGCCTTGTCTCTGCCTCTTGCACACCCACGGCCCTGGGCTTCGTCTTCTCCCTCAGTGCCAGGTTTTGGAGCTCAGGTGCCCTAACCCCAATATAGGGAATTGTGGTCCCTCTATTCTAGTCCTCCCTCTTGCTGTGTCTGTAGGTCCGCTTTCTGCAAAGCAGGGCTCTGAGCTGGCAACACTGGGATGGGGCCGAGGGCGTGAATGAGACCGCAGCCTCCTCTCAGGTCCGATAACGGAGGTACTGCTTCCCGGAAACAACCAGGGTCTGCCTGTTCCTGCTGCCAGCTCTGTAGCCCCTGCCCAGGTCCCCGTGGGGGTTTACAGAGCATGGGGCCAGCCTCTCCTGCAGCTGCCAGGCTGGCTCAGGGGCTGACCAGCCCACACACTGGGCCCTGGGGGAGGGGCTGCAGCCAGCCAGGCCTGTCCACCCTCTGAGGCTGCTCCACCAGCCTGCTGCTGTCTGTCCTCGCACTCCTGGGGCTCCAAGAGGCAGAGTGTTTTTATAACTTGGGCTGGTTTAAGGCTGCCTGTCAGTGTGTCATGGAAAGAGCTTTTATTTGACCCTTAGGAAGTCCGGAAGCCAGCCAGGTACTGCGATCATTTTTCTCTCTTCCTAAGCACAAGAGGGAAGAAGATAAATTTTATCTTGGGAAGAACCACAGCCATTTGGGAGAAAATTTAATTTAAGTGGCACATTCCGCTGGTGTGATGGGATGTCCTTGTGTTCAGCAATAGGGAGACCAGCTGTCCTCCTGGGGCTTGTTACCAGACTGCAAAGCCCCCGCCACCTCTCTGTGTGCGTCCCTGTGGCTAAGACATGACAAGGTAGGGCTTTCAGTGGCATTTGTTACAGGGCCAGCACACAGAGGCTCCGGCCCAGCATCTGCCCCTGAGGGGTTGGGTGGGGCGGCGGGGTTCCAGCCAAGCCGGGGAAGGAGGCCTTCGTAGCACCCCCAGCCCTGTGCTGCCTCCCTGGGGCATCTGCAGCTTGGCGGCCCATCTGGTATTTCCTGGGCTGGCAGGACCTCCAAGGGGCCAGGTGCCTCCCATGAGACTCACTTTGTGTGAGTATTCCCTCTGGAGAGCAGGCCTTCAAGCTCAAGAGGCAGATGGATTGCTCTTTAAGCCTAGGCTTCGTGGGCCTGAATTAATGCTTTTGTTTCTGCTTCCTCCCCCCATTCCAATTTTGAACAAGAAAGCCTGCCCTGTGATTAGGCTCATCCTGCAGTAGTTATTATGCCTCTTTGGAAAATGTTTGCACACCAAAAAGCACAGAGAGCTGAGCTGCTGGGATCACATGGAAAACTGATTTTTATTTGTTTTGTTTTGTTTGTTTTAGAGACAGGGTCTCACTCTGTTTCCCGGGCTGGAGTGCAGCTTACTGCAGCCTCAAACTCCTAGGCTCAAGTGATCCTCCTTCCTCAGCCTCCCGAGTAGCCGGGACTACAGGTGCATACCACCATGCCCCAGTAATTTTTTTAGTTTGTAGAGATGGGGACAAGCTGTATTGCTCAGGCTGGTCTTGAACTCCCGGGCTCAAGCAGTCTGTCCACCTTGGCCTCCCAGAGTGCTGGGATTGCACACATGACCCACCGCACCCAACCTCTGGGTCTTTTAATGCAGCGGTAAGTTGAGTGGTTCCAGCCCCCTACCCCCAGGTCCTGTGAGCTGGTCCCCTGACTTCTGTGGCCAGCACCTCTGACTTCCTGTGGCCAGTCATGGCTTGAGTTGGTTGCTGCACCACGTTCCTGTCTGTCCCTACCCCTGCTGGGCCGTGAATGGCCTGAAGAAGGTGTCTGTAGGTCCCTGTCTTTGGGTACTCTCTATCCCTGTGATCTGGAGGCTTTGGTGTCTGTCTTATTTTGCTCGGGCATTTTTTTACTTTAGCTGGTCTGAACGGAGTTCTCTGTTGGAATTCTCGTATCCTGCATTCTTCAAAGGGTAAACATTCACATAATTTGATCAATGCGGGGAGGCGTACAGTGAAAACCAATGCTGTCAATAATCCTTGCTCATGACAACAAGAAGAGGCCCAAAATGACCCTCCACACGAGCGAGACGTGAGCTTTTGTTGAGAGATTTCAGCCGAACACATAGGGTCAAGGATGCCCACTCGGGAATATGCCCACTGCACCCACCTCCTCCTAGCTGTACCCTCAGTTGCTGATTCAGAGCTGGCAGCTGAGGGATGGGGGCACCTGTGACTTTGAAGGTGGCCCTTGAGGCGGGAGCTTCTCCTGTGCCCCGTGGGTGCCAGGACAGGAGGCCCGGGCACTGGGGGACTCCGAGGGAGGGCCTGGAGAGTCACCTGCCCCCGCTCCAATCCAGGCCTGGTGGGTCAGCATCGTGTAGGAGGTGGGGATGTACACGTCGGTGGCAGAGACAGCAAACATTTGTGGCAAAATCAGGAGGGTGTGTTGCTGTATCCCTAGCAATGAGCTAGGAGGCCCGGAGAGCAGCCTGGCCCCCATCCTGCAGCTGCAGGGCCCATTCCTGGAGAAGGGTTGGCCTTCAGGGCCAGGAAGGCCCTGACGTGCAGGGGCCCAGCTGCCCACAGAGGGGATGCATTGGCCTCACTCTGCCAGTGCCTGCACAGCCCAGCAGGAAGCATCTAGCCCATGCACAGCCACCTCTGGGAGCAGGGGGCAAAGGGCACCACACAATGGGCTCTCGCCCAGTTACACCCTTGCATTTAGGGCAGGATATGCAAAGCAGCAGAGTTCTGTTTATATTTGCAGTAACTCATAACTTCATATCTTTTTTTTTTTTTTGTGATGGAGTCTTGCTCTGTTGCCCAGGCTGGAGTGCAGTGACACGATCTTGGCTCACTGCAAGCTCCACCTCCTGGGTTTACACCATTCTCCTGTCTCGGCCTCCCCAGCAGCTGGGACTACAGGCGCACATCGCCATGCTCAGCTAATTTTTTGTATTTTTAGTAGAGATGGGGTTTCACCATGTTAGCCAGGATGGTCTCGATCTCCTGACCTCGTGATCTGCCTGCTTCGGCCTCCCAAAGTGCTGGGATTACAGGCGTGAGCCACCGCACCTGGCCATAACTTCATATCTTAAACAAAAGCTTGTACCTTTCACTGCATATAGCAAGTCCAAAAAGAGTTTGGTTTCGCCATTTTGGAAGTGCACTTCCGTGTAGAGATGTGTATGTGGTGCCTATGTGTGTGTGCATGTGTGGAAGTGCGTGCATACCGTGGTGCCTGTTTCCCAAGTGTTGCCGGCCCTGAGCGGGGCTGGGAATGCATCTCTGCAATCCTGCTTGGCTGGGGGTCCCAGGGTCCCCCTTCGCTGTCCTCACATGCTGAGTGAGGCATGTAACCACCTTGTGCTCAGCCGGCCAACAGAGCTCTGTCTGCTCACCCTAATCCTGACAGTGGTGCGGTTCTGTCCCCAGCCACAGTGAGGAAGCTGCATGCCAGATGCTTCCCGCAGGGCACCTGCAGAATGATTCCAAGGGATACACCGTGTTTTGAAATGGAATTATATCATTAGTACCTGCTGGGATTAGCAATGACATTGGGCTTATCCGTCCTTACATCACCTCCTCTTGTTCAAAGACTGAAGGGTAATGTGGGAGCCCACCCACGTGCAGCTGCCCCGCTGGGAGTTCTTGTTCGTGTTAGGTTCTGTGCCCGTTTGCATGTGTGTGCATGCATGTGTCTACATGAGTGTGTGCATATGTATATATGAATGAATGTACCCATGCGAGTATGTGCGTGTGTGTGTACATTTGTGCCCGTGTAAGAGTATGTGCATGCAGGTGTGTGGCATGTGTGCACATACAAGTGTGCGTGAGTACATGTGCATGCAAAACACATGTGGAGTGTGGGGTTGAACAATAGAGGGTTTTCACTACAAGAGCAAATATTTCCAATGACTGCTGGTCGCAGTGTCCTGTGCTGCCTCCCTTGTCCCTGGGGTCCTTCAGTCCCCTCTCTGGGGAGCTGGCCCTCCTGGCCCTGCGCCTAGCTGTGATAGGGTTGGATGTGCCTCTGGCACATGGAAGGGCCCAGCCTTCTGTGGTCTTGAGAGTGCTTTGCTCAGATGATGTCTTCCCTTGCGGTCTGGTGGCCTCCCCATCCTGCCAAGCATCTCCCAGCTTCCACCCTAGCCCAGGAGGCCCCGGGGGGAGAGAAGGAAAGCCATGTGCTGCTCTGGTGGATGTTTCTCCATGCCTCCGGGTGCCTTCCAGGGGACAGGTACCACTTGTCACTGACACACACGCCCTTCACCACCAGGCGATTTGCTGATTCACAACATGCTTGACAGTGTAGCCTTGGAAAGTGGGCTTTGTCCCCTGGGGCAAGCTGTTTGAACAGTAACCTTGGAGCCCACGAGCTGACCAAGGGCCTGGGCAAAGGCTGCGGGGTTCTGCTCTGACTGCACTTGGTCAATAAGGGCCTCAGCTTTACATGTGCTCTCTCTCTGTTTCTCTAACAGGTTGGTGGTCGGGGCCAGCTGTATCCTTTGCAAGCGTGCAGGTGGCCGTCCTGGGAACTGGACACTCCTTCCCTTGAGTCCCTCCCTGCCACCCGCCCTTCCGGCAGGCTCTTTGCTGCCTCAGATCGGCACTTACTGGGCCTCTCGGCGTGGAGGATCTACTGTGCCTGGGGACAGTTTGAGGCTGACCTCTGGCCAGGGATTCCTGGAGGCTCTTCCTGAGCTGGGACAGCTGGACATGGCCATGAGGCAGCTGGGCTGTCCTCCCTCAAGAGCAGCCCCAGCCTGGACCCATTGCTTCAGAAGGGACAATTAGACAGGGAGGGTCAGGAGAGGAGCTGCAGGAGGGCCTGGGGTCAAGGGGACATCTGAGGGAGATGAAAGTCCCTGGCCGGGCGCGGTGGCTCATGCCTGTAGTCCCAGCTACTTGGGAGGCTGAGGCAGGGGAACCGCTTGAACCTGGGAGGCAGACGTTGCTGTGAGCTGAGATCATGCCACTGCACTCCAGCCTAGGCAACAGAATGAGACTCCATCTCAAAAAAAAAAAAAAAAAAAAAAGCCCCAAGCCGCTGGCTGAGAGCACAGGTGGAAGAAAGCAGCTGCCTGGCATCTCCCGTGGCTGAGGTCCTCCCTGAACCAGCCACTCCTCTCCATCCCAACTGGAATCCACCAGGATGCAGGCCTCGCCCTGGAGCCGGGATGGACAGCACATGGGAGCAGAGGCCAGAGGCCGGCCTAGTCCGTGGGTGCTGCTTGGCGGCTCCTTGCTAACCCCAGCCTGTGCACTTGAGATGTGGAGGTGGGGGTCTTGAGTTGGGAGCCTCCTCCAGGGCCAGCCATGGATGGGTGGGGTGTGGGCTGTGGCACAGGGCCCTGGGGTGTTGTCCCATCATTTCCAAAATTGGGATCTACAGTGCTCCTTAGCTGGCACCCCACAGATGTGGCCCTGGAGTGTGCTGGCTTCCTCACCGGGATTGGGCTGGACACCACCATCATGATGCGCAGCATCCCCCTCCGCGGCTTCGACCAGGTAGTGCTGGAGGCCCCAGCTCCCGCCCCTGTGGCTCTGAGGCCTTCCTCCCACAGCCCCCTCCCAGGCAGGTGCAGTGCAGTCATGGGCCACGAGTGATGCCTGAATCTTTAGAGATAACCCTTGAATTGGATGAGGAGGTTGTCCAGGAAATATGCAGACACTCGGCCGGAGCGAGGGAGGAGGGTGGCAGTGGGGCGCACAGCTGCACAGAGGCCTCCAGCCGACCACAGGCACAGTGAAGGGAGGCTCAGCCCAGCCTTGTGCCGGCAGAGCAGGTCACCCTCCGGGTCGTCCCATTAGTAAGAGGCCGGTGTGTGCTGCAGAAGTGTTAGCCCCACCTCAGAGACCCCCAACTCCCTGCTCTCCCCTTGCCTGTCCCCTCTGAGGGAGTGGGGGTGAAATAAGCTGTAATGTGTGAGCTGGGGTGAGGGACACAGGGCAGCGCTGGCTCCGAGACAGCCCGTGGGATCTTGGCTTCTGGACAGGTGCGCTGTGTACAGTGGCCTTCATCTGTGTCTGGGGTACACACACTCATGTGGCCAGCAGGACGAGCTCCTAGATTGGAGCAATAGAGATTTTCTTTTTTTAGCTAAAAACTCTTCAAGGGAAAGTCTCCTGTTAAAATAGAAGTCTGGAGTTGTCATTGTGGAGATGTCAAACACTCCATGACTGCCACGAAGGAGGCCCCTTGCAGGGTGAGCTGTGCAGATCTGCAGGCCCTGCTACAGGTCCTCGGCCGACCCTCAGCTCACAGAGCCTGAGGAGGTCACCTGAGGTGGGAGGAGCCAGGCCTGTCATCTCCAGACTCCCAGTGCCACCCCCAGGCTGACTCAGAGACGTGTCCCTCCACCCGTGTGGCCATGTGTTGTTCCATCCTAAAGCTATGGCACACTCCCATCATGTCCCTCAGTGCAAACCCACCGAGCCCTGTGGTAGGGACGCAGTGTCTAGGAAGGCCTCAGAGCCTTCAGATGTGGGGAGGGTGAGCTGGCAGTGGACGGAGGAGGAAAGGGGCCTGCAGAATGGGGGCCGTGCCCAGGCAAGGAGGATGCACAGTCTAGGCAGCCAGGCTGAGGGGCGAGGGACCCTGTGTCCTGGACAGGCTCCATGGTTCTCCCTCAGAGCCTGGGATGGCCATGCCCTCCAGGCCTCTGGAGGGGTGCAGGAGTGATGAACAGCCTGTGCGGCAGCCCCTCTGCAGCACAGCCAGCCCTGCCCGGCGGGCCAGACTCCCACACACGCCATCTAGAGCCAGCTGGCACACCCGCACAGGTGTCAGAGGATGTTAGCAGTGACTGTTTTTCTCCTCTTGAAACCAGAAGCTGTGGCCAGCTTCACTGCTGGTCCGTGCAAGTCCCCATTGTCCTGGGAACAGGGCCCCCATCTGTAGCTGGACTTGGGGCGCACAGGCCTCCTGGGCCGGGAGGGAGAAGCAGGACTCTCTCTGTCCCTGATCTGGACCTGAGCCTGCTGTGCCTACATTTCTAGGCGGGAGCAGAGTCTCCTACCTACCCTCCTGGCTCCTGGATGGCAGAGGGGCATGTTGGCCACATGTGGAGGGGTGGGCCAGGAGCAGGGGCCATCTTGTTGGACCAGGGCACAGCTCCTGGGGGAAGGCACGCTTCTCTGCCATTGGTTTTAGTGAAGACTAAGTTTTTTGTTTTTGTTTTTTAAAGAAATGTGTAGATGTACCAGGATTTGGTTGTTTTTCTTTTTTTTCTTTCTTTTTTTTTGGTTTGAGACAGAGTCTCACTCTGTCACCCAGGCTGGAGTGCAGTGGCACAATCTCGGCTCACTGCAAGCTCCACCTCCCGGGTTCACGCCATTCTCCTGCCTCAGCCTCCCAGTTAGCTGGAACTACAGGTACCTGCCACCACGCCTGGCTAATTTTTTGTGTTTTTTAGTAGAGACAGTGTTTCACCGTGTTAGCCAGGATGATCTCTATCTCCTGACCTCGTGATCCGCCCGCCTCAGCTTCTCAAAGTGCTGGGATCACAGGTGTGAGCCATCGCACCCGGCCTTGCTTATTTTTTCTTTTAGAGATAGAGTCTCACTCTGTCGCCCAGGCTGGAGTGCAGTGGTGTGATCACAGTTCATTGCAGCCTCAAACTCCTGGGCTTGAGGGATTCTCCCACTTCAGCCTCCCAAAAGGTTGGGATTACAGGTGTGACCGTATCTGGCTGATGAAGACTTAGTTAATTAGCATCTAGAGAGGAGCCCACAGGCTGAGTGAATCCTGACCATAGGGCCCAGGGTTGAGGACTTGGAGCCAGGACAGGGGCTAGACACTCCACAGAGAGCAAGAGGACGTAGAGCAGGGGGCAGGGTGTCTCACCCCGTCTTCCGCACAGACCCCTCTCCGCCCTTCATTGAGGCCTTCGAGAGCAGGGCAGGGCCAGAGCCTCTCTCCCACGGCCACCTGGTCTTCATGGCCTGTCTTCTTGTGCTTTGCAGCAAATGTCCTCCATGGTCATAGAGCACATGGCATCTCATGGCACCCGGTTCCTGAGGGGCTGTGCCCCCTCGCGGGTCAGGAGGCTCCCTGATGGCCAGCTGCAGGTCACCTGGGAGGACAGCACCACCGGCAAGGAGGACACGGGCACCTTTGACACCGTCCTGTGGGCCATAGGTAAGGGCACGTCGAGCCACACGCTCTGTCTCTGGTCTCCCCGAGGTGCATGGAGAATCTTTGCCCCACTTCCTGTCACCTCCCAGGGCTCCCCCATCCTGCTGGCTGCCAGGCGGGTTGGCCGCTCCCCAGTGCACCTCGAGAGCAACCGTGAAGGCCTGTGGGGCGGCACTCACACTAGGCTGTGCCCATCTTGCCATCCCCAGCACCTTGCATCTCTGCGTGTCTCCCCACCACCGTGGGACATGCTGGAAAAAACCAGAGAAGAGACTGAGACGGCATCAGCCAGGTGTCCTCATCGAGGATCAACTAGGCAATCATCCTCGCCTTCCCTGGCCCTTGAGCAATTGCTTATTAAGGTTTCAGCACATAAATCCTACTTGTCACCTTCCAGGTTTAAGTCTTGGTATGTTTCTTTTCTTTTTTTTTTTTTTTTTGAGATGGAGTCTCGCTCTGTCGCCCAGGCTGGAGTGCAGTGGCAACCTCCGCCTCCCGGGTTCAAGCGATTCTCCTGCCTCAGCCTCCTGGGTAGCTGGGGCTACAGGCGCCCACCACTACACCTGACTAATTTTTGTATTTTTAGTAGAGACGGGGTTTCACCATGTAGGCCAGGATGGTCTCAATCTCCTGACCTTGTGATCCACCTGCCTTGGCCTCCCAAAGTACTGAGATTACAGGTGTGAGCCACCGCACCTGGCCAGTATGTATTTTTTCTTTAGCATATTAAATGTTTTGCTGCTTCAGGCTTTCCAGCTAGGTTTTTTTCTTTTTTTGCGTGTGAAACAGGGTCTCTCTCTGTTGCCTAGGAGGAGTGTGGTGGTGTGATCATAGCTCACTGCAGCCTCCACCTCCCAGGCTCAATCAATCTTCCCATCTCAGCCTTCTAAGTGCTGGGATTACAGGTTTGAGCTACTGTGCCCAGCCAAGCTAGTTTGTTGTTTTTAACATAAAAATGATATGGATTTGAAAGTTTTAAAAATTATGGTGACATACACATAACATCAAATTCATCATCTTAAGCATTTTAAAGTATATAGTTCAGTGGTGTTAAGTACGTTCATATTGTACAAGCAGCATGACCATCCATCTCTAGAACTTTTCCATTATCTCCAAACTGAGCTCTGTCCCCATTAAACACTCACTCCCTGCTGCCCGGGCACTCACCCTTCACTGTGTGTCTCTATGGATCTGACTCCTCGAGGGACTTCATGTAAGTAGAATCATGCAGTGTTTGTCCTTTTGTGACTGGCTCATTTCTCTTAGCACAATGTTTTCAGGGTGCATCCATGTTGCAGCATTTGTTAGAGTTAGCATTTGTGTAGCATGTGCCAGCATTTCCTTCCTGTTGAAGGCTGAGTTGTATGTGTGTCCATTATCTGTCAGTGGACACTTAGGTTGCTTCCGTCTTTTGGCTGTTGTGGATCATGCTGCTGTGAACATGGGTGTGCACAAGCCGCCTGTTTTCAGCACATAAAAATGACACAGAGTTTTTAAAGTTCTGTCCAGCCTTCTCGTGGCTTTCAGTGTTTCCCAGTGGGTCCCTTTGGGCCTGGCAGGTCATCACATGCCAGGAGTGGCATTTTGCAGGCCTTTCCAGAAGTCACATTTCGAAGGCTTCCAAAGACATCACCCTTCCAGTGCTGGGCAGAGGCCTGGGCGTTTCCCGGCCAGGCGTGGGCTGGCTACAACTTGCTGGGCACAGTCTGGTCTCACCTTCTTGCTCTCTGTCAGGTGTAGGTCCGGTTTTGCATGGGGCAGTGGCCGAGCAGGTGTGGGGAGTGTGGACACAGCCAGGGGATACCTGTGCCCAGGCCTGGGCCGGGGCTGTCTGACGGGACTGGCAAGGGGCAGCTGGAGCCAACAGGGATCGCCCAGACACTGCTCTGTCCCAGGCCTGCTGCAGAGGAGGCCATTGCAGATGGGCCGCCGCAAGGAGGGCTGCGGGTCCTCGTCAGGGTGGGTGGCGGCACACACAGCATGCCTGCTCAGATGTCCTACCCACCTCGGTGCCTGGCCGTCTAGTTTAGGCTCCTAGTTTTCCCAATCACCCTGTCAACTTGCATGTTGAAGGCGGGAGCAACCTAGTCAGTGTTGTTAGTTCTCCGAGGCCTTTCTGTGCTGAGCCTGGTCCGTTGTCCCCTGCGAGAGCCCAAGATCAGAGCCAGGGTCCCTCTCAGATCACCTGCCTCCACCTCCATCAGCTAACCGGGCTTGCGTGGGGCTGGCCAGGGGTCAGTGTCTCCTGGGGGAGGGCTCCCAGAGGCACAAGCTGTGTCATAGGGTGATGCACTTCTGAAGCAGTCACTCGGAATGGGAAATCAGAAAGGAAACCAGCCTGGAGCGGCTGAGGCTTCACTTTTGTGCAGTGGACACAAGCGCAGAGGTGATGACCGGGGAGGACCTGAGATGCCTGAGCGCACGCAGGGCTCTTGGCCCGGAGGTGATCAGTCAGCAAGAGCAATGTTCTCAGCCACGTTGTAAAAGTAGATTTTAAGTAAGTTTATTATGATAAACACTACGAAGGATTAGGTAACATTTTGGACTCTGGAGTGTACTGATGGTTCTCATCCTAAACTCCACTTTATTTTTCTTTCAAAATTTATCCTCCTACTGTCATTCCCAAATAAACTCCACTCTAAAGGGGAGGTGGCGAGTTTCTCCCTCCCACCGCGCCCTAGCCCTCCTCCTCTGTCTGCTGACACCTCCGTTCACCCACAGCATAAGGGAGCTGTTGCCATTGAACCGAGGGGCAGCCCTCGACCAAGCCCATAGGGATGTAGCAGACCAATGGGCCGGGGGCTGTGTCCCCGGAAAGCCGGGGCGTCAGCCTGGCAGGCAACAAGCGAGGCCCCTCCCTACTCAGCAGAGCTGCCGTGGCCTGCACGCCCATCCTCCCTTGCTAGGAGTCTGTTTTATTTTTTTGTACTTTCAAAATGAGCATCCCCCAGACAGTCTGCCTGGCATGATTGATGCTGGGGGTGGAAGCTTTTCACAGTCCTTGGCCTCTGACCCTGCTTCCCGAGGGCGGCGCGGCTTCTGCGCGCCTGCTGGGGGCCGCTCGGGCATGTGCTGACTTCGCTGCTGCTCAGAGCCAGGTTTTGTAAACATTCAGGAGCCACTTCCCAGGTCAGCAACTGCGAGCGTTTTCTGCTGGTTTGTACGATAAGCCTTTAACCAAGCTTTATTTCTACTTGCAATAAAGGATGATCCACTCTGGGAGGTTAAAATAAAGCGCCCTAGGGGCGGCACAGCTGGCAATGCCAACATCTCCGACTCTGCTTCCTGTACCGGGTGTGCACTACGTCCGCACAAGCTGGGCTCCGACAGGAAGGGGGGATGCCTCCGTGCCCGGTGCACACACACACAGAAGGGGCCCAGGTGCTGCACAGAGCTCCCGTGTGGGGCCGAGTGCTGGCCCTGCCCGTTGCCCGTGTGCCTGGCGCCTGGCCGCAGCTGGCGAGGACCATGGACATTGGCATTGCGAAGTGGGCCCTGCAGTCTGGAAGCAGAGGAGGACCAGAGCCCCTTCCTCGACGCAGCCTTGATCTCCACGTGGTGGATTAAACATATTAGCAGTTAAAGCAGTTAATTGCTGTGCAGGGGGCCCCCGCTCATTGTTTGTCTCTGAATCACCCGCCCACACCAGGTGTCTCAGATAATAGACTGGGAACTTCAGTGAGGAGGATTTCCTGTCTGCAGATGTGCCGATTACAGCGCTGAGTGAAGACAGTCAGCCAGCACTGCTGCGGGCTCGAATTCGCCCGCTGAGTTAACCAGTTGTGGCCTGAATCCCTGGCTGTCTAGGGGAGCAGGGCCAGGCTGGGGCATCCTGAGCAAACGCCTCCCAGTGCAGGGGCTTCTAAGTGCAGTTAAGTTTAGATTTGGTTTTAAAGAAGGGACAGACTGCCTCTGGACTGCAGCCCTGAAAAACTGGAAGTTGAGATCTTCATGTGCCCCTTTGGCGTCCCCAGCCCCTCTGGATGGTTCTCTGTCCCTCTCTTGAGGGTGAGATGCTGAAGGCTCTGGCGTATCCCTCCCTGCACCACAGGAGTCCTGCCCATGGCCAGAAGAGCCAGCAGACACAGGAGGGGACTCGCTAAACCTGGGGGTCCCACAGCCAGGCAGCTGTTGTGCCTGAGTGCCAGGGAGGGTGGCCACAGGTCTGCCTGGGGCCTTGTGATATGGCAGGTGAGACGAGACCCAGGGAAGGAATCCGTCTGGATCTTACCCCAGCCACTGAAGCTATTTCCTCTTTGGGCTTTATCTTAGATAACTCAGAGATGTCCACCTGTGTGTAAACCAGCATCAGAGCCTGAAACACAACATGCATGGAGCATGGGAGCTTGGCTTCCCGGCTTCCTCTTGGCACCACACAGAGGCCACCCCCACAGCCTGCCCCTGTATAGTCTCCCCCACGTGGCACGTGTGCCTGGACCACAGCCAGAGAGACTGGGGTGCCCAGGAGATGATGATGGGGGCTGGCGGTGCCCAGGAGGGGAGCTGTTGCCAGGGTGGGCTGCAGCCCTGGGCTCCTCTCTCCACCCAGGCACTGTTTGCTGGCATGTACACGGCAGGCAACTGTCTTTGCTCAGCTGTGCTCGGCTGATGGCTCCCGTACACCGCAGACTCAGCTACACAAGTCCCTGCGGATTGTCCCTCTGTTGAGTGCCAGGCAGCAGGAAAGGGCAGAAAGCAAGAACCAAGCTGGGGATGGGTGGGAGCATCCTAAGCCTGGTGAGAGGGAAGGGGCGGCTCCTCCTGGATGCCCTCTGTGCTGGTGTGGGTGCAGCTGGGGCTTAGGGGCCGCGGTGGGTGTGGATGCTGCCCGGGCGAGGGGGCTGCGGTGGGCCCATCAGGACTGCTCTCAGGGATGCGCCTTGCTGCAGCTGCGTGAAACCAAGTTTGTGGCTATGCTCTTCCCGGTGGGGATGGGCCCAGCAGTGACCCTGGCATCCACATGCCTCCATGCTCTCAGGGTGGAGTGGCCATCCCTGAGCAGGTGACACGGATCGGAGGCCCCTCTTTGATAGTCTAACACCTTTTTATTTTAGTGCAAATTTAGTTTGTAATTAATGACATCAAGAGAGACCCAAATCTGCCTCCATTGTGAGTTTGATATTTTTTGAAGTGGGGCCAAGATGAACATTCATGGAGCTCTTCCTATGAGCGGTGGCTGCGGCCTTCCCCTCCACACCACGTGGCCCCGGGCGTGCGCTGCTGCTCCTGAGACAGCACTGTTGGCTCAGCCCTAGCTCATGGTGGTGCTAACACCTCACAGAGGCCAGGCCAGAGTAGCAGGAGGCAGCGCCCTGTGCTTACCCACCAGCCTGGTGCCCCACGCTTGGCTTGAGGGCTAGTTCACACTTATGTCCAGAGCCCACAGCTATCTGACAGGCCAGCCGGCACCTGCATACATGGTTGTCCAACTGGGTCTTGTTACCATGACAAATTCAGTACTTAATGATTAGAACTGAGTGGAAACCAATTAAAAAAAAAAGAACAACATGGTGAAAAGTCTTCTAGAGATAGGTCAGCACCATTTATGCATATTACCATGCACCCTCTAATGTCTGCAGGTGCCCTGGGGCAGCCAACCTGTTACAATTGCAATTATGTTAACAATTGTTAAAGGGCCGGGTGAGGTGGCTCATGCCTGTAATCCCAACACTTTGGAATGCCAAGGTGGGAGGATCATTTGAGCCCAGGAGTTCAAGACCAGCCTGAGCAACAGAGTGAAACCTCTTTTCAAATAATTAATAATAATAATAATAATAATAATTGTTTTTTGTTTGTTTTTGAGACGGTGTCTAGCTCTGTTGCCCAGGTTGGAGTGCAGGAGCGCGATCTGGCTCACCGCAACCTCCACCTCCCGAATTCAAGCGATTCTCCTGCCTCAGCCTTCCAAGTAGCTGGGATTACAGGCACCCGCCACCGCGCCCAGCTAATTTTTGTATTTTTAGTAGAGACAGGGTTTCACTGTGTTAGCCAGGCTGGTCTCGAACTCCTGACGTCATGATCCGCCCGCCTCAGCCTCCCAAAGTGTTGGGATTACAGGCGTGAGCCACTGCACCCGGTCTAATAATAACTGTTAAAGCAATAATGACCACTCGCCACAGAGCACGCTCCTTCCTGGGGGTCCTCTGGGCCTGAGCTGGGGGCTGCGCCGTACTCCAAGGCTGACTGTGGGGTCTTACACATCATAATGCACATAGGCAGCTTGAGTAGGAAAGGCCCTTATGCTGCCTGAGGGGAAGCTCACCCCCACCCCCCAAGGAGCCGCCCTGGGTATGAGACATCCCTGGAACGGCCTAGGGGTCCCTGGTGGCTGCTGGCAGTCACAGCAAGTGGCCAATCAGGTCCCATTGAGGCCCAGGGGCTCACTCATTTATTCAACTAACATGGCGTCTCGATGGGACCTGAGGCCAGCAGGGCAGGTGCGTCCCCTTCCCCCTGGTGGGCTCATAGCTGCGGGTAGGGGCCCGGGGCTCATTGAGAAGGTGCGATTCCAGAAAAAAAAAAAAAAAGAAGATAAATATTTTAAAATAATAAGCTTCAAGAATCTAAGTCCAGTTCCAAAGGCATACGCTCCTCTGTGCCTGGTCCAAGGTGCCTCACTGGGGCAAGTGGCAGGCCAGGCCCCGTGAGGGTGGCTGGCTCTGGGGGCCACATGCCTCATGAGACAGTCGCCAGGTGGCCCACAGGGCCTGTGTGTGAAGCCGTGCCCGCCTCGCATCGCCCACCGGCCCTGGAGCCTCCCACTCCCACACCCTCGTCCTCAGGCGCAGTGCTTGGCCCTGGCTGCCTCTGTCTGGATCACAGCCACTGGCTCACCCTGCTGTACTCCTGCTGGCACTTACCTCTCACCTGGGGCGCTGCCTCCTTGCTCTTCTCTTGGGAAAATGTGTCCCAGGCGGGCGTGAAATCAGAGGGCATGCCTGTTCTTCCCATCATGGATGAGAGAGGCGCATGATACTGCATGCGGCTGGCCGTCCCCGTGTCCCTGTGTCCATCAGAATAGATGGGAGTGACCCATGGTGACTGTGTGGGTGGTTTTTGGGCTTCAGCCTTCTCTGGTCCCTCCTTGGGGCCAGGCTGGCTGGACAAGCATGGTGGCTGCCCTCCATCTCCTGGGCCATTGACAGCAGCTGGTGGGGCTCTCATTGTGATCAGAGGAGGGCTGCCCTGCACGGCTGTTCCTAGCACTGGCCACACATGGAGATGGGCTGTCCTGCGTCAGGGGTGCTGCACTGCTGGGCCTGGGGCTGGAGGCAGCTCCGGGCTGCAGAGATGCTCAGCCCAGTGCTTCCTGAGTGTCAGTGTTGTGGGCCAGCCACACATATACATAGGAAGTGAGCACGTCCATTTGTACCTGGAATTACTATTTTTTTGGCAGAAGGACAAACTTTGTTGGGCCCATCAGCCCCAATTCTGAACCAAGTCCAGTGGGCAGCAATGAGACCCACTTTGCTACCAGCAGAGACATCTCTGCAGTGGCAGGTTCGCCAACGTGCCAGTGGTTGCCATCTCTGAAGGGACGTTCCTTGGGGCTTGCGGCCATACTCTGCACCATGGTCAGCAGCTCTTCTTTGCCTTATATGTAGTGGGCATGGCCTGCCTTCAGGATGGCTGGTCAGTTCGGCCACCTCTGGCTCCCACATTGACCACAGCTCTGTTGGCTGAGATGATCCTCTTGGAGGGCAGCTTCATGTAAGTCTTCCTGGTTTCCGGGCTAGGGGAGGTGACTGCGGTGTAGTTCTCAAAGGCCCAGGCTAACAAGTTCCAGTCTCAGCCTCTCCTCCAGGCAGCGCTTGATGGTACAGGTGTGGTGCCTGCAGGGAGGACGCTGCCGACGTCCAGCTGGGCCCTCTTGCTACAGTACACAAACAGAAATTGGCCCGTGTGGAGGCCCTTGGTGGTGATGGACAGCTCTGTCTGCTGCTTAAACTGGTGTGGATCCTGGAGACCATCTCAGCAGGGGCATGTCCTTCAAGGTGCCCTTGATGTAGCTGTGCCGCTCAGCTAAGTCCACAGCATGCAGGCCTATGAGCCCTCCTGCTTCATGTGCACAAGGAACACAGAGCTGGTGCCCTTCCTCTGCCCACGAATCCCGTGGCCCACGACTGCTCATGAATACAGCCTGAAGAGCTGTACCTGGAATTTTAATGCCCTTGTCGTTTGCAGAAAATATGCCAGAGTGTCATGTATCCATTACGTAATAAGCTCTTACAAAGAAGGAACATGGTGAAGATGCCTATAAATGGATGAGAAAAGGCAGGAACTGGTAATTTACAAAAGAGGAAATACAGTTCATAAACACGTGGCCAAAAATTACTTCATCTTACTAGTCATCAAAGAAGTGCAAATTAAAGCAGCATGACAGAGAGTGCTGTGCGCCGCCTGCCCCAGGAAGGAACAGAGTCTAAGGACTGCCCTGCGCCCAGAAGCCCCCACTCAGCTGGCCGCCCTTCCTTTGAGGGTCTGCCCCAGGAACTCAACTGACACATGGCAAGCTGGTGCCCCAGGTCTCCATCCTGGTGGTGTCTAGGAAGCAGAGCCTTGAGAGTGCCTGTCCTACCCCAGGAGGGGCCATTCAGCAGCACTTGGCAAATGCTGCACTGGGCACTCCAGAGCCAAGGCTTCGAGGACGGAGCTGCAGGGAGCACAGAGCCGCCCCATGGGGAGGCCTGCAGTGGGCCACAGGCACAGCTGGGAAAGCTCTGAGCACAACATGCAGGGCGAAAGACACCGGTGCAGGCACCCTTCTTTCCCTAAATGGCCTGAATAGTGCACATTTATCCTGGCATAGGAGGGAAATGGTCGGGAGCTGACCAGGCACAACTGCTTTATCCTGGCATAGGAGGGAAATGGTGGGGAGCTGACTGGGCACAGCCACCTGCATCCTGCTGCTCACAGCATTCGGGCCCCAGTGGGTCCCCACCTTGGCACAAGTCGTCCAACCTCCTGCAGGGCTCCAGGCCTGAGCCAGTAGGGCCTAGGACGCCTGATTGGCTGTCCAGCACCAGCAGGGAGATCTGGCCCTTCTCTGGCCACTGCCCAGTCCTTTGCTCAGCAAGACCCATAGTGGGGCTCAGGGCCTGGTGTCCTGCCATCAGGGCTGGCCACGGCTAGGGACGTGGCCCCACCCAAGTGGAGCTGGCCTCTTCCCTGCACCCACTCCCAGCCACGTCCCACCAGCCCAGCTTCTAACCCCACTGTGCCCTCGGCTGCCCTCCTCAGGGCTGAGCCTGCTGCCTGCCACAGGCCACTCACTCTTCTTTTGCTGTTCATTCCCGAAGGGCTGTGGAGTCCCTGCAGGGCCAGGCGTGTCTGTGCCGCGCAGCCCACTCTCCCCTGGCCATCCAGCCTGTCCAGCTGTCATGCCTTTCACATTAGTGGCTCCATTACATTCCCACCGACTTCCCAGAGTGATCCACAGAGCATGTGCGGAAGAGTCCTGGCTTTGGATGGGCCACCTATTTCCATGCCTCTTTTATCTCTTGTGACTACTTTTAAATTTATCTTTATTTCCTTCGGGACCTGGGGACAGGGTTTGGTCAGCACCTGCAAGGTCTGTAGTTGCCATAGTGCCATAGTTACCATGAGGAACATGATGAGTGCTCTTGGCTTCCCAGGACCAGCCAGGCAAGCGTGCAGAGGAGAGTGTGGGTGCAGCGTCAGATGTTCTGTTCCGGCACGGAGCAGGCACCAGGAAGTGCTGGGCCTGGTGGGCTGGACACCAGGTTGGAGAGGGACCAGACGGCTGAGCGTGAGCCCCCGGCCTGCAGGGACCACAGCCCCTCCTTCGTGCCCCAGCCCTGCCCATGGGGCCCAGCTCCTTCCTCTGATGTGGGCTGGCATCCCCTGTGTCTGGGCTGATCCCCGACCGGTGCCAGCCCTCCCGGCACCCAATTCCTGCGGCTGAGCAGAGCACAGAGGCTGGAGCCGGCCTCCCGCAAGCTGGCTTAGCCAAGTTGGTATGTTTTGACTCCTGCCCCGGGACAGCAGCTGGAGACTTAAGGGTTCCCTCTCACGGGAGCTTCAGCTTCCAGATGCTTAGGTGGGCGCCACCCGCATACCGGCCAGCAGCTGGTTTGTCCCAGCCACGATGAGCAGGGGAGCTATGCTTTTGAGGCAAAATTGCCTTCGCCATTGGTGGATCATCCTGAGCCCCTGGGAGCCGAGAGCACCTGGGGTTGGGAGGGAAAAGCTGCTGTGGCCATCCGCTGGCCTGGCAAAATCACACCCATCTGAGTTAGGGGAGAAAGGGACCTCTGCTGGCTGTTCGGCTATGAAGAGGCCCATGCGGTGCCCTCTCTCCGGGCCCCAGGCTGTGTGGAGACTGGCAGGGGGCAGCTGTGCTGACCCCCTGGACTGGCCATCCCCTGCCCCTCTTGGCCTTTGCACCCAAGAGCAGGATCAGCTGAGCCAGCTGCCCCCTAGAATGGGCACGGTGTAGTTTGGACACTGCCCCTTAGCTCAGCTCCCCTTGGCCCTGAGGTCTCTAGGCTGGGACTGTGTGCCAGGCAGCCACGAGGGGCTGCAGCACAGAGCAGGTGGGAGACCCGGCTGCTAGCTCTGCTCACCTGGCCCTCTACTAGCGGGTTACGGGGGCTTGCTTTCTCCTAATGGGGAGAGACCTTCAAGCCCTACCTGGGCAGAGGGCCAGATCCCAGGACTTGAGCATTGTTGGGGTACAGTCCAGGGTGTGGCTGGCTCCTCTTCAGCTTGTCCAGATAGGGAGGAGGCCATTGGGAGCCAGCAGGTGTCCCTTGAAGGAGGCCCCTCTGGACTCTTGAGGCCTGGGAGCTGATGGATCTCACTGCCTAATGGTATCAGGCTGTGGTGCTGCAGACAGATGCAGGGAGGCCAGGCAGGCCAGGTGCCAACAGCTCCCCATGAAGGGCTGGTTTCTCCGGATGAAGTCAGTACCAGAGCCACTGGCACTGTGCTGGTGGCCCTGCAGCAGGGCCTGAGGCCTGGGCATGCGGAAGATTCTGGAGTCCCGCGCTTAGCACTCTTTGATGTCAGGGAGCCCCAGCATTGGCAAGTGCCTCTTCCTTTCCCGCGTGCCAGGAACCAGTCTAAGGCCGACTCCAGTTTCCACCGGTGGCACCCCTGCCTTGTCTCCTGTGCCGGCTGTCATCTGACCAGTGTCCGTTTCAGACCTGCCTGCCACCTCCTGCAGAGGCCAGGAGCCCCTCTACGCTGCTGGTGCTTCACATTTGGCCAGTTCTAAGTGGACATTCTTTTTTCTTGAGACAGTCTCACTCTGTCGCCCAGGCTGAAGTGCAGTGGTGTGATCTTGGCTCACTGCAACCGACACCTCCCGGGTTCAAGCAATTCTCATGCCTCACCCTCCCAAGTAGCTGGGATTACGGGTGCATGCCACCACACCCAGCTATTTTTGTATTTTTAATAGAGACAGGGTTTCTTTCTTTTCTTTTCTTTCTTTTTTTTTTTTTGAGACAGAGTTTTGCTCTTGTTGCGCAGGCTGGAGCGCAATGGTGCAATCTTAGCTCACTGCAGCCTCCACCTCCTGGGTTCAAGCGATTCAACCTCCCGAGTAGCTGGGACTATAGGTGTGCACCACTACGCCTAGGTAATTTTGTATTTTTAGTAGAGATGGGGTTTCACCATGTTGGCCAGGCTGGTTTTGAACTCCAGACCTCAGGTGATCCACTTGCCTCGGCCTCCCAAAGTGTTGGGATTATAGGCATGAGCCATCACGCCTGGCTGAGACAGGGTTTCATCATGTTGGCCAGCCTGGTCTCGAACTCATGACCTCAGGTGATTTGCCCACCTCGTCCTCCTACAGTGCTGGGATTACAGGCAGGAGCCACTGCACCCGGTCTCTAAGTGGACATTCTGAGAAACAGTTTAAACACAACCGCTCTAGGTCAAAGCCACTGAAGATAACCTTTCAGCCCCCTCTCTGTTTCCTTCAGGTCGAGTCCCAGACACCAGAAGTCTGAATTTGGAGAAGGCTGGGGTAGATACTAGCCCCGACACTCAGAAGATCCTGGTGGACTCCCGGGAAGCCACCTCTGTGCCCCACATCTACGCCATTGGTGACGTGGTGGAGGTACGGCATGCGTCCCGGGACCAGGGCCCCTGCCCCTGCCTGCTCCACCACCCCTGCTCGCTGGGCTCCGGCTGCTGCCGTCCTGTAGGAGAGAAACGACACTTTCTCTGATGACAGAGGCTCTGGGCCAAACCCCAGGGCCAGCCTGTCTGGAGTTCTGGGGCAACCTGGACATGGGCCTCGGCTCTCTGCCTTTCCTTTCCTTTCTGTGGTGGGAGTGTGGATGGTCTAAAGACAGCTGCAAGCACCAGCAGCAGACGCCTGCTGGGAATGGGGCATGGGTCAGCTCTGCACGCAGGCCTCAACCCCTGGCAGGTAGGCTAGAGGCATAGGCTTAGAAATGCCACCATGGCCTTGGGGCCGTCCTGTCCCCACAGGGTTGAGAGGCAGGTCTAGTTCGGGCCCACCTGGCCCCGCCCTCCCCGCCTCAGTATCCTCTGGCTTGCCTCTCTGGGCATCACACCGGGGCAGGTCCTTTGCTCTCAGCTGCTGCTGCTGCTGTGAAGTGGAGACCGGTGCCAGTCTTTCCTGGGTGGGGGCTCTGGAGCCCTCCTTACACATGGCCCCAGTAAGGGACTGTGGTGGTCAGTCTTGGGATACTGCACCCTGGCAGCCTCAGGAGTGCTCGGCCTGTCCTGCATGTGTCCAGCACCTGCTGCTGAAAGTGGCTCTGGAGGGTCGCTGAGAGCTTCTTTGTAGCGAGACCTGTCAGTGTCTGCGTCCTGGGGCTGTGGTACCAAATCACCACACACGGGTGGCCCAGAACAACAGACATGGATTATCTCACGTTTGGGGGGCAGTAGTCTGAAATGAAAGTGTCAGCTGGGGCTGGGTGCAGTGTCTCATGCTTGTAATCCCAGCACTTTGGGACTCCGAGGCAGGCAGATTACTTGAGGTCAGGAGTTCAAGACCAGCCTAGCCAACATGGTGAAACCGTCTCTACTAAAAAAATACAAAAATTAGCCAGGCGTGGTGGCACGTATCTGTAATCCCAGCTACCCGGGAGGCTGAGGCAGGAGAATCATTTGAACTCGGGAGGAGGAAGGCGGAGGTTACCGTGAGCCAAGATTGTGCCACTGCACTCCAGCCTGGGTGACAGAGCGAGACTCCATGTCAGAAAGTGTCAGCTGGGCCAGGCTCCCTCGGAAGCCTCTGGGGTAGGATGCCCCAGGCGTCCCTCGGGTTGTGGCTATATCACTCCTCTCTCTGCCTCATCGTCATGTGACAGTCTCCTGGGTGTGTCTCTGGGCCCTGATTTGCCTCTTACAGTTTCTCTGCAATTGGACTTAGGGTCCACCCTAATCCAGGATGACTTCATTTCCATCCTTACCTTAATTGTATCTGCAAAGATCTTATTTCCAAATAAGGTCACACTCTGAGGCTCCAGGCAGACCCTGCAGGGTCCTGTAGGGCCCATCTAGCCGACCCGATTGTGTGGACAGAGCATGTGGCTCCATGTGCCTCAGCCACCCTGCAGCCCCAGCTTGCTTAGCTGGATGGTTCAGCTGCTCAGTGATTTCTGCAAGCGCAGCCTCTGCCTGTGGACCATGTAGGTGCAGTGGTCTCTGGTTGCAGGGTCTGTTGAATCCTGTGGGCGCTGCACCCTGAGACAGTGCCATGTGCATCTCTGTGCACAGCGGGAAGCCTCCCTTCTGTCTGGGAATCTGAGTTTTCCCTCTGCAAGTGTGTAGCTCCCAGGCTCCTGTGTTGGAAACTGGAACATTTCAAACCGTTTTGCCAGAAATGCATGGCGCACACAAAGGCATTCTTTATTTAAACATTAAATCCACTCTGTCAGAAAGGTCGTTCTGAATAGTCCAAAGAGTTAACACCCAACCAGTGGTCCCTTGAGCGGCTGGGAAGAGCCTGTGGGCGGGGCGGGGGCTATTGTTTAATGAGATGTTGTGTGCTGTGCGCCGCCCGCCGGGATGTTTCCGTAGTTAGTCAGGCCTGCTGGAATGCGCAGGCTGCGCTCTGAGTTTATCTCCACGGATCTCTATGCATTTCTGGAATGCCAAACAACATCTGCATTTCCTGCTGCCATGGTGATTGGCAGCCCATCCCAGAGGACGGTGCTGGAACCCCCAAGGCTGGGCACACCCTGGGACGGAGGGATCTCCAGCACAGCGACATTCTGATTTGGAATTTGTTATGGACTGTGACGTGCAGATCAAGCTGCACGTCAGGAGCACATGGAACGCTTTGGGGTCCCTTTTTAGCCGGGGATTCCAGTGAATGAAAACGGTAGCAGGGGCTCTTTTGAGCTTGGTCATGGGGCAGCCCTCCGAGGTCAGCAATGTGCAGAAGGGGTTTGGAGAGAAGGCTTGAGCATGTGAGGGTGGCACGGCCAGCCTCATCAGCAGCGGACTCCTTTCCCAGGGCAGAGTGGAGGGCAGCAAACAGGAGAATGAGCAACCTACCTAGGTCCTTGGGATGCCCCTCAGGAGGACGAGCTCTAGGGGGAATGCTGTACGTCACCATGCTCGGTGCCAGTGTTGGGGATTTTCTAAAGGGAGATGCCCACTCGGAGGGCAAAGGGTGATGGCATAGGGGCTGCATATAACCCCGGACATGGTGCTGACGTGGCCCCCCTGTGCCTTCCCCAAGGGGCGGCCTGAGCTGACACCCATAGCGATCATGGCCGGGAGGCTCCTGGTGCAGCGGCTCTTCGGCGGGTCCTCAGATCTGATGGACTACGACAATGTGAGTTCTCTAGCAGGACGCCACGTGCAGCCTAGGACAGGCTGAGTTCGAGGCTAGCTCTTCTGGGGTGAGGGGCCTTTGTGCGCTGTGTGTCTGCATGTAGATGTGGGCATGCGTGTGTGTGCGCTTATGTGGGTGTGTTGTACACACGTGTGTGTGCATGCATGGGTGTGTGGCTCAGTTCTGAGAGTGTGGCGCAGGCGTGGGCAGGTGGGTCGCCTACTGTGCTTGCAGCCTGCTCTGGGCGCATCTGGTCCTGGTCTGTGATCGCTGCTCTTTGTGTCACATGCAGTGGGGAACTTCGGTTTTCGGGGCCCAAGGGCCCTCCCTGACTCCAGACCTGCTTTCAGGTTCCCACGACCGTCTTCACCCCGCTGGAGTATGGCTGTGTGGGGCTGTCCGAGGAGGAGGCAGTGGCTCGCCACGGGCAGGAGCATGTTGAGGTGAGGCCTGGGAGCAGCACAGCTGAGGACAGTGGCGACTCCACGACCTCACCCCATGCTCTGGGCGGAGGCCTTGTGAGCAGGGTGCCAAGGTCTCTCCTTTCCAGGGGCCCTGAGCAGTGGCTGTGTGTAGCGGGAAGGGACACGTTGGGGGCAGCCTCAGAAGTGGGGGTGCCTGGGCTTTGGCAGCCTTGGGGTGACTGGGCTTAGGTGCCTCTGGTCTCTGCCACCATGTGTCACAGCAGTGAGGGGAAGGCCCTTGGCTGCCTTGTTCTGAGGGCAAGGAGAAGCCCTGTGGCCCAGAAGCCCCCAGCCCCACCCCAGCCATGCTGCAGGGGTGCCCAGCACCAGCAGGGTCACCACCACGGTGCCACCCGCTCCCCTGCTGAGGTCAGCTGAGCACTGGCCCCACTCCAGCACACAGCAGCTTGTCCCTGAAAGCACCAGGGCCCCGAAGATGCCTCTGTGCTGTCCCCACCTTGCAGGGCCATGAATCTCACTCTACCCAGAAAAGTTTCTCCCAGGGGCCTCCGACCTCTGCTTCCACCCCCACCCCCCCCACCACCCTGCACCTCGTCTTCCTGGACTGCCCAGGGTTTCTCCCAGGCGAGAGCCCCCCGCCCCCCGCCCCCCACCACATCCTGATACCCATCCTCTTCCAGCTTCTTCCAGGCTCAGGCACTCACCCTTGAGGAAAGGGGTTTTCATCGAGCAAGCCTGCTTTGGGGGTCTGCTCTGGCAGGTGGCTGTGGCTCCGGGGTGGCCTGGAGGGATGCGGGGGCTCTGAAGCCTGCCGGGCCGTGGTAGCTGGAAGCCTTCGGTGCGGTTTCATCTTGCTGCCGCTGCAGCTTGCAGGCACCCAGAGAAACCGGAGCCTGCAGCCTGGGCGGTGGGGCCTGCGGCCTTTGGGGATGAGACACTGGGCTCCAGGGCTGGCCCCTTCCCCCTGCACCCCAGAACTCTCCATCAACAGGACGGGCCTGACAGGCCAGCCTTCCCCGAGGCACTTTATTTGCTATTTTTGTTTGATTCATCACAAGTGTGCTGGGACATATGTTCCTGGCATTTTATAATGTTGTTTTATGTTTCACAATGTTGAATGGCCAAATACTCTGTTTGTTTTCTTTTCAATTCTGTCTTAGTTAGAACAATATTCTCTGAAGTTCCATTAATTAATAATGGCTGTACAGCACATGTGAGGGCCCCACTCATTTTTTACTTGGCCGCAGCCCCGGACACGCTGTCGAGCCCTTCAGGGGTGCTGAAAGCCTTTGTCCAACAGCTCCGGCTCCGGTGTGGCCACAGCGGCCTTGCTCCAGTGAGGGCCAAGCAAACACCAGGGTGCCTGAGGGAGCCCAGGTGGCCTCCTGCTCACCCATTCTTGCCTCCACCATTTGTTGTGGGTGAGCTACGTCCACCCAGGTTTGCTGTGCCTGGCCTGGCTGCTTGGATTGCCTGATGCCTGCTCTGCTGCTGTGGTTTACGGGGGTCCCAGGCCTGGGTGGGACAGGGTCTGTCCTGCAGAGCATGGCTCCAGCCACTGGCTGCCTGCACGTGAGAGGGCCTGCACACACCCCGTGGCCAGCCAAGCCCTCATCCCCATCCCAGACCAGACCTTCAGGCCAGATGGATGGTTCCTGCCCGCCATGACCCTGCCTTGCCCATGCAGCCTGTGGGAGCTGCAGGTGCCACGAGGTTTGTTTGTCGCAGCACTGATCCAGGGTTGGTATCCTGTCCTCAGGTCTATCACGCCCATTATAAACCACTGGAGTTCACGGTGGCTGGACGAGATGCATCCCAGTGTTATGTAAAGGTGAGCATCCCTGTGGCCCAGGGTGCTGAGGATGAGAGGGAGGGTGGCAAAGAGCCTGGCAGGGTGAACACCCGAGGACTGGCCCCACCCATGCCTCCCAGGCAGGGTGCAGGGTGGATGCAGGGTGGACGCAACCCAGCCCCCTCCTGGGCTGGTGGCTGAGATGTGCGGCTTTCAGATGGTGTGCCTGAGGGAGCCCCCACAGCTGGTGCTGGGCCTGCATTTCCTTGGCCCCAACGCAGGCGAAGTTACTCAAGGATTTGCTCTGGGGATCAAGTAAGTCCCGAGGAATGCAGGCTGCGATGCGATGTGCAGCTGGGTATCCCTCGAGTGCCGGCAGTCCTACAGTGGAGAGCTGCTGCCACTCTTGCGGCATTTATGTGGCCTTCGTGGGTTTGCAGCAGAGATTCCTCAGGCCCCTCAGACAGGGCGGGTTTTAGGGGGACAAGAGGCGGTTCTGCCCCAGCCAGACGCTGTTGAGCCAGCCAGAGCCAGGTGAGGTGTCCCCTGTGGCCCCGGGTCGCTGCTAGGGCCCTTGCCCACCTGGCCAAGCACCACGCCACCATGAGCAGAGTGCCAGTACCTGGAGAGCCACCCCAGGGCTGCTGTGTGTCTTCTGGAGCTGGGGCCATTGCCTGGGTCTTGGGCTCAGGCTGTGTGTTTTCGGGGTCCCGGGGTCAAAGGAAGCCATGGCAAAGGCTCTGGGTGGGTTGACAGGGGTAGTTGGAGGTTGGGACATTGTGCATGGCCTGAGAGAGGTGGCTGGCTGGATGTGGGGCCTGGGAGGTGGTGGTGTGGTGAGGCCAGGATGCGCTGTCTGTGGGTAAAGCAGAGAGCAGAGGCCTAAGGCAGGACTGTGCCTAGCAGGGGAGGATGGAACAGCAGGAAGCCAGGCCAGGGCAAGCCAGGGCGTGGCTGGGTGGGAGGTGGGCTGGACGAGCACTAGGCATCTGCTGGGAGGGAGGTGGATGGCACCCACGGGTGTGGGCAGGGGTCCTGGCTGCTGGCTGGGGGTCAGGGGACAGTGAGGAGACCAGCAGCCTCTGAGGCCCTCCTCTTCCCGGGGGTGGGATGCTGTGGACCCCCCTCCCTGTGCTGACCCCGCCTGCCTCCCCCATCCCCCATGTGCAGGTGTGGGGCTTCCTATGCGCAGGTGATGCGGACCGTGGGTATCCATCCCACATGCTCTGAGGAGGTAGTCAAGCTGCGCATCTCCAAGCGCTCAGGCCTGGACCCCACGGTGACAGGCTGCTGAGGGTAAGCGCCATCCCTGCAGGCCAGGGCACACGGTGCGCCCGCCGCCAGCTCCTCGGAGGCCAGACCCAGGTATGCAGGTGGGGCTGGCTCTGTTTGAGGACAGGGCATGTGGCAGGGGTGCAGGAGCCCTGGCCATGGGCTCCCTCCAGGTGTACAGCAAGGCTACACCTGCCACGCCACCCAGAATGGGTGCTCCATCCTGTAACCAGGCCACAGCGGTGACAGGCAGAAGGGGAAGTTCCCAGGGGCCCAAACCTCCCCGGGGGACCCCAGACCCCGGCCTGGCCACAGCTGCTCCCCACACACAGGAGGTATCAAGAAACGGGGCTCATCCTTAGCAGCCTATCCCAGGTGGATGTTGGCGTGGAAGGTGTCCCGGGTGGGCTAAAGTCGGGCATCTCAAGTTGCTGCCCCACAGGGGGCTGCAGTCGGGAAGCTGGCCTCCCACCGAGGCCTCCCACCAAGGCCTGGCTCCTGCAGAGTTCAGCGCCCGCTCATTTCCCTATCTCCCAGAAGGTGGAGACGCTGCCCTGTGATGGCCGGCCCTGCCCAGCCTGCCCTGCACATCTGGTTCTGTTCCAGCTCTGCAGAGCCAGGCTGACCGGGGGGCATGTTGTTCATCGTGACCTCTTCTGGGGAGGAAGAAACTGGCAAGGGCTCCTGGCCTCTGCCCCAGGGATGCCTGTGCCAGAGCCCCCTCGCCTCGTGGTCTAATAGTGCATCCTCCGGCCTGGGCTGCAGGGCAGGGGCCGGGGCAGGGTGGGCCCTCAGCCCGTGCCATCCAGCCCACCTGGGGCACCCCCATGGCTGTCAGCCCCTCCCAGGGTTGGGGTGTTTGGGCTCCATCTCTCCCCCGGGGCTGAGGTGGAGACCAGGCAGAGCAGTGGGCTCCCCCCAAGATGCCTGTGGACAGGCTCTAGGGTCTGCATGGCGCCGAGGGGCTCTGGGGAGGCCTCTCTGGGGGTACTCAGGGCCCCCTGCTTCACCGTGGCCGCCTCCCCCCGGCGGGGCCGCGCTCGATAGGGATAAACAAAGGGCATCCTGAGGAAACTCTTATCAGAACATTACACCTCCCAGAGCTGTTTTGTTAGGAGCCTGCTATAAATTTTTATCATTTCAAAATATTTTTGTAGCACCGCGTCGCTCCCTGTGACGCATCGCCCTGGGGTGGGGCCATTCTCTGCTGGGTTTATTTCTCACCCATCTCCCTTGGGGGTCCCTGGGTGTGGCAGTGGGAGACATAGCTAGGCTGATGTGAGGGGTGGGTGGCTGACCTGTGCTGACCTTCCTGTTGTTGGCAGGATGGCTGCAGGCCAGGTTTGGGGGGCCTCAACCCTCTCCTGGAGCGCCTGTGAGATGGTCAGCGTGGAGCGCAAGTGCTGGACAGGTGGCCCGTGTGCCCCACAGGGATGGCTCAGGGGACTGTCCACCTCACCCCTGCACCTCTCAGCCTCTGCCGCCGGGCACCCCCCCCCAGGCTCCTGGTGCCAGATGATGACGACCTGGGTGGAAACCTACCCTGTGGGCACCCATGTCCGAGCCCCCTGGCATTTCTGCAATGCAAATAAAGAGGGTACTTTTTCTGAAGTGTGCTCTGCCTGCGGTGTCCCTGATGGTCCCCCAGGATCGCCCAGGTGGGTGGGGTCTGGCCAGGCCACCAGGCCCCTCTTCAATCGTGAGTAGCTTCCATCCAGGGCAGCCCAGAGTCCGCTGGGGCCCCTTGAACCCCCGAGCACAATTCCAAGCAGCCCTGGGCAGAGGGGAGCAGACTTGCAGTGCTAGGGACCCCACTTAGGCAGGAGGCGGAGCCGCCCCACCTGCCCCACAGCTGCCTGGCCTCTGGCCTGAAGACGCCCACTGAGGGTTTTTCCTGGGACCCTCTGCCTAGGTCTCTGCACCTTGAAGCAAGAAGGGCAGCCCAGTGCCAGGGAGGCTCTTGGGAGGGGCGGCAACACCGGCTTTGTTCTGGAACAGCCCGCCAGCAGGCAGGCCCATGACAGGAGGTAGCAGGGCTGTGTGAGGCTCTCTGTCCCCGGATGTCAGTCACTTTGCCGGTTTTCCACCGTGGCCCTCCAAGTCAGCTTGTCGGCTGCGTCAGGCTAATCCTGTGCATTGAGGCTTGATGGGCTGGGGAGTGCCTGTCAGTCACTGCCGAGAGACAGCGCTGACAGCCATGGCCGGGCCCTGCATTGTGCTGGGGCTTTAGCTGTGGCTAATCGCGTGTCTTCCTTAAGAAAACATCACTTAGTCTGCCGGCCCGGAGCCGTGGATGGGACCCTGCTTGTCAGCACACAGAGGAATGCCTTTGCACCTTAATGGGCCTGCAGGAGCCCGACTTGCTGTGTGAAACGTGCGCGTGAGCTCTCAGACGCCCACTTAAGATGCCAAGTGCTGGGCCAGGCCCTCCCACAAGTGCAGCTCTAGATCAGCCGTGTCCCATTTAACACACGGCTGGTGGCATGCCTGGGCCGGATCCTGTGGGTGGGGCTCGCCTCTAGGCCTGCAAGTTTTTTTTGCCGTGGAGGCACCGCCAGGCTGGGAGGTCAGCCTACACCTGCTGCCTGGGCTCTGGGGGGTGGCTCTGGGCAGCAGCCAGGAAGGGGGCAGAGGGCCTGTGGATTCCTTGGCCCTGGGATCAGCCCCTGCCAGGGAGCATGGGGAAAGCTTGAAATGGCCTTGGTGCTTTTGTGGTGATGGAGAGGATGCAGCTGTGTGGAGCCCGCACTACACACTGGGCCGCATTCTGCCGGGAGGGCCTCTTGCCTCCCTGTCTGCCCAGCCGACCAGGAGTACCTGTTGCTGGTGGCCTGAGAGCCACCCACACGTCCATGTCCCCACTGGCCCCTCCAGGTGGTTTTCTCTGCGTGCCCCTTCTTCCCAGAACACACCGTGTACCACACACCTGCTCTCTGTGACCTCGGCTCTCCCACGCTGTGTGGCCCATTCAGCCGGCCTGCACATCCCCTAGGAGGGACCAAAACATCCACCACACACATCCCAGGCAGCCGTGGGTCCTTGGGCTCCTGCTGCACAGGGGCTCATACCCTCCTGGTAAGTGGTAGGCAGGGGTCCAGCCCAGTTTACAAGCAATGGGTGCTGCAGGTGAAGAGTGGCCACAAAGAGGCCAGCACTGCTGCCCCAGGCCCTCTCAGGGCCGGTGCTGAACTGGCAGGCACCTGGCTGCAGACCAGGCCCAGGGGACCCCGCAGGCACAGGCCATCCCCACACCTCACTACTCTGGTGGGACACTGGCCCAGAGCCCCCACCCAGGCAGCTGCACAGCCAGGGCAGGAACCAGGGCCCAGCAGGGCAATGTGGGCAAAGCGGCCGCTCTCCCGGTCTCCCTTGCCCAGCGTGGGACCGGTGTGCTGGGCCAACAGTGGTTTCGATCCTGCGTCTCCCTGGAGACGGCCCAGGGAGTGCAGGGTGGGGCCAGAGCCGGGTGCTCTCCGCCTGGCCCCGCGGCCGCCGTCCTGCCGCCTTCACATGTTTTTATGGTGCAATAAAAATATGACTTTAATTCCTCAGATTGTTCTGTGTAACCTGCAATTACCCCCGGCGACATCCTCCACACTTCTGCTGTGGCACCGGATCTCGCAAAGACGTGGGAGCAGGAGAAGTGGGCGGGGGGTGCTGCCCAGCGAGGCTGAGTGGCCCCTCTCTGCCACACCCTGCATGGGGCAGTGTCACCCTCTCCTGCCCCCAACACCCCTGAGTGACATTGGGCAGTTCCCCAGGCCCCCTGGGTGGTCCACATGCAGGGGAGGGGACACACAGTTATGGAGGGCTTCGAGGGCCACAGCGGGGCAGCAGGGGAGGGCAGGGCCTGGCAGGGCTCTGAGGAGTGGACAGGGGGTACAGCAGGGGTCATCAGCTCAAGGGGAGGGGTAACTGAGATGCTCAGACTGCAGCCCCCTCCCTGAGCATGCTGCACCCTTGCTTGGCCCTAGCCTCACTTGGCAGCCATCGGGCACCTCGGCCCTGCTCTCCTGGCCGTGAGGTGACCTTAGTGCTGGCTAGGCCCTCAGGCAGGGCTGCCCCTGTGAGAGCAGCAGCGTCAGGTGGGGCTGCAGTTTGGTGGGGCTGCAGTTGAGAGCACCTGTTTCCTGGCCTCGGGTTTGGGCTCCTCCCACAGGGTCTTGGCACATGAGCTCACCTCGGCTGACACCTGCTTGCCTTACCTGGCCCACGGCCACTCCAGCCCCAGTGCAGCAGCTTGGAGGTGCCGCCAGTGCCTGGGCACTGGGCCCTGGTCCCCTCCCCAGGTTGAAGCAGGACCCAGAGGCAGGCCTGAGGCCCCCACCTACCCCTCACACACTGGGCAAGAACTGGAGGTGACCCAAGACCTTTAATGAGGGATGCCCTGAGGTGGCTGGGCAGTGTGCTCATCGGGGCAGGGCCATGAGGCCACACTAACCCCTCCAGGCCCTATTGAGGCTCCAGGTGCCTGGGCCACCTCGGGTTGAGGCTCCATCCTAGTGGCGTCACCGCCCCATGCTCACATCCCTCCCCAAGAGAGCACAGGTTGGCACCTGGCTTCAGTGGGTGGCATGAGAAGCGTGTTGGTGTCTGCGTTGGGCTGGTGGGTGGGGGCCACTCCTGCCTCCCAGAGCTCAGAGCCACCTGAGCCTCCTGGTCTCGGTCCCAGGCTGCTGCCCCACCCCGTGTCCCTCTGGGAGCCACTTCTCCTCCCCAGGGTCCCTGAGTGCCCCTGTCCTGGGCAAGAGATCCTCCCGCCCAGCCTGATGAGACCTGCTGGCCTCTGCCCACCTGCCCTCACTCATCGCCACTTCCCACCCTTGGGCCTAGTCAGGGTCCAGGAGGGTTGGTGTGGGTCATTCATTGCCAGACACGGGGATCCCCACCCTCTGGAGCAGGAAGCAGCAGGGGGTCTACACCCAAGGCCAGCGGGCCAGCATCAGTGGCCAGGGCAGGTGGTGCAGCCCCTACAGGTATTAAGGCCCAGGCACAGGGCGCCCCATCAGGAAGCATCTCCCTCTGAACTGCCTCTCCATCCAGATGGGCCTGGGCCAGGTCTTACTCTTGGGCAGTAGAGGAAGATGCCCTCTCCTGGCCCCAAATGCACAGGCTGTGGACCTCCCAGCCCATGTGGGGGCCTCAGCCCAACTCACATGGGGCGAAGACTAGAATGGGAGTGTGCTGGGGTGGTGTCCCTCTCCACAACCCAGCTACCCCCCACCTGGGACTGCTCTAGCAGGGCCTGGACGTGGGCCCCCATGCCACCAGGGACCCCGCAGCCCATCCACCCAGCACCTTGGCCCCTACTTTTGCCTGCTTGGCCAGGCCAGAGAGCCAGCCAGCTGCTGAGAGAGACTTCCAGATCCCACTCCCTGGGCTTCCATGGAGCCCTAGGCAGCAGCCCCACGCCCGTCCTGGTAGGGCCACTGGCCCACAAGACCCCTCCCATGGGCCCCCAGGCTGCGTCCTTGGGCTAGCCCACCTCTGTCTCCCTGGCCCTCCCCTCCCCAGCCCTCCCAGCGGAAGCCCAGAGCTCAACAGAGCCTGGCACGGGAGCATCCTATGCCCAGCCTGGTCTCCTTCCTCTACCACCATCTTCGAGCTGGGCTCTCTGGCTGGGCACTGCATGGCCCTGCAAGCTGCCTGAGGTTCTTCCTGGACCAGGCAGGGGCATAAAGAGGTACACGCTGGCGTCCTGGCTGCCACCCCGAGCAGAAGGCAGGCAGGGAGGAACTGGCTCCGTGTGCTCCCATGTCCCTCTGCGCCCGGGCTGAGGGGCCTCCCCCCTGTGCTTGGGGCTTCTGGGCTGTGCTCTTCCAGGCAGGATCCAGTGCTCCAGTGCTGTGCAGATCCCAGCTCTGCTGTGCCCCTGCCCAGACCAGGTCCCACGGGGCCGGCTGCAGGGAGCCGAGCTGCTGGTGGGCTAGTGAAGGAAGGAGCTCAGGGTTGGGGGCAGGCGGGCAAGGGCCTGTCCAGCCACAACCTGGAATGTTCAGCTTGGGAAATAGCTGGACAGAAGATTCTTCAACAGGCAAGAGCTGCCACGAGACTGATAACCCAGGAAATGGATGTGATGCAGCCCCGACGGGGTTCTGGGAGGCAGAGTGTGGGAGGGATGGGACCCCGGACACCTGGGCGCTCCTTGGGCCTCACCTGCAGCAGCCCCCTGAGCGTCAGCCACAGGGCCCACCTCCAAGCCCGGCAGGCGTGGCTGGCATCATCGATTTCTGTTCCCAGAATCCACCATGCAGGGTGAAGTTTGGCCAAGAGTTGAGGACTTGCCACAGACACCCTGCGCTCCGTCAGGCGGTGACAGCATCCAGCTCGGGCTGGCACTACGGGTCGTCAGGGAATACAGGCGACAGCAGCCGAGACTGCCTGCACTGGCCAGGAGTGGAGGACGACAACCCACACGGTGCCTACGCCCTGCGGCCAAGTCCATGCACTAAATGCCAGTGATTGCTGCTGTCAACACCCTGGATGGGTCTTCTGGGCAACCCTGGGAGAGAGAGGCAAGACTGTGGGCCCATTTTCCAGATACTGCTCCTTAATCCCTGCACACTTGATCATGGGAACCGTCAGGGCTGCAGCTTCAGACCTGGGCCTGGTGCCCGTGGGCCCTTGGTGCTGTCCTGCAGATGCAGCCGAGCCTCACTCCTGCCGCACCCTGACCACCCTTCTGTCCCTCATCTTCCCCTATGCCTGCTCTCGAGGCGTGGCCTAACTCCCTCAAATCTCCCTGACCTCTGGTCCTGCCGCCAGAGGGTTCTGGAGCCCTGCTTGTCCTGGCCCCCAGCCAATCCTGTGTGCCTATGAGGACAGCGAGGGGGCCGTCTGTGGGGCCCAGCAAAGCATCTTAGGCCCGAGCCTGCCTGATCCCAGCCCTGACATGGTGTACGGTGCTCAGGTTACCCTAATCCCAAAACCCAAGCTGGCGTTCCCAGAGCCTTCCCTTACTTCCCAGTGAGGGGGACAAGCAGAGACTCTTTGGAGACAGAAGAGAACTTCCCCCGCTGTGCCTTTTGGTTGGTAGCTGACTCTCACAGGGGCAGGGCAGAGGGCTGGGCACCCACAGGAGTGAAAATCCAGGCCCAACAAACCCAAGTGTGTTCAGGACATGGAGATGCAAAGCCAGCGGTGCCGGTGAAGCAGGACCGAAGGGCAGGGCAGACCTGGCTCAAGCCTGGCGAGGTCCTGGCCTCTAGGGTTTCGTGGGACAATCATGGGGCCTTGCGGTTCCACAGAATGGAACTTTTCCCCCCTAATTAAAACTGGAATCTTTTTGGCTTATAACTGGTGATCAAATAACACCAAATGCTTGAGAATAAAGTGGAGCCACCGGCAGGAGGTGGTGTGGCCTTGTAACTCAGCAGCTGGGGGTGCAGCCAACTGTGCCCAGCCCTCTACCCTGGCTGCTGGCCTCTGACCCAGCTGGGACTCCCAGGGCCACCCCTATACTAGGCACCCCAGCTTGGGGCGGGAACACCCCACAGGCTCCCTTTTTGTGATTATATAGGCGAGGCCATGCATGCTGAGGACTGCGAAGGACGCTGGTGTCTTCTGCATCATGGTCTCCCTGAAGCAGAGTTAGTTCCTGACCTACAAGGGTCACAATGTGGGACAGAATGTCAGGAGAGTGCAGCACCATCCGGATGTGTTCTCTTCAGGCCTCCTGCTCGATGAGTGAGGAGACCGAAGCCCAGACCCCCCACGGGCCCCCGGGCTGTGCAGTAGCGCACAGGCCTGCCACCACCCTCCCTGCCAAGGCCTCAGCACCGGGTCCCTGCCCATGGGAGAGGCGAGACCTCTGCAAGGATTCAATGGCTCATTGTTCTGCCCGCGGTGGCTGGAATTGGGCCGAGTGATTATAATAATAAAGTCCTAACAGTCCGCCTGTGGTTGGGTTTCCATAGCTTGGGGAGTATTTGATTTTCAAAGCCTCGGTGGGGCGGAGATGCCATATCAATGCAGCAGGCGCTTCCCATCAGCCAGTTCTTTACAGATCAGAGTCTCCCATCCAGTGCCTTACATCTCTGGAAAGGTGCTGTACCTGTCAGCTCCCAGGTGCCCAGGCATGTCAGGGCGGAAGACCGCACCAGGAGGCCCAGACACAGCAGGGATGAGTCCCGCCTTCACCAGCTCAGACAAGCTCTGATCCCACCCCACCCGCGGAGGGCCGCCGTGAGGACCAGACAGCCACCACGGTGGGGGCCCCCAGTGGGTGGGGACACTGCCTTTACTCCTGCCTGGGACTTTCTTCTGCACCCGCCTTGTCTGGCCTCTGTGCCTTTGCCCATGCTGTTCCCTCAGCCCAAAGCTGTGCCTTCCTCTTTCTGCCCTGGCTAATGCCCCCTCATTGGTTAAGATTCAACACACAGGCTCCCCTCCAGGAGTCCTCCCTGTCAGCTGGCAAGATGAGGCACCCGCTTAGGGCTCCCACAGAATGCTGTTTCTTGATTACTCTAAAGCCTGTCTTTCTCTCTTGCCCTGCAGGGGCCTCCCTTCTTCACATTTTTGTCCCCAGCATGGTACCTGCCACATAGTAGGTGCTCAAAGCATGGCTGTAAAGCATGGCATGAAGGCTTTATGCTATGTTTTCTGTTTTTAAGTGTCCATGGTTGACAGGGCGCAGTGGCTCACTCTTGAAAGCTACTCAGGAGGCTGAGGTGGGAGGAACACTTGAACCCAGGAGTTCGAGGCTGCAGTGAGCTATGATCACACCACTGCATGCATGACCTCCAGCCTGGGCAACACAGGGAGACCCCATCTCAAAGAAAAAAGAAAGGAAAATTCTAGGACAAAAAGTAAAGGTAAAAATAACAAGTGAAAATTGGACATTTAACTGGATGGACTGTATTCTTAAGAAGAGATTGGAGATGGCAGAAGTAAGGGTCAATGAACTTGAAGAGAGATTTTTAAAAAGTTCTCCAATCAAAAGTATAGAGAGTAACAAGATTAAAAAGAACAATGAAAAAACAGCCTTAGGGACCTGAGCGACAATATTAAAACAACTCACATCCTGATGTCTCAGGAGAGGAGAGAGAATGAGGCAGGAAAAAAAAACTGAAGAAACAATGACCTAAAGTTTCATGAATTTGTTGACAAACATCAAAGAATCACAGCAAACTCCAAGCAATATAAGGATAAAGAAACACAGCCAGGCCTATCACAGTCAAACTCTTGGACACCCCAAGATTAAGAGAAAACCTTGAAAGCAGCCGGGACATGTTGTACACGCCTGGCAACTTCCCATCAGAAAAAAGTGTATGGGCAGAAAGAAGAAAAAGCCAACTCCGGGCCAGGCACAGTGGCTCACACCTGTAATCCCAGCCCTCTGGGAGGCCGAGGTGGGCGGATCGCTTGAGGTCAGGAGTTTGAGACCAGCCTGGCCAACATGGTGAAACCCCGTCTTAAAAAAAAAAAAAAAAAAAAAAAAGAAGGCAACTCCAAGATCTATGTGCAGTGAACTACTTTTCAAACCCTAAACAGACATAAAGGCATTTCAGATAAAGTCAGCCAAGATCACTCCTTACCAGCAGACCTGCACTACAAAAACTGCAGTAAAAAGTTCTGCAGGCAGAAGGGAAATTTTCCCAGATGGAAACTTAGATGGACAGACCGAAATGAAGGGTACAGGAAGTGGGAATATACAGGTAAAGAAAAATACCGTATTTTTCCTTCTCTTATTTTCTTTAAACAATACTGATTACTTAAGAATTATAACAATGTATATTTGGGTTTATATTAATGAAAAACATATGACAGCAATAGCAAAAACATGGTTGCCAATGGAATTAATTATACAGATGCAAGGTTCTTACACTTAATGGGAAGTAGTACATATAAGGTGTAGGTAGTAAGTAGGTTATAATAAAGATATACAGTAAGTAGGTTATAATAAAGATGTACAATGTAAACTTCTAGAGCAACCACTAAAATACAAAGAGGTACATCTAAAAAGCCAGTATCAGGAGCTGTTTTTTTTTTCTTTTTTGTTTTTTTTGGTAAGTGGTGGTCCATTGTATAGATACGCCAATTTTGTTTATCCACTCACCTACTGGTGGGTTGTTTTTGGCTATTACAAATGAAGCTACAATGAATGTTAATGTAAAACTTTCTGTGTAGACATACATTTTCAGTTCTCTTGGATGAACATCTACGAGTGAAATGGCTAGGTCATAGGTAGGTATATGTTTAACACAAGAATGACAAATACTTTTTCCAAGATGATTATACCAGAGTCCCACCATCATTCTTCACATACGTTTCACACTTCATATTCTTTTCAGTTGCACATGGAACTTTCACCAAGTAGACCATACACTAGGACATAACAACAATAATAAATATCAATCATAAAAAGATAGCTTGGCAATGCTCCCAACTGGGAAATTATACAACACATTCTAAATAACTTAAGAATCAAAGACGAACTCATAAGAGAAATTGGAAAATATTTTGAATTAAATGACAATGAAAAAATAACACATCAATATTTCTAGAACGTAGCTAAGGCAGTGGTTGGAGGGAAATTTATAGCTTTAAATACTTATGTTAAAAAAGAAGAAAGGTTTACAATCTATGCCCTAAGCAACCTCCTTAAGAAACCAGAAAAAGGGCCGGGCGCAGTGGCTCATGCCTATAATTCCAGGACTTTGGGAGGCCGAGGCAGGCAGATCACAAGGTCAGGAGATCGAGACCATCCTGACTAACACGGTGAAACCCCATCTCTACTAAAAATACAGAAAAAATTAGCTGGGCGTGGTGGTGGTGCCTGTAGTCCCAGCTACTTGGGAGGCTGAGGCAGGAGAATGGCATGAACCCCGGAGGCAGAGCTTGCAGTGAGCCGAGAATGCGCCACTGCACTCCAGCCGGGGCGACAGAGTGAGACTCTGTCTCAAAAAAAAAAAAAAAAAAAAACACAAAACACAAAAAACAGAAAAAGAAGTTCAAATTAAAACCAAAGTAAATAGAAGGATGGAAATAAACATAAAAGTGGAAATCAATAAAATAGGAAACAAATAATGGAGAAAACCAGTAAGGTAAAATGTTGGTTATTTGAAAATAAAAAGCCATAAAATTACCTATATCAAAGATGAAAGAGGAAATACTGCTACAGAGACTACTGGCATTAAAAGGAGAATAAATCAATATGAACAAATTTAGTTCACTAAATTTGAAAATTTAGATGAACTAGACAGATTCCTTAATTTACACAAGAAGCAGCAGAAAATATGAGTAGCTCTATATCTATTAAAATAATTAAATTCTATCCCATAAAGAAAACTCCAGGCCCAGATGGTTTCATTGGTTAATTTGATCAAACATTTAAGGAAGAGATAATGCCAATATTACACCAATTATTTAGGAAAATAGAGAAGGGAGAAGCACCTCCAAACTCATTTTATGAGGCCAGCATCATCCCTCAAGAATACAGACGCAAAAGTCCTTAACAAAATGTGAACAAATTGTACTTAGCAACACGTACAAAGCATTCATTATGACCACATGGAATTTATCCCAGGAATGCAAGACAATTTCACAGCCAACATTTAATCAACGTAATTTATCACATTAACAGAATGACAAAGAATAATACCGTGATCATATCAACAGAGAAAGAGCATTTGACCGAATTCAACACCCATTTACGAAAAAATAAAACTCTCTAGGAACTAAAATGAAAAGGAAACTCACTCAACCTGATAAAAAGGCATTTAGGAGAAACATCTACAGCTTACGCTGTACTTAATTGTGAAAGACCAAACGCTTTCTTAAAATCAGGAACACGTCAAGGACGCCCACTCACACCACTTTCACTGAACATTGTCACTGACGGACCTGGCCACTGACATAGGCAAAAAAATCCTGTATAGATATGTATGCATATGTGTACACATCATATGTACATTATAGGTAAATCAATATGCAAATGTCATATACAAATGAACATATATATATGAAAGAAAAGCGCAATTGTTTTTAATTGTAGATGACACGATCATGGACATGGAAACTCCTAAGGAATCTATAAGACAACTACTAGACCTAATACGTGAATTTAGCAGGAACTCAAGGGAAAATGTCAAATCTACTTTTATATATTAGCTATGAACAACCAGAAAGTGAAATTTAAAACAATTTAAATGGACAAATAATGACACATACCCATGGGGTACATAGTGATGTTTCAATACATACAATGTGTGGTGATTAGATGCCGGTCAACTAGCTTATCCATCATCTCTAGCGCTTATCATTTCTTTGCGTTAGGGAACATTTGCTATCCTCCTCCTAGCTATTTGAAACTATACATTTTTGTTAACTGCAGTCATCCTACAGTGGTGTAGAACACTAGAATGTATTCCTCCCATCTAGCTGGAATTTTGTATCCTTCAACACGTCTCTCTCTCTCCCTCCCTTCCCCCAGCTCTAATAGCCTCTGTTTTACTTTTGACTAATGTGAGATCATTTTTTTTACCTTCCACATATGAGTGAGGACATGTGGTGGTTAAAAGTACCATTTACAGTAGCATCAAAAAACATAAAATGTGTAGGGATAAATTTAATAAAACATGCCCAAACCTATGCACTGCAAACTATAAACATTCCTGAAAGAAATTAATGAAGACCTAAGGTCGGGCACGGTGGCTCATGCCTGTAATCCCAGCACTTCGGGAGGCCGAGACAAGCAGATCACTTGAGTCCAGGAGTTCAAGACCAGCCTGGACAACATGGTAAGACCCATCTCTATTAAAAATACAAAAATTAGCCAGGCATGGTGACACATGCCTGTAGTCCCAGCTACTTGGGAGGCTGAGGCAGGAGGATCGTTTGAGCCTGTGAAGTGGAGGTTGCAGTAAGCCGAGATTGTGCTACTGCACTCCGGCCTGGGCAACAGAGTGAGACCCTGTCTCAAAAAAAAAAAAAAAGAAAAAAGAAAAGAAATTAATGAAGACCTAAATCAATGAAGAGATGTAATCTGTTCAAGGATTGAAAGATGAGATATTTTTAAGATGTTCTATGTCCCCAAATTTATAGATTCAACAAAATCTTAATCAAAATCCCATGAGCAATTGTCAGGCTGATTATTTTTATAGAAATTCACAGATTGATTACAAAGTTTACATGTATGTGCAGAAGAACTAGAATGGCCAAAACAATTTTGAAAAAGGAAAACAGAGTTGGAGGACTTACACTATCTAATTTCAAGTGTTACTATAAAGCTATCATTTTGTTTATAGAGACAGAGTCTTGCTATGTTGCCCAGGATGGTCTCAAATTCCTGGCCTTAAGTGATTCTCCCACCTTGGCCTCCCAAAGATTACAGTCGTGAGCATTGTGCCTGGCCAGCTACAATAATGAATACGGTATGCTTTGGGCCTGAGGACAAAAATCAGTGGAACACAATAGGGGTCCGGAAGTAGATCCGCACAAATGTAGTACCTGGATTTTAACAAGAGTGCCAAGGTGATTCAATGGAGAAGACGACAGTCCTTTTAATTAATGGTGCTAAAACAATGGGATGTCCATAAGGAGAAAACAAACTTTGACTCACATCACACATGAAAATCAATGCAAAATACACCACAGACCTGCATGTAGAAGTGAAAATAATAGAACTTCCAAAACTAAACAGAAGAAAACCTTCATAACGTTCAGGTAGCAAAGCTTCTTAGGGCACAAAAAGCACAGGCATCCAAATGTAAAAGTTTTGCTCTTCAAAAGGGCACATCAAGAAAGCGAGTAGGCAAGTGACAGATTAGGAAAGAGTGTTTGCAATATTTATATCTGACAAAGACTTTTATTCAGAATATATGCAAAAACTCTTGGCCGGGCACAGTGGCCTACACCTGTAATCCCAGCACTTTGGGGAGGCTGAGATGGGTGGATCACTTGAAGTCAGGAGTTCGAGAGCAACCTGGCCAACATGGTGAAACCCCGTCTTTACTAAAAAATTAGCCGGGTGTGGTGGCGCACACTTGTAATCCAAGCTACTCAGGAGACTGAGGCAGGAGAATCACCTGAACCTGGGAGGCGGAGGTTGCAGTGACTGGAGATTGCGCCCCTGCACTCCAGCCTGGGAGACACAGCGAGACACAACAAACAAAACAAAACAAAACAAAACAAAACAAAACACCCCCCAAGGCTCTTGCAAATTAATAGAAGGTGAAAAACAACCACATAAAATCATGGACATCATTAGTTACCAGGAAAATGCAAATCAAAACTACAATGAGATACCACTCCATTCCCGCCAGAATGATTAAAATGTAAAAGATTGACAATAGCAAGTGTGGTGAGGATGTGGAACAACTGACAACTGGAATGCACATACAATGCTGCAGGAAAGATGAGTTTCAGCTACTGTGAAACGCTCTTGGCAGTTTCTTCTTTTTTTTTTTTTTGAGATGGAGTTTCACTCTCTCACCCAGGTTGGAGTGCAGTGGTGCGATCTCGGCTCACTGCAACCTCCACCTCCCGGGTTCAAGCGATTCTCCTGCCTCAGCCTCCCGAGTAGCTGGGACTACAGGCGTGTGCCACGATGCCCAGCTAATTTTTATATTTTTAAATAGAGACAGGGTTTCACCATGTTCGCCAGGATGGTCTCGATCTCTTGACCTCGTGAACTGCCCGGCCTTGGCCTCCCAAAGTGCTGGGATTACAGGCATGAGCCACTGCGCCTAGAGGGCAGTTTCATATAAAGTTGAGTTAAATGTATTGGCCAGGCGTGGTGGTTCATGCCTGTAATCCCAGCACTTAGGGAGGCCAAGGTGGGTGGATCACCTGAGGTCAGGAGTTCGAGACCAGCCTGGCCAACATGGTGAAACCCCCAGCTCTACTAAAAATACAAAAAGTAGCCGGTCATGGTGGCAGATGCCTGTAATCCCAGCTACTCAAGAGGCTGGGGCAGGAGAATTGCTTGAACCCAGAAGGCAGAGGTTGCAGTGGGCTGAGATTGTGCCACTGCACTTCAGCTTGGGCTACAGACTCTGTCTCAAAATAAAATAAACAAATAAATAAAGTTAAATATATGCACCTACCCTATGATCCAGCAAGTCCACTCTTAGATATTTACCCAGAAGTAATGAAACCTTAGGTGAACAAAAAGAACTTGTTCAAGAATGCTGAGAGCAGCTTTATTCATAATGGTTCCAAACCAGAAATCACAAGAATGTCCATCAATAAGAGAACAGGGGCCTGGCACAGTGGATCACACTTGTAGTCCCAGCACTTTGGGAGGCCGAGGCGCGCAAATCACTTGAGACCAGGAGTTCGAGACTGGCCTTGGCAACAAGCAAGACCCCATCTCTACAAAAAATTAAAGAGACAGAGAGAATGGACAGACAAACTGTAGTCATGCAATGAGATGCTACACAGCACTCAGAACAAATGAGATTTACTATCACACTGTGCTTAAGAAAAACAAAAACAAAAAAACAAATGAGACACATGTGACCGCAACATTGATGAATCTTGCAAATGCTGTATTGACTGGAAAAGGCCAGACTCAAGAGTCTATACTGTAGCATTCCATTTGTGAGAAGTTCCAGAGTGAGCAAAATAAAGGGATGGAGTAGAAATCAGAACGGTGCCTGTGAGGAACGGGCCTGTGGGTGCTTTCAGGGAAAGGAGTGTTCCGTAGCTTACTCGTATGTGGCAGTGGTCTGCACATACAAAAGTCATGAAACCCTGCTGTTAAGATCTGTGCATTCTGGGAGTCTCTCCAAACCTATTCTGGTTTGGGAGGCTGCCTGATAACATTTTTTAAAAATATAAAAGATCCGTGCCTTCCATTGTAGTAAATCTTACCTCAATTTTGTTGTTGTTCGTACCTGAGACTTAAGTCTTACCTCAATTAAAAAAAATAAAAAAGAATGGAGTGAGTTCCACCTCTACAAAAATTTAAAAAGTTAGCCAGACATGGTGGTACACACCTGTGGTCCCCACTACTCAGGAGGCTGAGGCAGGAGAATCACTTGAGCCCAGGAGTTTGGGGCTGCAGTGAGCTATGATCGTGCCACTGTACTCAGCCTGGGCAACAGAGACCCTGCCTTTAAAAAAATTGTTTTTTAATTAAAACAAAACTAAAGAATGGAAGGAAACCCACAAAGAGAACACTGGTTTCTAAGGGGTGAAGCGCAAACAGCCCCAGGGTCACCAGGCTTGGGTGCCCAGCCACCTCCCTGCCCTGGCTAAGATGGAAGGGTGTCTGAAGTATCCAAAGGAGTCAAGTAGGGTGCAGCCCCACCAGCAGGGCAGGAAGGAGACTCCTTTCTGGGAATGAAACTGGGGCCTCTGATGGATACGAAAGGATTCAGTTCCACATTTTTTTTTTTTTAATTTGAGACAGGGTCTCACTCTTGCACAGGCTGGAGTGCAGTGGCACAATCATAGCTCACTGAAGCCCCAAACCTCCCGGACTCAAGCAATCCTTCTGCCTCAGCGTCCTGAGTAGCTGGGGCCACAGGTGCACAACACCATGCCCAGCTAATTTTAAAATTTGTTTTGTTTTAGAGATGGGCTCTCCCTATGTTGTCCAGTCTAGTCTCGAATTCCTGGGTTCAATCAATCCTCCCACCCTAGCCTCCCAAAGTGCTGGGATTACATGCATAAGCCACCACACATGGCCTAAAATCATTTAAAAATATATACATTGAAGCCGGGTGTGGTGGCTCACACCTATAATCCCAGTACTTTGGGAGGCCAAGGTGGGAGGATTGCTTGAGCCCAGGGGTTTGGGACCAGCCTGGGCAACATAGGGAGACCCTGTCTCTACAGAAAAAGAAAAAAGTGCCAATGTGGTGGCACACACCTGTTGTCCCAGCTGCTCGGGAGGCCGAGGGGGTAGGATCACTTGAGCCCAGGAATTGAGGCTGCAGCGAGCTGTGTCCAGGCTGAGTGATGGAGCGAGACCCTATCTCAATAAAAAAAGAAAAAAGAAAAAATGTATACATTGAAATCAATGTAATACACCACATTAGAAAGAAGGGGAAAAAACACATGATCATCTCAATTGATACAGAAAAAGCACTTGACAAAATTCAACACCTTTTCATGATAAAAATACTAAATAAACGAGGAACAGAAAGACACTTCCTCAATATGATAAAGCCCATACATGAAAAACCCACAGCCAACATCACACTCAATGGTGAACGACTGAAAGCTTTTCCCCAAAGATCAGCAACAGGGCAAAGATACCCGCTTTTGCCACTTCTATTCAAGATAGTACTGAAAGTCCTAGCCAGAGCAATTAGACAAGAAAATAAAAGGCATCCACATTGGATAGGGAGTAAAATTATATTTTTTCACCAATGACATGATCTTATAGCGATTCTATAAAAACAGAATAATTAACAAATTCAGCAAAGTTGTCAAATACAAAATCAACACACAGAAATCAGTTGCATTTCTATATAGTACTAGCAGTGAACACTTCATGAAGGAAATTAGCAGTTTCATTTAAATAGCATCAAAAAGAATAAAATACATAGGAATTAACCAAGGAGGTGAAAGACTTGTACACAGAAAACTACAAAATATTGTTGAAAGAAATTAAAGAAGACATAATTAAATGGAAAGACATCCTGTGTTCAATTATATCCATTTAAAGACACAATTAAATGGAAAGACATCCTGTGTTGGAAAGTTTAATATTGTTCACATGTCAGTACTACCCAAAGTGGTCATCAGAGGCAATGCAATCCTATTAACATCCCAACAGTGTTTTTTTAGAAATATAAAAACCTATCACAGGCCAGGTTCGGTTGTTCATGCCTGTAATCCCAATATTTTGCCAAGCCTAGGAGTTCAAGACCAGCCTGGGCAATATAACGAGACCCTAGCTTTAACAACAACAACAACAAAAAGCCAGGTGTGGTAGCACATGTCTGTAGTCATAGGTACTTTAGAGGTTGAGGCAGGAGGATCACTTGAGCCCAAGAATTTGAGGCAGCAGTGAGCTATTATCAGGCTACTAAACTCTAGTCTGGGTGACAGGGGAGACCCTGTGTCTAGTTTAAAAAAAAAAAAAAAAAGGCCGGGCACGGTGGCTCACGCCTGTAATCCCAGCACTTTGGGAGGCCGAGATGGGTGGATCACGAGGTCAAGAGATCAAGACCATCCTGGCTAACACGGTGAAACCCTGTCTCTACTAAAAATAAAAAAAATTAGCCAGGCGTGGTGGCGGGTGCCTGTAGTCCCAGCTACTCAGGAGGCTGAGGCAGGAGAATGGCGTGAACCTGGGAGGCAGAGGTTGCAGTGAGCCGAGATTGCACCACTGCACTCCAGCCTAGGCGACAGAGCAAGATTCTGTCTCAAAAAAAAAAATAAAAAAAATAAAAAAGAAAGGAAGATAAAACCCATCCTAAAATTCATATGGAATCTGTAGGAACTCCTAATAGCCAAAACCATCTTGAAAAAGAACAAACTTAGAGGCTTCTCACTTCCTGATTTCAAAATTTAAAACAAAGCCACAGTAATCAAGACTGTGTAGTTTGAACACTGTACTTTCCTGAAAAAAGAAAGACAGACATACAGACCAATGGAACAGACTAGAGAGCCTGGAAATAAACCCTTGCATATATGGTCAAATGATTTTCAACAAGGGTACTAAGATAGGGAAAGGATAGTCTTCAACAAATCATGCTGGGACATCTGGATATTCAAATGCAAAAGAATGAAGCTGGATCCCTACCTAACACCGTATGTAAAAATGAACTCAAAATGGGTCAAAGTCCTAAATATAAAGACCTAAACCTATAAAACTTAGCAGAAAACATAGGGCAAAACTTCATAGCACTGGATTTGGCAATGATTTAGATATAACACCACCACTACCACCAACATATAGACAAATTAGACTTGGAAATTAATGAAATTAATTTAGTGAAATTAAGTTAATGACATTTTAATGAAAATGAAAAACTTCTGTGTATCAAAAGACACTATCAACAGAGTGAAAAGGCAGCCTATGGAGAAATACTTGCAAATGATATATCTGACAAGGGATTAATATCCAGAATATCTAGAAAAATCTTACAACTCAACAATAAAAACAAAAATCCAGTGAAAAATGGGCATAGGACTTGAATAGCCATTTCTCCAGTGAAGATATACAAATGGCCAATAACAGGAAAAGATGCTCAATCTCACTAGTCATTAGAGAAATGCAAATTAAAATCACAATGGGACACCACTTCATACCGTTAGGATGGCTATTGGAAAAAAACAAAAGAGAAGGTAACCAAGTGTTGGTGAGGATGTGGAGAAGTTGGAACTCCTGTGCACTGTTGGTGGGAATGTAAAATGGTTCACTTGCTATGGAAAAGTTTGGCAATCTCTCAAAAAGTCAAACAAAATATTACCGTATCATTCAGCAATTTCACTCTTATGTACTGAAAGCAGGGACTCAAACATATACTTGTACACTAATGTTCATAGCAGCATTATTCACAATAGCCAAAAGGTGAAAACAACCCAAGTGTCAATCAACAAATGAATAAACAAAATCTGGTCAATGTGTACAAAGGAATATTACACAGCCTTAAAAATGAAGGAAGTTCTGACACATGCTACGATGTGGATGAACCTTGAAAACATGTTGAGTGAAATAATCCAGTCACAAAATGATAAATACTGTATGATTCCACTTATATGAGGTACCTAGAGTAATTAAATTCACAGAGACAGAATATAGAATGATGGTTACCAGGGGTTGCGAGTGGGAGGGGAAGAGGAGTTAATGTTCTGGAGTGAAGAAAAAGTTCTAGAAATAAATAGTGATCACTGGATATACAACAGCATGAATGTACTTAATGCTCCTGAACTGTATACCTAAAAATGGCTAAAATGGTAAATGTTACTATATTTTACCACAATAAAAAAACAGTCATATGTCACTTAACTGTGGGGATACACTCTGAGAAATGTGTCACTAGGCGATTTTGTCATGGAGGGATCCTCATAGAGTAACTTACACAAACTAAGATGGTAGAGCCTACTACACACCTAGGCTGTATGGTAAGGCCTGTTGCTCCTGGGCTACAAACTTGCACAGTGACTCTACTGAACAATGTAGGCAATTGTGACACAGTGGTATTAGTGCACCTAATCATAGCAAAGGTACAGTAAAAGTACAGTGCAAAAAATAAAAAATAGAACTGGTTAGGGCACTTGCCATGAACAGAGGTGCAGGACTGGAAGTTGCTGTGGGTGTGAGTGGTGAGTGAATGTGAAGGCCTAAGACATTATTGTACACTACTTTAGACTTTATAAACACTGTACACTTAGGCTGCAACACACTTATATTAAACATTTTCCTTTTTTTTTGAGATGGAGTCTCACTCTATTGCCCAGGCTGGAGTGCAGTAGCACAATCTCAGCTCACTGCAACCTCCGCCTCCTGGGTTCAAGCGATTCTCCTGCCTCAGCCTCCCAAGTAGCTGGGATTACAGGCACATACCACCACGCCCGGCTAATTTTTTGTATTTTTGGTAGAGACAGGGTTTCACCATGTTGACCAGGCTGGTCTCAAACTCCTGACCTCAAATGAGCTGCCCGCCTTGGGCTCCCAAAATGCTGGGATTACAAGCATGAGCCTCCACAGCGCCTGGCCTAAAAATTTTCTTTCTTCAATAATAAAATAACTATAGCTTACTGGATGACCAGTTACATATGTGGTCCCTAGTTGACCAAAACGTTGTTATGCGGTGCATGACAGTTATACACAGGAGAGGGCCTGAAAGAAAAAAAAAATTTGGACCAAAAAAGGCCTTTTCTGGCTCAGTTGGATTCATTTCTTCCACAGGCCCACTGCCCACTCTGCTGATGGGCGCTGAGCTGTAGACTGAGCTGCCTTGAGGCTGAGGTAAGCTGAATTTGTGGGAACCCCCACCTTTCCCTTGAGGGAGGAAGTTTAAATTATCAGGTCAATTAGGAAAGATACAACCGAAAAAAATCCAAATTTCATTCCCACTTCAAGGAGGCGTTTCCTGGCTCGGTGCCACTTTTATTATTTTTGGCCCAGGCTGCTGAAAGCCCCACAGACCCAGGGAAGGTACAATGTGACCTTTGATTCGCGTTTCAGGGATCAAAGTGAGTGAGTTTGGGTGTAAATGCAGATAACATTTCAGAGAGCTTTCATGAAAGGAGTCACTGGACCAGGGCAGAAAGGGAGCTGGTGTGTTACGTGTGTGTTCCCCTTGAGAAGCGTCACTTTCCGGTGAATCCGGCTGCCTGCCCGTGGCCCCAAGGACTCCTGGCTTGCATCCAGGTCCTTGGCCCACAGGCATCAGATCCTGAGCTGGGGCGCCTGCACCCTCTCCCACCTCTTCTCTAGGCACCGTGAAGCCGAGGAGAGGTGGCGTGGGACGGCTTGTGCAAGTGAGAAGAGCACCACCACTTCATCCTCACCTATCTTGTCCCAGGATCTGGGTGCTGACTCGGCAGGCTTGGGCTGGGCACGGCCCTGTGGGGAGGGCTTGGTAGCCTGCCCTCGCTGTCGTCTCCGGGTCCAGCCTCGGCCTGAGTCGGGAAGCACACAATTATATCCACAACAAGGAGGCCCAGAGGCCCTGCCTGCAGCCCCCAGGTATGCAGGTAGAGGGTCCTCTCGGACTGCCTGCCCCCTGCCTCTGGCGCCCAGCCTGCAGCTACGTCGAACCGGGCCCTAACAAGGTTCCCCGCACTGGCAATGAGTGATGAGAGGCACTCCGCGGGCACGCCGTTCCAGGGCGCTCACGAGGCCCAGCAGCCCCGCTATGCCCACATCCACCCCGACACCTGCAGCCCCCCAGGCTTAGCCCGGCCCCGCAGCAGCCCTCTCGACGCCCAGCAGCACCCCAGTGTCTGGCTGACGCCAGGGCAGTAACGGCGGGCTGAAGCAGCATCGGCCCCTCGGTCTACGCCACAGCCGGGTGCAGATTTCCCGGATCTGAGGGACCGCCGGGCACCGTCCGCTGGGGATCATGAGGGGCAGCTTTGGCCCGACCGTCTCGCGCCTGTACACGCGGCCCCACCTGATCCCGTGGCACTTGGCGCGGCGTGGGAATGGGCGCGCTCTCCCATCACCCACCGCGCGGCACTGCCGCGCCAGCAGGGACCGGGAGAGCCTGCGAGGTAGCGGCCACACGGCATACAGCGCAGGCGCGGCCTGGATGGGAGGAGCGCGTGGAGCGTGCCGGGAGCATGCGCCGGGTCGTACACGGCGGCCGCGCGCACGCTGGGGGCGTGGCTGCGCGATGTAATCGGTCTCTGGACGCTGCGCGGCGCTCCTAGGAGCAGGCGTTCCCGACTCCGGCAAGAGGGTCAGTGTGGAGGCGGGAGCCCGGGCGGCCGGCTTGAACTCCGTGCACGCGGGCCTGGAGCTGCGCCCCTGCGTCTTTTCCCGACTTCTGATCCGCAGAGGGGCACTCGGAGCCCCAGCCTGGGTCGCAGTGCCTTCGGTCTGCGGGCCTCAGTTTCTCGGTCCGCGCCGGGGGTTTGTGGGGGCACCTGGAGACATTTGGGCCGTTCTCGCAGTCTCGGGAAGCCGCGCCCGCTCCTTGCCTGGCCTCACGGCGGCCGATCTCGTTCTCCACTTTCTAGGTGGCGCCTGGACTCTCGCCCTCAGAGGGAGGCCCGTCCCACGGTCTGTGGCTACGGATCCCAGGACCCTCTTCGCGGGCGATTCGCGTAGCCTCAGGTGGGTGGGCTTCTTGTTGCCGTGGGCCTTGTGAGCTCGTATTTCCTGCATGGCGGTTGCTGGGGGGCGGGCGGTGCAGTCGTCTGCACTCAGCTTGCTTTAAGGCTTTGGGCAGGTTTTGTTCTTGGGGCTCCTGGGTCTCCCCAGAGCAGAGAACGGCTCCAGCGTTCCAGGTGCTGCCTTTGGCCTTGTGGGGGCAAACACACATGCGCCGTGGTACCTGCCCCTTTAGGATAGTGCTGTCCAGTCTAGAAGGGCCGAAAGTCTTCTATGCCAGGCAGTGTGGGGAGAAAAGTAGGGGGACCAACAGACTGATAGGCGTGGGAGGGCTAAGGTTCTCAAAATGGTGAGAGTGCGGCCCAGGGTTAGGAAGGCTCAGGCCCAAAGCAGGCCTGGCTGGCTGGTGCAGGGAAGCCTTCTCCCAGACTGCAGGGGACACAGGTGCGCAGGTGAGTGGGCAGGGTAGGGGACTGGGAAGAAGGGAAGGCAGAGATCTGGGTAGCACACTGTGGCTCCCGGGCATGGGGTGTGGTCATTGTGGGCAACCTGGATACCTAACCTTGGCTGGTGGTGGGAGCTGGGCCCTGGATCGGGGTCACTGCTTTTTTAGAGCTCAGTGAGGGACTGGACTGGACTCGACTCACGTCCAGGCCTTAGTATAATCCTGCAGTAAGGTGGGAAGCCAGGGTCATGGGCTGGGCTTTCAGGTGAAGACCCCCCCCCCAGAGGGGGGTCAGACCTGAGGGATTCCAGAGTGTTTGGGTGGTGGAGGTAGGGCCAGTGGCCCTGGCAGGTTCTAGTGCTGCAGGCCACCCTGGGAGGTACCTGGAGGAACTCACCCTGAGGGGGGATGGCCAGCAGATAGGAGATGTGGGATGAAGGTGTGTGCAGGCCTTGTGCTCCCAGTGAGCCGGTGGCGTTTGTGTGTGGGGTGAAGCAGAGAGTTTCCTGGAGGTCGTGAGTGGGCCTCCGTTTGCAGAGAGACTGGGGAGGGGGCTAGATAGAGTTAGGCTGCAGAGTGTAAGAGCCCTACAGGAGGGCTCCTTGCACTGGAATAGAACTGGCTACTGGCTCTGGAGCCTCCTAGGTGACTGCTGCGTGGAGAAGGAGGGGCGGGTCCAGCCATCAGACTGGGACTCCCCAGACCCTGGGCACAAGTGACTGGAGTGGCGGGAGCAGACAGCAAGTGGGGTTCCAGGATTTTACAATGGTGGGGGCTGGGATGCTCTGCTGTGGCTGGGATGGGGACTGTGGAAAGGTGGTGTTTGTGGGTGGGGGTGGCATTGCCTGCAGGTGGCACTCAGTTGTGAGAGGTGAATTTGGAAAGCATGTGGGGTCAGGAGGGAGCAGAGAATAGCAGGCTCACTGCTCTGTCGGGGAAGCAGGTAGGACCTGCTGTGTGCCTGGTGCTGGGATGTAAAAGAGCCTAATGACGACGCGGTCTGTGCGTTGTTCAGAGTTTTTGGGGCGGCTAGAGCCTACTCAGCAGACAAATGTAGTTTATAATCGCGTGCTGTATAGTAGTTAAGCCTCTGGTCTCTCCAGCCAGTTTTTGCTGCTTCCACCACTTATGGGTTAGTGTGTGGCTGCAGACAAGTTACTTCACCACTGTGTGCCTCAAAGACAATGCTAGTACCAACCTCCTGTGGGGGAGGTGGCACAAATGGGGCACTCAGTGAAAGGTTACTACTATTGCTATCCTGAAATTCCTGACAGTTCTGATCTGGCCCCTTTTCTTCTGAAATTGACAGCATCTGTCATTCTGCCTTGCCCTTGCAATGTCATAGGCAGCATTTGCCCACCTCAGACCTCCCAGGCCAGCCCCCTGGGCCCCTCCTTCCATTCAAAGCTCCTAGTTGGGTACCAGAGGGTTGCCCGCTTGTAGCCTCTTCCCACCAGTCCAGTGGGTGATGGTTAGGCCTAGTTCCTGCTCTTCCCCACCTTGTCTTTGGACAGATTGCCTCGGATGATGGCCTGCGACTGACAGTCTCTCAGCTCTTCTCAGCTCTCCTGAGGCTGCAGCTGTCAGCTCCCTGATCCTCAGCACTTGCCTGGACCAGTGCGGGTCTGCCACGCCCTGTTCAGCCATCCCTGTCCTGTTGTGTCGTGCAAGCCACATCTGTCCACACCCCCACCACCCACCAGTGCTGGCTCTCCTCTCTTCTCCCCTGTGCTCCCAGCATGCCTCGTGGCCGGTGCCGTCAGCAGGGCCCTCGCATTCCCATCTGGGCAGCCGCCAATTATGCCAACGCACATCCATGGCAGCAGATGGACAAGGCGTCTCCTGGGGTGGCATACACCCCCCTTGTGGATCCCTGGATTGAGCGGCCCTGCTGTGGGGACACCGTGTGTGTGCGAACGACCATGGAGCAGAAGAGCACAGCTAGTGGCACTTGTGGCGGTAAACCTGCAGAAAGGGGTCCCCTAGCTGGGCACATGCCCAGCTCCCGACCCCACAGGGTGGACTTCTGCTGGGTACCAGGCTCAGACCCAGGCACCTTTGATGGCTCCCCGTGGCTACTGGACCGCTTCTTGGCCCAGCTGGGCGATTACATGTCCTTCCACTTTGAGCACTATCAGGACAACATCAGCCGTGTCTGCGAGATCCTCAGGCGCCTAACAGGCCGAGCCCAGGCCTGGGCAGCCCCCTACCTTGATGGGGACCTGCCCCTGCCTGACGATTACGAGCTCTTCTGCCAGGATCTCAAGGAAGTTGTTCAAGACCCGAACAGTTTTGCTGAGTACCATGCTGTGGTTACCTGTCCCCTGCCCCTGGCCTCCAGCCAGCTGCCAGTGGCCCCTCAGCTGCCTGTGGTGAGGCAATACTTAGCTAGGTTCTTAGAGGGCCTGGCACTCGACATGGGTACTGCCCCCAGGTCTTTACCAGCCGCCATGGCCACCCCTGCTGTGTCTGGGTCCAACTCTGTATCTAGAAGTGCTCTGTTCGAGCAGCAGCTGACCAAGGAGAGCACCCCTGGGCCCAAGGAGCCCCCAGTCCTGCCCAGTTCTACATGTAGCTCCAAGCCTGGTCCTGTGGAACCAGCCTCTTCCCAGCCAGAGGAGGCAGCCCCCACACCTGTCCCTAGACTGTCGGAGTCAGCTAATCCTCCTGCCCAGAGACCAGACCCAGCTCATCCAGGAGGTCCAAAACCCCAGAAAACAGAGGAGGAGGTTTTGGAGACAGAGGGAGACCAGGAGGTGTCCTTAGGTACCCCACAGGAGGTGGTGGAGGCCCCGGAGACCCCAGGAGAGCCACCACTTTCTCCTGGGTTCTGAACACAGCCCAGGTGGGAACAATGCTGCCCCTCATGATGAAGTGGCCTGTGTGGCTTGAGCGCCCCATAGTCCCCAGTCAGAGCAGAGTGGTGTCCCCAGATGACTTCAGACCCCATAGCTGGGCAAGATGCGCTTGTTTTGGACTCTGCGCTGAGCAGAACCAGCTCCCCCAACTCCAGCAGAGCTTGACCTCCGCCCTGTGCCCTTTCCCTGCTGCTGGCTCTCTGCTGCATCCCTGCCCGTCTTCTGGGAGTGCCGTCTCACCCAGGCCTGCTCCCACGAGGGGGTCGTTTTGTAGATCAACTCTCAGCAGATAGTTGCATCATCTTTGTCACCTCCACCCCCATAAAACACCCCCCTTGGTGTCTTCCACACTGGCTGGGACTGAACTGGGTCTGCCACGTCTGCCCTGTTGGGACCTCGTTCCTGTATGGGGTTTCTGTGTCTGTCCCCCTAGCCCCACCCTCTCTGCTCCCTGTGACTTCTGTCCCAGCTGGAATGTGAGGAAGGCTGCCTGGAGGAAGTGGCCACTTTGATTCTGGGGGATGAGTGGGATAGCATCTTGGCAAAGAATGATGTTTCCTGTGGGATTACCAGCAGTTCTGGGCAGCTGGAAGGTTTGGATGCAGGAAGGTGGGATGCAAGCCCCTTGCCAGGCTCAGCTGCAGGCATTCGCCCTTTGTGTGTTAACACTGTAGCTCTAATCGTGCCTGGTGTTCTGAAGCAGGCTCCTCTTCCCTGCTGCTGTGCTGCCATCCCCTGCTCACTCCGCACTCGCATGCATTGCGGATTCAGCACTTAAGCCCTAGTGTGTAAATGACTTGGATCTCCCTCCTGGCAGACTGTGACCCTCAGCACAGGGGCTCTGTCTTAGTCAGCTCTGTGGCCTGGTACACAATTGGTGCTCATTAAACACGTGTTGGATTACTGGCTGAGGTGGTGCAGTGGCTGCCTACCAGCAAGTCTTTGTTTCCCATTCTGTCAGGAGCAGAGGCCTGGCCATGAGCATTCCAGGTCAGCATTGCAGCTGTGGTTTCTGGCAGGGGCTTTGAGGGTCCAAGGGTCTGATCAAAGAAGCTGGGTGGGGCTGAGTAGGGGGTGGGTGGCTCTGCAGGTAGAGAACTGACTTCCGAGAGCTGTAGGTGAAGTGAGGACCAGGCAGCAGTCCAGAGCTGTGAGGCCCCAGGCCCAGAGGAATGGAATGAAGAAAGACCTGTTCCACACAAGGAGGGGTTTTCTAGTGGAAGCTGAGCTTGGAAGCTCCTGGAGCCAAGTTTACCACAGGATAGGCAGGTACAGCCGCCCAGTGTGTGCAGTGTGTGCCCACTCTGGTGCTTGGACAAGAAGTTCAAGTCCCTTTCAGGTTTACAATTGTGAAAACAACAAAACAACACCTTCCTGGAAAGTAGGAAGAAAAAGCAGAAATGTGAATTGGAAATACAGCCAACTATTTTAGGAAAAACTAATTAGCAAGCATCTGATTAAACTTATTCAGAAACTGGCCGGGAGCAGTGTCTCACACCTGTAATCCCAGCACTCTGGGAGGCCAAGGTGGGTGGATCACCTGAGGTCAGGAGTTCAAGACCAGCCTGACCAGCATGGAGAAATCCATCTCTCCTAAAAATACAAAATTAGCCAAGTGTGGTGGTGCATGCCTGTAATCTCAGCTACTTGGGAGGCTGAGGCAGAAGAATTGCTTGAACCCAGGAGGCAGAGGGTGTGGTGAGCCGAGATCACGCCATTGCACTCCAGCCTGGACAACAAGAGTGAAACTCCATCCCAAAAAAAAAAAAACAACAAAAAACAAAAACCTTATTTAGAAAAATATAAATTGTTGGGATTATTTTATGGTAACTATCACTAGAAAAGGCTCTGGGTTCAGATGGTTTTATGTGTGAGTTATTTCAGGGCACAGATACCTTGTAGGTAAAACAACTGGAAACCTTGGAAATAGGTGGGAAGCTATTTTTAGAAAGCAGGTATAGCCCTGGTAGCAAAGCAAGTGAGCTGGCAGAAGAAACCCATTTTCAGTCTTGATTCTGGTCAGATGTGAGAAGTCCCTGGATGTCCTGGCCCAGCCCCATGCTTCTGTGCCAGGTCACAGCTGCCCTCCGTCCGATGACTCAGGCCCCATCCCCCCTTTTGTGGGTTGGGTCAGACTGCTCCCTGATGCCTACCTCCAGTGCACTGTGGCCTGGCTCACCTGTGGGTCTGGCAGTAGAACCCAGAGTTGCTCTCTAGGATGGACAGCCTAGTCACCCAGCTGACCTTTACCCTGTCCCACAGGCTTCTGGACAGGCCACCTTCCCCATCTCCCTTTAGTGGACCTGAAGTGGATACTCCAGCCTGGGATTGCTGCCTTCTCTTTTGAACCCTGTCCTATTGGGGCTTTGGGGCTTTTGTGCCCTTGGGACCCAGGCAGCTCCTGGGGGTGTGTGAGTTATGGTCTGCCGTGTGTCTGAGGGCCAGTCATGCAGCATCCACCTAGGCAGGCTTGAGAGTCCTTGGGAGAGTCCAGGTGACCTGGTTTTTAATTAAAACGCGTCCTGTTTATTGTGGTTGGGCTCTGCCCAGAAAGGAAGGTAGGGCCTTGAAGTGGTGATGTCCAGGTTTCCTGCACAGGTAGGGTGGAGGCAACGATGGACTCTGGCATGGCCTTCCAGACAGGCAGTGCACACAGCTCCTTTCAGAGTGGCTTTGTTGCCAGCTGCTGCAGCACCTGCTTTCAGACAGATGATGACCAAGCTGCTTTCCTGCTGGGGGAAGGAGGCATTCCCCCTGGGTTGTTTTTCTCTTCTGGCCCCCACACACTGGCAGACCCGAAGGCAGGGTGCTCAGGAGCTGCAGAGCCTGGCAGGGTTTGCTGGACATGCTCAGGGACGGGCCATGGTGCTGGCTCTGCTTTCTAATCATGGTGTCAGTCCTTCACTTCCCTTGGAAATACCCAGAGATTTTATTTCCTGAAGATAGGACATGATGGGTGCTGTGAGATGGTATTTAAAGTACCTGTCTGCAAGGAAAACTTTAAAATAGGAAGTACTAAGGATAAGGTCCTATGGGATATTGGAATATTTTATAAAGCCACAATAGTTAAAGCACTTAGATGTGGACAGATGAGCAGAGAATAGAGGACTTTGAAACGGGCCAAATAAATATGGAAATTTAGTACAGGCTAGAGGTGTTTCCAATTAACGAGTAAAATGGATTATTCAGTAAAAGCAGTTGGCCCTCTGGAAAATAGTAAAGCCATGTATGTGCCTCACTCTTTATGCCAGTACATATTCCAGATTAAAGATTTCAATGTTACAATTATGAAAGTACTAGAGGAAAATATGGGTGAATTTTTTTTTTTTTTTTTTTTTGCCTATGATTCCAGGATTTTAAAAGTTTTAGATGCCCAGAGTTGTGGAGGTATGGAGAAGTGGACCTTCTCATACTGTTGGTGGGAATACACAATAATATAATTTGACCACGTAACAATTCTAGGCACATGCATGCTGTGACTACTTGCTAGGTGCATGAAGGCTCTTGCCAGGGGTGGTCATGGTTCGGTACCACTACATGGGGGTTTAGAGCAGGGACTGGAGGTTGGCCTTGCCTCCTCCCCTCCCCGCATGAGCTGAGGGTCCTTACCTGACCTTTTTGAGCTGTGACCAGAGTTTTTCCTCATGGGGTGGTTAGAAGGGTTGAATGAGAATGATGCCCATGCAGTGCCTTGGCTGGGGTCTGGGCCCTCTAACACCCACCTCATGGGTGTCACTGTTTTTTGAACAGCAGAACTGGAAAAGCCCAAAGATCCAGCAATAAAGGAGCAAGGCAAATAAAGCTGTTACCCTGCAGGATCAGTCAGCATGAGCCAGATTGTGCTGCAGTAACAAAGATCTCCAACAGCGCAGCGGCTACAGTTGGCACTGCTTATTTCTTGCTTGCACCTGTGGGCCACCGTGGCTGGGGCCTGTCAGACCTGTGCTGACGACAGCCTACCTGGACATATTTCTCCATGCTCACTGAGGCAGGGGAAAGGCCACAGCAGGCCACAAGTAATGTGTGTCACCCCACTTCCATTTCTGTGGCCAAAGGAAGCCACAGAGCCACACCTGAGTTCCATAGGACGGCAGCAGCTGATCATCCTATGGGCTGGGGTGCTCAGTATGGAGAAGTACAAGCAGCCACCCAGCGTGGGGCTGGTTGGTGCTGCTGAGGATGGGAGGATGGGAGGGGCCTGCATCCATCCCAGGGCAACATACCTGTTTGTCTGCTGGGGCTGCCTGACAAAGGACCGCAGGCTAGGGGACTTAAACAACAGACATTTCCTCATGATTCTGGAGCTAGAAGCCTGAGATCAAGGTGTGGGCAGGGTTGGTTTCTCCTGAGGCCTCGCTCCTTGGCCTGCAGATAGCCATCTTCTTGCCGTGTCCCTGTCTGTGTCTGTGTCCTAATCTCTCATAAGCTCACTAGTCTATTGGATCAGGGCCCACCCTCATGACCTCATTTAACCCTGAATTACCTCTTTAAAGACCCTGTCTTCAAATGTAAGTACTAGGGGTTAGGACTTGAACATAAAAATATTGAAGGGACATAGTTCTGCCCACAGCGGTGCCCGCGATAGGCTTCTCTGGTTTTGTCTTTGCTGTTCCTGGCAGCGCTATATTGGGCAGGCTTCTGTGGTCTCCACATGCCTGTGTGCAGAGTCCCCCAGGCCCTGGGTTCTGGGGCCCATACTGAGGAGTGGGGATGGCCAAGCCTTGGCTGTTGAGTAGGCAGTGCCCAGTTGTGCTGTATGGGATGCTGTTTCTCACTTAAGAAATCTTTCCCTACCTGGGGGGTACAAAGGCATTATCCTGTATTCCCAGGTTGTAACTTTCTGCCTTTGACATTCAACCTTGAGTCCACCTGTAAGTGTAACTGCGGCAGAAGGGAGGGGTCTGCTGTCATCCTTGATAGCCTGTGATGAGCAGAGCCCCTCTGCCGACCGCGATGCACATGTAATATGAGCAAGAAATAAATTTTTGATGTGCGAAGCCACTGAGTTTGGGGCTTGTGTTTTCCACAGCATAACCTATTATGTCCTGACCAACAGGGGATCCCATTTCACCTTTTTCCATAGGGCCTACCTCAGCATCAGCTGCTGGCTGCAGCAACTCACAGTCTGGCTGCAGCCACCCGTGAGCCATGCCTGGCCTACCCGCCTGCTCTCTGGTCTGATCTGTCCCTTACTAGTTATTCTAGCTTTTAAGTCTTGCTTATGTCATAGGGAAACCATCCATGTCCCCATTTTTCAAGTTGTCTTTGCAAGTTTTAAAACACATTGGATCACAAATGCAGAGGCAGCGAGGATGGTGTCATGGCCCTTGCCCAGCCCCAGCAGTGTTCACACTCTCCTGGTGCAGGCCTCGGGGGTGCCTTGTCGCTGGACAGCCTGGCCAAGCCTGCTCTCCAGGACAGCAGGGCCCGTTGCTCCCTTAGTTTTTCTTTGGGCTACATCATCTCTATTACAGGGACACGGTGGGTAGGGGCTGGCCAAGGAAGAGCCCAGGCCTGTGGGGTGTTCTCATTGGCCGGCTCCTTTCCTCCTGGCCTCAGGAACCACCCCCAGCACAGGGCTGGGGCCTGTGGATGATGGGTGCTCATGCACTTGCCACATTCTTCTGTGTCCCCATTGGTGGGGCTGCCAGCTGGGTGCACAGGACATCTGACTCCCCTGCCCCCTGCTGTGCCTGCGCTGCCCACCTCACCTCTGTGTCTGAGCACTGCAGGGGACTGGGGAGTGTTTGTGGGTTGTGGAGCCAGGGCTCTTTATTCACAGGCTGTGCATAGGGGGGGCCCTCAGTGAGGGGTCCACCTGCAGCACCCACAGGGCAGAGCGAGTGGGAGGCTGGCCTCTGTCCTCATTCGCATGTCTGTGGATGTGGGCAAGCACATTGCTGGCATGCATATGTAAGCATGTGCACAGCTGACTGCATGCAGCTGGGTGGTCGGGAGTTGATGAGACATACACCTGGCCACACCACCACCTGTGTGTGATAGGGGACCTCCCCTTTCCACCCAAGGTTGCCTCCGCCACAGGAGGAGCCACACAGGCAAGTCCCTGTCAGAAAGTGTCAGCCCCAGCTTGCTTAGGGACCCCTCCTCCAGCTCCGACCAAGTTTCCAGGGCACATCCCCATCCCCGAGGCCAGGGGCACCAGCCCCAGGGGATTGGTCCCCATCCTGCACCCTCTGTGAGTGTTGTCTCTCCCTGATGGGATCGGCAGCTGGCCTACATGAACCAGGCCTCTGAGCAGAGGCTGAACTGGTGCACGGGGATGTCACGCTTCCTGTAAAGCAGTGAGCTTTTCCGTGTGTTCACCCGGGTCAAAAAGGCCGGTCCCTCTGCTGGCTGGGTTCCTGCCTCTGCCCGTAAGTGCCTGGGGCAGGCTGGCTAACAATGTCCAAGTCAGGCTTCCTTCCTGCCATCTTGCCAGGCTCCTGGGACCCGCTCCTGGGGCGACGGACATCCCCAGCCACAGCGTGAGATGCCTGCTCACAGAGAGACCCCGCCTGCCCATCCTGCCTGCCTCTGCAGCCTGGTGGCTCCTCACGCTGGCATTTCCTCTTGGCTCAGCTGAGGCAGCCCGTGTCCCAGTGCAAAGGAGAAGTCTGACTTGCAGCCTCAGCGCCTGCCTGGCGCCCCTGCTGACTGTGGAGCTGGCCAGCAGGTCACTCCTCATGCCCCAGCCATGAGGCTTCCAGGCATCCCCAAGGAAGAAAACTAATCCATGTCCTTGTCTCCATGAGACCCACTCCCCCTGCCAGCGTGGTGGGTGGTTGGTGGCCACGAGGACCCAAAGTGCTGGCAGAGCACCCAGCAGGGACTGGCAGTGCCTCGGGGGAGAACAGGCTGCAGTGGGCTGTCTAGAGGAACTTGCTTGTCTCTGCTCGGGAACGAATCACGCCATTTGGGCGTGTCCCCAGCAAAAGTGACTGATCTCTGGGACCCTCCCTCACACGCAGCAGGGCCTATCTGGAAGGGGGCGGCACAGACCTGGTGGGGTTCAGCATGTAGGCACCGTGCTGGGCCCCACCTGGCTCACTGCAGGCCAGGAGTCCTGGGTGGGGCACTGTGGGTCTCAGTCTCTGGAGAAGTGCTGGTGGCCAGCCCTGGGGCACCTGGGCCACTGCCCCAGGTGAGGTGAGGTCAGTGCCGGCCCCTGGCCTGAGGCAGTGAATCTTGCTGGGGGGCAGCTATACCCTAGGGGAGCAGGGTGGAGGTGCTTTGCCAGAGCAGAAGGCCCCTGTGGCAGAGCAAATGACCATTTCTCTAGGATGGAGAACAGACTCAGACCCAGAAGGGAGATGGGTGGCTGTCCTTCGTCGGGGCCTACAGGACTGTAGCACTCTCATCTCCACTATGGAAATCGTGTCTATGGCTGGAATCTGAGTTCTGCTTTGCAGATTTGCCAGCTTACCAGTGCTCTGGGCAGCCGGGGCTCGGGTTCCCCTCCCTGCACTGAGCTGGTTCAGGGCTTTGTGGGCCTCAGGCCAAGTTGTCAGTCAGGGCCACTCCCTGAGACGGATATGCCTGATGCAGGCCTGGAGGTGCTTTCTTCTCCAAGGGAAGGAGTTCTTGGGGGGCATACCTTATTCCCCGCCACAGAGAGACTGACATCGGTCAGCCCTGGGAGGTGGGAAATTGCTGGGGTTGGGCTGTGCACTTGCTGCCCGGGGGGCGGTGCCTGGCTCCCCCTCGCCATCGGGCTGCTGGGCACCGGCCCTCCCTGCCTCCCTGCCTCACCGGAATTCTTCCTGGGATCTGCATCTTTGAAGCCGCTGCCTCCCTGCCCGCCTGGGCGCTTCCAAAGGCGGATACTGACAGAGGATTCAATGAATCGAAGGTCGCCAGTCGGGGCGTTGACAGATGCCCAGCCGTGATACTATTTCTGATTTAATAACCGAATGGGAGGCTGGCCCTCTGTAATAATTAGGGCTAATTACTGAGGAGGTGTTGACAGACGGGCTGAGAGGAAACAAACTACCTTTATCCCGTGGCTTAGAGTCAGATTACCAGCCCGGTGCTATCTGCCCCTCAGAAAGTAGACGCTTCAATCACTCAGCGAGGCTTCAAAGGGGAACAGGGCCTGACAATGCACGGGATTTGGAAAGGAGCTATGAAGTGCGCCTTTGACTCCGAATCGCCAAACGGAGCCCCATTCCAGAAATGGTTTCTTTGTGAAGTTTGAGTTAGTGCTGGTAGACCTGTTTCCCGTGCTCAGGACAGGGAGCTGGCTGCAGTGGGAGTGGGCAGGTGGGGGCCATGGCCAGGGCTGTGGCTGCTGTGTGGCCAGCTTGAGCTGCTTAGGTCCTTCCCAGGCCAGGTGACACTAGCAGAGTCCTGGTATCTCCAGTAGCTGGCCCTGGTAGCCGTGGGTCCAAACAGGGAGGTGCAGCATGTTTTCCTTGCCCAGGGAGGGTTTCTGGTCCTTTGTGGCCGTGAGTGGCAGGTAACAGGATAGGGACCTCACCATCTGAGCAGGCTCATCCCTTCCTGTTTGCAGCTAGAGTGCAGCTTTTCTGCAGCCCTCCCTGGCAGGTCTGGCCTCCCTTGAAGGGGGATGTGTCCTTGGCATTATTTATGGCAGGACCACCTCTTGGGGGCCTGGGCATTACTCACCAGGCTGCTCCCACCCCCGTCCTGGGCTGAGAGCCAAGGCCATGGAAGCAATCCTGGCCCCCGAGGCCTTGGTGGGCAGACATCAGTGACTGAGAAGGGTTGTTGGGGGCTAGTCTCTGACTGCCCCCACTGACTCCCCGCTGATCTCCCTGCATTTCAGAGATGGGGAAGGGTGTATCTAGACCTCAGTTTCCTGGTTTGAAGCAGCAGCACTGAGATGTGTGCCAGTGAACTGACTGGGATAGCCCAGGGCTCTGTGTCTGATGCAGCTTCTTGGAGTGGTGTGTGTGAGGCTTTTTGGGAGATCAGGGTCGCTGGCTGAGGCTGCAATGCAGCGGACAGTTCTGAGATTCTGGGCCTTACTGCTGCTGTCTTCCTCACCAGGAAGGCAGGGGATGACACTGAGGTCTCTGCTCAGGACAGGCCTGTCCAGGGAGTGCCTTTCTGGTTCCAGGTGTAGCCTGGGAGGTGCCTGATGAGCAGGAGGTGGGAGGGAGCCCATTCACCAGCCACCTGTGTGCCTGCCTCAGGCCTCATGGCCTTGGCTTCATGTTCTTGCTGGCCTGGAGGACCAGCCAATTCAACATCTTCATGCTAGAACGGCTGTGCTACTTCATAGAGAAATTAGGTGGGCTGGGCTGGTGAAGCGCAACAGTGGTTAGATCAGTGCTCTTTCTGTCCCCAGCTGGCTGGGGACACCTTCTGGAAGTAACGATGGTCATAAAAGTCATCAGCTCATTTGCTTAACCGAATAACTACTAGCTTGTACCAGGGGGCACTGTTGATGAATTTATATTAGGGCAAAAATAAGATAGTAAATTATTTGGAATGGGAAAAGCGTGTAAAAGTTGACATTAAGTCTGTTTTGTTTGTTTATTTTAGAGGCAGGTCTCTTTAGGCTAGGCTGCAGTGCAGTAGTGTGATCATAGCTCACTGCAGCCTTAACCTCCTGGGCTCAAGTGATCCTCTCCTCCTGCTTCAGCCACCAACATAGCTGGGACTATCATGGCGGGCACCACCATAACTGGCCGATTTTTTTAAATTATTTGTTTGTAGAGATGGGGGTCTTGCTATGTTGCCCAGGCTCATTAAGTCTGTTTAAGTCACCTTGAGTAGAGATAGAAATTGACTCCAAAGCCAGAAACAGGAATTGAAGTTTCATAATACATTAGTGTAAATTAAATACCATTAACTGTAACACAAGAAAAAATAGCACAAGAATCTTGTACAATATATTTTATTTGAAACATAACCTGTGAGACTGTGGCCAAGAGCAGTGGTTGAGTGTGAACCTTGTGCACGGACGCATTTCTGAGCCCTTTTTCCTGTCAGCATCTTGCTCTGCGCATGACTAATGGACTAGGATTGATGCATTGTTAGTGACCAAAGTCCAGGCTTCATCCAGGGTTCCTGAATTTGCCCTAATGTCCTTTTCTGTTGCAGAATCCCATCCAGAACCCCACACTGCGTTTGCTCTCCTGTCTCCCCAGGCTCCTCTGGCCAGGACAACTTCTTAGACTTTTCTTGTTGTTGATAACCTTAAGTTTTGAGGAGCACTGGTCAGGCTCTTGTAAAATGTTCCTCCACCGGGATTTGTTGTGTTCTTCTCACGATTAGACTGAGCTTAAGGGTTTTGGGAAGAAAAGCACAAAGGTTGAATGCCATTCCTGGATGGATTTTCTTTTTCTTTCTTTCTTTTTTTTTTTTTGAGACGGAGTTTCGCTTCTTCGCCTAGGCTGGAGTGCAATGGCACGATCTCGGCTCACTGCAATCTCTGCCTGTCGGGTTCAAGCGATTCTCCTGCCTCAGCCTCCCCAGTAGCTGGGATTACAGGCACGTGCCACCATGCCTGGCTAATTTTTGTATTTTTAGTAGGGTCGGCATTTCACCATGTTGGCCAGGCTGGCCTCGAACTCCTGACCTCAAGTGATCCACCCGCCTCGACCTCCCAAAGTGCTGGGATTACAGGTGTGAGCCATGCACCTGGCCCATTCCTGGATTTTCTATCATGTCAGTGGGACGTGTGGTCAGCATGACCTAGCCCTGCTGATGCTGAGCGTCATCACCTGGCGGAGGTGGTATCTGTCAGGTGTTTCTGCTGTAAAGTGGCTGTTTTTCTCTCCTTTCCGTACTCTCCTCTTAGGAAGGGAGTCACTGCATAACCCATATTTAAACGGTTGGGAGTTATCTACTCCTCCTTGATGGTAGAGTGTCTGCATAAAGTGGAATTCTTCTGTTTGGGAGATTTGTTTATTTAGTCATTTCTTTACCTCAGTGTGGACTCATGGGCATTTTATTACGACACTAGCTCCCCTCTCATCTACACTTTTGCTGAGGTTTCAGTTACCCATGGTCAATTGCAGTCTGAAAATAGGTGAGTACAATACAACAGGATATTGTAAGAGAGAGACCACATTCACATAACTTTTATCATAGTATACTTTTTTTTTTTTTGAGGCAAGATCTTGCTGTGTTGCCTAGGCTGAAGTGCAGTGGTGTGAGCATAGCTCACTGCAGTCTCAAACTCCACGGGCTCAAGTGATCCTACCACCTCAACCTCTTGAGTAGCTGGGACTACAGACATGTGCCAACACACCTGGCTTATTATTATTATTATTATTATTGTTATTATTATTATTATTGAGACGGAGTCTCTGTTGCCCAGGCTGGAGTGCAGTGGTACGATCTTGGCTCACTGCAACCTCCACCTCCTGGGTTCAGGTGATTCTCCTGTCTCAGCCTCCTGAGCAGGTGGGATTACAGGCACCTGCCACCACGCCTGGGCTAATTTTTGTAATTTTAGTAGAGACAGAGTTTCACCATGTTAGCCAGGCTGGTCTTGAACTCCTGACCTCAGGTGATCCGCTTGCCTCAGCCTCCCAAAGTGCTGGGATTACAGGTGTGAGCCATTGTGCCCTGCCCCAGCTAATTATTTTTTGTAGAGACAGGGTCTCCCTGTGTTGCCCAGGCTGGTCTTGAACTCCTGGGCTCAGTGATCCTCCTGCCTTGGCCTCCCAAAGTACTGGGATTAGAGGCATGAACCACTGTGCCTGTCTCTAATTTTTAAATTAAACTTTCCCGTAGGTATATATGTACACTGTAGGGAAAAACATGGTGTATATAGGGTTCAGAACTATTCATGGTTTTAGGCATCCACTGGGGGTCTTGAAAAGTATCCCTAGATACTTTTCATCATCATCATTCATCATCCCCCCTAGATAAGGTGGAACTACTGTATTATTGTTATTATCTTTATTATTGTGTGCGCTTACAGTGAGTCCTAACCCATGTCTGTGTCAACACCACCTCAATCAGGACACAGAAAACTTCTCATTCTCTCAAAACCCTGCCTTTTGCTGCCCTTTGGCAGTGATCCCCTCCCCCTCCTTCTGATCCATGACAGTCACTGGTCTGTCCTCTGTACCTATACTTTTGCCTTTTCCAGGATGCCATATAAATAGTGTGTAGCCTTTTACTCAGTTCTTTGGAGATTCACCCACGTTGTTGCATTTATCAATAGTTTGTTCCTTTCTGTTGCAGAATAGTATTCCATTCATCCATAGATGGTCATTTGGGTTATTTTCTGTTTTAGGAGATTATAGTTTTCACATTTCTGTTTTGGGTGGTTAGTTATAACTACTATAAACATTCATGTACAGGTTTTTGTTTGCATATAAGTTTTCACTTCTCTAGAATACATATCTAGGAGTAGAATTGTTGGGCAACATGTTAATGCATATTTAATTTTATAAGAAACTGGGCTGGGCACAGTGGTTCATGCCTGTAATCCCAGCACTTTGGGAGGCCAAGGCGGGTGGATCATGAGGTCAGGAGATCAAGACCATCCTGGCCAACATGGTGAAACCCTGTCTCTACAAAAATTAGCCGGGCGCGGTGGCAGGCGTCTGTAATCCAGCTACCCAGGAGGCTGAGACAGGAGAATCGCTTGAACCTGGGAGGCGGAGGTTGCAGTGAGCTGAGATTGTGCCACTGCACTCCATCCTGGCAACAGAGCGAGACTCTGTCTCAAAAAAAAAATAAAAATAAAAATAAAAAAATAAATAAATAAGAAACTGCCATACTCTTTTCCAGAGTGTGGGCACCATTTTGCATTTCACCAACAAGGTTCCAGTTGCCCCACAGTATTGCCAGCACTTGGTTTTGTTGGTTTTGACAGTTTTTTTCTGAATTTTAGCCACTCTAGTAGGTATGTAGTGGTATTTCATTATGGGCATAAGTTGCATTTCCCTAATGGCTATGATGTTGAGTTGCCTTTTGTGCTTATTTGCACATCTTTTTAGGTGGAGTGTTTGGCCAAATCTTTTATGCCTTTTTAATTGGATTGTTTAGTTGCTCTTGCATTTCCTTTAATGAGCACAAAAATAGATTGTGCAATTAAATTGCGTATGCAATAAACTGCACATATTTCAAGTGGACAGTTTGACAAGTGCGGCGTCTGTGACGCCATCCCCACGCTCAAGACAACCAACATACCCACTGTGCCTAAAGTATCTTCCTGCGTCTCTGCATGCCCCTCCCTTCTTCCTCCCTGCACCTCTCTTCTCCAGGTTCCCTTTAATCTGCTTTCTGTCACTGTAGGTCAGTTTGTATCTCCTAGAATTTTGCATAAATAGAATCACAGAATTTACTCTCTTTTTCTGGCTTCTTTCACCTGACATGATTATTTTGAGATTTATTCACATTAAAGCATGTATCAGTACTTCCTACTTTGTCATTGTCAAGGATGGATATATCCAGGTGTGGATATAGCTCTGTTTCTTCTGCTGTTGATGGGCATTTGGGTTGTCTCCAGTATGTGACTGGTTTTTAAAGAAATAGCCAAACTTTGTTCCCAAGGGGTTGTACCATTTTATAATCCCATCAGCAGCGTATGAGAGTTTCAATTACTTCATAAGCTTTCCAGCAACTGGAATGGTCAGTCTTTTCTGTTTTAGCCATTCTGATAAGTAGGTAATGGCATTTTATTGTGGTTTTAATTTACATTTTCCTAGCGACTAAAGATGTTGAGTATGTTTTCATGTCCTTATTTGCCATTTGCATATCTTCTTTGGTGAAGTGTTTGTTCAAATCTATTGCCCATTCTTAGTGGTTTTATTTTGTGAGTGTGTTTTCCTTGTGGATTTTGAAAATTATATATTTGGTATATAAATTATCTGCCATATACATCATTTGAAAATATTTTTCCCCATCTGTATAGATTGTCTTTTCATTTTCTTAATAATCTCTTTTCAGGCCGGGCGTGGTGGCTCACGCCTGTAATCCCAGCACTTTGGGAGGCCGAGGCGGGTGGATCACGAGGTCAGGAGATCAACACCATCCTGGCTAACACGGTGAGACCCCGTCTCTACTAAAAATACAAAAAATTAGCCGGGTGTGGTGGTGGGCGCCTGTAGTCCCAGCTACTCAGGAGGCTGAGGTGGGAGAATGGCGTGAACCCAGGAGGCAGAGCTTGCAGTGAGCCGAGATCGCGCCACTGCACTCCAGTCTGGGCAACAGAGCGAGACTCCATCTCAAAAAAAAAAAAAAAATCTCTTTTCAAGAGCAAAGGTTTCTAATTTTGTGGAAGGTGAATTTGTGTTTTTTATCTTATGGATTATGCTTTCTGAGGGTTTTTTTAAAAATCATGAATGGATGTTGAATTCTGCCCAGTGCCTTTTCTATATTAACTTATATGATCCTGTGGTTTTTCTTTAGTGTTAACATGAGAGTTTACATTGAATGATTTTTGAATATTGAATCAGCTTTGCATTCCTGAGATAAATGCCAGTTGGCTCCAGTGTATTCTTTTTCTACACTGTTGGATTAGATTTGCTGTTTTTCCCTCCCCAACTTGAGACTTAAGCAGCAAGATATTATTTTGTTTGAGGATTTGTATGTCTATATTCATGAAATATGTTTGTTTGTGGTTTTCTTCTCTTTCTACTAACTTTGTCTGGTTTTGGTATTGGGTTAGTGCTAGCCTCATCAAATTAGTTGGGAAATGTTCTCTCTTTTTCTGTTTTCTGGGAAAATAATTTGTAGAATAGTGTTATTTCTTCTTTAAATGTTTGGTAGAATTTGCCAGTAAAGTCATGTGGGCTGGAATTTTGATTTTTTTTTTTCCCCAAGGATTTAAACTAAAAATGTGATTCCTTTAATTGATACAGGACTATTCAGGTCTTCTCTTTCTTCACATAGTCTGTGTCTTCCAACTTTCATTTCAGCTAGGTTTATTTAGCTTGAATTTATTTGAGTTGTTCATAGTATCTCCTTATCCTTTTAATGTTTCTGGTGTCTGTAGTGATAACCCTTCTTTAATTATTATAATTTGTCTCTTCTCTTTTTATTGTTGTCAGTTCAGCTAGAGATTTATCAGTTTTATTGATCTTTTTAAAGAACCGACCTCTTGCTTTATTTTCTCATTTGTTTTACTATTCTTTAAAAATATTTATTTCTGCTCTAATCTTATTTCCTTCCTTGTGCTTGTTTTGGGCTTACTTTGTCCTCTTTTTCTGTTATCTTAAGGCATAAACCAGGTCATTGATTTGGAGACCTTTCTTCTTGTCGATGTAAGTATTTAATGCTGTAAATTTCCCTCTAAGCACTGTTTTAGCTGCATCCTACACGTTTTGATATGTGGTGTTTTCATTTGTATTTAGTTTAGATATTTTCTAATTTCCCTTGGGACTTCCTCTTGAACCCATTGATTATATAAAACAGTGTTGTTTAATTTCCAAATAGTTGGAGATTTTCATTATCTTGCTGTTATTGATTTCCAGTTTAATTCCATATGATCAGAGAGCATACTTTGTATACTTTGTTTTTTTACATTTTTTTTTTTATCGAGACAGAGTCTCGCTCTGTCGCCCAGGCTGGAGTGCAGTGGCGCGATCTTGACTCACTGCAACCTCCGCCAGCTGGGTTCAAGCAATTCTTCTGCCTCAGCCTCCTGGATAGCTGGGACTACAGGCGTGCGCTACTATGCCTGGCTAATTTTTTGTATTTTTAGGTGGGGTTTCACCATGCTGGCCAGGCTGGTCTTGAACCCCTGACCTCGTGATCTGCCTGCCTCGACCTCCCAAAGTGCTGGGATTACAGGCGTGAGGTTTTTTTTTTGTTTGTTTGTTTGTTTTTTTTTTTTTTTACATTTTTAAGGTTTCTTTTATGACCCAGGATATGGCCTATCTTGATGAGTGCTCCATGTGCATTTGAGAGGAATGTGTTTCTTCTACTGAGCGGCATGTTCTATAAATGTCAACTAGGTCAAGTAGGTAGATAGTATTAGTCAGGTCTTCTGTATGACTTCCTGACCACTTGTTCAGTCAGTTACTAAGGAGGAGTTTAAGTCTCCACCTATAATTATGTAGTTATCTATTTCTACTTTCAGTTCCATCAGTTTTTTCTTCATGCATTTTGAAGTTCTCTTATTAGCTCAGTATTTACAACTTTTGTGTCTTCTTTCTGAATCGATGCCATTTATCATTGTATCTTCTTCTTGTCCGTGATAATATTCCTCACTCTGAGGTCTACTTTGCCTGATATTAATATATCCACTGCAATTTATTATTTGTATAGCATATCTTTTTCACCTTTTTATTTTTTATAGCTTATAGTTGGGTCTTATAATTAGCATGTTGGGAGCATTTATGTTTATTGTAGTGATTGGTATGGTTATATTTAGGTCTACTATTTTGTTGTTTTCTCTTTTTCTTCTCTTCTTTTTTTTTCTTCTATCCCCTCTTTCCTGTCCTCTCTTGAATTATTTAGGTATTTTAAAACATTGTTTTGATTTTTTGTTGGAACTTTGGCAGTATCTCTTTGTGTTATGTTTTTAATGGTTGCTGCAGGGATGACAGTGTACATACTTAATTAACCCTTCACAGTCTTCTTAGAGTTAATATTTTTCCATTTCAAATAAAATATAGAAGGCTTACAACCACATAGGTCCCTTACCCTCCTCCATTATGTTATAACTGCCATATTGAAAACCTCAACAGATAATACAATTTTAACAATCATACATGTTTACTGAAGTGATAAAACCGCATTTTACCATTGCTCCTCCTACCTTCTTGAAGTTCCACATGTCTTTCTGGTATCATGTCTTTTGAACCTGAAGAACTTTAGCATTTCTTTTAGTGCAGATCTGTAGGCAAGAAATTCTCATTTGCCCTCATCTGGGAATCTTTATTTTGCCTTCATCCCCAAAGAATATTTTGCTAGATATAGAGTTGTTTTCTTTCAGTTCTTTAACAAAGATGTTCCACCCTTCTGGCCTCCATGGTTTCATTATTATTTTTCAGCAGTTTATGATGTTTCAATATTGTTTTCTTTGAATTTATCCTATGGTTCGTTTATGGTTCATCATGTTCTTAAACATATGTGCTTTTGTCTTTCTCTAAGTTTGTGAAATTTCAGGCATTATTTATTCAATTAATTTTTGGGTCCAAATCTGTTTCTCTCTTCTACTTCTCAGACTCCACTGCCCTTAATGTTAGACCTTTTACTATTATTCCACAAGTCCCTGCTATGCTAACCACTTATTTCAATCTTTTTTCTTTCTGATCTTATATTGAATAATTTCACTTACTCAATCTTTTATTTTATATTTATATTTATATTTATATTATTATTATTATTGTTTTTCTCTTTGAGACGGAGTCTCACTTTGTCGCCCCGGCTGGAGTGCCGTGGTATGATATCGGCTCACGGCAACCTCCGCCTCCCAGTTTCAAGCAATTCTCCTGCCTCAGCCTCCCAAGTAACTGGGATTACAGGCGCCCGCCACCATGCCTGGCTAATTTTTGTATTTTTTTAGTAGAGTCAGGGTTTCACCATGTTGGCCAGGCTAGTCTCGAACTCCTGACCTCAAGTGATCCACCTGCCTCAGCCTCCCAAAGTGTTGGGATTACAGGTGTGAACTACCGCGTCCGGCCTATTTTATTTTATTTTAGAGACAGGGTCTTGCTCTGTTGCCTAGGCTGGAGTACGGTGGCACGATCATAGCTCACTGCAGCCTTGAACTCCTCAAGCCATCCTCCGTCTTGGCCTCCCAAAGTGCAGAGATTACAGATGTAAGCCACCACGCCTGGCCCACTTTATGTCACTCTGTCATCTCCCATTCCATTATTGATTTTTTTCAGATATTATTCAGTTCTGAAATTCGTATTTGTTTGGTTTTTTAAAAAATAATTTCTATTTCTCTGCTGAGAGGTCTTTTCCCTCCATTCAGTTCAAGGATGTTTATTTTTGCCTCATGCAGCATAATCATAAAGCTGCTTTAAAATTTTTACCAGATATTTCCAACATCTGAATCTTCTCAAGGTTGGCATCTGTAAATTGGCTTTTTCCTTGAGAGTTGGTCTCATTTTCCGGGTTCTTTGTATGCTGAATAATTTTGGATGATATCCTAGACATATCCTGGGTTGAATAGTGTGTGAGGTCCTCCAGAGAGAGCTGAGTTTGGCGCTAGCAGGCAGTCAACCCAGTTAGATTTGCACAAGCTCCATCTCGCCCTCCGTGGGCTGTGGTTTTAATCTCATTTTTATTTTCAGAGCTTTTGACATGCTGCTTTGGTTCTGTCTCGCACATCAGCCACCCAGGGCTCAGCCTGAGACTTGAGTGTTGGTTTACTTCCCTTCTTACAGCTGGTGCTGCTTTGGGTCTGCCCTGTGTATACACAGCTCAGGGGTGAGCTTGAGGCTTCTGTGTATTTATTCACAGAATTGGGGAACTTTTTTTAGCTCTCCCCACTCTGTAGTTTCCCCCCTTGCCATCTTGCAGGGTTCCCTTTCCTTGGTTCCCCTGATCAGAAAGACAAGCTTCTCTCTCAGTCACTTTCCCCTGGGCTCTGTGTGCAGGGCCATCCCTGGGGCAGCACCGTGAGAGAGGGGGACAGTAAACCTTCAGGGTTTCCCCTCACATTCTTGGGGCCGTAGCGCACCTTTTTCTCTGTATCTCTATCTAGAAATTTGGAGTTTTATCCAAGTTTTAGCCACTGCTGCCTGGTAGCTCTGCAACCAGGGCCAACTGTAGGGCAGCACCCCAAAACACACATACGAATAACCTAGGAAACATGTCTCTGTGTAGGTCACTGTCCTAAGCTTTGCTTTCCTCCAAAACCCGGCTGGCTGCTGTTGCCCACTTTTCTGTTTTCAGAGAATTGTTTTTTGGGATTTTTTGGGGGGTGGGATAGAATCTTGCTCTGTTGCCCAGAGAGGAGTGCAGTGGCACAATCACAGCTCGCTGCAGCCTTGAACTCCTGGGCTTAAGTGATCCTCCCACCTCAGCCTCCCAAGTAACTAGGCCTGCAAGCACACGCTATCAGCCCAGCTAATATTTTTTATTTTTCGTAAAGACAGGGTCTGACTATGTTGCCCAGGCTGGTCTTGAACTCCTGGCCTCAAGTGATCCTCCCACCTCAGCCTCCCAAAGTGCTGGGATTAATGATGTTAGCCACTGTGCCCAGCCTTAGGTAGTTGCTTTTTATATTTTGTCCAGAGTTTTGAGTTGCAGTCAGCCTGAGAGAGAGGCTGTAATGAGCTTACTTCATCCTGCCAGAACAAGAAGCTTTTCTGTAGTTTTAATTTACATTTTTCTATGAGTAAGCTTTTGGTTGAACATCTTTTCATGTGTTTAATGGGCATTTTCATAGCTTTTTCTGAATTGTCTATTCATCTCTTTTTCCCATTTTTCTATTGAGTTTTTAGGCTTTCCTTAATATTGAAAAGTTTATTTATATTTTAAAGATATTAATTTTTAAATTTCTTTTGACATGCAAATGCTAAAATTTTTGTCTTTCTTTTTATTTCTTTTATTTTTTTTTTTGAGGCAGAGTCTCACTCTGTCGCCCAGGCTGGAGTGCAGTGGTGTGATCTTGGCTCACTACAAGCTCCGCCTCCCGGGTTCACGCCATTCTCCTACCTCAGCCTCCCAAGTAACTGGGACTACAGGCACCTGCCACCACACCCAGCTAATTTTTTGTATTTTTAGTAGAGATGGGGTTTCACCGTGTTAGTCAGGGTGATCTCGATCTCCTGACCTTGTGATCCTCCCGCCTCAGCCTCCCAAAGTGCTGGGATTACAGGCATGAAAAATTTTTATTTTTCTATAGTCAGAATTATCCATTTTATTTTATTGTTTTTTTTTTTTTTTAGATAGAGTCTTACTTTCTCACCCAGACTGGAGTGCAATGGCATGATCTGGGCCCACTGCAACTTTCGCCTCCTGGGTTAAAGCATTTCTCCTGCCTCAGCCTCCCGAGTAGCTGTACAAAGATTACAGGTGCTTGCCACCGCGCCCAGATAATTTTGTATTTTTAGTAGAGATGGGGTTTTACCATGTTGGCCAGGCTGGTTTTGAACTCCTGACCTCAAGTCTCGGCCTCCCAAAGTGCTGGGATTACAGGCGTTGTATCTAAATTTTGAGTCATGACAAACCTTTTCCACAACCATGTTAATAATGCAGTTCTTCCATGTTTTCTTCTAGTGCTTGGTTTATTTTTTACATATGGATCCCAGATCCACTTGGAGTTTATGCTCGTGTATTTCACTGTAAGATATGGATCTGATTTTATATGGTTAACCATTTTTGTTCCAGTGATGTGAGATACCACCTCTTTTATGTATTAAACTTCCACACGTACTTGGGTTTATTTCTAGGCTTTCTATTTCACTGATCCATCTGTCTATACAGGAGTACTATACTTTTAATCCTAAAGACTTGAGTACCTGTTAGTATCTGATAGGGCTAGCTCCTTTGCAGCTAATTTTTCCCCATGTTTTTCTGTGCATGCTACATTTTTGTTTATCCAAGTGAGTGTTAATATCAACTTCTCTAACTCCATAAAGAAGCTTGCTGGTGTTTCCGTTGGGGTTGTGTTAAATTTATAAATTAATTTGGGGAGAAGAGACATCTTTATGTTGATGTTGAATTGTCTTAACCAAGAACAAAGGATCCTTTTTCCTTTGTTCAAATCTACTTTTGTGTCTTCCAAGAGAATTTTAACATTTTCTTCATGTAGGTTTTTCATATTTATTTATTAAAGTTATTCTTAAGTATTTTATCTTCTTTGGTATAAATGGAATTTTCTCTAACTGGTTATTATTTTTGTACAAGTAATATGTGCTCTTTATTGTTATTGTATACAAATAACATAGAGACTATTGAATTCTCTATGTTAGTTTTACATCCTGCTACCAGTTGAAGTTTTTTTTTTATTATTTGAATCTGTTTTATCATTGATTTTCTATGGCTTTCCATGTATACCATCGTATAATCTGGAATATGGTTTTGTTTTCTTTTTCTAGAGATGGGGTCTTGCTGTGTTGCCGAGGCTGGAGTGCAATGGCTAGTCACAGGTGTGATCATAGTACACTGTAGCCTCAAACTCCTGAGCTCAAGCAATCCTCCTGCCTCAGCCTCCCAAGTAGCTGGGACTACAGGCGTGTACCACTATACTCAACAGGAAGATAGTTTAATGTCTTCTTTTCCAATTATAAACCTCTACTTAATTTTTCTTGACTAATTGCCTTGGCTTATACTGCCACTACAATGTCGAATGGTAGTAGAGATAGCAGGCATTCTGATCTTAGTGGGAATGTCCCCAATATTTCTTCATAAAATAATATGTTGGATTTAGGACCAAGGGGGATGTATATATATATATATATTTAACCTCTAAGAAATGCATCAATGTCTGTTTGTTTACGTATTTTAATAAAAAATGGGCATTGAATATTGTCAAAGGCTTTTTCAGCATCTGTGGAGATAATTACATGCTTTTTCTCATTATATCTATTAATACAGTATATGGCTTTCATAAATTCCCTATTTGAACCAACCTTGCATTTCTAGGATAAATTCCACTTGATCACTGTATATTAATGTGATATTGGGTCTTGTTTACTAATATTTTACTTACTATTTTTGTGTGATAGTCATAACTGGTATTGGTCTATACTTTTCTTCTGATCAGAGCTTTAAATATATCTCATAAATTGGTACGTAGTATTTTTCATTTTAAAAAAATTTTTGTGGTTTCAGTTATCCCATTTCACCTAAAAGTTGTTTTTAAATTTCTATTTGATAAGACCTTTTTGTTTTTTATTTTATTAATTTCTAATTTAATTGCACTGTGGTCATGGAATTTTATTTATAAATATTTCTTCTTTATGAAACTTACTGATATTTCTTTGTGACCCAATATACAGTCAATTTTTATACATGTCCCATGTACCCTTGAGAAGAAGAGGTAGGCTCTGTTATGAGAGTGTAAAGTTCCATTATAGATCTGTAGTATCTACCTTGTTGGTTGTATTTTTTGGATCTTCTATCTGCCTACTTATTGTCCACGTGATCTGACTTGTACTAAGAGTAGTATGTTATGGCCGGGCACGGTGGCTCATGCCTGTAATCCCAGCACTTTGGGAGGCCAAGATGGGCAGATCACCTGAGGTCAGGAGTTCAAGACCAGCCTGGCCAATGGGGTGAAACCCCATCTCTATTAAAAATACAGAAATTAGCCGGGCACTGTGGCGTGTGCCTGTAGTCCCAGCTACTCGGGAGGCTGAGGCACAAGAACTGCTTGAACCCCAGAGGCAGATGTTGCAGTGAGCCGAAACCACGTCACTGCACTCCAGCCTGGGTGACAGAGCAAGATTCTGTCTCAAAAAAAAAAAAAAGAAAAAGAGTAGTATGTCATATTCTCCAATCACTAGTAGGCTTCTTTCTGTGACTCTGCATCTCCTGTCGTTTCTGCTCTATAGAGGTGGTATCTCTGTTATATAGTGCATAGATATTAAAAACTGTTACATAGATTAATTATATATTATATATAGATATTAAAAACTGTTATATATATAGTTTTTTTTTTAGATAGGGTCTCACTCTGTCACCCAGGCTTTAATGCAGTGGTGTGATCATGGCTCACTGCAGCCTCAAACTCCTGGGCTCAAGCAGTTCTCCTTCTTCAGCATCCCAAATAGCTGGGACTATACAACTGTGCCCAGCGAATTTTTATTTGTTTTGAGAGATGGAATCTGACTATGTTGCTCAGGCTGGTCTCAAACTCCTGGCCTCAAGTAATCCTTCCACCTCAGCCTCCCAAAGTGTTGGGACTACAGGTGTGAGCCCACCACACCTGGCAATAAACTGTTATATTTTGTAAACTGCAATGAAGAATTAAAAACTATCTGTCTTTGTCAAGTCTAATGCTTTTTGGCTGGAATTCAACTTTGTCTGCTATTAGTATTTCAACCCCTACTTTCTTATTGTTTCTGTTTGCCCCATATACCTTTTTGCCCATCTCTAATTTTAGCGTTTTGGAATTACTTTGTGTTACACTCTTTTTCTTATTGAGTGACATATTCTGAGTCAAGGAGTAAATTCTGAGAATGAATCCTTGAACAGATACGTGTTGTGAACATTTTATTTCTGTCTGTGTCTTCAGTTTTGACTCCCTTCATGTCTCTTGATGAGAATTATGACTTTGAGCTTCATCCATGTAAGACTGGAGTTGATTCATTTTCAGTTCTGTGGAGTATTCTATCGTACGAATTTACCCAATGTGTTCCTTTCTGCAGTTGCTAGCCATTTGGGTTGTTTTTGGTTTTTGTTATTATACCCAATACTACTAGGAACATTCTTGTGTGAGTTTCTTTGTACACACTTGTGAGAATTTCTTCAGGGTGTTTATCTAAGAGTAGGGTTGCCGAGTCATACGGTGTGCAAGATGGAGTCAGATTGTTTTCCAAAGTGGTCGTTTCCGTGTGCGCTCCTTCTAGCATGGTAGAAGGTTCCAGTTGTCCTCTGTCTTCATCAACATTTGACAGACTGTTTAATTTTTTGCTAATCTGCTGAGAGTGTAATTATATCACATTGTAGTTTTGACAGGCATTCCCAGGATTATTAATTAGGTTAAACATCTTTGCATATATTTATTGGACATTTACGTTGCTTGTGAAATATCTGTCCAAGCCTTTTGCTTATTTTTCTTTCGGTGTTTGCTTTTGTATTCTGTTGACCTCTGTGTTCTTTAGATATTCTGGATACGAGTCCAGTGTGGACTTGTCTTTCTCCACCCCTCTGGCATGCTTTTATGGTTTTAAATCTACAGAAAAGCTGCAAGTGTAGTAAAATAAATACCTGTACACCTTCACCTGTGGTCACCAGTTGTTAGCATTTTGCCACATTTGTACTACTTCTCTGCCTATATATTCATACATAGATAGGTAGAGATTAAGAGAGAATTTTTTTTGAAACATTTGAAAGCAGATTGTAGACATTATAGCATTTCACCCCTAAATACTTTCGGATGTATCTCGTAGGAATAAAGACATTCTTCTACATAAAATACTGTTATCCTTCCAAGGAAATTAATAACACCCCATTATCTGTAGTCCATATTCAGATTACCCACAAAGATCCCCCAGATGTCCCTTATAGCCCCCTTTTTTTTGATCCAGGATCTGATCTAAGAGCCAGGATCTAAGGTTTATATGTCATGTTTGGTCATCATGCCCCTTTGGTCTCTTAATGTGGAAGTTACCCAGCGTTTTCCTTTGGTTGTTTCTCTTGATGCTGACCTTTTTGATGAGTCCAAGCTAGTAGTCTTGCCCAGTGTCTCGTAACCTGGATGTGTCTGATTGTTTCCTTTATGGCTGGATTGAGGTTGAGCATTGTTGGCAGGGACACACAAGGTTGGTGCCATGTCTGTGGCATCACATCAGGAGATAAGCAATGCCAGTTTGTTCATTATTGGCAGTGCTAGCTTTTCTCAGTGGTGAAAGTGGTGACAGCCAGATGTCTCCATTGAAGATACACATTTTCCTTTTGTGATCAGTAAACAGTTTGGAGAGTAATACCTTGGCGCAACACACATCTCCTGTTTCCCAACCACCTCTCACCAAGTTGGATCCTTTTTTGGATCTGTGTGATGATGTTTCATCTCCCTTGCTCTCTACTTGTAGTTGCAGTTCCCTCTCTGTTTCTTTAAGAGCGTTAAGCACCCTTGCCTTATATACCCGAGTGCTCTGCTCTGTGGGTCTAGTTCTGTTTTTTGTTGCCTCTCATGACTCTCGATTACAGTGCCTTGTTGACTTTTGTGATTTTTGACTACAACCTTGCACTTCTTAGGACTTATTCTAAAGTGAATTCCTTGAGGCCTGGGTTGCAGGTGGGTTCCTTCTGAGAAGACAGACTGAAGTGTGGGGGATCTCTCAAGGTGGTGTGAGTTAGGGCTGAAACCTGAGGACTGGTGTTTTTCTGGCATCCGTGGGTGTAGGTTTAGTGCTGGCTCAGCCTAACACTGAGCATCTAGCTACTGGGGTTCTCCTAGGAGGTTAGCCACCATAGGATGGCCCTAAGCTTTGCCTTTTGTCACCCCAGAGGCCATCAGAGCTGGAAATCCAGGTCACTAGTGCAGCAAATGCCCTCAAGGCAGGCTTGGCAGGTCTCCCGAGGCTGCACTTTTACTTAGTGTTTGGCCTCTGGCAGCTCAGACTTTTTTTTGTCAACTTAGTGATGCGTTTAATATTTTGATTTTGATTTTGATTTTTTTCAGAGACAGGGTCTTGTTCTGCTGTCCAGGCTGGAGTGCCGTGGTGTGATTGTGGCTCACTGTAGCCTGGAACTCTTGGGCTCAAATGATTCTCCCACCTCAGCCTCCTGAGTAGCTGGACTTACAGGCACCCACCACCATGCCCAGCTAATTTATTTATTTTTTTTGTAGAGATGGGGGTCTGACTATGTTGCCCTGGCTGGTCTTGAACTTCTGGACTCCAGCAATCCTCCTGCCTTGGCCTCCCAAAGTGCAGGGATTACAGGCCTGAGCCACTGTGCCTGGCTGTGTTTAAAAAAATTTTTTAAAGATAGTTATTTATTTTATTTAATTTATTTGAGATGCGGTCTTGCTCTGTCCCCCAGGCTGGAGTGCAGTGGCGCGATCATGGCTCACTGCAGCCTTGACCTCCTGGGCTCAAGCTATCCTCCCACCTCAGCCTCCTGAGTAGCTGGGACCACAGGCATACACCACCACACCTGGCTAATTTATTTTTATTTTTTGTAAAGGCAAGGTCTCCCTATGTTGCCCAGGCTGGTCTTGAACTCCTGGGCTCAAGCAATCCTCCCACCTCGGCCTCCCAAAGTGCTGAGATTATAGGCATGAGCCACCATGCCTGGCCTTCTAAGAAACTTTTATCAACATCTTTAGTTGTTTTTTGGGAGAGGGCCACCCAGGGTGTCCGTCCTGGTGTAAAGGGGTGCTGACCTAGTCTTCAGTCTTGCTGATTATGGGCTGGAGCTTCCTCGGGGGATGCTGGAGCTAGTTCCATGCCCTTGTGTGAGATATGCAGTGGGGCAGAGGGTCCTGTTTGAGGCACTCCCAGCGGCCTGTGCGGCCTGTCCTTGTGCTGTCACATGCCCAATGGGACAGGGAGGACCTGGTGGGCTGGGGTGGGCAGGGGTGGTGCCAGTGGCCTCTCTGGGTGGTGGCTCCCCACGTTGGCTCACTTCGTGGTACTCTTTGCTGATTTCCACAAAAGGGCTAGGGGACTGAGCACAGGGCTGTGCAGCCCGAGGGCAGGGCGGGGGCCCAGGCTGAGCTGAGGCCTGTCTGGCATGAACCCCCAGGAGCCCAAGAATGTCTTGGGTAGGGACCTGTGGTGTTTGGGCTCCAGCCACTGCCGCAGCCCTGCTTCATCTGTAGGGAGGAAGGCCCTGCAGGTGTGGGTGGGTTTGCGCCAGCAGGACATTTGCAGGCCTGCCCCTGCCTCCCTTGAGTGGGGTGTCTGTGGACCTCTCTGCCAGTTGCACCTACCCGCTGGTCCCCACACCCAGAGGAGCGCTCTGGACCCCTCTTGGGAGAGCCCTGGGGCCTGCCGAGCTGCCTCCGCGGTGGTGCATTGCAGGCAGATGCTGTTGTCGTCCATTTGTTCCCTGGGGCTTTCAGGGGTGTTTGTGGCTTCTCTGGAAGGGCTGTTAGAGTTGCACAAATTGTGTCAGACTGCCTTTCATTTTTCAAAGAATGTGGCTCACTTTGACACCTGGAAGAGCAGGCAGAAGCCAAAGTTGTGCTCTGTGGATTAAGTTTCCTGTTCCTTTGCCTCCGGGAGGACAGGGCCGGGGCTGGGCCGGGGCCACCGCAAGGACAGCTGGGCGCACACGGGCCTTGCGCAAGGGCGGCCTTTGCTCCACAGCCTGGGGCCAGGCAAGATAGGGGAATGTGATGATTCTCAATTAGATTAATAAAGAATAATTAGATGTCATAAATCAAGCAATCCTAGGATATTGTCATGGGAAAAATATGTAGCTAGAATTAATTAGTTTTCAAATAAAGCATTTATTTTAATTACTTGAAATGATGGAGCCCTTAATTGCCGATGCATCATTTTGGCCTGTGCATTTTGGTTGTTGTAACAACGTGACGGGTTTGTTCCCTGCAGTTCTGGGGAAACAATAGAGGAGAACTTGATTTCATCACCTGAGAATGAGCCTTCTGCTGGTGAGGTTCTGGAAACTCCCGCCAGGCCCCAGGCAGGTGGCATGTGGGGGCCGGGCTTCGGCTGGCACCGCCCAAGGCCGCCGTGCTGTCTGTGTGTGTGCTTCTCTGTGCTGTGTGTGCACATACGTGAGTGCCTGTGCCTGAGTGTCTGAGTCTGCGTGTGTGTATGTGTATGTAGGTATGAGTGTGTGCCTGTGTGTGTGCATGTGTGTGTGTGCACATATGGGTGTGTGAACATGTATGTGTAGGCATGTGTCCTATGTGTGGGTTTTGCATGTGTCTGTGTGCACCATGTGCATGTGTGTGTATGTGTGAGCATAGCGTGTGTCTAATGTGTGTTCGTGCCTGGACTGCACAGGGGAGCCTGTGTAGAGGTGACCTGTCAGGCTCTGCTTCCTGGACTGGAGTCATGGGAGGGACCCTCCATCCTGGACTCGGTGCTTTCCTGCTAGGTGGAGGTGCTTTTGCCGGGTCTGCATTCTTTGGCTCCTCTTGGAGCTGGGCCCTGCCTTCCTGTCCCCCTGGCTAGCTTGCCTTTCTTACCTGGCAGGCATAGCACAAACAGGCAGTGGCTTCTGAGAACTGTCCTCCAAGCCAGCCCGCTGAGGGCAGCTGTTCCAGCCCCCGGCCTGGCTGCGTCTTCAGGAGTCTTGGAGTCTTCCCCATCACAGGCTGGAGCAGGGGCCGTGGGTCTTGGGAGCAGTGTGGGGTCTGGTCCCTCTGCCTCCCCTGGAAGCCACCCTTAAGTTTGGGCATGATCAGTTGGCTTTCAGCCAAAGGTGAGAGAGGACGAAACCTCTCTCATCCCCCTCAAAAAAGAAAAGGAAAAATGGGACTTGGCAGTTAGTAAAGGATATCCCAGGGAACTCCGCATTGTCTTCGGAACCCCTTGAGAGAGGCAGGGTTGGGAGGTAGAGTGGCTGCCCGAGGTCTCTCGCCAGGCAGGGTGGACCTGCGCCCTGGAGTCACTGCCCGGCCCCTCCCAGGCCTCCTGCCCTCCCCCATGCCGCCCGCTTGGGCACTGGCTGCTGTCCACCCTCCACTCTGCAGGACACCTTGGCAGGGGCATTTCTCAGGTGTTTTGAACCTTTGCCCCAGCTCTGAATAGAGTAAGGAGAGGGCTGGCGTGTATTCAGAAGGGGAGAGGCAGGGCTTGGCGGTGGCAGTGCTGCTGAAGGGGCACCCTGGACAGCTGCCTCCAGACATCCACAGCACTCCTGCCTCTGAACCTGCACCCCCATCCGCCTACCACCCAGCCCCTTCTGAAGAGTCCTTCCCATCTCCCCTGCCCTGGTCCTTTACTGGCCCCAGTCCCTCTGCTGGCTGTGGCTGCCGTGGGCCATCCTCCCTGCCTTGTGTGCAGGCTGCAGGTGGCTGGGCCGGGGCCTGCCCCACTGTCCCAGAGCCCAGTGGGAAAGGCCCCCTGTGACAGGCTGCCCCAGCCACCCAGTGGTCTGCTCCTGGCCTTTCCCTCTGAGCCCTTAGCCCAGCTCAGGGTCTGCAGGCAGACAGACATGGAGCTGGTCGCTTCTGGCTCCAGGGCCACCCCACAGAGCAGCCAGCTGTGGGGCTGAGGTGGAGTGCGAGGCCCTGTGGGTCTGAGTGGTTGGAAGGGCTCGGCACGGACCCGGGAAGCCTCTCTGGGTGGGTGGTGGCCCGGCAGTCTTCCCCCACAGGCCCAGTGGTCTGGGGAACAGCTGCTCATCTGTGACCGCAGCTCTCCTAAGGAGCCGCACGGCGACTCTGCCCCAGCCACTCTGCCCTTCAGTGGTGCCATGAGGCCCTAGAGTACTTCAGGCCTCAGCGCCAGGGGCCTGGTGCAGCTCAGTGACTATTCTCTGCCTCGGTTTCCCCAAGAGTGAAAAGGGTGCTGCCGCCTTATAGGGTGGTGATAGCGGTTAGAAATTGTGGCGGGGCAGGCCTGGGGCCCAGCAGATGTGAGAGGAAGGCTCCTCCTAGCAGCCCCCCGGGACCCTGTGTGCCTCTTTTCCCCTGATCCCTGAGCTGGCCATGGGCAGAGGTGGCAGCAGGGAGGAGAGAAGAAGGGAGACTGGATTTGCCAGCAGGGAGGGAGGGTGGCTCCCAAGAGAGACACTGGAGTGAGCCCTGGACAGAGGGCGGGACTCAGCCAAGCCCAGTGGCAGGACCGGCAGTCCCGGCATGCAGATGGCCAGAGTGGGAAAGCACTGGTGTGGCCCCTGGGATCTGGGGAGCCAGAGGGCACAGCCAGTGGTGGACAGGAAGCCCTGGAGGCCAGAGTGGCCGAGGAAGTGTTGGATGCCGCTGTGCCCACTCAGGGATGGCTCAGGTGGGGCCCAAGCGGGTGCACCAGTCAGGTGCAGAGGCCAACAGGCACGGTGCGAGGAGGGCTGGCATCCATGGGGCTCCCAGTTCCCCCAGCAGTGGGGGAAGGGTGAGCTCTGTGCTCTCTGCTGGGCTCACCGCCGTGCAGGGAACTGGTGCCTCTGTAGCCACAGGCCGTTCATCAGTGTCTGGGGAGCAGTGGCACCTCTCTCCCAGGAGGGGCACAGGGCCAGAGACAATGAGCAGGGGCAACATCTCAAGCACCCCTGTGCCTGAGCAGCCTTCCTAGAGGGTGAGAATAGGGACGCAGTCACTCACACGCCCTCCCTTGGTGCCCAGGTAACTGCATCCTGCCCAGCATGACGGCCCCCTGCCCGCCGCCACCTCCAGACCCCCAGTTTGTCCTCCGAGGCACCCAGTCACCGGTGCATGCGCTGCACTTCTGCGAAGGAGCCCAGGCTCAGGGGCGCCCGCTCCTCTTCTCAGGGTGAGTAGCTGTGGCCCCAGCCCCAGGCCACCCAGGGCCAAGTCAGGAGGTCGTGAGCTAGCAAGGAGCCCAGCGCTTGTTTGAGGGTGCTGGCCAAGGGGCATGGACTGCTCGCCACCCAGGCTTGCTGAGCTTTCAGCACCCACCAGCAGACACACTGTCCCTTGGGGGAGGCAGGGACACACACACACACTCTTTGTTACAGACGCAGGAGCAGGCACGACCACCCAGCGTGCATTACTGTGGCATGGCTCCCCCTACCTCCAGAGAAGCAGATCTGCCTGAGTTACCCCTAGAGGCTCCTGAGGGTCCCCCGGTCCCCTCTCTGGAAGAGGAGCAAGGAGTGCTTTGCCAGTTTGGCCCTTAGTTCATATTTAGAGCTGTTGGCTTTTCAGCTCAACCAGCCTAGATGCCCGCATCCCACAATGTGGCCTCCAGGCTGGCCCCAGAGCATTCAGCACACCCTTCTGCCCCCTGACACCCTGCTCGGCTTGTCTGAAACAGGTCTCAGAGTGGCCTGGTACACATCTGGAGCCTGCAGACGCGGAGAGCGGTTACCACCCTGGATGGCCACGGCGGCCAGTGTGTGACCTGGCTGCAGACGCTGCCCCAGGGGCGCCAGCTCCTCAGGTGGGTCTCCAAGGTGCAGGAGCCAGGTATGGCCTTCGGGGGAGTCAGGAACTCTCTGATGGAGGCTCTGGTGTCCCCCACTGAGGGGCAGAATGGGGTGGGGGAACCAGAAGGGGCCAGCAAAGGGTCCGCAGCAAGGGCAGGGTGTGCAGGTCCAGCCCCTTGTCACAGGGAGGCAGGCAGGTCTGCCTCTGCATCTCCACCATCTCCACTGGACCCTTCATGCTCCAAGCTGGAGCCAGGAGGTGCCAGGTGAGGAGGCCAGAGCTCCAGGGCTGGTGACATCTGAGGTGAGCCCAGGCGCAAGTTGGTGGGAGGGCCTTCACAAGGGCACTGGGTCGTGGCTTGGGAAACTGGGCAGGGGTGAGGGCATTTGCTGAGAGGAGGGGAATGGGATGAAGTACAGGCTCAGGGATGCAGGCAGTGGTCCCAAGGAGGGCCTCCCTGCCCACTGCCCATCCTGCCTGGGCCGTGTGCCATGAGCATGGCAGGTCACACACGGTGCCGGTGGAGGCCCTAGGAGCTGGGTGTTCCGGCAGCTGAGCCCTGGCCGTGTGTGTCCCTTCACTAGGTTATGACAATGCACCTGACTCTTCCCAAGAGGACCCAGCCCCTGATGTTGTGCCACATACGGCTATGTGGCTGGCAAGATGGTGGCTGAGTGGCCAGGGGCGGGGCGCAGGGCTTGGGTGTATAGTGCTGTCCCACAGCAGTGTGCTTCTGCGTTTCTGAAGTGGGCGTGGTAGTGAGGGCCATCTCCCCACCTGGTCCCCCCTGCAGTGTCTCCTGTGGTTTCTACCCCTGCAGTCTCCTCCCTCAGGGCCCCGAGCTCACGTGTGTGTTCTGTACCCTACGCATCACTTGGGGATTACTTGTCCAGACTGTACCCCAGCAGGAAGGGTCCACAGAGGTGGCCTGTCCCCATTGGTATTCAGACCCCACTGTTCTAGCCTGTGCTTAGCACAAGGGCAGGTTTCTGGGTGCCCCCATGGTTCATGAGGCCTTAGCCCATCCCGAGACAGTGTGACCCTACCCTCCGTGACTGCTGTGCTGTCTGGCCAGGTGCCTGCTGGGAAGAGCCTAGTGAACGTATGGCGATGGCTGTGTCCCCATTGCAGTGTCAGCCTGTGCCTTCAGCAGAGCTCGCCCTGGCCAGGGGTCCGCATTGAGCCCAGGCCCCTCCTCAGATGAGCTTCTGCCTCTATCCCATGGGCCCAGGTCCCAGTCACCACAGCCCCTCTACAACTTGGCCTCCTGTGGCTGTCGCACCATCCTCCTGCATGGGTGGCAGAGCCTCATCCTGAGGTTACCCAGCTCACAGGGCCCTGCTTCACACGCTGGTGCAGCTGCTGGGTAAGCAGGAGGTGGCGGAGGAATAAGAGGGCCTGGCAGTCCTGGTGGGGGAGACCCCACGTGCTGCGGCCCTGGAGGGCCTGCCTCTGAGTGTGGTGAAGGACAGTGGGGCTGGGTGCTGGGCAGCTGGCAGCAGAGCAGGGAGGGGCAGCCCCCGAGGGTTAGCCCAGGGCTGGGTTCTGACATCGCCCCCGTGGTCTTGTGGAGGTGATGGGGCTGAGACACCAGGCCGGAGGTAGGCCAGGAAGCAGCAGACAGGGGCAGGTGCGTGAGGGGCTTCTCTGTTTCCCATGGGGAGTGGGAGGGACAGGGCATGGTGGGACAGGGAAGGCCTGCAGGGGGCTGACAACAAGTCCTCCTTTGGGCTGCCTGGATGCTGGAGCAGGCTATTGTCCTTGATCAGAGTGACATCTGCCCCTGTGTGGGGATCGCTGCCACCAGCCCAGGAATCCTGAGCACGGGCCTGCTGCTGTCCTGGGATTTGCCTTGCGTCATATTCAGGGAACTCCGTGCCATCACCATCACAGCCCAGAACTCCAGAAGGACAGGCCTGTTCTCCTGCTCTGGACTCGGTGCCTGGTTCATGGCACTGTGGAGTATAGTCCCTGGAGAATGAGGCCTGTCTGGCCCCCACCAGTCTGCAAAACATGTCTGTGCTAGACTCACGCGGTGCCTACCACCTGGGAGATGGCTGCAGGTGACGAAGGCACCAGGGTTGTCCTGAAGAGCAGAGGCCCTGAGCCTGTGTGCTTGCAGAGCCCCGTGTGGTCATGCCTGCATCCTGGCCAAGCCGACCCAGATCCCTCACCACTGGTGCAGGGGGCCTCAGAGTGGGTTTGGTCTTTGATTGTCAGAGTAGACTTCATTTCTAGAACCCCACCAGGCCATGTGCATCAGGAGCTGCTGTTTGTAAGTGTCCTCCTGAGTTTTCAGCCACAATGTAGCCCTTGGTGGTCCCTTGCGTAGGTGCCTTGTGGTATCAGGCTGTCCTGCAGACAGGAGCTGTGCCAGGCCTGGTGGGCGGTCTGGGAGCTGACGTTCGAGGGCACCTCCCCTTCCTGCTGGGATGGTGCTGTAGTGGCTGCTTCCCAGGCAGAGCCAGCCACGGGTCAGGGGGTCTGTGGACAGAAACTGCAGGTGTGGAGTGCCAGGTGCGTCTGCACTGTACTAGAGCCTGTGGGCCGCCACCCGGCCTGTGCTCAGCTGTGTTTGGAAGCCAAGTCTCTCCAAGTGGCCCTTGAAGGAAGTGATGGCTTTCATGTTGATGGGAGGTGGGAGGACGCCCTCAGCCTCCCGCATGCCAAGGACACACCTGTGCCTTCGACAGCCACCTCGGCAGGGTGTTTTTTAATCTTTTTTCTTGTGAAGTATAATGTACTCACAGAAGAGTGCAAGACAAGTGTTCAGAGCATTGTATTACGGCTGAGTGAGCACCTGAGCAACCACCTTCCAGTCAAGAAGTAGAGCGCAGGGCCCCCGAGCCTCTGAATCCCTGAGCTGCTGCCACCTGCTCTCCCTGGAGATAGCCCCTCATGCCCCAGGAGGTAGCCCCTCACGCCTCATTTTTGCTATATTTATGAATGTATGTCTCTGAAAAGCATAGACTATTTTGTCTGCTTTTTTCTTTGGAAGCGTGGAGACATAAGGAGCAGCATCTGTGTGTGACTTCTCTCACTCAACTTTATCTCCGTGAGCTCCGTGTGTTGCATGTAGCTGCAGTCAGCTGTCGCTGTTTTCTTTTTCTTACGTTTTTTTTTCTTTTTTTGAGACAAAGTCTTGCTCTGTTGCCAGGCTGGAGTGCAGTGGCATGATCTTGGCTCACTGCAACCTCCGACTCCCTGGTTCAAGTGATTCTCCTGCCTCAGCCTCCCGAGTAGCTGGGATAAGAGGCATGTGCCGTTACGTCCAGCCAATTTTTGTATTTTTACTAGAGATGGGGTTTCACCATGTTGGCCAGGATGATCTCCTGACTTCATAATCTGCCCACCTTGGCGTCCCAAAGTGCTGGGATTACAGGCATGAGCCACTGTGCCTGGCCCCTAATGGTGTCTTTAATGAACAAAGTTACTCATTTTAATGGAGTTGATTCAAGTCTGCCAGGCTTTCCCCTTATGGAGAGTGCCTTTGTGTCTTGCCGGGAGTTCCTGCACCGAGGTCCGAGAGACCTCTCTCCATGTCTCCCAGGAACTTTACTGTTGTCCCTTGTAGATCCATGGTTCAGCTGGAATTCACTACGGTGTGCAGTGAAGGCCCTGGGTTTCCATGTGGGTACCCAGCGGTCCCGCCTTCCCCCACCTCAGTGCCCCTTGGATGGGGTGGGAAGGGGGTGCCAGGCAGTCAAAGAAGCAGGGTTGGGGGGGTGGTGTGGCAGCGGCAGCCTGGGAGGCCAGGAGGTTGGTGAGGGCAGGTGGCAGGCTCGCTTGTTGGGCATGTCAGTGAACATCTCCAGGATAACAGAGGCCAGGGTTGTCCCTGCCCAGAGAGGAGAGTTACAGACACGAGAAGGGGGAAGGTGAGAAAGAACCTGTGTGTTGTGTGTGTGAGGTTTGTGTATGTAAGTTGTGTATGTGTGAGGTGCCTGTGTGGTGTGTATGTATGTGAGGTGTGTATGAGGTGTGTGGTGTGTGTGATTGTGTGTTGTGTGCATGCATGTGAGGCATGTGTGTGTTCCCTAGCCCGTGTGCGGAGGGGCCTGGTGGCTGGGGCACACTCTGGCAGTGAGCAGGTGGACACCCAGGTCCTGGCTTCTAAATGCCTGTGTGTCCTAAGCTGAGTGAGGGTTCCCCGGGAGATGGCAGATTCTAGGTCTGGACATCTCGCAGATGGCCACGTCAGAGGATTCTGAGCCAGCCTGCAGGGACTCCCATTAGCCTGGGCCAATTTGAGCACTAAAATAAATGATCAGAATTAGGGATGATGAGCCTTTGAAAACTATGGGTCCTGACCAGGCGATCAGGGTTGACACCCCTGATGGTGGGCAGGTCACATCGTGTGCCTCGCAGCGTGACGACTGGTGTCATCTGAGGAATATGGGCCTGGGCCTCGTCCCCAGGGAAGGAAGGAGTGCAAAGACATGAGAGAGAGGCAGAGACAGGGAGAGAGAAGGGGCCATGCAGGGGGCAGAGGCAGCCGGGGCCCCGCGAGGCCCCACACAGGCCACGACGCCCCAGGATGGCTGTGGGCTGTCGGGGCTCACCCTTGGTCAGGATGCGGTGTTGACAAGGTGGAGTTCTTGGTGAGAGGCTCACCTGTGTGCACAGGGCTAGGAGGGGCCGGGAGAAGCAGGCCACTGCAGCAGGAGGCATACGGGGTCTTCGTGCCGTTCTCACAACTGTCCTGTGAGTTCAAAACTGATTCAAAATAAAAAGTTAAGCTGGGCACAGTGGCTCACTCCTGTAATCCCAGCACTTAGGGAGGCTGAGGTGTGCTTGGGCCCAGAGTTCGAGACCAACCTGGGAAACATGGTGAAATCTCGTCTCTACAAAAAATACAAAAATTAGCTGGGTGTGGTGGCACATGCTGGTAGTCCCAGCTACTTGGGAGGCTGAAGTGGGAGGATCATCTGAGGGAGGAGTTTGAGGCTGCAGTGAGCTGTGATCACCCCACTGCACTCCACCCTGGGCAACAAATCAAGATATTGTCTCAAAGAAAAAAAATGTTAAAGTTCCTGGAAAAACAAGTCAGTCCTCCACTCCCCGCAGGGCTTACATGGGTGCCCTCCATATGAGCGTGGTGTGCAGCCACACCTCCCCTCCCTTGGCCCTGGCCCCTCCCCATGCTGAGGACACCCCCATCTCGGCCTCCCTGCAGTGTCATGTTGAGCCTTGCCGCCTAGCAGAGCCACGGGGGCTGTGCACGTCTTTGTGCTCCAAATGTCCAGGTACATTTTGACATCAGTTTGGCAGGTTCTCCAAAACCCCAGTGGAGATTTGGACGGGACCGAGTTGCCCAGATCGGCCTTTGTGGTGCTGAATTCTCTGTGGCGTGGGCACCACAACCGCAACTGCACACCGCACACCGCACGGCCCTCCTGGCAGAGCATGGTGCATGATAATAACTGGCACCCAGACTTTGTTTCAATTTCTTCTGTTTGTCCACCAGTGACATTTCTGCTCCGGGATCCTCTGAGCTGTCACGTCTCCTTAGTCCCTTTTGGTGTGTGATCACTTATTTTCGTGACCTCAACATTTTGGTCTTTTTTTTTTTTTTGAGGCAGGGTCTTGCTTTGTCACCAAGGCTGGAGTGCAGTGGTGTGATCACAGCTCACAGCAGCCTCAATCTCCCAGGCTCAAGCAATTCTCCTACCTCAGCCCCCTGAGTAGCTGGAACTGCAGGTGCACGCCACCAAGCTTGACTAATTTAAAAAACATTTTTTGTAGAGATGGAGTCTCACTATGTTACCCAGACTGGTCTTGAACTCCTGGGCTCGAGCAGTCCTCCCACCTCCACCTTCTAGGTATGATCCACTGCACCTAGCTGACACTTTTGAAGAGTTACCGCCCAGATGTTTTGTAGAACGCCCCTCAGGTTGGGTTTGTCTGATATTTTCTCAGGTTAAGACTGGGGTGATGGGTTTTGGGAAGAAACCCACAGAAGTGAGGTTTCTCATCCTGTCATCCCGGAGTCCATGCTGAACACATGGGTCCCTGATGGCCCATGGCTTGCCGGGGACAACCCTGGTCACTGGGGCAGGAAGTGTCTGCCTGACTCCACTGTCAAGGTATAGCTTTTGCTTACTAGCTGCAGTCCACATGCAAAGAGAAAAGGAAGCTTCACCTCCTGGGGAGAGGAGAGCCAAGGATGTGTGGCCCTGTGTTAAAACCACTGCAGTAATTACTAACATCTGGGGAGTGTAGTCACAGCTACTCAGGAGGCCGAGACGGGAGGATCGTTTAAGCCGAGGAGTTTGAGACCAGCCTGGGCAACATGTTGAGACCCTTACCCTTTTGCCGCTGATTTTAGCATCCATCTGTGGACTCTGCCTGCACCTGTTATTACTGGGGTATTCTCGTTTCCCTCATCCCTCCCAGCCATGGCAGATTTCTACTTTAATTGGAATATAGGAAGCTGGAAGGAAGGTTTATTCCTTCTTTCTGATACATAATACACATTCACTCATGAGGATGGGCTCATGCAGATTTACTTCTTTCTTTGGGCTAAAATCTAATACCACCATGATTTATTTGATTTCTCAGATTGTTCCAGCTTCAGAGTCCGTGTCCTTCTGACATCCCCGATCCTTTTTTATTTTTATTTTATTTTTTGAGACAGGGTCTCCTGGAGCACAGTCACTCGATCATGGCTCACTGCAGCTTCCACCTCCCAGGCTCAAGCAATCCTCCCACCTAAGCCTCCTGAGTAGCCGGGACTACAGGCACGCACCACCATGCCTGGCCAATTTTTGTGTCTTTTGTAGAAACAGGGGTCTCACTATTTTGCCCAGGCTGATCTGGAATTCCTGGGCTCAAGCAATCCTCCTGCCTTGGCCTCCCAAAGTGCTGGGATTATAGGTGTGAGCCACCGCACCCAGTCTTTATTTTATTTTTATTTATTTATTGAGACAGAGTCTTGCTTTGTCACCCAGGCTGGAGTGCAGTGGTGCAATCTTGGCTCACCACAACCTCTGCCTCCCGGGTTCAAACAATTCTCATGCCTCAGCCTCCCAAGTAGCTGGGATTACAGGCACGTGCCACCACACCCAGCTGATTTTTTTGTGTTTTTAGTAGAGACGGGGTTTCACCATGTTGGCCAGGCTGGTCTTGAACTCCTGACCTCTCAGGTTATCCACCTGCCTCGGCCTCCCACAGTGCTGAGTACAGGCGTTGAGCCACTGCACCCAGCCTTATTTTATTTTTGAAGCATTTCTCACTGCCTGGCACTACAGGATGCTTGAGACTCCTCTTGGTTTTCCTCCACTCCACCCTAGACTCAGCCATTTCTCCAGAGCCCTGGTTCCTGTTTTTGGAGAACAGCATAAGAAACCAAGACTTGGGTTAGGTGTGGTCATTGCTTCTAGGTGTTCTCAGTGGACAGCACCGGGAGACGCCTGGGTGCCCGCTGACCTGTGCTTACACACCCGTCTGTACTCATTTCTGTCTGTGCATCTGCCCAAACACTCGTTGTTCATATTGACTTTACAATTCTAATTCGACTCCGCCAGCCCATGTCTCCCCTGTGCCTCTTCGTCACATCTCCCTGTGGTGAGACCCCGGGCCCATGAGCCACCACTGGTTTCCTCATCTGTTCTACCAGGTGTACGCGTGGAGAGGATTCAGAACTGTAACCTGCACCCCTCTGAGAAACTAATTCACCCACTGGAACAGTTTCTGCACAGTTATTTTTGTCTTTAACCTCATAAGCATCTAGTCATGAGCACTACCCCAAAATGCCTCAGGTTGGCTCCCCTCTGTTCTCCCCCTTGTCACAGTCTGCAGTCCTTCCTGGGATCCTGGCACCCTGGGAGTTTGCTGGTTTTAGGGTGCACACAGTGAAGTTTGCTCTCTGTGCTGTGCAGCACTGCAGGGTTGGTGTCCCCCACCCCGGGGCCACGCTGGACAGCCATCAGTCCACAGCCTTGATCCACTGCATGTCCTGGCCTCGGGCACTTTGGTGCTGGCTCAAGTGTCAATGCCAGAGCGGTGAGGCCCTTCCTCAGCTGAGGCTCCCGACCTGCGATGATCCAAGCTCACGGCACCCACTCTCTGGAAACATGGCCTTGCCTTCCTTCCGCTGCAGGGGCCATGGGAGCTGACACTTGTCAAGGGGAGTCTCAGGCCTGTCTCCTCTTTGTCTGGCAGTCAGGGCCGGGACCTGAAGCTGTGCCTGTGGGACCTCGCGGAGGGCAGGAGCGCTGTCGTGGACTCCGTGTGCTTGGAGAGTGTGGGCTTCTGCCGGAGCAGCATCCTGGCCGGGGGCCAGCCACGCTGGACGCTTGCCGTGCCAGGGAGGGGCAGCGACGAGGTGAGAGCCAGCCTGCCTGAGGCCCCATGTTCTCCAAACAGTTGTGCTCATCCTCTGCATTTGATTAGGAGGCGCCTGCGCCTACCCACAGGACTCCATGGAGCCGCCCACCTGCCGGCAGCTTCAGCAGCCGGGGCTGATGCACAGCCGGCTAGGCCTGGGCCTGTCCCCTTGGGGTGGCCTTGCTGATGAGCCATCCTCCCAGGGCAGTGGGAGAATCAGGAGGCGTTGGGGGAGGGGCCGGTGTTTTGGAGGCCTGGGCACCCAGCATAGTTCTGCACATGGAGGACAGTGGCGTGGGATGGCCAAGCATGGAGGCCCGAGGCCGGCAGGAACGGCAGGGGAGAGACTGCTCAGGCCCTGAGGACCTTAGACCCAAGTGGGAGGAACGCTCCGGGGCAGCTGGCAGGAGGCGGTGGGAGAGAGACCAAGTCCCTGGTGAAGTTGGAGGCCTGGGGAGGGCTGACCCAGGGCAGCAGGGAGGGTGGTATCTCAGGGCACACAACCAGGGCTGGGATGGGTGGGTGCAGGCACAAGGTGGTGATCACAGTCCTCAGGGGAAAGGTGAGCTAGGGAACACCCAGGGGGTGGGGGGATCACCAAGCAGGGAGGCCACTGTTAGGTGGAGCTTAGGCCAGAATGACCAGAGGTGTTGGTAACACAGGACTGGCCCAGCTGGACAGTGGTATCCACACCCCCAGTGGCACAGGAGGCAGGGTCTGCCAAGGGAGGGGTGCCCAAGATGTGCGGGGAGGGTGTCATAGTGGAGGAGGGTGTGGCTGGAGGCTCAGCTCTTGGGGGAGCTGAAGGGAAATCAGAGAAGAGCCTTTGAGTGGCGACTGTCCCACCTGGTGAGTGGGGCATGGTGGCCCGAGGGCGGGGCATGGGGAGGACATACCATGGAATAGGGGGCGCACACGTGGGGGCTACTGTCCATGCCCACTGCCGAGTCCTCCCCATTCGCTGTGCCCGGGCAGTCTTTGGGGCTGGTACTGGGCAGGACGGCCCCCACGCACAGTTGGGCTTGGCCCCTGCCCAAGGAGAGTCGTTCTGTCTTCAGGCAGATCCAGTACAGAAATAATGAGATAGGAACAGGCATTTATTTGTTCATTGCATTTAAATAACCAATTAGGAGCTACATACACTTTTCTTGCCAATCTGCCAAAAACCTGTTACAAGTTGTATTTATGTGAGAAAGAGGGGCGTGCTTCCTCCCCCGGGACCCAAGGTCTACAGACCCACAGGAATGCTGCAGGAGTTTGAGTCAGCTCTTCCCTTGGCCTGCTGTGCTCCATGCGCTGGTCTCGGCCACCCCCAGGCCGCCAGCCAGCACTCGGTCAGCCTGCGCTGCCCCCTGCCACACGTCCCCTGTGCTCAAGGCTGTCTAACCCTCCTCCTAGCTTTCAGCTCTCCCTGTGGGGCAGCATCTGTCTTTTCCCGGGGCAGCCTGTCTGGGGACCTCTCACATCCTGGGAAAACAGTTGCTTTCCACATTCCCACCTGGAATCTGTCAGACTGGGCGGGAGAAAGCCTCACTGGCCTGCACCCAGACAACGCCCAGGGAGCCGCACTCCCACCCCACTCGGCCGGCTGGGTGGCCACACTTGCCCAAACCTAACATTTTTCCTTCTGGAAACAAAAGTTGCAGTCAGGTGCCAGGCGGAAAGCTCATGGGTGTCTGTAGGAGGCTCCAAGTACAGGCGCAGGCAGGGGCAGCCCCGGGCTGAGGACCCAGCCCAGGTAGACGTGGTGTGTACCTCTGGTGCTCAGGCCCAGGGCTCACCACTCCCCTGCACCCAGGATGTGGTTCAAGGCGCCGCCACCCCCGCTCCCTCCTGCAGCGCCCAGAGTGGGGCATCAGGGCTGCCCTGGGTTCTGCCCTCACCGCACCCCTCCTCCCCCCATCTTTTGCCCCTGCCCTCACTGGCCTGCTCAAGTCCTTTGCCCTTGATGTCCCCTCACTGTCCCCAGAGGGGTCTTTTGGAGCCCAAATTGAGACAGGCCTTCCTTGGTTGGGGACTGTGTATGGCCGTGTAGGCTGTGTAGCCAGTGCCTGCCTCCTCCGCAGCCCTCCCCACCCCACAGAGGCACAGGTGTGCTCAGGGCGGCTCCTCCTGCCCCTGGCTTAAGTCCCCTACCTCCCCACCCCATTAACTGCTGGAACTAGCCCATCTTCCTGATATAGCGACAAGAAGAACAGATCTTATTTTAAGAAATCTGGCACAGAGGAGTGCAAAAAGTAGGAAATCATAGTCCCAGCTACTCAGGAGGCCAAAGCAGGAGGAACCCAGGAGTTCGAGACCAGCCTGGGCAACACAGTGAGACTCCATCTCTGCAAAAAGTTAGCTGGGCCTGGTGGCCGCACACCTGTAGTCCCAGCTACTGGGGAGGCTGAGGTGGGAGGGTTACTTGAGCTCAGGAGTTCAAGGCTGCAGTGAGCTGTGATGGCACCAGCCTGGGTGACAGAGTGAGACTCTGACTTTAAAACAAAACAAAACTTCTCAATTTAATATGGGGAAAACAGGTTGTGAAATGGGAAAAGTTCCCTTATCCCCTCCCGGGGCGTGCAATGGAGGTGTGTTTCGCTTCCTCGGTGTCCCACTGCTCAAACTTCTAGGGGAGCATACAGACAGGCAGGCTGTGAGGCTTTGACCCCACAGCAGTGTCTAGGGGTGAATGTTTACAGCTGAAGCCCCAGTGAGTGTGTGTTACAGGGTGCTCTTTTAGTTTAGCTGTCCATAGGTGGCTTGTATTAGTCAGCTCAATTAGACCCTTGCCTTATTGCAAGGACAGAAGGCTTTCAGTATCCTGGGGTTCTTGCCTTGGTGTACTGGAAGAATTGGATCACACATGGGCTTGGAGAATGAGTGCAAGGTTTTATTGAGTGGAAGTAGCTCTCAGCAGATGAGGGAGCCAGAAGGGAGATGGTTTTCCCCTGGAGTTGGGCTGCTGGGTGGCCTGGGCTCTCCTCCAACTGCCCGGCCAGATTCCACCTCATTCCGCTCGCTGGTTGATGGCCTGCCAGCATGCCAGCCTCTGTCGGTGTGCTCTTCCACCACCGTGCTCCCCTCAACGTCCTCTCAACGTCCAGCCACTTGTGTCTCTGCTTGCTATGGTCTTGGGGGTTTTTAAAGGCACAGAATGGGGGTGTGGTGAGCCAGGGTGGTCTTGGGAAATGCAGCATTTGGGTGCGAAGGCAGGAGTGCCTGTCCTCACCTAGGTCTATAGGGACAGGCCCGGGGGTGGAGCCCTTGCCAGGTGACTTCCCTTCCTAGCACTTCCCTGCCCCTCTCCCGTATCATTTGGAAATGTGGGGAGTGAGCCAGGCAGTGTGGTCTACACCCTCCCAGACCCTCCCCACAGCCCTGACGGTGGCTCTCACAGACCCTTCCTGAAAACAGCAAAGGGACAATGGTGGCAACACCCAATGACAGCTTGCCACTGCTCCCTTAGCTGGGATCACAGAGGTGGCACATGGGCTATAACTCTGGTCCTTGCAGGCCGCCCTGGTGCCTCTAGCTCTTCACTCAGTGGCCATGCTGATCCTAAGAGGAGGAACCCTGTCCCGGAGTTGCTGTTACTTGCAGAAGACAAAGAACGGCTAAGCCCGCCCCAGCTTCTCCTGGGTTCTCCACGTTCTTCTGTGCCAGGCTCAGTGGCACCTCGTCTTGGTTTTTGGACATCAATGTTCCTATATTTCCATGTGGCTAGAGCTTCTCCTTGAGCGGTTTTTCCGCAAGGAATCCTTGGTGTCCACAGAGACCTCTGTTTTACCCTCCTGCTTACCATTTTGGCCGGCTTTGGAGTTCAGGCTTGACAACCTTCCCCAGAGCTCGCAGGCCTGGTCTCACCATCACTGAGCCTCTTGGTTCCTGACTGTAATCACCTCTCCCATTACTGAGTTCTTTTTTGCCCTCTTCATTATGTTGCTCTGTTTGTTCCCCGGGGGCCCCTTTCGTCAGATGGTTGGCTCCCCCTGAGGCCCCTGGTTTCTGGGCTTGATGGGCAGGAGGCTCTATTTGTGTGTGCAGGTGTGTACATGTTACCCATGCATGTGTGTGTGCATGCGTTTGTGTGGGGCCTAGATCTGTGAGCCATCCCTGGGGCTGAGTGGGGCTGAAGCCCTGTGTTGGAGGCTGAGCTCCTGGTGCTGAGTGGAGCAGAAGCCCTGCTGTCAGAGGCTAAGCTCCTGGTGCTGAGTGGAGCAGAAGCCCTGCTGGCAGAGGCTGAGCTGCTGTGGGGGCCCCTGGCAAGAGCAGCCTGCACAAGAAGCGCCGTGGCCCTGGTCCGCGTACTGGAGGTGGGCGCCTCAGCAGGTCTCTGTAGCTGGAAGGACCGGGCTGTGGGCCCAGCTCTCTGCCCTGCCCGGAGGTGACCTCAGCACACCCATAGCATGCCTGTGGCAGATCTGGGATTCAGACTTGGGGTCCCGGGCCTATTCTGTGTGGGTTAGTGAGGGCAGCAAGCTTCTCACCCACAGAGGCACAGGCCCCTAAGACACGATCCCTCTGCCTGGCTCAGGAGAATAGAGGGGCCAGAGACCGCTGGACCAACTGGTATGAGTTCTGCCTACTCAGAGCCCCCAGCCTCAGGGGCTTGGACTCCTTGTGTGTAAAGTGGGTGATGCCCCATGTATGCCAGGCTCTGTCCAAGGTGGCTGTGCATTGATATTATTGCTGTGTTATCGGTAGCTCATTCCAAGTGGTTCCTATGTAAAACATGCACCAGGAAGGAGAAGCAGACAGAGGAGATAGAATCAGTGGGCTCTGTCAGGGGCCAGTGAGCTGCTCTCGCTTGTACCTGGGGAAGTTCAGTGCTGGCTGAGCCTCCCCAGTTCCCAGAGCGAGGGCAGAGGGTGCAGGCGGACCTGGATTCCAGCAGAACCACCTGGCAGTCTGCTGCTTGTGGCCTCGGCCATCCCCTGACCTGGCTGTTCAGGAGATGTGTGACCAGCGAGCCTACACCCCACAAGCCGGCATGGCACATCTCCCAGCCCAGGTGTAGGGGGGCCCTGGCCTGTGTTCAGGGGACCTGGAATGCAGCCTCGATGCACAGGGGACACCGGGGCGTCCAGGTGGGGGAGCCAGGTTTCCCGGAGCTGCCCTCAGAGGACGCACATCACATTCATTTCTCAAGTGGGTGGCAAATCCCTAGGTGCTCCTGGGCGAGTCTTAGAACCATGGCTATGCCTGAGATCACTCACACTGGTTCGTATGTAAAGCCTACACCAGGAAGGAGAGAGAATCGGTGGGCTCTGTCAGGGGCCAGTGAACCAGCCTCCTGCTCAGCCTGCACGGTAACGTCGGGAGAGGCTGGGGCAGCTGCCAGGCGGTGACCTGGGAACAGTGAGAGCGTTTTGCAAGGGCCCATGCAGCCTAATTAGGAGCCTGGGCTCCCAGGTGCCCACGGGGAGGGGAGCAGACAGAAACTCACAGCAGCCCGGGCTAATCGCCTTAAGAGTCTCTTGTTTGTATAGCGCAGACTCGACTTGGCGACGGCCCAAATCAACTTGTTTTCTTACTGTCAGGTTCAGATTCTGGAGATGCCCTCCAAGACGTCAGTGTGCGCCCTGAAGCCGAAGGCAGATGCCAAGCTGGGCATGCCCATGTGCCTGCGGCTGTGGCAGGTAAGGCCCCGCGTGCACCAGCCACGCCCTGCCGGCCACACCCACGGCCATGAGTCATGCTCCATTCAGGATCTGATTTATCGTCGAGCCACTCAGGCAACACCCCACCCCCCTGCCGCAGGGAACCTGTGCAGCTGCCTCAGTGTCCCCACGGCCCTCTGCTTCCTGCTGCTGCAAGGGGCCTCCTGTCAGTGCCCCAGGAGAGGCCTGGCTTCAGCCAGCAGCAGTGGCAGCAGGTCCTCGTCCTTTGCAAGCTCCGGTGGGCTCACCCCGCAGCTCGTGGTGCCCTCCAGTGAGCGGTGAGGAGGGGACAGTGGGGTCTGCCAGCGCCTCAGTACTTGGGCCGTGCTTAGGGCAGGGCAGGCCACGCTGACTAACTGCAGCAAGCCTGCACGGCCCCCGCTTTGCTTAGGATTGATTTTTATTACTTCTTTGCCTCTTAGAGGCAGGAGTGGACTTAACACAATGACATTCCCTGAGGCCACATTTGGAATTTCTGATCCATGAACATTTCCTTCCTTCTCAACTGTTCTTTGTGGTTAGACAGGGTTGGAAGGCATCAGCCGGGGCACAGGTCGGGGTTGCTGGGAGGGACTCTTCTGGGCCAGCTGCCTCCATGCAGCACAGCTTCCTCGAGGCCAGTCTCCTCCCTCATCACCCTTCAGGCCAGCACTGGCTCAAGGTGTAGCTGCCCTCCTCGGGGCCGCTCATGTCCAGGGCTGCAGAGCAAGTGATCCCGTGCATTCACTTGCAAAGAGCCCCTCAGCCCTGAGCTGCCTCGGAAGCCCACGGTAAGGGGTCACCAGCAGCACTCTTCCCAGGCCCTAAGTCATGCCAGGCACCCTCCTTTTCTATTTTATTTATTTATTTTTTTTTTGTGATGGAGTCTCGCTCTGTCACCCAGGCTGGAGTGCAGTGGCGCGATCTCTGCTCACTGCAAGCTCCGCTTCCTGGGTTCACGCCATTCTCCTGCCTCAGCCTCCTGAGTAGCTGGGACTACAGGCGCCCGCCACCACGCCCGGCTAATTTTTTGTATTTTTAGTAGAGCCGGGGTTTCACCATCTCAGCCAGGATGGTCTCCATCTCCTGACCTCGTGATCCGCCCGCTTCGGCCTCCCAAAGTGCTGGGATTACAGGCGTGAGCCACCGCGCCCGGCCCAGGCACCCTCCTTTTCTGTTTGGCTCTGAGAACTGCCCTGGGCTGGGCCTTTACCGGGAGGTGACTCTGGCTCGCTGCCTCTTTGACCTCCTCATGAGAGCGAGACCGGATGGGCCTGTGCAGTTTGTGGGCATCTGCATGCCCTGCAAGGCCCACCGGGATGGGTACCCCCAGAGTCCCTGCCCCCAGCTTTTCTCTCTCTCCACGTGACCAGAAAGTGGGCGCCCCTTACTGCAGTCAGCTTCCCCCTGTGGTTTCTTGACTGAGAAGGTTCACTTGGAATTTGGGGTCTCCCGTGGACTGATCCTGTAGTGCTGCTTCTGTGGCTGTGGCCATTTGGGGAGAAGCCCTCACAGGAGGCAGGGTGGCTTCCGGGAGGCTCACCTGAGATGATGAAACTCGGTGCCAGCAGGCTCACAGCCGGGCCACAGGGACTGCAGCAGAGCCTGGGTCACTGGGCTCCATGTGCCCACACAAGGCTCCTCCAAGGGCTTGACATGGGCTCCGCTGGGAGGAAAAACGCCCCCCAAGGCTGCAACCCCGCAGGCAGTGGGCAGGGCATCCAGGTCCTGGGGAAGGGTGTCCGAGTCTGCACGGCTCCTGTTCCACCCCTTGGGAAACGTGGGTCATTGCACAATCATGTAAAATTCCAACAGAAAAATGCGTAGAAAGGGATGTACAAACTTGTTAAGGTAATTAATGTAGTTGACAGAGGACAAATCGTGTTTCTGTTGGTGATGGAGATCCAGCGTGAAGCATTCCGCTAAGAAAAGCCGACATTAACTCCACATGTTCCCTTTTCCATCCCCAAGCCTGAGGGTCAGGTTATAATTTATCAATCCAATTGTGGCACAGTGGCCTGACTTGCTTTTTTTTTTTCTGAAACATTGAGGGTTTTCTTTTTTTGGGGGGCAATCACATTTTTATTTATTTAAAAAATTTTTTAATTTTTAATTTTTAGTATATTCTTATTTTGCTCCTCTAAGCAGCTGACCTGCAACATAAGAATAATTGCTATTAATATATAAAAGGTCAGGACCTACGTCAAGCCTGAGGCAGTCACTGGCATAGCCCTCAGGGCAGGGGCCACTCCAGCCAGCCCTGCCCTGCTTCTTGGGGTATGGTGCATGGAGGGCTTCCCACAGCCCCTGACCTGCTGTGTCCCTCTGGGGGTGCCAGTCAATGGGAGGGGTGCAGAATGAGGCCTGGCCTCCAGGTCTCATCTGCGGGCAGGGAGGGGGCAGAGAAGAACAGGTCCAGGAGACTTCAGATCCTCTCCCCTGCAGAGGTCAGGCAGCATCAAGGCTGTGGGCACCGAAGTGCTCCAGCCACAAGAGGACTGCCCGGCCTGTGGTATCTGTCACTAGGGGGCTGCAGGGACCAGGGGCATAGCAGGGGCTGGCAACCACAGGGCAAGCCCCTCCAGGCCAGGTTGGCTTCTGCTCCAGCCACCCTGTGGCACCACGACAGGCGGGTCAGTCACACACACAGTCCCTGCGTTGGCCATGGCATCTGAATTCAGAGGCAGTGGCTTCACACAGGCTCTAGGCTCTGAGACTGCCAGAAGGACATCGGTGATGGGAGCAGCCCCAGGCAGTCTCAGCTCCTGCAGTGGAGGAAAGTGCCGGGGAGGAGGGTGGCACAGGCTGGGAACAGGTGCCACCACAGAGCGCTGCCTGAGGGGAGTGGGTCCAATGAGGAGAGTCTTTGGAGTCAGCTTCTGGGGTTGGCCTGCATTCCTGGTTGGGATGCAGAGTGTTCCCCGCTGCTCTCGCCTGGCCCTCACCCACTGTGAGTTCAGACGCACCACTTACCAGGGGGAGGCCCTTCTAGGGAGCCAGGGCTGCCTGCAAGGAGCTTCTGTGCAGAAGGCATGGTGCCCATGTTGGGAAGGAAAGTACTGTGGGTCCCTGCACGCCTCATTTCCCAGCAGGTGATCTGAAAGGTGCCAACATGGAACTCCTCCCAGGGATAAAACAGCACACGCAGGAGCGTGGCCAGGACTTCTGCAGGGAGGGGCAGGGGGCTGAGTACACTCGGGGCCCTGGGGCAGCCCTGCCTCCCAGGGACAATGTGGACTCTGGCAGCGGGGCATGACTTGGGATGAGGCCTGGGAGGAGGTGCCCCGGGAGAAGACACACTGACCGCCACTCGCCTCCTCCTGGAGCCTCACTCTTCTCAGTTTTGTCTGTGTGAACTCTGTTATTAGAACCCAGTGGTTTTACAAGTCTTTTTCAGGGACATGTATGAGGACCACTGGACCAGCTCTGGCCTCGGGTTCACATGCCCACATCCTGCAGGGCACAGTGAGTGTCCTTCTGTCCCTGGCATGGCCATCCCCTCCAGGTCAGGGCAGTTGGCCTCGGGCTCCGGGCCTGGCTACCCCGGTTCCCATCACCAGCCTTCTGATGCAGCGAGCCCTGGTCCTTGTGGTGTCTGAGGACTCAGCATCCCTTTGTTAGGCACACGCCCTGGTGCCTTCTGGCTCCCTCAGGTCTCCTTGCTCAGCCATGCCAGGTTTCTCTGGGCTGTCATTCTTGGTGCCGGGGACTGACGGCTGTGTCCCCAGGGTGATGCGGAATCCTGCAGTGCTCTCCTCCTGCAATTATTCCAGAGGCTTAACAAACGAGGTGTCTGCCCAGGGCTTGGAGCCCTCTGACCCGCGCCCTCATTCATCACAAGAGCTCGGGCGGCTCACGCCAGGCTTCAGGGGCAGGGGCTTCGGCAGCCACTTTGACAAAGCACAGAGAGTTCATTTTTCATGGAGATGGAGCTCACGGTTTCTTCTGGCTGGCGGCTCTAGACAGGTGACCAGCCCCAGTAAGTGGTGGCCACACATCTTAGGCCTGGGGAAAGGAGGCAGGAGGACAGGTCCCTGTGCATGGGAGAAGTGGAGAGGGTCGGCAGCACTCACAGTGGCTGGTGGGTGCCCAGCATCACCCCTTTGGGCAGAACCCAGGGTGGGCACATGCAGGTTGCAGGGCTGGTGAGAAGTGGTACAGCAGTGGGAGGCCTTGGGCTTGGCTCTCTGCCCTCCACCCCTATGTCCTTGGGGTGCCCTAAGGGCAGCCGTGCCAGTCCCATGCTGACAGCATCAGCCATCCAGGGGCTGTGTGGGAGGGCACTGGCGGTGCAGAGCTTCTGAGCTGTGGCAGCCACGTGGAAGACATGGGAAACAGCCCCAGCCAGCAGGAGGGGCAGGAATTTCCAGAGCCCCTTCTCCCCCGAAACTCACTGGAGTCAGGGTCCTTCCAGGAGCTGACTGCTCTGCTGTTCCCCGCAGGCCGACTGCAGCTCCCGCCCACTCCTTCTGGCCGGCTATGAGGATGGATCGGTGGTCCTGTGGGACGTCTCTGAGCAGAAGGTGTGCAGCCGCATCGCCTGCCATGAGGAGCCCGTCATGGACCTTGACTTTGACTCCCAGAAGGCCAGGGGCATCTCAGGCTCCGCGGGGAAGGCGCTGGCTGTCTGGAGCCTGGACTGGCAGCAGGCCCTGCAGGTCAGTGCGCCAGGCCCCGGGTCTCATTTATCCTGCTCTGCACTAACAGTCTGATAGGCTGAAACAATATTTAGGCATGAAGAGGAGTTGTTGCAGATCCCTGGCTAATTAATCACTTGGAGGCGGGTGCAGGGGGGCTGTCCATGGCTGGCGCAGGAAGAAGGGGGCGTGGGCGCTGGCAGACCATTCACATGGTTTGGGTTTCGCCCAGACCTCGGGTTCATGCCGTCACATCTTGTCCATCTAGAGAAAGGCACGCAGAGTCCAGGAATACTCAAACCCCTTTGTGAAAACTCAGAGGAATTTGGTCAGTAAGGAACTGATTAATCAAAAAAAAAAAAAAAAAACCAGTGTGGAAAACTGCGAGGAGCTGCAGCCCCCGTGGTGGTCTGGAGCTGGCCCGAGGGAGGCCATTGCTCACGGGCAGCAGGAAAGCCCAGCAGGAAGGCTGGGAAGCCTCAGGGCCACCTGGCGGTTGCTGAAGATCTTCCCATGGTGTCTCCTGGGCTCTCCTAGCTGGCATGGCTCGAGGGGCACCGTGGTGTCCCTGTCTGGGCCTGTGGCTCCAGGGTGGCCTGGCCTACACGTGGCCCTGTTTGGGATGGGAGGGATCAGGTCAGGCTGGTGGGGGCAAGGGGAGTCTCCTGTCCAGGTCTCACTCTGGTGCAAGTCTCAGGGGCTGCAGAGACCATGGGAGATGAGGTGCTGGGTGTGGCCTGGGTACATCCTGGCTTCTGGGGGGTGGACAAGGAGCCCCCATTCACCAGAAGTCTTGGAAGCCTGAGACCCATAGCCAGCGAGTGGTCAGATTGCCCAGTCTAGTGGGTGAAGGGCCTCCAGGGGGAGCTGCATGTCCCGTGAGGTGACTACTGGCAGAAGCAGCAACAGCTCCCAGCCTCACCAAGGACAGGGCCCGGGGCTGCCCTTCTCTGTAGGGCTGTGGTCCAGGCTGTCTGTACGACAGGAGGCCACAGAGAGGGCATTCCTCGGGCCCCCCAGGCAGGGCAGACTTGCCCGCAGCCCCAGCAAGCCTGCTGCGCCTCACGCTTGCCCAGCCCTGGCCCCTGTGGGGCGGGGAGGGTTCACCTCGGGTCCGTCAGGCCCACCCCTGAGTGGGCACCACCAGAGTCTTTGAAGCACATGGTGGAGCTGCGGAAGGACATGCCCTGGTGAGACTAGGATACACAGAGGGGCAGGGTTCTGTGAGCGGCCCCAGTGCCCTGTGGGCATCACCAACCTGTGCAGGCACATGGTAGACTTGCAGGAGAGCTGTGTCCATCCCTCACCCATCCGTCAGCTGTCCTGGGGATGGGGGCACAAGGCCCTGATGTAAGCGGCAGAGCTTCTCATGTCTCCCCGGGAGGAAGGGTCTCCTAAGGCTTAGCAGGCCTGGGTGGTCGGTGGATGTGTCATCATCATGATGCCCGTTCTGAGCAGCTAGAAGCTGAGCTGCTCTGGGCGCTGGGAGGCAGAGCCACTCTGGGTGCTGGGTCTGCATGTCTGGAAGGGGCGTCTCCCTTGCACTCCCTCCCTCCTCCTCAAGCCTGGCAGGGATCCTGCAGGGCTGCCCCCATGGGGTCCAGTGTTCACTTGGCACTGGCTTGTCCTTCACCAGCCTGACAGCAAAGCGCTGAAGACCCAGACAGCTTCCCTGAGAGCCCCCGGAGGGCTCTTCTCTGCAGTTTCCACCTCTGTGCCCAGGACCCCAGGAAGGGGCCCTCCTGCCGTCCTGGCCCAGATCTGCCTCGTCTCTCCTGGTGTGTTTGGGAAACAGCTGCTGGAACTTAGGACTGTAATTTATGGGGCATGTTCCAGTCCAGAGATGAACTTGACCGGATTGATGAATTGAAAAGTTAAAGCAAAAGGGGGACCAGGTATTAATGAATTGGAAAGTGAGAGCAGAAGGGAGAACCAGGAACAGGGAGTGGTTGGCGTGGCTGTGGCGTGCTGGGCAGGGCATCGGCCCATGGTGCACATCGAAGGAGAGGCGTTTCCCCTGCTGAGCCCTGTGTTGCATGGGCCAGGAGGAGGCCTGGGAGGGGACAGGCGACTCCAGGAACAGGGGACAGGGAGCCGGAGAGGCTGATGCGCCACCCTCTGCCCAATGTCACATCTTAACGTTGATCCTAGAGGCCCTGGAGATTGCAGGTTCTGTAAAGCCCCAGCCTCAGGGAAAGCCTGTGGGGGCGCTTTCGGAGGTGAGCTGCCTGAGAGCGTTCTTGCCACCCGGGAGCAAGCAAGGTGACCGAAGGTCCTCAGCACCCACAGGTGTCCTCACCCACCGCCTGCACTGTGACTCCTTGGCTGAGAGCCACGTGGGCACGGCTGTGTCCCCCTCACACCCTCCTGCCGAAGCCTCTGATGAGCCCAGATCAGTCTCCCCCCGGCGGGTGCTGGGAGTAGAGACGCGAATGAGGTTCCTGGAGCAGAGCATGGGTAATCGGAACCAGATGGTGGCTTCGCCGCACCACGCATTCCTGGCACCTGAGGTCATGCGCTACGAGAGCCACTGGTGGCCAGAGATCCTTCCTGGAAGGCCCAGGTCCAGGCTGGGGCTTGGCCAGGGGCCGCGGTGGTGACGAGGAGGCTGCCCACATCAGGATACCACCTGAGGGTGCCTCGGGGTCAAGTGGTGACTGGAGCCCTGAGCCTGCCTTGCTGAGGCGGCTTTCCCGTGAGCTGTCACAGTTAGAGCCTGTGTTGTCATCAGATACAGGTGGTACGCAGGCCCTCTCCCTCCCACATTTTGGGGTAGTGCCCACAGCCTTGAAGTGGGGACTGATTTACAGCCAGCCATATTCTTAGGGCTTTAAGTAATAATGAGGCTCCCCCACCCCAGGCAGCCCTGGTCTGGGAAGTGGACCAACCGTGGCTCTCCCACAAGACATGGCCAGGTGTCCCAGCTGCGCTCCCATCTGCACAGCAGTGGTGGCTGCTGCGCTGTCTGCCAGAGGCTTCCCTTTAGAGGGCAGTAGCAGAGCTGCTGGGCAGCCAGGAGGGAGGCCAAAGGGCCCCGGGTCAGCTCCCCGTGCATCGCATCAGGAGGAGAGGCTTGTGCAGGGCGTGGACATGTTTCCATCTGCCATCAGGAGCACGGTAGTGCAGGGCCCTGGCTGCTGTCACTGCAGGGCCAGGACCAGTCCTCCTCTTCTTCAGGAACACAGGGCTGGAGCAGGCCCTAGTCTTTCTCCAGGAGGCCCCACCAGGCTTCCCGCATCATCCTCATTTCCTGCGGGAAGCTGGTCCTTGAACCTGGTTTTCTTTACCTTGATGCTGTCACTGCTTTCTGAGAATGGCTGAGGTGGGTGTGGGGTCGCTCCTGTCCCTGCAGGCAGTGGCCGCCTGGCTGGTGGGTAGGCACAGCCAGGCTGCTGGGCAGGAGCTGGGCAGGAGGAACTGGGCATCTCAGCCTCCACAGGTGAAGATCCCTGGTCAGGACTTCTACGGAAACCTCCCCACACGCCTGTGGCTCCAGGCATTTGGCAGCTCTTTTCTCCCTGGGAAGGACCTGCCAGCAAATTCCTGTCAAGAGGGCCCTGAGCAGGCCCCAGTGGCTTCCAGTGAGGCCCATGGCGTGTGGCCTGTTGTTCCCTCTCTACCACTGACTTAGGGCAGAGGTCACAGGAGAGAAATGGGTGACGATGGCATCAAATCAGCCTCCTGTTCTTCCCAGCCGCCAGTTCCTTCCCTGGGCCACTGTGTTCTGGTCCCTGAGAGCTGGGGAGGGGCTCCTGGGTCTGCAAGCACAGGCGGCGAACCCCACACGCATGACAGGTACATGCCAGCATCCCCTCACGGCCCTGCGCAGCAGGTGCTGGACTTGACGGCCCCGCGCAGCAGGTGCTGGCCTTGACAGCCCCTCAGCCGGGTCACAGGGAGCCAAGTGGGGAGGTAGGGGCTGGTGTGGAGGGAGGGGAGGCAGCGCCAAGGCCGGGTGCTCTGGACACTGAGGCCAGCCTGGGCTTGCGGTTGCCAACCAATGGCTGTGTGTCGTGCTGCAGCACATTCAGCTGCTTGTGTGTGCACAGGCAGGATACCGCCGAGACCCCCAGAGCCAAGGTCTGCCAGGCAAGAGAGGTAGAGGACAGGCAGAGCGTCTGGGATGTGCTGGGACTGTGCTGGTTACAGTGCGCGGTGGGAGGGGAGGGGCCATGAGAGGGGTCAGGGCTGCAGGCCTTGGTAAGTCCGTGAACCAGGGGGCCCCGGGCCCTGGAGAGGCCTTGAAAGGGCAGGATGATGGGCTTGCAGGGGCTTGGCCTTGAGAGACAAGCTGGTGTTGAGGTAGGACGGCGAGGTGGCTGAGGGCATGGCAAGGCGCCTACCTCACTGGCCAGGAGCCTAGAGCAGTGTTGGGGGCGCAGGCGGTGGTATCCCAGGCCAGGGTGAGGGCTGCGCTGGCTGTGGGTTGTTTGGTGGCATCTCCTCGCCAGGCGAGGCTCCTCCCACCCCTCCTGGGGAAAGAATCTGGGTCTTGAATGGGTGCCTGATGTCACTAAATGATCTCACTGCATCTCTCCAACTCATACAGGTTTTCTTCTTGAATCTGTTCATTGCATTGTTGGAGTTTTCTTAAACATTAAAACAACTAAAATCCTCAGTCTGTCCCTGAATCTCAGGGAAAAGTCTTGAAATCACCGCCTGCACCCCCACCCCCCCTCCCGTGTGTGACATGTGCTCCGCCCACTCTGCTGGGCTGGGCCAGAACTGCCCAGGGCCACAGACGGACCTGGGCCTCCCTCTCCCACCACCTGCCTAGTGACAGGAGCCCCAGGCTCAGGGAGCTGGTGGGGAGCGTTCCCTCTTCTCCCGATGGATGGACACATTTGGGCGGTGGAGGTGGGGGGTCGTGAGTGACTGTAGGTTGGTCTTCGCCTGCACCATTACTGGGCAGTTATTTTCTCTGCCCAGGTTGTTTTCTTTGTGGACTAATTTAGGTTTCCTGATTTGGGGAATTTTTCTAGGAATTTGTCTGTGGGCATACAAATCCTGAAGGTTGTATTCCTAGTGACCTTTTTTGGACTGCTTGTGATGATTGTTTAAATTTCTGCCGCATTCAAAGCTCCGTCCCTGCTTTATTCCTGATCAGTCTTGTATGCGTTTGTCCTTGAGCATTTCTATCTTTCTGTTCATTGTTTCTGTCCTTGCCATGCTCTCCCTCCATCCCATGTCCCCTGGGTTGCATCTGCTGCCCTGCCTGGGGTCAGGTGCACAGCCCATCGGCACTCAGCCTTCCCTTGCCAGCCCCACATGGAGCCTGTTTCCAGAGGTGACTGTCCAGCTGGGCTCCCTGGTGCAAGAAGACATTGTCTTCCTCCCCCCACTTCCAGGCAGACCCCATTTTTATTATTTTTTCCCCATATTCCTCATTTGACACAAAGACCCCATTTTTATTTGTTCTCTGGCTGCTGAGTTAATTAGAATGTTTTTATGGTTCTGAATGTTTGATTTTTTTCCCCAGTTATTTTTTAGTTTTCAATTTCTAACTTAATTAACATTGTGGTCTGGGAACAAGGTCTGAATGATATTAGTTCTTTGAAATGCGGGGCCGTCCAGTTTTCATAAGCATTGCACATGTGCCAGGGAGGCAGTGCTGGTTGTCAGATGCCCCGCTGCACACGTGGGCGCCAGGCCCGTGTGTCCACTGATTCTTAGCCCTTTAAGTCATCCTGCAGGTCACCATGGTCCCCAGCAGGCGCAGAGAGGCCTGTCCTGTTCCCTTTTGCTGGGGGCCTGTCTGTATTTGCTTTATGCACTTTGAAGCTGGCCTGGGAACATGCCAGTTTAAAATGGTGATTTCCTGGTGAATGAGGTCTTTTCTTCATTCCCCCTCATCATCTCTAGAAAGGACATTTGCCCCAAAGCCTATTTTTCCAACTATTAATATGGCTCAGTCCAGGTTTCTTTTGGTCACTACTTCCCTTTATAGCCTTTACATTTTAATCATTTTACCTCCAACCTTCCTGGCCCTCCAGGCGTAGACACATCTCTTATGGAGCCAGTTCTCACATCGATGATTGCATGTCGTGTGTGAGCGTTGCCCTGGGTGTTCTTACATCTCAAGACCTCCTTCTGGAAGCCAAAAAGCGCATCCTTTAGGGATTCCTCAGGCAGGGGCCTCTTGGTGGCTGTGCTGGTGGCCTCTGATGCACGGGCCTGGATGCTGAGGGGCCGTTCTCTGAGCAGCAGCAGCTGCTGGGCCATGGGTCTAGGTCCTGCCACCTCCCTGGGCTGCTGAGAATTCAGCTCCCAGCCTGGCCACCTTCCATGTGACTCAGTCTCATTGGCTTTGACTTACTGTGTCTTCATTTTAATTCAGTTCAGAATATTGTGATTTTCTCTTTGATCTGTAGGTTCCTTGGTGGGGGTGTGTTATTTAATTTCCAAATATTCGTTGATTTTGTAGCTATATCTTTAATCTAGCTTAATTCTGTTGTCAGTGAATGCACGCAGTGCAATTGCAGTGTTTAGAAATTTATGGAGGCTTGCTTTTGGCCCAGCACATGGCGTGTCTCGGGGAGTGCACCACATGGACTTGAAAGGAGCGTGTGTTCCGCAGTTGTGGGGTGGAGCCTTCCGTCAGCCTGACCCAGGTCAGTGGACGTGGTTCCAGTCTTTAATATCCTTACCGATCTTTTGGTCTAGTTTTGTTTTTTTTTTACCAGTTACGCAGAGAAGGCTCTTAAAATCTTTAACTGTGATTGCAAACGTGCCTGTTTCTTTGTCTCTGCCAGTTTTGCTTCATGAGCTTTGAAGCTCTGGGGCTCAGTGTGGGTGTATAGGCGCTGAGATGTCACCTCATCTTGGTGCAGAGCCTTTTTCTCAGCACAAAGTGTCCCTTGTCTCTTGTTAATGCTCTTTGTCTTGAAGTTGGCTTTGTCTGATACTAAACAGTAGCATCGACTTTCTTAGGTTTGCCCTTTGCATTTTCCTCCTTGCTTCTACTTTCAACCTGTCCTGACCTCTTGATATTTAAAAAGCATCTTTTATTTTATTTTATTTTATTATTTTATTTTATTGTTTTGAGACGGAGTCTCACTCTGTCACCAGGCTGGAGTGCAATGGCGTGATCTCGGCTCACTGCAACCTCCGCCTCCCAGGTTCAAGTGATTCTCCTGCCTCAGCCTCTCGAGTAGCTGGGATTACAGGCACACGCCACCACACCCGGCTAATTTTTGTATTTTTAGTAGAGACAGGGTTTCACCATGTTGTCCAGGATGGTCTCGATCTCTTGACCTCGTGATCCGTCTGCCTCGGCCTCCCAATGAAAAGCATCTTTAGCAGACAGATGTGTCTTGCTTTGTGATGCTTTCTGACAATCTCTGCCTTTTAACTGGTGCATTTAGTCTGTTTGCATTCACTGTAATTATTGACATGCCTGGGATTAAGTCTAACACCTCTATACTTATTTTCTACTTGTCACTTCCATTTTTGACCACTTTTCCTCCTTTCCTACCTTCTTTTGTGGTAATCAAATATTTATTTTTTAGTATTCGGTTTTGTTTCCTCTCTTGGCTTCTTAGCTAGACCTCTTGCCACTTTTGTTCCTAAGTGGTTGCACTCCAAGAGTGTGCAACCTTCTCAAAGTCTCCTTAGAATCAGTGTTGTTTACATCCCGCCTCACAAACATGATGACCTTGTGCTGGTGCAATCCCTTCTACTCACCTTTTTAGTCTTTCTGTGACTGTTGTGATCTACTTGACGTCTACACACATTCAAAACTGCACCTTACAATATTAGTTTCCCTTTTCTTTGAGGCAAGGTCTTGCTCTGTCACCCAGGCTGGGGTGCAGTGGTGCAATCACAGCTCACTGCACCCTCAAACCCCTGCCTCAGCCTCCCAAGTAGTTGGGACTACAGGCACCTATCACCATGCCTGGATAAGTTTTTGTAGAGATAGGGTCTCACTATGTTGCCCAGGCTGGCCTTGAACTCCTAGGTTCAAGCAATCCCACATGCTGGGATTAAAGGCATGAGCCACTGCATCTGGCCAGTTTTCCTTTAAATCATCAGTTTAAAAAAAAACTTACAAGAAATAAAAAACATAACATGTTACATTTACTCACCCCTTTGCCATTTCTGGTGCTCATCCTATAGACCCAAGTATCCTCTTAACATTTTTTTGTAGTGCAATTCTGCTGGCAAAAAATTCTCTAGCTTTTGTTTATCTAAAAAATGTCTTTATCACCCTCATTTTTACAGAATCCTGGCTATGGAATTTAGGAATGATAGTTTTATTTTTCTTCATGCCCTGTAAAGATGTTGTTACATTGTTTCTGATGAGAACTCATGATATCCTATCATTCCCATGCATGTAATATGTCTTGCTCCGTGGCTGCTTTCAAGATTTTTTTTTATCTGTGGTTTTCAGTAGTTTGACTATCATGTGCCTAGATAGATTTTTCTTCTTGTCCTGATTGGGTTCTGCTGAGCTTTTCATCTATATATTCGTGTTTCCCATTAAAATTGGGAAATATCCAGCCACTGTTTCTTCTTGACCATTTTCACTTTCTCCTCCTTCTGGGGCTTCTATGAGTTACACAGTTTGATAGCATCCCATGGCCCCCTGAGGCTCTGTTTGTTTTGGTTCAGTCGTTTTTTCTCTCTTCAGATTGGGCAATGTCTGTTGATCTGTCTTCCAGTTCACTGACTTTAAAAAATATATATTTCCAATCTACTGTTAAGCCTATTCAATACATTTTTCATTTCAGTATTGAGCTTTCCAGTTCTATATTTTCTATTATGACTCTTTTTTATAATTTCCATTTCTCTGCTAAGAGTTCCTATTTGCTCACTCAAGACAATTTTTTGGGTAATTATTTGAATACACTTTCCTTTCATTTTTTTTTTGAAGGAAAATTTGTATTATTTTAATTATTTTAATGTACAGAAAACTCAACAGTGTACATTTAACCCAGTTTAGTGGCAAGTTCTTTAGCCTTTGCCTTTTCGAGCTTGGCGATACGAGCCACAGACTTAGGACCCAGGATGTTGCCGCCCCAGTGACGGCGGATCTCATCGTATCTGTCATTGTAATTGGTCCTGATAGCTTCCATCAGCTTAGCCAAAGTGCCTTTGTCTTCCGAGTTCACCTATGTGAAGGTGACAGTGGTGCAGGTCTTCCTGTGGACTAGACGTCCCAGTCTTGCCTTCCCCTTGATAATGCAGTAAGGGACCCCCATTTTACGACACAAGGCAGGCAAGAAGACAACCAGCTCGATGGGATCCACGTCGTCTGCAATCACCACCAGCTGAGCTTTCTTGTTCTCCACCAAGGTGGTGACGATGTTAACTCCTGCTCGAAGGACAGGTGGTCTCTTGGTGGGGACGTCCCGTTTGCCAGCAGCTTTCTTCTCAGCCCAGGCCAACAGTCTCTGCTTCTTCTCTTGCTTTGTCTCTGGTCTGTACTTGTGGGCCAGCTTAAGCAGCTGAGTAGCTGTTTGGCAGTCCAGGGCCTAGGTGAACTGGTTAATTGCAGGAGGCACTTTCAGCCGCTTATAGAGGATGGCTCTCTGCCGCTGCAACCTGATATAGCGGGGCCATTTCACAAAGTGGGTGAGGTCTCTTTTGGGCTGGATGTCCTGTCCGATGCCAAAATTCTTAGGCCTTTTCTCAAACAGGGGATTCACCACTTTCTTAGCCTCCTGCTTCTTCATGACAGCAGGGGCCAGAGCCACCTTCTTTCCCTTGGCCTTCTTTCCTTTTGGCATCTTGGGTGGTGGGAGAGAGCTCCTTTCATTTTTTGAACATAGTTAAGGAGTTTCTTTAAAGTCTTTATCTGATATGTTCAACATCTCTGCCATTTTGGGGTCAGTTTCTATTAACTGCTTTTTCCCCTTGACTATGGGTCATATATTCCTGCTTCTTAGCATGTCTACTAATTTGCTGTTTGTGTGCCAGACATGGTAAATGATACATGCTGAATCTCTGGGTTCTGTTATTTTGCTCTGAAGAGTGTTTGCTTTCATTCTGGTATGGAGTTCAGTTACTGACTGTTCACCTTGAGCTTGTGCAGGCTTGGCTTTTGGCTTTGTTAGGGCAGGTCTGTGGAAAGTTCATTCCCAGGCTTGTTTAGTGGGGTGGACCTCAACTTCCAAACTCTGCCTCTCCTGCAGACCTTTTCAGGGCTTGGTTTCTAGTTTTGTTCTGGTAGATCTAGGGTAGGCCATACTCTAAGATAGAATCCTATTCCTGAAGTGAAGCCGTTCTGGTAGCTCAGCTGGTCTCAGGCTGTCACACAGTCTTCACATTCAGGCTGACTGGACCCCCGGCACTGTTGACCTCTTGAACTTGTTCTGTTTAACTGTGCAGCTCTGGTAAGCCCTGTGGAGTCCACCGTGAGCATGCGCAGTCCAGCCCTCACACAAGACTCATAGGGACCCCCTCAGACAATCTTCAGCTCCCTCTGTTCCTTTGCCTTGCCCCATGGATTTCAGCCCTCTGGCTACTGCAGATTATGATCTCTGCCTCCTCAGCTTAATGTGACCACTATGTTCTGCCTGGACTTCATGCTCATGGCATTGTCTCCAGGCAGAGAGCTGTGGGGGCATTTGGGAGGCCCACCTCATCAGCTGCCCTTCTCTGCCTAGTGCTCCCTGCCTGTAAACAGTTGCCTTGTGTATTTTGTCCACTTTTTATGGTTGTTTACAGCAAGAAGACTAGTCTGGTACCAGTTTCTCAATTATAGACACTTTCCTATTGTTCTTGCTTTATGGATGATATGTCAGTTTACTGGCTAAACAGATATTTACAGTTATTTTGGGGGGTGGGGAGCACAAGGTCTTGCTCTGTCACCCAGGCTGGAGTACAATGGTGTGATCACAGCTCACTGCAGCCTCAAACTCCTGGGCTTAAGCAATCCTTCCACCTCAGCCTCCCAGTAAGCTGGGACTACAGGTGCATGCCAGCATGCATGGCTAATTAAAAAATTTTTTTTGTAAAGACAGTATCTCTATATGTTGCCCAGGCTGGTCTTGAACTCCTGGGCTCAGGCAGTCCTCCTGCCTTGGCCTCCCAAAGTGCTGGGATTATATGGCTCTTCATTGGGAATTGTACTCTTTATCATTGTTAAGTCTTTTATATAATCTTACCTAATGCTTTGGCCCTGAATTCAAATGTTCCTATTATTCAGATTACCCTGTTCTTATTTGCATTTTCCCAGTATATCTTTGCCAAGAGTTCCTTTGGCATCCTCCTTGTACCTAGCATAGATTTAGATTTCACTTTGAAATTCAATCATAAACCTAGACTCAAATGATCTTCCAACCTCAACCTCCCAAGTAGCTGGGACTACACGACCACACCTGGCTAATCTGTAATGTTTTTTAAAGACAGGGTCTCACTCTGTTGCCCAGGCTGGAGTGCAGTGGTGTGATCTTAGCTTACTACAGCCTCAAACTCCCAGCCTCAAGCAATCCTCCTGTCTTTGCCTCCCAAGCAGCTGGGATTACAAGCATGAGCCACCACACTCAGCCTGTTGAGTATATTTAGATCTTTTTTTTACTTTATGCAGCTATACAAGGAAACATAGGCACCTACAGTGAGGTGGGAGAGGAGAAGGAAATAATGCTATTTTTGTCATTACTTATGGTGGGGGGTTCTCAGATAATCTCTCGGGGATGAGGTTGACTATTATATCTTTGGCCCCAAAGGACAAAAGCTGAGCTAAATCAGTGAACTTAACAACCATCCCATCTCTCTCAGTGCCTCCCATATTTCTGTGAGTTATAATAACCGGTTCCATAGCCGTAATCCCCATATTGTCTTAGAGCTGATCCTATAGGCAAGTGGGTCCAGTGCTCCCTGCCAGACCATTTGCTGCAGTTCTCCAGTTATCTCTTACGAGACTGGAGTTAATCTTCTAGTCTTTCAAGAACAGCTTATGGGTGCAGGATTCTCTGAGTTCTTACATGTTCAGAAATGTTGGTCTGTTGTTTTTATAATTGAGCGACAGTTTGGCTGGATATAAAATACTTGGACCTCGCCTTCCTCCTCAGCCTTGCAGGCATCACCCCGTCATCCCTTGGCACCCTGTGGCTGTGGAGCATTCTGAGGACGGCCTAAACAGCACCCTCATCAACATGGTCTTTTTGTCTGGCCACCAAAGGTTTTTTAGCTATGAAGTCTAATAATTTTATTAGAGCGTATCTTTTTTTTTTTTTTTTTTTGAGACAGGGTCTCACTCTGTCGCCCAGGCAGGAGTGCGGTGGCAGTGATCTCAGCTCACTGCAGCCTCCATCCACTGGGCTCAGGTGATCCTCCTCCCGAGTAGTTGGGATTACAGGCACATGCCACCACCCCCTGGCCCCAACGCTCGGCCCAGGAAGAGGCCAGCACCCCGACGGCCCCGTGCACGTAGGACCTGTCTGTGTGGCTCCGGGTCTCGTGCAGTGCCCTACCCCCTCTCAGAACCCAGCCGGGGACGTTGCCCCCACCAGGCAAGGTACACTGTGTGGCTCCTGCCGCCTCCAGGGCGTCTCCCCCTTGTCCCCCCCTCATCCTGCCAACCCCCCACTGGGTCTTGCTCTTGGCAGCGCTCCCAGCCCTGTCGAGCTTGGGGGTTCACATACCTCATGGTTTTGCTGAAAATGGAGTTTGTATTTCTCACCCTCGTCAGCTTTGGGGTGGTTGTGAGGTTCTTCTGGGAGGAGTGCCAGCATTCTGCTGCCATCAAGCCCGGGACGTGGCCTCTCGCTAGGCACTAGGGTGCAGTGGCTTCCCTGGGGTGAGGGGTCCCGGGACCCAGCCCCTCTCCTGCAGCTGGGACCTCCCTGTCTCTGCTGCTCTCTGACTGGGGAAGGAGTCGGTCAGAGCTGGTGCGAGGAGCAGCAGGGCAGGGCCGAAGACCACTCTGAGGGGAGGGCTGGAGTCCCCCATCGTGGCCTTAGGAAGAGTGGGAGGTCAGCTGGGTAGGAGCGTGTGGCCCTCACATCCCGGGCCTGTGGGCCTGCGTCTCTCCTGGTTCCAGCTGCAGGTGGGGCACCAGGGGCAGCACTGCCTTGTGGGCTTAAGGAGTGGCCTAACACCTCTCCCAACTCTCACAGGTGCGTGGGACTCATGAACTCACCAATCCCGGGATCGCCGAGGTCACGATCCGGCCAGATCGCAAGATCCTGGCCACCGCAGGCTGGGACCACCGCATCCGCGTGTTCCACTGGCGGACGATGCAGCCACTGGCCGTGCTGGCCTTCCACAGCGCCGCTGTCCAGTGCGTGGCCTTCACCGCCGATGGCTTGCTGGCCGCGGGCTCCAAGGATCAGCGGATCAGCCTCTGGTCACTCTACCCACGCGCATGACTCACCCACTCCCTTCCCGGGAGACGAGGAGGGCGGGCAGGGAGGTGGGCATCAGGCCCCAGCCTTGGCCTGAAACCTCAAGGGCCTCTGAGGACCAGCAAGTCATGGCCCAAGGACCATGGAGTCCCCGCTGTCTTCATGAGGTTGGTATTTCCTTTTGTGGAGTGCCTCATCACAGGACGGTGACTCTGGGGGCCAGCCAGAGCCCTGGCCGTCCGAGGCCTGCAGGAGACGTTGGCTTGGGCCTGCTGTGTTGCCAGCTGAGGGTATTTTATAATAAATTTCCATTGCCAAGTTGCAGGCTTGAGGTGGGAGCTCCCTGAGGAGGCCCTGGTCCCCCACTTAGCATCAGTGCCCTCAGACCCCCACCAGGCAGGATGCTCAGCCCCACCCTCACACCTGCTGTTGAATGGGCCACCCCGAGTGTGGGTTTCCTGGGCCAGGCCTCAGGAGATGATAGGCCCCAACCATAGCTGCGTCGATGTCCACATGACCCCTCACCCCGAGGAGGCCAGGAGCTCCCAACACACAGGTTGAGGCCAGGATCAGGATCAGGAAGTAACTGAACTCCCTAAAGAGTGAAGCAGAGAAAGGTGCCTGTGAGGGACGGCAAGGGGGGCTTGCAGCGCACAGGGCCAGGCCAGATGTGGGATCCGGGAGGGCACGCCTGCCCGCAGAGGGTGCAGTGGGGAAGGCGCACAGGGTGCACCTCCAGGTGAGTGCTGGGCAGAAGGCACGAGAGCAGCAAGGGAGTGTGACAAGCACCGCCTCACAGTGGCCAAGGCCACAGTCACAGCTGCGGCTGCACACAGGGTGGCCCCCAGGGCACAACACAGCAAGAGCAGGACTTAGCAGCCAGAGCCTCACACTGCATGCAGCCGGGCCCAGCCTGGCCGGTCGTCTCCTCCTAAAAGCGGGTGTTGATTGGGAAAGAACCATGACCCTGAATATTGGAGTGGGGCCCATGGGCAGATCCAGAGAAGCTGGGACCACACACGCCTGTGTCTGCCCGGATTGCCGGAAGAGCCCCTCTAGCTGAAGGCCCGGGGTGGCCTCCCTTGAGGCAGTTGCCCTGCAAGGCCCTGCCGATGCTCCTTGGGACCCCCACCTGGGCTTCTAGTCCTAGAACTAGACTCGAGTCCAGCAGACCCCCAGGATGAGATACAGAGGGTGACCCTGAGAGTGGCACCAGCCTCCTGCAGGACCACATGGCATTTCCAGGTTTCCAGGCAGAAATCTGAACATGTGTGGGACGGATCGGAAGGGTGTGGGATCCAGGTGGCCGGAGCAGGGGTGGATCAGGGGAGTTCCCGGAACAGACCTGCCAAACGGAGGGCTGGACTGGGCGCTGCAGCTTGGGGCCAGGAAGGCTCCAGTGCCGGGCTGGGGGTGGGGGCTGGATTACAGCCTGAGGGTGGCTGCACTGAGTGAAGTGGACATGGCCAGCCGCCGTGGGGTACAGCCGAGGAGGGCTTCCAAGGCCTGGGGATGGGGGTGTTGGATTTGTCAGTGAGACCTGTGCACCCACTGCAGGGGGTCCCAAGGCCGTGCCTCCCCAACCCCACTGTGAGGAACATGGTTGCTGGGGGGCCCGGAGTCCTTGAGGAGTCCTGTGACCACACTTCTCTGTTGGTCAGAGGTACCATGGGGACCGTTCCATCAAACGGGAATGTCAGTGCTGGCCGGGAAAGCGGCCCCTGGCCCAAGCTTGGAGACCACCTGGCTCGGGTACTGGCCTGGCTCCGTTGGACAAGGGTGGCCACCAGGTGCCCAGGACCTTTGGAGAGGGGGGCCCTGCTGCTTTTCCTCGAGTGTCCTATAGCCGCCAGGATGCGTAGGGCACTCCGGGAGGTATTTTCATATCACTGAGGTGTCAGGGAGGGGAAGGGTCCTGGGTTTAGGCTGCAGTGACTGCAGGTGCTGAGGGAGCTGTGCCCTGGGTGCTCATCACAGGCTGTCACAGTGAGGGAAGGTGTCAGGTTCTGACATCCCCATGACAGCGGCAGGGTAGGTGGAGTGGGAATTGGCTTTGCAGTTTCCCTGCATGCCCTTGACAGCCTTGCCAAAGGCACATCTGCCCCGCCTCAGCTCCCACCCTGAGGGTTCTGGGCCTCTACCCCTTCCCCTGTTTATGTCCCTGTCATCTTTGGCATCATCACTGTAGTTACAAAACTCCCTACGTCCCACAGCCACGAGGTGGGTATCCCACATGAGGGCCCAGGTGTGCATGCCAGCATGAGGTTGGCGAGTGGCACTGCCTGCTGATGTCTTACATAGAGGCCATGAAGAGCTGTGGGCAGGGTGTACAGACCCTGAGTTGGCCCCTGGCCCTCGTGCTTTCAGTCAAAGGCACAAGCAGGGTGGATGGCAGGCGGCTGCCCCCTAGCCTGGCCTTGAGCTCCCTGCCCCAGGCCATGTGGCGTTGAGCAGTGTCCAGGCACATCTTGTTCTGAATCTCAGTGTGCAGGGATGGAGTCGGGACAGCGTGAGTCCTGCATGCCTAACACAGCCCTCACCCCTCCAGTGCACAACGGGGCCACGTGCCCGCATCTGGGTGGCTAGGCAGATAGGGCCCCCCTTGCCAGGCAGATCCAGCTTCTGAGGCCTTATAGACGTCCTGTGGAGGGCAGGCCCAGGACTTTCATTCACCTGGCTGAGCTGCCTGGGAGAGCAGCAGAACCGGTGCTGGGGTCCAAGCCGGCCAAGAGCAGTGCAGCCCTCCTGGTCCTGTTCCTCTCTTGAGCTGCTCCGTGGTGTCCACAGCAGAGCCATGTGGCTCTGGACAGGTCGGCCTTTGTGTCAACAGAACCTGGGTCGTGATGAATCACCATGCGTCTGACCAGCCTTGAAACCCCCACAACAGAAGAAGAAACGGTCTCAGCTCCAGACATCCAGCTTGGAAAAGATGCACCTGAACATTGGCATTCTCTTCCTAGCAAACAGCCACTTCCTGTAGGCTGGCAGGAACGCCAACAGAGCCAGCAGTGAAGGCATTAAGTGGGGAGGAGGGGTGGCCCGGAGGCAGCACGCGAAGGTCAGCATGCAGCTCCTGGGATGAACCTGAGAGGCGACTCCTGGCAGCATGGCTGGTCGCTGCCATCACGCCCCTGGCCAACCCACCAACTGGGAGAGGCAGCCCTTCCACATCTTCCTCCATAATGCTCTTGGGTAGCAGTGAGGCCTCTCAAGCCAGAGAGAACTTGGTGTTTGGAAACAACGGCGGACATTTCTTGCCATTTTCAGTGCCAACTCAGGTAGGTGTGTTCTACCATCCTGTGTTTTTGGGGTGTTTTTTTTTTTGAGTCAGAGTCTCACTCTGTCCCCCAGGCTGGAGTGCAATGGAGCAGTCTCGGCTCACTGCAACCTCTGATTCCCAGGTTCAAGCGATTCTCCTGCCTCAGCCTCCCGAGAAGCTCAGGACCACCCACATAGGTGCAGGCCATCATGCCCAGCTAATTTTTTATTTTTTTTTATAGAGAAGGAGTCTCGCTATGTTGCCCAGGCTGGTTTCGAACTCCTGGGCTCAAGCGATCGATCCTCCCGCCTCTAGCCTCCCAAAGCACTAGAATTATAGGCCTGAGCCACTGCGCCCGGCCCACCATCCTGTTCTTATTGGAAGAATTTCCATGTGTCGAGGCACGGGCACAACGTAGCTGGTCCTCTGCTCAGGGCCCCACAAGGCTGCGTCAGGGTGGCAGCGCGGCTGGGGGCTTTTTCTGTTCAAATCCAGATTCTCGTGGCTGTGAGCCCCAGCCCTGGGCACTGTCCGCCTGGTGGTGTCTTCACAGCCAGCAGGGGTGGCCTTGGGGTGTTCTGTGGAGTAACTTTCACGGCCCAGAGTGGGATCCTGAGTGGCTGGAGCCGTATGCTCCAGCATCCCCAGCCGCTGCCTCCGGTGCAGGTGGAGTGGGCCCCTCTGATTACCAGGAGCTGTCAGAGGGGCAGCAGGTCCCACTCCACTGGCCGGTGGGCAGCTGTGTGCAGGGACGCGGGTCCTGGCACGTCTGCCTGGTGAGGCCCTGCCTCCAGTGCCAAGGGGCCTCCCCTCTCGACGGTGGGCGCCACCATGTGCTGACCTCTGTGCAGCCCCACTTTACAAGGTAGGTTCGGCCAGCACCCCATCCGCGGGCGGGCAGCACTCACCCAGCGTTGCGCCGCCAACAGGGTCCCTCTTAGACAAGCAGCTGTGCCTAGAGCCTTTTCCTTCCTCCCTGCGTGTTACCTGCAGGCCAACAGACGGCCCTGGGTCTGGGACCAGGAGAACCTGCCTCCGCCTCTGGCAGTGGGTGTCCCTGCAGGCAGATTGGGCTTGGCACGTAGACACCGAGGGGTCAGCCGATGCCGGGAGATGATCCCGGGAAGGGCTCCGGAGCACAGCCCAGGACCCGCCGCCGCTGCTGGGCGCTCCATGTTGACGTGCTGTGCGTGTCTCCACTCCCCAGGCAATGATGTTCAATCAGGTGTTTCCCACCTGTGTCTCTGCCAAGAAGCCACAGAACACCCTCTGCACAAAAGGAGTGTTTGCACAAAGAAAAACAACCCTCCGGGGGTTCTTTAGAAATGCTTATACTCAATTAGCTAGAACTTCATGTGAAATCCCAGCGTGGAAGACAACAAGCCGGCACCGGTGAAAACTTTGCTGTGCACCTGCCCTCTACCAAGCTGCCAGCCCCACCAGCCCTGTGGTCCTAGGTGGGCACAGCTGCTGCACGGTCCCCCAGGCCTGCCTCTCCTCGGGGTCTCAACCTTCATACCAGATTTGCCAGCATCCCCATTCCCGCCTTGTGGGTGGAGAGTCCTTGAGACCCTCTGTCACTCTGTCAGCTTCCCCAGGTCAGCGAGCTGTGGCTTGGCTCCCACGCATCAGCTTTTATGGGAGGCCCATTAGGAGCTGGGCAGGAGGGACAGAGGGGAGGCCAGGCAGCCACTGCTGAGTGGGACGGGTAGCCCAGCCCATGAGGCTGGCCAGCCCTACAGGGGAGGTCCCACAGCACTGGCCGGGAAGTCCACATAGGAAAGCATCAGTTGAGGGATGAAGCCACGGACGATGGGGACAACGGCCACAGGGTGTGCTAAGCTGAGGAAATTAGTAGGAGGTGCTCATAAGCTGTTTTGTTTTTTGGTTTGTTTGTTTGTTTTTTCTTTTAAGAGACCAGGGACAGTGGGGGTCTCACTCTGTCACCCAGGCTGGAGTGCAGTGGCATGATCATAGCTTACTGCAGCCTCCAACTAATAGGCTCAAGTGATCCTCCTGCCTCAGCCTCCCGAGTAACTCATGGCCTTTAAGTGAACTGCTTCCACCATCCAGCTGTGCAGGTGGCCTGGGAACAGCAGCACATCTGTCCCCTGCCACCTCTTGCATGCACACTTGACCTCCTGACTTGGGCTCTGAAACCTGTAAAATGTGGGGTGTAGAGAAATCGAGTCATTTGGCCTCATCCTGGTGCCATTATCTCTTGCTACATTAATAAACCACCTCAAACAGAGCAGCATAACAGCCATTCTGGGCACGTGGGCTCCGTGGGTCGGGAATTTAGGAGAGGCTGGGCTGAGCAGTTTGTCTACTCCACGGGGTGATGGCCAGGGCTGGAGGATTCGCTTCCATCACAGCCTCTTCACTCAGGTGCTTGGAGCCTTGGCTTCATTCAGGGGCTGGGCACAGCGGGGACCACCAACCTGAGTACCTTCAAGTGTCCTTGCAGTGTGGTGGTCTCAGGGACTCAGACTTCTTACTTGGGGGCTTCAAGAGCACGTCCAGCAAGCCAGGTTGGAGCCCAGAGCCTTCTGTGACCAGCCCTGGAGTCCAGGAGAGGGGAAACAGATCCCTACACTGGGTGGAGGAAGGTCAAAGTGTTTGTGGCCTTTATCAAATAAGGCTTGTCCTTGTTTCTCTTTGTGTAGCAAGAAAGAGTGAACACAGACAGCTGAGGCCCCAGAAACAGGGAAGGAGCTAGAATCCATGCACATCAGCCTCACACACCATCAGTAGGTGGGAAGAGTCCAGTGTGCACCCACTCAGCTTGCACAGCCACAGGCAGCCTGCCCAGGACCACCCTGTCACTCAGCCCTGCGGGTGTGATAAGACACTGACAAGGAAGGTTAGTCCTTCCTTGTCCCAACACACCAGGCAATATCTCCAAATGAAAGGATAATGCAATGGGCTCTCCCATCCATGAAACCCAAAGAATCGCTCATCTCAGGAAGAGATGCTAAAGTGTCACAAACTGAAAGCAAATACAAAAGATGGGCTAAAGAGTTCCTCAACATAACAAGAGGTTTTGTTATCAAAAGAGACTCAGCATTAAAAATAATAAAATACTTAAGAATTAGCTTAACTAGGGAGGTGAAAGACTTGTACACTGAAATCTATAAAACACTGCTGAAAGAAATTAAAACATAAATAAATGGAAATACATCCCATGTTCATGGATTGGAAAACTTAACATTGTTAAGATATCCATACTACCCAAAGCAGTCTACAGATTCAATGCATTCCCTTCAAAAATCCCAATGACATTTTTTGTAGAAATAGAAAAAGCCATTTTGAAATTCATATGGAGTCTCAAGGACCCCTTAATAGCTAAAACAATCTTAAAATGAATAAACTTGGAGGATTCATACTTCCTGGTTTCAAAATTTACTATAAAGCTATAGTAATCAAAACAGTGTGGTACTGGCATAAAGGCAGATGTAAAGACCAATGTAATAGAATAGACAGCCTAGAAATAAACCAGTGATATTTTTCTCAATTAGAAACAGGGTCTCACTGCGTTGCCCAGTCTGGTCTTGAACTCCTGGCCTCAAGCAATTCTCCTACCTCTGCCTCCCAAGTAGCTGGGACTATAGGTACATGCCACTGCACCTGGCTGGCCAAATGATTTTTAATGTGGTGACCATTCAATGGGGGAAAAGACTGTCTTTTTAACAAATGATGTTGGGAAAACTGGATTTACAAATGCAAAAGAATGCAGTTTGATCCCCCACCTCATACCCTATAAACTCAAAATAGAGCAAAGACCTAAATTAAGACCTAAAACCATAAAACCCTTAGAAGAAAACATAGGCCAAAAGCTTCATGACATTGAATTTAGCAATAAATTCTTGGATATGACACGAAAGGCACATTTCACAAAAGAAAAAAATAGACAAACTGGACTTCATGAAAATTTAAAAGTTGTATGCATCAAAAGACACCATCAACAGAGTAAAAAAGCAGCCCACAGACTGAGAGAAAATCTTTACAAACCATATATCTGATAAGGGATTAATATCCACAATATATAGAGAACTCCTAAAACTCAACAACAACAAAAAAGCCGATTCAAAAATGGGCCATCCTGGGTGCCGTGGTATGTACCCAGTTATTCAAGAGGCTGAGGCAAGAGGATCACTTAATCCAGGAGCTGGAGTCCAGCCTGGGCAACATAGTGAGACCCTGTCTCTAAAAATTAAAAATTAAAAAAAAATAGACAAATGACTTAAGTAGACATATCTCCAAAGAAGATGTATGAGTAGCCAGCAGGCACAGCATCACTATCCTCTGGGGAAATGCAAGTCAGAACTATAATGAGACAGATACTGCCTTACACCCATGAGGATGGGTACACCAAAAATAAAAACAAAACAGGGCCGGGTGCAGTGGCTCACGCCTGTAATCCCAGCACTTTGGGAGGCTGAGGCGGGTGGATCACGAGGTCAGGAGATCGAGACCATCCTGGCTAACATGGTAAAACCCCGTCTCTACTAAAACTACAAAAAATTAGCTGGGCGTGGTGGCGGGCACCTGTAGTCCTAGCTACTCGGGAGGCTGAGGCAGGAGAATGGCATGAACCCAGGAGGCAGAGCTTGCAGTGAGCCGAGATCGCGCCACTGCACTCCAGCCTGGGCGACGGAGCGAGACTCCATCTCAAAAAAAAAAAACAAAAAAAAAAACAGAAAACAAGTGTGTGGAGAAATCTGAACCCTTGTGCGCTATTGGTGGGAATGTAAAAATGGAGTAGCAGCTATGGAAAACAGTGTGGTCATTTCTCAAAATCCTGGACATAGAATTACCATATGAGCCAGCAGTTCCTCTTGTGGCAGAATACCCAAGAGAACTGAAAGCAGGGCTGCAAAGATATTTCTATACCCACGTTCATAGCGGCATTACTCACAGCAGCCAACAGGTGGGAGCAACCCAAGTGTCCATTGACAGAAGAATGAATCAACAAAACGTGGTACAGACATACAACAGAATAGTGTTCAGCCTTATAAAGGCAGGGAGTTCCGACACAGGCTAGAACACGGATGAACCTTGAGGTCCTTACACTCAGTGAACTAAGCCAGCCACAAAAAGACAAATGCTGTGTGATTCCACTTACATGAGGCGCCTAGAGTAGTCAGATTCACAGAGACAGAGAGTAGAATGCTGGCTGCCAGGGGAGGGGAATGAGGAGTTCTTGTTTAATGGGGACAGAGTTTCAGTTTTCTGAGATGAAGAGTTCTGAGATGGCTGGTGGTGATGGCTGCACAGTCATGTGGATGGACTTCATGCCACTGAAATGTACACTTACAAAGGGCTACGATGGTAAATTTGATTTACGTGTATTTTCCCTCAATGTTAAAAACTGAAAACTAAAGGCCTGCTTAAGTCTAGCTAACTAGCAAATACATCACCTGACATAGTTCTCATTTTTGTGGTAAGAAGTTTACACAATAAATACGTCAATTTTATATGTCGATTTAAAAAATAAATAAGTAAATGTGAAGGGAAAGAGCCTGAGGGGGCAGTCAGGCTTACTGGACAGCAGCACTTGGCCTCACCGTGGTGCCTCCGCCTGGGAGCCGCCAGCCAGGGCTTTTCCCGAGTGATGTGGGTCGGATGCTAATCCCCAGGAGGGTGCTAAGAGCACGTCGGAGAAAGAATAAGAACGCGATAGAGAAAAGCACAGCTACTGCTTTCAGAACCAGTTTGAGGGAATCATCCTCATAGTGTGTGGGTGTCTGTACTGAGGTGTTTAAGGCATTTTTGGATCAGATATGTTAAGCTTGTAGTTTCCATTAAATATTTAGAAGTGTTTATAATGAGTTTACAGTCAATGTTTAAATGTCAGGAGAAATTTACTTTGTTTTATCCAACAAGTTTTGATTTATCAACTGGGAGTGTGACTCTATGGAGAAGTATTTATTACAAAACATGCACTTTATTCATATTGGAATTTACTGAACAAGTCACTGTTTTTTTAATTTTGGAAATTTCAAACATGAACCAAAGTGAAGGGAAACACGACAACTCCATGTGCCCATGGCCCGGCCTCAGCATTCAACAAAGACGGTCACCTGCGGTCCTCCCAGCCACCAGGCCCTGGGTATTGAAGGGTTGGCACTCTGCGGGGCAGGGGAGCCCCAGGTTCACACAGCCACCTGCATCCCTCAGAAGCTCCACTTCTCTCTCTGGTGTGTTCCTAGACGTCTCAGCTTTCACTTCCTTGTCCTTCAGGACATGTCCACCTGGGTGACAACCCCATCCAATGAGAGTGGATGAAGTACCATGTCAGAGGTGCCTCTCTTTTCTTGCAGATCAGACTGCACAAATGTCCAGTGTCTGAACCGCATGGAAGGGCAGGACAGGACTGCATCTCCCAACGAGCCGAGCCGCCCACAGGACACAGACACAGACACGGCCTCCACAGCCACACCAGGTCCCACCTCAGCCCAGCACAGGCCTTTCCCACAGTCAGTGACCCCAAGGAAAGACGTCGGATCAGGGAACCAGATCTCCCCCTTACCTACTTTTATTTATTTTATTTGTTTGAGACGGAGTCTTATTGTTGCCTAGGCTGGAGTGCAGTGGTGCAATCTCAGCTCACTGCAACCTCCACCTCCCAAGTTCAAGCAGTTATCCTGCCTCAGCCTCCCAAGTAGCTGGGATTACAGGCACCTGCCGCCACGTCCAGCTAACTTTTATATTTTTAGTAGAGATGGGGTTTCAAAGGGGCTGGACACGGTGGCTCATGCCTACAATCCCAGAACTTTGGGAGGCTGAGGCAGGCGGATCATTTGAGCCCAGGAGTTTGAGATCAGCCTGCCCAACATGGTGAAGCCCCGTCTCTACTGAAAATACAAAAATTAGCCAGGCATGGTGGCGCATGCCTGTAATCCCAGCTATTTGGGAGGCTGAGGCAGGAGGATTGCTTGAGCCCAGGAGGTGGAGTTTGCAGTGAGCTGAGACTACGCCATTGCACTCCAGCCTGGGCAACCAGAACGAAACTCCGTCTCAAAAAAAAAAAAGAAGAAGAAAAGAAAGAAAGAAAAGAAATAAGGAGCAATGGCCAGGTGCAGTGGCTCACACCTATAATCCCAGTGCTTTGGAGGGCAAAAGCGGGAGGATCACTTGAGCTCAGGAGTTTGTGACCAGCCTGGGCAACATAGTGAGACCCCCATCTCTAACAACAACAACAACATCAAAAAAGCCAGGTGTGGTGGCACACACCTGTAGTCCTAGCTGTTCGGGAGACTGAGGAGGAAGGTTTGCTTGAGACTGGGAGGTTGAGGCTGCAGTGAGCCTTGATCACGATGCCACTGCACTCCAGCCTGGGTGACAGAGCAAGATCCTGTCTCTTGAAATGAGCAGGAATGTGCTGTTTTACTAGTTAAGAGTAATAAATCCTGGTTGGGTGTGGTGGCTCACGCCTGTAATCCCAGCACTTTGAGAGGCCAAGGCAAGAGGATCACTTGAGCTCAGGAGTTCGAGACCAGCCTGAGCAACATGGCAAAATCCCATCTCCACAAAAAACTTAAAAATTAGCCGGGCATGGTGGTGCGTGCCTGTGTTCCCAGCTACATGGGAGGTTGAGGTAAGAGGATCACTTGAGCCTAGGAGGTCAAGGCTGCCGTGAGCCATGATCATACCACTGCACTCCAGGCTGGGGGGCAGAGGGAGACCCTGTCTCAAAAAAAAAAAAAAAAAAATTAAGAGTAACAACACACCCTGAACCTGTGCCCAGCACACTGAAACCCAGTGAAAGGGGCTGAGAGAGGATGGAGAGGGGGAGACGAAAAGGACCGATACCCAGAATGGGTCAAAACAGACGAGAAGGCATGGGAAAGGCCAGCACGCTCTTTATAAGAGTAGAACTCAGCCACCCCATTACTGGGTATATACCCAAAGGATTATAAATCATGCTGCTATAAAGACACATGCACACGTATGTTTATTGCAGCACTATTCACAATAGCAAAGACTTGGAACCAACCCAAATGTCCAACAACGATAGACTGGATTAAGAAAATGTGGCACATATACACCATGGAATACTATGCAGCCATAAAAAATGAAGAGCTCATGTCCTTCATAGGGACATGGATGAAACTGGAAACCATCATTCTCAGCAAACTATCGCAAGGACAAAAAACCAAACACCGCATGTTCTCACTCATAGGTGGGAATTGAACAATGAGAACACACGGACACAGGAAGGGGAACATCACACTCCGGGGACTGTTGTGGGGTAGGGGGAGGGGGAGGGATAGCATTAGGAGACATACCTAATGCTAAATGACGAGTTAATAGGTGCAGCACACCAACATGGCACATGTATACATATGTAACAAACCTGCATGTTGTGCACATGTACCCTAAAACAGTATAATAATAATTAAATTATATTAAATTAAAATTTTTTAAAAAAACCTTAATGTTCAATAACATGCGCCCTCTGTAGCGTATGGGATTGAGCGTTACCCAGGAAGCTCCTCCCACCCCGTGTGCTGGCCCTTCCTGCCTGCACTGGCTGATCTGTGTTCTGTACTGTGGTTTTGCCTTTTCCCAGACAGCTTATAAACAGAGCCACGCGGCACGGCACCTCCCGAGCCTGCTTCCTTCCCTCCGTGAGATAAAGTCAAGACTCATCCAGGTTGCCTGCATCTGTAGGTCGCTGCTTTTCATCCACTCATTGGCAGAGGCACATGCGGGTAGTGTGCTGGCTCTGAGTTGGTGGCTGGCATGGACGTCGGCTACCAGCCTCTGCTTCCATCCCTTGAGGGTAGGCGTGCTCTCTTGAAGTCTTGCCCACCCAGACTGATCACATGCGGTTCTGCTTTTCAGGCCCAGTGGCTGCCCTTGAGACATGACCCCTCCCTCCCTGAGTGGGAGACCCAGCTCCTAAGCAGGGCAAGCAGGCCTGGCCCTGGGGTGGCCCGAGGTCCCCTGCACCCATCTCCGAGGTGATCCTGCCTCTGAAGAGCCCTCCACCCCGTGCAGGCCCCTGGGTGTTAGCTGTCCCTGCTGGAACATGAGCTCTTCTAGAGCAGGCACTGTGTGTCTTGCATTCATGGGATGGACACTTTGGCACTTTTGCCTTACCCTCCCACCCCCAGTGAGGGAGGACTGGGCCTTCCTGGAGCAAGGGGCCACACGTCTTCCTCCTGAGGAGCTAGGATCCTAAGGAAAGCTATAGAGCACCATATTGGGTAGGGACAGAGAAACCACCCCTGAGAGAGAGGGAGACCACGGGCAGACACGGAGCCACGAGCACAGGCCCCAGAGCTGGGGTGGACACGGGCCACAGCACTGCCTGTCCCTGGGGAAGCCGCTGGGACTTCCAGGTGGTTTCAGGGGCACTAGCAGCCATGGGTGGTGAGAACTCCCTCCCACCTGTGCCCACGTGGCTTACACCTTCCACTCGGGAGCCGGTGGGACTTGCCTGGGGCCCGAGCACTTGGAGGGGCCACCTCCAGGGATGGCTCCGGTAACCCTCCGTCTCCCTGCAAGGCTGTCACCAGCCTTCTGATGCCCAGCCCTCTCCAGCACAGCCTGGCAGCCACCCTCGAAGCCCACCTCACAGCAGCCAGACCCCTCAGGCTCCAGGCGAGCACTCCAGGCCATGCGGCCTCACTGGGGAGTCTGGGCCCACTTGGGCAGGGGGAGGAGTGCGGAGAGGGCCCTGGGGCACCGCTTCATGCCAGGTGGGACTTGGGAGCTCCTGGCCTCAGAATATTCGGGGCCCCACCACTAGCTCCTTCAGACAGGGTGCGGCCATGTGGGAAGACCTCGCCACAGCAGCCCCATGGCTCCGGACCTGTGGTTCCGAGCGTGCATTGCAGGAGGTGAAAAGCATACCCCACCTCCACCCACCAGATGCCAGAAGCACCCCCACCCAGTGTCCCAGGCACTGTCAAACACCCCAGGGGGCAAGACTGCTCCTGTTAAAAAACCACCGCTTTAGAGGCAGGTAGGGAATTGGTCAATCCAAGATGGATAGCAGTGGCTTTTGCAAACTGTGGATGATCTAGGATTTTTAAATTGTTAAACATACATTTAAAAACACAAATTTTGGCTGGGCGCAGCGCCTCACTCCTGTAATCCCAGCACTTTGGGAGGCTGAGGTGGGCGGATCACCTGAGGTCAGGAGTTCGAGACCAGCCTGGCCAACATGGTGAAACCCCGTCTCTACTAAAAATAGAAAAAATTAGCTGGGTGTGTTGGCAGGTGCCTGTAATCCCAGCTACTTGGGAGGCTGAGGCAGGAGAATCGCTTGAACCCAGGAGGTAAAGGTTGCAGTGAGCCAAGATCGCGCCACTGTACTCCAGCCTAGGTGACAAGGGAGAAACTCTGTTTCAAAAACATAAAAACCAAAAAACCCACAAATTTGGCCAGGTGTGGTGGCTCACACCTATAATCCCAGCACTTTGGGAGGCCGAGGTGGAAGGAGAGCCTGAACCCGAGTTCGAGGCTAGCCTGGGCAACACAGTGACACCCTGTCTCTACAAAAAATAAAGAATGTGCCATTGTGACCATGTTGAAGTACACAATTCAGTGGCATTGTGTATTCCCGATGCTGTGCGTCCACCTCCAGATGAACGCAAAATGGAACCTCTGTCCCCACTAGACGCCAACTCCCCATTCCTCTCCCCCAGTCCCTAACAATCCCCATTCTCCTGTCTGTTTCTTGAATCTGACTACTTGAGGTGCCTCATGCAAGTGGAATTGTACAGTACAAAATGTGTCCTTTGTGACCGGCTCAATTCACGGAGCATAAGGACCTCAGGGTTCATCCCTGTTGTAGCATGTAACAGAATTCCCTTCCTCTTTAAGGCTGGATAATACTCCACGGTACACACACACCACATTTTGTTGATCCGTTCACTTATCGGTGGACGCTCGGCTCGCCTCCACCTTTTGCTATTTGAGTAATGCTGCTATGAACATGGGTGGAGAAATATCTCTTTGAGACTCTGCTTTCAATTCTCTTGGGTATTTTCCCAGAAGTGGAATTCCTGGAACATACGGTTCTATGTAGAATTTTAATTGATTTTAGAGACAAGATATTGCTCTGTCACTCAGGCTGGCGTGGAGTGGTGTGATCGTAGCTCACTGCAGCCTGGAACTCCTGGGCTCAAGCGATCCTCCTGCCTCAGCCTCCTGAGTAGCTGGGACTACAGGTGCCTAGGCCCGCCCAGGCGGGTCTTGAACTCCTGGCTTCAAGCAGTCCTCCTGCTTCACTCTCCCTAACAACTGTATAATTTTTCAAGGACCCATGACACTGTTCCCCACAGAAGCTGCACTATCTTACAGTCCCACCAGCAGTGTAGACGGCTTCCAGGGGCTCCATGTCCTCACCAACACGTGTTGTTTTCTGTTTTTGTTTTTTAAAATCATCATCATCCTAATGGATATCCAAGTCTTTAATATTCACCTTGAATCACCTTCTGGGTATATATGTGATAGGATCTCTGTCCTGCAGCTCAAATTCTTTCTGGGGAAGAGACCTGTGCATGAGAAACAGCTACTACTGGAATAGCCACTGCTTCCCTCCAGTCGTGGGAAACCTCCCACTGCAGGAGGGAAACTCGGCGGCTGAGGGCCGAGGGGCCAGGTGGGCTTTGCCAGGCAAATCTCCCTCGGCAGCTCAGGAAGGAGACCACGCTGGTGTCCAGGGGTCTGGCCCACCCTGAGACCACTCCCCTCCTGGCAGTGACCGCATCAGGATGCCGAGATGCCTGGGGCTCCATCCTGCAGTCACCTGTTAGAAGGACAGGACTGTGTGAGGCCTGAGGACCCAGGAGAGCAGGTGGAGGTCAGGAGGTGACAGTGGCAGGTGGGGGCCAGCCCTGCAGTAAGCTTCCCAGGCAGTGACTGGGCATGGGCTCTCCTGAAGGGGGTGCCTGCCTGGAGATGGCCCCTTCTGGCTGGCCGCCTGGAGGGAGGGTCCTCCAAGGAAGCCCACACAGCCAAGCTGGAGGGGCCACCTGGAAATGCCTCCGTGGGGTGCTAGGGTGCCCCCAGTTGCAAGTCTCTCTCATAACTAGGCTGTTTCTTTCCAGCACCCACCACACAGGGTGATGGGTGTCTTGGGATGTGCTCCTATGTGTTGGTGTCCACCTCCTGGCGGCCCATTTCCCACCTAGACCTTCCTCTGGGGCCTGAGCAGCAGCTCTTGTCCCCAGAGCTCGGGCCCTGCAGGCTCTCCCAGGAGGTGGCGGAGCAGGCAGGCTTTCAGATCGGTCAGCTGCATCTTAATAAAGCTGCTTGTTTTTCTTAGTCCCTTGAGACTTGACTTATTGTTATCAGAAGGGTGATTATTTGCATGGAAGTGGCTGTTTCCGTATTTTGCCTCAGCTCAACGCCCGTGCTCGTAAGCTCTGAATCCGTGGAGGAACAATGCCACCAGCTAGCGGCCACTCTGCGGTGCCCGGGCTTCCTGTGTAGCCCAGGCCTCGCCTGCAGCCCCAGCAGCACTCGGGTGCAGGAATCCCACCAGCCTGAGGCGACAGGGAAGGGGACCTGTGTCCTGCCAGTGACCCCGATTCTGTCCCTTATCACAAAGGCGGGCTGGAGAAGGGCGCCCGGCAGCTCCTGAGACCCAGCCCCGCGGTGAAGGTCCCTACCCTGCCCTGGGAAGACGTACTGCCTCATGGCTGAAGGTCCAAACCACAGCCATGAGCAACTGGGTAGACTGGGGACTGTTTTGTGGCCCTGCTGCTGTCACCATCTTCGTTCTGTGATGATGTCACAAGAAAAAAAGCTTGTCTTGGGGGAGTAATCCGGAAAACATATTCTGAGATAAAGGATGAATTCAGAAACGGAGGGGAAAAAAAAACTATTTGAGAAGAGGGCTGGGCACGGTGGCTCACGCTTGTAATGCCAGCAATTTGGGAGGCTGAGGCCAAAGGATCACTTGAGGCCAAGAGTTCAAGAGGCAGGAGTTCAAGACCAGCCTGGGCAACATAGCAAGACTCATATGTCTCTACAAAATATTAGCAGGGTGTGGTGGCACACGCCTGTAGTCCCAGCTAATCAGGAGGCTGAGTCTGGAGGATGGCTTGAGCCCCGGAGTTCGAGGCTACAGTGAGCCATGATCACACCACTGCACTCCAGCCTGGGCAACAGAGCAAGACCCTGTCTCAAAAAGAAAAAAAGGCCAACATGGTGAAACCCATGTCTACTAAAAAGACAAAAATTAGCCGGGCGTGGTGGCGGACATCTGTAATCCCGGTTACTTGGGAGGCTGAGGCAGGAGAATCGCTTGAACCCAGGAGGCGGAAGTTGCAGTGAACTGAGATTGTGCCACTGCACTCCAGCCTGGGCGACAGAGCAAGACTCTATCTCAAAAAACAAACAAAAAAACTGTTGAGAGGAACTGAAGCTAGAATGACAGAGGAATGAAGAGGAGATGGGGAAGACTAGGGATGTGCAGGGAGGAGTGTCCTGAGAAATGATGTGAATGAAGAGTAAGGTCCTGGAAGGACAGGGCCACTGTAAGGGCTGGAGACAGAAGCCGGAGTCACCACCTGCAAGAAAGTCACCCAGAGCAACATGCTGGCACCCAGCGTTGCCCGAGGCCACAGTGGGCGCACCGACATGGGCCTCAACTGCAGCACCCTGGCAACTGCCACTGCACCATGGTTTCATGTGCAGCCAAGATCCTTCAGTTAGGCTGAGACCCCCCACTTTGAATAAGAGAACACCAACTTCAGAGGTGTTGAAATGCAGGCAAAAAACCCTGTGCACCTCAGAACTGGTGAAATGGGGAGATGCACCCCAAAGCTTCTGGGGGTCTGCACTGCAGGAAGGGGGCCTGGGCTGGCCACAGAGCAGAGGATGCCAGTGGGGCCGGGAGGAGAGGATTACGTGCTTACTTTGTGCAATTGAAAGCTGATAGATAAAGCATGTTGACAATGCCATCACCCTTTATAATTAAGAAGATAATTTAATTACTGCTATTAAAAGCTAAGCCTCTCCCCCACATGGGCTGGTTTTAGCAAAATATTTCTGGTTCTGCTGTTTCCCACACACAGACCTGGCAGCGGTTAAAGAGAGACACTGAGTCTCCGGAGTTTCATCTGAGGAGCCCATCTGGTTTGAAGTAGTACAACAAGCAGGAAAGGGAATTGAATCAAAGGCACCAGTTGTGTTTTTTGAAATCCAGAAAATGTGTGAGGTAGCACCAAGGAAAAAGGTCTCATCCTGCCCTCCCTAGGCTTGGGTGCCACTATGCCAGGCTGGGGGGCCGTGCCCCCACCTGCTCCTTGGCCAGGCTCTGCAGGATGCTCCTTCAGGGCGGGGGGTGAAGGAGCTTGGCAAGGAGGAGAGGCAGGATGGTGCAGATGCTTGTGGACCCTGCCCGAGCACACCGCCTCATTGGAACCCACAGGGAGGAGAGAAGCAGGAATGAACGTCCCCGTGCCCATGGCTGACACAGGCCTCCACTGTTGACAGAGAGCTTCTCCACACAGGGCGGAGGTCAGCACCACAGCTGAAGGGAAAACTGAGTCTCTGGAACACAGAGTCTCTGGAACACGGGCCACATGCTCTCCCCTGGTGCCCAGCTCCTGGTTGGGTTGCACTGCCTGACACACTGGAGCCATCCCTTTCGTCCTAGAAGCAGCTCCTCACCCATCACTCTCCCTCCACCAGTGAGAGGTGAGGCTGCCTCTGCCCTTGGCAACTGTGGCTACGTGGAATTCTCTGGTATGCGGGTGCTTTGATCTGCGGCACACCTGGAGATCAGGGCCTCAGCCTCATACAACTGTCATCGCATGGATCCCACACACCCCATGGACTTCCCCAGCTGGAGGGTGCGCCGCAGGGTGGGGCCTGAAGCCCACCAGGCCAGGGTCTCATCTCCACCGGGCCAGGGTCTTGTCTTCCTCCGCAGCTCAAGGTGCCACCAAACAGACTCGCCTTGTCCCGCAGCCAAGCCCCCGCGTGCTCCTGCCTCTGCACCTCCAGTGCTTTCCTGGGTGAGAAGCCTCTCTGGGCAATGGAGTGCCCATTGTCCCTTCGACAAAGGGGCACATGCTGCAGAGGGCAGCCGTGGGGGGGTCTTCTGAAAACAGGGAGCGGGGCTACTGCAGGATCGTCCAGCTGCACCCCCAGGCCCTGGGGTCCTAGAACCCTTCCGTGGGATGCAGTGGTGTGAAGGGGGTGTGGATGGTCCCCACCCCCGCTTAGTCAAGAATCTATCTATTTCCTGCGTTGTGCATCTGTTGTTTTTGGAGAGTTTTTGGGAGTGAGGAGTCTGGGGGCCCTTCTGGTCTCTCGTCCTCCTGAGTCCTGGCAGCTGGACGTCTGCAGCCAGGCTAGGGGAGGGCAACGGGGCCTCTGGACCAGCTAGGGAACCTGGAGGAGGATGTTTGGGGGAAGTCCAACAGCTGAGGGGGAGCCTGTGGGGGAACAGCGGTGGGACGAGCCCCCTATCCCCTACACCATACTGCCCATCACAGCAGCTTACAGAAGGGGCAGGGCAGGTGTGCTCAACGGGGAACCTAAAACAGGGAACAAGAAGGAGATGGAAGAACGGCCACTGTCAGTCCAGTAGTGCAGCTAGGACAAATGACCATAGGCCCGGTGGCTTATCAACAATGGACAGTTATTTCTCCCAGTTCTGGAGGCTGGAGGTCTGTGAGCAGCATAGCACTCAACTAATCCCACTCATGAGGACTCCACGCTCGTGACCTAATCACCGCCTAAAGGCTCCATCTCCTGCCACCATCACCTTGGGGGTGAACGTTCAGATCACAGCTGTCACAGAGGAAGCTGCTGGAAGCCAGGCCTTAGGGCAGCTGCCCATGGGAACGTCACCTCCACAGGAACGGTAGTGGCTGGGGCATCAGCCAGACAGCCCCCGCAGCGGGCAGGCAATCACTGGGCACTGGTTGAGGACTGAGCACATGAGGGACGGTGAGCAGCGGCGTGCGCCAGTCTTGCAGACACACAGCCAGCGGAAGCTGCCACCCAGACGCCGGCCTGCGAGCTCTCATTTACAAGAAGTTCTCAGATGCACAAACTCATCTACAAAGGTGGAGGGGAGGAAACCCACACTTCTGGGGGCCACTGCCCAGCGTGGGAGTGCCCTCAGCAGCAACAGCAGCAGTGTGGTGACCCGCGGCCTGTGAGCCACGGAGCACCTGGAATGGGGCCAGTGAGGACCTGAATGTTTAATGAATCCTAGTTCATTAGGACGTGTGGCCGAGTGTGATGGCTCATGCCTGAAAGCCCAGCATTTTGGAAGACCAAGGCAGGCGGGTCACCTGAGGTCAGGAGTTCGAGACCAGCCTGGCCAACATGGTGAAACCCCGTCTCTACTAAAAATACAAAAATTAGCCGGGCATGGTGGTACATTCCTGTAGTCCCAGCTACTCTGAGGCTGAAGCAAAAGAAATCACTTGAACCCAGGAGGCGGAGGTTGCAGTGAGCCGAGATCGCACCACGGCATTCCGGCCTGGGCGACAGAGCGCGACTCAGTCTCAAAAAAAAAAAAAAAAAAAAAAAAAGAATGCGAACAGCCCCGGATGGCCAGCGGCGGCCCTGCTGGACGGCTGGGTGCTCCATCTTGCATGGCCATCCCAACAGGAGGGGCACGGTAACAGGCCAGTTTGCTGCACACTCAGGGTCCTTGCACATTGCTGTGTGTCCCACCCTCATTTACAAACACTGTGTTTGCTCTTTGTTCAGGGGAGGGCTTTTCCTCCCTTTAGCTCTGAACAAAACCAAGGCGGAGGTCTCGAATGGCAGCCCCTCCGCACATCCTGGATGTGGAGTACGGAATGGCTGCCTTCTGACAGCAAGAGAGGGAGGCCCTCTGCAGTGCAAAGCCCCACCCACCGTGGGGCACATGGGTAATGGCTGCCCCAAGTTCACGCAGGTGGGGATCAGGACTTGGGAATGGGCATCCACAGCCGTCCCCCCAAATGCATCTCCAAAGCCGTGCTCACGGAGCCTGGGCAGATGCTGCAGAGGTCCTCACTCTCTGGTGCTAGATGCCCTTTGAGGCTTTGGATGGCCCCTGGAGACCCCCTCCCACCCTAGACTGGCCTCTGGGAATGGTTCCTGCCATTCAATTACTAAGACCCCACTCACTTCACGCCGCCAGAGCAAACATGTATACGAAAAACAGGTCCGCGAGGGTGGACATCTGGAAACTCCTGGCTGTGCCCTCGGAGAGGTGGCACTCAGGCTGCCGCTACCACGTGGGGTGATGAGCCGAGTGGCCTAGAAGGCAGCAGTTGCCACAAACACACTGGGACAGGCACGGGAGGTGGGGGACAGAGCCTCGGCCACGTGCACTTCCCGTTCATCTTGTGTCCAAGTCAGCAGCCTTGGCGCTGACCGGCTGTCAGCCCTTCCTGCTTGCGCTCAGGAAGGGAGGGATCAAAGAGTTCCTCTCGCCCCATCCCTGGTGTTGAGTTAACGGGGAGAGGTCCCTTAGCCACCTGGCCTGGGAAAAATGCTTCATACACAGGTCTCAAGATGACTCATGGCTACTGTCATTGTGCCCCCTGGCCAGGTCACTCCGTAGGGACACTCACAGCAAATAAAGTCACTAAGGAGGGAACATGCGGGCCTGGGCTAGGCCGGCAGGGGAAATGCTAGCAGAACAGTGCTGCCTGTTTTTGTCTTTCCATGACCCCATCCCGGTCAGGGGCTTCTCCCCCTCCCAGCACCGACCGGCAGTGTCTGTCATGACCCTTCTTCCCAGCTTCCATGGAAAAGCACAAGCATCTGTCCCGAAAACAGGCCAGGGCGCAGGCCCAAGTCCCAGAATAGGGACAACTGCAGGTGGGAGGAATTTAAGTAAAAAGGCAGGATGCACACCTGGGCGGTACCACCAGCCCTGGGGAGGTTGGGATGAGACGGGACGGTGGGAAGGTGGGGGGAGTGCACAGGCCTGGCAGGAGGGGCCTCGGAGAGGGGAGGGGCAGTGGGAGCCCCTATGGGGCGGGCAGAGGGCAGGAGGCGTGGCGGACAGGGCGCTGTGGGACCGGGACCGACCTACAGTCGGCAGGGATTGGGGCTGGGGAGGCCCTGAGGGCCCTGAGCTACCCCGGGCTCGCTGTCCCGAAGATTCCCAACGCGATCTAACTGGGCACAAATAAATGGACACGCAGGCGGCTTCCAAAAGAGGCGAAACCGTTTATCAAGTCGGCGCCGGGGCGGTATCTACAGTATCTACAGTATCTACATGTATCTACACCGCCTGCAGGCGGGGCTCTCGGGCTGTCTACACTGCAACTGCCGGCCGGGCCGCGGGCGACGCGGTCTCGGGGAGAACAATAAATATCACTTCCTTCCGCCTCCGACCGGGCGCTTTGGCACTGGCGGGCGGGGACCCCCTTGGCCCTCGGGGCCGGGGAAGGACCCGCGGTGGCTCCAGGGACTGGGGAACCGGATACTTCGATAGCCCAAGGGGCTGGGGGTGGCGAGGGGGCCCCCATGGCTTCGAGGCTGGGGAAGGGGAGAGCCGCGGTGGCCCCTGGGGCTGGGGGAACGTATTCCTTGCTTGCCCTTGGGGCAGGGTGGCCGGGCCCGGCGAACTTCGGGGCTGTGCAGGACCGGGGCGGGAGCGCGACAGGGCCCGTGTTATCTGGGGCAATAGTCGTAGGAGCCGGGCGGCGCGGCTCCGGCCGACGAGTACATGTTGGCGGCCGCGGCAGCTGCGGCAGCGGCGGCGGCGGCCGCGGCGGCTGGACTCACGGGGTGGTGGTGGTGGTGCGGATGCGCGTGCGGGTGGTAGCCGTGGCCACGCAGGCCGGGCAGCGGGTAGGGCGCCGGCCGGCTCTTGGCCCCGAGATAGTGGTCGTAGGCGGCGGCCGGATATTTGTAGGGGTGGTGGTGCAGCGGCTCCGATGCGCCGGGCGCCTCCAGGCGCAGCTCGGGGTTCGGGGGACTGGGCCGGCCTCCGGGCGCGCCGGGCAGCGGGACTAAGCCGCCGGCGCCGCCGGCCCCGGGCAGCGAGGGGCTTAGCACCCGGGCCAGCAGCTGCGGAGGATGCGCCGGGTCCCCGAGCACTGCTGGCCCGCCCGCGTCGCGCTGGAATTCTCGCCGGGCCTCAGCCGCGTCTGCGGAGAGGGCCGAGGAGTGAGCGCGGCCGGCCGGGGCCGCCGAGGAGCTCCGACGCCCCATGCGAGGCCCTGGCGGAGAGAAGGCTCTTGGCCGCCCTCGGTGTTCCCCGACCAGTCGGTGCCAGCGTGCCCGAGACCCCAAGTCGCCGGCGCCCCGAGCCCTCCCCGGGGCCCGCGCCCCTCTGCGGGCGGCGGCGGCGGCGGGCGGGGCGCAGCCGTCGGGCCGGGCGGGCGAGTGCGCGCTTGCCCGCCGCCGCGGCCGTTGTGCAACCGGCGCGAAAGCCTGGAGCGCCCCGGGGGCGCAGGCGAGGTCGGGCGAGGCCGCCGGCCCGGGGTAGAGCGCGCACAGGGCCGGAACCCGGATCCCACGACCCCGGCCCTACCTTTCTCCGTGCCGCTGGGCTGCGTCGGGGAAGCCACGGGGTTCCGCGAGCGCGCGAAGGCGCTCATGAGCGGCAGTGCGCCGGGCCGGTGGTTCCGGGGCCTGCGGGCGGGAGGCGGATCAGGGCGGCGCCTGCGCCAGGCGCCCGGCGCTCACTCTCTCGGGGGAGGACACTCACCAGTCCTCAGGGTCACAGTCCCGGAAGCCTTTCGCGAAGGGATTGCTGGCAATCTTGAGCTGCGTGATCTGCAGGGAGGTGGGTGTGAGCAAGCCGCTGGAGCCCTGCAGCCTGGGCCACCCGACCTCGGCGGAGGATAGGGGAGTGTTAGGAGAAGCGCACCAAGGGCCTTTCTGCTGCCCTGACAAGAACCAGTCCACGTCTGCCCCTCCTCTACGGAGCTGGTGCTCCCTCCTGCAGGGGGGCGGGGGTCTGAGGAACCTCCTCTCTCACTAGGGAACCCCTCTCTGGTGTCCCCCAGGTGGGTGGGGATGGAGGCCCTGTGCTCCTCGCTGGGACAGGAATGTGGTCACCACCCCCCACGTGCAGTGGGGTGGGGGGTGGGGAACAGAGCGGGTTCCCTAGTAATCTGGGTAAACCTCAGATCAGGCCCCTGATGGGGAGTTTCCGGAATGGTTCGGAAAACAAACTTTCAGGACGAAGTGACAGTTGCCGCTGGAGAGGTCAAGCTGATAGGAGGCTGGGCCGGCCAGCCTCGAGAGGGAGGGGGCTGCCTGAGGCCCTTGGGAGTGGGGCTCCAGTTGGGTTGGGCTCCACTGGGACCACAGCCTGCAGGTCTAAGCGGACCCACTGTCCCCAAACGGCAACTGAAAATTACACCCGCTTTTCCAGAGGCGTTGAATCCGCTCAGGTCCTCCCCACAGGCCCTCACCCGATGGTTCTGGTAGGCAGTGACCGCGGTGAATCGTGTCTCCTCGAACACAAAGGTTTTGAAGTTCTCCTCGGCATATTTCTCGCTATCTTTGCGTGGGTCCACATAGACCACGTGGAAGCGGGGCTGGTATCTGTGCATGGAATTCAGAATAATCTGGAAGACAAGGTGGGGAATCAGCTCCAGCGGTGGGGCTGGGCTGAGGATCTGGGGTGGGAGCCAGGAAATGGGCTGAGGTCTGAGTTGGCAATGAGTTTCCTGGATGAGTTGGGCAAAACCCTTAATTCCAAGATGAGGCTGGGTCACTGGGCCAAGAGGAGGCTGTGACCCATTGGCAACTGCCAGGAATGAGCTCCAAGTGGCAAAAGATCTGGGTTTAGGTTCTCTTTCCTTAGGTGCCTGCCCAGCGACCTCACTGGCCTGGACTCCATAAAGCCTCTTTCTCCAGCCCCCTTGCAGGGCCCCATCTTTTCCATTAAAAAAGCTTCCTGCATAAAATCAGGAGTGGGGTGAGAGAAGGAGGGCGACCCCTCTCCCAGGGCCCAGGCCCACTAGGCTGTGCGACCCCTGACCAGAGGCCGCTCTCCTCATCGGCACACCAGCACTGCCCAAGCTCCGCCTCAGCCTCTAGCCTCGCAGGGACTCTAAAGGGCCTCCTCGGGGACAGCCCAGAGCCGCCTGGGGACAGCCGGGGGCCTGGGGATTCTACAGGCCTCTTAGGGACAGGCGGGTGCCTCGGGACTCGAGGCCTTGGGGGACACCGGAGCCTGGGGAGGCAGTCGCTCACGTGGCCGTTGTCGTCCAGTAGGTTGTTGGTCAGCTTGAGCTTGTCGAAGGACACGATTTGCTTCATCCACTGCGCGCCCTTGGCAGGCGAGTCCGGGTGGTAGTGCACGCGGCCTGGCGTGGCAGGGTCGGCCTTCCCCGCCACCAGCCAGGAGGAGCTGTGGAAGGCGTACCTGGAGCGGCACGGGGTGGGGTCGTGCATGTGGAGGTGAACCCAGAGGGCCTTGACCCGTGTGCTGGGCGAACCCTAAAAGTGCCTTTGAGAAGTTTCCCCACCTGTGAGATTGAACCCTCTGCTGCCGCATGTGCTGGGAGCTTTTCCAAGGGGGACTATGGACTAAACAGAGAACTCCCACCCACCCCAACACTCAAAACAATCAAGGAACTGGACACCCTGTGGGGCACCGAGAGGGGGAGGCTGGGCTCCTGCCATCTCATTTCGCTGGATGCGGGTCCTCCCGCCCCGGTGCCGCTGCGGTGGGAGCCCACACTTGGCCTTGCCGGGCCTCAGGCACAGGGCAGTGCGCGTTCTCTTTATTAATTGCTGTTAATTGTCCGGGCAGCTGAGGCCCGCCCTGCATAATCTCTCCTGGCCACCCCACCTTTCCGGCCCAGCTCCAGGATCCAGAGTTCCCTGGGGATGGGGGAAGGGGACTAGGCGCTCAGGCCGGCCTCCTGGGAGAGGGAGACTTGAAGAAGTCCGGGGCTGAGTACTTGGCTGACCACCCTAGGGCCACACCAGCCCAGGGGAGCAAGAGCTGTCTGCAGCCTGCGGCTCCAGAGGCGGGTTCTGAGAGGGCATGGAGTAGGGTTGTGGGTCTGGGGTCAGATGGGAGTGGAGGAGGGAGCGGGTTGATCGGGCAGCATCGCAGGTGCCTAAAGAGTTTCATGGTGCAGACGACCCTTGGAGTTGGGTCACCAGGCGGAGACCCGCCACTTTCCAGGGTGCCCTCCCGGTCCCTCACGCTTACAACCACTCGCTCACCGGTAGCGCTTATCGTCCACCGGCACGAAGTCCATGAGCAGCATATAGTCGGCCATGGGATCCATGCCGAAGAGCTTCACTTGGAAGGTGGGAAACATCCGCCTGGGGGTGATGAGGCCTTGGGTCACCCTAGCTGGTGGAAGGCAGCCCCCCTTGACCTGCCTGGGGCTGGCGGCCCCTCTGCTCGGCCCCTCCCTCCAGCCTCTGGGGGCTGCTGTGTCGTCCCAGCCCTTGGGCTCCATCTTTCCTGGCTTAGCTGCTCTAATCTGGGCAGGCCCCTACTCAACTGGGAGCTTGGCGCAGCAGGGGAGCCTCCTGGGCCGTTCCTGGACACAGAAATGGCCAGCCCAGCGCTGGAGCCCCCACCTTCGGCAACCTTGGCCTACATAAACTCGGCCTCGCCCTTGCTGACTTTTTGGCCTCTTGGTCCCAGCTTCGGCCGGCAGCAGGGTGCCTAACGTGCGCCCTTAGCAGAGCCTCCCCAGCTTGATCGAAGCAGCTCCCGGCTCCAACAAAGTGAAACCGGGTAGTCCTGTGTGAGTTCAAGGCGTCCCCGCTGCCCTTTTAGCTGGGTCTTCGGCTGTTACCCAATCCCCTCAGTGAGGCCAAGGCTCAGAGCCCTCCCTCCCCTGACTCTCAGGGCCCCTCTCTATCATGGCCCCATGATAAGAGTCTCCCCACCTTCCTCAGGGCACAGGGCAAGCTTCCACTCCCCTTAAGACACATAACCCCAAGACGCAGCTACCCAGAGTGTACTCAGTTTGTGTCTTTCCTGTTCCTCAAATCTCCCCCGCTTTGGACCCTGGCTCAGTGACCAGTCAGGGCTCTTGAAAGGACATTCTGCAGTGCCTGGACGGGTGTAGGCCATGGGCTACCCCCACATGATGGCACAGCAGTAGTGGCCGTGGGGCCCTTCAGGACAACACAAGGATTGGCCCTCACTTGCCGTCCCCTCTGCCTCCCCTCACAAGCAACTCCCTGCAGGCGGTGGGCAGAAGACAGATGCCAGGAGCCAGCCTCTAGGACAGGCCCGCTCCCTCCCCCACCCGAAGCCTCTGCAGGCTGGAGGGTGCTGCGGGACGTGGGCTCCCGGGTGAAGCCCAGCGCCGACAAGGCCCTTGCCGGGCTGGCCTGAGCCAGCGGCTGGGCTGCCGCTGTCCTCAGGAGGGCCTGTGTGCCTGGGGACAGCAAGGAGGGCCTGGAAAAAAACCACAGAGCTGGAGCAGAGCACAGGCCCAGGTTCCTCAGAAAGGACGCCGGCAGCAGGGAAACAGAAACCACGAGAAGGCTTTGCAAACAGGCCCTGAGCTCCCCTTGGCTGTTCGGACTCCGAGCTGGTGTGTACATTAGACACAGCGCGGCACCCGCCTTTGTCTACCGGTCAAATCGGGTGCATCTGCAAAACTTGTTCCCCTTGTCTCTTGGTCTTTAAAACAAATACAGGCCGGTTGGGAGGTGACGGGCCGCTGGATACAGAGCCAGGCCCCACAACTATAGGGATCTAGGTTGAAGGAAACTGGGTAGCAACTTCCACGCAACAGTGCACGCTGTTTTTAAGGGTAATCCTCTCCTGAAAGTGTCCAGAGAGTTGCCCGGCTGCCGCTCTTTATCTTGCCCGCATAGACTGAACTCCAGAACTGAACCAGAGTTTTCTTGAGGTGGGATTTACTAGGAGTCGGCCGGGCGGTGAGGCCCCCTGGACGCCGCTGCCTGCCCCCAGCCGGGTGCGCCCCAAGCCGGGCCGGTTTCTGGGCCGCGCGGCGTCCTGGGGCTGCGGGGCGGGCGGGCGAGTCCCGCGGGGCTCCTCGCCGTTCCCGTGCGGCCCGCGCCGTCTCCTCCCGCCCCGGCGGAGGATAGGTGTTAGGAGGGGAGCGCCGGGCGGCTGTCGCCGGAGCCGGGACGGCGAACAGCGAAGGAGGCAGCGGGGCCCAGAGGGGCCCGCAGGTGGCCAGGCCGCGCCCCCGACCCGGCTTTCGGCCCCGCTCGCGCGGATCAGGCGGAGGCCCGCAGCCCTGGCGGCAGCACGTGGGGAGGGTCGCGGCGTGGGGAGGGGCGCCCTGACCTGCCGGCCTTGGTGACGATCATCTCGGTGCCCAGCTGGTTGAACTCGTCCCACAGCGCCTTCATCTCTAGCTGCACGCTCACACCGGCCACCTTCGCGTTCTTCTTCACCGGCGCCTTGGCTGCGGCCGCGCAGCTGGCCCCGGGGCCCTCGGGCTCGGCGGCGGCGCTGGTGGCGGCCCCGGCGGCCGGCGCAAACGGGTAGGCGTGCGGCGGCGGCGGCGGGCCCGGGGCGCCGGGGGCGGCGGCGGCGCACGGGTCGTAGCGCGGCGGCGGCGGCGGGGGCTCGCGCGGGCCGTACGGGTCGGCGCCGGGCGACGCGGCGCCCGGGAAGCCCCCCGCGGCCCCCAGGCTGCTCAGGCTGCTGGCCGTGAAGGCTGCAACGTCGCAGAAATGCGAGAGCTGCGTGAGCCACGGGCTGGACACGGCGGAGATCATGACCCGCGGGCCGCCGCCGCCGCCCCCGCCACCAAGCTGAGCGCTGCCCCGCGCCGCGGGCCGAGTGGCGGGCGCCGCGCTGCGTGCGCCCCGGGCCGTGCAGCCCCACACCGCAGGCCGGCCCCGAGGAGGCGCCCCGCCCCGCCCCGCCCGGGGCCCCCCCACCCCCGCGCGGAGACAATGGACTAGATCCCTCCCCCGGCCCTCGCCCCTCCCCCGCCCCTTCCCCCTCCCCGGCCCCCAGCCCGCCCGCCGCGGCTCGCTCGGCCCGGGGCCCCCCGACCGCCCGGACCGGCTCACCGGTGCGCCGGGCCCGTCGGCCGGCCCTCGCTCTGCCGCCCGCCCGCGTGCGTTTCTCCTCTCTCTCTCCCAGACGTTCTTTTCCTAATTTGTTATTTTACCTTTGTCGTCCTCATTTAAATTTTCCCTCCCGATCATCTTTTTTCTTCCCCTATCTCTGTAGTTTCTCTTTATTTCTGTTTTACTTTCCGCCTCTTCCCCTTTTCCTCCATCCTCGCCTTCCTTTTCACTTTATTTTTAATCATTCTTTGTCTTTCTTTTAGTCGGTGCCTTTCCTCTTATTTTTGTATGTCCTTTGTTTTTTATGTTTTTCTTTTTAAAAAAAAAAAAACTAAAGTCTTTCCTTTTTTTCTTTTTTATGACTTCGCTTTCTGTCTTAAATTTTCCCTTCGTTTTCTCTCTTCTCTTTCGCTCTTGCTTTTTATTGCCTTTTCGTGTCCTTCTGTTTCTCCCCTACCTTCTTCTTTGGGTTTTTTGTGTTTTCTCCCCTTTGCTCAATTTCGTCTCCACGGCTTCCTCGAGGCTTTCTCTCCTTCTGTGAAACTCTCCCGCTCTCTCCTCTCTTATTAACTTTCCTCCCCCCTCTCCAGGCTCACGGCCACCTCTGCTCTCCTTCCCAGCCTCACTCGCCCTCTTCCGGGCCTGTGTATACCTGAGTGCCCATCTCCAAGCTGGGCCCCCAGGCTGGTGAGGGGACAGGCTGTGGGCGGGATGCCGGCTCTTCCTCTCTGCCCCAGAATCGCAGCCAGAAGCCTGGAGCCCACGCTACCAAGAGCTGCCTCCACCTACTTTGCACCCGGGCCCCACAGCAGCTGAGGCAGGGGGTCTGGCGGGCGGGCCAGTGTAGACACGGCCTGGAGGCTCACCTTCCATGTCCCTGGTGACGGTGCTGAAGTGCATCCCTGCCGGGGATCCTGGCAGCCAGCGAAGCTTCACCCGGTCGGAGGACCCTGAGCCCTGGTGGGCGGTGCGCTCCGCCGCCTCCGCTGCAACCAGAGAGGCGATGCTGAACGCACTGGCTCGGGGAGACAGCGGGCTCCGCGCGTCCATAGGCGCCCGGCGGCCTGGCCGGCGCCGCCTCCGACTGCGTGTGCCCAGCCGCACCGCGCCCAGCCCAGCCCAGCCCACGGAGTCCGGGGGCGGGGGCCTGTGGTGCCACTCACTGCCAGGGGCCCCTGGCCCAGAGGATTATGGCGTCATGGGCCCCCCACTTGGGGCTGGTAGCAGCCGAGGGGCCCAGACGGGTGGAGCACCCTGGAAGTGCAGGGCCCTCTTGCTTTCCAAGCTCCCTGCCCCCTTCCTCCATTCCCAGGGACCTCCATGACCAACGCCCCTTGAACATCCCGTTGCTCCTGCCAAGGCACGGCCTTTCTCTGTGCAGCGAAGCCACCGTCAGCTTCTACAGCCCCCCGAGGAGAGGTGTCTATGCCAGCAGCACCCAGCCCTAGCCCGAGGTGGCAGGGCACCCATGAAGCAGCGAGTGGCTGCCGGAGCCCAGCCCTGCCCCTGCCCTTGGCCCCTCCCGCCTCCACCTCCTCCCTGGCTGCCCCTGCACCTGGGTGAGGAGAGGGCAGCTTGGGCTCTCGCACCGGCCACTGACAGGAGCCCCAGGGCCGCAGCGTCCTCTGTTCCTTGGCGCAGCAGGACAGGACCCAGCCCAGTAAATGCCCAACAGCCCCCTGAAGTTGGCTCACTATCGTCGCTGGAGACCCCAGCAGAGGGACGCTGCCCAGGCTGCGCAGCCCGCGAGCCCGAGCGTCACGCGCACTTGCGCGCACCGCCCGCCTCTGGCCAGGACGCTTATACATCCGGAGGGTGGGCAGTGCCCGCTCCTCCGACCTCCCTGCGCACCGGCCGGGCGCAGGGAGGGCCGGGGGCGGAGCCTGGCCAGCCGAGGGAGCCGAGGACACGAGGACATGTTGGAGAACTTCAGGCCACTGGGTCGTATGCTGCCCCCCGGCACCCAGCAGCCAGCCTGCCTGCCGGGAGAAGCTCTATGGCCCGACCAGGCTGGGCAGAGTGAGGCCGAGGCCCGCCGCTCTGCCTGGTTTCTAGGCCCAGGCATCCCAGACGCCAAGGCCTGACTTGGCCTGTGCGTTTCCCCACCTACTGTCTCCAGGGTCTCCTCTAACCAGTTCAGCGCACCCATGGCTTTCCTGTACAGGGCCTCTCCAGCTGGGTGTCAACCTCAGCTCTGTGCCTCTGTGCCTTGCTGGAGCCTCTGTGCCTTGCTGGAGCCTCCCTGGTGCTGGTGGTCAGGGCCACTGTTTGCAAGGCCTCTCTGTATACAACCTCATTGCAGCCTTCGCTTGTGCATGCTCAGGATGGGAGTGGGAGGCAGGCAACCTCTCCCAGGGTTTTTAGGATCTCAGGACCTCAGACCCTGGGCTGGAGAGGATGCTGGCTGGGAACTGGGAAGGCCCAGTAACGGGCTGGGGGGCTGGGCGCCAGTGGGGAGGCTGGCCCTGGGCCTGAGGTTCAGGAACGCATGTGAGTCCAGGGCCGCAGTGGGTGAGTATACGAATAGTGCTGCCTGTCTGGGATGTGGTGTGTGTTGCTGCCTGTATGGGGTGCCTCATGTCCTGCCCCCCACAACCCCTGCCGCCTGCAGCTGGAGCTTTGTGGGCCATGTCAGAAAAGGGAAGCTGTCCTTAGTGCATTTTTCTTGCCCTGAGTAGTCATTCTGGGCCATGACAGTGACAATGACTTATGTCTCTCAGTGTCACTGAGGGGACCCAGGGACAAGTCCAGTGAGGAGTGCTGTGTGGGGATGGACCAGCTGGTTCCAGGCCCCTTTCCTTCCTCTCTGAGCAGGACCAGCCATTGTCCCCAGGAGCTGCTCCTGCAGGAAGGACAGTCCCGTGGAGGCGGGTGGTAGGGATGCTGGTGGCCGCAGATTTGGTAGTGTTGCAGGAGACGTGCCTGTGTTGGCAGTCTGCACCCAGAGAGGCCTGGGCCAGTCGGTGGGGGCATGGGGGTGGGGCTCCTGCATGTGCCCCAGCCTGAGGGTATGCCCAAGCTTGTGTCCTGTGTACATCTGCACACACCTCAGGGCACTGGCCAGATGTGGGGCCTGTGGGTGAGGCCAACATTGAGGAGGGAGAAGTGAAAGTGAAAAACCCTGGGGCCTCCTGGAGACTCTGGGTCAGCCGCTCAAGGATCGGTCCAGAGGTCCCCAGACCTCTGTGCCTGAGGTTTGTAGGGAGGAGCAGAGCCCTTCCAGCCCCCATTAACCCCTTCGTGCCTGAGCAGGACCTGCAGGCAGGCAGGGGCGGCCAGCTTGCCACAGCAGAGAAGAGGCCGTCAGGGTGGAGGAAACCCTGGTCAACCAGAAGGGCGACGGGAAGAGGTGAGGGGCCCCACCCAGCCGGCTCTGTTGGCCGACCCTACCCCACCGGCTGCCTATACTCACTCGCTTGATTTCGGACCCCCGGACCCCGTTGCTCAACGCTGGGACCCTCCAGGAGCCCTCGGCTAAAGGGGCCCGGAAGCCCTCGAAGCGCGAGGCCGTCCCAGCCTCCAGCCGGAGCCGCCGCCTCCACCGCCTCCATCGCGCAGCAGGATAGGGCTCCTCCGACCCTCCCTCCCGCCTAGGGCACCGCCCCGCCGCGCTCCGCCGCCCCGCCACCCCGCCACCCGCCCACACTCCTCTTCACCTGCCGCCACCCCACCCGTCGTGCCCTCCCGCAGCCCGGAGGGAGCGCGCCCGTCGGATGGCCCTAGCCCGGCACACGCGGGTTCCGCACGCGAACGCAGCGCCTCAGCACGGCCCGCGGCAAGTGTTCCTCCCTCCCTCACCTGGCCCGGCCGCGGTTCCCTTCCTCCTCGCTCCCCCTGCCGGCCGCACCTCCACACCCGCGCGATAGGAGGCCTGACTGGGAGCTCCCTTGCGTGGATCAGGAAGGTGAGGCGCGGCTAGGGGTCGCAGGGTCTGATTCCTCAGGGCTCGATGCAAGGCTAGGGCCTGGGCTGAGACATCTGCTCCTCCGCATGCAATGCGCAGCGAAGACAAGACGCCCATTTCTCCCAGCGCAGGGGGCGAGATGGGAGCTATGATACCATTTTACAGGCCGGAAAACCGAAGCTTGGCTTCCACTCGGGTAGGTAAGGGGTGGGGAGCAGAGGCTTGGCTGAGTGCAGGAGGCTGAAGGGAGGGATGCGACCGAGGACCCGCGGCGGCCTTTGCTGTCTGGGCTGCACCTCAGCCCTGCCCCAAGGGAGTCCAGTGTGCTGAGACTCGCCCCCCACCCCAGTCTTCGTAGTTGTGGGTGAAGCAAACCCTAATTCCAGAAGTTTTTTTCCCTAGCGCAGGTAGGCTGCCGCTGGAGAATTGTGGCCGCCCATCTGTCTGCCCAGTTCCGCCTCCCCTGCACACACGTGGCTCCCTCAGGGGAGCCTTCAGACAGGCACCCTCACGCCCACCCAGCAGGACCCCCTTCCCCTCCTATCCATAAAGGCACAGCACCTCCCCACTGCTCAGAATTCTGAGCACCGCTGGGTTGCCGCGCACCCTCCTTTACCTCCCGTGCGTCCCTGGTGGGCAGACAGTATACCAGGATCTTTGGGCTGGGCTGTGTTTCCCAGGCAAGTTGCGCCCCCAGCATTGGTCCCAGGCTACTTGGGGCAAATATACACACAGAAGGGACCGGCCGGAGGTTCGAGGTGCACGGGGGACTCCTCCTCTAGGCCTCAGAGTATGGAGAGAGCAGAATCGGGCTCCGCCGCGCACCGTGCAAAGGGAAGCACTGAGGAGCCGGGCTTTACTTGACCCTGCTAATTCGTTTTAGGATGGACCGCCTGGAGTTGCTTACAGCGCCCTATTTGGACGCGGCCTCGGGGTCTCGGGGAAGGCCCGCCGCCAGGAGCTGCCCTCACCGTCCTCCCTCCCGCCATCAGCAGCTCAGCCCCGGGCCCCAGAGAAGGGCGGGCGGCTGGGGGCCCAAACCTCGCCGGAACCCGGACAGGACCGCGCGCCCAGGAGCTCTGCCCTCTCCTCCCCTCTCCACTCCCACCTCTTGACTCCCAGCCCTCGGGGGCGGGCGCCAACACAGCAGCCTCGGGCGCTCCCCAATCGTCCCTCCATCCCACGAAAGTGCTTGGCCCACAGCACCGGCGAACGCGACATTCCGGGCGACCCTCGTGGCCGTGGACGAGCCGAGACCCCGAGCCTGGGAGGCGGGCGGGTGGGGCCGCGTGCCGGGGCTGCCCGCGGGGCCGCTGAGTTGTGGCCTCTGCCCCTTCGTCGGACCCCAGCCGCCAAGCCGAGAGAAGAACCGCGGGCGGGGGTGGCGGGGGAGGAGCGGGAGCGGGAGCCGGCACGGGAGCGAGCTGGGATCTGCATCAAAGCCGGGTCGGACATTAGGTCCTGCATGCGGAGGCGTTGACGGGAGTGCTGTCTCCCTCTGTGCATAGGCAGTGGGTTTGCAGCCTCTGGGGCGGGTGCTGAGTTAGAACTGGGGGCTGGGGACTCCTGGAGTGGAGGGACCCAAGCCAGAGCCAGAACAGGGGCCAGGTCCGCCTCCAGGGAGGGCTGGAGACAGAAGCGGTCTACTTCCCTGCCTGCCAGGGCAGGGCGCATTTGGGTCCACCGCCGGATCTCCTGTGCCACCGCAAACACTGCCTGCGATGAAGAAGGAGGCCGTTCCTGTTACCCAGCCTGGGGTCTCAATGGGAGTCCTCCCCAACCTGTGGCTCAGGTGGTCCCACTGCTCCTTGACCTTGCCCTCCCTGGACCTCTCTCCTCCCTGGCGCCCGCCTCCTGACACGGAAGTCCTCACCAAGCCCACCCCCACGTGTTCTCCTTGGTGTTGGGCCTTTACTCAAACTGCTGGGGTCGTGGGTACTCTGGCTGGTTCCAAGCTCTGGGGGGTGTGTCAGACAGCAGGCAGGAACCCTGCCCAGGAGCTCCAGGCCCACAGCCACGTTCCCAGGAAGGGGCCCAGGGCTTGGAGGAGGTGTCCCTGTGAGTCTGGTCAGGACCAGGCTGACCACATAGCTGGCAAAGGCCTGGGAGTTAGACACAGCCTGGTGTGCACACCTTGTGGCTGGGAGGACACTGGACAGGATGACAGGAGGTGTGGCCCCCTCACCCGGCCCAGAGCATCCCCTGGGACTCTTCCTAGGCCCCAGCACCATCTGCTCCCTGGTCCCAGGGCAGGGTCTGACCCGCCTGAGAGTCCTAGTGCCTGGACCCTGGGGGACAAAAGACTGCAGGATTGACAAAGAGAACAGCGAGACCCTGAGAGAGGCAGACATGGGATGGGGTAATGGGTGGAGAGAAGACTGGACAGGGAAGCACACAGCCGTGTGACACCAGCCTCCTCCCAGCCGGGAGGGGGCCGGCCAGGGTCTGCACAGCCAGCCGCATACAGCTGGTCCCCAACCTCCTGTCACCCGGCCTAGCTGTCCCCCGCAACTATGGGTGCGATGTTCTGGGCCAAGTTCCCAGGAGGACAGATGTGGGGAGATGATGAGAGGGATGGCTGGCCGGATGGGTAATGGCACCCTCTGCCCCCCGACCTCGCCAGGCACCAGGACTCCCTGCAGACTGGAAGTTCCCACAACTCCAGAACAAACAAACAAACAGACAGACTGATGGACAGCCCAGCCCTGGACCCCTCTCCAATTTCTGAGGCTGTTGATTTAGCTGCCCACTTGGTGGGAGGACCCAGCCACATGGGGAGCTGGCTGTCCATCTGTCTGTCCATCTCCTGGCCACACTAGCCCCTCCACCCCAGGTGCAGCCAGGCAGAGGTGAGGCTCTGAGACCCTGGAAGACCTATGTGCAGGCTGGTGAGGTGGCTGGATCTCAGCCTGGCGGGCCAGCTGAGGAACCAGTCCCTGCTAGCCCCCTTCCCTTCTGTGGCCCCAGCAGGGGGAGCCACACTTGCCAGGGGAAGGGACTTGTCCCAAAAGACCCTGGAGGAGTGTTGGCTGAGGGTGAGTGGCCAGAAGATGGACACGTGCAGACAGGCCCCTCCAGTTCCTCTGGGCAGCAGGGAACCCTGACTGGACAGTAGCTCCCATTTGCCCATGTTCAAGCACCCACACCACCACGTGCACACATACTCATGAGCATGAGCATGAGTGTATGTGTGTGTTCACACCATGTTCATACTCAGGCACACATACATGGGAGTGTGGGCACATATGCCTACACATGTGAGCATACCAATATTGTGACCATGGGCACATGTGTCCACATGCACATATCAGACACACAGACGTGAGCATGGGCACACACAGGCACACTGCATGCAGACACACGGACTGGGCCCAGACGCACACATGCACACTGTATGCCTGCAGACACGCAAGCATGGGCACTCTACATGTACACAGACGTGAGCACGGGCATGCATGCACCTCTGTACATAGACACACGTGAGCATGGGCACACACATGCACATAGCAGACACCAACACAGACACCAGTGTGAGAGAGTGTGCACACACAGCACATGTAGCAGATATACATACAGGCGCACACATGTGCAGGCTTATCACTCACAGTGGCCACTGTAACCCTTCTACAATAATGACGATGCTCACATGTGCCTTGGATTGACTTGACTTGGGCGAAGCACTGTGGAAGCTTGCTGCTGTGTGAGGAAGGAAGAATGCAATATTTCAGTCCTCTCCTGCTGGGTCATTTCTGAAGGGGATGCACTCGGATGATGGCATCCGACTGGCCAGCCTGCTTCCTTGGACATTGGTACTGGAAGAGACTCTCAAGACAAGATCGGTCTACAGAGAACCTTCTGGGTGGAACTCCTTGGGAGGCCACTTTCCATGCTCAGACCCCAACCCTGAATCTTGCTTGGTGGCGAATGAGCCCTGGGAAGCTCTGAGAAGGAAGGCTCTGGGGACAGGGCCAGAGGCAATGAGGAATGACAACTAAGCCAGTGACCTCAGCACCTTTGTTAATGGGTCCTAACGAGGCCATGCCCCCGTAAACATTGGATATGTTGTATCTCTCTTTAAAGATGCTTAAAGCATTTAAAGTAGTCAAATATATCACACTTGCAGTTTTCATTAAATGCTCAATTGATTCAAGTAGTCCATACTGTCACTGTGACAGCCCAGTGTGACTGCTGGGAGAGACTGTGTGGAAATCCTGTCTCAGTGGAGGGGAGGACTGGCCCCACACCCTGTGCCTCTCGGTCCACTCTGCTCCCTGGCCAAGCCCCCAAGGCTGCTGGATTGTCCCTCCTAGGCCAGGACTGTGCCCAGGTGCCCAGGCTGGCATTTGAGCCTCCCTGCCCACTGCTCTGGGCAGACCCTGCTCATATCTCCCCCTGTGCTTGTGGGGGCTGACCTGAGGCGCCCTCACTGACCTGGGGCCAAAGGCAGGTGGGCTGCCCAGGCTGGGGCAGGTTTTGGGGAGTGTCCCTGATGGGCAAGGCTCTAGCACGGGAACCCCTTTGCTGAGACCTGTGGAGGATCCCCAAGCCCGTGGGCAGAGGGGGACCGGGGCCTGGAGAGATTAGTTGCACAGGCAGCTTTCCCTGGTCGGGGTGGCGATGCAGGGCTGGGGGCTGCCAACTCTGTCTGGTCTCCCGCCTTCCCAGGGGAAGGAGCTGGTGAGAAGGCTGGCAATATTTCATTTCAAAGGAGAACAGGACTGCTTCGGCAGGACCCCTGTACTCTGGGCCCTTCTGCACAGGGAGGAACCAGCGTGGTGATGTCGCCCAGTCTCAGGAGCTGGGTCCAGGAGCGAGCTTCACCCTTCAGGGCTCTGTGTCTGGGAACACGCCCTGGCCTCTGCAAGCCTCAGTGATGCTATCTGAGAAGTGGGGAGAATGCTGCAGGCCCCATGGGTGGATGGAGCCAGCACATGTGGGCCCTCAATTGCAGCTCCCCAGCTGATGTCACTATTGTTGCTGCAGGGCCTCCTTGGGCCCCTCCCAGCCCCGCAGGTCCTCCCAGCACTGTGAGTAGGGTGGCTGTTGCCTCCATAGCCCCTGTGGAGCCTCCAGGCCTGGCGTGAGGTTTGGGGAGGGGGAATCACAGCTGGACCCCCCAGGAGGCCCAGTTAGGCACCCTCTCCCGGCTTCCCCACTGGGTCCCTGTGCCCAGATTCAGCCTTGGTTTCCCCACATCCACAAGCCTGCCCCAGCCCCACCCCAGACCTGACAAATCCCTTCCCTCCTCCAAGGCTCTGCTGAACCAGGTTGGAATTTCTCAAAAGCAAACAAACAGGCAAGCTCGGAGCTGCGGTTTTCAGAGCTCAGATTCCTCATGAGTCTGTCTGAGCCAGCATCAGGCCAGGCCGGCTGCCCCACGGCAGGCTGGATGGAGTGGGGGTCCTCAGCTGAGCACCCCTGGCCCACTGGCTGCTGGAACTGAGCAGGGACCAGGCTCAGAGCCTACAGTCCCAGACAGCACCTGGCTGGCCCGGTTCCCTCCTGAGACCCAGCAAGAATGGCAGGAGGCTGAAGCCAGTGCTGAATTTGGGTCTGGAGTGGCCGGGTGGGAGGTGGACGGGATCCATTGCCGTGGCTGGTGACGATGCCTGTATCTATGCAGGGCTGGGGGACATAAAGGGTGAGGATTGGAGGGACTGGAGGCTCAGGGTGGGGGTTAGGCCAGGGTATGGGCTGAGGAGAAGTGACCCGAGGTGGCCATCAGAGCGGGTGGGGACATCCTCAGGCCCATGGCAGGGCAGGGCAGGGCAGGGCGTGGAGGCTGCCGTGGAGGAACGTGGGGATGGGAGAGGAGGGCCGGGGCCGGGAGGGCACCTCAAGGGGCCGACAGGGTTAGGAGGGAGGGCTGGGGAGAGGGGAGGGGTGGGAGGGGTTCTCGCCAGGTGGTCTTAATCTCCTCAGTGAAATAGGAGTCCTGGGGGGTGGGCGGGGGAGGTGGGAGCTGGAGACAGCTGCGGGAGGGGGCCGGGCCTGACAGCCTGAGGCCACCAGGAACCCCTGCCTACCGGGCCGACGAGTGTCCGAGTGTCTGTGGGCTGAGACTCAGAGCCGGTTCTTCCACCCACCCCTTTTCGCTTGGCCTCATCTGCCTTTACTGAGATGATTTTGGTCACCCGGAGGGGCTGGCATATGTCTGTGGGGGTGTCGTCTGGGCCCTTCCTGCTCTCTTAGCTGCCTGAGTGACTGGGCAGGGCAGGGCCTGGGCCACTGACACCCCCTCACTTGGGTCCCCACTAAGCTGTTGTCTGCTCTGAGGTAATGCCAATGGGGCTAGGGGGTGCAGGGGGGAGGGAGGAGGCCTTGGCCATCCCTGTACACCTCAGCTTCCCCTGCCAGCCCAGCTCAGGGAACAGAGGGACAGAGCGGGGGGTGGCGTGGGTCCAGGACACATGTGGCTCCTGTGTGGACGTCCTGGGAGACGGGAGGGGGCATGGGCAGTGTGGAGGCGCGGGCTGCCCTGTCCTGCTAAGTGGGTGCTTGGCACCAGCTGTTCTGGGTGGACAGATGGATGTGAGCTTTTACCAGTGCCCTAAAGTCAATCCAGCCCCTCCCTCCAGCGTGTTTGCCAGGACCGAGTGACCCAGCAGCCACCCCATCCTGGGCGGGGGTGTGGACGGGTGTCGGGCTGTCTCAGTCTTCACCAGGAACTGCCAGGCCCTGGGGCTGGTCTGAGTGTCCAATGTACCCACTGCAGTGGAGGTCCCAGCCTGGAGAAACGGAGGCAGTACCCCTGACACAGCTGGCCTGGAACAGGTGGGGCAGGAGCACCTGGGCCATCCCTGGATCCTCTAGGCTGGCTTGGCTCTCCTGTGGACCCCATGACCAGGGCCCCTCTCTGCAGTGCCCACCCACACCCCCATGTGGCTCCCATGTAGACAGAGCCCCTGGCCACCTGTCCCCTCCCTCCCGGCCCTGTGCCCTGTCCCCACCACCACATAAGCCAGCCTTCTCCCCTTGCACCTGCTGAGCCCTGCACCCTGCTGATTCTCTCTGTTCCTTGGGGCTGTCAGGGTGGCACTCGCCCCAGGGCATTTGCTGTTGTGTCATTGTTCCCCCTGGGTCAGGCTCAGGGTCACCAGGGCTTCGGGGGCCAGGGAAGATAACCCCCGAGGCGACCAGCCGGCCTGTCTCCCTGTGTAGAGCAGCAGAGAGCAACAAGGCACAACCAAGACGTGCATGGTCTCAGATGTCACCGAGGGGGTGGCACATGAATCCCGCTAAGCCAGCCCTCGTGAGCTGGAGGCTGGGCAGAGGCACGGCAGCCCTGGCTCAAGGAACAGGCTGGGCTTGGGGGTCTCTGGACACAGGGCCGTCAGCCCTGCACTGGTGGGACTGGTTCACTAGCCTCCCAACTCCAGAACCCTTCAACTGAGTGTTCACGAGAGTTCCCTCATGTGGCCTCAATGTCACTAACCCCCGAGCTCCTCCTATCCATCTCTGCACATTCAAGACACAATGAGTCTTAGTCACGCCCACACTTAGAGTGAATTTTTGCAATTAAGTTCTTTCCTTAAAGTCTGCTACAACCAGCCAGAGTCTTAACTCAGGACAGAGTATGTTTCAGTCTAGGGAGATAAAATAGGGCGATACCCTGCAAACATCTGCAGGGCTGTGCAGGGTCAGAGGAAGCAGCCCAGGTCTAAGGGAAGAAATTTCGGGAAGGAAGTCACTGCTCCTAAATGAAAAAGAGCTATGCAACATCAGAGCTGCCTGGGAGGTAAGCAAACACAGTGCCCCAGGGAGAGCAAAGCGACCCTTCTCCCCTGAGGGTGGTGGGACACTGGGCTGCAGGGATGGAAATTGAAGGGCTTTTTTCTGACTCCAGAATTGGGTGTCTGGCTTTGCTTCCTAGGGATGGAGGTGCCTTCGGACTCTCAGTGTCTCCGCCCCAGCCTCAGTGCTGCACTTTGGAGCTTGCTTGCCTCCTCCACAGCCCTCCTTGCTAGCCCAGGACCAGGGGAGTGTGGGGTGACTGTGTTCTGGATCAGGGACCAGGGCAGAGGTCTGAGGCTGCAGTGGTAAAAGAAATATCCCAGTTTGACTCCCCGGAGCCTTGTAGGTGTTGTGAGAAGTGATAAAATGATTGTAGAGTCCCTAGCATGGTGTCAGCAAATTATACCTGCCATGTATCCCTTTACACACATATACGCACACCTCTACATCATATCTGCAAATTCTACCATGAGGATGCAGTGAGGGTCATTGTGCAGGTGCTGAGGACACAGTCCCGGGGTCTGGACACCAGCCTCTTGGTACAGGATGTCTCCCCCTTCATTCTACACGTGCTACCTTTTTTAATGTGGCCCCAACTGTCCCCTGCTCTGATCTTAAGGCTGGAAGTCTCCAAATCGGTGCCCAGGCCCTTTCAGACCTCCTGACAGCCCCCACCCCAACCCCAATCAACAGTTGGCCTATGGCCTGGACCTAGCTCCAGAGCCTCCCCCCATGGTTTATAAGAACAGCCAGCATCAAGCATCTTGGATTTCAGATAGGGGGACCCCCCACCTGGTGGCAGCTGACACCTGAGCCCACCCTACCCAGTGGCAAGGGGCAGGGGTGAGTGACCCAGCTGGAGAGAGCTGCCATGGGAACAGTCAGAAAATCCCAGTGTCACTCACCCTGATGCCAGAGGGGAGACTGAGGCACAGAACAGGGCAAGGCTGTGGGCATCTATGCAGGGCCGGGATGAGCCAGGGTCCTGCCACATCCCTGTCCCCGGTGCCCTGCCCACCCCTGCTGTCCACCCGCCCGCCCAGGCAGAAAATGGCCATTTCCTCCAGCCCCCGCCCCAGGGAGTGACACGGAGCTGGCAAAACAAACAGGCCATTCCTCCTGTGGCCGCTGGCTGGTGATGGATGGCCAGAGGGGCTGGCTGTGCTGATGGACGACCGCCCATCATGTGTGGGCCGGGGGTGGGGCCTGTCCAGGCCTCGGCCCAGGCACGGACACAGACTCCTCATCCCACTCTGAGACACTCCCACAGTGGGGACCCATAGGGACTGAGGCCCAGCACATCAATGCCTGGAGCCTCCAGCTCCCACTGGTTCCATGAGTTGTCCAGGTCCCCACTGCAGGTAGGGATGTGCCAGGATGACAGCATCTGTGAGGATGGGGTCTCCCGGGCACCTCCTCAGCTCCTGCCAGTTGCCAAGGGCAAGAGCCCCCTCCTCACACCTCTGCAGCCTGGGTTGACTGGGCTGCGGTCCCCTGAAGCATGGGGCTGGGGACCTCCATGGCCCAGGCCCCCCAGCAGGGCTCACGCAGGCTGGGTTGGGTCTGGGCTTCTTCTGTGGAGAGGTGTACCGGCAGGACTGATGGGGCACCAGATCTGGGGGCCTGGTCCTGGCTGTGGAGAAAAGGCCTTGGAGGGGCAGGGTCTCTGAGCTCCAGTGGGGTTGGGTGGGCATGCAGGAGGGCCAGGGCATGAACAGAAATGGGTCAGGGGCTGAGGGCTGGGGGTGTCTGACAGGACCCGGCCCACATGGCAGTGGCCTTAGAAGGCCCCAGGGTTCTCTGTCCTGGTCAGCCTGTCTGGTCAGGCCCGGGATTGTCACCTCACTGGAGAGATGGGCAAGCCGAGGCTGGAGAGAGGTCTGACTGAAGGGAACACAGGCCCAGGCTGAGATGGCCCCTGCTGTGCGCCCTGAGCTCTGCTACACCTGTCCACCGGCCCCCACAGCTGCCCATACCTCCAGACCAGGCTGATTCAGAGCCTTCCGGTCCTGATGCTGGCCACCTGCGGGGGCTGAAGGACAACCAGCTCCCCAACCTGAGGCCTGCTGCAGCACGGGCCACCCAGCAGCTGGCTGGCCGAAGAGGAAGGGGCAGCTGCGGCCAGGCCTCTGACCCTCCGGCTCGTCTGGCCGAGAGGAAGCTTCCGAGACCCCCACTTCCTGGACCTCTGAGTGGGCTGAGGCCCCACTTCCGCCGAGAGCCCTGAGCCCTGCTGTCAGCCTCTCCAATCCCAGTCCTGAAGCCCCACAACCCCCCAGCTACGTGTTTCCTGCTGCATGGGGTGGTGGTCGAGGGGGCGGTGACCAGGACACTCACCCAGATCTGGGGTCGGCAGGAAGCCCCATTGAATAGGGTGGGTGAGGACTGAGCTGATTGACCTCCCCTGGGGATGGGGCTGCCCACGGAGCCGGGTGATGACCTCTGCTAGGAGGGCCCATCAGATCCAGGCTAACCCGCTGGTCCAAGGCCAGCCCTGCAGGATTGTAGCCAAAAGGGAGCTTCGATGCAGCCATTCAGCTTCCTGGGGTGGGCTGGGGATGGCCCAGGCCCGCGGGCCCCATGGAGATGGGCGGTGGAGCAGCAGCTGGTACCCAAGCGGAACCTATATGAAGGAGGCTCTGTGGCGCTGGGGAAGGCTGGGCATGGGGGCAGGGCAGGTCGTGCCTCCCTCTGACCAGGGTTGTGGGGCAAGGGAAGTGGGGCTCCAGGGGGAGGTTCTCAGGTCCTGGGGTCCAGGAGGTTGCGACTGTGCCTCCCAGGCTGGTTGAGGCCGAGACACCTCTGCCTCTCCATGCTGTAGGGACAGGAAATCTGGGATCTGGCCCAGGCTGGCAGACTGGGGGCAGAACCAAGGCCCATGCGGGGCAGGAAGTGGCCCTAGACTCCAGCGGGGGTGGGGTGGCCTCCCAGGAGCCATTTCCTCCCTGGAAACATCCTGCCTGGGCAGCAGGAGGGAAAAGAGGGATCCAGCCCCGGCTGGGCAGGAAGGGCCTGGGGCTCAGCATCCCCTCGGGCAGGGCTCTGGGAGCTCCCAGGAGGGAATGACCTCATGGCACGTCTGAGCCTCCGGAGCTGAAAGGCTGGGCTGGGCCTCCCGCCAGCCCCCCACCCAACCTGAGCTCCCGGGCCTGTCCCCTTGTGCTGGCCTCCCTAGAGTTTCTGGTGCCATCAGCCCCCATCGTCCCGAGGCCAGGAGCTCAAAGCCAGACTAGCTTGTTTCCCATATGAAGCATGGCCGGCCCGCGCCTCCCAGCCTGCACATGGCCGATGGATGAGAGGACAAGGCCTGGAGGGAGGGGCCCTGCAGGCAGTGAGCAACCCACGGCGTCAGCCCAGCTGCCCCTGCTTGGGCATGGTGGGGGTCAGAGGCCCAGCTCCCACCCCTGTGGCCTAAATATAACCTGAGCAGGCGCCTGGCTGGGAATAGAGACCTCTGTCAGCTCCCAGCAGGTGCTAGTGGGAAGAAGGTCAGCATGATTGGCAGGGGTGCCAGTGAGCAAGCGGCCAGACTTGGGTCATGTGAGTGTCCAGTGGCACGGTCTGAGGGTGGGGTGGTGTGTCCTCACAGGACAGCTGGGTGCCCAGCCTCCCCTGCTCGAGGCAGCCCTGGCCCCTGCCGTTGCCTGTGCCCATAACTGAATGTGCTGCCACGCCCCAGGAAGGGGGGCCAGTCTGGCACTGGCAGCGTGGCTGAGCCCTTGTGCATGGGTCCAAACCTAACCGATGTCCCTGTGTCCCTTGTCCCGGCAGGGCTCTTCTGTCCCCTCCACCCTCAGGCCTCATCTTGCCCTGCATGCTGGTCCTTGTTCCACCCCTCCCGCAAAAACAAACAAACAAACAAACAAACAAAAACCCTCACAAAACTCTTCAACTAGCCCAGCTGATGGCACTTGATCCAGTGTTCTCCGGAGTCCCCTCTGGCCCTCAGCTCCTGTCCCGGCCTCTAGCTCCCCAACTGACCTCCAGGTGAGGCCCCCTTGAGCCCCACATCACTGGGCCCAGGGCTGCGAGAACAGCAGGTGGGCTGGCCCCGGGGGGAGTCCCTGCCCCCTCCCTCCTTCAGCTGCCCTCCCCAGCCTCTCAGGTGGCATCCTGGGCCTCAGGTCCCCTGGCCTGTTTGGGAGCCCATGTCACATCCCTCTGCCAGCCACCCTTGTGCATGGTTCTCACCAGCTGGCCCTGCTGCCGTCGCCCTAAAGCACAGCCTTCTCTCCCTGTCCTTTCTGCCGAGTGGAAGTGTCATGCTAAGAATCTGCGAATACACTGGAAAATACCAAGCAGACCCGGGAGAGATGGACCCTCCCCGGTTTCCAGTGGTGACCCTGTGCAAGGGTCCTGGGGCAAGAACAGCGACTCCTGGGGAGGAGAGACCTGTGTGAGGCACTGCAGGCTGCAGTGGTCGGCCTGACCCTTAGAGAGGGAATGGGGAGGGCTGGTGGAGGGGAAGGTGAAGGGCAATGAGCCTGAGGCACCCAGCCACCCCTGGACCCCACTGAGGTGTGTGCTGATTGAATAAGCAGGTGTTTGTCCGGCCCCTATGACGTGCGCACCACTGTGCCCACTGTGAAACATGTCACCATCTCAGGGGACAGAATTCCAGAGCCTTAGGCTCTGGAGTCTTGGGTCCAGGGACTCTGAACAGAACCTTGGGGAATCAGTCCTACCCGGCCAGCCTGCCGTGGCTGCTGGCACCATTTGCACACCCCTAGTGATGAGAAGCCCACTCCCCAGAAGCAGCCTGTGGCATCTGGGGCAGCTGGCATGGCAGTGCTCACTTTGCAGGCTGGTGGGTGGAAATCCCCCTCCACTGAGGGATGCACAGGGCCAACGTGGGGTGCCTGGTAGGACAGGCCTTGAACTCAGGGTTGGATGGGCCTATCACTCCTGCCCTGGCTCTCAGGGCTCTGCCGGGGCAGAACCCCAGCTCCAAGGCCCTGCCCACACTGGTCCACTAGACATGGGAGTCTGCACCGTGGGCTTGTTTGCTCTCCGTCTAGTTTTTCTGGTTTGGAGCCTGGGTGCCCAAGCTGGGCCAGGGGGCTGGGGATGGGCAGAGGGGGGCTGTGGGTAGGGGCTGGGCCTAGTGCCAGGTCATCCCTGGGCCTGGCCTCACTGCCACCTCCTGCCCTCGCCTGCCTTTGCTTGTGGACAGGTGGGTGAGCTCCACCCTGGGGTGCTGGGGGACATCTCATGGGCTTCCACAGGCTTTGAGGAGGGGGCCTGGTTTTGAGCCTGTCTGCCTCCAGCCTCTGGCCGGGTCACAGGCCTGGGAGGGGACCCAGGGTACAGCCCCACAGGAGATTCTGCGGTCAGAGGGTCTGGGGGCGAGGATGGGACAGGTTTCCGGTGATCCCTAGCCTTAGTTCTCGGCCGTTGACCTTCCTCAAAGAGGCCTGGGAAGCAAGCTGTGTGTGCCTGGGATGCTGCCTGAGGCTGGGAGGGGGCAGGGACTCCACCCAGACCGCCCCAGTGCCGTGGGCTCAAAAGGACCTCACCTGACAGGTGGGGAACCAGAGCCTGGGACAGGGGTTGAGGGCCAGTGTGGATTGGAGAGGACGCCAGACAGCAGGTGGTGGCCAGCACTCAGGCCCCAGGCACAGGGAGCCTCCACCCACATGGCGGCATCCTGCCCCCCATTCAAATCCTGGCTCCTCCACTTGGTCTGGTGAGGCCCTAACCTCACTCTGCCTCTGGAGGGGACAGATGGGGATCTTGCGGCCTTCCTCCCCACCCTGGCGCCCCATGTTCCACTGACCACCTCTTCTTTCCACCTCAATCCTAACAAAGTGCCTGGATACCCTCTCCTCTCCTCGCCCCCAAATCTGCCATCTGTCATTTCCCGAGACACATGTGGGGAAACTGAGGCCCAAAGGATGAAAGAAAATGCTGAGGGAAAGCAATGGGAGCTTGGGTGGAGCTGTGGACAGGGGTGTTATGGGGCCTTGGAGGCAGCAGTAGGCCCCCTGGGGAGCACTGGTTCCCCAGGCAACCTGGCTTCAGCCACCGCTGGGCACATTTCCCCAGCCCCCACAGCCTGGCAGGAGTCTACCCACAGCGGCAGCCTGGCTTCCAGGCCTAGTGAGAGGCTGGACCAAGGATCTGCGGATGGCATCTGGGCCCCTAAAGTGGGAAGTGGTGCTGCAGAGGCCCAGGGTGGGCACCACCCCTAGCTCTCCTGCCAGCTGCCCTTCCTCTGGGCAGCTCAGGACACCCGGCCTTAACACCCACCCAACATTTACCATCTCCATTTCAGAGCTGGGGAAACTAAGGCGGCGTGACGTCATGTGTCTGTCCTCACAGCGTGAGTCCAAGACTGTCCAGTGAGGTAAGTGGCGGGGCCAAGCCTGGGACTGCCCGAGGCGGGGGCTGGTGGGTTTCCTGGGGGCAATGGACAAGGAATTCCCCGTCAGGGGAGGGTTGCTGAGTGCTTGCGCTGGAGCTAGGAAGTGGGGGGCATTCCTGGGCTCACGATTTAGGCAGGATTCCAGTGGGTTTCAAGGGTGCACAGGAGTCCACCAGGGCAGTAGGACCAGCGAGGAGCAGACCAAAGTCAGGTGGTGACACCCTCCAAGGCCCCATGAGACAGCCAGAGCTTCAGGTGAGCAGACAGTGCCTGGAGGCGGGACATGGCCGAGGTGGACTCACGCTCAGGTCTGCACGAACCCAAACAGCTGGCCAGAGCTCCGTCCCTCCTCCAGACTGAGGCAGGAGGACCTCAGGGGTGGTGAGGAAGGGTCCACACAGCCAGGCCAGCTGTAGGCTCTCTGGAAGCACTGTTCCCACCCTGGCCCTTGGTTTCCCCATCTGTAAAATGTGGACATGGTCCAGAGGAGGCTTGTCAGCTAGTGGGTAGGAGCTTGGCCCAGCCCCACCAGCTGAGAGCAGACAAGGAAGGGCCTTGGTGCCAAGTGCTTGGAGGGCTGGGCTGGATACTGGGCTGGCTGGGTCCTTAGGATGGCCTGTTCTGGGAGAACCTGGAGAACGTCTCTCCCCTACACCCCCACATTCCCAGCTGGGCCCGGATGGCCCTGCCTCCGAAACATTTTTTGGAGATACAGCCTTCATTATTAGGCCTTAATTCCTCACTGCCCAACACGGCCCCTGCCTCCCTGCTCTGCTGTCCCTGACCCAGTCACCCCTCCACTTGTGATGCTCCTGCTCTCAAAGGCCCCCAAGGAGGCTCCCAGAAGGAGGTGGCACCAGTGTGGGGCCTGGAGCCTGGAACTCATGCCCCTGAGCCCAGGCCAGCTTCACTCAGCCTCAGCCGAGTGTCAGACTGCCCTATGGTCCAAGCGATGGGGAGTCCCTTCTATATATAGAGAAAAAAACCCTATCATGGCCAGGTGCCATGGCTCACGCCTATAATCCCAGCACTTTGGGAGGCTGAGGAGGGAGGATCACCTGAGGTCAGGAGTTCGAGACCAACCTGGGTAACATCGCAAGATCCCACCTACAAAATATAAAAAAATAAATTAGCCAGGCACGGTGGTGTGTGTCTGTGGTCCCAGTTACTCAGGAGGCTGAGGTGGGAGGATCCATTGAGCCCAGTGGTTCAAGACTGCAGTGAGCTGTGATTGTGCCACTGCTCTCCAGCCTGGGCGACAGAGCAAGATCCCATCTGCTGCGGTTCCAAGCGCAGGAATCCTGCAACACCCCAGGCAGACATCGCCAGTCAGTCCCAGATCTCCTGTCCTCTCAGATAGGAAGCTTCAGGTGTCAGCTCTGAGCTCCAAGTGGCTCCTGCCAGTGGCTCAAAAGCAGCACCTGTACACGCCCACCCTGCTAGTGGTAAGAAAGGGAGTATCCCTGGGCTCTGGGTCAGGCAAAGCCAGCCCTAGAGGGGTTCAGGGCTCTCAGTGAGCCTCATCTGATGCTGGCAGCCGAGAGAGGGACCAGCAGAGCGGAGAGCCGACAACGGGGCCCCCACCCTCAGGTTTCGGGGAACCTTAAGGTGCCCAAGGGGTTCCAGCCTTGCCCCTGCCTGTCACCAGAAACTGCAGTCCAGGGAGGGGCAGGATTGGTTCAGGGGAGGGGTCCTCTCCTCCTCGCTGGCCCTGCCCCCACAAGGCCCGGGCGGGCGCCGAGGCCCAGCTCGGGCTCCAGAAACATTTGCTTTAAGTCTTAAAATATCAGGTTCCCGCATCATGGGGCTTCCCTCGGGGCCCGCTGGGCAGGCGGGAGGGATTTTAGGAGTAAGAAGAATCCCGCTCTGGCCCCCACCCTGCCAGCAGCTCTGCCTTCCCTTGGCCTCAGCTGAAGCCAGCCAAATGTTTGTGGGGTGGCTGGCTGGGCACCCACTCTCCTGCTTTGGAGGAGCCCCCAGTTGGCCTGTCCTCTTCAGGGTCCCTCCACCCTGCTTAGAACACTGGCCTTGGTTCCTGCCCAGAGTTCACACTTGCTCCCATAGGACCATGGATACTGTCAGCCAAGGACAGTTCAGATGGGGAAACTGAGGCATTGGGAAGGAGGCCTCCTTGAGGAGTCAGCCTTTTTTGCTCCTGGAGGTGGAAATGTGCACCCCCCACTCTGGTGTCCAGCCTTGTGCCAGATGAGGGGCATCAGGAGTCTTGTAAAGAGAATGACACCAGCTGGGTGCAGGGCCCAGTATTCGGGGTGGGGTCCTGGGGCAGGAACACTTGCATGGGGTCTTGAAGGTTAAGTAGGAGTTTTAGGATGGCCCTGGTGCAAAGGCTCCCTCGACAGGAGGAGCAGCCACAGCAGAGGCCTGGAGGGCTTGGGCTGGCGCCAGGCTCATGGTGTATAATGGAGGCCCTGGTCCGCCAACACAGGCCCAGGGAGGAGGTGGGCTTGGGTGCTGGGTGAGGGGATGGGGCCTCAGGGTGATTCCATGCTCGGAGCAGGCTTTGGGACCTGCTGCAGTTGGGCTTGGGGAGACAGGAGAGCACCCCCTGCTTGTGGGCTCTGCCACTCAGCTCGAAGGCGGTTCTCTCCTACCTCTACTGCCCAGGGACCACTGACTGGAGGAAGATATGGCCCCCACACCCCCTCACTCCCTCCCAGGCAGACCACCAGCCTTGGCCCCAGGGACAGGCCTTGGTGCAGAGTGGGAATTGGAGCCAGGCAGCAACAGCTGGGCCCACTGGTGCATCCCCCGCCAGGGGCCCCTGCCTTCGTTCCCAGGCCCCCGAACCAGCCCGTTCCCAGGCTGCACCCCACCCCCGAAAACACACTGCCTGGGATGTGAGCAGAGGAGGCTTCCAGGGGACCACCGGCTGGGAGGTCTCGCCTGTCCCCTGGCTACCGGGACGCAGGACCAGCCACCCGCAGGCCCTGAGGAGGCCCCACCTCCATCCCTTGTGCTTCTGTCCGTGGGCACTCCCTCTGTAGGAATACACACTCCAGAGTGGGGGCGTGGGAACTCGGCAGTGCTCACGCCCCCTGTCCAGCAGGGACCATGGCGGGGGGGCGGGACCCCAGCAATTCTCAGAGCAGTTTTGCGCGGATCTGTCTGTGTGGAATCGTGTCGTTTGAGGGCTGCCGTCCCTTCTTGGCAGCACGCGTGGGCTCTCTGCTTGCTTCCTTGGGAGCAAGTGCCCACGCCCTGCTGGCAGACAGTCGGGGGTGCCAACTTCTTTCTGTGGCCAGCGAGGCTGTGCTGAGGCCAGGAGTGCCTGTGTGGCCACCTGGTGCCCTCTGGAGAGACCTGGGTGGGTCTGTCCCTACCCGTGCCCGCCCCAGGTTTCTGGGGTGTCTGAGCATCCGGCTGCCTGTCTGTGCCCAGGGCCCCCCACACCCTGTGCTGGGGTGAAGCTCCCATTTTACATGTGGGGAAACTAAGGCCGTGGCTGACCCCTGAGGAGCGGGAGGGGCATCTTGTGGCTCAACAGCCATGGCTGCAAGTGACACGGAGACATGGGGGAGGGGCACAGATGGATGCCTAAGACCCACACTGTCTGGGCCGTCCTCCTTCGTGTCCGGGGCTGTAGAAGGCAGGACTGGGGTGGCTCCCTCAACCCGGAGGAACCAGGCACCGTGTCCCAAGGATCTGAGGTCGCTGGAGTCCCCGAAACCCGAGCCAGCGGCTGGCCCTGGGAATGGGCGTCTGACCCCTCTGCGGCCTCCAGGATCCCAGAGAAAATCCTTGAGGCCGAGTTAATACCACGACCAATTTTTATTTCAACAAAGTTAATTCTCAACAATGTGATACTAACGGAGAGGGATTTTCCTGCTTTGGAGGAGGGGGTGGGGGTCCTGACACGGCGCTGCCCCTCCCCTCCCCCTACAGCTGTCCTCGCCACAGGGCAGGGAGTGGGCCTGGAGGGTGCAGTGGGGAATGGAGCAGTGCCTCTCCTGGAGGCGACCCCAGACCCCCAGGGAGGGCTGCCTCCTCTATCCTGCCCGAATGCCCTCCCTCTACACAAGCCCCTCCCCAACCCCTGAGATGGGCCAGGGGAGCTCTAAGCACCTCCACCTCTCCTTATCTCCTCTCTGAGGGCCAGGTCTGACTCCGTCTGTGACCTGGGCACGCAGGGGTTGATTGGGAAGTTGTGCTAAGGAATGCATGAGCTCCAGTCCCTAGTGGACCCCTGACCACTCCCTGTGGTAGCTGGCCAGGATTCAAACTGGGCAGGAGCAACCTTCCAGGCACCTCTGCCCAACTGGGGAGCCCCAAGGGAGTAGAAGGGGAGACTGGAGGAGGAGGGGCACTCGGGCTTGACCTCAGTGACCTCCCAGCTGAGCCCACAGCCGGACCCGGAAGCCACTCCTCCTGCTTGGATAATCGATGGTCAGGAGGGTCCCGAGCCCTGTCAGAAATTCCTCCTGACAATGACCACATGGGCTGTCTCACAGGGCTAGGCCCTGCCCTGGCCGCCGGGCCACCTCTCTCGGTCCTGGCCCACTCCGTCACCTTAGCCTCGGCCCCTCTGGCCTTAGGTGGGCACTCACTATTCCCTCCTAGACAGAGGGGATGCAGGGCCCAGGCAAGGCATGCCCCCTCCCTGCTGGGCCTGTGCCCTCCCCCACCCTGCAAACCCCAGCACTGCCCAGGACCTGCCACCCCGAGTGTTGCATGGGTGGCTCCTATGGGCATAGCCAGGGGAGCCCATGATGGGGGGACAGATGGGTGGAGAGGAGGGGCATTTCCAGCAAAGGAACCAGAGTGTGCAAAGGTTGAGGGGTGCCTCACTCGGAGGGCACTGCCAGAGGGCAGGAGTGAGGCCCAAGGGCACTGCCGACAGGCCAAAGTCAAACCAGATGGGCTGAGGGCCCTGGGGGGCAGGCGGGCCATTCGTCACCGTTATCTGCCTCGCTGCCGAAATCACAAACACATTTTTAAGTGAAGGACTGGCTGCCACTGGCCTGCGGGCCCTGATGCCGCCCAGCTGTGGCCATATTGGGGGCGGGGGTGGTGCAGGAGGGAGGGGTGCCTGCTGCCTCAGGACCCACCCCCCAGGCTGTGTACTGGGGCTGCCTGAGGGGACAGAGGGGCTCCAGGTGAGGGATGTACTTTCTGAATGGGCTGCTGGCTCAGTGGTCATTCCACAGGATGGGGCTAGGGGCAGAGACCAAGGAGAGAGACAAAGACAGAAATAGGGGCAGTGATAAAGAGAGACAGAGATAGGTGCAGTGGGCCAGGTACTTGTCATCAGAGACCCTCCCAGTGTGTGCAGCACCAAGCCATCCAAGCTGCGAGGCACGGCCCAGTCTCACGGCGGCTGTGTCTGGCCTGTGTGATGTGGGCAGGGCCATGGGAGACTCAGGGTGGCCCGTGGCTCCCCGTCTCTTGGGGTGCAGGTGAGGGTGGGGCCGGCACTCCATGTGGCCATTGCTCCGGGAGCATAATGCAGGTCCTGCCTGGCACCCGGCAGTCCCCTCGACCCGGCACCCTGGACCCCTGGGCAGGTCCTCAGGGGTGGGGGGCGCCGGGAGAAATGGCCTGTGACGGGGTGGGCGTCCATGGCGGGAAAGCAAACAGTGTCAGTGGCTAATGAGCGGGAACCGGGCCTGGGGCCGAGGGCCGGGGAGGGGCACGGCCATCGCTCATCCTGACAGCGGGCGGTGAGGGGGGGCTGGGGCCGAGATGGGAGGGAGCTTGAGAGCCGACAGAGGGTCCCCTGGAGACCCGACCCTGCACACAGACAGACCGACGGACGGAGGGGAGGCAGCCAGGTCCCAGGCCCCAGCTGTGGCCCTGATGGGACCAGCTTGCCAATTTGCTCCATCAGCTCCCTGTTGAGGCTTCAGCCGGAGGCCCCACCTCCAGACTTTGCAGGACAAAGGTGGCTCCGTGGGGAGGGGTGTGCCTAGGACCCCCTTTATTGCATACTAGGGAGCAGGAATCCAGGATCTTGAGGCTCTGTTATCCTACCCATGTGACCTGGGACCTCTGCTCTCCCTGGGCCTCAGTTTCCCCATCTTTACAAGGCAGAGGAGGGCAGGTGAGCTCTGAGGGGCTCTCTGCTCTGATTCGACAGTATCTCCGCTCCTCTTCCCTGTGTGCAGCCCCAGCTGCCCTCGAGGCCCCCACCCTTTCTGACAGTCCTCCCCAGATCTCAGTACTCCCAGTGGGCCTAGTGGCAGTGGGTGGCTGACTCAGCACCTGAGGGGAGCCACCCCCACACCTGCTGTCCCTGGGGCATCCAAGTTGTCCCCTCTTTCTTAGGTGGGAAGATGAGAAGCCGACTGGAAGGGGGCATGGAGGCTGGGACATTAGGCTGGGCTCTGGGCCTCCATGCCTCTGGCACGTGGGCAGCCACTGTGCCCCCAGCCCTCACCCAGGCAGAGTGGCCTCGCCTCTCATTGCCCCAAGCACCCTGAAGTTGCAGGGTTTCTGTGCAAGACCAGACCTTGGGAGCACTCCTAAGCCCTCCCGGCCCAGCCCGCCCCCATGGCCCCACAACAGCCCAGTGGAGTGGACTGGAGGTTCCTGCCTGAGAGGTATCCCGGCCCCTGTCCTGCCTCAGCCAGGAAGGGGGTGCAGCCATAAATTCACACCGCCAGCCGCCCGCGGGATAAATGTGTCGTCGACTGCACAATTTACGAGCACGCCCCTGGCCCGAAAGGCAGAGAAAATAAGCCTCTGTGTACACATGGTGCAGCGGGCAGGGCCAAGCTGCTACGAGGGGCACACAGCAGGGAGGCGGGGCAAGAGGTGTGAGGACACACTCATGGGGGCATGGGACACAGATGGAAGTGTGACTGCACATCTCTGGCACATCCACACACACACACAGGGTGGGACTGGCACACTTAGAAGGTGGCCCGGCATGCCTGGGGCCACTCTGCAGGCTTGCCACCCGGAAGCTGAGTGGTTAGCCTTGAGGGTGACCCACTGTGGGGCGGTGATGTCTCCCAGGGAAGGAGACCCTCCGATGCTTGCTGTGCATGTACCTGTGTGAGCAGGTTCTTGCCCGCCCCAGGAGGCCCAGGAGGACACTGACAAGGGGTGGCCTTAGGGCCACTGCATGGGGAGTCAGAGGCAGAGCTGGTACCGCATGACACAGGGGAGTGCTTCGGGAGATGGGGCACACGGGAACAAGGGCTGGGGCTGGTGATGCCTTGGCTCTGCTTGGGGTCCTACCTGTTTTTGAGACTCAACCGGCCTTGTCCCAGAGGCCTGGGGACCCAGGGGGCCTCTGAGCACATCCAGACACCAGTGCAAAGGGAGCAAGGCCATGCAGCCCCGAACCCTCACAGGCCTGCCATCACACCTGTGCACAGCAGGCTTGTGGCTCCACTGGTGTCAACCAAACTCCAGCCCGAGTCACCTGCTAGGGCCAATCCAGGTACAGCAGCCCACGCCTGAGAGAACATGGGGAGGACTGCAGGAAGATTCTGGGAGCACTCAGGGAGGATGTGGAGAGGATCCAGGAAAGACTGGGAGGACTCCAGGAGACAACCTGGGGAGGGTTCAGGGAGCTTTTGGGAAGATTCAGGGAGGGCTCTGGGAGGATTCAGGGAGGACCCAGGGAGACTTATAACAGCAGGATTGAGTCTAGCCAGGACTTGGGAGGTCTGTGGAGTCTTCTGGCTGGCCTTAGCAGGAAACACCCTTCTGCCTATGATCTGGGGATGCTCTCCGTGCTCCAGATGGTCCTCCTGTTGACCTTGCCACAAGAGACTCAAGAGTGTGACCCTCTGGGACAACTCCTGTTAGCAGTGGCTCCTTGGCCAACAGAGAAGGGGCTGACTGATATCCCAGAGACATCCATGGCAGCACACGGCACCTGGCACCCCTGGGGAGAAAAGGCCAGATCACTGACCCCTAGACTATGGACCCTGAGCAGACACCTGTCAGAGACCTGCTGACCTGAGACACCCAGAGCAGGACTCTTCAGGCTCAGAACCCCAGACCAGGGACTCATAGACTAACATTCCATAGACCTGGGATTCCCATACCAGAGAGTCCCATGCCAAGGACCCCAGGGCAGAGGGTGGCCAAGAGAGGCATTTAGTGCCAAGAGAGGCCCTGAGCTCACACAAACAGGTCCATCCCCACTTTTGCCACAAAGAAAGTCAGTGGTCTCCCACTCCCCTCAGCATAGATGCCTGGAACCTGCTTGGTCTCAGAGTGACCAGGTCCTTGGCCTCACGTACTGCTCTGCGTACTGGTGCCTCTCTGGCCCTAGCCCCCAGGCTACCCTCCTGGAGGAAGCCAGTGCAGTTGGTGCCGCGCGAGCACCTTCAGTGGGCAATAAGGGCACGGGGTGGGCATGCTGGGACAGGCGGCTGTCAGGGGCTCCTACCCTCCCCAGCCCTGCTCAGACAGCAGCCCGTTCCTCGGCATTTACAAAGTTTGGCTGGAACTCTTCAATAGCATCTTTAAATAAACAAAGCATAGAGAAAAGCAACTCCCCAAATACAAAGCACATCAAAATAGATTTTGAAGCAGACACCCGGGCAGAGCTCGGCCCTGGATCTGCCCGTAGGCACCTCCTTGAAGCCCCACCCCAGCTTGGGATCCCCTGACTGGCAGGTACAGCTGCCACATGGTGCAATGCAGTTGGCAGAAGCCTTGGTCTGCTCTGTGGGCTGATGCTGCCCTGGGACCCTCACCCCTGGCTCACTGGACCTCCAGCCATAGACTGAGGCTTTCCTCCCAGGAGTGGGCACCCTAATTCTGTCAACATGGTCCAGCCAAATGGGGACCTGCTGGTGCCCAGCTGGGGTCTGTGCCCCCACATCCCATGGGTCCATCAGGCAAAGTTCAATGGCTTCCCTTCCAGATCCTCCCATCTTTGAGGGTTCCTGTACCCCACCAGGAGTGCAGTGACCTTGCAGGGCTGGCCCTAAGGTCCTGCGTGGCTGGGACAAAGAGAGTGGAGAGAGTCACACCTGGGCGGCCTGGGAAGGGCAGGGCAGACTGGTCCCTGTGGTTGAGTGAGCCCTCGCCTTCCCGGCCCATTTCCAGTCTGTTAGGCCTGGAGTCCCTCAATTTGTCAGACATGCTTAAATACACCTAGGTGAGCCCCAGAGGACTTCGTACTAGGGGGAATCCCAGTGCGGGGAGGAGGGAGCTGGCCCTCTCAGGAGGGATGGAAGAGGAGTGAAGTGCCTCTGCCAGGTGGGGGTCTGGGGCCAAGGGATCTGCACCCCCCCAGCCCTTGACCCTGGCAGCCGGCAGGCTCCAGACAGGTCTGCACACTGGTATGAATGATTGAACGTGAATGGATGACGGGAGATGGGCTCCCCTGCACACCCCAGCACCCTACTCCCCTTGCGCTCTTCTCCCTGGGACATTCTGGAAAAGCCAGACCCTCCTACAGGCTGAGCTGAGCACACTTCCAGCTGCTGCACACTCTGAACCCTCCCCTGAGACATCGCTAGTGCTAGACTCAAGGGTTTGCTCTGAGGATGAAGGCGACAGTCCAGGTAACCAGGCCCAGGCCAGCCCAGTGACAGTCAGTGCCTGTCTCAGGCACAGAATTCCAACATCTCTGAAGGTCTTTCTAGACAAGAAGCAGCCCTCATCCCCAACCCCACGGCTCTTTGAGACAAGCTGGGGTGATGTCACGGTGGACATCTGTGTTTCCTTGTGTACAATGCCCTTATGCCCACCACGGGAACCCTGGGAATGTCTGTAGGCTAGACCCTGGACAGGGGTTGCTGAGGCCGGCCCGGCTAGAACTAGGCTGCTGAGCACACCCCACAGCTCCAGGGAGCACTCCCCCAGGCCCTCTCAAGCCTCTCCCACTGGGTACTGACTCTGCACCTGCCCTGTGTGTATGTGTGTGGGGTGCGCTCACCTGCGGGGGATCCACCTGGCCCATCTCTCACCACCTTTTGTCCAGCTGGCCCTCAGTACCCTGGGGGGTGGTGGTGACAGGAAGACAGGATAGAAGGAGGCATTTCCTATGGGCAGAGAAGACCCCCAGGAGGGCTTCACTGGGTAGGACATGCTGATCCCTAGTTCCTGAGGGGCCAGCAACAGGGGGTCTCCTGATGAGGACACAGAGTTGCTCCCTGCAGACGTTTCCTGTCTGGAGAGAGAAAGTGAGGATGTGAGTGTGTACATCCAGTGTAGACAGTGCTCAGTCAGTTCGACTGTGCTGGGTGTGGGGGCCACTGGGGTTCCCCTCAGGGCTGTTTATTTTTATTTTATTTTTTTGAGACAGAGTTTAGCTCTGTCACCCAGGTTGGCGTGCAGTGGCGTGATCTGGGGTCACTGCAACCTCTGCCTCCTGGGCTCAAGCCATCCTCCCCCTGCAGCCTCCAGAGTAGCTGGGATTACAGGTGCCCAACACCACCACGCCCGGCTAATTTTTGTATTTTTAGTAGAGGCAGGGTTTCACCATGATGGCCAGGCTGGTCTTGAACTCCTGGCCTCAAGTGATATGCCTGCCTCAGCCTGAGGGCTGTTTAAAGAGGGACAGACACAGCCAAGGACAGGCCTAGTCCCTAAGACCAGTGGCCCTGAAGCCCTCCCTTCAGCCTGTGGAGGTAGTGCTTTGAGAGCCCCTGCTGATTTATGGTCCTCCTGGGGGCGGGCAGGCGGGGGACGGAGTTATGGCTGCAAAGGTCTCCCTCCCTCCTCTACCTCCCTGTTGGGGGTCAGCCGGGGTGGGGGTACGGTGGCTCTCAGCTGGTTTCCAGATGGGCTTTGTGGAAGGGGCGCCCAGAGCGGGGAGGCCAGACACCCAAGCAAGGGTCCTGGCCCGTGTCAACGGGGCCACCACAGTGCCACTGTCTCTGGTCTCTCCTCTAGACCTGGCTCCCATCTCTGTCTCGGTCCCCATCTCTGTCACATGCAGCCCCCCTTCCCCACCCGTTGGCAGGGTGGGTGGGGGTGGGACCTGGTGATTTATCACCTTCAGCCTGTCTTCCATCGGAAACACAGGGGGTGGGCGCAGACGCTGCGCTGAGCTATGGGCCCCCAGGGCCCCGCCACCCACCCCAATGTTGTTGCTCCGTCTGGGCAGGGGGTGCAGTCCCCCCCACGTGGCCAGGACTTCAGCTCCCCAGACCTTCCCAGGACCTCCTCCACGGGGCCCCATTAATGCCTCGGCTAGTCGGGGGTCAGCCCAGCTCTGAAGCTGAGGCTAGGGCCACCCCAGGCTGGAGGGGGCCCACGAAGGACCCCACAGGCAACTCTCTCCAGGCGGGGCCAGAGGTGACAGAGCCTCTTTTCCTGCATCATTGATGGCCCATGGACCCGGCATCCCTGGCAGAGGCCATGGAGTCCAGGCCTTCAGGTCGCCCGCCCCTCCCCCGCGGCGGTGTGCACAGCCCGGGGCCCAATAAGTGTTTACCGAGCAAACACCAGCGGGAGGGGGACAGCGCACCTGGGTTGACCCCCACCCCACGCCCAGCGGAAGAAGTCCCTTATCTTCCCGGCTGACAGGCTGTCAGTGCACCAGGGCAGGGGCGGGGGCTACGCTCATCCCGCCCCGTCTGTCAGCCGCCACGCGGCGACACCCTCCCCGCCCTCACTAGGGGCAGCCTGCCCGTCCCACTCGGTGCAGCTCGCCGCCAGCCTGGACAACCCAGCGCCCCCGCTCCAGGCCTTCGTTTCTCCGCGGACCCCAGCTGTCTGCACCCACAGTGCCCACCTCTTTCCGCGCTCCCCCCTTAGCCAGCGTTTTCTGCAGACCGCGAGCGCCCTCTGGTGCCTGCCTAGGGTTGCTCGCCCATGGGGAGGACACGACTAGGCCCTCGCCCTGGGAGCTTCCTGGCCGGTCTGTGAAACCGGCGGGTGCGGCCTGAGCTGTGAGCCTCGCGGCCCAGCCCTCACTGACCACCACTGGCCATCACAGACTGGGTTGGAGAGGCTGCCGCTGACACGGCGTTTGTCTTGGCCTTTGCGGGACAAGACAGATGACCATCTTGCAGGGCCTCACTCACTCGCTCGCTCACTCACTAGCTGGCTGTGTATAGGCCCAAGATGTGGCTTGAACCCCAGATGGGTCTTGGGGACACAGGCCTGGACACTGTCCTGCACTATGTGTCAGGCCAGGGCAGGCCTAGGAAGCTCTGTGAGAATGGGCTTGGGAGGGGCCTCTAAGATTGAGGAGTAGCCACAGCGGGAAGGGCGTGCCCCGTGGAGGGACTGGCGCGGGCAAAGGCATGGAGGGCCTGGCCCATGGGGGAGGGTGCACCAGGGCTGGGCCTTGACCTAAGGCTGAGATCCCAGGAGCCCAGGGAGGTGGGGTGGGCAATGGTGGTGAGAGGGCCCTTGGGCTGCAGGGCAAGGAGCCCTGAATCAGCTAGCCTGGGACTGGAGGTGCGGGGTCCAGGCAGGGCTTGGAGACGGGACCCCCAACCTGTTCCTGCCTAGAAGGAAGAGTCTGAGGTCACAGAGGGGCCCAGCTCATCAGTGGGGAGGGGGTCCTGGGGCAGGTGTGTTGTCTGTGAAATGAAGGACAATGCTGGGATCAAGGTGGTGCCCAGATCTGCAGGGAGGGTGTGCCTTTCTCCCGTCCCCACAGGGCCATTCAGGTATACTGAACTGGGACTACTCACTTCCCCACACCCCTTGGAGGCTGAGGCCCCAGGGTCAGTGTGTGGAGGGTCAGCTCAGAGTCAGGCATGGGGACTGGGGGCTCCCAGGCAGCCAAGGAAGGTCAGCCAGCGAGGGAAGCCCTGTGCCTTCCACAGTCAGTACCTTGGCACGAACCAGTCTAAACCACGGAGAGCCGGCAAGAGGAGGGATTGTGGAGGAATCATAGGGTTCGGCTGCCCCGCCGACCAGCAGGCAGGAAGTTCTTCCTTAGGTCTAACCACACAGTGATTCCAGTAGCTTTCCTCAACAGGAGTCCCTCTGCCTCTGCAGCTCCTGCCCTTCAGGGCCCCCCCTGCCACCCCCTGAGCGACACACTGGCCCAGGAGACCTCAAGCCTTGCAAGCAGTGGGCTGCCCACTCCCCCTATCTCCTGCTGGGGCCTTTTCCCACAGACCAGAGGAGCGTCCTTCTCTTGGCTGGGGGCCACCTAAGACCCTGGGCCACTTTCTCCTGGGCTGTACATTTGCACCCCAAAGACCTCAGTGAGGCAGAGAAGGGATGCAAGAGGCCTGCCTCAGCCCTGTTTCCAGTTCACACAAAAAATGCTCTGGGGCCCAGCAGAGAGCCCCCTTCTGGGATCTGGTTTCTTAGAGAAAGTGGGGAGCACACCCCCTCCCCTGCCCTGCTTGGACTGAGTTTAGAGTGTTGCACATGCACGGTGTTATGACGATGGTTACCTCTGACCTACACTAGGACCTCTGGAGGTGCCAGGCCACCGCTGGGGAGGGCAAGCTGGGCAGTTCATTTGTATAAAGGGGGCCACTGTCCTCGATGTGGTGATAAGGCCGGATGGACAACCACAGTCGGCTGCAGCCCACAATGGGCCGGATGCCCTGCACCTGCTCACAAAGGCAGGGGTGGTTCCTGCCTCACGTCTGACTGGCAGCCTCGAGATAGCATCAGCCCCACAGGAGGGCCATCTGTCTTGTCCCACAAAGGCCAGGACAAAGGCCATGTCAGTGGCAGCCTCCCCGACCCGGTCAGTGGTGGTCAGTGATGGCCATTGGGGGCTGAGGGCCTTCCTGGGCCGGGCAGCCAGGACCTGAGGCTCCTCATCTGGGGCCTCTCTGGGATGCATGGAGAATAGTTTCCATTGTTCATAAGGCCAGACAGGTGGGGGCCACATGGACGGTGGCAGAGGAACCCTGTCCCTGGCACCCCAGGCCAGCCCAAATAGTGAGGAAGGCGTCAGTCACCTCCTAAGTTGGGCACCATGTGCTGACCTGTTTGCTCAGCTCCAGAATCCGGGCAGGGCAGTGGGAGGCCAGAGACTGGAGAACTCTGAGAAGCCCCTTGCTGGTCTGGGCAGTCGGAGAGGCCTTCCTGAGGGAAGTGGTGGCCCGGTGGGGGACTCGCCAGAGGCACAGGAGATGAGCAAGGAGCAGTGGCATGGAGAGTACCTTGTGCCAGTCAGAAGGAACATGCAGGCCCCGTGTGGTGCAGCCTGGGAGCCTGGGGAAGGCAGCAGCTGTGGGCAGGGACAGGAACGGCTCTTGGCTGGCAGGAGCAGGCTGCCAGCCCTGAGCCCTGGCAGAAGGGGTCTGGGGCCAGGGCCGCTGCTGTGGGATGGGGAGGGATGGCAGGAAGAGGGTTTGGGGGTGTTGGTGGAGCCTGTGGGGGGGCAAGTTCACTCCAGAACACAATGATTCCAGAGACCCTGCAACCCCTGAGGTCCACTCATCGCTGTGGGGCCCTCCAAGAACCCCCACCGCATGTGACTCTGTCACATAGAGGCCATCTTCTCATTCGGATGGTCCAGGGATCCCGGATGGAGCAACAGACCTGAACCAGCCCTGGTCACCTGCCCCAACGCTCCCCTAGTGAACTGAATGCTGCCAACGCCGCAGTCCCTGCATCAGGAAACCCAACCCTTGAAATGCTCTTGGTGTCCTCAAGGCCGGCACTGTCCACAAGAACCAGCCCCTGAACATGCTCAGAGGACGAGACACACTGCTGGGACTGTCCTCACTGCCTAGAGTGTTCTCACCACCCCCAAAGCATCCTCACTGCCCCCACAGCGTCCTCACTGTCTACCGTGTCCTCACTGCCCCCACAGCACCCTCACTGTCCGCGCAGCGCCCTCACTGCCCCCCAGAGCATCCTCACTGTCCCCACAGCACCCTCACTGTCCACAGCGTACTCACCGCGTCCACGGAGCCCTCGCCACCCCCACAGCATCCACAGCGTCAACATCTGCAGCGTCCTCACCGCCCCCACAGCGTCCTCACCGCGTCCAAAGAGCCCTCGCCACCCCCACAGCATCCACAGCGTCAACATCTGCAGCGTCCTCACCGCCCCCACAGCGCCCTCACCGCGTCCACAGCATCTTCACCGCCCCCACAGCGTCCTCACCGCCCCCACAGCGTCCTCACCGCGTCCACAGCGTCCTCACGGCGTCCACAGCCTCCTCATCGCCCCTACAGCGCCCTCACCGCGTCCACAGCGTCCTCACCGCCCCCACAGCGCCCTCATCGGGTCCACAGCGCCCTCACCGCCCCGAGAGCGTCCTCACCGCCCCGACAGCGTCCTCACCGCCCCCACAGCGTCCTCACCGCCCCCACAGCGTCCTCACAGCCCCGACAGCGTCCTCACCGCGTCCACAGCGTCCTCACCACCCCGACAGTGTCCTCACGGCGTCCACAGCGTCCTCACTGTCCCCACAGTGTCCTCACCGCGTCCACAGCGTCCTCAACGTCCGCAGCGCCCTCACCGCCCCCACAGCGTCCTCACCGCCCCCACAGCGTCCTCACCTCCCCGACAGCGTCCTCACCGCCCCGACAGCGTCCTCACGGCGTCCACAGCGTCCTCACCGTCCCCACAGTGTCGTCACCGCGTCCACAGCGTCCTTAATGTCCGCAGCGTCCTCACCGCCCCCACAGCGTCCTCACCGCGTCCACAGCGCCCTCACCGCGTCCACAGCGCCCTCACAGCCCCGACAGCGTCCTCACCGCCCCCACAGCGTCCTCACCACCCCGACAGCGTCCTCACGGCGTCCACAGCGTCCTCACTGTCCCCACAGTGTCCTCACTGCGTCCACAGCGTCCTCAACGTCCGCAGCGCCCTCACCGCCCCGACAGCGTCCTCACCGCCCCCACAGCGCCCTCACCGCCCCGACAGCGTCCTCACCGCCCCGACAGCGTCCTCACCGCCCCCACAGCGTCCTCACGGCGTCCACAGCGTCCTCACCGCCCCGACAGCGCCCTCGCCGCGTCCACAGCGCCCTCACCGCCCCCACAGCGTCCTCACCGCCCCGACAGCGTCCTCACCGCCCCCACAGCGTCCTCACGGCGTCCACAGCGTCCTCACCGCGTCCACAGCGTCCTCACCGTCCCCACAGTGTCCTCACCGCGTCCACAGCGTCCTCACCGCCCCGACAGCTCCCTCGCCGCGTCCACAGCGTCCTCACCGCGTCCACAGCGTCCTCACCGCCCTGACAGCTCCCTCGCCGCGTCCACAGCGTCCTCACCGCGTCCACAGCGTCCTCACCGTCCCCACAGCGTCCTCACGGCGTCCACAGCGTCCTCACCGCGTCCACAGCGTCCTCACCGCCCCCACAGCGTCCTCACAGCGTCCACAGCGTCCTCATCGCGTCCACAGCGTCCTCACCGCCCCCACAGCGCCCTCACCGCGTCCACAGCGCCCTCACCGTCCCGACAGCGTCCTCACCGCCCCGACAGCGTCCTCACGGCCCCGACAGCGTCCTCACGGTCCCCACAGCGTCCTCACCGTCCCCACAGCGTCCTCACCGCGTCCACAGCGTCCTCACCGCCCCGACAGCGTCCTCACCGCCCCGACAGCGTCCTCATCGCCCCCACAGCGTCCTCAACGTCCGCAGCGTCCTCACTGCCCCGACAGCGTCCACAGCGTCCTCACCGTCCCCACAGCGCCCTCACCGCGTCCACAGCGTCCTCACCGCCCCGACAGCTCCCTCGCCGCGTCCACAGCGTCCTCACCGCGTCCACAGCGTCCTCACCGCCCTGACAGCTCCCTCGCCGCGTCCACAGCGTCCTCACGGCCCCGACAGCGTCCTCACGGTCCCCACAGCGTCCTCACCGTCCCCACAGCGTCCTCACCGCGTCCACAGCGTCCTCACCGCCCCGACAGCGTCCTCACGGTCCCCACAGCGTCCTCACCGCCCCCACAGCGTCCTCACCGCGTCCACAGCGCCCTCACCGCCCCCACAGCGTCCTCAGTGTCCACAGCGTTCTCACCGCCCCCACAGTGTACTCATTGTCCCCAATGTCCTCATTGTTACCTCCAGCGTCGTCAGTGTCCACAGCGTCCTCACCGCCCCCACAGCGCCCTCACCGCCTCCACAGCGTCCTGTCTACAGCGTCCCCATTGTCTCCACAGCCTCCTCACTGTCCACAGCGTCCTCACCGCCCCCACAGCGTCCTCACCGCGTCCACAGAGTCCTCACCGCCCCCACAGAGTCCTCACGGTCCACAGCGTCCTCACTGCCCCAACAGCGTCCTCACCGTCCACAGAGTCCTCACCGCCCCCACAGAGTCTTCGCCATCCCCACAGCGTCCTCACGGTCCACAGCGTCCTCACTGCCCCCACAGCGTCCTCACAGCATCCTCAGTGTCCCCACAGCGTTCTCACCGTCCACAGCGTCCTCACCGCCCCGGATAGCGTCCTCACCATCCCCACAGCGCCTTCACCGCCCCCACAGCGTCCTCACCGCCCCTACAGCGTCCTCACCGCCCCCACAGCGCCCTCACTGTCCACAGCGTCCTCACTGCCCCCAGTGTCCTCACTCCACAGTGTCCTCACCGCCCCCACAGCGTCCTCACTGTCCACAGCGTCATTGTCCCCACAGCGTCCGCAGTGTCCACAGCGTCCTCACTGCCCCCAGTGTCCTTACTGTCCCCACAGCATCCCCACAGCATCCTCACTGCCCCCACAGGGTCCTCAGTGTCCCCACAACGTCCTCACTGGCCCCCACGTTATCACTTAGCATCTCTCTCATGCCTTCCCATGTGGCCTTTTGGGAGTGTGTCTGGAAGGGGAGAGGTCACCCACTGACTCCTGTCTGCCCCTGAGGTTAGGGTGGGCATGTGAGGATGTGTTTGTGTCCCCTTGAACCGCCTCCTGGGGCCTTTTCCTGAGTTTGGCGAGGGGAATTTCCAGGTCAGTCGTGCAGAGAAGACCAGATCAGAAGGGTTTATTCAGCACCAGAGTTTGGAAGGGAGACGCAGCAGGGTCTGGACCGCATTGTGCCCCATGGTCCTCCCAAGCCTGGAAGTGCGGGTTCGCCTCCCTCGGGGTAGGGTGGGCAGGAGTTCTGTCCCACGTGGTCTGGGCCTGCAGGTGGGGTGGGTCTGAGAGATTGGGCAGCGGAGGAGGCGGGGACCGGTCCAGGTTGGCGCGAGGGCCCCTCGGGCAGGGTCCTGTCGAGTTTGCAGGCCCGTGTTGCCCAGCGCCGGTTCTCTCCTCAGGACGCACCGGTTCTCTCCTCAGGACTCGTCGGTTCCGGCTCGCTCGGCCACCAGCGGGTCGGTCAGCGACAGCCGGGCTGCGGCGCGAGCGCGGGCCCGGGCCCGCAGCCTCCGCAGGCGGCACAGCAGCAGCACCAGCAGCAACGCGTGCAGCAGCCCAAGGCCCAGCAGCGCAAGCTGCGCCGCCAGCGCCCCCCAGCAGAGCGGGCCGGGAGCGCAAGCGGCGCGCAGCTCGTCCTCGGCCAGATAGGGCAGCAGGCGGCCGCGCAGCGCTGGGGGCGCCACGCAACGCAGGTCGCGGTAGGGCGCACGCTCGGGGCGGCCGGCCAGCCAGGCGCGCAGCGGCACAAGGCGGCAGTCGCAGCGCCAGGGGTTGGCGCCCAGGTGTGCGGTGCGCAGCGCGGGCAGCGCGTCCAGCAGCCCCGGCGGCAGCGCCGTCAGGTTGTTGCCGGTCAGCACCAGCTCGGTTGTGTCGACAGGGAAGGCGGTCGGCAGCGAGGCCCAAGTCAGCCCGCGGCGCCCGCAGTCCACGAGCGTCCCCGCGCAGCTACAGGGCGCCGGGCAACCTGCGGCCGGGCGGCTCGGCGGGGCCAGCAGCAGGAGCAGTAAGCTCAGCGCCCCGCGCGGCCCTGCAAGGGAAGCGCCGCAGTAAGCCGAGCGGTCGGCGGGCACCTGGGCGACATCTCTGAGTACCCAGACTGCCGGCCCGGCTCCATCCAGCCCCTGATGCCCGGCGTCCCGGTAGCCCGCCAGCCTCTCCACCCTGACCACCCCGCACGCCGGCTGGAAGTCCCCTCTAAGTCTGACCCAAGTCTCTCCCAGCTGCAGCCAAACGACCAGAGCTCCTCTCAACCCGGGTCGGCCTAGGGAGCAGCCGGGGGCCCGACCGGACTCCAGACTCACCGGAGCCCATGGCGAGAAGACGGCAGCCCGGCTTACTCTGCAGCGGGAGGCGTAGGCGGGAGAGCCGAGCGATAAGGCCGCCCCGCCCCTGCCACGCCCGCACCGACCACAGTGCTGCGGCCTGGCCAGAAATAGCCCAGAGGCCGCGCGGACGCGCGCTGCAGCGGCAGATAGCACACTATCGCCGGAGGCCGCAGGCCGCTCAGGCTTCCGCTCCCACCCGCTCTCAGGGGCACACGGAGCACTCGGACACCCGCTGCGACGTTCACCAACATTGTTCTCCTGTCACCAGGACAGGACGCGGCATTCACAACGGAAGAAAACGGAGCATCGTGTGGCGGGAAGGGATCATGCGGGTGGGAACATCGGGAGGCCTAGGCTCAGGATCCCGGCACACCACAGCGGTGCTGGGGAGAAGAGGCCTCGAGCGAGGGCAGGGGACGGCACCGAGAGTTGCCAGGAGGTGGCTCACCGCCCAGTGCCCCGGGGGCCCTCCAGGTCGGGCCGGGCTGTGGAGAAGGGGTGTAAGCGGTCACGACCCCGCTCCTTGCAGCCTCTGGCCTCCTTATGTCTGGAGGGCTCCCATTTGATTCAGCCCAACCCTGCCCGCTAGGCGTCTGGGGATAAGGGAAGACTCGGCCCGCCTCGACAGAAAATGGGGTCTCAGCACTCGCTGGGTGACCCGCGGGAGCAGGCAAAGGAGGGCTCCCAAGTCCGTTCTGCAGCACTGGGGCAGGGAACAGACCCAGGATCCTGGGAATCCTCTTCTGCCTAGCTTTGCCTGCCTGCCAGAGCAGGGCCTGCGGTTTGGGTGCTGTGACCGTCCGGGGGCGGGGGAAGGGCAAGGGAGGCGGATCTCTGAAGTCCCGCCCAACTTCGCTCCTGATCCCCCAAGGTCAGAGAGGGCCAGCTGGGCGGGGGCTACGGTCCAGGCCCCTCGGAAACAGACACAATGACCTGGGAGGGGGTGGTGCTGAGAATAAATTAGGGTCAGCTGGGGGCTGTGGCCCCGCGTCTCCGGGTCGGGAACAGTCCGGTCTGGTGTCCAGGGGTGCGAGGGCGTCCCGGAGACGGACGGTGTGTCCGCGGCGAGCGTCACTGGTCCTGCATCTGCTGCTTCATCCTCTGCAGCATCTCCTGCATGCGCCTCAGCTGCGGGCGGAGACAACCCGGCGGGTGAGCAGCACCGCGGAGGAGCATCCCTGACGCCCGCCTCCGCCGCCCCCGCCGCCCCACATACTTCCTCATCCTTCATCCTGATAAGCTTCTCAGTCTCGGCGTCCGGGGTGGGCAGCGGCAGGATCGGGATGGGGCTCTCCATGCGGCTGTCCTGGGTCAGTTTGCTGCGCGGGGCGGGGGGGAGGATGGGCGGGGCGGCGCCACCGGGAGGCTCAGCGTGGGCTGGCGATGCCTGGCCCATCCCCGCCACTGCTGAGGCCCTGCCCTCCGGAGCCCTCACAGCCCTGGACTTGGTTCTAGGGAGACCAGGCTCTGGGGGAGGGGGGGGGCTTAGGGAATGGTGCAAAGTTCAAGTCTGGGTGGGCTGACAGGACCGGCCCTCAGTTATGGAGACGTGGGCGGGGCCAGAGGGGCGAGGTCTGGCTCGCGGCTGGGGCGCGCACCTGGTCATCTGCTGGATGCAGTGCGCGCGGTAGTTCTCGTAGTGCACGTCGCACGTCACGTCCTTGAGGTCGTGCATATGCGTGCGGATGAGCATGTTGCGCAGCTTCACGAAGTCGCAATGCGCCTGGTTCTCCACTGCGGGGTGGGGGTGGGTAGTGGGCTGGCGCCGGCCCAGGACAGCCTTCCCCCACCAGACCTGGTACCCCAAGACTCTACTCACCCTCCACGATCCCCCAGGGGTACAGTCGGCCCCGGACCCGCTGCCCCTTGGCCTCCACCACCGTGTTGCTGCCTATAACGGCGAAGGGCGCGCTCTCCTGGGGGAAGGAGGGAGAAAGGCTCACACCCGGTGAGCGTAATTGCACGGTTACTGATGGGAAACGGGCATGTAACTCCCGGGGCACCCCTCCAGCATCACCATCAACTATCTCTCCTCAAAGAGATCCTGGCGTTGCCCCTTTCTGGCCTCTCTGCCCCTGGCTGGAGCCAGAGCCCATGTGGCTCACATTCCAGGGCCTTTCCAGGCTATGCCCAACCAGGCATGCTCCCTCCTCATCTCCTCCCTCATCAAGAACCACCCCCTCCAGCTGCCCCTTCCCTCCCCAGGGCTGAGCCTATGTCTCCCCATGCTGATGCCCCTGCCCTGGTGGCCACCTGCCCCTGGCATGGTCTCCATCATCACTCTAGCTGCCGGGGCACCCAAAGCCACCAACCCTGGAGCTCAGAAATCTGGGAGCCAGGGTGTGCCACTGGGGCAGCCCCTTCCTCTGGTGACCCATGGGAAGAGGGTTGGGGTTGGGGGCCTGGCCCACTGCTGCACCTCTGGATCTGGGCAAGTGCTCCATACCTGCCAAGCACCACACGGGGCCCACATGACCCACCCCAGCCAGGCAAAGACATGGTGACCTTTACCTTCTAGCCCTGGATGAAGGGGGTACAGGTCCTCTACTCCTAGAACAAATGACTCTTGCACCCAACTGGGCTGACCTGGCCCTCCTCCAGCAGGCTCAATGTGAAGGAGACAAAGCCCTCTGGTTCTGCCCCTCACCAGCTCCATCCCCCCTGCCCCACCAGTCTGCATGTTCACCTTCAGTTCCCGGTCCTGCTGCTTGAAGTCCTCATCCTCGTCCGAGTCACACTCAGGGAACTGGTATACATGGATCCCAAACTTGTCAATCTCCTCCCGGATCTGTGGTGGGGCAAGGACCATCAGATTTGAGGCCAGACAAGTCCCCCTGGTACTCTCAGCCCCAGGGCCCTGGCCAGGCCCCTGTGCGACGGCAGGCTCACCCGCTCCTTCAGCTTCCGGATCTCACTGGGGACAAGACAGTCAGCTTTGGCGATGAGAGGCACGATGTTGACCTTCTCATGCAATGCCTTCATGAAACCCACATCCACTGGCCGCAGCCTGCCGAGAGCAGCCAAGGGTGGGCATAGGCACAGCCAGGGGGCCATATTGTAGGGGCTGCACTCCCGAGCCTGGCCCCAGGACAGCCACACACCCATGCCCGAAGGGGGAGATGAAGTATAGGCAGCAGTGCACTCGGTTGTCTTGGATGTTCTTTCGGTTGAGGCCGCTCTCATCACGGAAGTACTGCTCAAACTGCTGGTCCACATAGTCGGTGATGGGCTTCCAGCTGTGGGCAGGAGGGAGGTGAGGCCAGGCCTCGAGTGCTGTGGCCGCCTAGGCAAGGCCTTTCTCAGCAGGCCTCACTCACCACTCGGTGTTGTTGACAGCGTCCCCGAATCCCGGCGTGTCCACGATGGTGAGCTTCAGCTTGACTCCCTTCTCCTCAATGTCCACCGTGTGTTTTAGAATCTCTACCGTCTGGCTGATGCGCTCTACGGGGAAGGGGCCACTGGAAGGGCCTCTCCAACCCTCAGCCCCTCACCCTTGGCAGCCAGGACCCTCGTCCTCATCCATCTTGGTGCCTTGGCCCTACCCCCAGGGGACCCACACCGCGAGAACAGAACAGTGGGAGCTGGACCTGAAAGGGAGTCCTTGGAGAGGTCCCATGGAAGGGGACTGGGGATCAGTGCCAGGGCCTCCTGGGGGCCACTCACCCTCAGCACTGAGCAGCTTCCGGTCCTTGTACAAGTCTGTCAGGAAGAGGCTGTGGACCAGTGTGGACTTCCCCAGGCCTGACTCACCTGCACACAGGTACAGAGAAGGAGCTGCGTTAGGTCTGGGGCTCCAACGACAGAGCTTGGCTGGCCAGTGACCCCAGCCACTCCCCCGAGGAGCCTGGCCCACTCACCAGCCACCATGAGTGTGAAGTCAAAGCCTTTCTTCACCGACTTGCGGTGCACCTGGTTGGGCAGTGTGGCGAAGCCCACGTACTGCTTGTCAATGTCCTGGGGACAGGATGGAACAGGGTAGGGACACAAAGGTTTCTCCAGAAGCCCAATACCCTGTCTCTTACCAAATGCGGTATGAGGAGACAGCAGAGGGTACGGTTCCCAGGGTGGGGCATTTCGTTGGCAAAAATAAGGGGAGGGCCCGTGGGCAAAAGCCTGGAGATAAGAAGGCAGGCGAGGTGGTGGCAGGAGAAGGCACCCCTGGCCCCAATCCCAGGGAGGGCTCTGCAGGGACCGACACTGTATTTATTCCGTGGGGAGATGTCAGGCCGCAGCAGGCACAGGCGATGTCCTCCCTCCTCGGGCAGAGGGCAGCAGGATTGGGACCCCTGGGACACACTCAAGGCCCTCCATAAGCCGGAGAAGCTGGGGGCCTCGACACTCACCCCTCCGGAGAGTGCCAGGGGGCGGGAGGCCCCACCTGGCCCGGATCCAGCCGCGGGGGCGGCGGCAGCGGCGGTGGCGGAGCAGCGCCTATTTATAGACCGCGGCGCCGAGCCTCCCCCGCCCGCGCGCCCAGGCGCCCAGCCCCCGCAGACCCTTGGGGCCCCTGGAGGGGTCCCACGGCCGCATTCTCCGCCGCGTTTTGGAGTCGCGTGAGGTGAGGCCTGGACAGGGCACGTCGCCCCACCGTGGGGCCGCGGACCTGCGAGGCCGCTGCGGAGGGAAGGGCTGAGCCTAGGCGCTGGCGGGCCGTGGCGCGCGGGGACGGGGACCCCATGCCGAGTCCCGGAGCCCGCGGGGTCACAGACCCACGTTCCGCCCTCTCCACACACGCACCTTGAGCCGCCTCTGGGCCTGGGTCCGCGGCGACAGCAGCTGCTCCACCAGGCGGTCCTGGGGCGCTGCCAGCGAGTCCATCGCGGCGACCCCCCCAGGCCCGGGGGCACGCTCGGACCCCAGGCCCGGTCAGGCCGCCAGAGCCCGGCGACAGCGAGGGACCTTGGCGCGGCTCTGCCTTAGGCTGCGTTGTCCACCCCGTTTTGCGGACGCGGGAAGTGAGGCCTGGACAGGGCACGTCGCCTACCCGGGGGATCGTCGACCCCCGAGGCCGACCGAGCCATCCCCCTGACTGGGCGAACTGGCCCCAAGCTGTGGCGGCGTCGCAGTCCGGGCAGGCCCCGCTCCCGCACCCGAGCCAGAGGCGGGGCGTCGCAGGCGCCCGCGGAGCGCGCGGCGGGGGGCGGCAGAGACGGCCCCGCCCGCCGTCGCCGGGAAACGGTCGCCTGGAAATTGGGCCGCGGGCGGAGCCACCCGAAAGCGGCTGCGGAGGGCAGGGCTGAGCCGAGGCGCGGTCGGGCCATGGCTCGCGTGGACCGGGAGCCCTGCCGCGCCCCCGGGGCCTCAGTCCGGGCTCCAGGACAGCAGGAGGGGACGACCGGGTCCTGCACGCGGGCCGGGGCGGGCCGGGAGTCGGTAGCCACCGCGCGTCCCGCCCCCAAGAGGTGCTGCGCGGCTTCCGCCCGCCAGAGGGCGCCGGAGGCCGCTCCCGGGACCCACGCGCAACAGCGCGGGTACCCGCCCAGTTCAGGGCCCGCCGTCTTCTCGCAGACTTGCCCGAAAACCTCCCGGCGGCGTCTCGACGCCCCAAGTGCCCACAGACACGCCGCGCCCTGCACCCCTCCCCAGCCCTGCTTGGGGCTGACCTCCCCCGTGCGTGCGTGCGTGCGTGCGCGCGTTTGTGTGTGCGCGTCCGTGCGGGTGTGTGTGTGTAATGTGTGTGTGTGTAATGCCTGCGTGTGTGCGCGTGTATACATGCGTGTATGCGTGTGTGTGTACGTGTGTGCATGCATTGGGTATGTGCGTGTGCGCGGGTGTGTGCATGTGTGTTTGGTGGACTCTTTCCCAAGACATTCGGGGGACCGGAGGAGGGCAGAGCCCACCTTTTCTGAAGTCCAGCCTGCCTGTCCCCTAGGAGGCTTAGGGTGGACAGAAGGGAAGGGAAGGGAAAGGAAGGGTGCAGGCTGCCGGAGTACTGGAGGTCCCTGCAAAACTTGGAAGCCCCCGCCAGCCTGCTGAATAAACGCCGGCCACCCATGCGCTGCCCTGCAGCCCTCAGGTGGCCCTGCCCTCAGAGACAGGGGTGGGGGTGGGATGGGACCCATCTCCCACGTGCTTCTGTGGACATTCCCTTGCCCTCTGAGCATCCTCACCAGCTCTGACCCACAGGATTGGAGGGACTGGGAGCTCCTGCCAGCCGGGCCTCCCTCCCATGTGGCTACTCCAGGGACTGCGGGGGTCTCCCGAGCTCCGCTCTGTGGGCCACCCACCTCCATGACCCCAGTAGAATCCCAACAGGCAAGCCCAGCGGAGCAGGACATGGGGCCTGGAAAGGTTCCAGGGTAGGACTGGTCAGGCCAAGCCCCTGCACATTAGAACATTAGAAGCTGGAGGCCCCAACCCCACCCCACCCCACCCGCCACCAGCCCTCCCTTAGGCTCTCCTGGCTGAGAGACCTCCTCCACTTCCTGTCCAGGCCCTGGTCCTGTTGTGGGGCCTGGACCACTGGCACCTGGGGAGGAGGGGCAGGCCCACAGCTGGGAACAGGAGAGCCTTTCATCCCAGGGAAAGGGGGCAGCTCCAGGCCCCCCAGCTCTACCAGTGCATCCCTCAGTCCTTGCTGCCAGAAAGCCTCCTCACTGGCCCCAGCCTTCCATGGCCCTGACCTGCAGGAAGCCTCTAGGCTGAGTCCCACCCAGTTTCCAACTGAGGGTCCACACCTCGAAGCCCAGCACCCACCCAGACAGGCTGGCATCTCAGGCCCAGGGCATCTCCAGGAAGACAGACAGCCCTGGGCCTAGGCCTCAGGCTAGGAGGTGTCTAACAGAGTGTGTGGCTCTCAGACTGCCTGCCTCAGTTTCCCCATTGGTAAGGCACAGCCTCTGGGGAGGCCCAGGTCAGGAGGGCAAGAATCTCACTCTCAGCGTTCAACCCACCTGCCCTGCCACCCACTGGGGCCCAGTCAGGGCCTGTGGATTCCCTGGGGGAGCCTCAAGGAAGGGGCCGTACCTGCCACCCCCTTTCTCTGGTCCCCAAGTGACAAAAGATACTCCCAGGGCTTCCTGAGCCATATGACACAGCTGCGCCCATCTCCTCCCAATGCCTGAGCCTCTCTGGCACTTCCATTCTTAGAATCACCCGAGTCAGCTCTGGGAGCAGCAGCCAGGGCCAAGAGATCACCGGTGCTGCCTGTGAGGAGGTGGGGGCACAGAGCGTAGTGACGGAACTCCCCCAATGCCTCTACAGCCCCCTTTCAAAGAGCAAAAAGAATGCTTGGACAGGCTGAGGCTCAGCAACGGTGGTAGCAGGGAAGCTGCCATGTGCTTCCAGCTCCCCCAGACCCACTGGTCACCCAGACACCTGGCCTGGCTCCTGCTCCGGGGCTCCCTTCCTTGGCCACACAGTGCCTTCTTCCTCTGGGCTTGGAGGCCTGGGAGGCCTGGGATGGGGTGAGGTGGACTCCCGGTTGACCTCAAACGATGGGCACCTCAGCAGGAGGGGGTCCCCACCCTGCAGTAATGGGCAAGAGAACCTGGCTGCACCCAACAGCAGTGGCTGGAGCCCAGGGTCTCAGAGTGCCCTTGGGTCAAGCTGGGGACACCTGCAGGCACAGGAGAAGCCTCAGGGGCCTGGCCTCCTGGCTTTCCCAGCCTCAGTTCCTTCCATTTCCCTCAAACAGTAGCCTGACGCATGTGTCCCTGCATCTCAGGCTTTGTCTGACCTGCTGTGATGGGGAGGCAGCTCCCAGCCTGGCTCCCCAAGGGGCCCCTCCCAGAGAGCCTCATCCACCTCTGGGTGGGGTGTGTCCCTTCCAGGAGAATGGCACTGGTCAGCCAGTGACTCCCCCAGCTCCTGGCCCCCCTGCCCGCCCTCCTGCCCTGCCTGCTGCACCCTGGGCCAGGACTCTGGAGTTCCACTCAGCATCCATGGCTCCTGAGAAACTCCATCCCTGATGGGGGCTGCCAGTGCCACCCTGGTGCCAGAATTGGGCTCTTCTTTTTTCCTCCAAAGATGGCTGAGCTCAAGCCAGAGAGGACACCAGCAGGCTTTCCCCAGCCCCCCCAGCCCACCTGGTTGTCAGCCCCCGCCCCACCCCAGGGGCCTCACAGCATTGTTTAACCCTGAGCTCGGCTGGGTTTCACCCAGGTGCCTAGACCAGCCTCCTGTCCAGTCTTGCTTTCCTGGAGGGTGGGGCCAACCCTTTTGAGAAGCCACAAGCCTATTTGTACCCACAGGGTCCCAGGACCCATCTGGGCACCCAGAATGACTCAGACCAGACCCTGGGGGTTCCCAATCTGGGGAAGAGTCCCTGTTGCAGACCTGAACACTCAAATTTGTGTATGGGGAGGGAAAGGGGCATGAAGGTGCAGGGGAGGTGGGTGGTGACCACAGGCCCTCTGCTGTAGGGCTGTTCAGGGACTGTGCTGGCTGATGGAGCCTGACTCCCCTCCCCCAGCGTGGCCTGCCACGACCATGGCCTCACCCAGGACCCCCAGCTCATGGCCTACAGGCCAGGTCAGCAGGAGATGCTGGCACTGGCCCTGTGGGAGGGGGACACTCTGCCCATCCCCCCATCCTGGGGAGGGGCGCAGGGTCCCTGCTGTGCGGGTCCGGGGACCAGGGCCCCCACTCCTCTCCTCTGAAGCCCCAGGCGCGGCGGCACTGCCCGGCTGACAATCGGTGATCGCGACAGGGCTGGGTGAGGGCCGGCGGGGGCGGGGTCGCGCCTGGGCGCCCAAGGCGCTAGTGTCACAATGGGTGACAGCCGGCCGGGTCTCCCGGCGGGGGAGCGGCGCTGCGCACGTACCTGCTTGTCCTCTGCGGGGTCGGGGTCGGGGTCGAGTCCGGGTCCGGTTCCGAGCGGGTCCGGGCCGGCGGGCGGGGGAGAGACGGAGAGACACGGTGAGAGGCGCGCGGGCGGCGGGGACAAAGGCGCGCGCGGGCACGCGGGCAGGCGCTGGGCTCACCTGGGGTCGCCAGCTTGCTCTTGTACCGCAGGCCTGTGCTCATGGTGGCCGCCGGCGGGGGACGTGCGGGGCGGGCTCGCGGGCGGGGCGCGACGACAAGCGGCGGAGGCCGAGGCCGGGCTGCGGGGTGAGCGGCCCCTCCGCGCCGCCGCCGCCGCCGCCCGCTCCGCCCGCGCGCCCGGCAGCCAATCGGCGCCCGCCGCGCCCACGCGCGACCCAGGGCGGCCCGGGGGGGCGGGGACCCAGGTCCCCCACCATGGACCCGAGACCACGGCCTCGGGGCGACGCCCTCGCCTCCTACAGCCCTGGCCGCGCCCGGGGTCACCCGACCAGACCCGCGCCGCCCCCGCCCTGCACGGCTGTTCCTGCCGGCCTCCTCCCCGCCACCTCCCCGGTGCCGCAGCCCAGGCCCAGCCTTACGCTCCCCCCGCCCTCGCTGGGACCCGGGTCCATGCCGGTCCTCGGACCATCCGTCCGGTGGCCCTTCTCTAAAGCCTGCCCTGGCTTTCCGGGCCAGACCCTGCACGCTCCGCCCCACCCCGCCGAGGTCAGCAGGGATGGTCCTGGCGCGGCTGGCCAGTGCCCAGCATTGCCCCTGCTGACCGCTCGGTGCTGCGCAGACCTGCTCTGCGAGCAGACGCACCTGGCAGGCTGTAGGCCACAGGCTTTTGGGCAGTGGTCCGGCCTCTCTCTTCCTGGGCTGTAAAATGGGATTATTTGTGAAGAGGAGTGATCTGAGGTGTCTGGCAGGACCGGCCCTGACCGTCTCACCCCAGCTCTGCGCCTGCTTCTCTGCTGACCCATAGGCTGTGGGGATGCTCCAGGCAGACCCGATCCCACCCTGCGGAGAAGGCTTGTAGGGGACCGAGGGGCACTGTGAAGGCAGGGCCAGGGCCTGCACCCCATTTACAGAGGGGGAAGTTCAGGCCCTAATCTTCAGTGAGTCAGCCAGACTCAGTGACTGAGAGCAAGTCTCTCCGGTCATTTGTGTCACTATCACATTCCCAGGTGTCCTCCGCCTGGACTTTCCCAAAGTGTCCCCAGGCGGCATCTCTGAAGGCTTTGGGGCTGTCAGGCTTGCGGTCACCACCTCCCCAGGTGAGGGCCCCCTTGTATGGAGATGTCTCCTGCACCCCGTATAGACAGTACCTCCACAGCCAGGGAATCCGCCTCTGCTCCCCACCCGTCCTGTGCCCCTTGGTCCCTCTGCTGGCCCGTGGGCTCCCTGGGTGGAGGGGGGTGTCGCTAGGGCCTTTCCATCTCTGAATCACCAGCACCCAGCACGGTAAGTGAAAAATTCATGTAAGCCGCGTCTTTGTTCCACAGTCCTTGCTCTGCTGCATTCTGTGGCCAGAGCGCCGTTGACCATAACCCTGCTCTGGGTCTAGAACTCTAACCAGTGTAGGGATCCCCCACAGTCCCAACCTCTCATCCAAGATGTGTTTGGAACTCAGGCTTTTTTGTATACATCATACATTATGTGGCACCTCTTTGGAACCTGGGGCTGCTCCTCATAATCAGACCCATTTATATTTTCGGGGCAAAACATATGTATTCAGGTGAACTGGAAGAAATAAAGACAGTAAGTGATGGCGCATCGTTCAGGTCCAGCTTTGCCACTGAGTTTTGAAAAACCTTTATGTTTCTGAGCTTTGGAGAATTTGGAATTTCGATAAAGAAATGTGTGTTGAGGTCAGGAGATCAAGACCATCCTGGCTAACACGGTGAAACCCCGTCTATTAAAAATACAAAAAATTAGCTAGGCATGGTGGCACATGCCTGTAGTCCCAGCTATTCAGGAGACTGAGGCAGGAGAATCACTTGAACTCAGAAGGCGGAGGTTGCAGTGAGCCGAGATCGCACCACTGCACTCCACTCCAGCCTGAGCCAAAGAGCCAGACTCCGTCTCAAAAAAAAAAAAAAAAAAAAAAAAAAAAGAATGTGTGTGTGGGGGTAGGGGCACTCAAAGGGCCAGGCAGGACTTCTGAGCATAGACAGGACTTTTTGGAAAGAATTGGAAAATGATGGTTGGCTGTTCACCACGTGCTGACCCATGCAAGCCTGTGCTTGTGGAGACAAAGGAGGAGAGACAGGAGCCCTGCCCAGGGGGAGGCAGGCAGCCTGTGAAAGGCACCAGCTCAGCGCCCCTCCCCATGGCTCAGGTGGCAGGGCAGCTCTGGACAGCCTTGGGTTAGGGGGTTTGAACTTGGCCTTGAGACAAGTGCATAGCAGGTCAAGGGCATAGCTCAAAGGGTGGGAGGCACATGTATACAGGAGTAATAGGTTTTAAAACAAATCTGGAGATAGAAGACAAGAAAGATGAGGAATACGGCATAAACATGATCTTTTTTAAAAAAGTCTGTCCCAAAAGATTACTTACAGAAATGCAGTTAGATTGGAGACCAGTGTTTAAGGGACAGCCAGCCTGGAGGCTGATGGAATATATAGGACTGGGAGCCACTCCTTGGAAGAGTGAAGTCAAGGGTGGTCCTGGGTCAGCGCCTCATGTAAAATGCCTGGGCTGGAAGGGGGAAGCGGCATCTGCTCCCTTACTCTGGGACTTTGGTCACCATGACTGTGAGTGCAGGGACAGCCCGAGTCCCTCCACAGACACATCGAGGCTGCACCCTGTCTAGCTGGGAGGCCTGCTGGATGGCATAGTGTCTGCATGGGACATTTCTGAAGTCAGGAAAATGGGTCATGAGGGCATCGGTCAGCAGACGCGTCTCCAGTTCTGCCAGGTGAGGCTTTGAGATACTGGCCACCACAATGGAGGCTGACAGCCCAGTGAAACCCTTATTATGCTCCTGTTCACCAAAAAGCCAACCAGGCAGGCCTGGTGGCTCACGCCTATCATTGTAGCACTTTCGGTGGCCAAGGTGGGAGGATGACTTGAGGCCAAGAGTTTGAGACCAGTCTGGGCAAGAATGTGAGACCCCGTTTCTATAAAAATTAAAAATTAAAAAAAAAAAACTGGCTGTGGTGGCATGAGTCTGTAGTCTCAGCTACTCAGGAGGCTGAGGCCAGAGGCTCACTTGAGCCTGGGAGTTTGAGGCTGCATGCAGTGAGCCGTGATGGTGCCACTGCACTCCAGCCTGGGCAACAGAGTGAGACCTTGTCTCAAAAAAAATGAAAAAACAAACAAACAACACCCAAGCCTTGGGGCTGTGGCTGATATCAGGGGGGCTGGAGCCACAGGGCAGTGGTCTGAACACACACACTTACCTCTCCAAGATGCCATGGCTTGAAAGAAAACTGCCTGCCAAAGTGGGTGTGTGCATCCACTTTCCCCAGCAGGCAGAGGAAGCGCTGGCTGTGGTACAAAAAGAAGTAAATAAAGCACTCCTTTGTGGAAAAAAAAATGCTATTTTTTAATTCATAAGGAAAAGAAGTTAATGAATAAAAAAATAAGCTACACCAAGAAAAATCTGTTCAACCAACTTGGGCTACAAATAGCTTGACTCTTTTCAGAAAAAGCCTCTTAGTGAAGAAATTCTCCAGAGGCTGCATTTGAACCATGCTGGGCCTCCCTCAGCACACAGGGGAGTGAGCGCCCCAGGGCTGGGACCCGGAGAAGGATGGAGCTGGTGGGGAGGTGGCAACGGTGATGGCGACGAAAGAATAAGGCACCTGCCATTGGCCCTTGGGAGCAGGTCTTGTGGGTGACAGGCTTCAGAGGGGGAGCAGTTTGCTCCAGGTGACACATGTCGCCACACTCCCAAGCCTGTCATCTGCAGTTAGGGCTGAGGCCACCACTGACAGGTTCCAGATGGCTCAGTCCATCTGAGGCTGAGGATGAGGGAAGAGGCCAAGATGCATGCAGGGTGTCAGGCACCTGAGAGCCCCACAGGCCTACCTGCATGATCAACTCGGGCAACCCTGACCTGTGCTGGGAATGGGGTGTTTTTTCACCCTGAGTAGACGCAGGAAGTGGAGGTCAGGGCGCGGTGGAGATCTGCTTGAGACTAAACAGCCGAGACTAGAACCCACGACCGTGGAGCCCAGGCCTGACTCCTGCAAAGTGCTGTGACCTGGTCGCGGCCCAGCCAGGGGCTGTCCCAATCAGGCAGCTGCTCGAGGCCTGAGCTCACATCCCTTCTATCCCCTGAATTCACCAGCAACCTGGTGGGTCCCAGATGATCCTCCTGACCCCTGCATTTTTCTACTGCTCTCATGCTCCTGTCCCTGCTGTTCCTGAAGCCCTCGCCCGCCAACCCTGTGAGATTTGAACCCACCCCCAGTACCTGGGGGCTCCGAGGGAGGCCGTGTGACCTGCAGCTTCATGCCCCTGCACCTTGGCACTAGTGTGCCCCCTGCCTGGGCTGCCCTTCTCTAGCTCTGCCGACCCAGCAGCACTGTCTCCAGCCCCTCCAGGCCCACCGTGCCCTATGCTGGCCTCTCTTCTGCAGGACATGGCCTGCCAGGCAGCAGACTCCCGACTGGCTCCCTGGCCCCCACACTCAGCCCCTGTCTGGCACCTGGGAAGCTCAGCAGCATCAGCTCCTGCTGGGTGGGGGCACAGGCTCCTAGGCGTGGATTCACAGGGCGGGCAAGGAGGGCCTGACTAAAGAGCCAGGCTCTGGGGAGCTTCAGACTGCATATTCTGAATCCCAAAACCTCTACTGTCTGCAGAGGGGTGCTTGTGTGCTCAGCCCAGCTCAGGGGGGTGTGCGGAGACCAGGAGGTTCTGGGGCGTCCTCCCTGCTCCCAAAGGCAGTGGCTGTCACCGAGCACAAGGGGAAGTGTGTGCACAGTGAGGATTCTACTGAAGAATGTTTTCCTTGATCTCCTTTTCAGAAAAATGTAAGGGGGTCACTGCACAAATCAGTCCTCATCACCGATGGGAAGACATGCCCATTAGAAGAGCACAGAACCCACAGCAGCTGTCTCTGCCTGGAGGGTGCGGCCTGGTCCTGCTTAAAGCCGCCTATGTCTTGCAGCGGTGGACAGAATAGGGCTTCAAGGGGGCTGAGTCTCAGTCCACACCAAGTCCCCGATTCCCTGGGCAGCTGGAGTGAGTGCTACAAAGGGCGCCTGTGCTCCACGGCAGGGAGCCAGCCTGGATCCAGAGCTGAGGGTCTGAGGGAGGTGGGTCTGCAGCCACATCTGATGGGCCTTCAGAGTCCCCTGAAGGATCTGGGACGGCGCCTGCAAGATAACACAGAGAGCAGCCCAGGGTAGGGACCAGGCGTGCAGTGTGACTCAGCTGGGAAGAGCTCCCCACGGTAGGGGGCGGAGGGGAACCCTCCACAGGGATGCTGCCTGAGGGGGCTGCACGGGACCATCCCCAGGCTGTCCCGGCAGGCAGAGGTCCTCACTGCAGTTCTGTGATTTTATGAGAAGCTGAAGGTGGAAGAATAGCAGATGAATGAAGAGATGTGAAATGGCACCAATGTTGATATTCTCCTGTGTCATGCATGGAAGCATGACAAACATCCCACGGGAGCAAGCGCTTGCGAAAGGCAGAGAGCAGGGCCAGAGCACGGTGACCTAGATCCTGCGGCTCACCCCACCCCTCCATCACAAAGAGCTCAGCGCTGGGCTCCAGGGACTGGCTCCAGCTCCCCACTGCATCTACCTCCCAGTCAGGCAAGAGAGATCTGAAAATCACTCTGGAATAAACAGGACCCTACTGTCCCGTCTTCAGGACCTCTGTTCCCTGGACCCTGGTGCTGCGTGCAAATGCACTGCCTGTTGCACACCCAGGCTCCCACGGGGAAGGTGGTTGCCAGAGCCCTCAACTTGGCGGCCCATCACCTGGTTTCGAGGCCTCAGGTGATGGCCATACCTGGGTGAGGATGAGGACCCCAGTCTCAGCTCATTCCCTGCCATTGTGTCCTCTCCAGCCCCCCGGACTGAACGCCACAGAGGCCGCCTCTCCCATGGAGGACAGCCAGAGCTCTGCCTGCCCCAGAATGCACAGCACACATTGCTGCGGGGGCGGATGGTGTGGGTCAGGAGGGTGAGGAGCTGCCATCCCCGGGTGCCATGGCCAGGGCCATTGGCAGAGCGGGGCCAGCCTGCGTGAGGGCTCCTGCTCCCACTTGCAGGGCGTGGTGGCAGCTCTGCCCTGCTCCTCATTTGCCCCAGGTTGGACCCCATTTCCCATCAAGCATGTGTTGCACCCATTGTAGGCTGGAGCCATGATCAGCCCTGAGCAGGGGATTCCCCGTTGGTGGAGACAGACACACCCTGTACCAGGATGCCGCCAAAGTCCTTCCACTTGACTGGGGAAAGCATGTCGCTGGACCTCCGTGGCCAGTGGCCAGCCGGCTGTCACGTCCTGGACTGAAGTGGATTCCTGCCCCTCCTTGTTCCAAAGGCTGCCTTTAAAGTGGTGGAGGCTTTTAGGGTCCCCTAGAGATGGGGGAGCAGCAGGAGACAGAGCCCCTAAGACAGGGGCTGCTTTTGCAGGAAAGGAGGGGCCCCTTGTCCTCACCGGAAAAGCAGGCAGGAGGTACGAGGCTCAGCCCTCAACCCTGCATGCTTTGACCAGCATCCCCTCAGAGGTGGCCGAGCAGGTTTCAGCCAAAGAAGGAAGCATGATCAGGTGCACCTGGGAGCTGAACCTGGGGAGACCCAAGCGGGGCCTTGCAGGGCAAAGGAGTTACTCTGTCCCCTCCCCGGGGCTCTTGCCGAAGGGCTCGTTCTGCAGCCAGGGATCTTCACAGCCATTCAGCTGCAGGCCCGTCTTGAGTGAGTCCTGCCCCCTCTCGCCTGGTGAGCAGCTGCGTGTGGCCCTCTTGGCAGGACAGTGCCAGCGTGCCACCCAGTCCTCCCTCTAGGACTTCCCAACCAGCAAGGGGTGCAGGCGGAGGGCACTGGTGAGGGCAGGACTCGTACCTCTGGTCTGCACTGCAGCTGCCAGCCGCAAATCTCACAGCGGCACAGATCAGAAGACCCCATACACCCGGAGTGGTGGCAGAGACCCTCTTTCCTTGGGGCTTCACGTTGGGGGATCAACATGCCACAAGCCTGCATAGCCAGGAAAGCGGGGCTGGGCCTCGAGTGCTGGCTTAGAGTTCGGGGGAGTACCTGGAGCCCAGCAGAGGGGCCCTGGGCAGGTGCTGGCCACGGCAGGTGGGGTGAGGGAGGCAGGGCTGATGCACAGGGGCTCGGCCTGGGTGAGGGCCTTGTTGGGCAGGTCTCCTTCTTCTGGTGCAGGGCCAGCATGCAATTGGCCAGGTTTGGGCCTTGCTACCAAAACAGCCTGCAAAGCCTTGCCCGACCTCTGGCCCAGGGTCTGGGCCCGTGACTCCCAGACAGACACTGTGACAGACACTGGTCAAACCAAGGGTCCAACTACAGACCCCTGCATCCTCAGAAGCCCCTGTCCCATGCCAGGGCCCAGTCATCTTGCAGCATGGGGCAGGGGCCCATGCCCCACTTGTGCCTCAGGGGACTGTCTTGGCTGCCCTGATCCTCGAGGTTATTTTTGAGAATCACAAAGAGAGCCTACTATCATCATCAACAAGACAGTCTGATTCAAAAATGGGCAAAGAACTTGATTTGGCCAGAGATATGTGTGTGTGTGTGGGTGAAATTCCTGAGATCCACCTCCTTCCAGGCTCCAGGGCCTCCAGCCATCTGCAAAGACCTTTCTGAGTGCAGGCTGAACGCCCTCCATCATTACCGCCTCATTTAAGCAACCCAGTTGGTGGGACCTTGTTGCAGCAACCTCAGCAAACGAATACAGGGTGTCATAGTCTGTTTGGGCTGCTATGACACAACTCCTTAGACTGCAGGGCTTAAGCAATAAACATTTATTTCTCACGGCTCTGGAGGCTGGAAGTCCAAGATCGAGGCACCAGCAGATTTGGCGTCTGGAGAGAGTGGAGCCCACTTCATAGATGATCATATTTTCTCTATAATTTCACATGGTGGAAGGGGTGAAGGGTATCTCTCGGACCCTCTTTTATTATTATTGTTATTATTTATTTTTATTTTTGTAGTGGCAGAGTCTCACTTTGTTGCCCAGGCTGGAGTGCAGTGGCCCAATCACAGCTCACTACAGCCTCAATCTCCCTGGCTCAAGGAATCTTCCCATCTCAACTTCCGGAGTAGCTGGGACTACAGACACACACCACCACATCTGGCTAATTTTTAAAATATTTTTTGTAGAGACGAGATCTCTCTTTGTAGCCCATGCTGGTCTTGAACTCCTGGGCTCAAGTGATCCTCCCACCTGGGCCTCCCAAAGTGCTGGGATTATAGGCTTGAGCCACTGTGTCTGACCCCAGGCTTCTTCTTTTATTGATTGATTGATTGATTGATTAAGACAGAGTCTTGCTTTGTCTCCCAGGCTGGAGTGCAGTGGCACGATCTCAGCTCACTGTAACCTCTGCCTCCCAGGTTCAAGTGATTCTCCTGCCTCAGCCTCCCGAGTAGCTGGGACTACAGGTGCCTGCCACCATGCCCAGCTAATTTTTGTATTTTTAGTAGAGATGGGGTTTCACCATGTTGGCCAGGCTGGTCTCGAACTCCTGACCTCAAATGATCCACCCACCTCAGCCTCCGAAAGTGTTGGGATTACAGGCATGAGCCACTGCGCCCGGCCTCCAGTCTTCTTTTATAAGGGCACCAATCCTTTTCATGCGGCTCCACCCTCGTGACCTAATCACCTCCCAAAGGCCCCACCTTCTAGTACGATCACCTGGAGGGTAGGGTTTCACCATATGAATTTGTGGAGACAAACATTCAAACCACAATACAGGGGCACCCCAAGACTTGGACAGAGGGTACACAGGCAGGGTCCCCGGCTACACCACCAGTGCCAGGCAGACAGGGTCCCTGGGTTACACTGCCAGTGCCAAGCAGGCAGGGTCCCTGGCTACACCACCGGTGCCAGGCAGGCAGGGTCCCAGGCTGTACCACCAGTGCCAGGCAGGCAGGGTCTCTGGGTTATACCACCAGTCCCAGGCCTCTGCTTTGTCGTCTGACTTCAGAGAGGGAAGCCTTCCATCCAGAGGAGGAATCAAACACAATCAGGACTTGTATGTATCTGAAGTGCTTCTTGGAATTCCAGCGTTTGCATTTCAATGGGTAGGAAGTTCCCTCCTGGGAGCCCCTGGGAGCCAGGCCTGGGTGGGGTCTGCATGACCCCCTTGAGCTCCATCTGCTGGCGATCCCAGGACTGCCCCAAAAGCCGGTGCCTGGGACCATGTTGGGCATGGGGCTTTATCCAAGAAGAGCTGGAGAGAGGGCTCGTGGGGTGAACAGGACCCCAGAAGCAGGGAAGAGGGGCTGGGCCAGTCCAGGCTGGGCCAGCACGTTGGCTGAGAGGGGAGGATATGACCCGTGCAGCGGCAAAGGTGAATGGTCTGCCTCACGCCAGTGCTAGCAGCCCGTGGGACCCTGGGCTGAGTCTCTGCCCCTACAAAACAGTAGACACTCACCTGTCCACGGCGGGACTTGGCCCAGGTGATGGCTGGGGACCCTTCTAGCTCTCAAGGCTGCTATGCCTCCTACTCAACAAAGTACAGTGAGACCAAAAGCAGCTCCTGCAGGATGAAGGAGACTAGGAAACAGCTGGGAGGAGGGCAAGGCCTGGATAGAGAACCTGCATGAACTGTAAGCAGATTAGGTCCAAGCAGGCCCAGGGCCTGGAGACTCTCGTGGGGTTGGCACCTTCTCTACCCACAGGCTGGGAGTCGGGAACAACATCTCTTTCAGAGGAGCCACCCGAGTGCTGGGGTCTGAGACCACCCAGGTGTTTTCTTACGGCAGCCCCCAGAGAGGCGATCAGAGCTCTGCGGGGTGCAGTCCGGTCACTGCAGCAGTGATGGTGCATGGCTCGTTCTTGCTGCTGGCTGACTCTGGAGGCAGAGCTGCATCCACCATGTTCCTTGGCATCACCTCACCATTATCCCTGGTTCAGGCAAGAAGAGGCTAATGAAGCCACGAGGAGGGGTGTGGTGGGCCCCCCACTGCTCCACAGAAAACAAAACAGAGGCACAACTGGGTGACTCTGCTCCAGTCCGAAATCAAGGCTGGTACCAGACCCAGTCCCACTGGCTACCCAAACTGGGAGCTGTGCTCGGCACTGCCCTGCCCAGGTGCGCAGCCCTCCTGCCGCCGGAGTTTCAGCCTGGCTCCATGTTTCTGTCAACAACAGATGCCGTCTGTCATGGCAACTGGCCTGGACTTTATCCTGGGACTTTCATTGTTCTGTCAATGCCACGCTTTTTGAAAATTCACTCAGTTCAAATGCTCTTCAAAGAAACCAACCACTTTCTGTTGCCATTTGAGAGGCTTCCCTAGTGCACAGAGGACAGGAAGCACAGGGAAAAACAAAACACCCAAAATAGGTGCGAACAGTAATGAGGAAAGAGAGAAACAATCAATTTCATACCACCCCTCCCAAAACCCCTCTTTAAAAACAGTCAGCAACATAGAAAGGCAGCAGTCTGTGCTGTATGGCAATCAAGCTTCCACGCGGCTGGCAGCAGAGCAGGCATGGGTTGTGCCGAATGCGCAACAACTCCTTCCTCCTTCCTGCCCCACCCCGGTCCCTGAGGGAGAGCCACCCGGTCTGAGGACACCTGGCCACCCCACCTGCAGGGAAGCACCTGTGAAGGGAAGGGCTCCTTGGCTCCTTGTCACTTGCTCACACCTGGACCAGAGCTTGGGCTCCTCATCCGTACAGTGGGACAACAGTGGAAGGTGGCTCCCCAGTGCAGCGAGGTCCAGATGGGACCACGGGGCCTCAGAGAAGGGGCTCCACAAATACTAGCTACCCACTGTGATTTTTAAAAATTAATCAGTCGGGCGCAGTGGCTCACACCTATAATCCCAACACTTTTGGAGGCCGAGGCAGGTGGATCACTTGAGGTCAGGAGTTTGAGATCAGCCTGGCCATCATGGTGAAACCCCATCTCTACTAAAAATACAAAAATTAGCTAGGCGTTGTGGCGCACACCTGTAATCCCAGCCACTGGGGAGGCTGAGGCAGGAGAATCACTTGAACCCAGGAGGTGGAGGTTGCAGTGAGCCGAGATTGCGCCATTGCACTCCAGCCTGGGGGACAGAGCAAGACTCTGTCTCAAAAAATAATAATAATAATAATTAATCATAAAATATCGTTTTATCTATGATATTATCAGTCTATCCATATCTTTATATAGAGAGACATTGGTGTCTAGATATTTATTACAGGGCCAACATCATGCTGAAGACTATTAAAATACAGAGGGAAGCCGGGCGCTGGTGGCTCACGCCTGTAATCCCAGCACTTCGGGAGGCCGAGGCAGGCAGATCACTTGAGCTCAGGAGTTTGAGACAGCCTAGGCAACATGGCGATACCCTGTCTCTATAAAAAATACAAAAAATTAGCCCAGCACTGTGGTGTGTGCCTGTAATCCCAGCTGCTTGGGAGGCTGAGGTCAGGGGACTGCTTAGCCCAGGAGGAGATAGGGGCTGCAGTGAACCAGGATCATGCTGAACTCCAGTCTGGGTGGCAAAGAGAGACCCTGTCTCAAAACAAAACAAAACAAAACAGAAGCGTATGAACACTTTCACGGTGGGAGACATTTCCATGGCAAATAGTTTTAGCACTGTGTGTTGACTTACCATTCCAGAGGATGAGGATTTAACTCTTCAACTCCTCGTCTCGACCACACACAATTCAAGTCCTAGTCTTACCTGCCTCCCTGTCTGCAATCTGGTCACTGCTGAAGTGACAGCGCAAACACCTCCTCCTTGCTCCTCGCTGACTTTGGAGTAAGAGCTGCACCCACCACGTTCCTTGGCACCACCTCACCATCATCCCTGGTCTAAGTGAGAAGAGGCTAATGGAGCCACAAGGAGGGGTGTGGTAGGCTCCCCACGGCTCCCCAGAAAAGTATCTCTAGTAGGATACGTCGATTAAATTAGTCACAAGGGTTTGTATATTTTTAAAATGAAACCTGTTATTTTGAGATACAGCATAAGAAACAATGCAAAGAGAGTCCAGGTGCCCTTCACCCAGTTTTCCCCAATGATGCCATCTTGAAACACTGTATTATAATATCATAATACTACAAGCTAGATGTTGTCGTTGATCAAGGTGAGGCACAGAACATTCCCATCACCCTTTGACAGCCATGCCCGGTTTCCACTCTCCTCCCCTCCTGAGTCTCTCAATCACCGCTTCCATGATTTTGGCATTTTTTGAATGTCACGTTGATGGAATCATGCAGTGTGGGAAGTTTTAGAATTGGCTTTTTTCACTTGGCATAATTCTCTGGAGATTAATCCAGGTTACTGTGTGTTGATAGCTTTCTCTTTTATTGCCAAGTAGTTCTGTACTAAAAATACAAAAATTAGCCAGGTGTGCTGGCATGCATCTGTAGTCCCAGCTACTTGGGAGGCTGAGGCAGGAGAATTGCTTGAACCCGGGAGGCAGAGGTTGCAGTGAGCCGAGATGGCGCCATTGTACTCCAGCCTGGGTGACAGAGCGAGACTCTGACTCAAAAAAAAAGGAAACTGCCAAACTGCTTTTTAGAGAAGCTGTACCATTTTACATTCCCACTAGCAGTATATGAGTGCTCTAGTTTCCCCAAATTCTTACCAGCATTTAACAGTATCACCTTTTTTGGCCATTTTTTTTTAATTAAAAAAATTATATATATATTTTAGACAGGGTCTCACTCTGTCACCCAGGCTAGAGTGCAGTGGTGAAATCGCAGCTCACCAAAGCTCCACTTCCTCGACTCAAGCGATCCTTCTGCCTCGGCCTCCCGAATTGTTGGGATTACAGGCATGAGCCACTGTGTCCAGGCTTTTTTTGCCACTCTAATAGATGTATAGTGATATCACTGTGGTTTTAATTTGCATTTCCTTAATGATTAATGATGTATTTTTCATGTGCTTATTTGTTACCTGTGTATCCTCTTTGGTGAAATGTCTATTCATGTCTCATGTCCATGTTCTAATTGGATTTTTATTATTGTTGAGTTTGAGAGGGTTTTTTTGTTGTTGTTTTTGTTGAGACGGAGTCTTGCTCTGACGCCCAGGCTGGAGTGCAGTGGCATGATCTCGACTCACTGCAACTTCCACCTCTTGGGTTCAAGTGATTCTTGTGCTTCAGCCACCTGAGTAGCTGGAACTACAGATGGGTGCCACCACGCCTGGCTAATTTTTTTTTTCTTTTGTATTTTTAGTAGGGATGGGTTTTGCCATGTTGGCCATGCTGGTCTCGAACTCCTGGCCTCAAGTAATCTGCCTGCCTTGGCCTCCCAAATTGGTGGGATTACAGGCATGCGCCACTGCGCCCAGCCTGAGTTCTTTATATATTCTAGTACTAGCCCTTTCTTGGATATATCTTTTGCAACTGTTTTCTCCTAGTCTGTAGCTTGATTTTTCATTCTTGTAACAGAACCACTTTTAACAGAGAAATTTTCACAGAGCAAAAGTTTTAATTTTAATGGAGTCCAGTTTATCAATTTTTCTTTTTATGGCTCCTGCTTTTCGAGTCAAGTCTAATAACTCATTCCCTAGCTCTAGATCCTAGAGATTATTCTCCTGTATTTTTTTCCCTGAAAGTTTTATAGTTTTACATTCTAAACTTCAGTTTATTATTCCTTTTTTTTTTTTGAGATGGCATCTCTTTTCTTTTCTTTTCTTTTCTCCTTCCTTCCTTCTTTCCTTCTTTTTCCTTCCTTCCTTCCTTCTTTCCTTCCTTCCTTCCTTCCTCTCTCTCTCTCTTTCTTTCTTTCTTTCTTGAGTCTTGCTCTGTCACCCAGCCTGGAGTGCGGTGGCACGACCTCGGCTCACTGCAACTTCTGCCTCCTGGGTTCCAGAGATTCTCCTGCCTCAGCCAGGCACCCACCACCACTCTCAGCTACTTTTTGTATTTTTAGTAGAGACGGGGTTTCGCCATGTTGCCCAGGCTGGTCTCGAACTCCTGACCTCAGGTGATTGGCCCACCTCGGCCTTCCAAAGTGCTGGGATTACAGGCATGAGCCACTGTGCCCGGCCTGTCATTCTATTTTGAGTCGATTTTTAAATAAGATGTGAGATTGAGGTTTCTGGTTTTGTTTTTGTTTGCCTATTGATATGGTTTGGCTCTGTGTCCCCACAAAATCTCATGTTGAAATGTAATCCCCAGTGTTTGAGGTGATGGTTGGATCATGGGGGTGGATTTCTCATGATTGGTTTACCACCATCCCCTTGGTGGTGTTCTTGTGATTGCGAGTGAGTTCCCATGAGATCTACTCATTTAGAAGTGTTGGCACCTCCCCTAGCTCTTGCTCCTGCTCTGCCACGTGAAATGCCTGACCCCCTTCACCGTCAGCCATGGTTGAAAGCTTCCTGAGGCCTCCCAAGAAGCTGAACAGATGCCACCACCATGCTTTCTGTGAAGCCTGCAGAACTGTGAGCCAATTAAACCTCATTCCTTTATATATTGCCCAGTCTCAGATATTCCTTTATAGCAATACAAGAATGGCCTAACACATCTATATATGTCCGGTTGCTTCAGCACCATTTGTTGTATCCTTTCTTCATTGAGTTGCTTTTGAACTTCTGTCAAAAATCACTAGGGACACGCCCGTTCTCCCAGCACTTTAGGAGGCTGAGGTGGGAGAATTGCTTGAGCCCAGAAGTTCAAGACCAGCCTGGGTGACATGGTGAAATCCCATCTCTACAAAAAAAAAAAAAAAAAAAAAAAATATATATATATATATATATATATATGAAAAATTAGCTGGGCGTGGTGGTGCACACCTGTAGCCCCAACTGTCTGGGAGGCTGAGGGAGAGGATCACTTGAGCCTGGAAGGTCGAGGCTACAGTGAGCTGTGATTGCACCACTGCACTCCAGCCTGGACAACAGAGTGAGACCCTGTTTCAAAAAAAAACCCCAAAAACCCCAAACCAAAAAAACCTATCATGTTGTAAACCTCAAATATACACAATAAAATTTATTTTTAAAACATCACTAGGGCATGTTTATATGGATCTATTTCTGAGTTCTCTACTGTTTCACTGATCTATGTGTCCACCCTTCTGCTAATCCCATATAGTTTTAAATACCATAATTATGGAATAGGCCTTGAGATCAGGCAGATTGTTTCTTCTCACTTGAGCAAGTTGAAGAATATAAGATTGACATACAAAAACCAACTGTGGCTCGATGCCTCATGCCTGTAATCCCAGACCTTTGGGAGGCTCAGGCAGGAGGGTCATTTGAGGCCGGGACATTGAGACCAGCTTGGTCAACATAACGAGATCTTTTCTCTACAAAAAATAAAAATAAAAAAATTTTAAAAATCAATTGTATTTCTTTAAAAATGTAGTATCATTGGGCTGGGTGCAGTGGCTCATGCCTGTAATCCCAGCACTTTGGGAGGCCAAGGTGGGCGGATCACGAGGTCAGGAGATCAAGACCATCCTGGCTAACATGGTGAAACACCGTCTCTACTAAAAATATTTAAAAAATTAGCCAGGCATGGTGGTGGGCACCTGTAGTCCCAGATACTTGGGAGGCTGAGGCAGGAGAATGGTATGAACCCAGGAGATGGAGCTTGCAGTGAGCCGACATCACACCACTGCACTCCAGCCTGGGTGACAGATAGAGACTCCATCTCAAAAAAAAAGAAAAAAAGAAAAAAAGAAAAAAGCAGTATCATTTATAATCTCTCAAAAAGTAAAGTGCTCAGGTGTTAAATCTAACAAAACATGGGTAGGATTTTTATGCTGAAAGCAACAAAATGTGGATGAAATAAACCAAAGAATATCTAAATAAAGAAAGAGATACACCATATTCATGGATTAGAAGACTCAGTATTGTAAAGATGTCAGTTATGCCCAAATACATTCCTATACATCAAAATATAAAAATATAAGCCAGGTTTTTTAGTGGATATTCAAATAGTCATAAGACTATTCTAAAATTTATATGGAAAGGCAAAGGAACTGAAATAGCTATCGTTGTTATTTTAACCTACTTGCTGCAGATTGGATACCCATTTCCCTTTTTGTTTATTTTAAATTATTTTATTGAGGTGAAATTTACATGCAGAGAAATACACACATCTTAAGTTCTCAATTCAATGAATTTTGACAAATATATAAACCCATGTAACCAAAACCCCAATCAAGATCCTATTTTCATTACCCTTGGAAAGTGTTCCGTGTCCCTTCCCAGTCAATTCCCACCCTCCCACCCCCACCCCAGTCCAGGCCACTACTGACCTGTGTTCTATAATCACAGATTAATTCTGCCTATTTTATAACTTTGAATATATAAAGAACTTCTGCAAATCAATAATAAAAAATATGAGTACCAGTTCAGTGTCAGATATGCCCCTTGCAAATATTTTCTTGAGACAATGGCTTTTGGTCGTTGTTTTTCTTTTCTTTTCTTTCTTTTTTTTTTTTTCTTTTTTGAGACAGGATCTTACTCGGTCACCCAGGCTGGAGTGCAGTGGCTCAATCATCACTCACTGTAGCCTCAAACTCCCAGGCTCAGGCAATCCTCCCACCTCAGCCTCCCCAGTAGCTAGGACCACAAGTGTCCACCACCATGCTCAGCTAATTTTTAAATTTTTTGTAGAGACAGGGTCTTGCTATGTTGCCCAGGCTGCTCTCAAACTCCTGGGCTCAAGCAATCTGCCCACCTTGGCTTCCCAAAATGCTGTGATTACAGGAGTGAGTCACCACACCAGAATTATTTTCATTTTAATGTTATCTTTTGAGAAACAGATGTTTATAATTTTGATAATCCAATGTATCAATTTAAAAATTTTATATTTCATGCTTTTTGTGTCCTTTCCAAGAAATCTTTGCCTACTGACTCCAAGCTTATACATATATTCTCCTCTGTTTCTTCTAGAAGCTTTGCAGTTTTATTGTTATGTTTAGGACTATAATTTTATCTTGAATTAGTTTTTGTTTTGTTTTGTTTTTTTGAGATAGGATCTCACTTTGTCACCCAGGCTGGAGTGCAGTGGTGCGATCTCTGCTCACTGCCACCTCTGCCTTCCAGGTTCAAGTGATTCTCATGCCTCAGCCTCCTGAGTAGCTGGGATCACAGGCATGTGCCACCACCCCCGGCTAATTTTTTGTATTTTAGTAGAGACGGGGTTTCACCCTGTTGGCCAGGCCGGTCTCGAACTCCTGGCCTCAAGTGATCCACCTGCCTTGGCCTTCCAAAGTGCTGGGATTACAGGCTTGAGCCACTGCGCCCCACCTTGAATTAGTTTTTGCGTACGGTGTTAGGTAGAAGTCAAAGTTCATCCTCCCAATTTATCCAATAGTTTGAGTGCTATTTGTTTAAAATATTTGACTTTCCCCATTGAATTGCCAATTTCATCTTTGATGAAAATCAATTGGCTACATGTTGTGGGTCTCTCTGTGCACTTTATTCTGTTATGAAATGCTGCATAACATTATCTATTGCTGCATAACAACTCAAAACTTAGTGACTTAAAATAGCAATTTAGTCTTACTATCTATCATGGTTTCTGGGGGTCAGGAATTCAGGATATCTTAGCTGGGTAGTTCATGCCATTCCAGGCAGACAGTGGCTGGAGCTGGAGCAACTGGCTGGACATGTTTCTTTCCATGAAGTCTTATATCATCTCTGCAGGTAGACTAGCCTGGCAACTATCTCTGCAGGTGGACTAGCTTGGCAACCACCTCTGTGCAGGTGGACTAGCCTGGCAACCACCTCTGTGCAGGTGGGCTAGCCTGGCAACCACCTCTGTGCAGGTGGGCTAGCCTGGCAACCACCTCTGTGCAGGTGGGCTAGCCTGGCAACCACCTCTGTGCAGGTGGGCTAGCCTGGCAACTACCTCTGTGCAGGTGGGCTAGCCTGGCAACGTTGAAAGCATGGTGGCCCCAAGTCTCTGTGCATAGTGCTCTGGCACCCAAGGCAGATGCTGCATTATCTCTTGCGCCCCAGCCTCAGGAGCTCTGTAGCATCAGTTCTGTGGCATTCTATGGTTTATAAGGGAATGAGATCACTGAGATTCACAGATAGTATCAGGGTTCTGGAAGAGCATGTGGGATAGAAGGAAGTGTTGTGGCCATCTTTGAAAAATACAATCTGCAGAATCTCATCCTTTTAAACAATTTTAGTGAATCTTTTATCTCTCTGTCACAGACTGGATAATGTATATTTGTCTGTCTCTGGACAGCAGAGTGGGCAGTGGGAGGACTCCCCAAAGGCACAGCAGAGGCCTGGGGCCAGGGCACTGACAGTGGAGAGGGGATGGGGGCCATCCCTGTGTACAGTCACACCTGGTCACAGCTGTGTGGCACCAGATGTGGTGCGGGAGGTGGGGGAGGCATCGGCGTGACCAGCTGGATGATGGGCAGGGCCATCGGTTGTCTCTGTGACAGCCTCTGAGACACGGGCGCAGGGGTCTGGTGGGGGCTGTGTAGGTGAGGCTAGAGCCCACTGGGGAAGTGTTCCTGGGGGGCTGGGGGCTGCGGGGGGTGTGGGGGAGGAGATTCCCGAACAGAGCAGGGAAGCCAGGCCGGTGGTGTGTGCTGCTGGGGAGCTGCTGAGGCTCCTTCCCGCCCTGCTGCCCTGTATCCTGACTGGGAAACAGAGCCCCGCACAAACAAGGCTGTTTGGGTTGGCTGGGGTTCGCTGGGAGGATTGCAGTGCTGAATGGAGCCATCTCAGGCTCCAGGAGAGGCGCTGAGTGAGAGAGCACATTCCGTGGTGACTGTAGGCCTGGCGCTGTCCCGCCCAGTTTGGGGAGCAGGCTCTGTGTTGTGCTTGGCCAGCTCACTCCAAAGGAGCAGTGCCTCGTGGGGGCAGCAGCGAGTCTCCAACGGCCGGGGCGTGTTTCCTGTGCAGACGACCCCTCCTCGCTGAAACTCATGATCCAAGGAGATACCTAAGAAAGCAACTCCTGGCCGGGCGCGGTGGCTCACGCCTGTAATCCCAGCACTTTGGGAGGCCGAGGCGGGTGGATCACGAGGTCAGGCGATGGAGACCATCCTGGCCAACACGGTGAAACCCCGTCTCTACTAAAAATACAAAAAATCAGCCGGGCGTGGTGGCGGGCAACTGTAGTCCCAGCTACTCGGGAGGCTGAGGCAGGAGAATCGCGTGAACCCGGGAGGCGGAGCTTGCAGTGAGCCGAGATGGAGCCACTGCACTACAGCCTGGGTGACAGAGCGAGACTCCGTCTCAAAAAAAAAAAAAAAAAAAAAAGAAAGCAACTCCTGACAGAGGGCAAGCGGCTGGGACCCTGGCCCAAGGTGGCTGCACTGCCCTCGGCAAACTACCCAGTGCCTTGGGTCCAATCGGGGGTGGGGAGACGCTCTGGGGACCTCCCTCGCCTCTCCTTGCCTGGCCACCTCCTGGCAATATTTCCCGCCTCTTCTGCACTGCTCGCTGACCTTTGCTGGTGTCAGGCCTTTGTTCAGGCTTGTCCCCACTTTTTAGCACGGTTTAAGCAAAGTTTAGAGGAAATTTTTCTAAATTTCGGTAAAAATTTGAAAAACATTAAAAAATTTCTCAAAGTTATTTTAGCAAATGTGCTTTTGTCTGGAGGCCGGCTCCTCCTGGCTGTGCTCTGAGCCTGCTGGCATCCCCGACAGGGCCTGCTGCCCCAGCACTGCTGCTTGACCAGTGGCTCTCCTGCACATTTCATTTTTCACTTACACATTAGGCTCTCCCTCAAGGGAATCAGCCCAAGAGCAGGGCCCTGCGGGCCTTGTCCACACTGCTTCCCCGAGGCGCATAGAAATGACTTCTCCCCACCCTGCGCAGTGACTCGTAATCCCAGATCGCTTGTGCTCAGGAGTTTGAGACCAGCCTGGGCAACACGGCGAAACCCCGTCTCTACCAAAACAAACAAACAAACAGCTAGGTGTGGTGGCGCATGCCTGTGGTTCCAGCTTCAGGAGGCTGAGGTGGGAGCATCACTTGAGCCTGGGAGGCAGAAGTTGCAGTGAGCTGAGATCGCGCCACGGCACTCCAGCCTGGGTGTCAGAGTGAGACCCCATCTTGAAAAAAAAAAAAAGAAAAGAAAGAAATGACTTCTCCCGTGCAAAACTGATCCAAGGGTCTCTCATGATTTTTGTTGTTCATTTGCTTTAGTGTAGGCAGTGTGAAGACCTCACCTGGGTGTGCCACCAATGGAGGCTGCAGGCCCCGGCTCCAGTGAAGGCTGGTGCTGCTGCTGCCCTGTCCAGGACGGCTCTGCATCTTCCTCCCAGAAGCCCAGACTCCCCTGTGGGCTGCCCACCTGGCTGCAGCTCCTGAATGTCTGGTAGGCATCACACCCTTCATGGATGCACCTGCAAAGAAACTGCACTGTGCTTGCCCGGGGGTCCCCCGTCTGACTGGTGACTGCACCATTTGCTCAAATAAAATCCTCAGGGTCACCTACTTGTCCTGCATTGGATCCATCAGCAAGTCCTGCCGATTCTATCCCTAGATGCATTCAAAATGTTCTCGCCTGGCTTCATCACCACCTGTGTCTGTGTCCTGAGGCACTGCAGACCGGTGGCTTAACCACAGGCATTTATTGTCTTGTCTCGGAGGCTGGGAGTCCAAGATCAAGGTGTGGGCAGGGCTGGTTCCGATTGAGGCCTCTCTCCTTGCCTTGCGGGTGGCACCTTCTCCCTGAGTCCTCCCGGAGTTGTCCCTCTGTACATGTCTGTGTCCCAATTTCTTCTTAGAAGGACACCAGTCATATGGGATCAGGACCTACCCCCTCATGAATTTATTTTAACTTAACTACCTCCTTAAGGACCCTACCTCCAAATACACATTCGGAGGTCCTGGGGGTGAGGGCTTTGGTGTGGAGTTTTGGAAGGGAGAACATAAATCAGTGCATAACAACACCCATGCCACCCTCATCCCTGCTGCCTCCGCTCAGGCCTTCCATCTGGGGCCACACTCGTCCTCACGTAGCAGTGCCGACTGTTCAGGTCGCCACTCCACCTGAGCCATGCGCACAAGACCCACGTAAGGAGACCTAAGGCCTGGAACTTAGACTCTTGGGACGCCTGCCCGGGACGAGGTCAGCAGGCCCCTCACTCTCCTAGACACAGGGGCCTGCGCACTGCCCGGAGTCTCCCAGTCCTTCTCTGTGCCAGCACGGATTGGTATTTTATTTTAAATGACAGCTTTATTGACACAATTCAAAGACCATACAATCACCCACTCAAAGTGTACCAGTCAGAAGTTGTTGGCATATTCAGAGTTGTGTATCCATCACCACTGGGTAACTCTAGAACATTTTAAACTGAGACGTCATTCACACACCATAAAATCCCGACACGTGCCCCAACACCGATGAACCTTGAGGACGTTATGCTAAGAGACGCCAGCGACGAAAGGGCAGATACCATGTGGTTCCACGTATGTGAGGTGCATAGAGTAGTGAGGTTCATAGGCACGGACAGTAGAATAGGGGTTGCCAGGGGTTGGGGGCAGGGGATGAGGGGGGCTGCTGTTTAATGGGGGCAGGTTTTAGTTTTGCAAGATGCATAAAGTTCTGAAGATGGATGGTGGTGACGATTATACAACACTGTGAATGTATGTAATACCACTGAACTGTGCACTTAAAAATGGTCTGGGTGCTGTGGCTCACACCTGTAATCCCAACACTTTGGGAGGGCGAGGAGGGCAGATCACCTGAGGTCAAGAGTTTGAGACCAGCCTAGCCAACATGGTGAAATCCTGTCTCTACAGAAATACAAAAATTAGGCCGGGCACAGTGGCTCATGCCTTTAATCCCAGCACTTTGGGAGGCCGAGGCAGGCTGATCACGAGGTCAGGAGATCGAGACCATCCTGGCTAACACGGTGAAACCCTGTCTCTACTAAAAATACAAAAAATTAGCCGGTGTGGTGGCGGGCACCTGTAGTCGCAGCTATTCGGGAGGCTGAGGCAGGAGAATGGCGTGAACCTGGGAGGCGGAGCTTGCAGTGAGCTGAGATTGCACCACTGCACTCCAGCCTGGGTGACAGAGCAAGACTCCGTCTCAAAAGAAAAAAAAATTATCCAGGCATGGTGGCAGGCGCCTGTAATCCCAACTACTCGGGAGGCTGAGGCAGGAGAATCCCTTGAACCCAGGATCAGGCTGTGGAGGTTGCAGTGAGCCGAGATCACACCACTGCACTCCAGCCTGGGAGATAGAGCAAGACTCCATCTCAAAAAAAAAAAAAAGACTCAAATGGTAAATATATGTCATGTATATTTAACTACAATTTTTTAAAAAAGTAAATAATTAAAAATCAATCAAATGAAAAGTTGCAGGCCAATGGGCCTAGAGTGCTGCCGGGTGTATTAATATGTCGGCAAAAGAAAAAAATGCTCATGCATCCATGCATCCATGTGCCTGTACTTGTACACACCACCCTGGAAGGATACCAAAGAGCTGCCCCGTGAGCCGGTGACAAGGATGGCATTCCTTAGGTGGGTGGGAGCCCCAGGCAGGAATCTCCACAAGTGAGTCCTTTCATGCTCCTGGAACTTGGAATCTTGGGACTCTGTTACCTATTAGAAAAAGTTAAAAAATTAGTTGCCAAAGGAGGCCAAGCTGAGGGAAAAGAGCTAAAGCTTCCAGCAGCGATGGTGGCCCCACCCCACCAGGCCCCACCTTGGGCGGGGGCTCCCGGGAAGAAGCCAGCCTGTCCGGTGAAAGCTTGAAGCTCCTGTTCTGTAAGGAGCTGAGTAATGGTGACATACCAAGGCAGGTCAGCAGGGAAGAAGGCGACTTTGTTTATTCCTTCCCTCCTAACCTCACACATCTTCCGCTCAGAGGTCCAGCAGTGTGCGGTCGGCCCCGTCCCAGTGGCTAGACTGAACGATCTGCTGAGACCACGGAATTCTGAGCAGAAGGCGTTCCCAACAGCCACGCTCACACCCAGAGCACAAGCTCCCGGCCAAAAGCCGCCTCCCTCGGCTGCACAGGAATCTTAACATGCGGGATTATCCACTGAGGAAAGAGTGGAATGGAACAAACAGAAAAAGTGAAGGTTCCTGTAAAGGCGATTAAAATCGACTTAGTTGGCAGCCGAATGTTAACACTGCTGCAAAGCCTTAAAAAGAAAGCCAGCCATTTTATGCAGAATTTACATCCCAGCAGCCCAAGAAATGAGGCTCTTACCTAATTAAGGAGCAGTAACAAGGCATATTACTTGCTTCTGTTTTTATTTTTACCTTTCGGATAATTTCCAAATAAATTATTACCAAGCTGTTTTGAGGTTTGAGAATAAGAAGAAAATCTGATATTCAAAATAAGGAGTCGTTTCATGGTCTCTGACTGATAAACAGACATCCATTAGCAAAATGAGAGAGACACATTTTCCTAGATCAAATTTCCAAAGAAATGAAGTTTGTTGTGTTTTCTTGTCAAAATGCTGGCTGCCTCTGGTGTTTTGATGAAACATTTTCCTCTGGAGAATAAGAAGATTCTGGAAGTGTCTTGTGTGTTTGGAGGGCTAAATAGATGATAGACATAGTGATGCTGTTAGAAGTTAGGGCTCTCTTGTAGAAGGAGGTACAGATACGGAATGACGGACACAAGGAGGAGCCTGCAGGGCCGGGCAGGACTAGGAGTGACTGTGAATTCATGGTATGAGTTATTATGGATGCATTATAACTAATTACACGATAATTAAAATTAATAGTACAATCACATATTAATAATACAACTATATTAATAATATAATCACAATTCAATGATGTTTAATAGTATTATTAATTGTATATTTATTTATACATATTATAATAATCTCACAAATAATTTTTTTCTAGGATCTAAATGATACCATGGTAAAGTGAGCACAACTCATGCCTGGACCCCAGTGTGGAAGAAATACTCTGTTCTAAGAAAGCTGGCCTTGGTCGGGCGTGGTGGCTCACGCCTATAATCCCAGCACTTTGGGAGGCCAGGGCAGGAGGATCACTTAAGCCCAGGAGTTTGAGACCAGCCTGGGCAACATAATGAGACCCCATCTCTATAAACAATTTTAAAAATGTAATCAAGTATGATGTTGGGGACCTGTAGTCCCAGCTACTTGGGAGGCTGAGCCAAAGAGCCATGATCCTGCCAGGGCGCTCCAGCCTGGGCAACAGAATGAGGCTCCGTCTCAAAGCAAAGAAACAAAAACAAACAAACAAAAGGAAGCAGGGCTCCTCAGGGAAGTGGCTGCCTCCAGCGCTGCAGCAGTTAAAGTGCAGGCTGAGCCGGGTGCAGCGGTGGTGCCAGGAAGCAAGGGCGTGCTCCACCATGACAGGGACACGGGGCCGGTCAGCCAGCATCCAAACAAGCCCCACAGCCACTGAATATAACTCACCGAATCAAAGAAAACCCCACAAGCCTTCACTGGTAGCCAGAGGGGAGACTGGGCAGTTTTCCTTACGGTGGAAAGCCAACTACTAAATGGAGAAGAAATGAAGGAGTTAGAAAATCACTATGTTGAGTGGGCATAGTGGCTCACGCCTGTAATCCCAGCACTTTGGGAGGCCGAGACAGGAGGATCGCTTGAGCCCAGGAGTTTGAGACCAGCCTGGCCAACATGGTAAGACCTCATCTCTACCAAAAAAATTTTCAAAAAATTAGCTGGATGCTGTGGGATATACCTGTAGTCCCAGCTACTTGGGAGGCTGAGGCTGGAGGATCCTTTGAGCCCAGGAGTTTGAGGCTACAGTGAGTCATGATCACAGCACTGCACTCTAGCCTGGGTGGCAGAGTGACACCTTGCCAAAAAAAAAAAAAAATGGTAGCACAATGTAGATTTTTACAGAAGGAGCAAGAAAGGCCACGAAGCAAAATGTTTAAAAGCAACAACTTGAAGTGAAAGGTTTAAGGAGCTCATTGAGCTTTCCTTTTCTCCGGAAGACCCCAGAGAGAGCCCTGAGTGGGTCTGTGGCCATTGGGAGTCTCTGGCCACCACAACGGGAGCTTGTGGTCCTGTAGGAGCTGATGGATGGGTCAGCATCGCCTGGGCCGAGTGCCCATGTCTGCCATGTGACTCGTGGTCTTCCACAGCAGACACTCAGCTCTCTACATACAGGCGTGGCTGGTACGAAAGCCACAGGGGCTCCCCCAGGGCCCCAGCTCAGGGTCGGACGTGGGATGTGGCCGGCCCCAGACTCTCTGCTCGAGCTCATCTGTGCAGCCTCACAGGGGCTGGCCCTGCCACGGGTGCCCCTCCCGGGCCGTGCACCAGGAGGTTTCCACCCTGACCTGTGAAGATGCAGCGCTCTTCGGATCTGAGCAACACACTTCATTCAGGATGGGCCTTTCCCAGGACAGCACTGATGGGAGCTTCCTGTGCACACCTGTTGGGCTGTGCTTCTCCTCGGAACATCCGGTTAAGCAGGAATGGGGCCTGTGTTGGGGTAAGGGGCTGCTCCACTCCCTCCATGCCCCACCTGCAACTGTGCAACCACCTCCTGCATCCAGCCAAGCTGAGGGGTCCACATGGATGGTCAGCAGGGTTTCACCTGGCAGTGAGATCTGCCCCCTGCACTGGGGGGACGAGGGCTGGTCTGTCCTCATGTCCTGCCCCAGTGGCCACCCCAAGCCCCAAGGGAAAAGCAGCACAAGTGTGTCTGCTCCCCACTGCGTAAGGGCACCTGCTCCTCTTTCCACCGGCCAGCTCCTGGATGCCCCACACCCGCAGCCTGTGAGCAGAGGGTGGCAGGAGGGAGAGGAGGTGACAGAGAGCCCAGAGATAAAAGCCAATGTGTGGGCCACTCCTGAAGGCTGCAGGCACAGAGACAGGGGGCACCTATCAGGGCTTGGGGCTGAGAGGACGCCCAGAGCTGCAGGCGGAGAGCAGGGGTCACTGCCAAGGGCTCTGGCCAGAAAACCAGGCATGGGGCTCTGGGGAGCCTTCAAGGAAACAGGCCCGGGGCTGTGGGCTGAGGCGGGGCTCTGGTGAGACAGCTCCTAAACCCCAAGCCAGCATGGCCATGCTGGGTCCCTGACCTCCAAGGCCATTGCTCTGGGGGATAAGACACGCCCAGTAAGCAGGATCCCAACATCTACTCATCCCGGCAGCCTCTGGGCCTCTGCAAACCCTGCTCGGGGGGAAGAGGAGGCTGAGGGGGAGGCTGCACCAGGCAGAGCTGTTGGGGAAGGGCCCCTGGATGCCACATGTGAACCTCAGAGAGGGCAGGTGTGTGGGCAGGCACGGCCGGGCCACGGGAGCACGTGTCCGGGCAGGGAGAGGGCAGTGGGCCTGGGCTGAGCAGGTTGGGGGCCCTGCGAGAGAGACTAGGGAGGTCTCCAGAGGGGTGGCATGCCCAGGGTGTTAGGGAGATTGATGTGGCGGCAGCAGACCCCCGAGGAGGCAGGGGTGAAGGTGTCACCCAGGAGGCTGCAGACAGCTGGCCAGCCGGGGTCCGAGGGGCCAGTTAATGAGGAGAGAGCCAAGGGCCAACGTACCCAGGAGGAAGGAAGGAAGCCAGGCCAGGCAGGGATGGGTGGCGAAACACAGCGTGAGACCACAGTCATGAAGTAACTCCCGCAGCCGCTCCACTCAAGCCGGTCCTGAGGCGGTTTCCACACTTGTTGGCTGTGACTACAAATTAAAAAGCCAAGTGCAGACATCAAGGCTGCCCTGCAGCTGTGACACCCCTCCCCGCCCCACCCACCACGCCTCTGACTCCCAGCCGAGGGCCGAGAGCCCCTCCTGAGCACACCCCATCCACCCAGCTCCACAGTGTGCACAGGGTGTGGCAGCCTTGGATGCAGAGAAGCACCTTGCAGCCTCCCCAACAGGTTCCCGCTGGCCCAGTGCCAGCCCTTGCCCCAGTTGTGCAGGGACCTGCGGAGCTGTGCTGCAATTCATTTCTTTGGCAACAATGACCTGAGAGAGCCTGGCCTTAAGAGCGAAGATAAACGGGCTCTTCGACTAGGATGTCCTTGTCACAGCGGGAGGGAGATCTGCAGCTGGCCCTGCTCCCTTACCCCTTTGCACAACGTGAGGAGCCCCTGAGAAGAGCCCATGGACCACGCCGAAATGCAGGGTGCTGTGGGGTTCTCCAAGGAGGAGGCCAGGCCCTTGTCCTCAGCTCAGCCCCGGGGGAGGAACCCAGGGAAGGGGAGACAAATTTTGCAGGGATGTGGAGTCCCAGAGAGCAGGGCCCCTGTTCAGAGCCGAGAGGGGCCGCAGGGCGTGGGGGCAGAAAGAAGTGCAAGGGCTGTGCACCAAGGACACAGATCAATAGCCGGTTCCTCAGAGTGCAGCTGAAAAGCTTAAAAGCTTTGAAAATGCAATGTCTGGGTTCTGCCGGTGAGCACCTAATAGTGCTCTCTGAGAGTGGCCCCCGACTCTGCCTTTTTTTTTTTTTTTAAATGCAGATACCGGTTTAAAGCTAGACACACTCTCAGTTAAGTGTACACCAGCCTCACAGACTTCATGATCCAGACTTGTTCTACGTGACCCAAATTACACATGACTGCCTGTTATGTGCTTTAAAATATTTTTTAATTGAATTTTTTCTGTGGAGATCATTGTAGATTCACAGGCAGCTGTAAGAAATAACACAGAGAGGTCCCTTGTACCCAATGGTACCATCTTGCAACGGTAGGACATCATAGCCTGGATGCTGACACTGGTACGGTCAAGATACGGGATATTTCTGTCACCAGAGACTCCCTCCTGCTGCCCTTTTACGGTCACACGCACCTCCCTCCCACCGAAGCCCTTTCCTAACCTCCAGCAATGGCTGATGTGTCTTCCATTTCTAGAATGTTGATTTCAACAGTGTTATGTAAGTGGACATGGAATCATATAGTATATCATCCTTCAGGCCTGGCTTTTTCCACTTAGCATAATTCTTTGAAGATTTATGCCAGTTGTTGCAGGGATCAATAAAAACTTCAATTCTTTTTTTTCCTATCAGTATTGTATAGTTTTCAGTGTTCAAATTCTGCATTTTTAAACTTAATTTAATTTTTTAAATCTTTTTAGAGATGAGGTCTCACTTTGTCACCCAGGCTGGAGTCCAGTGGCATAGATCATAGCTCACTGCAGCCTTGAACACCTGTGCTCAAGTGATCCTCCCCTCTCAGCCTCCTGAGTAGCTGAGGCTACCAGTGCACAGCACATACCTATGTTCTATATATGTTAGATTTATACCTAAGTGTTTCATTTTTTGAGGGATTTTAAATGGTATTGTATTTTTAATGTCAGTGCCCATGTGTTTGTTGCTAGCATGTAGAAATAGAATTGACTTTTGATCGTTTATCTTATGTCTTGCGACCTTGTTAAACTCACTTATTAGTTCTAGGAGGGCTTTTTTGAGGGTAGATTCCTTGGAATTTTCTATGCAGAGACAATCATGTTATCTGTAAATGAGGGCAGTTTTGTTTCTTCCTTTCCTGTCTGTGTGCCTTTTATTTCCTTTTCTTGCCTTATTGTACTGGCTAGAACTCCCAGCTCTGTGCTGAGTAAGAGTGGTGAGAGCAGGCATCTTCTCTTTGGATCCTGGAAGGAAAGAACTTAGTTTTCACCATCAAGTATCACATTAGCTGGCCAGGCGCGGTGGCTCAAGCCTGTAATCCCAGCACTTTGGGAGGCCGAGGCGGATGGATCACAAGGTCAGGAGATCGAGACCATCCTGGCTAACATGGTGAAACCATGTCTCTACTAAAAATACAAAACATTAGCCAGGTGTGGTGGTGGGCACCTGTAGTCCCAGCTACTTGGGAGGCTGAGGCAAGAGAATGGCGTGAACCCAGGAGGTGGAGCTTGCAGTGAGCTGAGATCACGCCACTGCACTCCATCCAGCCTGGGTGACAGAGTGAGACTCCATCTCAAAAAAAAAAAGAGTATCACATTAGCTATAGGTATTTTATAGGTGCCCTTTACAAAGTTGACAAAGTTCCCCCTTTATTCCTAGTTTTAGAATTTCTGTTATGAATGAGTGTTGAATTTTGTCAAATGCTTTTTTTTTTTTTGAGACGGAGTCTTGCTCTGTCGCCCAGGCTGGAGTGCAGTGGCATGATCTCGGCTCACTGCAAGCTCCGCCTCCCGGGTTCACACCATTCTTCTGCCTCAGCCTCCCAAGTAGCTGGGACTGCAGGCACCCGCCACCACGCCTGGCTAATTTTTTGTATTTTTAGTAGAGATGGGGTTTCACCATGTTAGCCAGGATGGTCTCGATCTCCTGACCTCGTGATCCACCCTCCTCAGCCTCCCAAAGTGCTGGAATTACAGGCGTGAGCCACCATGCCCAGCCGATTTTTGTCAAATGCTTTTTGTGCATCAATTGATATGATTTTTCTTTGTTAGCCTGTGAATTCAGTGGATTACATTGTTTGCTTTTTGAATGTTTAACCAGTCATCCATTCCAGGAGTAAACTCCACTTGGTAATGGTGTACAATTATTTGTATGTAGTGCTGAATTCTATTTGCTAATATTTTATTAAATATTTTCTTGGTCTATATTCATGAGGGATATTTTTCTGAGATTTTCTTTTTTTCTACTATCTTTGTCTGGTTTTGGTATCACTGTAATTCCAGCTGCATAAAACAAATTGGAAAGTCTTCTTTCCTCACCTATTTTCTGGAACAGTGGTGATAAATTTTTCTTTAAAGATTTGATAGAATTATCTATTTAAACGATAGGAGTCCGGAGATTTCTTTTTTTAGGAGTTCTAAAATTATTAATTAAATTCCCTATTCAAATTATCTTTTTCATATTGGGTAAGTTGTGGTAGTTTGTATTTTTCAAGAAATTGGTTCATTTCATCCAAGTTGTCAAATTTATATGTATAGAGTAGAGTTATCATTCCTGATATTGGTAATCTATGTCTTTTTTTTTCTTTGGTCAGTATTGATAGAGTTTTGTCAGTTTTATTGACCTTTCAAAGAATCAGCTTTTGGCTGGGTGTAGTGGCTCATACCTGTAATCCCAGCACTTTGGGAGGCTGAGGCAGGAGGATTACGAGGTCAGGAGTTCAAGACCAGCCTGGCCGATATGGTGAAACCTCGTCTCTACTGAAATACAAAAGTTAGCTGGGCGTGGTGGTGCGTGCCTGTAGTCCCAGCTACTCGGGAGGCTGAGGCAGGAGACTCGCTTGAACCTGGGAGGTGGAGTTTGCGGTGAGCCGAGATTGCGCCACTGCACTCCAGCCTGGGCAACAGAGCAAGACTCCGTCCCCCTCCCCCCACAAAAAAAGACAATCAGCTCTTTCTTTCATTGATTTTCTCTATTATTTTTATAAGGATTTTATTAATTTTTGCCCTTATCTTTTATTATTTTCATCCTTCTGCTTGCCTTGGGTTTATTTTGCTCTTCTTTTCCTAGTTTCTTGAGGTTTTTGAGCTTATCGATTTGAGACTTTTCCTCTTTTCTAATATATGTGTTTAATGCTATAAATTTTCCCCATCCACAATGCTTTTTCTGTGTTTTGACATTTGTACTCCATTTTCATTCAGCTCAATGTATTTTTTAAAATATCTCTTGAAACTCCTTTTTCCCATGGATTACTTATAAATGAGTGGTTTAGTTTTCAAGTATTTGGAGGTTTTTCTGTTATCTTTCTGTTGATTTGTAGTTTGAATTCATTGTGTTTGGAGAACCCACACCATGTGATTTCAATTTTTAGAAAATTGTTAAGGTTTGTTTTGTGCCCCAGAATATGGTCTATATTGGTATATGTTTCGTGGGCACTTGGAAAGAAAGGATAATCTGCTGTTGGAATAAAGTGTTCAATAAATGTCAATTAGATCCTGTTGGTTGACGATATCATTGCGTGCTTCTATTTTCTTGCTGATTTTCTGTCTAGTTGATCTATCAATTGTTGAGAGAGGAGTGTTGACGTATCCAACCACAATAGTGGATTTGTCTATTTCTCCTTTCAGTTCTATCCCTTTTTGTTGTATATATTTTGCAGTTCTGTTGTTTGTTAGATAAATGTTTAGGATTACTATGCATTCTTGTTGCATTGACCCTTTTATTATTGCATGTCAGTCTTATCCCTGGTAAGTTTCTTTGCCCTGAAGTCTGCCTCATTTGATACTAATATAGCCACTCCTGCTTTCCTTTGATTAATATCTGTGTGAAACATCTTGAAGTGAATTTCTTGTAGATAGTATATAGTTGATACATGTTTTAAAATCCATCTTACCAATCTCTTTTAATTGGTGAGTTAAGACATTTACATTTAATGTAATTATTGATATGTTAGGATATAATTGTGCCATTTTATTTATTTATTTATTTATTTATTTTTGAGACGGAGTCTTGCTCTGTCGCCCAGGCTGGAGTGCAGTGGTGCGATCTCGGCTTACTGCAAGCTCCACCTCCCGAGTTCACGCCGTTTTCCTGCCTCAGCCTCCCATGTAGCTGGGACTGCAGGTGCCCGCCACCACGCCCGGCTAATTTTTTGTATTTTTAGTAGAGACAGGATTTCACCGTGTTAGCCAGGATGGTCTTGATCTTCTGACCTCATGATCCTCCCACCTCAGCCTCCCAAAGTGCTGGGATTACAGGCTTGAGCCACTGCACCCAGCAATTGTACCATTTTATTCTGATCTGTTTTCTGTTTGCTCCCTGTTTTTTGTTTCTGTTTCCTTTGTCCTGACTTCTTATCAGTTAAACATTTTTTAGAATTCCATTTTGATTGATCAATAGTGTGGGTTGTTTTTGTTTTTTGTTTGCATTTTTTTTTTTTTTTTTTTGGAGACAGAGTCTTACTTTGTTCCCCAGGCTGGAGTGACATGACTCACTGTAACCTTAAACTCCTGGGCTTAAATAATCCTCCCACCTCAGCCTTCTGGGTAGCTAGGACACAGCCATGTGCCTCCATGCCCGGCTAATTTTTTAATGTTTTGTGGAGTAAGGGTCTCGCTATGTTGCCCAGGCTGGTCTCGAACCCCTGTCCTCAAGCAATCCTTCTGCCTCAGCCTCCCAAAGTGCTGAGATTATAGGTGTGAGCCACTGTGCCTGGCCCTCCATCGTGTTTTTGAATGTAGCTCCTTGTACAGCCTTTTAGTGGATGTTCCACATTATATACAACTTATCACAATCTACTGATGGTGTCATTTTTTCAGTCTGAGTGAAGGGTAGGAAACTTACCTCTCTTTGTATCCCATTATCCTGCCCCATTTATAATGTAATTGTCTTAAATCTTTCCTATACATACACTTAGAATCACATTAGGCAGTGCAATAAATTTTGCTTCAGCCATCAGACATAACTTACAAAATTGAAGAGGAGAAGAAAAGCCTATTGTATTTACTCACATTTTTACTTATTAGGTTTTTTTCCTTCCTTCCTTATTTAATTATTTCCTTCCCATTTAAATAACTTCCTTCAGCTGGTGTTTTTGGGTAAGTCTTTGGCAACAAATTCTCTTAGTTTTCCTTCATTTGAGAATGTCTTGATTTCCCTTTCATTCCTGAAGGATATTTTCACTGCATATAAGATTCTGGGCTGATGGTTCCTTTCCTTCAGCACTTGAAAAATATCGTGCCACTTCATTCCGGCCTCCATCAGTCCCGAAGGGAAATCTGCAGTAATGCAAATGGTTTTTCCCTATAGAGTATTGGTACTGGTATTGGTATTGCTTTCTCTGGCTATTTTCAAGATTTTTGCTTTGTCCTTAGTTTTTAGAAATTTCACTGTGATGCGCCTTGGCATGGATTGCTTTGGGTTTTCCTTGTTTGGGATTCATTCTGAATCTGTAGGTTTGTGTCTCTTGCCAAATATGGGGAGTTTTAGCCGTTGTTGAGTACTTTATCAGCCTTGCACGCTTTCTCCTCTCTTTCTTAACCACCAATGACACAAATATTAGGTCTTTTGTTGCAGTCCCACATATACCTGAGACTGTTCTTTTTTTTCTTTTTCAGTCTATTTTCTCTGTTGTTCAGACTGGGTACTTTCTATTGTTCTGTCTTCCAGTTCACTGGTTCTTTCCTCTGTCCCCTTCATCCTGTTCTTGAGCCCATCCACTGAGTTTATACTTCAGTTATTGTATTTTTCACTTCTAAAATTTCCATTCCAATTTCTTTATATCTTCAATTTCTTTCCTAAGATATTCTCTCTCTTTCTTTGCTGAGGCTATTTTTTCATTTGTTTCAAGCACGTTCTTAGTTGTTTGCTGAAGCATCTTTATGATGGCTGCTTTACAATCTTTGTGAGCTAATTCTAACGTCTTTGCCACCTACTGTTGGCATCTACTGATTGTCCCTTTTCACTTAGTTGCATTCAACAGTTTCAGTCCGTTGCATCATACTGAGAACCATCTTCCTGGTAATGAGCGGTTTTCTATTGAAACCTGGACATTTTTTGTGTTATGAGACTCTGGATCTGATTTAAATTTTCTGTTTTTCAAACAGCTTTATCGAGGTATAATTGATACCCAAGAAACTACATATTTAAAATAGGCAGTTTGATGAGTTTTGACATATGTCTATACAGACCCATGAAACCATCACCACAATCAAGGTAATAAACACACCCATCAGTCTTCTCTATTTTTTTTTTTTTTCTTGAGACAGAGTCTTGCTCTGTCACCCAGGCTGGAGTGCAGTGGCACAACCTCGGCTCACTGCAACCTCCGCCTCCCAGGTTCAAGCAATTCTCCTGCCTCAGCCTCCTGAGTAGCTGGGATTACAGGCGTGCGCCACCACGCCCAGCTAATTTTTAGAGTTTTAGTAGAGACAGGGTTTCACCATATTGGCCAGGCTGGCCTCAAACTCCTGGCCTCAAGTAATCCAGCCGCCTTGGCCTCCCAAAGTGCTAGGATTACAGACATGAGCCACCATGCCTGGCCCCAAAGTCTTCTATTGCTGCTTTTGTAAACATTGTGGTGTTGTGCTGTTGTTGTTTTTTTGACGCTGCTCTGGCCCCTTGTTACTGCAGGGTGGAAAAAAGTCCAGGTTCCCCACTCAATCTCCGTTTATACCCAAGGGAGCTCTTTTTCTCTTTACTCTGGGCAGGGTCTGGCTCCCCATGTGGTTTCTGCTGACAGCCCATTGGGGTGGCCTCGTTACCACTGAGTAGTAGTGAAGAGCCAGGCTCCTCGCTTTGCCTCCTCTGACACCAACCCCCACCCCCAGCAGGGAGGGGGAGAGGGCGGCATTACTGGCAGATGGGGTGGAAGCTCAGGCTGTTCCACAATGGGGTATGGGTCAGGGGTGGGTGCGGCGGTCTCGGCTCCCTCCTTGGCCTCTCTGACACCACAGGGGGAGATGTTGGGGTTCCTTGCCACGGCTTCCCAAAGTGGGGAGCCTAGGCTCCCGCTCAGCCTTTGCTGGAGTGGCCGAGGGTGTTTCGGTGGTGATGGCTGGAGTAGACAGGTTATCGCCTAAACGTTTTGACCTTGCGAGGCTGCTGCCTCCTGGTCCTTTGGCTAGACACAGCAGCTTTCATTGGAGTAATTTTGTCTGTGTCTGTTGGCGTTTCCAGGTTGCTGGCTTCTTCAGCTCCAGGAGTGAGATATATGAGGCCAAAAGAAACCACATGGAGCTGCCCGCCCCGTCATCCTTGGGTCCTGAGGTCCCTGACGGATCTCTGCTCTTCTCTTCACCTTTCAGAATCCGCTTATGTTTGCTTTCTGTGTGGTGTCCAGGCTTTTAGCCGTACATAGTGGGAGGAACAGGGAAAAGTACTTCTACTCAATTTTCCTGGAAGTGGAAGTCCCTGTATTTTTAGAAACCATTTCCCCTGGGTGACCCTTGTGCAGTCAGTTCTGCAAGGCTGAGCGGTGGGCTTGGGAATTGCCTTGGCTGGCTCTGGCTGCCTTTCCATCAGCAGACACCTGAGAGGTCCCCAGCATTTTAGGCGACTGGGACAATAGAGAACCACTTCTATTAACGGGTCCGAGCTTACAGAATCCACCAGGGCCTTGGAGACGCCCACCCAGTGGGGTGGGGTCCTGGTCTGGAACTGGGAAGCTCCAGGGACAGCAGCCTCCTGCAGCCCACACCGCCCCCTGGTGGCCGAGCCTGACCAGAACCGGGCCAGGGCCTGGTCCGGGGTTCTTGACCCTGGACGGTGGGACCATGCGTCCTCTGGAGCAGGTGCTTGGGGCAGAGATGGGAGCACCCTGGATCAGGGTGGAGATGCGTACAGAGCAAGTGTATGCACTTTCTAGAAAACCTCCCCCAGAGGTCACGACACACGGGGGAGCCCCCATCACCCTGTCCTGCAGATAAGTGGCCCAGGTGTGGGACACCAGCTGGCCCCAACACGCTCTCTGAGCTTGGGGAGTTAAACCCTAGAGTGCCCTGACAGGCTTTCTGTCTAGCTGGGGCCCAGCCAGGGGTGGTGGCTTTGTTAGATTGGACTGCTATTAAAAAATACTGTAAACTGAGTGGCTTAAACACAGAACTGTATTCTTCACAGCTCTGCAGGCTGGAAATCTGAGACCAAGACGCAGCTTTGTTGGGTTCTGGTGGGAGCCGCTTCCAGCTGCAGATTTTTTACTTCATGTTTAATCCTCACGTGGCAGAGGGCAGAGAGCTCTCCGGGCCCCTCTGATGAGGGGACTACTCCCATTCATGAGGACTCCACCCTCACGACCTCTTCACCTCCCAAGGGCCCCACTTTCTAGTACCACCCCCCTAGGGGTTAGAATTTCAACAACGAATGTTGGAGGGATGCAAACATTCCGCGCATAACAGGCAGGGCTGATCCTCGGAGGCTGGCTGGGCTCAGGACCCCAAATGTCACCAGGCACTGGGTGTTCAGCAAATGCCTTCCAGGGTCAGGGCCTCGAGGAGATGGCCTCTTCTTTAGCACCTGCCTCAGCCTGGGGTTCATACTGCCAGGCCTACGGAACTGCCTCCCCTGGGCTGTCCCCTCCCCTATGCCACCAGGAGCCTCTTCAAGTCTCATGTCACCCTCAGGCCGAGTCCTCTTCTTCCCTCCTCCACTGGCCTCCTGGGACTCAGAGCTCGGACATAAGTGGGCTCAGAAAATGAAGAAAAAACTCACACACACAAAAATAGGATTGGCCAATCAACATTGGAAGAAATGGTCCTCTCACAGATTTTTTTATTGTGATAAAATATACATGACAGGCCGAGTACAGTGGCTCATGCCTATAATCTCTGCACTTTGGAAGGCCAAGGCAGGAGGACCACTTGAGTCCAGGAGTCCAAGACCAGCCTGAGCAACATAGGGAGATCTCATCTCAAAAAATAATAATAATAATTAAAAATTAGCCAGTCATGGTGGCCCACAGCTGTAGTCCCAGTTGCTCGGGAGGCTGAGGTGAGAGGATTGCTCCAGCAGGTTGAGGCTGCACTGAGCTGTGATCAGGGTGAGTCTTTTTTTTTTTTGAGACAGAGTCTCACTCTGTCTCCCAGGCTGGAGTTCAGTGGCACAATTTCTGCTCACTGCAACCTCCACCTCCCAGGTTCAAGTGATTATCGTGTCTCAGCTTTCCGAGTAGCTGGGATTATAGGCACATACCACCACACCTGGCTAATTTTTTGTACTTTTAGTAGAGTTGGGGTTTCTCCATATTGGCCAGGCTGGTTTCAAACTCCTGAGCTCAGGCAGTCCACCTGCCTCGGCCTCCTAAAGTGCTAGGATTACAGGCACGAGCCACCGTGCCCGGCCTACACACAAACACACACACACACACACACACACAAAGACTGTCCATCTTAACAATTTTTTTTTTTTTTGAGACGGAGTCTCGCTCTGTCACCCAGGCTGGAGTGCAGTGGTGCATCTCGGATCACTGCAACTCCGCCTCCTGGATTCAAGTCATTCTCCTGCCTCAGCCTCCCAAGTAGCTGGGACTACAGGTGCCCGTCACCATGCCCAGCTAATTTTTTGTGATTTTTATTTTTTAGTAGAGACAGGGTTTCACCATGTTAGCCAGGGTGGTCTCAATCTCCTGATGTTGTGATCTGCCTGTCTCAGCCTCCCAAAGTGCTGGGATTACAGGTGTGAGCCACTGTGCCCGGCCCGTCTTAACCATTTTTAAGCGTGAGATTTGATGGGCTTAAGCACATTCGCGTTGTTGTGCAACCATCACCACCATCCGTCTCTAGGACTTTTCATCTTCCCAAACTGAAATTCTGTCCCCATAAAACAACTGCTCCCCACCGTCCCCTCTTCCCAGCTCCTGGCAGCCACTATTCGACTTTCTATCTCTATGATTTCTACTACTGTAGGAACCTCACGTAAGTGGAACCATGCAGAAACTGTCCTTCCGCGACTGGCTTATTTCACTGACCATCATGTCCTGGAGGTCCGTTCATGTTGTGGCATCTATCAGGATTTCCTTCCTTTTTAAAGGCTGAATAGTATTCCACTGTAAGTTTATATTACATTTTGTTTAACCATTCATCTGTCAATGGACATTTGGGTTATGAATAACATCGCTTCCATCTCATGGCTGTTGTAATAATAGGTGCACGAGTATCTGTTCGAGTCCTAGCTTTCAATTCTTTTGTGTCTATACCCAGAAATGGGTTGCTGGATCAAATGCGAATTCTATAGTTAATTTTTTGAGGAACCCATAGTGGCTCCATTATTTGCATTTCTACCAGCAATGCACAAGGGTTCCAATTTCTCCACATCCTCACCAACACTTATGTTTTCTGTTTTTTTGTTTTGTTTTGTTTTGTTTTTTGAGACAGTTTCGCTCTGCTGCCCAGGCTGGAACGCAGTGGTGTGATCTCGGCTCACAGCAATCTCCACCTCCTGGGTTCAAGCGATTCTCCTGCCTCAGCCTCCCGAGTAGCTGGGATTACAGGTGCCCGCCACCACGCCTGACTAATTTTTGTATTTTTAGTAAAGATAGGCTTTCACCATGTTGGCTAGGCTGGTCTCGAACTCCTGACCTCAGGTGGTCTGCCCACCTCAGCCTCCCAAAGTGCTGGGATTACAGGCGTGAGCCACCATGCCCTGCTTGTTTTCTGTTTTTATTTTAAAATATAGTAGCACCCCCAATGGGTATGAAGTGGCCTCTCACTAATTTTTAAAGATGTGTACATTGGGCTGGGCATGGTGGCTTAGGCCTGTATTCCCAGCACTTTGGGGGGCTGAGGTGGGCAGATCACTTGAGGTCAGGAGTTTGAGACCAGCCTAGCCAACATGGTGAAACCGTCTCTACTAAAAACTACAAAAATTAGCTGGGTGTGGTGGTGGGCACCTGTAATCCCAGCTACTCAGGAGGCTGAGGCAGGAGAATCACTTGAGCCTGGGATGTGAAGGTTGCAGCAAGCCAAGATAGTGCCACTGCACTCCAGCCTGGGTGACAGAGCAAGACTTCATCTCAAAAATAAAAAATAAAAATAAAAAAAGATGAGTAAATTGAAGCAATGTTAAGCTACTTTGCTTATCCACACTAGAAAAGCATATCTTTTACAATTAGAATATCCAAGGATGGATGCTTCTGCCTGTGGGTGCAACCTTTATGGAAAACAATTGGTAACATGCACCAGGAACCTCAAAAGGCTCATACCTTTGACCCAGTAATTCCAGTTCAGGAAATTTAACTCCAGAAAATGAGCGTAAGTGAACAGAAAGATACACATGCTTGATATTCTCTAAAGTGTTCTTATGAACAGAAAAATGGTCACACCAGTCTAAAATTGCAACAGCTGGCTATCTATTTGGAAGAAACAAAGGTTTGGATCATATATCCCACAGAAAAATACATTGCAGTCTGATTAAAGAGCTCTACTTACACAGCACAAGATTAAAACTAAGACGTCGTGGCGTGTGCCTACTCAGCTAGTCAGGAGGCTGAGGCAGGAGGATTGCTTAAGCCCAGGAGTTCAAGGCTGCAGTGAGCTATATCATGCCACTGCACTCCAGCCTGGGTGATAGAGTGAGATCTCATTTCTAAAAGTAAAAACATTGTGTTAAAGCTATTAGAGGAAAGGATTGGAATTTCAGGGTTTAATACAGCTGGGTTTATTCTGGCTCCACCCTTAACTTATCCTAAAATCACTGCAAAGAAAATGAAGTCTTCATACCTGTAATTCCAGCACTTTTGGAGGCCGAGGCAGGCAGATCACTTGAGTCCAGGGGTTCGAGACCAGCCTGGGCAAATTGGTGAAACCCTGCCTCTACTACAAATACAAAAAATTAGCTGGGCACGATGGCACGCGCCCGTAGTCCCAGCTACTTGGGAGGCCGAGGTGGGAGGATTACTTGAGCTCAGCAAGTTGAGGCTGCAGTGAGCTGAGACTGCACCACTGCACTCCAGCCTGGGCAAGGGGAGTGAGACCCTGTCTTGGAAAATATATGTATACATATATAAAAATTTTTTGTTATATATATTTATATATTTTTCTCTATATATATTTATCTGTATGTATAATTTGCCATTTCTAGCCTTATTCATATATTAAGTTCTCTGACAATTCTTTGACTTTGTCTTTCCTAAATCCAGAAAAAAAACACTTATTCTTACTACCTATTAGAGTTTTGTAGGGGACTTCAACATACCACTCTTATTAATGGACAGATCATCCAGACAGAAAATGAGCAAAGCAGCATCAAAGTTAGACTACACTCTAGACCTGACGGGCCGAACTGACATTTACAGAACATTTATTTACATTCTCCCCAAGGCTCCTGCTATCCACAAAGCTCGGGAACTGAGCCGTGTGGATGAAACATCTAAAGAACCTCAGTCAAGGACTGTCCCAGGCTCTGGTGGCTACTGGTACTACAGGGAATTCAATTAGGGGCAGTGCCAATGCCACCACCATGGACCTCGTGCGGGTCAGGGTTCCCAGGACCGAGGGGTCCACGAGCAGAGATCAGCGGACTAGAACGCTTCTGCCCACTGCTGGGGCTTCTCTGCATGAGGCATGTCCCTGGTTTTTATTTTCCTGGCTGTTTTCCCTCTCTGCGGATTCAGGGACTCCATTGCCAGTGGACACCCCCATTGTTGGTGCTTCCAAGACCCTAACTCTTGACAATCACCAGATACAGAACTAATTCTTCAAACTCTGGCAAAGTTGAACAAATCTCATCCAGATCAAAGGGAAGAAACCACTTGGTCATCCGAGAAAGCTCCTAATAGAACACAGAACATAGGAGATATGTTTCACTTGTGAATAAAAACTCTTGTCTTAGTATTTATCTGTGTTGCAGTAGCCAAGTGCATATCCACGTTTTGGAATGCTGCCACAAAGCTGATGTCCTGTCAGATGATCCAACAGAAAGAACAAGGGGGCTGGATGTTGCAGGCGTCAGAAAGGCTACCATTTGACTTGGCACAAAAATCGATGATGGCACGCTCAGAAGAGAACAGCTGGTCCTTCAGCCAAGGCTGGCCAGGAAAATGACTGGGAAAGCCACAGCTCAGGTGTAAACGGGTCCTGCTGCATCCAGTCTGTTTGGGGAAACTGAGGATTAAAACAGAAACCACAGCTTGCGAAATATACCCTGACTCACAAAACACATCAACTGTGCCAGATCAAGCCACAGTGGGCGTCATTATTTAACACCAGTTCATTCACATCCATGTGTCCTAAAATAAGCCATGGACAAATTGGCCCATGAACACACATGACCAGGCCAGGCACGGTGGCTCATGCCTGTAATCCCAGAACTTTGAGAGGCCGAAGTGAGAGGACCCCTTGAGGCCAGGAGTTTGAGGCCAGCCTGGTCAACATAGTGAGACCCCGCCTCTACAGGAGCTGAAGTCCCAGCTACTAGGGATGATGAAGAGGGAGGATTGCTTGAGCCCAGGATTTCGAGGCTGCAGTGAGCTATGATCACATCACTACACTCCAGCCTGGGCAACAGAGTGAGACCCTGTCTCTAAAACAAAACAAAACGAACTCATAAAGACAAGACCACTCATCGTTGTTCCAGTAAGACCCTCAGTTAACAAACTCTGTCCAAACGCTGACAGGACATCCTATGACTAACTCTGTCCCCAGACCCACTCCTTTAGATGTGCAGGCTCACTTGCAACAAAGCAATAAACTTAACTTTGTTGACTACAGATGGTCTTTGGCTGGTGGACATCAATACTGATGAGATACAAAAGAAGAAAATAGGCCAGGCATGGTGGCTGATGCCTGTAATCCCAGTACTTTGGGAGGCTGATATGGGCAGATCACTTGAGGTCAGGAGTTCGAGACCAGCCTGGCCAATACGGTGAAACCTCGTCTCTACTAAAAATACAAAAATTAGCTAGGTGTGGTGGCTCATACCTGTAATCCCAGCTACTCGGGAGGCTGAGGCAGAAGAATCTCTTGAACTTGGGAGGTGGAGGTTGCAGTGAGCCGAGATTGTGCCACTGCATTCCAGTCTGGGTGACGGAGTGAGACTCCATCCAAAAAAAATAAAAGAAAAGAAAAAAACAGGAAACTTTGTTGGTGAAGTAGAGAATACAATACATAAGTTTCTGAACCCAGAGAGAAAATACTGATACATCAGGCAATACATAAAACTCACCAAAAACAGAGCTACAAGAGAAATGATGGACTGGGAGAAAATGTTTGCAACATGTATAACAAAGGCAAAGAATTGGTAATAGAACACATAAAGAATCTTTATGGCTGGGCATGGTGGCTTATGCCTGTAATCCCAGCACTTTGGGAGGCTGAGGCAGACGGATTACTTGAGGTCAGGAGTTTGAGACCAGCCTGGCCAACATGGTGAAACCCTATCTCTACTAAAAGTACAAAAATTAGTCAGGCGTGGTGGCAGGCAACTGTAATCCCAGCTACTCAGGAGGCTGAGGCAGGAGAATCGCTGGAACCCGAGAGGCAGAGGCTGCAGTGAGCTGAGATCCTGCCCCTGCACTCCAGCCTGGGAGACAGAGCGAGACTCTGTCCCAAAAAAAAAAAAAAGAAAAGAAAGAAAAAAAAGAATCTTTACATAGCAACAAGAAGACCACCTACATAATAAAAACAGACAATTCACAGGTAACAATGAAACACAAGTGGTCAATAAACATATTGTAAAAGAGTTCAAACTCAAGTGAAACAAAAATTACAATGAGATATTCTTGTCATCCGTCAGATTATCAAAGATTGGCCGGCCACAGTGGCTCATGCCTGTAATCCCAGAAGTTCGGGAGGCCAAGGTGGGCAGATCACTTGAGGCCAGGAATTCAAGACCAGCCTGACCAACATGACAAAACCCTATCTCAATTAAAAATACAAAAAGTACCCGGGCCTTGTGGGACGTGACTGTAATCCCAGCTACTCAGGAGGCTGAGGCAGGAGAATTGCTTGAACCTGGAGGCGGAGGTTGCAGTGAGCCAAGATCCCACCATTGCATCCCAGCCTGTCAACACAGTGAGATTCTGTCTCCAAAAAAAAAAAAAAAAAAAGATTACCAAAGTTTGATAATATTGTGTCATAGCAAGGATGACGAGCAAATGGTACTCAGATACACTGCTGGAAGACTGCAACTGATACAGATGCATTAGAGGGCAATATGGCTCTATTGATTAAATTTCACATATTACTTCTTGGGATCCAGCAATTCTGCTCCTGATTTTTGCCCTTCAGGAACACTCCTAAATGTGCACAAGGAAAAAAAAAGCAAGGCTGATAGTGGTGGCGTTGTTGATAAGAGCAAAATCTCCGGATGCAATCTGAGTGTCTACAAATAGGTGGAGGCAAATGAAAAATGAAATGTTGATAACTTGGAAGCAACAAACCAGGGAAACTGGGAAGCAAGGAACCACTAAACCTTGATACCATGAACTCTGAAACCATGGCACCTTGGAAACTTGGAGCCTTGGAACCTTGGACCATGGGACCATGAAACCTTGCAACCGTGGAGTCTTGAAACCACAGAACCACTGAACCTCGAAACCGGGAAACATGAAACCTTGGTACCATGGAACCTTGGAGCAACTGAAATATGGAAGTATGGAAACATGGAACCTTGGAGCCATGGAATCAAGAAACCTTGGAACCTTGGAACCATGTAATCTTGGAACAAGGAAACCATGTAACTTTGTAATCACAGAGCCACAGAACCTTAGAACCCTGTAAACTTGAAACCCTGTAAACTTGGAACCTTGGAACCATTCACCACTGAATCTTACAACCTTGTAAAGTTGGAACCACAGATCCACTGAATTTTAGAACTCTGTAATATTGAAACCATTGAATCTTGGACCCATTAAACCATGGAACTTTGGAACAATGGTAACACTGAACCTTGATAATGGAATCTTGGAATCTTGGAAGGATGGAACCATTGAACCTTGGAACCTTGGAACCATTGCACCGTAGAAGCATGAAACCACAGTACTTTGGAACCTTTGAACTATGTAATTTTGGGCCTTGGGACCAGTGAACCCTGGAACCTTGGAACTATGAAGCCACGGTACTTTGGATCCTTGGAACCATTGTACCTTGGAGCCAGGAAACCATGTAGCTTTGGAACGGTGAAATCACTGATCTTTGGAACCATGGAATCATAGAACCTTGGAACCACTGAATCTTGGAAACATGGAACCTTGGAACAATGATAACATTGAACCTTTGAGCCAAGGAACTTTGGAAACATGGAACTATTAATCCTTGGAACCTTGGATCCATTGCATCTTGGAAGCATGGAACCATAGTACCTTGGAACCTTTGAACCATGTAACCTTGGGCCTTGGAACCAGTGAATCATGGAACCATCTAACCCTGGAACTATGGAATCTCGGAACCTTGGAACCTCAAAACCAAGAAGCAATGAAAAGAATATGTGTCAGTGACATGTCCAACCATGGAAAAAATACCAAGACATATCACAGTGGGAAACTGGTAAGACACAGGATGCCACTTGTGGTATGATACCATTTATATAAAGAGAAAAAAACAATCCAAAACTATATTGCCACGTAAATATGTAATTATGGAAACACAGAAGAAAAGGCCTACAATGTCATATGCCAACCTGACGAGGGCTGTGGGCTGGGAGAACACCTGGAGAATTTTACGTTGAGACACGGTCTCACTCTGTCACCCAGACTGGAGTACAGTGGTGTGATCTTAGCTCACTATAGCCTCTGTCTCCCGGGCTCAAGCAATCTTCCTGCTTCAGCCTCCCAAGTAGCTGGGACTACAGCCCGGTGCTACCACACCTGGCTAATTTTTAAATATTTTTTATGGAGATGGGGTTTCGCCATGTTGCCCAGACTGGTCTCAAACTCGTGACCTCAAGTGATCTGCTTGCCTCAGCCTTTCAAAGTGCTGGGATTACAGGTGTGAGAGTCACAGGGAGAGAACATCACTGGAAAATGTGGATGATATAATGCTGCATGGGGAAAAGCAGACAAAGAAAACTGCTCCAAGAGCCTGACCTCACCCACGGGAGATGCTGCATAGAGGGCACTTTGCAACCAGGAGGTTGTCAGAATCACTCAGGGGGTGTCTCCAACCTCCTCCTGCCCAGCTCTGCCCCAGCTCTGACTGGGCAGGTCTGAGTGGGCTTGGCTGTGCCAGGTGAAAGTGTACCCCCACTCTATGATTCTGGCACAGCCAGGCCGGCCTCTCTGGGCAGTGGGATTGCATTCCTTTCTAGCCTCTCCATTAGGGTCTTCCTGCTAGCCAGCATCACTTTTATAACCACATAAAAGTTTCTTTTTTAAAATAGAAGACAGAGGCCAGGTGCAGTGGCTCACACCTGTTAATCACAGCACTTTGGGAGGCTGAGGCAGGTGGATCACTTGAGTTCAGGAGTTTGAGACCAGCCCGGGCATCATGGTGAAACCCCATCTCCATAAAGAATGTTTAAAAATTAGCCAGATGTAGTGGCACTGGCCTGTAGTCCCAGCTACTTGGGAGGCTGAAGCAGGAGGATTGCTTGAGCCTGGGAGGCAGAGAGAGGCTATAGTGAGCTAAGATCACACCACTGCACTCCAGCGTGGGTGACAGAGTGAGACTGTGTCTCAAAATAAAATAAAGTAGAAGCCAGAAAAAAAAATATGTTGTTCCTTCCTCATCTGGGTTGTCCCTTCTCCAGCCTCAGCTGTGAGCACCGCGGAGCTTTGTTGAGTGTCTAATTCTCTAGAACAAAGGGCCAAGTCCAAGCTAGAGGCCTGACCTTCCGCACTCCCTAGGGGCTGAGCTGGGTTTCACTTCCCCAGGAATCCACATATTCTGAAGGAATTCTCATGTATTTCTTGCTGCCAAAGTCTCCAAATGGGGCTTTGTCCCTGCCTTGGGCTGTCCAGCTGCTAATAAAACAAAATACCTGAGACTGGATAGTTTATAAACAACAGAAGTTTTTTGCTTATGGTTCTGGTGGCTGAAAAGTCCAAGATCAAGACACTGGCAGGTTTTGTATCTGGTGAGTCTTGCTTGCTCTCTGCCTCCAAGCAGCCTTATTGGCTGCATCCTCACATGGCAGAAGGGCTGAACAAGCTCTCTGGAGCGTCTTTTATAAGGACACTCTGCCCCCATGGCCATCAACTTCCATAGGCCCAACCTCTTAATAGCATCAACTTGGGGTTATGTTTCAGCATGTGAACTTTGGGAGGGACACATACATTTGTATCATAGCACTTATATTGTGTCAACAGGAAACTCATTCATTCATTCAAGGATTTCTGGGTTCCCACTATGAGCAAAATGCCAAGGCCAGCTCTTCATTATTTCTCATCCCATCTGATATAGTTTGGATGTGTGGCTCTCCCCAGATCTCATGTTGAAATGTAATCCCTAGTGTTGGAGGTGAGGTCTGGTGGGAGGTGATTGGCTCATGGGGGTGGTTTTCTCATGAATAGTTTAGCACTATGCTCTTGGTGCTGTCCTGGCAATAGTGAGCGGGTTCTTATGGATCTGGTCATTTTCAAGTGTGTGGCATCCCCCGCCCCCGCGACCGCAGCTCCTGCTTTCACCATGCGCTGTGCCTGCGGCCCGTTCACCTTCCACAAAGACTGGAAGTTTTCTTGAGGCCTCCTCAAAGGCAGATGCTGCTATGCTTCCCGTACAGCCTGCAGAACCGTGAGCCAAGTAAAGCTTTTTTCTTTATAAATTATCCAGTTTCAGGTATTTCTTTGTAACAATGCAAGAATGGCCCAATACAACCTCTAATTTAAAAACATTACAAAACTGCACAGTGGATTCCATCACCCCCGTTCTAAAGAGGAGGAGATGGAGGGATGGGAGAGTTGAAAGGATTGCAGGGGGTCAGAGCCTCACCCTGGTGCTCCCGCTCTGGACCAGGGGCCAAAGCACCTTCTGGTGAATGCACATATGAGCAAGGGGTGGATCGTTTCTACACGCTTCTGTGGCAGACAGTGTCTGAGGTGGCCCCACGATCCTGCCTCATGGAAGGCATGGTCTTGTATTCACCCCTTGAGTAACTTCCTTCTAACAGAACGCAGCGACATTGAGGATGTCACACTGTGATTAGACTACAAAAGACTAGAATCTTACCCTTGCTGGCTTTGGTGCAGGAAGCTGCCACTATGGAAGGCTTATGCAGCAAGGAACAAAAGTCGGCCTCCAGCCGAGAGACAGCCGAGAGCTGGGGCCTTGGTCCAGCAGCCAGAGAAACTGGGTCCTGCCAAAGAGCACATGAGTGAGCTTGGATGGGCAGCCCCACCCAGCAAAGCCTTGGATGAGACCACCGCCCTGGCAGACACCTTGACTGCAGCCTCGGGAGACACCCAGAAGCAGAGCATCCAGCTAAGCCACATTCAAGTTCCTGCCTCGTGGAACTGTGAGGCTGCAAATGGGTGTCATCTCAAGCTGCTGTTGGTGGTGATGAAATGGGAAGAGTTTCTTTGATCCCCTCGCAGGGCGTGCGATGGGGGTGTAGCTCGCTTCTTCAGTGCCCCACTGCTCAGACCTCGAGGGGAGCATACAGACAGGCAGGCTGTGGGGCTCCGACCCCACAGCAGTGTCTAGGGGTGAATGTTTACAGTTTTTGAAGCCCCAGTGGGCATGTGTTACAGGGTGCTCTATCGGCAGCTTGTGTTAACCAGCTCAATTAGACCGTCTACCTTGTTGTAAGGCCAAAGGGCTTTCTGTATCTGGGTTCTTGCCTTGGTGTACCAGAAGAATCAGATCACGCCTGGACTTGGAGAATGGGTGCAAGGTTTTATTGAGTGGAAGTAGCTCTCAGTAGATGGGGGAGCCAGACAAGAGATGGTTTTCCCCTGGAGTCGGGCGCTCAGCGGCCCAGGCTCTCTTCTGACTGCCCTAGCCAAACCCTGTGTCATTCTGCCAGGGTGGGTGGCCTGCCGACGTCTGTCAGTGTGCTCTTCTGTCGCTGTGCTCTTCCGCCAGCGTGCTCCCCTTGACGTCCAGCCGCTTGTGTCTTCTTCCGCCGATCCGCTTCTCTCCACATCCAGCCTGTTGTGTGTCTGCCTGTTAGAATGTCAGGGGATTTTACAGGCACAGGACAGGGGCATGGCAGGCCAGGGTGGTCTTGGGAAATGCAACATTTGGGCAGGCAAACAAAAATGCCTGTCCTCACCTAGGTCCGTGGGGGTGGAGCCCTAGCCAGGGACCACGACCTCCTCTACCCAGCACTTCCTTTCCCCACTTGGTATCATTTAAAGGGATCATGCTCTTCCCTTCCCAGCACTCCCTTATGAGTGATTTGTCACTTACTGGTGGAAAGCGAATACCTCTTCCTACTGTAGTGACTGCAAATGCATTGCCTCTTGTTTTGCTCGTTTCCCACTGGAGGGTGCAGTGAACAGATGGGGGCATCCTCCTCTGGCTGGGAGGGGCAGGGCATTGGCCCCTCAGCTGTCCCTGCCTAGAGCACACAGTGCCGTCCGATCCTTTTGCCCCTCTGCTCTACCGTCCCACATCTGGGGCTGGAGGAAGAAGAGCTGACTGCAGGGGAATGCCAATTTCCCAGTGCTAGTCACGCTTCAATTTGAAACCTAAATGAACAAAAATAGACATCCCATCGAACAACATCAAGCCTTTAAAGAGGAAGGCCAGGGGTGGGAACAGGCTTGACTTTAGACTACAGACATTCCAGGAACTTCAGGATGTTCCCACGATACAGACTGCATTTGTTAAAAATACCTTTAATACCAAAAATTACAAAGAGTGCAACTAATCCTGTTTCTTAAAGCCAAGAAAAACACACTCGAGTCAAACACAATGTATGGCTGCAAGAGAGAGATTTCCATTAAAAGGGAAACTTGCAGCTGCCCCACAGGCCAGGCCAGCAGCCCACGCCACAGGCATTGCCGCTGCACCCAGGCAGCCACGGCGGAAAACGGGCTTGGTGGCCCCCCAGCTTGGCGCCTGCAGGGGCTTCTCGGAAGCTCATGCCCTCCACCCACGAACTCAGCCCAAGCAGGCTGTGCTGATTCCTAGCGGGACTCTTGCCTGGGCAGGGGCCATTTGGTTGCCAGAAATACCCAGGACACCGGGAGAGGCCCCTTCATCATCTGTACCCGGAGAGGAAGGCAAATCGCTCATCTAGAGGGGTGCCCAGCACTGGGGGCCGGGCCAAGTGGCTGCAGAGTCACAGGCAAAGGAAGCAGAGAGTCCCAGGTGGCAGAGACAGCCGTGGACCGGGTGACTTTCACCGCAGCCTTTTGCTAAACCCTCCAGAGCCCTGTGAGGGGACGCTGAGCTCATCTCTCAATCCAAAATGGTGAGGCCTGGGGTATTACATGGGTTGTCTAGGCAGCAGTGCCAACCTCATGAGGTGAGCAGATGCTAAGCCCCGGGCAGCCATCCTCTGTGCGCACCCTGGCTGTGCCTGCCACGCCTGGCTCTCTCCCTGTCTTCACTCCAGTGGGGAGGTCTTCATGCTTCCAGGGTCCGGGAGGGCCCTCCCCGGCCCTCCTTCCAAAGCAACTTTAGGAGGAGAACTTTTGCCTGGGCCATTCTCCTGCCGCCAACCCTCAGCTTCAGGCCAGGTCTCCAGCTGGTCTGGAGATAAGGGTGCATCTGCGAGTGACCTGGGGTGACACTTGTGGTGACTGTGCCAGGGAGCCCAGGAGTGGCAGGTTGGTTGGCATTCACAGGACCATCAGGGTCAGCCTGCACGTCCGCATTCCAGAGGCTACCTGCAGGTCCCAGGGCCAGGCCTCCCCAAGTTCAGCCAGCCCAGCTTCTCCCAGGGTGCGAGGGCAGGGTGTGCCTGCTCCCTCTGTGCCTGGGAACACCCCCACCGCCCTCTCCCACCTCACTGAGCCTGAAATCTACTTTTTAAAATGTTTTAATAGACTTTAGCTTTTAGAGGTGTTTTAGGTTCATAGCAAAACTGAGCAGAAGTTACAGAGATGTGCCATATGTTCCGCTCCAACAGGCACAGCCTCCCCCGTCAGCACCCCACAGAGGGGTGCACTTGTTAAGTCCAAGAACCTAGGTAAACACAGCCTATCCCCCAGAGTCCACAGTGCACACTAGGGTTCATTCCGGATGCTGCACTTCGTGAGAATTCGGACAAATGCATAATGACGTGTCCGCCATTATAGAATCATACAGAGCGGTTTCACTGCCCGGAAAGCCCTTCCTGCTCCACATGTTCACCTCCCTTCTACAACCCCTGGGAGCCACTGATGTTTTTATGAGAGCCACTGATTTTTTTTTTTTCTAGACAGAGTCTCGCTCTGTCGCCCAGGCTAGAGCGCAGTGGCATGATCTCGGCTCACTGCAACCTCCACCTCCTGGGTTCAAGCAATTGTCGTGCCTCAGCCTGCAGAGTAGCTGGGATTACAGGCACCCCCCACCACGCCAGGCTAATTTTTGTGTTTTTAGTAGAGAAGATAGGGTTTTACCATGTTGTCCAGGCTGGTCTTGAACTCCTGGGCTCAAGCAATCCACCTGCCTCGGCCTCTCAAAGTGTTGGGATTACAGGAGTGAGCCATTGAACCTGGCGGGGGGTCACTGATCTTTTTACTGTCTCCATGGTTTTGCTGTTTCCAGACTGTCATAGAGTTGGCATTGTACAGTACGTAGCCTTTTCAGACTGGAGTCTTCCAATTAGTAATATGCATTTAAGCTTCCTCCAAGGCTTTTCATGGCTTGATAGCTCATTTCTCTTTAGCACTGAATAATATTCTGTTGTCTGGATGTGCCACAGTTTATTTATCCACCCACCCACTGAAGAACATCTTGGTTGCTATCAAGTTTTGACAAAATTATAAATAAAGCTGCTATAAACATCCATGCGCAGGTTTTTGTGTGGACTTAAGTTTTCCATTCATCTGGGCCAATGCCAAGGAGTGTGATTGCTGGATTGTATAGTAAAAGTATGTTTTGTTTTGTAAAAAACTGCCAAACCGTCTTCCAAAATAGCTGGACCACTTTCTATTCCCACCAGTAATGAATGAGAGAGTTCCTGTTGCTCCATGCACATTTACATTTTAAAGCAATATTATTTTCTAGTATAAAATGTCTTCTTTACAGAACAGTTGAAACCAAAAGGAAAGCATAAAACATAAAATGAAAATTATTAGCGATCCCCTGACCCCTTCATTTACTCAGCAAATAGCTGCCTGTCTACCATGTGGGGCAGGCTGTAGGGGCTGGGCTGCTGCGGCCACCAGCACAGACAGCCCTGTCCCTGAGGGACCTGTCTTCATAGAGAGGAGATCTACTGACCTCAATACACAAATAAGTCATTGCTATATCCCGCGGTGGAGCGTGGGATGGGGACAAGCGCCAGGAGAAAAGAAAGCAGGGGAGGGAGGCGGAGTCCCAGGGGGCAGGAGAGGGGAGGAGGCACAGCAGGGCCCTAGCAGATGCAGGAGCTGGCAGACGCTCTTCACAAAACGAGTGGGTTTTCCGGAACTGCACGGGTACTGACTATTCGGCCTGCTCCTGGTCTGTACTGACTGATCCCTTACAGTGTGGTAAATGCCCACCTCCACCGCATCCACTCTCAGTCCCTACATTGTGACGTAGCACTGGGGCCAGCCATGGCTGGACAAGGTGGACCCCCACGCACCTGAGGGCCAGCCTGCACCCTAATTGGGAACCTCCAAACTTGGGCCTGGAGATATCTAAGAAAATTGACCTGGGGGTGAGGGGAAAGGGGATGGGGGAAGGAGAATAGAGCAGAGAGAGGGAAGGGAGGCTATGTAGCAGAGAGAGATGGAAAGGGAGAGACCACAGGGAGGGGAGGAGGGCTCAGGGCCAGAGCAGCTGTCCAGGCCCCAAGGACTGCAGCTCAGTCCAGACCATACATCCTGAAAGCTGGCCCCGTGCCACTCCCAGCCACATGCTTCCTGCTCTGCTGCAATGTGACCTTAAACCATGGCACAGCAATCTGTGTGATGTAGCCAGTGCCCTGCTGATAGGTGTGCGGCGGTTTACAGTATCTGGCAATGCTAGATGATCAAGCAGTGAGTACCCTCGCTGACAACTCGAGCATTTCTGTGGCTGCAGCAGCTGCTGGATACAGCATGGGCACTTTTTGGCACGATTTCATGTCTGTCTTCATCTTAGTCATCTCTAGTTTTTCTCAATTTCATCATTCTAATTTATAAAGTGGTAAGATCATAATATCCTTTATTTCTGTTCAAAGAGAACAAGATCATTTAGAAGTGAGTTAGTGGGCCAGGCATTGATGGCTCACACCTGTAATCCCAGCACTTTGGGAGGCCGAGGCGGGCGGATCACTTGAGGTCAGGAGTTTGAGACCAGCCTGGCCAACATGGCAAAATTCTGTCTCTGCTAAAAATACAAAAAAAAAAAAAAAAAAAAAATAGCCGGGCATGGTGCTGCATGCCTGTAGTCCCAGCTACTCGGGAAGCTGAAGCAGGAAAATAGCTCGAACCCGGGAGGCAGAGGTTGCAGTGAGCCAAGATCACACCATTGCACTCCAGCCTGGGTGACAGAGCAAGATTTGGTCTCAAAAAAAAAAAAAAAAAAAAAAAAAAAAGTGAGTTAGTGGAGAAAAGGGGAAAACATCTTTGAGGGTGCACTTCCGATCAGCCACTTTTCAATGAGAATTTTGAAAGGCATACACACACATACACACAAACACACGTATATGAGTAGGAGAGAAAATATTAAATGGAACCCCCATATACCCATCAGCTAGATTTAAAATTATCAACATTTTGTTTTATCTGCTTTGTCTCTCCTGTTTTCTTTGTCTAAAGTATTTCCAGCATGGCCCAGACACATTTGATCCCTAAATATTTTGAGATACATGAAAAGATAAGAATTTTAGGCCAGGTGCGGTGGCTCACGCCTGTAATCCCAGTGCTTTGGGAGGCCGAGGCAGGATGATCACCTGAGGTCAGGAGTTCAAGACCAGCCTGGCCAACATGGTGAAGCCCCGTCTCTACTAAAAATACAAAAATTAGCCGGGCATGGTGGCAGGCGCCTGTAATCCCAGCTACTCCGGAGGCCGAGGCAGGAGAATCCCTTGAACCTGGGAGGCAGAGGTTGCAGTGAGCCGAGATCGTGCCATTGCACTCCAGCCTGGGGGACAAGAGCTAGACTTCGTCTCAAAAAAAAAAAAAAGAATTTTAACATATCATCCCATTATACTGTCATCACACCTGACAAAATAAAAAACACGAAACACAGTGTTTTCCATCATCCAGCATCAGCCCACATCAGCGTCTCCCCAGTGGCTCTCCAGGTGACTCTCCCTCGGGCTGCGACATTCTGAAGTCTGTTGCCCCAGCTCACTCAGGGGCCAGAGGCCCCGCTCCCAGTCCGTGAGCAGGGAGTTCGGAAGCAGCGGCAGACACTGCCCCGATGTGGCTTGTCTGCCCTGTGAGGGAGGAAATCTGCCCCTCGACAGGACCGGGGGCAGCAGGCAGGGGTGGAAGGGGAGGACCTTTGCCCCAGCAGGTGGAAAAACATTCCAGCAAATTTACTTATAACTGAAAATATATTTATTTTACTTTGGAAGAAGAGTTTAGGAAGAAATATAAAGTATTTTAACCAAACCATTTTCTGTGTCACTGATCTTTTATTTATAAAGAGGCTGGACACGGTGGCTCATGCCTACAATCCTGGCTCTTTGGGAGGCTGAGGTGGGAGGATCACTTGAGTCCAGGAGCTCAAGACCAGCCTGGAACACGGCAAGACCCCATCTCTATTAAATTTTTTTAAATTAATTGGGTGTGGTGGTGCATGCCTGTAGTCCTAGCTCCTCAGGAGGCTAAGGTGGGAGGATTGCTTTAGCCAAGGAGTTCGAGGCAGCAGTGAGCTATGATTGTGTCACTGCACTCCAGCTTGGGTGACAGAGTGAGACCCTATTTCAAAAACGAAAAAGGAAGGAAAGAAGGGAGGGCGGGAGGGAGGGAAGAAGGAAGGAAGGAAGGAAGGAAGGAAGGAAGGAAGGAAGGAAGGAAGGAAGGGAGGGAGGAAGAAAATGGTCCTTATGGCCCCTGCCTACTCATTAGAATTCTCACACTCTGGATGGTACATCTCAAATGGGGCCCCCTGATGCCTGGAGTTTCCTCATTTCCCCAACTGCACCCCCACAACATACCAGTGATCTGACTGTCTGTATGGAGACTCAGACACTCAGTCCAAGCCTCTCTCCCTTCCTCTCTCCCTGGCTCTCTCCTGGTCTCTCTCTCCCTCTGTCTCTCTCTGCCTACCTCCCCTCTCATCTCTTTTTGGTTTGGATTTCATGTTTTTATTTTATTAGTTTTTTTTTTTTGTTTTTTTGTTTTTTAAGAGATGGAGTCTTCCTCTGTCACCTAAGCTGGAGTGTAGTGGTGTAATAATAGCTCACTACAGCCTCAGATTTTGGGTTCAAGCGATCCTCCTGCCTCAGCCTTACCAAGCAGCCAGGACTACAGGTGCATGCCACCATACCCAGCTAATTTTTTTTTTAATTTTTATTTTGTAGAGATAGGGTCTTGCTCTGTTGATCAGGCTTGTCACAAACTCCTGGGCTCAAGCTATCCTCTCGCCTTGGCCTCCGAAAGTACTGGGATTACAGGCCTGAGCCACCACACCCACCTCATGTGTGTGTGTGTGTGTGTGTGTGTGTGTTTAATGACATGTAATTTACATGCTATGAGATTTACCTTTTTGGCCATGCACGGTGGCTCACGCTGGTAATCCCAGCATTTTGGGAGGCCGAGGCGGGTGGATCATGAGGTCAAGAGATTGAGACCAGCCTGGGCAACATGGTGAAACCCTGTCTCTACTAAAAACACAAAACTTAGCCAGGTGTGGCTGCGGGCGCCTATAATCCCAGCTGCTCGAGAGGCTGAGGCAGCGAATTGCTTGAACCCAGGAGGCAGAGGTTGCAGTGAGCCGAGATCGGGCCACTGCCCTCTAGCCTGGGCGACAGAGTGAGAATCCATCTCAAAAAAAGAAAAAGACTCACCTTTTTAAAGCGTACAATTCAGTCGTTGTTAGCATATTTTAAATGTTATGCCACATCATAAACTATGTAATTCCAGAATATTTTCATCACCTCCCAATAATGTTCCGTACCCATTAGCAGTCACTCGCCGTTCTCCCCTGTCTCCAGCTTCTGGCAACCACTAACCCACTTTCTGTCTCTTGTGGATCTGCCTATTCTAGACATTCATGTAAATGGAATGACAAACTATGTGGCTTTTTGTGCCTGGCTTCTTTCACTTAGCATGATGTTTTTAAGGCTCATACATGTTTTAGCATGCGCCAGTACTGACCACCCAGGGGTTGATCTCAGCTGGGGCCTGACGTTTTCTTAGCGCCTGGTGTCCACCTGAGGCCTGGGTGTCAACTTGGGGCCAGATATCCAACCGAGGCCTGAGTGTTTCCTGGTGCCTGAGGAGTTCCTGGGACCCGGATTTCCACATGGGGCCCGATGTCTGGACTTCTGAGGCCTAGGTGTTTACTTGGGACCTAGAGGTGCACCCGAGACTTGATGTTCATCGGGGGTTTAGGTATCCGTATGGGGTTGGGTGTCCACCCGGGGCCTGATATCCAGTTAGAGTCACGTGTCCACCTGAAACCTCATGTTTACCTGGGGTCAGGGGGTCCATCAGGGGCCTGGTTTTGACCTGGGACCTGGGCATTTGCTGATGTCCACCGAGAGTTTAGTATCCACCTGGGGCCTGATGGAATCCTGGGGACTGGTCGTTAGCTAGGGCCTGGGTGTCCACCCGGGGCATTGATCTTCAGCTGGGGCCTGGAGTTCTCCTAGGGCCCGGTGTCCACCTGAGGCCTGTGTGTCAGCCTGGGACTGGATAGTCACCTGGGGTCTCAGTGTCTACCAGGGCCTGATGACTTCTTGGGGCCTGATTGTCCATATGGGACCTAACAACCTGACATATGGGGCCTGGGTGTTTCCCTGGGGCCTGGGTGTCCAGCTGAGGCCCGATGTTCACCAGGGGCCTAGTATCTACCTGGGTGCCTAGGGTGCACTGGCTTCCTGCTGTCTACCTGGGGCCTGGGTGTTCCCCTGGGGCCTGGGTATCAGCTGGGAGCCTGGTACCACCTGCAGCCTGGTGTCCACCTGGAGCCTCATCAGGCTTCCTGGTCTCTGGTGTCCACCTGGAGCCTCATCAGGCTGCCCGGTCTCTGGTGCCCACCTGGGGACTCATCAGGCTGCCTGGTCTCTGGTGCCCACCTGGGGACTGGGTGTCTACTTGAGACCTGGTGTCCACCTGGGGCACAGTGTTCACCCAGTGGCTACTGTCTACCTAAGGCCTGGTGTCTACCTTGAGACTGGGTGTTCACCTGGGGCCAGATACCCACCTGGGGGCTGATGTCCACTTGGAGCCTGGTGTCCACCCGAGGCCTGGTGTCCATTTGTATCCTGGTGTCCTCTTAGGACCTGGTGTCTGCCTGGGCCTTGGTGCCCTCCTGGAGACCGGATTCTCACCTTGGGCCTGTTGTTCACCTGGGTCCTAGATATCCACGTGGGATCTGGTGTGCACCTGGGGCCTATGTCTACCTTGTGCCTGTTATCCTTCTGGGGCCTGGTGTTTACCTGGGCCCTGGATGTCAATTCTGGTACCTGCCGTCCAGCTGGGGCCCACATAGCCACCTGGGGCCAGGTTGTCACTTGAGGTCTAGTGTCCTCCTTGGAACTGATTTCAGCCTGGGGCCTAGTGTTTATTTGAATTTTCGTATCCTCGCGAGGCCTGGTGTTCTTCTAGGGCCTGGGTGTCCATGTGGAGCCTGATGTTCACCAGGGTCTTATGTATCCATCTGGGGGCCTTGTGTCCACCTGGATCCTGCTGTCCACCTGGGGCCTGCTGGGCCTGGAATTCTCCTTGGCCTGCTGTTCACTGGAGGCCTGGGTGTCAACCTGGGACTCCATGTCCACCTGGGGCCTGAGTGTCCACTGGGGCCTGATGACTTCCTGGGGCCTGGATGTCCACATGGGGTCTAATGCCTAGACATCTGAGGTTTTGGTTTCCACTTGGGGCCTGGATGTTCACCGGGGACCTGGCATTCATCTGGGGCCTGGTGTCCACCTGGAGTCTGGGTGTCAACCTGAGGCCCGGTGTCCACCTGGAGCCTGGTGAACATTGGACATCAAACACCGGCTCAACACTATGTCTTAGGTGTATGCCAGTTCCCAGGTGGACTCCAGTTTCCAAATGGACATCAGGCACCAGGTGGACATCAGGTTCCCAGTTGAAAAATTGGTTCCAGGTAGACACCAGGCTCCAAGTGGACATCAGCCCCCAGGTGGATGCCCACGCCCCACATTGACACCCAGGCCCCAGGAAGACATGAGGCCCCAGGTGGATACTTATGTTCCTGGTGAACATTAGGCCCCAAGTGGACACCCTGGCTCCATGTGGATATATGGCCTCAGGTGGCCATCACGTCCCAGGTGGGTGCACGCTGGACTTGAGGCGTACATCAGGCACCAGGTTCACACCCAGGCCCTAGCTGGACAGAATGTCACAGATGGACTTCAGGCCCAAGGAGGATACCAAGGCTTCGGGCAGATACCCAGGCCTCATGTGAAAATCAGGCCCTAGTTGGATACTTAGTCTTCAAGGGACATAATAATGCCCCAGGCAGACCACAGGCTTTAGATGGATACCACGCTCCAGGTGGACATTAGTCCCCAGGGTGACACCAAGGCTCCAGGTGAACCCCAGACCTCAGGTGGACATCAGGCCCCTGGTGGATACCTACACCGCATGTTGGTAACAGGCCCCAGGAGGACACCAGGCTTCAAGTGACCACCAGGCCCCCAGGTGGCTATGTAGGCCCCAGGTGGCTATCAGGCACCAGGTTGACTCTCAGGGCCCAGGTGAATACCAGGCCACAGATGAACAACAGGCCCAAGGTGGACATCGGCCCCCACCCCATGAACACCAGGTCCCAGGTGGATACCCAGCCTCATGTCCCCCTGCAGACCAGAGTTCACCTAGGGTCTGATTTCTTCATGGGACCTGGGTGTTTTTCTGGGACCTGTAATCTGCCTGGGGTCTGGCGTTTACCTGGGGATGGGTATTTACCTTGGGTCTGATGTCCACCTGGAACTAGATGTTCCCGTGGGGCCAGGGTGTCCACCTGGGGCCTAATGTTCATCAGGGGGCTGGAGTTCACCAGGGGCCTAGGCATCTAGCTGAGGCCTGTTGTCCACCTGGGGCCTCCTGTTCACCTTGACGCTGATATTTACCTGGGGTCTGGATATCCACTTGGAAACTGGCAAGTGGGGCCTGGTGTTCCACTGGGGCCTATATGTCAACCTGGGACCTGACATACACTAAGATGTCTGATGTCCTTCTGGGACCTGGTTTTGGCCTGGGGCCTGTTATGTACCTGTGGCCTGGTGTCCACCTGGGGCCTGCCTATGTGCCAAACTGTGACCTGATTTGTCCATTTGGGGCCTGATGTCTGTGCAGGGACTGGAGGCCCCTTGAGACCTGGTGTCCACCCAGGTCCTGGTGTCAACCTGGTGTCTGATGTCCAGTGTCTATTTGTGGCCTGATGTTTTCCCGTGGCCTCGGTGTCCACTGGGGCCTTATGTCCACCTGTAGGGGGTGTGCCCCCATGCACCTGCCCTCTTTCTGGGAAGAATGGGTGGCGAGTTGCCCTTGTCCCGCGCCTCATCATCTGGGACCTCGCCCTCCTGCACAGGCTGTGAGGAAGGCGCCATCTTGGCTCAGGCAGAGCCTGGGTAAGTTGCCCTACTGCTTTGCCTGTGGCGTGAAGATTTCAGGGAGGTGCTGGACTCGGGGCCCTGGAGCCGTGCCCCGCCAGACTGCCCTCGGGAAAGGACCGGTGACCAAAAGTGAGAGTGCTGTGCTGCCCGCCGCCAGGAGCCTGTGTGAGCACACAGGGCGGCTCCTCGAGGGCACCAGAAGCCCAAGCCCAGGCCGCTCGGGTCATCTGCGGCCACGCACCAGAGCTGAGGGAGGGAGCCGGGCTGAGGCCGCGGGCCCTCCAAGAAAGCCGCAGAGCCAGCCAGTGGCACCCAGGGACTGCAGGAAGCTTCTCCAAGGTAAGCTCCGGAACTGCATTGGTTTGGGTGTCTTTTCCCAGTGGTGAATTTCTGCAAGGTGGGTCGGACATAGTCAGGGTGACCTCAGCAATTTGTAGGCTTTTAAGTCATCTAGGAGAGACCCACACCTGAAAATCTAGACAGGGCTCGATTCGGCCTGCCACTTCATTCGCAGTGCGGGTTCTAATGTTTCTTGGAAAACTGGGCCTGGGTTAGTTATTTCTCCACGTCACCCTTTCTTTCTTGGGTTTCTTGGTATGCACGGTTGCCTTTTTCTCTTTTCTTGTATTGCAATCTCAGGTCCCACATTTCCATTCTTCCCTTCTAATCTGTGTGTCCTCCATGCAAAGCCTGTGGTGGGTCTTGCTCTGGGACTAGTTGAGCAGCATTGCACTCCTGTTGGATGTGGGAATTTCATGGTTGGTTCTTTCAGTGTGTATTTGGCCTTCTATTAAGAGTCCCTTGACTTGAGAATGATTGAGAAGTGTAGTTTTCGCTTTCCCAAATACATATTTTTGGGAGAGATGACTCTATTGCATTTGGCCTGAGAGTATGTGACCTTTCAGTTGTCGAGGGACTGGTGTGTACACCTGGGGGCTCAGTATCCACTTGGAGGTTGGGTGTTTATGTGGAACCTGATGTACCTCTGGACCTGGTTGCCCACATGGGTCCTGGTGTCCACCTGGAGCCTGATGTTCCCCAGGGGCCTGGGTATCCACTTGGGTCCCGAAGTTCATCTAAGACCTAGTGTTCACCTAGGGCCCGATAGTCACCTGCGGACTGGGTATGTACCTGGGGCCTCATGTCCACCTGTGGTGTAGATATCTATGTGGGGGCTCTGTGCCAACCTGGTGCCTGATGTCCACCAATGGATCCAGTAAACCCAACTGGGCCTTGGTGTTTACCTGGAACCTGATGTCCAGCTGGGGCGTAGATTCTCCACCGGGGGACTGGTGTCTGGATTGAGTCTTACAGCTACCTGGGGTGTGGTATCCTCCTGAGGTGTGGCTGTGAACCTGGGGCCTAAAGTCTACTTAGAGTCCAGTGTCTACCTAGAGCCTAGTGTGACCTGGGGCCCTATGTAAACCTGGGGCTTGGTATATTTTAGGTAGCGCCTGGGCCTTTCCTTTTTATGACTAAATAATATTCCACTGTATGGATCTTTTACGTTTTTTTAATCCACTCATCAGTTGATGGCCATCTTTTGACTATTATGTATATATGTTTATAAACATATATGTGGAAACAGGATATTGCTCTGCCACCTGTGTTGGAGTGCAGTGGCACGATCGTAGCTCACTGCAGCCTCCAACTCGTGGGCTCAAGTCAACCTCCTGCCTCTCAAAGCACTGAGATCACAGGTGTTAACCACTGTGTCCCACACGCATTTTTAATTCTTTTAAGTATATGCCCAGGAGTGGAATTGCTGGGTCTTGTGATAACTCAATGTTGAACTTTTCGAGGAACTGCCAAACTGTTTTCCACAGCAGCTGCATCATTTTATATTCTCATCAGCAGTGCATGAGGGTTCCAGTTTTTTCATATCCTTGCCAGTACTTATTATTGTAATATCTTTTTGATTATAGCCATCATCCTAGGGGGTATCTCATTGTGGCTTTGATTTGCATTTCCCGGATGGCTGATGACATTGAGCATCTTTTCATGTGCTTATTGGCCATTTGCATATCTTTGGAGAAATGCCTATTCAAGTCCTTTGTGCATTTTTTTTTTAAAACAGGATCTCACTCCCATCACCCAGGCTGGAGTGTGGATGTCATCACGGCTAACTGCAGCCCCTACTTCCCAGGCTCGGGTGATTCTCTCACCTCAGCCTCCTGAGTAGCTGGGACTACAGGTGTGTGCCATCACACCCAGCTATTTTGTGTGTGTGTGTGTATATATTTTTAGTAGAGATAGGATTTCACAATGCCACCCAGGCTGGTCCTGAACTCCTGGGCTCAAGTGATCCTCCCACCTCAGCCTCGCAAAGTGCTGGGATTACAGACCTGAGCCACCACACTCAGCTCCTTTGTACATTTTTAAATTGTGTTGTCTTTTTATTATTGAGTTGCAAAAGTTATTTTTATATTCTAGTTACAAGTTCCATCAGGGACTTACATATGTATGATTTGCAAAGATTTTCTCCCATTCTTTGTGTTGTCTTTTTCACTTCTTTATAGAGTCCTTTGAAGCATAAAAGTATTTACATTTATTGATTTAATGAATACTTTTATTTTTAAATAATTTATTTAATAATTTATCATTTATCTATTTTTTTGGTTGCTTATGCTTTTGATGTCGTATCTTAGAAACCATTGCCAAATCCAAGGTCGTGAAGATTCATACCTCTATTTTCTTTTAAGACTTTTATAGTTTTAGTTCTTATACTTAGTCTTTGATCAATTCTGAGCTAATTTTTGTATATGGTATGAGGTGGAGCCTAACTTCATTCTTTTGCATGTGGATATATCCAGTTGTCTCAGCACAATTGTTGAAAAGAATACTCTTTCCCCCATTAAGTCTTTTTGGCATCCTTATCAAAACTCAGTTAGCCATAAATATGAGGGTCTATTTCTAGACTCTAAATTCCATTCCATTCATCTATATGTCTTTTTTTTTTTTTTTTTTTTTGAGAGAGTCTCACTCTGTTGCCCAGGCTGGAGTGCAGTGGCGCGATCTCGGCTCACAGCAATCTTCGCCTTCCGGGTTCAAGCAATTCTCCAGCCTCAGCCTCCTGAGTAGCTGGGATTACAGGCATGAGCCACTACACCTGGCTAATTTTTGTATTTTTAGTAGAGATGGGGTTTCTTTCTTTCTTTTTTTTTTTTTTGGACAGAGTTTTGCTCACTGCAACCTCTGCCTCACGGGTTCAAGTGATTCAGCCTCCCAAGTAGCTGAGACTATAGGCGCACACCACCAAGTCTGGCTAATTTTTTTATTTTTAGTAGAGACCAGGTTTCACCATATTGGCCAGGCTGGTCTCAAACTCCTGACCTCAGGTGATCCACCCATCTTGGCCTCCCTAAGTGCTAGGGTTACAGGTGTGAGCCACCACGCCCGGCCTATATGTCTATTTTTATGCCAGTGTCACATCGTCTCCCTCACTATAGCTTTGTAGCAAGTTTTGGGATCAGCAAGTGTGAGTCCTCAACATTGCTCTTATTTTGTTTTTCAAGATTGTTTTTGTTATTCTGGACCCCTTACATTTCCATATGAATTTAAGATCAGCTTGCCCATTTCTGCAAAGAAGTCAGGTGGCACTGAGTTTGTAGATCAATTTGGGGAGTATTGCATTATTACAGTTGATCCTTGAACAACCCAGGTTTGAATGACACAGGTCCACATATGAACACATTTTCTTCTGCCTCTGCCACCCCTGAGGCAGCAAGGCTAACCCCACCCTTCCTTCTCCTCCTTGGATGTGAAGGCAGCAAGGATGAAGATCTTTATGATGATCCACTTTCACTTAATGAATAGGAAGCATATGTTATCTTCCTTGTGATTTTCTTAATAACATTTTCTTTTCTCTAGCTTACTTTACTGTAACATACAGTATACAATACACATAACATACAAAATATGTGTTAATTGATGGTTTATGTTATTGGTAAGGCTTTCAGGAAACAGTAGGCTAGTCATAGTTAAGTTTCTGGGGAGTCAAAAATTATATGCGGATTTTCACCTGTGCCCCGAATTGCCACCATCATTCAAAGGTCTACTGTACATGTTCTTCTTCTTCTTTTTTTTGAGACACGGTCTCACTCTGTTGCCTAGGCTGGAGTGCAGTGGTACAATTTCAGCTCACTGCAACCTCTGCCTCTTGATTTCAAGCGATTTTCTGCCTTAGTCTGCCATGCAGCTGGGACTACAGGCGCCCACCAACATGCCTGGCTAATTTTTGTATTTTTAGTCGAGATGGGGTTTTGCCACGTTGGTCAGGCAGGTCTTGAACTCCTGACCTGACCACTTCAGGATCACCTGAAGTGATCCGCCCACCTTGGCCTCCCAGAATGCTGGGATTGCAGTCAGGAGCCACCATGCCTGGCCAACTGTACATCTTCTAATCCACAAACACAGGATGTCTTCCCATTTACTTGGGTCTTCCTTAATTTCTTTCAACAATGTTTTGTACAAGTCTCTCACTTTTTGGGTTAAATTTATCCCAAGTATTTTATTTTTTTCATGCTATTATAATCGAATTATCTTCTTACTTTTATTTTTACATTGCTTATTGCTACTGTATAGAAATACAATGGATTTCTGTATATTGATCTTGTATCCTGCAACCTTGCTGAACTAGTTTATTAGTAATTGTTTTCTTTTGTTTTGGATTTCTTAGCATTTTCTTTATACAAAATCACATCATTTTCAAATAGAAATAGTTTTGCTTCTTTATAATCTGGGTGGTTTTTCTTATCTAATTGCCCTGTTTAGAACCTCTATTACAATGCCGAATAGAGGTAGTAAGAGTGAACATCTTTGTCTTGTTCTTGATCATAGGGGGAAAGCTTTCAGTCTTCCACCATTATGATGTTAGCTGTGGGGGTTTTTATGGATGCCTTTTATCAGGTTGAGAAATTCCCTTACAGTCCTAGTTTGTTGAGTGTTTATCATGAAAGATTGATGGATTTTTGTTAGATGCTTTCTGCATTTATTAATATGCTCATGTGTTTTTTTGCCCATCTTTTTATTAATGTGATTGACTTGATTGATTGATTGTTGGACCAACTTTGCACTCCTGACATAAATGCTACTGACTCATAGTACAGAATCCTTTGTATATGTTGCTGGGTTTTGTTTGCTAGTATTTTGTTGAAGATTTTTGTATTTAAATTCTTAAAAGATATTGGCTTATAGCTTTCTTTTGTGTGTGCTTTTGTCTGGCATTGTTTTGTGGGTATTCATGGAATGAGTTGGGAAATGTTCTCTTCTTTTTTACTGTTTGGAAGAGTCTGTAAAGTATTGGTGTTAAATACTGTTTAAGCATTTGGTAGAATTCACTAGTGACACCATCTCACCCTAGGCTTTGCTTATGGGAAGTTTTGTTTGTTTTGTTTTGTTTTTTACTAATTCAATCTCTTTACTTGTAGTTCTATTCAGATCTTCTATTTCTTCTTGAGTCAGTTTCAGAAGTTTCTAACTTTCTAGAAATTTGTCTGTTTTATTTAGTTTATCTAACTTGTTGGCATGTGTATTAGTTTTCTATTGCACTGATAAATTTCCACACACTTAGTGGCTTAGAACCAAACAAATTTAATATCATGTAGTTCTTGAGGTCAGATATCCAAAATGGATTTCAAGGAGCTAAATTCAAGGTGTTAGCAAGGCTGCATTCCTTTTGGAGGCTCCAGGATAGACTCTGTCCCTTTGCCTTTTCTGGCTTCTAAAAGTCACCTATATTCCTTGGCTTGTGACCCTTTTCTCTATCTTGAAAGCCAGCAGCATAGCATCTTCAAATCTTTGACTCTAACCCTCTTGCTTCCCTCTTTCGTCTGTAAGAATCCTTGTGGTTATCTTGAGCTCATCCAGATAATCCAAGTTAAGACTCCCATATCAAGATCCTTAACTTAATCATATCTTCAAAATCCCATCTGCCATTTAAGGTAACATCTTCATAGGTTCCAGGGATTAGGACATAGACATCTTAGGGGAACATTATGCCACCTGCCACAGCATACATTTGTTCATAGTATTCCCTTATAATCATTTTTCTGTAATGTTGGTGGTGATGTTTTCTTTTTCATTCCTAATTTTAGTAATTTGAGTCTGACTTTTTTTCTTAGTCAGTATAGCAAAAGGCTGTCAACTTTGTTGATCTTTTTTGAAAAGTCAACTTTTGGTTTTATTGATTATTATTTTCTTTTCTCTTTTAAAATTTATTTCCACTGTAATCTGTATTTTTTACTTCCTTCCACTTGCATTATTTTTGGTTTGCTCTTCCTTTTCTAGTTTCTGAAGGTGAAAGTTTATATTATTAAATTGAATTTTCCTTGTTTACTAATATAGGTGCTTATAGCTTTAAATTTCTCTCTAAGCACTATTTTAGTGCATCCCATAAGTTTTGGTAGGCTGTGTCTTATTCTTCTTTAATCTCAAAGTATTTCCTAATTTCCCTTACGATTTCTTGTTTTACCCATTGGTTACTGTGTTGTTGAATTTCCACATATTTGTGAATTTCCCAAATTTCCTTCCGCTATTGATTTCTAATTTTATTCCATTGTGATTTGAGAAGACAATTTGTATGATTTCAGTCCTTTTAAATTTATTGAGACTCATTTTATGGCCTAATATATGGTCTATCCTGAAGATGTTTCATGTGCAATTGAAAAGAATGTATATTCTGCTAGTGGGTGGAGTGTTCTACAGATGTCTGTTAGTTATAGTTGGCTTATAATATTGTTCAACTCTTCTATTTTCTTTTGTTGTTGTTGTTGTTGTTTGTTTTTTGTTGGTTTTTTTTTGAGATGGAGTCTCACTCTGTTGCCCAGGCTGAAGTGCAGTGGCACAGTCTCAGCTCACTGCAAGCTCCGCCTCCTGGGTTCACGCCATTCTCCTGCCTCAGCCTCCTGAGTAGCTGGGACTACAGGCGCCTGCCACCACGCCTGGCTGATTTTCTTTCGTATTTTTAGTAGAGATGGGGCTTCACCGTGTTAGCCAGGATGGTCTCAATCTCCTGACCTCGTGATCCACCCGCCTCAGCCTCCCAAAGTGCTGGGATTACAGGTGTGAGCCACCACACCTGGCCAACTCTTCTATTTTCTTGTTGAACTTCTGAGAATGACCTCTTGAACTCTATGACTATTATTGTTGAATTCTTTATTTCTCTCTTTAATCTGTCATTTTTTGCTTCATGTATCCTGGGACTTTGTTGCTAAGTGCATATATGTTTATCATTGTTATATCTTCTTGATGAATATACCCTTTATTATTACAAAACTTCCCACTTTGTTTCTAGTAACATTTTTTGTGCTAAAACCTATTTTGTCTAATATTAGTATAGCCACTCCAGCTCCTTTTTGGGTACTGTTTGCATGGTATATCATTTTCCATTCTTTTACTTTCAACATACTTGTGTCTTTAAATCTAAGGTATATTTCTTGGGAGAACATATAACTGGATCTTGTTTTTATATTCATTCTGCCAATTTCTGCCTTTTAATTGGGCTCTTTAAACATTTACACTTAATGTAATTACTCTTGAATAGGATTATCTGCCATTTTGTTATGTGTTTTGTACATGCCTTATGTCTGTTTTGTTCATTTCTCCACTTCTTCTTTTGTGTTAAATGTGTACCATTTAATTATCTTCAAATGACTGAGAAATAGAAATTTCTTATATATATATGAATGTGTGTGTGCGTGTATAGCTGTGTCCTCCACTCATGCCACAGTAGCACAAATTACATCTTTCTACAGTGTGTGCCCATCAACCTAAACTTATAATGATTGCTTATGCAGTTGTCATTTAAATTAGATAGAAAAAAATAGTTACAAATAAAAATACATTTATACTGTTTTTGATATTTACCTATGTGGTTATCCTTCTTGGAGTTCTTTATTTCTTTATTTGGAGTTGAAATATTACCTAATGTCCTTTTATTTCAGGGTGAAAGACACCCGGCCGATACCATTTGTTGTAGGGCTGCTCTGCTAATGAGAAACTCTGTTTTTGTTTATCTGGGAATGTCCTAATTTCTCCTTCATTTTTGCAGGATAGTTTTGGCTGATATAGATTGATGGTTAACAGTGTTTTGTTTTGTTTTGCTTTGCTTTGTTTTGTTTTGTTGTTTTCCTTTAGCACTTTGAATATGTCACTTCCTTCTGGCCTCCATAGTTTCTGGTGAGAAATCAGCTGTCAATCTTATTGAGGCTCTATTGTGTGTGACAAGTGGCTTCTGTCCTGCTGCTCTGAGATGCTCGCTTTGTCTTTGGTTTTTGACAGTTTGATTATGATGCATCTAGGTGTAGATGTCTTTCAGTTTACTCCACTTGGAGTTTCTTGAGCTTCTTGAACTATACATATATGTTTTTTATCAAAAATTTCAGCCATTATTTCTTCAGATATTGTTTTATCCCTTTCTCCTCTCCTTTCCTTCTGGCACTCCTATTATGCATTTATTGGTATGCTTGGTTGTTGTACCACAGGTCTCTGGAACTCTGTTCATTTTTCTTCATCCTGTTCTTTCTGTTTTTCAGACTCAATTATTTTCTTTCTATTCCTTAGATAACCCCAACTGACCTCTTTAAGTGTAATGATTCTTTTTTCTACCCACATAAATCTGCTGTTTTGATTGTTTGTTTGAGACAGAGTTTTGCTTTTGTTGCCCAAGCTGGAGTGCAATGGCGTGATCACGGCTCACTGCCCTCTTGAACTCTCGGGTTCAAGTGATTCTCCTGCTTCAGCCTCCCATGTAGCTGGGATTACAGGCATGCACCACCATGCCTGGCTAATTTTTTTGTATTTTTAGTAGAAACAGGGTTTCACCATGTTAGCCAAGCTGGTCTCAAACTCCTGACCTCAGGTGATCCATCCACCTTGGCCTCCCAAAGTGTTTGGATTACAGGCATGAGCCACCACGCCTGGCCATAAATCTGCTGTTGAGCCTCTCTGGTGAATTTTTTATTTTAGTTATCATACATTTCACTCCAGAATGTCTTTTTGTTTTTTAAATAATTTATGGCTGGGCATGGTGGCTCACACCTATAACCCCAGCACTTTGGGAGACTGAGGTGGGCAGATCACTTGAGGCCAGGAGTTTGAGACCAGTCTGGCCAACATGGTGAAACCCCACCTCTACTAAAAATACAAAAATTAGCTGGACATGGTGGCACATGCCTGTAATCCCAGCTACTCAGGAGGCTGAGGCAGGAGAATCGCTTGAAAACCCGGGAAGCAGAAGTGAGCCAAGATCACACCACTGCACTCCAGCCTGGGCAACAGAGTGAGACTCCATCTCAAAAAAAAAAAAATTATTCTCTTTATTAATATTCTCTATTTGGTAAGACATCATTCTCATATTTTTTGTTAGTTCTTTAGACATAGTTCCTTTTAGTTCTTGAACATATTTAAAAGCAGTTCATTTAAGGTGTTTGTACGGTGAATCCAACAATCTGGGCTTTCTCATGGACAGTGTCTCATAATTTTTGTTGTTAAAAACTGATATTTTAAAATAATATAACATGGCAACTCTGGAAATCAGATTCCTGCACCCCCTCCTCCCCAGGGTTTGTTGCTGTTTGTTTGTTCAGTGACTTTCCTGGGCTAATTATGTAAAATTTGTATTTGTTTTTGTGTGTGGCTACTGAAGTCTCTATTCAGTTAGCTTAATGGGCAGCTAAATGACTGGACACAAATATTTTTAGATACCTGGAACCAGTATGTCTCTTAGCCTTTGCCGAGGGGCTCTGTGTATGGGTAGGGGCACACTTTTGACCCTCAGCCAAGCAGTTGGCAACTCCACCTTACTTTTTACTTCCCACTTCTGCAGAGCTTCAAGGTTAGCCAGAGGTGAGAGGTGAGGTTCTCCTGAGTATACACTCATCCCTGCACATGGCCTTCTAGATGCCCAAGAATGTGTCAGAGCTTGTCAAAGCCCCTATAGACATCTTGTTTCCCAGCTTTTCCTTTTAAATATCTGGGTTAGCTTGTTATTTGCTCCAACTGTTATACACCACCTCAGGCAACCATGATATACAACAATCACCTCTGGTTGTTTTCAACAAATGCTCCTAGGGAAACAGCTCTTTATACTGGGCATCCCCCAAGTCCGATCAAATAAAGAAAGTCTTGTGGGTGGGGTCTTTATGGAACCACCAGAGCGGTCAAATAATGACAATTCTGTGGAAATGGGGCTCCAACCCTCTCTACACCTTTCAGCAGCTGCCATATGTTCATTTTCACCATAGTGGTGGGCTGTTAGTCTCCAAGACCATTGTGGAGCTGAGGGGAGAATGATGAGAACAGTGCAGGCTAAAACATCACACAGAACAGGCACCGTGGCTCATACCTGTAATCCCAACATTTTGGGAGGCTGAAGCAGGAGGATTGCTGGAGGTCAGGAGATCTAGACCAGTCTGGGCAACATAGTGAGACCCCATCTCTATAATAAATTTAAAAATTAGCAAGTCGTGGTGGTTCACACCTGCAGTCCCAGCATTTTGGGAGGTTAAGGTGGGAGGATCCCTTGATCCCAGGAGTTCCAGGTTACGGCGAGCTATTATGGCACCGCTGTACTCCAGCCTGGGGGACAGAGCAATAACCTGTCTCAAAAAAAAACCCACAAAACACCACGAAGTCCATTGTTCTTATTGAAAGTCAGCTGTTTTTCTTGAATAAGCATTCCCTAAATTTCTGTGGGCCTTTGGTTAATTTCCAGAGTTTTGAAACAGCTGATTATGATGATTTTTTGCCAGCATTGTCGTCAAGTTTCTGGAGGAGAGAATTTCCAAAGGTCCTTAGTCCACCATTTAGCTGGTGTCACCTCTCCGGAGCCATTCCTTACTCTTGCTGAGACTCAACCTCTTGCAGTGAACTGGCGAAAAGTAAATGTTCAAGATCCTGAAGGGGCAGATCTACAGGTAGAAAGCAGATCGGGGTCTGCTTTGAGCCAGGGGTGGGGCAGAGAGTGGGGATTGCAAACAGGCACAAGAAAATGTTTTTTGGGTGATAGAAATGTTCTAAAACTGGACTGAGGGGATAGTGGCACGACTCTATAAATTTACTGAAACTCAATACAATGGGTGTATTTGGAGTTAAGTAAATAATACCTGAATAAAACTGTAAAAAAAAAAAAAAGTAAGTGTGGAAACCTACTCAGCCACAGGTCGTGGCATGGAGGGGCCTCTGTGGCACCTCCAACAGGCGAGCAGGAAGAAGTGCAAGGTGAGATGCCGTCAGACCACATGAATGTGTGTGCCCCCAGATGCCTGTGAAGGCAGCAGGAGGCTGTGGGACCGCTCACTGGGGTGGGAGTAAACTGGGAAAGATCTATGTGTGCCCAATTGCAGAGGCCCCTAGAGCAGCGGGGACAACAGGTCTGTGGCTCCAAACAAGTTCTGGGGCCCCCATATAAAAAGAGAGGCAAGGCCCTGGGAAAGAATGAAAACACTTTGAGTGAGGAAAGCTGCAGAGAAAGAGCCCTGGAGGGCATCATCTCAGAGAGGAAAGGGAGGTGCCCAGCCAGGGAGCGAGAGGCAGGAGCTCGAGAGGAGAGCTTAGAGTCAGGAGAGAGCTCCCTAAGGGAGGGAGCAATCAACACCAGTGCTGTGGAAAAACCTGCGAAGTAAGGGAAGGACTCAGGCTGCCCATGTGGCCCTTGGGGACCTAAGACAGAGCTCTGTGCGGTGGAGAGGGTGCGAGATTTGGGGGGGCATGGGGACATGGCCACGTGCTGAGGCACAGGAGGTGAGGCAGGAGGGGCAGGCTGATCAAGCGGCAGTTGGCTGTCAAGCTTGCCCTCTCTGGCAAGAGCATGCATAACTCTGACAGGAAGACACCCCTGGGGAGGGAGAGGTCCAGGCACTCCTCGCCAACCCCTCTGTGCTTTCAGCTTTTGGGTGTCCCGGTTACCTGCTTTCAGACTCGTTGCCTCACATAAAATGGGTCATGCTTTGCTGTCAGATGTCCAAGTCCAGCTTCTTTGTGCTTGGGTGATGAACCTTTCTGAGATGGTGATGGTGCTGTGTGTACATCAGACCCCTGATTAGATGTGGTCTCACCTCCCCTGCGTTGATGGAACAGCTTTGCTCAAGTCCCTGGTGGGCCAGGGGTCCAGCTGAGGGGCAAATGGTCTGCAAACTCTGAGGAGCTCAGTGACATCCTGGCCCCACTCCAGCCTGAGAGCCAGCGGTGGGGAGTGGGCTCACACCAGCTCAGGTGTCTGGAATCCCGGCTGCAGGCCATTTTGAGAGATCTGCCAGGGATGAGGAGAGGCCTCTCCTGAGATCCTCCCTCCCTTAGGACCCAGAGCAGGAGAGTGTCCTTGGGCACAGCCCTGCGGCAGAGGGCCTATGCTGACATTAGACCTATGCTGATGTCAGAGGGAGGCTGGACAGTGTGTGATGCTGGCTGGATTGGGGCCACAAGCCTGACTAGCTATTGCTCCACAGGTCTAGCAAAGCCCAGCCACACTGGGGACACAGGGTCTGCTGACATTGAGGTCCCGGCTGACATTGAGGTCCCCACCAAGATCACAGAGCTCCAGGTGTCTTCCAAGTGGCCGGGGAACCAGAAACACCATAACCGAGACACTGGATCTTCGCAGGCTAAAGGGAAACGTTCCCGTGTTATAATTGAGAATTTGGTTTAGATATAATGTCACTGAGTGGGGAAAGAAGGCACGTTTGCACAATAAATATACTTGTGCAATCAGCTATTCTTAAAATATAAGCCAATAAAAATAGCATCCTTATCTTACATCACACATGTGGCAGAAGGAAGAAGCCCATAATCAGAGGCTTGCATCTGCACCATCTATGGCACTTTTTCCAAAACAAGGCTGTACCCCCACCCGCCATCACCCGCCCCACCCTGGGGGCTGATGGGAAGATCTGGATGGACTGAGGCAGGCACTTATGGTTAGAAAAGCCCTCCTGGGAAATCTGATGCATACCCCTAACTGGGAACCACCGGATTTAAGAGCCAAATGTAATAAACCAAATACAGGGGAAAAACAGGAAAATGCTCCCTTTCCCTCAAATGTGCAAGCATCGTCTAAGCATAGGAGCAAAGGTGATGCCGTGAAGATAAGAAGCCAGAGGTCTGGCCATGGAAACCCATAGACGTGCAAAGGCCATGATAACATGCTGGAAGGCATATGACAAGGGAATTGAAGAGCTTTTGCACATCAGCCAGGAAGAGGTAAACATTCCAGTACAAAAATGGGCAAATGATAAGAAAAAGCAATTCACAAAAGACAATTACAAATAGCCAAGCAACAGGCAATGAGCACTCAGCCTCAGCAGGCAGCAAACAAATATACCTAGTTTTAAAGTGAGGTTTCAGGCAGCCGTATATGGGCCTATATAAAACTTATCTCCAAGCTTCAAAATTAAGTGAAAAAGGCTGGGCGTGGTGGCTCACACCTGTAATCCCAGCACTTTGGGAGGCCAAGATGAGCGAATCCCTTGAGCCTAGGAGTTTGAGACCAGCCTGGCCAACATGGCTAAATGCCATCTCTACAAAAAATACAAAATTAGCCTGGCATGGTGGCGCCCACCTGTGGTCCCAGCTACTAGGGAGGCTGAGGTGGGAGGATCTCTTGAGCCCAGGAGGTCGAGGCTGCAGTGAGCCTGCAGTCCAGCCTGGGTGACATAATGAGACACTGTCTCACAATAAAATAAAGTGAGGTTTCATTTTTGGCCGATCACAATGGCAAAGTCTCTTTCCAAAGGGTATGTGTGGTGGCCTGTGGCCAAGGCCTGTGCCTCCAGCAGGGCCCAGAGCACTTCCAGGAGCCCCTCCTTGATCCAGGATTCTCCTCCAGTCATTTATCGTTTAGGAATTTCAATAATTGAGTACAGCCATCTTGTTCCAAGATGTTCCCAATATTATGTATACCAGGAAAGAAGAAAGAAACAAGAATATATGACTAACCACCAGAGAACAGTTAAATCCATTTCAGCATCTAATGGAATGAAGGCAGTTACTGGTAACTGTATTTTAGGAGATGATTGAATAATATGAAAAATCCTTTTAAAGGGATGAAAACAAGGATCAAAACTAAATATAGAATATTTCCACTTAAAATATGCACTTATATCTGTTTACCAAAATCCAGGAAAATTTGTTAATGCTTGAACAATGATCACTGTGGCTTGGTGGGGGCACCAGGTAATTTTAATTTTCTTCTGTATACTTTTCTATGGTTTCTGAATTTTCTGAAATTATTACACTATGACTACAGTCAGTAAAAAGTATTATTAAAAGGATCGTTGTAGTCTTTCCCCAGGGCTCCCGGTGTGCGAGCCACGTTTCCTTAGCCTGGTTGTTCTTGGCACATCTGTTCCCAAAAGGAGGTGGGCACAGCTGGTCAAGGCCAACATGGGGCCCACTTCCTCGGTCCCATTGCTCCCTTAGGAGGCAGACGGTGCTTGGTCCATGCAGTTCTGCAGTCACACCCTACACGCCTGCCACATCGGCCACAGGTAACCACGCATGGGTGCTGAAGGAAGACCTGGCACCGCTGCTGCGTGGGCACTGCAGGATGGCGTGGAGCGGGCCCAGGCGGGCCTGGACAAACCCTGCTCTTGGGCGCATCTGTGGCCTGAGAAAGGGGGCAGCAGCTGGGCTCCAAGCGGTCAGTGCCAACACCAGGACAGCCCCATGCATGGCACGCACTCTGATGTCATTAAAAACAGAGGAAGCCCGAAAGAGCCCTGCACACACGCTCACCAGTGTCTCACAGTCCTCGCCCAGGAATCCCACGGTGCCTCACAGTGGACACGCCCTTACCTGGCCAATGCTGCCCCCCTGCCCCCTCCCCCACCTCTTCTCCTTCCCTTCGTCTTCCCCTCTCACCTTTCCCTCCCTCCCCTCCTCCCTCCTCTCCTTCTCCACCTTCCCCCTCCACCCCTCTCAGACCCACTGGACTGCAGCCACCACACAGCCAGATGCTGTACTGCGTGGAGAGCAGGTACCTCCACTCCGAGGACATGCTCTAAAGTAGCAGTCCCCAACCTTCTTGGCACCAGGGACCGGTTTCGTGGAAGACAATTTTTCCACCGATGGGGTTGGGTGGGGGATAGTTTCGGGGTGAAATTGTTCCACCTCTGATCATCAGACATTAGATTCCCGGAAGGAGCGCACCACCTGGATCCCTCACATGCGCAGTTCACGATAGAGTTTGCCTCCCATGAGCATGGAATGCCCAGCTGATCCGACAGGGGGCGGAGCTCGGCGGTAAACTCGCCCACCGCACACCTCCTGCTCTGAGGCCCGTTCCTAACAGGCCACAGACCTGTACCACTCCGCAGCCCAGGGGTTGGGGACCCTGCTCTAAAGAACGGGTTTGGGGGACACCCTCTGAAGCACCGCCCCTCCTCCTTTAGAGAAGGGAAGGGTGGTTTTGTCTTCAGTGCCCTTCGCTTTTGTGGGACTTCTGGCTGGAGGTGGAACTGGTGACTTTTCATGACAACCCACCCCGCGCATGGGTGGCTCAGAGGAACCTCCCAAAGGAGCCAGTGGTATCGAGATGCAGAGGAGGAAAAGCCGTGTGATATGAATGGGCTAGGGAGGATCCGAGGATGCCGCCATGGCCCGAAGGGAAGGAGGGAGCCAGGAAGAAGATGCTTCCCTGGAAAGAGGGTGGTGGTTTTCTGTTTTATAGCAGAGATCTCAGAAAATACATGAAAATCAGTGTTTGCTTGATTAATTTTGAACAAATTGTAAAAATCAAATATATTTTCCAACTTTTGATCCATGCAGGGCTTTAAGCAGAAAAAGCTTCTCGTCATCCACAGGGCACACCTGCTTGCCCACCGACCTGCCTGCCACCTGCACTAACGCCACAGGCAGGAAAGCAAGGTCTCCATGAGACAACTGCACACAAGAGATAGTGCACTCACTACTCATAACAGCCAGGGTGCTACGAGTAGGTGGAGGCAACACAAGTGTCCATCAATGGATGAAAGGATAAACAAAATGTGTGTGTGCGGACAATGGAACATCACTCAGCCGTCAAAAGGAGGAAATTCTGGGTCGGGTGCAGTGGCTCACACCTGTTATCCCAGCACTTTGGAGGCTAAGATGGGAGAATTGCAACCTAGCGAGACCCTCTCTCAACAAAAATAAAATGCTAGCCACGCATGGTGGTGCATGCCTATAGTCCCAGCTACTGGGAAGACTGAGGCAGGAGGAGCTCTTGAGCCCAGGAGTTTGAAGCTGCAGTGAGCCATGATCCTACCATTGCACTCCAGCTTGAGTGACAGAGTGAGACCTTGCCAAAAAAAAAAAAAAAAAAAAAAAAAAGAAAGAAGGAATTGTGACACATGTTACAACAGGGATGAACTCTGAGGTCATTATGCTCAGTGAAATAAACCAGTCACAGAAAGACAAATACAAATACTGCATGGTTCCACTTACATGAGGTACCCTAGAGGAGTCAAATCCACGGAGACAGAAATAGAATGGTAGGCGCCAGGGGCAAGGGGAGGAGAATGGGGATGGGGAATGAGTGCTTCATGGGGATAGTTTGTGGTGGGAAGCTGAAGAGTCCTGGAGCCAGATGGTGGAGACGGTTGAAAAGTCCTGGAGACGGATGGTGGAGATGGTGGCACAATCTGTGGATGTGCTTAGTGCCACCCAATTGGTTCAAATGGCCAATGTTGTGTTATATGTATTTTACCACAATCTAAACAATTATTTGAAGTAAAAAATGGAACGTAAATGTGTGTCCTTTTTCTGAGGTGAAGTAGAGCAGCGCCATGCATGTGAGGTTACGGGAGAGCTGGGGTGGCAACAGGGGCCTGGCTACAGATACTAACGCTCTCTGGGCTCTTTGGCCGCGCTGTGGCCGACGGGGCAGCCCGTGTTGGCACTGAGGAGCTGAGTCACAAGGCGTCTCCATCGTGCCTATGGGAGTTTAACTTACAGAGGTGTCAGCACCCACAGAGAGTGGCCAGCGCCACTGAAAGACTTCATTATTCGTATTTCTGGAGAGGAGGGGCACACTCACCCCACCCACAAGGCCACAGTGGGTGACCCAGGTTGGGTCAGGAAGCAGAGAGGAGACAGGGAAAGCTGAGACCAGAGCCTTTCAAGGTGGGGCAGGTGAACAGCTCAGGACCAGCTGGTCTGAATAAGGCTGGCTGGCCAGGGTATAGGGCCATCCCTAGTGCCTGCTGCCTGGCCCTGTGGGATTCAGGGCCCAGGAAATAATGGCTTGGTTGTAAGAGTTAGATAGAGGGGGTGGTTGGGAGTATGGACTTGGGATGGGTTGGTCTGCATGTGAATAAACAGGCTCCCAGGCAAGTTGTTTATCATCTGTAGGATTTAGCTGTCTCTGGGAGGGACAGTCTCTTCCCAGCCAGCCTGGCCTCCCAAGATATCAAAACATCATAACATATAAACAGCATGATTATGCCAGGTGCAGTGGCTCATGCCTATAATTCAAGCACTTTTCAAGGCCGAGATGGGAGGATTACTTGAGGTCAGGAGTTCGAGACCAGCCTGGGCAACAAAGTGAGACCTCATCTCTACTAAAAATAGAAAATTAGTTGGGCGTGGTGGTATGCACCTGTAGTCCCAGCTACTCTGGAGGCTAAGTCAGGAGAATTACTTGAGCCCGGGAGTTTGAGGCTGCAGTGAGCTGTGATCGTGCCACTGCACTCCAGCCTGTGTGACAAAGTGAGACCCTTGTCTCAAAAAGAAAAATAAAAGTCATGATTAGTGCTCACTGGCCACCAGTCCACAGCATCTGTCTGAGCACCCTGGGAGTGCCCAGGGAATGTTTCTAAACCCTCAAGGGTAACACGTGTGAACAACTTGAAAATCTTTACTAGCAGGCCATTGTGCAGACAGATGATCTCTGATGTCGGCTGAACCAGCTCCTGGGCAGACAATCCCTGTCCATTTGACTCAGGCCACCTTGCCTCAGCTTTCTGGGCCTCGAGACCCAAAGTCCACGCACCACATATTTTAATTCATTTCCCTGTTAACAGAACTCCACTCACTGCCTCTGTGAACCTTGCGCCCCCCCTCCCCCAGCCCTGCCCTGCCTTGCACCCCATCAGCACCTTCCGGCTTCCTGGAGGCCTGGGGCCTTGCAGTGCCTCCTCCCGCACATTTCACTGAAGAGGGACTTGCTGGGTTGTGGGCTCCTGAAGACACCCCTGCAGGGAGAGGAGACTCTGGAACTCACCAAGGCCGTGGGCAGTCTCCTGGCTGAGCATGAGGTCTGCTCCAAGCTGGAAAAGCCTTGGCCAGCACAGCACCCTGGGTAGGAACTATTCCATGCCTGCCATTTGTATGTTAGGAGAATCACAAGGTCATCACCTGGCATGCTTAGGTTGAAAAAGAATAACTGCAAAGGGAAGAGGTTAGGAAAAGACCTACTAGAAGTGCTATGTCACCTTCCCATATTCAAGAGCAGGTGCCTGAGATTCTGCTAATTCATGGAGCAAGGAGCCTGAGACCCAGCCCATGCAGGATGCTGGTCCAGATGTCCCTGACTGAGTGCCAGAGCGAACACTGGCACGCTGCAGCTCCTGGCCACTGCCCATGGCTCCTACTCACTGCCTGGGGCCCCTGGCCACTGCCTGGGCTTCCTGTCCACTGCCCAGGGCTCTTGGCTGCTTCCCAGGCCCCCTGACCACTGCCTGGGGCTCCTCCTCACTGCCCTGGGCTCCTGACCACTGCCTGGGGCTCCTCCTCACTGCCCAGGGCTCCTGACCACTGCCTGGGGGTCCTGCGCACTGCCTGGGGCTCCTTTTGTGCCTCCTGGAAGAGCAAAGTCATTGCTTTTGTTACAAGTTCATTGTAGTCACAGAGGTTCCCATTTTTTTCAGAACTTTCTTCTGGATGCAGACACAGTGCTCTTCCTTCCCTGGGGTCCCTCGGGCCCTTCCCCACACATGCTCTGCCGGCATGGCTGAGGGTGCACAGGATGCAGAGCTGAGTGAAATGCACCCCCTGCCTTTGAGGTGCTGAACGTGGCAGAGAATCTCCCCCCCCACCCCCACGGTGCAGATGCTGCATGGGAGGACAGACATGGCACATGGCTGTCTGGCCCAAGACAAGGCCGTGGATGAGGCCTAGGAGAGAAGAGGTAGGGAGGGCATCGAGCTCGGCTTTGCAGACCAAGCAGGGTCTCACCGGAGAGCACGTGGGGCAGGAGGGAGTCAGCCTGGCCCTGTGGCCTCAATCTCAATTCTGTTCAGGAGCCCTCTGCTTAGCACAGCTCAGGGGTGTCAGGTTCGGGCCTCCACCCAGTTCGGGTGACCCCTGTCCCCTGCCAGTGACTGCTGAGGACACAGTTCTGTGATTCAGTCCTGTGCAAGCCATAGGGAAGCCTACCACGGGGCTTCTAGAATGTACTCTCTATTGACGAAGAGAGCCATGGGAAGAGATGGCCTCTTCTTCCTGGGACACCATCACATCTGGTGTGAAGACTGAAATGGCAGCTGAGGAAAGCCAGCTGAGGATGGCAGAGCACAGATACGAAGATACTCTTGATGTCGTCATGGGTCCAAAGAGTCAGGGGCCTCCCACCCTGGGCTTCCCCAATATGAGGCCTAAACGCCTTTGCTGTGTGAGCAAGGGAGGCGAGGTTCTTCCTGCTGCCATGGGCAGCCAAGCCTATACAGCAGACATGAGAAACAGATTTCCTGAGGCCAGATCACAGGTTGTGCAGGGGTGTGGCTAGGCACGGAAGCATGAAGTAGGGCAAGGTGGGAGGGACCCAGAAAGACCTGGGATCATGCTCTTTGGGAATCAGGACCCACAGAGGGCTGCTCGGGGCTGGCCTGAGCAGCGGCTCAGGTGGGAGGACGCTTAGAGACCTGGGGCTGTGGGGTCAGAGGTCACAGAGAGCAGGGACAGGATATAGGAACTGAAGGTGGCCTTGAACTCCCGGGGTAGAGCCTGGATGTGCATGGACAGAGGAACGGGGCCCAGGGCATCCTTCTAAGGCTGATGCTTGAGTCGGTTCGTAGGTGAAAGAGATTTAAGATGCGAGAGATGAGGCAAGGGAGGCCGGTGTTTGTGGGGCGAGGCTCACGGAGAAGGGACTGGCCTGGGTTCTCTTTCACTGGACCCGAAGCTGCCAGAGGGATCCGGTGAAGAAGGGAGGAAGCTTGGTCCTTCACTCTTTCCTGGGCATCTGCCGCATGCCGAACCCTGTTCTAGAGGAAGGGTCCGGAACTGTTTTCTGTGCGGGGCCAGAGAGAATATGTTTCAGACCTTGCAGGAGAAGAGCCAAAACTGGAGATACCATGTAGGTACTTACATCACAAGAGACAAACACATTTCCACACAATTTTTATTGATGAAATTCAAATATAATAAGAGTACAGTTTTTCATAAGATAGGTCTACTAATGAGAAGAATGGAATTGTTTTTAATTAAGTTATTTAAATTGTGGTAGAATACGCATAACATTCACCACTCTGACCATTTCTAAGCATGCAGTTCAGGGGCAATAAGTGCATTCACATTCGGCTCTCACCACACCCACCTCCAGAGCTTTGTCATTGTGTAAAACCGAGACTGTCCCATTAGATGCCAATGCTCCATCCCCACCTCCCCAGCCCCTGGCAACCACCGTTCTGCTTTCTGTCTCTATGGGTTTGACCACACATGGCACCTCATATAAATGGAATCATACGGTATTTGTCTTTTGTGTGATTGGCTTATTTCACTGAGCATAATGACCTCAAGGTTCATCAATATTAGGGCATGTATCAGAATTCCTTTCCTTTTTGAGGCTAAATTTTCCAGTGTATGTATAAACCACACTTCGTTCATCTGTTCTTCTGTTGACTGACACTTAGGTTGCTCCTCCCCAAGCAACCCAGGTTAGGTTGGCTGTTGTGAATGATGCTGCTGTGAACATGGGTGTGCAGGTACCTCCTGGAGACCTTGCTTTTCAAACCTTTCCGGCATACTGACAAATAAAACTGCTGGATCACGTGGTCATTCTAGTTTATTTATTTTTTTGAAACAGGGTCTTGCTGTCACCCAGGCTGGAGTGCAGTGGTACAATCATGGCTCACTGCAAAATTGAACCCCTTGGCTCAAGTGATCCTGTTGCCTCAGCCTCCTGAGTAGCCAGGACCACAGGTGCATATCACCTTGTCTGGCTAATTTTTTTTTTTTCTTTTGTAGAGACAGGGTCTCACTATATTACCCAGGCTGGTCTTGAACTCCTGGCCTCAAGTGATCCTCCCGCCTCAGCCTCCCAAAGTGGTAGGATTACAGGTGTGAGCCACCTTGCCTGGCCCTATTTTTAATTTTTTGAGGAATCCCCATACTGTACCATTTTGCATTCCCATGAACAGTGCACAAGGGTTCTAATTTCCCACTACCTCATCAACACTTGTTATCCTTGGAATTCCTCTTGTGTGCACAGGAGAAACTTTTTGCTTAATCAAGATTCAAAACTAGTGTTCCCTGTCATCAAGTTGAAATGTTCTTCTGTTAGCGCTGGTCTGTAGTGAGATTTTACGTGTTTCTCTTTTCTTTATGCTCAAAGATTTTCTTTCTTTTCAACTTCTATTTCTCTTAGGCCCTTGTCTATTTGCTCCTGTCTTTCTTGTTTAATATTCATCTCTGAAATGATATTTAAATATTCATTACAACCCTTTCCTAATTTCTTGCCATTCATTTTCAATTTTTTAAAAGTTTTAAGTTCAGAGAAATGTATGTATGTTGTCACGTATCTTGTATCAGTTTCTTGTTTAAAGTTTGTTTGGACATGATGATTAGGGCATAGTTTTCATCCATTTTACATTATTCGTCCTATTTTCTTTTTTCTTGTAATACACTTATAATCCTTTGCATAGGATTTGACCTTGAAATTTGCGTCCTTAAACTTAAAGGAGGGTGCCCCTTCTCTGCGGCCTGCCAGCATCTGTTGCGCTCCTCTGCTCGTTCTGCAGTCCGCCGTCTCCTTCTCCTTGCGTCCTCGTTCTCCTCTGCTTGGTGTTATCTTCCCCTCCCCATCCCGCTGCCATGTCCCCCAGTCTCCCCCAGCACTCCCCCCACCACACATGCCAACCCCTCATGGATTCGCCCCGAGGCCGCGGCCTCCCCTCACTAGGTTGTAAATTCCAACATGGGCTTTGGTTTCACTACCTGGGTTCTGGTTGCCCCCTCTATTTTTATAGAGAATTCAGGGGAAATCAAAATCAAAATCAATAACTTCCTCACCCTGCTCACCTTGTCAGAAGTTCCTCTTGCTTTCAAAAGGCTGTGCCCCTCCTCTGGGAAGCCCGGGGCTTAGGTCTTTAGTCTTTGGGATCGGCTGGGCTCCCGGGCCTGCAGCGGAACCTCTTCCCCTTGGTTTCCTGAGCTAGGAATGGTTGTGTGCCCGATGCCACTGCCTGAGGGTGCACGCAGAAAGCGCTGGGCGTTTGGAAGCTGGCAAGGGCCATTAAGTTTTGCTCACCACTGCCATTCAGTCATGATTTATCTACAAATACTGGCTCCTGAAGGACAGAATCCGTGTGTGTTAGTCTGCTGGGGCTGCCATGATGAAGTACCACAGGCTGGGCGCCTTAAACAACAGACACCTACTCCTTGCAGTCCTGGAGGCTGGAAGGGTTGGTCCTTCTCAGGCCTCTCTCCCTGGCTTGTCAATGGCCGTTCTCTCCCTGCGTTCTCACGGGGTCTTTCCTTTTCCTCTGTGCCTGTCTGGGTCCTAATCTCTTCTTCTCCTTCTTTGAGACAGGGTTTTGCTCTGTCATCCAGGCTGCAGCACAGTCGCATGATCGTAGCTCACTGCAGGGCTCAAATGATCCTCCCACCTCTGCCTCCCAAGTAGCTGGGACTACAGGCATAGTCCCAGGCTAATTTTTGAATTTTTTGTAGAGACAGGGTCTTGCTATATTGCCCAGGCTGGTCTTGAATTCCTGGGCTCAAGTGACCCTGCTACCTCAGCCTTCTGAGTAGCTGTGACTACAGATATACAAGACCACACCTGGCTAACTTTTTTTTGGTAGAAATGGGATCTCACTCTGCTGTTCAGGCTAGTCTCAAACTCCTGGGCTCAAGCGATCCTCCCATTTTGGCCTCCCAAAGCACTGGGATTATAGGCCTAATCTCTTCTTCTTATAAGAACACTTGCCATGACTTCTGGTGTGTGTTGCCAAGGTGCGGGCCTGGTGGGCCACAGGGGCAACATTATTGCCATCGTCCTCTCCCTCTGTCCCGGGGGTCGAGATGTCAGGACTCAGCTCTCCAGAGACGGAGGGCTGTCGTAACCTACTTGGGCTACTGGACAATGAGGAGATTCATGGCCCTGTGCAGCACCGTCACCAATTGCCTGGTGCAGCCCAAAGACCACCAATGTAAGGGCAGACCTGTGCCATGGAACACAGCCACTCCTTCCCAAGCCTCATGCTGACCCCAGGTCACTGGAGCCTGGGAGTGGAGGGGGTTCGGGGCCTAGAACCCAGTTAGTCTCAGACCCCGCTTAGGCAGAATCCTGGGGAATCCCTGCCACCATGGCAGATCCACTGCTCTGAAACTGATACGGAAATGCTGAGAAGGGAGAAGCATGGTCCCTTTAAATGATACGGAAGGGGGTAAGGGAAGTGCCAAGGGAAGTGCGGGTATAGGAGGGCGTTTTCTGACCCTGCTACCTCAGCCTTCTCAGTAGCTGTGACTACAGGTACACAACACCACACCTGGTTAATTTTTTTGGTAGAAACAGGATCTTATTGTGTTGTCCAGGCTAGTCTCAAACTCCTGGGCTCAAGTGATCCTCCCACTTTGGCCTCCCAAAGCAAAGACCGTTTCTTACTAAGGCTCCACCCCCACGGACCTAAGTGAGGACAGGCATTTCCTGCCTTACATTTTCCAAGACCGCTCTTGCTGCCACGCCCCATCGGGCGCCTATAAAAACCCAGACCCTAGCAAGGCAGAGACAGGAGCGGCTGGACGTGGAGAGGAGCACACTGGCGGAGGAATCCACAAGTGGCCGGCTGGCGAGAGGAATGCGCCCACAGGCACAGGCATGCCACTGATCGCGGAATGACGTGGAGTTTGGCCGGGAGTCGGAAGAGTGTCTGGGCCACCCAGCTGCCCCACTCCAGGGGAAAACCATCTGTCTTCTGGTTCCCCCATCTGCTGAGAGCTACTTCCACTCAATAAAACCTTGCACCCATTATCCAAGCTCATGTGTGATCCGACTCTTCCGGTACACCAAGGCAAGAACCCGGGATACAGAAAGCCCTCTGTCCACGCGACAAGTAGAGGGTCTAATTGAGCTGGTTAACACAAGCCGCCTATAGACAGCAAAACTAAAAGAACAAACAGTAGCATACGCCAACTGGGGCTTCAGCTGTAAACATTCATCTCTAGACCCTGCTGTGGGGCCTGAGCCCCACAACCTGCCCATCTGTATGCCCCCTCTAGCGGTGGGAGAAGCAGGACACAGAAGAAACGAGCCACACCCCCATCCCACACCCTGCAAGGCGGACAAAGGAACCTTTCCCGTTTCGGAACCACTACACAGGCTTAGGCAGCTGGGCCCGCCAGGAGGTGGTGGCAGTGACAATGGCGCAGCTTCCGGGATTATCCATGTCATGGGCAGCACTTGCTGATTTGAGGATTTGGAGCACCTTTCATGTAATGTTAGTGGACAGTCCAAGGGCAGAACTTCTGAGGCGTAAAAACGTCCACCTTTCTGGTCACATTTAAGTACTTGGCAACACCAGGGGGTGGTTGTTATACCTCCAGTTACTAAAAAACACAGTCTTATTTAGCGTATAAAAGCAATCACAGCCAAAATTGAAGGAAACACCAGAGCCAGTTACAAAGACAGAGGACATCCAGCTCTTTCGACAGCAGGCAAAAGATTAAAAAGCTGAAAAGGTTGATTTTCATTGCCTGGGAGAATTCTGTCACCGGGTCTTTGGACTTCTTAATTCTCACAATTCTTTCCTGGGACCACCTCAAGATGAATGGGAACCACAGCATGATGTCCAGCTTAGATTCTATTACAACAAGTCAGAACAAAACGTGATAGACTCAGCTTAGATTCTATTACAACAAGTCAGAACAAAACGTGATAGACTGGCTGGGTGTGGTGGCTCACACCAGCACTTTGGGAGGCTGAGGTGGGTGGATCACTTGAGGTCAGGAGTTTGAGACCAGCCTGGCCAACATGGTGAAACCCCATCTCTGCTAAAAATACAAAAATTAGCCAGGTGTGGTGGCACATGCCTGTGGTCCCAACTACTCGGAAGGCTGAGTCAGGGAATCACTTGAACCTGGGAGGCAGAGGCTGCAGTGCCCCGAGATCACGCCACTGCACTCCAGCCTGGACAACCAAGCAAGACTCTGTCTCAAAAAAAAAAAAAAAAGAGGTCAGGCGCGGTGACTCACGCCTGTAATCCCAGCACTTTGGGAGGCCGAGGCGGGCGGATCACGAGGTCAGGAGATCAACACCATCTTGGCTAACGCAATGAAACACCGTCTCTACTAAAAATACAAACAATTAGCCGGGCGTGGTGGTGGGCACCTATAGTCCCCTACTGGGAAGGCTAAGGCAGGAGAATGGCGTGAACCCGGGAGGTGGAGCTTGCAGTGAGCCGAGATCATGCCACTGCACTCCAGCCTGGGCAACAGAGCGAGACTCCGTCAAAAAAAAAAAAAAAAAAGGGATGGACTACCATGGGACAGAAATCATGAGTCTCCGTTTGCCGTCACTAGTAAAAGAAGAATTTCTTTTTCTCAGCCCAATGTAGAAATGTACTTCTTCTCTTCATGGGCTGGTGATGGTTGGAACTGCTGGGAACTGCTGGGACATCGAGGGAACACTTGCTTGGGCATTTTTGAACAAAGTTTTGGGCTCACCTGCTGCCCTTTTGTGGAGAATACTTGGAAAATCAAATTTATCAACCTGAGAATTGTTGGAGACAGTTCCCTTGCTCCTGGAATTACTGAAACCAGCTGTTACATTTGAACAAGGTGGTCTAGAGGCCTTTCATAATATAATCACCTTACATGGCACCAACACAGTGCAACATCACGTAAAGTAGGCATTGGTGGTGGAACTGGAGAACAAGCTTTATGTAGTGGAAATGAGGCACCGCTGAACAAACGAGAACTGGGTTTACCTGACCCCCTAAAGCACTGAGCACCGTCAGCCTAAAATATCTATACAGAAACACTTCCAAATACATCAGTAATGTCTAAGTGATTTCAGATGTGAGGATTGACCTATTTTAGTTGAAATAACTTTCTGAACTCTAGACTTAACATATTCTGTGAATACTTACCTATTTTTACCTGAGTCGCAGCAAATGTTCTGAAATGTTCTGAAAGCTTAACACAAATAAATCTCACTTTAGATGTTATAGAAAAAAAGAAGAAGAAGAAGAAGACCCGTCATACGGGATCAGGGCCCACACTAATGACCTCATTTTAATTCATTCAGGTCTTTACAGACCCTGTCTCCAAATACAGCCACATTCTAAGGGAGCAGGGCTTAGGACTTCAACAAGTGAATTTGGGGGAACACAGTACAGCCCATAACAACGTTGTAATTCATTTCATATGCTCGCAGCACCTAACACATAACACACATACACACATATATACCAAAACACGACACCTGTCTGCAAACCGCCCTTCCCCAGTGAGTGTCCTTGAGCAAGCTCGCCCACCCCCCGTCCTCATCTCTCCACTAGAGGGCAGCAAGCACCCATTAAAGAGGGCCCAGGCCTTTGCAAGGCGGCCACACTCAGCCACATTTTTGGTTGTTGCATATCACAAGCTGGAGGTTCTGAATTTTCTCTCTTGTTCCATGCCATGCTAATGCAACTTAAGGTCCCTGCAGGCCCCGCATCATTAACATGGGGTGGGGGCCCCTCTCTTGTCCTCAGTGAGGGGAGAGAACCTGGGGTCCCCAGGGTCCCCGTCTGTGAGTCCGTGGTCTGCACACACACCCTGCTGAACAGGCACTGTGTCTGCAGCTGGATGGGATCAGAGGTGCAGGAGAAATTCTACAAAGATTCAGAGAAGCCAGTGAACTCCAGTAGTCGTTTTACTGATTCCCTGCAATAAGACAGGGGAAGGGGCACCTCTGTTTCCTTTTCTCCTCCCATCCCAAATTTCTGGAGCCTCCAGCCTCCATTCTCCTCTCCAGCCAAGGGCTGTGAGGCGCTGCCTCTCTTTGGATGACTGCTCTGTGTAATGCTCGGAGTGCACTGATCGGTCACATGACAGTCGGGCAATTAGGAGACGCAGGAGAGTCCCCGGCCCCCACTATGATGCTTCTCCCTGCAGAATGCATCTTCTCCTCCCCTCACCACCCTCCTCAGCGGTGCTCTGCCAGGAGGACTACTGGAAACGAGCAGCCCTGGGCTCTCTGCTTCACAGCCAAGGGGGGACGTTGCCGGGTGGGAACCTTCAGCTCCTGTGCGGTGATATTCAATCCTGGTTCCAACAAGGGGCGGGTTTCCACCTTACACCATCAGGGCGCACACTGCTCCCATAAGAAAAGAGATCACCAGGGATTAAAAAATATAGGTAGAAGGAATAAGTTCTAGTATTTGAAAGTAGAGTAGGAAAGTTATAGTTAACGATAATGAATTGTGTATTTCTGGGGTTGTTTTGTTTTGTTTTGAGACGGAGTCTCACTCTGTTGCCCAGGCTGGAGTGCAGTGGCACAATCTCAGCTCACTGCAACCTCCGTCTCCCAGGTTCAAGAGATTCTCCTGCCTTAGCCTCCTGAGTAGCTGGGATTACAGGTGCCTGCCACTGCGCCCAGCTAATTTTTTGTATTTTTTAGTAGAGACGGGGTTTCACCATGTTGGCTAAGCTGGTCTCGAACTCCTGATCTCAGGTGATCCACCTGTCTCAGTCTCCCAAAGTGCTGGGATTACAGGCATGAGCCACCACGCCCGGACTGTATATTTCAAAATAACTAGAATTGGAATGTTCCCAACACAAAGAAAAAACAAATGTTTGAGGAGATGAATAACCCAACGACCCTGATTAGAACATTATAGATTATATACATGTATCAAAATATCATATGTGCCCCAAAATATGCACAATTCTGAAATATCAATAAAAAAGAAAAGAGATCTATTACACAGCAGGGTGACTACAGTCGATAATAATAAGGTGTCGAACATCAACAGACGAATGGGTGAAGCCAATGTGGTACAAATACACCGTGGAGTACTACGAAGCCATGAAAAAAGAGTGAGATCCTATCATTTGCAACAGCATGGATGGAATTGGAGATCATTATGTTAAGTGAAATAAGCCAGGCACAGAAAGACAAATTTTACTCATTTGTGGGAGCTGAAATTAAAATTCCCAAAGACACCTTTCACACGTCTGAAAGCCCCCTTCTAACCACTTCATTCACAGCAGCATCATTCTCAACAGCCAAAAGGAGGGACCCACCCAGTGTCTCTCCACGGATGAGTGGAAAAACAAAATGTGGTGTAAACCTGCCATGGAGTATCATTCCGCCTTTGACAGGAAGGAACTTCTGACACAGGCCACAATATGGATGAAACGACATTCTGCTGAGTAAAACCAACCAGACACAAAAGTTGCATGACTCCAATTATAAGAGTCGTCAAATTCCCAGAGACAGAAAGTAGAATCGTGGTTGCCAGGGGCTGGGAGAAGAAGACATGGGGAGTTTAATGGGCACAGAATTACAGTTTAGGAAGATGAAGACCTTCTGGAAATGGGCAGTGGTGCTGGTTGTACAACAGTGTTAATGTACTTAATACCACAGAACTGTACACTTTAAAATGGTTAGAAAGAATGGTAAATTTTGGCCGGGTGCGGTGGCTCACGCCTGTAATCCCAGCACTTTGGGAGGCCGAGGCGGGCGGATCAATAGGTCAGGAGATCAAGACCATTTTGGCTAACACAATGAAACCCCGTCTCTACTAAAAATACAAAAAATTAGCCAGGCGCGGTGGCGGGCGCCTATAGTCCCCTGCTCGGGAGGCTGACGCAGGAGAATGGCGTGAACACGGGAGGCGGAGCTTGCAGTGAGCCGAGAGAACGCCACTGCAGTCCCGCCTGGGCGAAAGAGCGAGACTCCGTCTGAAAAGAAAAGAAAAGAAAAGGAAGAATGGTAAATTTTATGTTATGTAGTTATGTATATTTTACCATGATTTAAAAAAATGACCACGAAAGTTACCCCTTCCAAATGGCAGCACTCCATCAGGAAGGGAGCTTCGAGGCCCAGGGGCTGGCATCAAACCACCCAGCTTGACAAGGGATTCTGCACCCTGGAAGAAGACACACGGCCGGCAGCAATGGTCCCAGGACTGGCGCACGCCATTGGGGAGCATCACGCCCAGGCGCAAGAGGGACAAGGCCTGGTGCCCTGGAGCCTCCTCAGCTCTGACCAGGCTTCCTTCTCCCAGAGACAGGGTGAAGCTGGCCTGGACACGGCCTGGGGTGCCCTCCATGACAGAGCGTTCACATACTTTCACGCTACAGGTTTGCTCCCGCCCCTGCCCCTTCCCCGTCAAAGTTCCTACAGCTGCCATGGGCTCTGCCGCGACCAAACAGAAGACCCAGCCCATAAGCCCATCTTGCCATCTGGCATCCTGCTCCAACACTGGGGCAAGGCAGAGTCTTGGCAAAGTGAAGCAGAAGACAGGCTTGGGGGATGGAGGAAGTAGACCCCATTTGCAGAGCCTGTGCTTTGCAAATGCTTCTCCCTGATGGCAGCTCTGGACTGTCAATCTGTACCTACATCCCTGTCCTAGGGCTTCCCCAAGGTCCCCATGGGTGGCATTCAGGGCACTCAGGAGCTTGGATGGGAGAAAAAGCATCTTTATTTTCACTAAGGTTTAGCATTTTCTCCATCTCTGAATGTAAGCGACACACATCAGCAGTTCTAAGGGGTCCACAGAGCTCATCAGGCTATGCAAGTCTCCATGGTGCCCCAAAAGGTTAAAGACTGCTATGCCTTAGAGCAGCGGTCCCCAGCCTTTTGGCACCAGGGACTGGTTTTGTGGAACACAATTTTTCCACAGACCGAGGGTGGAGTGGTGGTTTTGTGATGATTCAAGTGCATTACATTTTTATTGTGCACTTTACTTCTGTTATTATTATATTCTCATTATGACATCGTTATTACATTGTAATATATAATGAAATAACTATACAATTCACCATAATGTAGCATCAGTGGGAGCCCTGGGCTTGTTTTCCTGCAACTAGATGGTCCCATCTGGGGGCGATGGGAGACAGTGACAGATCAGCAGGCATTCGATTCTCGTGAGCACACAGCCTGGATCCCCCACATGCACAGTTCACAATAGGGTTTGTGCTCCTATGGGAATATAATGCCGCTGCTGATCTGATGGGAGGCAGAGTTCAGGGGGTAATTCAAGCAGTGAGCAGCTGTTACAGATGAAGCTTCATTTGCTTGCCTGCGCCTTACCTCCTACTGTGTGGCCCATTCCTGTGACCCCAGGGGTTGGGGACCCCTGCTCTAGAGCATTTGCAAGGAAACAGGAGGCTTGGAAAGGAGTGATTTTCCTAAACAGTGGGTCAGGAGATCAGCAGTGTGCACGCTCAGGTCAGTAGGATAGCAGACCCCAGGGAGGATGGGGCTGTAAGCCAAGAGGTACTCCAGGGAGGCAAGGTCCATTCCTGCAAATGCACCCCCCACGCAGGCTGTAGGGTCCAGGAGAGGAGGATGTCCAGGTGGTGGGAATGGGAACAAGCATGATCTTTCATCTGTGTTAAATTGATAGCAAGGGTGACTTTGCTCCATGCCAGCCAGGAGCAGGGGTCACCTGGTAGCAATAAGAACCTCCCTCCAAGACTCTTGGCCCTGGCCCAGGTGGCGGGAGGGAAGGCTGGAGGGCCATGAGACTGGTGGGCAGGGAAGAGGCCTGGCCTCCTCTGTGGCCAGGGCTGTTGGGGAAACACCTTCACCTGGGCAGCCTGAGATGATCACGGCAAGAGCTCCAGCTGCTCTCACCCTGGGCAGGGTCCCTGCACACACTGTATCTTTAGAGGTCCCTTCAGGACCCTGGTTTGCTGCCTCACAGTGTCATCAGAGCCAGGGGAGGACAGGAGAAGTGAGCACACCGTTGCTGGGAGGTGCATCCTGCCAAGCCCAGCCCGTGGCTCTGATGCCCACGGGCTCCAGCATGCAGTCCAGAGTGCAGAGGCTGTGTGCAGCAGGGGTGTGACAGGCCCCTGGGTGGGCTGACGGGAGGCCCCACCCACCCATACACACCTGGGGTGCTCGGGGGTGGGGGGTTGCTGGTAGGGTCCTGGCCTGAAGCCTGCGAGGCCTGGATGTCAGGCCAGGCTCTGGGGGTGGGCCGGGGATGCCTCTGGGCACCTGCTGCCGCCTCCATACACTACTGACTGTCTCATGTGGCCTCTGGCCATTGCCCTGCTGTCTCTGTTCCCGGAAAGTGGTCCCAATTCAGATCCCAAGAGAGGGTTCTTGGATCTCGAGGAAGAAAGAATTAGGGGCGAGTCCATAGAGTAAAGTGAAAGCAAGTTTATTAAGAAAGTGAAGGAATAAAGAATGGCTGCTCCATGGTCAGAGCAGCCCTGAGGGATGCTGGTTGCTTTTTTTTTTGTTTTTTGTTTTTTTTTAATTTGAGACGGAGTCTCGCTCTGTTGCCAGGCTGGAGTGCAGTGGCACGATCTCAGCTCACTGCAACCTCCACCTCCCGGGTTCAAGCAATTCCCCTACCTCAGCCTCCGGAGTAGCTGGGACTACAGGTGCGCACCACCATACCCAACTAATTTTTTCTGCATTTTAGTAGAGTTGGGTTTCACCATGTTGGCCAGGATGGTCTTGATCTCCTGACCTTGTGATCCGCCCGCCTCGGCCTCCCAAAGTGGTGGGATTACAGACGTGAGCCACCATGCCCGGCCTCGGTTGCTTATTTTTATGGTTTCTTCTTGATTATATGCTAAACAAGGGGTGGGTTATTCATGCCTCCCTTTTTTAGACCATACAGAGTAACTTCCTGACATTGCCATGGCATTTGTAAATTGTCAAATTGTTGACAGTTTGAGAGTGTAGCAGTGAGAATGACCAGAGGTCATTCTCATCACCATCTTGGTTTTGATGGCTTTTTAGCCTGCTTCTTTACTGCAACCTGTTTTAATCTGCAAGGTCTTTATGACCTGTATCTTGCAGCAACCTCCTATCTCATCCTGTGACTTAGAATGCCTAACCGGAGGGGCCAGGAGTGGTGGCTCACACCTGTAATCCCAGTACTTTCGGAGGCCACGGTGGGTGGATTACCTGAGGCCAGGAGTTCGAGACCAGCCTGGCCAACATGGCGAAACCCCGTCTCTACTAAAAATACAAAACTTAGCCAGGCGTGGTCATGCACACCTGTAGTCCCAGCTACTCAGGAGGCTAAGGTAGGAGAATTGCTTGAACCTGGGTGGTGGTAGTTGCAGTGAGCCAAGATCACGCCATTACACCCCAGCCTGGGAAACCGAGTGAGACTCCGTCTCAAAAAAAAAAAAAAAAAAAAAAAAAAAGACTGTCTGAGAATGCAGCCCAGTAAGTCTCAGCCTTATTTTACCTAGCCCCTATTCAAGATGGAGTTGCTCTGGTTCAAGTGCCTCTGACATCTCTGACATCTCTACTTTATAGGTAAAGACCTTGAGGGCTGTCTAGTGTTCCTAAGCACAAACAGGCTGTGATGAGCCGGATGTGGTGGCGTGTGCCTGTGGTCCCAGCTACTTGGGAGGCTGAGGTGGGCAATCACTTGAGCCCAGGAGGTCAAGGCTGCAGTGACCTGTGATCATGCCACTGCCCTCCAACCTGAGTGACAGAACAAGATCCCCATCTCTTAAAAAAAAAAAAAAAAGGCCGAGTGTGGTGGCTTACGCCTGTAATCCCAGCACTTTGGGAGGCTGAGGCGGGTGGATCATGAGGTTAAGAGTTTGAGACCATCCTGGCCGACATGGTGAAACCCTGTCTCTCCTAAAAATACAAAAATTAGCCGGGCGTGGTGGCAGGCACCTGTCATCCCAGCTGCTCGGGAGGCTGAGGCAGGAGAACCGCTTGAACCCGCCACTACACTCCAGCTTGGCAACAAAGCGAGACTCCATCTCAAAAAAAAAAAAGGCTGCAATGAACTGTATGCGGAAAATATGTGTGTTAGATGAGCTGCGTTCAGGCAAGAGTTATGGTGTTGCTGGTGGTGAATACATTAAAGAAGCAATAATATATATTAAAGTGTCTTTCAACAGAAACAGACACACAACAAGGTTATGTATGGATTAGTGAATGAAATGTTGCAAACAGAAGCTCTCACAAGCTTGTATTTCCCCTGGAGCAATGGTTCTGTACTTTCTGGTTAAAAGGTTTAAGATGAGACAGTTCTGAGCAATGATTCTAAATGTCTGCCACATCTCAGACAAGAAACACTTCTCCCTGGAGCACCAGAAAGCACTTAGGATAAGAGGCAGACCCATGTCTCTTCCCCAGGGACTCCTTTCTCCTCTGGAGTCCCTGGAGCACTATGCACACACAACACGCTGCGCTGCATCCCCTTCTCCCTTCCTCCAGCCTCCAGAACCCCCGAGTCCAAAGCCTTGGCTTCAGTGGTCTGTGCCCCAGCATGCCAGCTGGGCAGAGACATTTTTCCTCTTCTCTAAGAGTTAGGAGACAACGTCATTTTAACAAAAGCAGGACACCTGACTCCTTTAAGAGGGCTCGCTGACGACCATAACTACTGAAAATAAAGGAACGTTTCCATGTGAAAGATGCTACTTCCAGAGGAATTGCACTTGACCCCTGGCAGGTGGGGCTGCCAGAGCTGTCTCGGGAGGTCTGCGGGGGTGGGGGGCGCACACACACACACACACACACACACACACACACACACACACACACGGGTCAGATGGGGAGGAGCATGGGATGGGGCTGTCAGCAGGAAGGGTGTGCAGGGGGCAAAGGCGTGTTGTAGGGTCTGGGCTCCTCATCACTGGAGGGGCCTGGGCAGCCTTGGACGCCACCACTTCTGCTTCTGGGAGGTTACAGAGGGATTCCAATGCTGAGCCCCCAGAAGTGACTCAACCAGGCATCCGTTTCTCCAGTCATCATCCTCTGCTTTGGAATTAAACTCTCCCAGGCCTTAGTAAGCAAGAAGACAGCCCTGCAGGTGAACTTGAGGGTGAAGGGCAGGGAGGGTGGAGGGGTTGGTCCTGCCCCCTCCAGGTCCTTGAAGGCTCCAGCTGGAAGCTGCTGGGGCAGGGCCGACTCTCCTGGGAATGGGACCCCACCCCACCAGGTCCAGCCCTTCACTCCTTTTCCTTGCCTAAACTTTTTAACGCCTCTGCCTGGACTTCTCTCGGCCCGAAGATTCCCATCCAGTTCACTGCTATTGTGCGCTGAAAAGCATTTCAGTTCCCTATATGACGCTTTGCTACCCCAACCCTGACTTAGCAGCGCCGTAAGCCACTTCGTAATGTCACTTCTGCCTCTGGTTTCCCTGTTTCTGTTATGGGACCCAGCTGCCTCATAAATGCTTCGCCTGTGATCAGACACAGTTGGGGCTGCCAAGGGCTCTCACCCCAGCAGGGCCTCACCAAACCCTGCAGAGAGGACCCCAGGCATCCAAGAAGAGGCTGGGAAATGCCGAGTGCCACCACCCTGCCGACACCCCACGCTGGCTTCAGGGCTGCTCGGTGTGATTGGTGACACGGAAGGGTGGTCATGCAGCCACACACATCCCCATGGGAATCCGCGGCAGAGGAGGGCAGGCGGGGCACGGGTACATGAAACAGCAGCCTTGACCTTGACTGAGATCGTGGTGATTAAAAGGGCAATTGAAACAATGGGGGGAAAGCCAGAACCAGGGGTGCGAGAATAATCTATCAGGACTCTTACCAGAGCCTTCCTGAAGGGAAAAAGAAATCCAGTAAAAACAAACTCTCCTTCATGGTGGCAACAATGAAACAATCTCGCTTCTCTTGCTCTCAATTTTATTGGCCTCCAAAGTTTCTGTGTTTCTAAAGATTAGCCTTCCCTTGGGAAGTTAGTGGGGGGAAAATAAGCAAATATTAGTTTCCCTCTCGAGAAGTCATTCTTTCGAGCCAGTTTCCCCAGGAGCTCTACAGGGCACAGCTTGTGAAACCTCATTCCAGGCCTTCTCAACTCAAGTGGGGGGAAAGGATTAACAAATATCTTTGAATTCCAGCAAGACAAAACAGGAATGGCCTCAAGCCGGGCTTCCTCCTGCAGCCTCTCCAAGGCTCCTTCTGCCTGGCCCAGAGTCACGGAGGAAGAGCGCCCGTCTTCACGGGCTGCCCTGGCGCTGCATCAGATCCGCCAGGTGGGCCGGGGACAAATCCTGATTTTCACTTCTGATTAGTAATTGTGTGCGAGAGATGTTCCCAGCTAAAATAATATACAATAACTTCCCTAGAGAAAATATACACAGTCAATTTTTGGAATCACTTAACACAACCCTTCACCAAGTGAATGTACAATTGGAACAACATAACACGTTTCCCATGTGGAAGAGAAGGGCTGGTACACGTTGACGTCATCGTGGGAGAGACAAATGTGCCGGTTTTATTAACCCCAGGCCACACGTAGGTGAGCAGTGGGCCATTGTTATGCAACCATTCAGTATTATTTTTCCATAAATCAAGGTAACGCCTAATGAAGTCCGAGTCTTTAAATCAAGCAGCCTTTTCCTATTTGGAACATAAAGTTGGGCTGTTGCCAGGAGCTCCGGGAAGCAGAGGGCCACAAGTAGCGTTTCAATAAGGAACGTAAGTGCCCATTCACCGGCACCGGATGCAGGCTGGTGGGTCAAGCCCACTCGCCAATATTGTCAAGTCAGTCTTAGGGGAGCTTCGCATTAGCACTGACAGTGATGGACTGCAGCTGGGGCTCAAGAGCAGCCCATGCGCTTCTGCTGGGAGAGGGACGTGGGGAACAGGCAGCTGTTTTGGCCTCCCGGGGCTGCCATCACAAAGTGCCACTGGCTGGTGGCCTCACCGCAGACCTTTATTGTCTTATATTCTGCGGGCCGGAAGTCTGGGATCAAGGCGTGGGCAGGGTTATGTCTTCCGGGGACCTTCTCCCGGGCTTGTCGATGGCCGTCTTCTCGCCATGCCCTCAGAGGGTCATCCCTCTGGGCATACCTGTGTCCTAATCTCCTCTCCTTTTTCTTTCTTTATTTAGTTTTAGAGACAGGATCTTGCTGTGTTGCCCAGATTGGAGTGCAGTGGCACAATCATGGCTCACCGAAGCCCCACATTCCTAGTGCTCAAGCGATCCTCTTGCCTCAGCCTCCCAGGCTCCCAAGTAGCTGGGACTACGGGTGCACCTCACCATGCCTGGCTAATTTTTAAAATTTTTTGTAGAGATGGGGGTCTCACCATGTTGCTCAGGCTGGTCTCGAACATCTGGGCTTGAGCAATCCTCCTGCTTTGGCCTCCCAAACTGTTGGGAGCCACCTTGCTAGGCCCTAGTCTCCTTTTCTTATAGGACACCAGTCATACAAGAGTAGGGCCCACCCTCATGACCTCATTTTGAATGAATTACCTGTTTAAAGACCCTCTCTCAGCCAGGTGCAGTGGCTCAGGCCTGTAATCCCAACACTTTGGGAGGCCGAGGCAGGTAGATCACTTGAGGTCAGGAGTTCAAGACCAGCCTGGTGAAATCCCGTCTCTACTAAAAATACAAAAAATTAGCCAGGCGTGGTGGTGCGCACCTGTAGTCCCAGCTACTTAGGAGGCTGAGGCACAAGAATCTCTTGAACCCAGGTGGCAGAGGTTGCAGTGAGCTAAGATTGCACCACTGCACTCCAGCCTGGTCAACAGAGCAAGACTCCGTCTCAAAAAAGAAAGAAAGAAAAAGATCTATCCAAATACAGCCATATGGGGTTGGGACTGGGTGGTTAGGAGTTCAACATAGGAACTTGGGAGGGAGGCCATAAATCAGCCTATAACAGGGGAAGCACAGAAAAATCTTGGCATCATTTTGCTGTTGTAAAAGAAAATGGAAAGGAAGGAAGGAATAGATATTGGGTGATTCCCGGCTGTTTTCCCGCCATGACTCAGCTGGTGCAGCATCTCCATCAGGCCAGCCCAGGCACTCCAGCATGGCCTGACCCTTGGACGGACAGGTGTGAGGGTGTGAGGGATGGAGGTCTGCATCCAAGACACCCCCAGAGACCCCTGAGGTGAGTGTGTGTGCAAATGAGCTGGCCAAGGGGCTGGATTTGCATTCTTGATGTTTTCTGCAGAGACAGAGCAGGTGGAGGAAGTGGGAGGCAGCTGGTGGGGAAAAGCCAACAAGCTTAGCTTCATTTTCAGTTCTCTGCAGCGGGGCAGCTGCTTATCTGCTGGAGGCTCAGATCCTCCATCTCTAAGGTAATGATACCCTCATCTCACATGTCCTCGAGAGGATTAACTAACTACAGCATCGTCTGCCAGGAAAGCCCAACACAGAGCCTGCCTGGTCCACAGCGCCTGGGAGCTGTCATTGTCTGCCCTCTTCCCAGCATCCCAGACTCATGCTTTCATCCAGGGCTCTGGGTACAGGGAGAGGAGGTATGGGTGGCTGGAGTCAGAGACCTAGGCACAGCTTCCTGGTCACAGTGGATTTGCACTGGAAACAAGAATGTTCTGTACTCACTGCCTTTGCAGAGTTCACATCTCAACTATGAATGACAGTGACTGAAAAGGGGCTTGATCCAGCCCCGACATCTTCTGGGTGCACATTCCCCAACTTTCTTCCCACCACGGGGAGGAAGGAGTGGGAACCAAAGGCAAATAAGTATTAGAACAATGGCAATTCAATGTCTTTGAAGACTCGAAGTAGTTGGGTGACGGAGTCACAGCATACACAATTGTGCTGGGGCCCTGTGATGTCCTGGAGTGTGCTATGATTCACATCACCCTCTTCACGATCTAGAGATGGGCCACAGGGACATTACCACGCACCTCGCAGCCCAGAGGTCACTTTCAGGTACCACCAGGTGCCATCTGGAATGGGGATAAACATTTGGGGCCATCAGTTGGTTCAGGAGGCTGTGAGGTCACATGGAACAGACAGCATCGGAAACCCCCAACCTGGATTCTGGGAGGCAGTGTGGCTGACAGCTCTGCAGGGACATGCCGCTTGACCATGAGTGGCTTTTTCATACTTTCTATATTTCAATGTTAGAGAGAAGAAAAAGCACTATTTAGCTGGGAACAATGGCTCACACCTGTCATCCCAGCACTTTGGGAGGCTGAGGCAGGAGGATCAGCTGAGCCTAGGAGGTCAAAGCTGCAGTGAGCTAGGATTGAAACTCTGCACCCCAGCCTGAGTGACTGAAAGTGAGACCCTGTCTATTAAGAAAAGAAAAGAAAAAAAGGCTGGGCATGGTGGCTCATGCCTGTAATCCCAGCACTTTGGGAGGCTGAGGTGGGTGGATCACCTGAGGTCAGGAGTTCAAGACCATCCTGCCCAACATGGTGAAACCCCATCTCTACTAAAAATACAAAAATTAGCTGGGCGTGGTGGTGCATGCCTGTAATCCCAGCTACTCAGGAGGCTGAGGCAGGAGAATCGCTTGAACCCAGGAGGCGGAGGATGCAGTGAGCCAGGATCGTGCCACTGCACTCCAGCCTGGGTGACAGAGCGAGACTCCATCTCAAAAAGAAAAATAAAAAAGAAAGAGAAAGAAAGAAAATATGATTTATCTGCCCTGTCACCAAGAAAAAAAAAGAAAGAGAGAGAGAAAGAAAGAAAGAAAGAAAGAAAGAAGGAAAGAAAATACGATTTATCTGCCCTGCCATCAATTTGTCACTTTGAGAAAGAAAACAAGAAAAGGTTCTTGCCACAACAGACATACAAAGCATAATCTGCCGGTTTGGGAGGAAAGAGCCTTTTCCAGGGACTTTCTAGAAAGGCCTCTCTTGTTACCTGGCCTGTCAAGGTGTGTGGGGGCGGGAAATGCCGCTCTGCACCGACCCTGGCGCGGCCTGGAGCTACTGGCCCGGGACCTGGAATGGAGCAGGATTCCCACGTGCCCTTCGCGGGCTGTGCAAAGGGCGGCCAGGCAACCGCAGGAGACAGTCTCTCTAACGAGTAGAAACTTTTCTTACTTTTAGCAAACCAGCAATGCTTACTCTCTCAAATGGGGTCTTCTCTTTTAGAATCAACATTAGAACCTGACTCTGCCCCCCATGACATAGGCCCCAAAGAAAGACATCCAGGAACCAGCGTTCCTACGCTATGCTCCCTTTCCTTCAGGTGAGGGCATCGGCTTTAGCAATCTCAGGGACAACACTCACTTTTGCATGAAGAACTTTCATAAACTCCACACCTGAGTTTCAGGCTGGAAAGAAATCAAGAAAAGCCAGTGAAATTTGATCACAGAACGCCCCAGCTCAGCAATGCATCACCAGAAGTAATAGAACCTCCTGCAGGGTTCTGACCCCCTCCCTCCCCCTGCCAACACGTTTTTAACAAAAGCCAGACCGCAGGGACTACATCAAACCTTAACACTTCTGCTCATCAGAGGACTCAGTCAACAGAGTAATGGCAACTGACAGAATGAGAAAAAATATTGGCAAATCATACATCTGACGAGGATCAACAGCCACAACATAGAAAGAACTCTTGGCTGGGCACGGTGGCTCACGCCTGTAATCCCAGCACTTTGGAAGGCCGAAGAGGGTGGATCACCTGAGGTCAGGAGTTCGAGAACAGCCTGGCCAACATGGTGAAAACCCATTTCTACCAAAAATACAAAAATTAGCTGAGCGTGGTGGTGCGCGCCTGTAATCCCAGCTACCAGGGAGCCTGAAGCTGGAGAAACGCTTGAACCCGGGAGGCAGAGATTGCAGTGAGTTGAGATCGCGCCACAGTACTCCAGCCTGGATGTGAGAAACAAACTCACTCATCCAAACCCAAAGAATGGACTCAGAGACCCAGAGAACAGCCAAAGTGAGACTTTTAATGACGATCTTGCCTGATAGGCAGGCACAGCCAGCACAGTTTCAATAGGCAATGTATCCCCTAGTGTGCAGGTCCCTCCCCCAGTTCCTCATAAAGTGAGTACTATGGGGCTACAACCTTCCCGGACATCGCCTACTGATTGTTCTGATTGTTAGGTAGGGCCTGTAGGTGTTTTTTTTTTTTTTTTTTTACAGTTATCTTGCTGCATTTTGTTGCAGCCCACAATGCATTGCAATCCTAGTTAGCTCAGGGGTTCTCCAAGTTTTTGACTTGTGACCTAAGTAGCTGGGCAGGCTGAAAAGAACAGACAAAGCGAGCTATTTTGAAGACTAGTAAGCTTTCGTCTTAGACTGAATTTCTTTGGTTCAGGTGAAGGCAACTAAGGGTGGGGAGGGTGGGGGTGCGGGGCGTGGCAAGAAGAGAGGGAAGGGGAAGGCCGACAAGCAGTCATTGGCTATCCAAGCAGGGGCCTGGTATATCCTGTTTCTTCTGTAGTTTGCTGACCTAAGCCAATTCAATGCACTTTGTCTTGGAAATAGACCACTGTATACATTATTTCCTTCATGGGTGACAGAGCAAAACTCTGTCTCAAGAAAAAAAAAACAACAACACACAACAACAACAAAAACTTTTAAAACTCAACAACAACAAAATCAAATAATCCAATCTAAAAATAAGTGAAAGCCTGGGAGTGGTGGCTCATGTCTGTAATCCCAGCACTTTGCCAGCACTTTGGGAGGCTGAGGTGGAAGGATCCCTTGAGGTCAGGAGTTCGAGACCACGCTGGGCAACATAGTGAGACACTGTCTCTACAAAAAATAAGAAAAAATGAAATTAGCTGGGCATAGTGGCGCATGTCTGTAATCTCATCTGCTTGGAAGGCTGAGGCAGGAGAATCACTTGAACCCAGGAGGCAGAGGTTGCAGTGAGCTGGGATCGTGCCACTGCACTCCAGCCTGAGTGACAGAGTGAGACTCTGTCTCAAAAAAAAAATCAAGATGGTAAATTGTATAATATGTGTTTTTACCACAATAAAATCAAACCACAGCGACTGATGACCCTATTCATTTCAATGCTCATATCGTATCTGAACAGTATCTAAAATAACAACACAGTTCCTTCCTGTTTTCCTAGCTTTAGGTAAAATAATACTCCCAAGTTCTTCAAAATGATGTCCTATTCCTTCAGGAATGCAGACAAAATTGACAAAAGTATTCATCCCAAAGACTACTGTCTCTGAGGTGGCCATCTGACAGTCTGGGAAGGACTCCCTCTCCATGGAAGCTCTCGTTGTGATCTGGGAAGTGTCCCACATCCAAGACACCAGTTCCCAAGCCCAGGTGCATCCCGACAGCCGTGGGCCGATTGTTCAGGACGTGGCACCAGTCATCATGATGGTACTGCCAATGTTGTCTGTGAACACACACAAGGACGGGGCTGCAGCTTCGACGGGAGCAGAGAGGTTACTCACACCGCCTGCCCACCTCCCTCGGTACACAGAGTAAATAAGAGAAGAGAGCAGGCATCGGCAACAAGAAACTGTGTTTAGGCAAACACAGAGTTGCAGTCGCTCACTTCCCAGGCTGGACACACTCCCTCCTGCTAAATGACAGTGGCCAACGACAGTGTGTGGGAGGACTTTGAGAGTTTTTGGGTAAAAAGGCCAACCTCACTTTCAAAAAGAGTGAAAGTAGAGTAGAAGGAAACAGAGAAAGGAACGCAGTATTTTTAAAGCCCTGACAGGTGGCGGTCCCCTGTGGTGCTCTGGTGGCCGGGCTCTGGTCTCCAGAGTGTCTGCTGGAGCCACTCGGGTGGTAACTGGGGAGGCATCACAGTGACCCGGTGCGCTTTTTTTTTTTCTACTCTACATGATTTCCCCTTAAGAAGGGGCCAATATGCTGAAAATAATTATAAAAAACACCCAAAGAGGCAATAGAAAGGTTACTTTTTTTTTAGATCCAGGTTTTGAACATTTAATTTTTCCTAGGAAATTGTCTATTTTAATGAAATGTTCAAGTGTTGGAGCACAGAGTCATGCATAGCTAATAAGTTCTCTCTTCTTGTATTAACATTTCTGCTGTATCATGCCTGCCATCACCTCTATTTTCAACATGGCAAGGATGCCCCTGGACCATGTAAAATGTCAGAAAGCTGAAGGCTGTGGGAGCCGGAAAGAGAGAGGCAGGTGGAGTCACGTGGCAGACCATGACCCAGTGAGTGTCAGAGAGAAAGCTCTGAAGGGTGTGGGAGCCAAGAGCAATATTCAGAATTCAGTAGCATTCAGGCTCACTAACACAAATGACTGTAAAATGCAGTTTTTTTAAGTGTGCTTTACCACAGCAGCACATTTAACTATTTATTTTATTTATTTATTTATTTTGAGATGGAGTCTCACTCTGTCACCCAGGCTGGAGTGCAGTGGCGCAATCTTGGCTCACTGCAACCTCTGCCTCCCGGGTTCAAGCGATTCTCCTGCCTCAGACTCCCAAGTAGCTGGGACTACAGGCGCCCGCCATCATGCCCGACTCATTTTTGTATGTTTAGTAGAGACGGGGTTTCACCGTGTTGGCCAGGCTGGTCTTGAACTCCTGACCTCAGGTGATCTACCCACCTCGGCCTCCCAAACTGCTGGGATTACAGGCGTGAGCCACTGCGCCCGGCCCCACATTTAACAATTAAAAAAACTTTTTTTGTAGACCGTGTCTCAGTTTGTTGCCCAGGGTGGTCTTGAACTCGTCTTCAAGTGATCCTCCAGTCTTGGCCTCTCAAAGTGTTGGGATTACAGGCTGATTCTAAAACATGTGATGGGAAAGCCAAGAGCCGAGAACAGTCAGATGTGTTCTGAAGGGCAACGTGGGGCATAAAGATGGATCGCAAAGCTGAAATACCCAAAGGCTGTGCCGGCTCAGGACAGATGAGCAGTCCCAGGACGGAGAAGAGTCTAGGACCAGACTCAAGAAACTGTGGCCACGTAACAGATGGCCACGTGGCATTACAGCCTGTAGGAGGGAGAAGGGACTCGATTCATGTCCATGTGGAAAAAGAAAACAGAACTGAATCTCTATGTCACACCTTACTCCAAAGACCTCAAGATAAAACCTTACAACTTTCAGAAGAAAATGCAGAAGGCTTTATGACTTTGGTATGAAATATAACTTCTTGATTAAAACACTGAAAGCACAGAGCAGATTGCTGGATTAGTCTACATTCCACTGTAAACGTTCTATATATTAAAAGACAAAATAAAGGAGTGAAAAGACTTTAAGCCACAGACTGGGAGAAAAGCTTTGCAGAGGATAGAGCCAACTAAGCATTAGAATCCAGAATATTCATAGAATCTAATAACTTAATTAAGAAAAGGCCAAGAACCCATTGAAAAGGGGGAAAACAGGAACTGGTAATTCACAAACTGGAAACAGAACGGACCACAGAAACCAGAAAGACGGCTCCCACGCCTGTGGTGGGGGGTGATGCAGAGCAGCCTTGGCCAGAGCTGTGGCGGTGTCAGGAGGCCAAGGACAGCCATGCCGTGGGACCTGGCAAGCCCGTGTCTCAGTACCTGCCCTGGAACCCCTTGCGCCTGCATGAGACTGTTCAGTAGCCGTGCTAGACTTGCAGAAAACTGGAGTCCCACCCCCACCCCGCTGACACTCCATCAGTAGGATGGACACTGTGGCCCAGCCAGGACTGGCATTCCCCTGGTACTCTGTGTGCCCCAGCAACCCTGCAACTATTCATGAATGAACTGGAGTGACACATGTCACAGTTAGCGTGGCAGGCTCACACACTGCAGGTGAGGAAAGGAGCTGCAGAAGAAAGAGAACGACAGATGGATAGGTACGTGCATACACGAATAGACAGGTGGATGGATAGATAGGTACATACATACACGAATAGACAGGTGGATGGATAGATACATACATACACGAATAGACAGGTGGATGGATAGGTACATACATACACGAATAGACAGGTGGATGGATAGGTACATACATACACGAATAGACAGGTGGATGGATAGGTACAATCTTACACGAATAGACAGGTGGATGGATAGGTACATACACGAATAGACAGGTGGATGGATAGGTACATACACACACGAATAGACAGGTGGATGGATAGGTACATACACGAATAGACAGGTGGATGGATAGGTACATACACACACGAATAGACAGGTGGATGGATAGGTACATACACATATGAATAGATAGGTGGATAGATAGGTACATACATACATAAATGGATAGGTGGATAGATAGGTACATACATACATGGATGGATAGGTAGATAGATAGGTACACACACATATGAATAGACAGGGGGATGAATAGGTACATACATGAATGGATAGGTGGATAGATAGGTACATATGTACATGGATGGATGGCTAGGCACATACATATATACATGGCTAGATGGATAGACAGGTGTATATGTACCGGAATAGATACATACATACATATATGAATGGATAGAGAAATGCACACATACATGGGCAGGGAGACAGATGGAGAGATAGCTACATCTATCCATGCATAAAGGTAATAGGTCTCTATATCTCCTGTGCTACTGCAGAGTGTGATCTGTATCACTTGGAGGAATAAGCCTAGGCATTAGAAGTACAAACCCACGCAAAGAATGTTAACACCAAATTCAGGACTGCCACTCTCACCTCGGGGGCCTCTGGGATGTGGAGTGCATTGTCAGATCTCATTTCTGAAGAGGGATGGTGGACACTAGGATGTTTGTGATGCAAGCAAGTTCTTTGTCTTTTTTTTTTTTTTTTTTGGTCTGATCAACTTCATAAAGATGATTTTTAAAATGCCCAGCTCTGAGTGCAGGTCCTCAGCTTTACTCCTGAATGTGAGCCTCGCTGAGTCCGAAGCCGGTCGCAGGCCTGGGAAACCAGGGTGGGCTGAGGAGGCAACGGGAGGCAGAAGGGCCAGCAGGAAGGATGGGACCCCAGGCTAGGCTGGGGGGTCAGCAGCAGACATGGGTTGAAGGGGAGTGGGTCATGGGAAGGGCCTGTGCAGGATGGAGCCCAGCAGGGGATGGGAGAGGACACAAAGCCAGGCAGAAGGCGGTGATGGCAGCAGAGAGGAGCACCCAGGGGCCGCCGCTTGGCCACGAGTGTAGGCCACCCAGGGGCCGCCGCTTGGCCACGAGTGTAGGCCCACGGTGCCCTCAGCACAGTGCCCCAGGGCTCGCCAGCCACCCAGGACCGAGACTCGTAGTGCTGGGGGGCTGCAGCTCCTTCCCATCCTTTCCTAGGGCTGCCTCTAGCCCCCATCTCTCCAAATTAGCAGGGGAGCTGGAGCCCCTAAGACCCCAGCCTCACATCATCCTCACGCCTCTGTTGGGAGCCATGCCCTGCTGCACCCGAATCTTCTGTTTCTCCCTGACCATGGGCTCCTGAAGTTCGAGGCCTGTGGTTGTTCCTCTCTTCAACTTGGTTGCTGCGGTGAGTTTCTGGGAGGTTTGTCTTACTAGATTCTGTGCTTCCCTCCACCATGGGAACCTGGAATCTCTGTTTTGCTTTTTAGCATGCAGGTAATTTCCAGCCTTTACATCTGCCTATCAGACAAATCCTATCTTCATACCTCAGGCAGTATCACCCCCAACGTGTGGTCTAAATTTGGACTTCTGTATGCATGAACTCACCTCGAGGGCAGCCTCAATGTAGGCGTAGTGGGGGGATTGGGGTGGCGGTGGGGCTTGTTGCTGCCCCTGTGTGAGCTTCCTGCTGAACACCAAGGCGAGGGTTTACAAATTCCTGGGTCAGTGGAGGGGCCTCTGGGCATACGGGCTTTGGGAGTGGGGGCGCCCCAGCACGGGGAGGCACCCTGGCTGCCTCAACTAGAGATGCTTTGCTTATTTCTTCCATGACACAATTACCAGGGAAGATTTTATTTAAAGAAAGACTTTACTACTACAAATCGAAACAAATCGAAAGCCACTGTATTATTGCCTTTCTCCCTCTTGTTTTGTGGAAAACCACATGGCCCACTGTGATGCAAAATGAGAACTAAGACCTGCTAAGGAGCAGAAGTGGGGGTGTGAGGGGGGAGGGGCTCCACCAGCGGCAGGTGTGGTGGTGCTGCAGGTGAGACATGAAGGAAACAGCCTGGCGTGGCCCTTAACAGGCCAAGTCCCTGGGCCCTTCTGCCGCAGACTGCACCTTCCCACAGCACTAGAGCCGCTAGGCTGGGGGGTTGTCCCTCACCTCACCAATCTGCAGAGCAAGCAGCCCTGTCCCTTGGCTTGCTAAGAGCTGCAGGGGAGTCAGTGACTTACTCAGGAGCAGGCAGGTCATGGGGAGCCAGCCTCTGCACAAGCTCTACCCTGGGCAGCAGTCACCGCTGTGCCCCCGCCCCACAGAAGCCACAGGGCTGTGACAGCCCCCACAATGCACATGAGGAGGGGCAGGAGTTGGCTGCAGAAAGGGAATGATGGGAAGAGGAAAAATGCTGGCTCCTGGCAGCTGAGCCTTTTTTTTTTTTGAGATAGAGTCTCTGTTGCCCAGGCTGGAGTACAGTGGAGCAGTCTCGGCTGACTGCAACCTCAGCCTCCCAGGTTCAAGCGGTTCTCCTGCCTCAGCCCTTGAGTAGCTGGGATTACAGGCATATGCCACCACAACTGGCTAATTTTTGTATTTTTTAATAGAGACGGGGTTTCACCATGTTGGCCAGGGGGGACCTCCAACTCCTGACCTCAAGTGATCCACCCTCCTCGGCCTCCCAAAGTGCTGGGAACCACCGCACCCGGCCTTTTTTTTTTTTTTTTTTTTTTTGAGAAAGTTCTTGCTCTGTCACCCAGGCTGGAGTGCAGTGCAACAATCGCAGCTCACTGCAGCCTCGAACTGGCCTCAAGGGATCCTCCCGTCTCAGCTCCCTGAGCAGCTAAGACTGCAGGCACATGCCACCATGCCTGGTTTTTTAAATTTTTTCTTTTTTTAGTAGACACAAGGTCTCACTATGTTGCCCAGGCTGGTCTCAAACTCCTGGGCTCAAGTGATCCTCCTACCTCGGCCTCTCAAAGTGCTGGAATTACAGGCATGAGCCACGACACCTGGCTGCAGCTAAATTTTGAAGAGAACCTTGCTCTGTTTATTTTCTTTCCTTTCCTTTTTTATTTTTTATTTATTTTTTGAGACAGGGTCTCACTTTTTTGCCCAGGCTGGAGTGCAGTGGTGCAATCTCAGCTCACTGCAACCTCCACCTCCCTGGCTTAAGCAATTCTCCTGCCTCAGCCTCCAGAGTGGCTGGGACTACAAGCATGTGCCACTATGCCTGGCTAATTTTTGCATTTCTCTGTAGAGACGGGGTTTTGTCATGTTGCTCAGGCTGGTCCCGAACTTCTGGACTGAAGTGATCCTTCCCAGGAAGGAAGCCACACCCAGGCACACACCCTGGGCCTTGATAATACAGGTGCTGGGACTATAGGTATGAGCCACAATGCCTGGCCTCCTTTTGTTTTTCAAAAAATGCTTAATATTCACGCAAGATGAAGAGTTCTTTTCTTTTTTTCTTTTTTTGGGACAGAGTTTCACTCTGTTGCCCAGGCCAGAGTACAATGACACAATCTCAGCTCACTGCAAACTTCACCTCCTGGGTTCAAGTGGTTCTTCTGTCTTAGCCTCCTGAGTACCTGGGATTACAGACATGTGCCACCACGCCTAGCTAATTTTTGTATTTTTAGTAGAGACAGGGTTTCATCATGTTGGTCAGGCTGGTTTCGAACTCCCGACCTCGGGTGATCCGCCCGCCTCAGCTTCCCAAAGTGTTAGGATTACAGGCGTGAGCCACCGCACCAGGCCAAGATGAAGAGTTCTAGGGAGTGGCTGCAGCACAGTGAGAATGGATTTAACACCACTGAACTACGCACTTAAAAATGGGTAGACCTTTTATGTTCTGTATGTTTGACCACAATCACATATTTTTAAAAGAAAGGAAAGGATGCCTGAGATTCAGATCAGAGCTCTGACAGCCAGTTTGTTTTCTGTGTCCAACCCATTTTTCTTTGCTTCTGTCTCCCTCCATTTACTGACCCTCACTTTACTTTAAAAACCAGATCTCTGAGGAAGGCATGAGGCAGCCAATAGCCACCTCTGGAGGCCAGGAGGCACTGGCACCGCGATGCTGTGGGGTACGGTGTGGAGAAGGCAGTGTGGCCCTGTGAGCTCGTGAGCCAGTGGGGACAAAGCTCACAGCCATCGATGCCACGCAGCTCAGGCACCACACAGAGACGGCCACCAGCCTGGAATCTGCTCCATGTCTTGGGAGAAAAGGAGCCTAGAACTCAGCCAAAGCATGAAAGCCTGGGTGAGAAATGCTGGTTTTCACTGAGAGAACTGAAATAGAAACTTCAGTCTCTTTCTGCCAAAGACACCAAAGCCTCTGGAATCTGAGCCACTGAGGCCTGAAAAGCAATTCTGGTTCTGGGGCTTATCACCACCCCCATTAACCCCCTCAGTCAGGGGCTGGCCACCCCACTGCCCTGGACGCTGTTTAGGGCATGGCCCTTCACACACCTCCCCACAGAGGCTGCATCCGAGCTCCCCTGAGACTCACCACCTCAGCTCTTCTCATTGGCTAAATCCCATCCACCCTTCTGGTGTGGCTTCCTCTAAGGGACCCCCTGACCACCCAGCCTGAATGCACACTTAGGTGGATATGAGTATTTATGTGTGATGCTGTCATCCCCTGAGTCTGCCCCCTGGTTCCCAGCCTGCTCAACTCTGTATCCCAAGCGTCTGACAGGAATAATGATTTGCTGAAGGTTGAATGAACCCACGACACTGTCGGGGCTCAGACTCCTGCAACGTTACTGAGTAAATCCACGGGAGGAGAGACGGAGCTCAGCCTGGGACAGGCCTTCCCGTGGCACCAGCCTGGCCTTGGGAACACAAGCTTTTCAGGAACCTGCTGCTCATAAAAACTGTATAGTTGTCAAAGCCGAGCACATTCTGCTCCCAGGTTAGAGGGTGCGCGATTCTATCCGAATGTTGATTCTGAAGATAAACTGCCCTTTAGCAGCAAGTGGGGCTGAAAATGAGGCTCTCAGAATGGAAACGCAAACTTCGAAACTGGTGAGGGCGGGAAGCTGTTGTAAACATCGCTGATGCATAGTCGGCCCGTAGCTCAGCTCTCTCTTTGGGAACCTTGCCCACCCCCTCCCCTGCCAGGCAGCAGGCTGCACGCCCTGCCTCCCTCCGGGAAGCACCTGGCCTGACATCACTCCACTGTCATCAGGCAGAGGACGGGCACATCCTGTGCTCAGCCCTCCAAAAGCAAACACAGCGGGCTGGGGAGAGGCTGGAGCTGGATGCAGGGCACCTGCAAACCCAGCCCTCTCCCTGCTCCTGGAGGCACAGGCACCTCCTCCCCGGGTGCGAGGAGCAGCCCTGAGCAGGGCTGCCTAATGGGGAGGCAGGCTTGGGCCCACGCAAACCTTTCTGTCTTTACTGTGGGTGCATCGGCACCAAGGGCAGGGGCAGGCACTGCTCTTCCGGTGTGACAGCAACCCGGTGCCGGGTGGAGAGGGATGACAGGGAAAGGTGAGAGGGAGCTTCCCAGAGCACCGGAAATGTCCTATCCCTGGGTGGGATGTAGATTTCATGAAAGTTCATCAGCCAAAACTCCTGTTATGGGAAACAAGATCTGTGCATTTTGTTGTATGAAAATTATGCCTTACTTAAAACAAAACGGATCACACCCACTAGGATGACTGCTATTAAAAAAACACACACACACACATGCTGGTGAGGATGTGAATGAAGACGGTGGGACCCTCATGTGCAGACGGTGGGACCCTCGTGTGCCGATGGTGGGAATGTGAGATGGTGCAACTGCTATGGAAATCAGTGTGGCTGCTCCTCAAAAGTTAAAAGTAAGAAGAGCCTCTGATCCAGCACACCATTTCCAGGTGTAGATCCAAAAGAAGCGAAAGCAGGATTGGGGCAAATGCCCACCCATGCTGAAGAGATAGAGGGAACCTGAGTGCCCATGAGGAGATGAATGGATAAAGAAAAGATGACACATCCGCAGAAGGCAGCATCACTCAGCCTGGAGAGGCAGGGAACTCGGACACACACCGCCACGTGGATGGACCTTGCGGATATTATGCAAAGTAAAATAAGTCAGTCACAGAAAGACAAATGCGGAGTGAGTCCACTGACATGAGTTCTCTAGAATAGCCAAATTCACAGACAGAAAGCAGAATGGTAAGCTGGGGAGGGGCTGAAAAGAAGGGAGAAAGGAGAGTTGTGGTTTAGTGGGTACAGTGTTTCAGTTTTGCAGGATGAAAAGGATTTTGGAGACTGGATGCACAACAACGCGGATATACTTAGGTTATACTAAGGATATACTTAGGATATACTTAGGTTATCGAACTGGGTGCTTAAAAATGGTTATGATGATAAATGTCATGTTGGGCGTTTGTTACCACAAGTGAGTAGAAAAGCTGCACAGTGATGGGGCCAGGGATCTTAGCAGCCCCCATCATCCTCATCCTTACTTCTCAACCACGCGGCCCTGGCCCTTCTGTGTCGGCCCCACTTCCTCAGGAAACACCAGCCGTGGCCTGAAGAGACCCTCCAGAGTCCCCGTGGCCGACCCCAGGCCTGCTTCCCCACCGACTGGCTGGGGTGTCTCCTGTTATCTGGAAAGGCTGCTTCCCAGAGCAAGTCTAGAACCGCCCCACTGGGAGCAGATGGTACTATGCGAAGGCCACTGTCACGCACGGGGCTGCCATCCCACGGGCTGGCCCTGGGCAGGTGGGTCTCTGGGACCAGCTCTGGCAGCACAAGAGGAGCCCCCGGCCCTGCCACCCTTCAAAGAGCACCACCTGAGCACAGGACAGAGGCCCGCTGCCTGTGGGGCCACCACAGACCCCGGCCCTCTTAATGAACACACGGCGGGCGGAGGGGGGCGTCCCTCGGAGGCAGGCCCTGGCAGCCACAGGTGTGGGACAGTTGATGGCATGTGGGCCGCTGCCTTCTCTCTGGAACCCGTGCAGTTGTGCAGTTGGCCCCCAGCACAGCCTCTTCCACTCCGATTAAGCACCAACGGTTTGTGCCAACCCCATGAAATGTGACTACCAACCTGACTTTGTCATCGCAGGAAGGGAGGGAACGCAGGGCCTGGGCTTGGCAAGCGTCTTGTGGGAAGGGCCAGTTGGTAAATATGTTAGGCTCTCCAGGCCACATGGCCTCTGTCCCAGCTACTCAACCTTGCCGTGGGAGCAAAACAGCCCACACAAAGCAAAAGGAATGGGCACCACTGTGTTCCAGTAAAGCTCATTTATGGACAGTGAATTAGAATTTCAGATCGTTTTCACATGTCATGAAATCTTTTTATTTTTTACGATCATAACTCACTGCAGCCTCCAACTCCTGGGCTCAAGCGATCCTTCTGAGTAGCTAGGAGTACAGGCTCATGCCACCACTCCCAGCTAATTTTTTAATTTTTTGTAGAGACGGGGATTGAGTTGGCCTCAAGCAGTCCACCGCCTCAGCCTTCCAAAGTGCTGAGATTACAGGTGTGAGCCCCTTAGGCCAATCGTGAATAATAATCCTCCTCCTCTTCTCCTTCTTTCTTCTTCCTTCTTTCTGACCATTTAGCAATGTAACAAACATAGTAAGCTCCTGAGCCATGGGGTAGAGCGGTGCTGGGATCTGGCCAACAGGTCACAGCTGATGATCCCAGCTCTGTCCCTAGGTCCAGACAGGCCCTCCCCAACAAGTGTCCCTCACTACCCACTCCCCAGGGATCATCCTACTGCGAAATGTGAACCACAATGACATCAGCTGCAGAGGAAGCAAAGCGGATAAACAGAGAGGCAATGAGGTCAGAGGGTCAAAGCCCATATCACAGTCTGGACTCGTGCCTGGCGCTCACGCTGTCACTCAGAAGAGCCCATCAAGCTTCAAGACTGTCCACGGAACTCTTGGCTCTCCCTGAGGCTGCCTGCACAGTTTAAACTCTAAAGACATGAAAATCGATTCACTAGAAAGTTAAACCAGAAATGGTATGGGCCAGTCACATTCCCCCAGGAAGGAAAGCCACCCCCCGGCACACATCCTGGGCCTTGATCACACAGGTGCATTGGAGACCAAATCCCAGCCCTGATGACACGGGCATCAGGTGCAGTGGCCCCCTGGACCGCATGATGTCAAATGTGGCAGAACCTGCACTCTGACCCTTCCTGGCATTGGGATCTAAAAACACACCCTTACAGTTAGCCTCTCTCTGCTTGTTTTCTGGTCTACAAAATGGGGGTGAAATATCTTTGCACCTCATGGTTGTTGTGGAGGTTGGGGCAAAATAGAATACAGGCACACCTGTATTTTATTGTAGTTTGCTTTATTGCATTTTATAGATATTGTGTTTTCTACAAATTGAAGGCTTGTGGCAAGCCTGTGTCTAGCAAGTCTCTTGGTGCCATTTTTCCAACAGTATGTGACCTCTGGCTCTCTGTGTCACATTGGTAATTCTCATAATATGTCATACTTTTTCCTTATTAGGTATCCATCATGGTGATCGGTGACTGTCGCCGGTAGAGGGTCGTGACTGCAAGTTGTCCAGGTTCTTGGTGTTTTGAACAAAGAATTGGACAAAACACCCAGCAAAGCAAAGAAAGAATGAAGCAACAAAAGAATGAAAGCAGGTGTTTATTGAAAATGAAAGAACACGCCACAGTGTGGGAGCGGGCCCAAGCAGTGGCTCAGGGCCCAGATACAGAATCTTCTTGGGTTCAAATACCCCCAAGAAGTTTCCCATTGGCCACTTCATGCTCATCTCATGTAAATGAAGTGATAGCCCACAATCATTCTGATTGGTTGCAGAAAGCAGCCAACCAGAGGCTGAAGTAATGTTACAAAGGTCACACTCCTGTGCAAACATCTGATTGGTTGCAAAAAGCAATCAGAGGCTAGGATGAAGTTACAGAGTTATACTTCTATGCAAACAAAGACTCTGCCCACAATCAGTCTGATTGATTGTGGACAGCAACCATTCCAAGGCCAGAGTGAAGTTACCAAGTTGCAAACAAAGACTCCACCGGCAATCAGTCAGATTTGTTGAAGACAGCCAATTTCCCATCTGCCAGTGCAGAAAAGGTGAGGATTTAGGTTCCCTGCTTCCAGACCCTATTCTCCTGCCTCATGAGTAATGATTTTTTTTTTTTTTTTTGAGACAGGGTCTCACTCTGTCACCCAGGCTGGAGTGCAGTACTGCAGTCATGGTTCACTGCAGCCTCAATCTCCCAGGCTCAGGCGATCCTCCCACCTCAGCCTCCCGAGTAGCTGGGACCACAGGCACACGTGTGCCACCATGCCTGGATAACTTTTGTATTTTTTGTAGAAACTGGGTTTCACCATGTTTCCCAGGCTGGTCTCAAACTCCTGGGCTCAAGCAATCTACGTGCTTCAGCCTCCCAAAGTGTTGAGATTACAGGTGTGAGCCACTGCACCCAGCCTGTGATCTTTGATGTTACTATTGTCATTGTTTTGGGCCCGGAACCATGCCCGTATAAGACAGTGAACTTCTGATAATATGTGTGTTCTGACTGCTCCACTGACTGTCCATGCCCCATCTCTCTCTCTCTCCTTAGGCCTCCCTATTCCCTGAGACACAACAATATTGAAATTAGGCCAATTAATAACCCTACAATGGCCTCTAAGTGTTCAAGTGAAAGGAAGGGTTGCACATTTCTCACTTTAAGTCAAAAGTTAGAAATGATTAAGCTTAGTGAGGAAGGCTGTCAAAAGTTGAGACAGGCTGAAAGCTAGACCTCTTGCACCAAATAATCAAATTGTGAATGCAAAGGTAAAGTTCCTGAAGGAGATTAAAAGTGCTCCTCCAGTGAAGACACAAATGATAAGAAAGTGAAACAGCCTTATTGCTGATATGGAGAATGTGGTAGTGGTCTGGATAGAAGATCAAACCAGCCATGCATTTCCTTAAGTCAAAGCCTAATTCAGAGCAAGATCCTACTTCTCTTCAATTCTATGAAGGCTGAGAGAGGTGAGGAAGCTGCAGAAGAAAACTTAGAAGCTAGTAGAGATTTGTGCATGAGGGTAAGGAAGGAAGCCATCTACATAACATAAAAGTGCAAGGTGAAGGAGCAAGTGCTGATGTAGAAGCTGCCGCAAGTTATCCAGAAGATCTGGCTAAGATCACTGATGAAGGTGGCCACACTAAACAACAGATCGTCAATGTAGGTGAAACAGCCTTCTATCAGAAGAGGATGCCATCTAGGACTTTCCTAGCTAGAGAGGAGAAGTCAATGACTGGCTTCAAAGTTTCAAAGGAAAGGCTGGCTCTGTTAGGGGCTAATGCAGCTGGTGACTTTATGTTGAAGCCAATGTTTATTCGCCATTCCAGAAATCCTAGGGCCTTAAGAATCATGCCAAATTTTCTCTGCCTGCGCTCTAGAAATGGAACAAGAAAACCTAGATGACAGCACATTTGTTTACAGCAGGGCTTACTGAATATTTTAAGCCCACTGTTGAGAAATGCTGCTCAGAAAAAAAAAAAGAATCCTTTCAAAATATTACTGCACCTAGTCATCCAGGAGCTGTGATGGAGATGGACAAGGAGATGAAAGCTGTGTGCATGCCTGCTAACACAACATCCATTCCGCAGCCCATGGACTGAAGAGTAATTTCAATTTCAAGTCTTATTATTCAAGAAATACATTTCATAAGGCTATAGTTGCCATAGATGGTGATTCCTCTGATGGATTCGGGCGAAGTACATTGAAAATCTTTTGGAAAAGATTCACCAGTCTAGATGCCATGAAAAGCAGCAAGTTGTGGTGACTTACACCTGTTAATTCCAACAATTTGGGAGGCTGAGGCAGAAGAATCACTTGAGTCCAGGAGTTTGAGACCAGCCAGGGCAACATATGGAGACTCTGTTTATAAAAAAAAAAAACAAAACAAACAAAAAAAAAAACTAGCCAGGTTTGGTGGTGCATGCCTATAGTTCCAGCTAATTGGGAGGCTGAGGCAGGGCTCACCTGAGCCCAGAAGGTTGTTGATGTCCTCGCGATCACATCACTGCACTCCAGACTGGGCAACGAGTGAGACCCTGTCTCAAAAAAAAGAGAACATTTTTGCTTCATGGGAAGAGGTCAAAATATCAACATTAATAGGAGTTTGGAAGAAGTAGATTCCAACCCTCATGGATGACTTTGAGGGTTCAGGACTTCAGTGGAGAAAGTCACTGCAGATGTGGGGGAAACAGCAGGAGAACCAGATTTAGAAGTGGAGCCTAGACCAGGTGCAGTGGCTCACACTGGTAATCCCAGCACTTTGGGAGTCCGAGGTGGGTGGATCACGAGGTCAGGAGTTCGAGACCATCCTGGCTAACACGGTGAAACCCCATCTCTACTAAAAATACAAAAAATTAGCTGGGCGTGATGGCGGGCGCCTGTAGTCCCAGCTACTCAGGAGGCTGAGGGAGGAGGATGGCGTGAACCCGGGAGGCGGAGCTTGCAGTGAGCCAAGATTGCACCACTGCACTCCAGCCTGGGCGACAGAGCGAGACTCCGTCTCAAAAAAAAAAAAGAAGTGGAGCCCGAAGAAGGGGCTGAATTGCTGCAATCTCAGGATCCAACTTGAACACATGAGGAGTTGCTTCTTAGGGATGAACAAAGAAAGTGGTTCCTTGAGACGGAACGTCCTCCTGGGGCAGATGCTGTGAACATGGTTGCAATGACAACAAAGCGTTCAGAATATTTCATAACCGAAAAAACACAGCAGGCTTGAGAGGATTTCTAATTTTGAAAGACCTTCTACTGTGGGTAAAATGGTATCAAGCAGCCTCCAGTGCCGGGGGCCATCTCCTGTGAAAGGCAGAGTCAATCAATGTGGTAAACTTCACTGTTGTCTGATTTGAATACATTGTCACAGCCCCTCTACCCTTCAGCAACCACCACCCTGATCAGTCAGCAGCCATCAGCACCGAGGCAAGGCCCTCCACCAGCAAAAAGATTCTGACTCACTGAAGACTTGGATGATCATTAGTATTTTTAGCAGTAAAGTTTTTTTTTCTTTTTCTTTCTTTTTTTTTTTTTTTTAGACGGAGTCTCGCTCTGTCATCCAGTCTGGAGTGCAATGGCGTGATCTCGGCTCACTACCACCTCCGTCTCCTGGGTTCAAGAGATTCTTCTGCCTTAGCCTCCTGAGTAGCTGGGATTACAGGCGCGCGACACCATGCCCAGCTAATTTTTTTTTTTTGTATTTTTAGTAGAGACGGGGTTTCACCATATTGACCAGGCTGGTCTTGAATTCCTGAGGTCATGATCCTCCCGCCTCAACCTCCCAAAATGCTGGGATTACAGGCATGAGCCACCACGCTCGGCCAAGTATTTTTAAATGAAGGCATATAAAAATTGTTTTTTTTAGATGTGATGCTATCCTATATTTAATAGACTACAGTTTAGTGTAAACATAACTTTTATATGTGCTGGGAAACCAAAAAATTCATATGACCCACTTCATTATGATATTCACTTTACTGCAGTGTGGTCTGGAACTGAACTCACACTATCTCCAAAGTATGCCTATAAAATAAAGCCCTCACCCAATTCCCTGCCTCAGAAAGCCCCTTCCTCACCTCCACCCAAGTCGAGGGCGTGAGTTAAATTTAGCTAGCTTCCGGCTGTATCCATTCAGTAAACACAAAACAAAAGGTACTAAATGGCAAGAACTGCATGCAGGGGGCTTTTGGGACAGTGCCCAGGACACAGGAGCTCAATCAACGTCAGCTGTGACAGTGGTGCAGATGACTAACGTCTGACAGATCTTCTTTCTTTAGAAAAGAACAGCTGTCTTCAGACAGGGCTCCACCCAGAGCTGGGCAACAGGTGACCACTGCCCTGAACATCCCTACGCAGCCCACCCAGCCCTACCCAGCTCCAAGAGGAGCAAGGGTCCAGCCAGACCTGCTCGGACAAGGCCTCATGGGGCCACCTCTGGATCCCGGGCACACCTGCAGGGATAGAGCCACAGGAAGTGGGGGCCGAACTGAAGCTCCACTTCTAGAGTGACCTTGAGGGCAGCAGTGCTCAGGCCAGCTCCTGAGACAGCCATGGGGAGTGGGGAGGTGGTGTTCAATGGGAACAGAGTTTCAGCCTCGGAAGATGACGACGTTCTGGAGATGGTGATGGTGCTGGCTGCTCAACACTGTGAATGTCCTTAATGCACTTAAAAATGGTTAAAGTGGGGCCAGGTGCGGTGGCTCACACCTGTAATTCCAGAACTTTAGGAGACCGAGATGTGTGGATCACTTGAAGTCAGAAGTTCAAGAACAGCCTGGCCAACATGGTGTTGGTACTAAAAAATACAAAAAAAATCAGCCAAGCATGGGGCGCATGCCTATAGTCCCAGCTACTAGGGAAGCTGAGGTAGGAGAATCACTTGAACCCGGGAGGTGGAGATTGCAGTGAGTCGAGATTGTGCCACTGCACACCAGCCTGGGTGACAGAGTCTCCATCTCAAAAAAAAAAAAAATTAAAGTGGGCCAGGCACAGTGGCTCACGTGTGTAATTCCAGCACTTTGGGAGTCCCAGCCTGGAGGATAGTTTGAGGTCAGAAGTTTGGACTAGCCTGGGCAACATAGCCAGACCCTATCTCTACAAACAATTTTTTTTCAAAATCAGTCAGGTACTGTGGCTCACACCTGTAGTCTCAGCTACTTGGGAGGATCACTTGAGCCCAGAAGGCGAGCTGTGCTTGCTCCACTGCACTCCAGCCTGGGCAACAAAGCGAGACCCTGTCTCAAACAAACAAACAAACAAACAAACAAAACATGATTAAAGTAGTGAATGTTGTATGTATTTTACTGTAATGTGTTTAAGAGGGAAAAATCACCTTGGGGAAAGAAAGGAGTACCCAGGAGCACTTCCAAGGTTATACTTAGGTTTTTGCTTCCTAAGCCAGGAAACGTAACTTTGCATTTGATTTATTCTGTACCCATCTTATCAGCACTTTCAGAGAAATAAGAACAGGGAATTGGAGCTCTCACAATAACTGGACAAAGACGGGCAAGAGATTAGAGAGCCCCAGTGCCTGCTGCCACCTCCTGATTCACTTCCCAGGGCGTGAGTGGGCCCTGCCCACACTGTGGTGAGGCCCTCACCCCGCCCTTCCTGGGATGAGGACACAGCCAGCCCTCGCTTGTGATCGATGCATGCAGGCTGCAGCTTTCACCCGGGGGTCACAGCCTCACTCCAACTCACATCAGGCCACATGGCAGCCCCATCGAGTCTTTGGGCCCTGCTGCAGAGGCAGGTGCCATGCCTGCACTGCACATCCAGGTGTGTTGTTGAGCAACCCCCTCCAGACCTTGATGTCATCCTCCTGGGCCCCTCCTCCAAGTCTTGTGCAACCCAGTGGTGTGATGTTTGTGTCCTGCACCCCAGGTCCTGACTGGCACACACCCTTCTCAGCTGGGTTAGCTCCTCCGTGTCTTTCAGGTGCCTGCACCCCAGCAGCAGAGAACCAACTGCATGGTAGCCATGTTCATGCAATCCACTCTCTGTTCCTGGATGCCAGCATCTGGCACCCCGTCCCAGCACACAACAGGATGCATGGATGGTGGCCTGGCGTCATGGACCTGGGGAGACAAGGCAGCCCAGCAGCCCCTGCAGAGCCTCAGGGAACTGTTCCTAAAACAAGTGAACTTGCTTTGGGAATCCAGGAACACCTTTGCTGGAACAATCCAGCCCTTGGGACACCCTAATTTGAAGCCCCCACCACCACCCAGGGGTGCAGCTTTGGCGAGGGGCCGGTCAGGAACAGCTGCTAATCTAGGTGGGGTTTCCTAAGCCCAATTCACCTGCCAGAAAATCAAGCCCTAAATAAGTAATTTGGTTTCCCCTTAGTTTTCTTTCCCTCCCACTGCCCTTTACAACAACCTGCCAGTTTAAGCCAAGGAACAAAGATAGAGACATCCTCTGAGCCCCACCTGCCATTTGTGATAAACATTTCAGAGAATGAGTTAAGCAGTGCTGGAGAAAACAGGAAAAATAAACTCTGAGTCTCTACATAAATATATATTCTATGAAAACCTAAACTTAATCCACCACCAGCACAAGGCAAAGCAAAAGGGCACACACAGCTCTGCCGCCACTACAGAGAAAAAGATCTCTACATGCTGTTCCGCGCGCTCCTGTACAATGCAGAGCTTTGAACTGTTTATAACAGAACACGACAGAGGCACAGTCACAAGAACAGTGATTCTGCCCTTTGAAGCTGCCTGCAGTCAAGTATTACACAGGCAGGAAGTAGAAATCTGTGCTTTGATTTGTTTAAAGTAAATTAAACATAACTGGAAACCATATTTCCTCTCATTCAGAGGAAGTTACAAAAGGTACAGAGGACCAAGAATATCAGGTTCTCATGCAAACGATGAGGTCGGTTCTTCCAAAGCAAAAAAAAAAAAAAAAAAAAAAACAAATACTGGCCTTTAACATACATTCGAAGACCTCACATGTGTTCATTTTGAAGAGATTACCGCTGTGGAAAACAATTTGGAAAAAACTGTTTCAGGTCAAAGTGTAAGTCGTTCAAATAAATGTGCGTCTACGCTTTGGCATCGAGCATTTTTATTTTTTCAAATTCAAGCCTGTGGTCCCTTTGAGCCATTCTTTTCTCCACTGGACTTAGCCATTTTGAAACCTGCCCAGGGAGGAAACGACTCAGGCTCCCTGCAGAGGCAGCCCCATGGGGGCAAGAGGCAGCAACACAGCCTGGGGCCAGGCTCCAGGGCTGCTCTGCAGGGGACGCTGCCTGGGCAGCTGAGAGGCAGTGAGGAGTGAGAGAGAGAGGCCCAAGACCCGGGCACATTGGCCTGCCTGGGAGGACCTAGCCAGTCCCTGCTGGTGCCTCAGATCTGCTGTAGCAGGGGCTCGGCCTGAGCACCCCCGGCCTCTGCCCACCTCGCAGGGCATCATGGGAAGCAGGCATGATGTGCACGCTCTCCGGGCCCTCCAAGTCATGGCCATGGCTCTCCATTAACACAACCACGTGCCCGAGGGCTGAGCCCCAGCAGCAGAGGGTGGTGGGAAGGGCCGGGGCTCAAAGGCCAGGGGTCCCACTCGCTGGCGGCAGGAACCCAGCCTCAGTTCCCCTGTCCGTAAAATGGGGATGATAGATCTTACTTTAAAGAGTTGAGGCCGGGCGCGGTAGCTCAAGCCTGTAATCCCAGCAGTTTGGGAGGCTGAGGTGGGCGGATTACGAGGTCAGGAAATCGAGACCATCCTGGCTAAGACAGTGATACCCCGTCTCTACTAAAAATACAAAAAAAATTAGCCAGGCATGGTGACGGGCGCCTGTAGTCCCAGCTACTCAGGAGGCTGAGGCAGGAGGATGGCGTGAACCCGGGAGGTGGAGCTTGCAGTGCGCCGAGATTGTGCCACTGCACTCTAGCCTGGGCAACAGAGCGAGACTCTGTCTCAAAAAAAAAAAAAAAAAAGAGTTGAGAGGCCGGGCCTGGTAGCTCATGCCTGTAATCTCAGCATGATTTGGGAGGCTGAGACAGGAGGATCACTTAGGCCCAGTAGTTCAACACCAGCCTGGGCAAGATAGTGAGACCCTGTCTCTACAAAAAATTTTAAAAATTAGCCAGGCATGGTGGTGCATGCCTATGATCCCAAATACCTGGGAGGCTGAGGTGGGAGGACTGCTTGAGCTCGGGAGATTGAGACTGCAGTGAGCCAAGATTGTGCCACTGCACTCCGGCCTGGGCAACAAAGCCAGACCATGTCTCAAAAAAAACAAGCAGCTAAGAAGGAAAACTGTATGGCTGTTTGTTGGCATGACCCCCATCCCTCCATGTGCAGCAGAGGGTGACACCAGGCTGATGTGCAGCACCATTGTGTCTCCACCCTGCTCTCCCATTCTTCTGCATTTCTTTACCTCCCTGAAATCCCTTTTCCGGCCTGGGCCATCTTGTGCTCAAAGAAGCACCTGACAGCATGTGCCAGCTCCTTCCCCAGATACGTTCCCCATTGTGCAGACGTGAGCTTCCCCGCCTTTAGGTCCCTCTCTTAATCCTGTCTCTCTCCTATTCCAGAGTCAGGACCCCAGCTTTCTCCTCCATCTTCCCATCTCCCTGGGGAAGCTCACATCTTCCTACGTCCTCCATTCCAACTCTAAGTCTACACCTCCCAAAACGGTGTCTCTGGGCTCCAGAACTCCTCCTTGAGTCTCAGACCCTCTGAACCAAGAACTTCATCCCGAAACAATCCATCCTCCACTAAACTGGCCTCACACTGTCAAAAGGCAATCTACCACAGCCATGTGGGGCGATTTCTGTGGCCTGCCTGTCTGTCCATTGATCTATCTGTCTATGCCTTCTCCAACACCACCATGTCTGTATGACCGTAGCTTTGTAGTAAGTCTTCAAATCAGATAGTGTGTGTCCTCCAACCATATTCTTCTCTAGAGTAGTGTCTATGGTAGCTTCCTGCCTTTCTCTGTGAATTTTAGAGTCCGCTTGTCGATTTCTACCAAAAAACCTGCAGAGATTTTCACTGGGACTTAGTTTAATTTCTAGATCAGTGTGGGAGAACTGACATCTTGTAAACCTTGGAATATTGACTATTCCAACACAAGAACACAATATACCTCTCCATTTATTTAGGAATTCTTTGATTTTTTTATCAGCATTTTATAGCTTTTTATATATCTTTTTCTTTCTTCTTTTTTTTTTTTTTTGAGACAGAGTCTCGCTCTGTCACCCAGGCTGGAGTGCAATGGTGCGATCTCAGCTCATTGCAACCTCCACCTCCTGGATTCAAGCGATGCTCTTGTCTCAGCCTTCTGAGTAGCTGGGATTACAGGCACCGGCCATCATGCCCTGCTAATTTTTGTATTTTTGTAGAGATGGGGTTTCACCATATTGGCCAGGTTGGTCTTGAACTCCTGACCTCAAGTGATCCGCCCGCCTCGGCCTCCCAAAGTGCTGGGATTACAGGTGTGAGCCACTGTGCCTGGCCTCTTTCTTCCTTGTTGGTATAAAGATGGGCTCCTGCTATGCTGCCCAGGCTGGTCTTGAACTCCTGGGTTCAAGTAATCCTCCTGCCTCAGCCTCTCACAGTGCTGGGATCACAGGCATAAGCCACTGCACCGGCCAAGTTTTATTGTTTTCAGCATGTAGCTCTTGCATATATTTTATAGGATTCATGACCAAATTTGTGTTTTGGTGCTGTCATAAATGGACATGTTTATTTCAATTTTCAGTGGTTTGCTAGTAGATATATTTCCTTGTGAGTTTCGGTAGCTTTTCTGTAGATTCCATCGGATTTTCTACACTGAAAATCCTATCATCTGGGAATAAAGATGGTTTTGTTTATTCCTCTCCAATCTGTATGCCTTTCCTTTTTCTCACCTTTTGCCCTTGCTACAACCTCCAGTACAATGGTGAATAGAAATGATGGGGTCAGACAACCTGGCCTTGCTCTGGCCCTTAGGGGAAAAGTATTCGGTCTTTCACCCTTAGGCATGCTGCTAGTTGTAGGGCATTTGTAGATGCCTTTATCACATTAAGGAAATTCCCTTTAATTCCCGGCTTCCTGTGTTTTGGTCACACATGGGTGTTGGATGTTGTTAAATGCCGTTTCTGGATCTATTGAGCCGATCATAAATGCTTCCTTCTTGAGTTGGCTGATAGGAAGAATTGTGTTGATTGACTTTCGAATGTTGAACTAACCATTTACTCCTGGGATACACTCTACTTGATTATGGTGTATAATCCTTTTTGTACATGGCTGAGTCATATTTGGTAATATTTTGTTGAAGATTTTCACATTTGTGTTCATGAAGGACCTTGATCTATAGTTTTCTTTTCTTCCAAGCCTGGTTAAGCAGCAAAGTCACTGGCAGACTAGTTTGATTTTTTTGAGGCAGGGCAGATGAGCCCTAAAGTGGGGCTTAGCCCTCAAGAGTTCTTGGCCTCACCCAGGAAAGAATTCAAGAGCAAGCTGGTGGTAGGAGAAACAGCTTTTACTGAAGCAGCAGTGTTGCAGCTCCGTGACTGCTCCTGCAGAGCAGGGGGACCCCATAGGCAGAGAGTAGCAGCTCAGGGCAGCTTTGCAGGCATACTTATACCTACTTTTAATTACATGCAGATTAACGAGTGGTTTATGCAGAAATTTCTAGGGAAGCAGTAGGAACTCCTGGGTTGTCCGGTCATTGCCATGGAAAGGAGAGGTCAATTCTGGGTGTTGCCATGGCAATGGTAAACTGACATGGCACACTGGTGGGTGTATCTTAGGGAAAGCTGCTTCTGCCCCCTCCCTGTTTAGCTAGGCCTCAATTTGGTCCCTTGCATGAGCCAAGCCTCCAGATTGGGGCCCGCCTCCAACCTCACTTTGAAGCCTTGTTTTAAGCTCTGCAGGGGAGGGTCTAAGACACCCTTACTCTAGAGCTTATTTGCTCCACTACTAAGGTGGGGCTCTTCAGGGGTCTCTAGGGCATCCCGGGAGTTCAGTGAGAGCCATCCACTGAGTCTGGCTGCCACCCGAGCATCTCCCAGAACAGGTGAACTCTTGGACTCAGCTGCCTTTCTGCTCCTGGTCACTCGTTCTTTCCTGTCTCCACGACGTTGCACACCGCACACACACAGCTTAGGATCTCCCAATGCTCGGGGCAACCCTGAGGATTACTGGAGCCCCCTCTCTGCAGTGTTCCCATCCCTCCAGGACTCAGCCCACAAACCACAGCTGTTCAGAGCCCCCCATCTCCGCTCCTCAATGCAGCCAAGCCACTCGCACTGCTTGATGTGCATGAAGCACCCCCGACCCCACCAAGGCAGAAACCCAGGGCAGCTGCGGCGCCTTGCCATCTCATTTCTGTAGACTCTGGGGTCACAGCTCTGCATGGCCTGTTTCTCAACACCTGAAAACAGTTGATTCAGACATTTTGTCCAGGTTTCCAGCTGCTTAGGGTAGCGGAGTATGTGCACCATAGCTAACCCACCTTGTTGTTGATGACGTGACCTTGGAATAGTCCACACCAGGCCAGGCCAGCCAAGCCCCTGTACCTGACCAACCTCATGGCAGATACCACCCTCAAGTAGCCATTTGTCCAGCCCCAAGAGTGGCCCTCACTAAAGCAGCTTCCAAAATGTTAATGCCAGGACATTTCTTGTGGCGGAATTCTGATAGAAGAGGGACGGTGGAGGAGGGCAGCACCCACTCTCAAATGCTGTGGCATGAACTGCATGGAAGACAAATTATGAACAGTGATTTTTTACAAATTGCATAAAACCAAGAAGAGTTAAACAAAATTCACGATAGTGAAAATTTGGGTAAAATTAAATACCAGTCAGAGAGGAATGTCTCTTCTCTATAATATATTACAGTATGTTAACCTGACAGATTACTATTTGGCTGTCAAAAATAAATAATGTGGGCACAGTGGCTCATGTCTATAATCCCAGGACTGTGGAAGCTGAGGCAGGAGGGTCCCTTGAGGCCAAGAGTTCAAGACCAGTCTGGGCAACATAGCGAGACTCCATCTCTACAAAAAATGTAAAAATTAGCCGAGCATGATGGTACACACCTGTGGTCCCAGCTACTCAGGGAGCTGAGGCAGAAGGATGGCTTGAGCCTGGGAGGTTGAGGCTGCAGTGAGCTATGATTGTACCACTGCACTGCAGCCTGGGTGACAGAGTGAGACCCTGTCTCAAATAATAATAATAATAAATAATGTGATATGAAAGAGATGTTTACAAACAAAACTGAGAAGAAAGAACCTAAATTGTCCCCACACAATGATTACAACAATGTAAAATCTGTGTCAGCATGAGAAAAGACCAGAAAAAAGTCTATAGAAATGAAAACAATTATTATGCAAGGCTGGCAGGAATATGAGCAAAATTCTTTTTTAATCTTTTCAAAAGTTCTTAAATCTTTAATAATTAAAAAACAAGCCAGGAGTCAGTTCTATTCAAACTTCACAAACAATAATCATGAGAAAAAAACCAGGAAGTGACCCACCAGCTCCCACAAGGGCAAAAGAAAGCCCTTCTTGGCAGAATTCCTGTGGACCCAGCTGGGCAGGCAGAGCCCCTGTGGCCTGTGTGGCCCGTGGCCTCAGGGGGAGCTGGAAAAACAGCAGATGCATTAGGAATGAAGAGCTGTAGACATCCGCATCAGACCCCACAACACAACACACTATTTTTTACTGTATTTTATTTATTTTGTTTTGTTTTTAGAGATAGAGTCTTGCTCTGTCACCCATGCTGGAGTGCAGTGTGAAATCACAGCTCACTGCAGCCTCAAACTCCTTGGCTCAAATGATCCTCCCACTTCAGCCTCCCAAGTAGCTGGAACTACAGGTGCATGCCACCATCCTTAGCTAATTTTTTAATTTTTATTTTAGGAGAAACAGGGTCTCACTCTGTTGCCCAGGCTGGTCTTGAACTCCTGGCCTCAAGTGATCCTCCCGCCTTGGCCTCCTAAAGTGCTGTGATTACGGGCGTAAGCCATTATGCCCAGCCAATACATATATTTTAAAATGAAAATCTCTATAGCTATGGACTTGGAAGTCTATAATTTGAAGGCCCTCTATATTAGATGAAGAGGCCACAAAGCTTCCCTTTTAACAAACACGTTGAGAGATGGCACCAGGCACCGTGTAGCCTTCATGCTGGACCAGGCTGTTCTGTGGAATCTTGAGAGGCTATGCATCCTGGGACCACAGTAACCAAATTGCTGAAAACAGCCATGAGGAAACCCAGGTGTGTGAAGCCAGGCTCAGTCACAGTCAGGGGCACCTGCAGCATCACGCAGGCTTGTTCTCACTACCGAGGCGATTCTGCCAGGTACTCTGCATGCACCCTGCTGTCTGCTGTGCTTCTTCCTGCTCAAGGGATGGGGAAAAGACATGCCTGGAGCGAGGGCACTACCCCCAAGTCCTGGCAATGCCCTCATAGGATGTCTGGGCTGGAGGATTCCCTCAGGCTTGGCAAGCTTCACCTTCCTGCTCTGTGAGGGAGATGGACTACAGTATGTGGCCTCTAAAGATGACCCCTTCCACAACACCCTACTGTCTGTCTGTCTGAGGAGCACATGCATCTGTTCTCATGTCCACAGGCTTGTCTGCCTCAGCCCCAGCTCGCTGCAGCTTCTACGGAGACCCAGGTGAGCAGTGTTGATTGCAAAGTTTAGAGATTTCATTCACACTGATTTTCAGTAATAGTATGACAACAATAATGAGATCAGCCATCCTTACATTATAGCATCTGCATTTGTCAGGTCCCACTTAAGTCATTTACATATATTTGCTCATTTAAACTGCACAATCACTTCAAGAATGATAACAGTATCAGTACCTCCATTAGGGGTGAGGAAACTGAGGCACCGAGAGTCCACGTTGCCCAAAACTGAATGGCGAGTCACTGGCACCCATTTTAAGATACACACACAGAGATGTGTGTAGAGCATATAAACAACATATGTATATATGTTTAAAACCAAAAACCTTCATTGTTGTTCACTGTATCCAGTTTTGGAGAAAATGGAACCTTTGCGCATTGCTTGTGGGAATGCAAAATGGTGCAGCCGCTGTGGAAAACAGTTAGGTGGTTTCTCAAAAATTTGAACACAGAATTACCATATGAGCCATCAATCCCAGTCCTAAGTGTATGCCCTAGATAATTAAAGCAGGAACTGGAACAGAAGCTTGTGCGCCCATGTTCACAGCAGCATTCTTCACAATAGCAAGAGATAGAAGCAGCCCAGGTGTCCAACAGATGAATGGATAAACACAGTGGGGCATCATTCAGCCTCAGAAAGAGATGAAATCCTGATACTGACACATGACACAACATAGATAAACCTGAAAAATATTGGGCTAAGTGACATAAGCCAGACACAAAAGGACAAATACCGTACGAGTCGTTATATGGGGTACCTAGAATAATCAAATTTGTAGAGCGAAAGTGAGATGGTGGTTGGTGGTTACCAGGGGCTAGGGGAGGGGGAATGGGATTTAGGGACAGAGTTTCTCTTTAGGGTGATGAAAAGGTTCTGGAATATATATACATATATATACACACACACACATATATATATATATATATATACACACACACACATATATATATATATATATACACACACATATATATATATATATATATGTATGTATGTATATATTCATTCCAGAGAGAGAGAGAGAGAGGAAATCACAACATTCCTCTCAGTAAGATCAGTTTGGTTTAAGATGGAGAAGGGATTGATGGAAGGCAAAACTATAGAAAAATGAATTTCTGTAGTAACACAGGTGAGAAGAAATGAAGAGTTACTTAAATAGCAACTGAAGAGATCGATTAGAGAGATATTAGGGGATTAAAATTGATAGAACTTGGTAATTATTGGAATTGAAAAGAGGTAGAAGAAGGAACCAAAAATAATTCCCAAGTGTCTGGTGTGGCCAACGGGATGGGACAGTGGCTCTGCTCACTGGTTTAATTATTCAGGAGCTTAGAAGGACCATTCCATAATTCTCCTCCATCACTGTTCTAGGAGTTACCAGCAGGTCATGAGGAAGAAGATAGTTATTTTTAAAAAATCATTTGAGGAGTACTGTTCAGCGATCAAAAGGAATAAATGTGGCCGGGTGCAGTGGCTCACACCTGTAATCCCATCACTTTGGGAGACGAAGGTGGGAGGATCACTTGAGGCCGGGAGTTCAACACCAGCCTGGGCAACATAGTTAAGACCCCATCTCTAAAAAAAATTAAAATGGGCTGGGCGTGGTGACTCACACCTGTAATCCCAGCACTTTGGGAGGCCGAGGCGGGTGGATCATGAGGTCAGGAGATCGAGACCATCCTGGCTAACATGGTGAAACCCCGTCTCTACTAAAAATACAAAAAATTAGCCTGGTGTGGTGGCGGGCGCCTGTAGTCCCAGCTACTCGGGAGGCTGAGGCAGGAGAATGGCGTAGACCCAGAAGGCGGAGCTTGCAATGAGCCAAGATTGCGCCACTGCACTCAGCCTGGGCGACAGAGCGAGACTCTGTCTCAAAATAAAATAAAATAAAATAAAAATAAAAAATTAGTAGGGCACAGTGGCACACACCTGTCATCCCAGCTACTTGGGAGGCTGAGGCGGGAGGATAATTTGAGCCCAGGAGTTCAGGGCTGCAGTGAGCTACAATGGCACCGATGCACTCCAGCCTGGGCAACGAAGCAAGACTGTTTCAAAACAACAACGACAAAGGAATAAAGGTTTGGCACATGTAACAACACAGATAAAGCTGAAAAACATTGTGCTGAGCGAAAGGTACCAGACAAGAAGCAGCATAGAGTGAATGATTCCACTTCTGTGAAACCCTGAAAGCTAAATCTAATCTCTAGTGACCAGTGTTTGGCCAGGTCTGTGAATAAGGGATTTGACAGAGACTGCAGCACAAGGAAGCTTCCCGGGGAAAGGGGAACACCCTGCGTTTTGATGGTGACGGTAAGTACATCAGCCAATTCATTGAAAAATGGTGCATTTTTGTGCATTCATCTTTGCGCATTCATTTTAAGTGAATTGGCTGATGTAATTACCATCACCATTAAGTGAATTATATTTTAATAATAAGTGTGATTTTAGAACGTAAAAAACAATCAGAACTGTGGATAAATTCATTCTCTTCCTTTGAAGATGTGTTCTTGGGCTTGAACTAATAACCAGTCTTGGCAGTCACATGGGTTTTTACTCTATGAACTGATTACCTGAAATAAAGGGCCCAAGATTTTTAAAGTGCCACGTATGGGCAGTTCCAAATCTTTAGGCTTTTCCTTACAATCCATTCACTAAAATATGTTCCATTTTATTCTACTTGAAATTATCAGAATTTCATTTCTTGGGTAATTGTTATTTTAGGTCACACTGAGTAACTGTAGGCTAGAATTACTGCCTGGCAGCTCAGAACATGAGGGGACAAATACAGACTTTTGCTCTGGGAAGCGCACGGCCTTTGGTTATGAGAAAGGCTTAGCCCTTGTCTTCAAGTGAATTGGATTTCTGCTGTGATTTGGGTGTGTTTAGCAGGTAAGGAAAGAGTACAGGAGCAATAGGGGCTGGCCAGGGCTGCACAGCCTGTTGGTGGGAAGGTCCAGACAGACACTGCCCCTGGCCACCAGGGTCTGGCTCAAGCCACCTCTCATAGGAAGATGCGCCTTAATGATTCAGAGGGTACTATTTTCATAGACTTCAAATCTAGCATTGTACTGCCTGGTACTTTGGTTTCCTGAACAATAGTCCAGTTAATTCAGCCTGGGCAACATAGCAAGACCCTATCTCTACAAAACTTTTTAAAAAAATTAGCCAGGCATGGTGACACATGCCTTTAGTCCTGGCTACTTGGGAGGCAGAGGCAGGAGGATCACTTGAGCCCAGGAGTTTGTGGCTGCAGGGAGCTAATGATAGCGCTGATATGGAAGGGAAGTGCTGGGAAGGGAACAGCGTGGTCCCTTTAAATGATACAGGAGTGGGGAAGAGAAGTGCTGGGTAGAGGAGGGCATGGTCCCTGGCTAGAGCTCCACCACTATGTACCTAGGTGAGGATAGGCACTCCTGCCCAAACATTGCATTTACCCAGAATGCCCTGGCCTGCTGCATCCCCATGATGTGCCTATGAAAACCCCCAAGACCCTAGCAGGCAGACACAGAAGTGGCTGGACATCATGAGGAACACACTGGCAGAAGGAGACGCAAGCCGCTGGACTTTGAGAGGATGTTGAAAGGAGCACTCTGGCAGAAGAGCACACTGGCAGACACTGGCAGGCTCTCGACTGGTGGAACGACGTGGAGTTTGGCCAGGGCAGTCGAGGAGAGCCTGGGCTGCTGAGCGACCCGACTCCAGGGGAAAGCCACCTTCCCACTCCATCTCCCTTCTGGCTCCCCCATCTACTGAGAGCTACTTCCACTCAACAAAACCTTGCACTCATTCTCCAAGCCCACGTGTGATCCAATTCTTCCGGTACACCAAGTCAAAAACCCGGATACAGGAAGTCCTCTGTCCTCGCAACAAGGTACAGGGTCCTTTTTTTCTGTTTTTGTTTTTGTTTTTTTTTTTTGTTTTTTGTTGAGATGGTGTCTCCCTGTGTCGCCTAGGCTGGAGTGCAGTGGTGCAATCTCTGCTCACTGCAACCTCTGCCTCTGGGGTTCAAGTGATTCTCATGCCTCAGCCTCCCGAATAGGTGGGATTACAGGTGTGAGCCACCACACCCGGATAATTTTTGTATTTTTAAGTAGAGACGGGGTTTCGCCATGTTGGGCCAGGCTGGTCTTGAACTTCTGACCTCAAGTGATCTGCCCACCTCGGCCTCCCAAAGTGCTGGGATTACAGGCATGAGCCACCATGCCAGGCCTAGAGGGTCTAATTGAACTGGTTAACAAAAGCCACCTATAGACAGCAAAACTAAAAGAGCAAACAGTAGCACATGCCCACTGGGTCCTGGCTGTAAACATTAACCCCTAGACATTGCCCTGGGGCCGGAGCCCCACAGCCTGCCCATCTGTATGCTCCCCTAGCGGTTTGAGCAGTGGGGCACTGAAGAAGCGAACCACACCCCCATCGCCTGCCCTGCGAGGGGGACACGGGAACTTTTCCTGTTTCAGCACCACTGCACTCCAGCCTGGGCAATAGAGGGAGACTCTGTCTCAAAACAAAAACAAAAACAAAAACAAAACACAAAAAAACACAACTGGGTGCGGTGGCTCATGCCTGTAATCCCAGCACTTTGGGCCAAGGCAGGCAGATTGCTTGTGCCCAGGAGTTAGACAGCAGTCTTGGCAACATAACAAAACCCCATCTCTACAAAAAATACAAAAATTAGCTGGGTGTGGTGGCATGAGTGTGTAGTCTCAGCTACTCAGGAGGCTGAGGTAGGAGGATTGTTTGAGCCCAGGAGGTACGTGTTGCAGTGAGCTCAGGTCACACCACTGCAATCCAGCCTGGGTGACAGAATGAGACCCTGCCTCAAAAAAAAAGAAAAAGAAAAGAAAAGTTAAAAAAAGAAATTTTGTTTTTAGGAAGTGGATGCACATGATGAAAAAATTCAAAAGCTACAAAAGAGTGAAAGTAATGATAGATCTTTACAAAAATCCTGGATGCATTTATTTATAAGCATGTATGTAAATAGATCCTTTAACAGTGGTAGCACTCTCCTATTCACAACAGCAAAGATATGGAATCAAACTGTGTCCACTGACAGATGAAGAAATAAAGAAAATGTGAGATAGATATATATATATATATATATATATATATATAAATATATATATAATGGAATTCTATTCAGCCATAAGATGAATGAAATCGTCATTTGCAGCAGCATGGATGGAACCGATGATCATAACGTTAAGTGAAATAGGCCAAGCACAGAAAGACAGCTACCATATGTTCTCACTCATATGTGGGAGCTAAAAAGTTGATGTCATGGAGGGAGAGAATAGAATGATAGATACCAGAGGCTGGGAAGCATGTGTGGGTGGGAGGAGGATAAAGAGAAGTTGGCTAATGGGTACAAACATATGGTTAGGTAGAAGAAATAAGCCCTAACATTCCATAGCAGGGTAGTAGGGTATCTGTAGCTGGCAACAATGTATTGCATATTTCAGAGCAGCTAGAAGAGAGGACTTGAAATGCTACTGATGCAGGGCAGGTTCTTGGCTTCCTCAGGAAGGAATTCAAGAGCAAGCTGGTAGTGGAAGAAAACAGCTTTCTTGCGGTGGAGGCAGTGCTATAGCTCTGGCTGGCTGCCCCTGCAGAGCAGAGCTACCCCATAGGCAGTGTGCTGAGGGTCGCAGCCTAGGGGCAGTTTTGCAGTCATATCTTATACCCACTTTTAGTGCCATGCTAATTAAGGGGCAGGTTATTCAGAAACAGCTAGAAAATGGGTGGTAAGTTTTGGGTGTTGCTATGGCAATAGTAAACTGTCATGGCACTGGTGGGCATGTCTTATGGAGAGGTCCTTTGTGCACTTCTTCCTAGTTTTGGCCAGTCCTCAATCTGGTCCGGAGTTGAGTCTCGCCTGCCTCCTACCTCATTACAAACACTTAGAAATAAATACTCAAGGCCGGGCACGGTGGCTCACACCTGTAATCCCAGCACTTTGGGAGGCCGAGGCAGGCAGATCACGAGGTCAGGAGATCAACACCATCCTGGTTAACACAGTGAAACCCCGTCTCTACTAAAAAATACAAAAAAAAAAAAAAAAATTAGCCGGGCGTGGTGGCGGGCGCCTGTAGTCCCAGCTACTCGGGAGGCTGAGGCAGGAGAATGGCGTGAACCCGGGAGGCAGAGCTTGCATTGAGCCAAGATCGTGCCACTGCACTCCAGCCTGGGTGACAGAGCAAGACTCCCTCTCAAAAAAAAAAAAAAAAGAAAAAAGAAAGAAACACTCAAGGTGATGGATACCTCAGATACTCTCAGTTGATCATTACATATTCTGTAATGTGTAATGTAACAACTACTCCATGTACCACATAAACATGTAAAAATTTATCAATAAAAAGTAGCAACTTATATGCACTATTCTGTATCTTCTGTAGCTCCCTATTCTTTCTGATATAAACTATGGTTATTTCAGAAAATGCAGAATAACTACACTGTACATCAGTGTTTTACCTCAGTTAAAGGATTTTTAAAAATCAATATTATTGATGTACAGCTTGCATACGAGAGAGTGCACACATCTTAAGTATACAGCTTAGGCCGGGCATGGTGGCTCACGCCTGTAATCCCAGCACTTTGGGAGGCCGAGGTGGGCAGATCATGAGGTCAGGAGATCGAGACCATCCTGGCTAACATGGTGAAACCCCGTCTCTACTAAAAATACAAAAACAAAATTAGCCGGGTGTGGTGGCCCATGCCTGTAGTCCCAGCTATTTGGGAGCCTCAGGCAGGAGAATGGCGTGAACCCGGGAGGCGGAGCTTGCAGTGAGCCAAGACGTGCCACTGCACTCCATCCTGGGTGACAGAGTGAGACTCTGTCTCAAAAAAAAAAATAAAAGTATACAGCTCAATGCATGTAGACAAATGTGTATACCTGTGTAAGTAACCATCATCACAGTCAAAACCAAGAACATCCCATCACTCCAGAAGCTTCCCTCATGACTCCTCCTGGTCACACCAGGACCCAGGGAACCACCCATCTGTGTTCCATCATTCTAGATGAGATCTGTCCTTTCTAGAGTTTTCTATAAAAGGAATCACAGTGCATACTGTTTTGTCCAGCTTCTTTCATTCAACATAAGTCCTGTGAGATTCATCCACTTGTTGTACCATCAGTTTTCTGCTCTTTATTGATAGTGTTTTCCTACTTTTTTTGTGTTAATATGGAGGATTATATTGATTTTTAAATGTTAAGCTGATGTTGCATTACTGGGATAAACTCTACTTGTCCATGGCCTATCCTTTTTTTTGTTGCTAGATTCAACTGACTTTTTTTTTTTTCAGACAGGGTCTCACTCTGACACCCATGCTGGAGTGCAGTGACGCGATCTCTGCTCACTGCAGCCTTGACCTCCCAGGCTTCAGTGATCCTCCCACCTCAGCCTCCCAAGCAGCTGGGACCACAGGTGTACACCACCACACATGGCTAATTTTTTGGATTTTTTGTAGAGTCAGGGTTTCACCACGTTGCCCAGGCTGGTCTTCATCTCCTGAGCTCAAGCGATCTGCCTGCCTCGGCCTCCCAAAGTGCTGGGATTACAGTCGTGAGCCACTGTGCCCAACTCAATTGGCTAGTTTTTGTCGTTGTTGTTGTTTTTTTTTTTTTGTCATGATGGAGTTTTGTTCTTGTCGCCCAGGCTAGAGTGCAATGGCGTGATCTCGGCTTACTACAACATCCACCTCCCGGGTTCAAGCAATTCTTCTGCTTTAGCCTACCAAGTAGCCGGGATTACAGGTATGCACCACCACACCTTGCTAATTTTTGTATTTTTGGTAGAGACAGGTTTTTGCCATGTTGGCCAAGCTGATCTCAAACTCCTGACCTCAAGTGATCTGCCTACCTTGGCCTCCCAAAGTGCTGGGATTACAGGTGTGAGCCACCGCACCCAGGCAGTATTCTGCATTCTTAAACTGATTTTCTGCCTCCTTGTTCTGTCATTTACTGAGAGAGAAGTGTGGAAATCTCTAGCTATAACTGCGCATTTGTCTATTTGTTCTCTTGGTTCTGTCAGTTTTTGCTCTGTATTGGGTGCATACATATTTAGGATCATAATGTCTTCTTGATGACTTGACCACTTTATCCGCATAAAACAGTCCTCCCTATCTCTAGGAACAGTCCTGTTCTGAGTCTGCTTTGCCGGATGCCATTCCAGTATTCTCATAACTCACGTTCACATGATCTTGTTCCATTCCTTTACTAACTCCTGCATTTTTAATTGTGGTAAAATATACACAGCACAAAAGGATCCTTTTTTTTGAGACGGAGTCTCACTCTGTCACCAGGCTGGAGTGCAGTGGTGCCATCTCGGCTCACCGCAACCTCCGACTCCCTGGTTCAAGCGATTTTCCTGCCTCAGCCCCCGAGTAGCGGGGATTACAGGCACGTGCCACCATGCCCAGCTAATTTTTGTATGTTTAGTAGAGATGGGGTTCACCATGTTGGCCAGGCTGGTCTTGATCTCTTGACCTCGCGATCCATCTGCCTCGGCCTCCTAAAGTTCTGGGATTACAGGCATGAGCCACCGCGCCTGGCCAAAAGGATCATTTTAATCATTTTAATTGTACAGTTCTGTGGCAGTAAGCACATTCACAATGTTGTACAACCATCAGTATCATCCATCTCCAGAACTTTGTTGTCATCCCAAACTGTAAGTCTATACTAATTCAATAATAACTTCCCATTCCCTGCTTCCCCACCCTCTGGTAACCACTATTCTAATTTCTGTCTCTATGAATTTGATTACCTTATATAAGAGATACCTCATATAAGTGAAATCAGACAATATTTGTCTTTTTGTGACTGGCTTATTTCACCGGGCATGGCTTCAACATTCATCCATGTAGTAACATGTGTCAGAATTCCTTCTTCTTTTTTTTTTTTTGAGACAGAATCTTGCTCTGTCACCCAGGCTGGAGTGCAGTAGCATGATCTTGGCTTGCTGCAACCTCTGCCTCCTGGGTTCAAGCAATTCTCTGCCTCAGCCTCCTGAGTAGCTGGGATTACAGGCACCTGCCACCACACCCAGCTAATTTTTGTATTTTTAGTAGAGACAGGGTTTCACCATCTTGGCCAGGCTGGTCTTGAACTCCTGACCTCGTGATCCACCCGCCTCGGCCTCCCAAAGTGCTGGGATTACACACATGAGCCACCGTGACCGGCCAGAGTTCCTTCTTTAAGGCTGGATAATATTCCATTGTCCATGTCTGTAGACCACATTGCTTATCCATTTATCTGTCGGTGCATGTTTGAATTGTTTCTACCTTTTAGCTAGCGTGAATGATGCTGCTGTGAACATCGATGCACAAGTGTCTTGAGTCCCTGCTTTCAATTCTTTTCAGTGCATGCCTATTCTGGGCGTGGAATTCCTAGACCACACGGTAATTCTGATTCACTTTTTTTTTTTTTTTTTTTGAGACGGAGTCTTGCTCTTTAGCCCAGGCTGGACTGCAGTGGCGCTATCTCGGCTCACTGCAAACTCCACCTCCCGGGTTCACGCCATTCTCCTGCCTCAGCCTCCCGAGTAGCTGGGACTACAGGCGCCCACCACCACGCCCAGCTAATTTTTTTATTTTTAGTAGAAATGGGGTTTCACCGTGTTAGCCAGGATGGTCTTGATCTCCGGACCTCGTGATCTGCCCACCTCGGCCTCCCAAAGTGCTGGGATTACAGGCGTGAGCCACCGCGCCTGGCCTCTGATTCACTTTTTGAGGAAATACCAAACTTTTCCACGGTGGCAGCACCATTTTACATTCCCACCAACAGTAAACCAACGTTCAATTTCTCCACATCTTCACGTTCTTTACATCCTTGCCAATGCTTTTATTTTCTGTTGTTGGTTTTGCTTGGCTTTTTTTGATAATAGCCATCCTAATGCCTGTGATTTGCATTTCCCTAATAACCAGTGATGTTGGGCATCTTTTCATGTACTTCTTGGCCACTTGTATGTCTTCTTTGGAGAAATGTCTATTCAAGTCCTCTGTCTATTTCTTATTTTTTGTTGTTGAGTAAAGTTATGACTTTTCAAAACGTATTTTACCTTGATTTGTTTTGCCACCTATGATGTTTTATTTTGAACTTTAGAAGTGGAAAGAAACTAATAAGTCATATTTAAAGCCATGTTGTTCTTCCAGTCAGCACCATAATTCTTAACAAGAAAACTTGACATTTCATTTAAGTGATTAAATGTATAGAGGTTGGAGATTTGCATTTTCCTCTATAATCCATATAATAATCCATGGAAAATCTTTTCCAATAGTTAACAATGCAGCAGAAAACAGCCCATACATAACGACAAAATGAAAACTCCCAGATCATTTGCATCCTGCCAGAATCTTAGCTTCCCTCGCATTACTGCTATTCATGACCTCAAGCCACACGTTCTTATAAGGATGTGACCCCAACTTTGATAGTAAATGAATGGTTATCAGATCGAGGTCTCTCTCTTCCTCTCACAGCTTCAAAACAGTGACAGGAAATGGGAAAAGGGAAAACACCTCAGAGTTTGCAAACGGGTGACTGTGTGCCTCAGCAGCACAGGAAGGAAATGACCACGGGACACCTGTGCAGTGGCTAGAGCCAGGCCGGCCTCATTCGATGTCATGTGACGGGTGGAGATGGGGGAGCTGTGACAGCGGCAAGCACATCCCGGCCAGGCCCGGGAGAACATGGGCTCCACCAGCTCACCCCCTCCACAGCCTTTCCTTCAGAAGCCTCGCTGTGGACACAGACTGAAACAGGCCGTGTGGTGGTGGGAGGGGTGTCATTATATTATTCTATTTGTGTGTACATTTGTGTGTTTTCATAATGAAGTTGGTATTTTTAAAAAAGAAGCCTCTCCTCCCTTTTTTCTCCTTGGTATTTTAAACCATCCAAATATTAAGAATGCTCTCTAAAGACAATCAAAACAGCAAGCATCTCAACAGTAATAACTTCACCCCACTGAGCTGAATTAGGCCAGCAAAGGTCTCAGAAATGAACTCTCTACCTTCGTTCACTCAACACATCTTTGACCTTTGGGAAAGTACCCCGTGCCAGTGTGCCAGGCCCTCTTTTACCTCCAAAGAGCAGTGGAGACTGGGCGTCCTACTGGGCAGTAGATGTGGGCAGAGCCCCACAAAGAGCAGAGTCTGGCAAGGGGGGTCCAGGCCAGCTGGGGCAGAGGCCTTGCAGGCACTGGGACAGACTGTGGCCTGCACACAGGGAAATGGGACCCTGCCTGCACACAGGGCTGACTCACCACACACCAGCCACAGTTTGCTATATGACCAGAGGGTAAAGAGAGACCCCACCCAACTGGGGCCTTCAGGCACCAACTAGAGGACAGGAAGAACCCAGCTGGAGGCCCTCTTGCCTCAGCCAACAGGCGCCAGTGGTGAGCACAAGGAAGACAGAACACAGGCCATCCCCAGGGTGGGGACAAGGAGGAGGAAGCTCAGCCTCCAGCCCCAGGGACAGGGCCCCTTGAGACCCCAGGAGGGAGTGACCTAGTCTCAGGGTCCCTTTTCTTCCCAATTCCAGCAGTGTCAGAACTGCCAGGTACAAGAAAGAGCCACGCAGTCCTCTGGGCAGCAGAAACCCGAGGCTCAGTGAGAGCAGTGACCCAGGAGAGCCAGCTTTCCACGCGCAGGCTGGAGCCACTCGCTCCTTCTGGCCACACATAAGTTACTGAGCATCTGCTCACCAACAGCTTCCTTTTGTTAGGAAGTGTGGAAGTGGCATCTGAGCAGACTTGGGGGAAGTGAGTGGGTGTGGGGCCTGTTCCAGACCCAGAGAGCACCCAGTGCAAAGGCCCTGTGGCAGGAGCATGCCTGGTCTCCTGGGGACCGAGCGGCCAGGGTGTGGAGAGCGGCAGCAGGCAGCACAGGCCATGGCCACTTTGGGACCTTTGACTGTGAACAGAAGCCACAGCATGGTGTGGAGCAGAGGAGCAACATAATCTAGAGAGGTGGTTTTTTGTTTTTGGTTTTGGTTTTTTTTTTTTTTTAAGAGACAGGGTCTCATCTGTCACACAGATTGGAGTGCAGTGGTGCAATCATGGCTCACTGCAGCCTCGAACTCCTGGGCTCAAGCAATCCCCTCCTGCTTCAGCATTCCCAGCAGCTGGGACCCCAGGCACGCACCACCACACCCGGATATTTTTTAAATTTTTTGTAGAGACCGAGTCTTACTATGTTGCCTAGGCTGGTCCCAAACCGCTGGCCTCAAGCCATCCTCCTGCCTCAGCCTCCTGGCTACACAGAGTCAGTCACTTCTTATCTTGCACACAACTGGAGAGAAAATCCTTGACTGAAAGATGCCTGGCTTTGCTCTGTCACTCACAGCGCTTCCCTTGCACAGCACCTGATAGGACGAGTGCCAGGATCAGGGTTCTTGTGACATTGTGAGGCCAATTATGAAATCTAAGGAGACTAGGGACTTCCAGTTTCATTAACTTGATTCTTCTGTTAGGAAGAAAGTACCTAGATTAAAATAATTCACCCTAAGATGTGAATGAATGAAAATGAATGTCAAAACCCTCTAGAGAACTTTAACAAGGCATCAATTCACGGAAAGCCTAACTGGTAAAATTAGTAGAATATATCTCAGACTGTCTACAACATCAAAGGAGAAGCGTGTCTATATTGAGGGAATGGGTTCAGGAGAGACACCAACAGGGGAGCTCATGTTCCGTGTCTCTCTAGATTACAGGATCCAGAGGTTCTATGAGTGGCCATCCCTGATCACCCCCAGTTCCCAACTGACCCAGACCACGGCCTCCCAATCCCTGCATCGGCCCTTTAAGCTCCCAGGGTGGCTGTGACTCCTTGGGTATCAGCTTGCTCGGCGTCCTGCCTCTGATGCCCTCCGGATGCATCCCTGGGGACTGCGGCTCATGGGCCCCACGGAGGCAGGAGGAACTGACCTCGCCAAACCCTAGCCAGGCTGTCACCTGGCCCAGACCGCCTTGGTCTGGATGTCTGCCGCAGCCTGGGCTCTGCTCACCACTCTAAACACAAGTGGCCACATACCATCTGATTCCACTTACATGAAATGTCCAGAAAGGGCAAATCCATAGGGACAGAAAGTAGACTGGTGGTTGTGAGAGGCTGGGAGAGGCTGAGAGAGGAGGTAGGTGAGGGGGAAATGGGAGTGACTGATTCATGAGTACTGGGCTTCTTTTGGGGCCATGCAAATATTCTAAACTGGATGGTGATGGTTACACAACTCTGTGAACAGACTAAAAATGATGGAAAACTCTACTAAGAACTCTTCTTCCGAGGGGTGAATTGTAGGGTATGTGAATCATATCTCAGTAAAGCTGCTGCAAAGCAAGCAGAGAGAGAGGAGGGAAGTAGGAGAGGCTGGCGGCCCCAGGAGTAGGGCTCAGGAACCAGCTACGGAGGCTGGGAGGCGGGGCCAGAGCCAGTCGGAGGCACAACCAACTGCAGGCAGCTTGGACAACCCTGAGGGCGCTTCCAGCTGAACTGTGGAGTGTTTGGCAGAAGCAAGAGCAGGGGGCCAAGCTTCTGGTGATGGCCTGGGCCCTAGACACCCCCTCCCCTAACAAAACCCAGAAAGGAGTGACTGGGAGAGAAGGCATAGTCAGGAGCATCACTCCCACGCCTGGCCTCCCCACCACCAAGCCTGCCTGGCCTCCCCAGCACCAAGCCCACAGGCACGGCACACTAGCAACCGCCCAGAATGACTCACACCTTCCTGTGACATTGTCTAATATGAACTGCCCAGGGTCTTGAAGCACCGAGCACTGGGAGATCCCCGTGTCCCCAGGAACTGTACTCTGCATTTTCAAATAGAACATTTTCATGATATGTTGATGGCCACTCTTTTCCCTGACTGGCCATCTGAGAAACTGAACAGAGGTGAGGTTACGGCACCCCCCAAAGGTGACCAGAGAAGCTCATCACTGACAGCCCAGGGGAGCCCTTTTGGGCCCGACACAGAGTGTCACCCTCTGAAGCTGTCACAGAATCAGAGACTAGGGCTCTGTCACCTCACACCTCGGGAACACTGCAGGGGTGCTCTGCAGCAGCATGTTTCTCTCTCTCTCTCTTTTTTTTTTTTTTTTTGAGACAGAATCTCACTCTTGTCCAGGCTGGAGTGCAGTGACATGATCTTGACTCACTGCAACCTCCACCTCTTGCGTTCAAGCAATTCTCCTGCCTCAGCCTACCGAGTTAACTGGGATTACAGGCACCACGCCCAGCTGTTTTGTATTTTTGGTAGGGACGGGGTTTCCCCATGTTTGCCAGGGTGGTCTCAAACTCCCGACTTCAAGTGATCCGCCCGCCTTGGCCTCCCAAAGTGTTGGGACTACAGGCATGAGCCACCATGCCTGGCCTGCAGCATGTCTCTTTTTTTTTTTTTTTGAGACGGAGTCTCTCTCTGTCACCCAGGCTGGAGTGCAGTGGCGCAGTCTCGGCTCACTGCAACCTCCATCTCCCAGGTTCACACCATTCTCCTGCCTCAGCCTCCCGAGCTGGGACTACAGGCGCCTGCCACCATGCCCGGCCAATTTTTTGTATTTTTAGTAGAGATGGGGTTTCACCATGCTAGGCAGGATGGTCTCGATCTCCTGACCTCGTGATCCACCCATCTCGGCCTCCCAGAGTGCTGGGATTACAGGCGTGAGCCACTGCGCCCGGCCCAGCATGTCTCTTAAACGCAGGGGCCACGAGCAGAGCTGTCAGAATGCTTCAGAGGAAAACAAGTGGGGCCCGGTGACAACTCACACAAGACACTGGGGGTGACACGGAAGAAGGGGACCCTCCAGGGCTGCTTTTAAGTTGGGGGCATTCTTAGAATTAAGAAGCTGTCAATCAACTGCCAGATCCTGCAAAGAACTGTTTCAACTCCATTAAGGAAAAATAAAGGAAACCCAAAAGAAAAACAGACAGAGGATACAATGTTCTCATGAAGATTGCCTGTAACCAATAAACATTTTAAAAGATGCTTAAAGTTGCAAGTCATGGATAGAATGTAAATTAAGGCATCAATAAGACAACCTTTTTCACCCAACAGATTAGGTTAAATCTAGTGCTGGAGAAAGTGTGGGGAAACAGGCATTCTCAGGCCACGGAGCAACATCTGTTAAAACTCTAAAAGGTTGGGCAGGCGTGGTGGCTCATGCCTGTAATCCCAACATTTTGGGAGGCCAAGGCGGGTGGGTCACTACAGGTCAGGAGGAGTTCAAGACCAGCCTGACCAACATGGTGAAACCCTGTCTCTACTAAAACTACAAAATCACCTGGGCTTGTTGGCGCATGCCTGTAATCCCAGCTACTTGGGAGGCTGAGGCAGGAGAATTGTTTGAACTCGGGAGGCGGAGGTTGCAGTGAGCTGAGATCGCGCCACTGCACTCCAGCTTGGGTGACACAGCAAGACTCCATCTCAAAAAACAAACAAACAAACAAACAAACAAAAACCTCTAAAAGGTACATGCCCTTTAGCCTAGCAATTCCACTTGGAGGAGCCCAGCCTGCAAAACTACTCACAAATGCACACAAGTGAATACACACACTCAAGAATGTTCACTGTAGGGCTATATTTTAACAGAAGAAAACTTACAGGCACCTAAATGTTCTTCCACAGAGGAATAATTATAAATAATGATTCATCCATATAATAAAATACTATATAGGTATAGAAGAAAACGTTTAAGGACTATGTTAACAATGATGTTATCTCTGGAGAATGGGATTTTAGGAGAGGACTCCCATTATACCTTTGCATGACATTTATAATCAGAAAACAAACCTTCAAAAAAATGAGTTGCTGGGATGATGGTATGATCCCATTTACATAAAACGGAAAATAATATATATGCATATGTACATACGTGTAGCTGTGCTGTCTAGAAAAGTGTCTGCAAGTGTCTGCATCTGTATATAGTAGCTATGGCTTCACATCTTTACAACAAGCACACCTAAGTGTGGCTTGTTTAATTTTAAAAAGACCCGAGCTGGGGCTCAACAGTCTGCTGGAGCCACCTCATGTGGTCCCTTGGCTCATACCTCTCCCTAAGCAACTCCTCCACACTCTCAGTAGTGTCTGCATGCGGAGGAGTCCCTCAGACTCATTTCCCAGGGGCCTCCTCTGAGCCCCAAGTCTACATGACCAAGTTGCTTTGCAAAATCTCCCTCCAGATCCACCCAAGTCAGACACAAGGCTTGGTCTTCCCTTCCACATCAGGTCCTGTTCTGGCGTTCTATCTCTGCAATGGCTCCATCACCGTTTATGCTCACCCCTCCTCCCCATGACCCATGCCTAGACCGCCACTACATCCTCCATCTCTCTCAAACACACCTCTGCTCCCACTCCTGCCACCACACACCCCCAACAGCCTCAGTCTGGGGAGCTGTCATCTCTCACCTGGATGCCAGTGCCTGCCTGTGCCATCCATCCTCCAAGCCACAAATAAACGGTGGCTGGAAAACAGGAGCCTGATCTGTGGCTACTCCCTGCTTAGACGCCTCAATGGCTGTCCATGGCACGAATACCAAGGCCAATCCCCTAACCGGGCCTGGAACACCCCTTACCTTCCACCCCTGCCTCACCATCCTCCCCTCCCTCTGGGCTCCATCCTCTGGCCACCATCAGGCCCCAGGGCCACTACACAGGGGATTCCCACCATCTGAGACTCCCTCTCCCTCGCCCCCAGTCCCAGTCCCACAGCACCCAGGAGGTTCCCAGTCATCCTTCGGTTCTCAGCTCAGTCCTCGATTCCTCAGTGAAACCAACTCCGACCCTCCCCTCAGTTCAAGGTTTCCATGATACCATCACTGTGCCTCAGAGATTTCATCTCTGTCCCTGCCCCTCAGCTCTGCGTGCCAGGAAAGTGAAGCATTGTTGAACCCAGATGCCCAGCTCAGTGTGTGCACCAGAGCAGGAGTACAGCGTTTGATGGGTCCTACATATGCAGAAAAATGTTTGAAAACTGTCATGGCCTGGATGCCCCCAAAATTCATGTGTTGAAACTTAACTGCCAATGTGACAGCATTAAGATACAAGGCCTTTAGGAGGTGATTAAGTTCTGCAGGGGGAGCCCTGATAAACAGGATCAGTGACCTTGTAAAACGGCTTGAAGGAACCAGCGAGGCAGGTTTTGCCCTTCTGCCTTCTGCCCTTCTGCCCTTCTGCCTTCTGCCCCATGGGGACACAGCAAGAAGGCCCTCACCAGACACTGAATGCTGGTGCCTTGGTCTCAGACTTCCCAGCCTCCAGAACTGTAAGAAATAAATATCTGTTGTTTATAAACTACCCTGTCTCAAGTATCTTGTTACAGCAGCACAATAGACTAAGACAAATACTGTACATACTTAAAAAAAGAATCCTTTGATTCTGTCTGGGCACAGTGGCTCACACCTATAATCCCAGCACTTTGGGAGGCCAAGGCAGGTGGATTGCCTGAGCTCAGGAGTTCGAGACCACCCTGGGCAACATGGTGATACCCCATCTCTACTAAAATACAAAAAATTAGCTGGGTGTGGTGGCGCATACCTGTAGTCCCAGCTACTCAGGAGGCTGAGGCACGAAAATCGCTTGAGCCCCACAGGCAGAGGTTGCAGTGAGCCAAGATCGCACCACTGCACTCCAGCTTGGGCTACAGAGTGAGACTCCATCTCAAAAAAAAAGAAAGAAAGAGAAAAGGCCAGGTGCGGTGGCTCACGCCTGTAATCCCAGCACTTTGGGAGGCCAAGGCGGGTGGATCACAAGGTCAAGAGATGGAGACCATCCTGGCCAACACGGTGACACCCCGTCTCTACTAAAAATACAAAAAAAATTAGTTGGGCATGATGGCACGCACCTGTAGTCCCAGCTACTTGGGAGGCTGAGGCAGGAGAATTGCTTGAACCCAGCAGGCGGAGGTTGCAGTAAGCCTATATCATACCACTGCACTCCAGCCTGGCGACAGAGTGAGACTCCATCTAAAAAAAAAATCAAAAAACAAAATAAAACCTCTTATTTTGAAAATGTTCAAATATACACAGAAGTATAGAGAGAAGAGTAGAATGGATGCCCATGTGCCCAGCATCCAGCCTCAGGAACTACCAGCCTCCTGCTGTTTTATTTTCTCTATCCATCCTTCACATCTTTTTTTTTTCTCGTTTTACTCACAAATACTTAAGTATGTAAGTAGATACACTTCACCCACATAATAGAGAATACTCTATACATGTATTCATGGGTCAAAGGGGTCCCTGAGATACACACAATTCATACTCATCCCTCTGAACACTGCAAGCGTCGTGTGGAGCCATTTGCTTTCCCACACACTCGCTTTCTGCCGCAGCAAGGCTGGACCCTGCTGGAGTGGTGATGTGCAGGAACTGCCTCATAGCTCAGGTGGTAAAGTTATTTGGCTGGGAACTGAGTCTCTCCCCACATGCTGTCACACCCTTCCCGGCCCTGACAAACACAAAGAGATGCATCCCATTGAGTCACCCACTTGGCTGAACCGTGTACCTGGTAACCTCCTTGGGAGGTTCTTTGGAGGGTATTTTTCTCCTCTACACAAAGCATGCCTGCGAAGTAAGCTGAGAATGACAAAAACAGGAAAGCCCAATCTTGCAGAGACAGAGGGGCCAAGGCCTGCATGATAATGCGGCCCAAATTCATAGCTCAGACCCAAAAGAAAACAAATGTTCCATTCTTTCTGTGTCCACCTCTAAACTAAGCAATACAGTGAGGGCAGTAAATTGCAATTACAAGTAAGAACTTTAGCAGTTGCTGATCATAAAATGAAAAGGGACAAATATGTTTATCCTTAACAGGGTCACAAATAATTCCACAGCTGTTAATTTTGGCAGCCACGACTCTGCAGGCAGTATGGGCTCATGGTATACTATCTTCATTGTCACCTCGGACAAAGATCCTGTTGGCCAAAGGCACACAGGCATCTTCAGGAAAACTAGATTTAAATGGTAAGATTAAAAAACACAGTCATTATTTAAAAGCACAAGAAAGGTTTCTTTTTTAAAGTTCACTAACAAATCCAGAGAGTGATGAAAGCCAATGCTTTATCCACTTATCAACACAGATCACATGACTGCTTTCAGATGACTCACTTGGCCAGATTTACTGACCAGGACCCTGCACAAAATACTACAGAGAAGACCAACGTTGACAGAGGATGTCTATGTCCTGTGTTCTGCCCACATGAAACCAGCTACCTCCAACCCTCCCTGTCCCTCCTCCAAGGGGTGTGTCTCCGAGTCCCCCGAATCAGTCACCTGTGCTCCATCTCCACCACCATCAGACCTGAGACTCTCAAAGGTCAGAGACGGGCAAGCAGCAGCCACTCAGTGAGAGAGGGAAAGGGATGGCAGGCAGGCCCCAGCCTCAGACTAAGCCAGCATTGGAGAAACTCAAAGGTGTTCAGGTTACTGTCACTTATTTTTCAGAAAAACAAAATAGGATTTAGAAAAGCTATCATCTGTGCACATACCAAATCATTCTTCATGAGCAGAGTTTTCACCCCAATCACCACCCTGACTGTGCCCTCCTCTGCTCGCTGTGAGATGCCATCTCAAACAGCTCCCAAATGGCCCTTCCTAGGACAAACACAAGCCTCAGCTCAGACAAACAGGGCTGCACAATGTGCGTGTTCCCTCAACTTCTCCAGCAAATGCTCACTTCAGTTAAATTGAGGAGAAAAGCTGCTCCTAACTGAGCAGCAAGAAGGGAAAGATAAGGCGTGCAAAAACAGTATCACATCTGAAAAGTTACCCTCCACCTTACCCCAGCCTTACCCTAACTTTACCTCACCTTACTCCAACTGTAGGCCACCCTACCCCAACCTTACCCCACTTTACCCCAACCTTGTTCTATCTTATCCCAGCATTATCCCACCTTACCCCACTTTACCCCAACCTTGCTCTATCTTATCCCAGCCTTACCCCACCTTACCCCATCCTTACTCCAACTTTACCCCAACCTTTCTCTATCTTATCCCAGCCTTACCCCACATTACCCCACTTTACCCCAACCTTGCTCTATCTTATCCCAGCCTTACCCCACCTTACCCCATCCTTACTCCAACTTTACCCCAACCTTACTCCAACCTTACCCCAAGCTTACCCCACTTTACCCCAACCTTGCTCTATCTTATCCCAGCCTTACCCCACCTTACCCCATCCTTACTCCAACTTTACCCCAACCTTTCTCTATCTTATCCCAGCCTTACCCCACATTACCCCACTTTACCCCAACCTTGCTCTATCTTATCCCAGCCTTACCCCACCTTACCCCATCCTTACTCCAACTTTACCCCAACCTTACTCCAACCTTACCCCAAGCTTACCCCCACTTTACCCCAAGCTTACTCCAACCTTACCCCCTTACTCATCTTACTCCAACCTTACCCCAACTTTGCCAAACCTTACTTCATCTTAGCCCACCTTACCCCAACCTTACTCCGCCTTACCTCAACCTTATCCCACCTTACCCTAACCTTATTTTACCTTACCCCAACTTTAGCCACCGTATACCAACCTTACTCCACCCTTAACCTCATCCTTACTCCATCCTACTCCACCTTGCTCCAACCTTACTTTCAGTAAAATGGCAATGATAATCATATCTAACTCATGGGGATGTTGTGAAAATCAAATGAGAAAATACATATGAAGCACTCAATAAATATTAACTATTTTAATTAGCCTTTGAAGATTTTAAATTTGGTGAAAATTTATAAACAAAAACTCCATGTTTATTTGTAAATTAAATCAGAGTAAACCGTTATTGTTACTTCACTTAAAACATTAATTTGCTATTTATTTATTAAGATGGAGTCTCGCTCTGTGACCTAGGCTGGAGTGCAGTGGCACGATCTCAACTCGATGTAGCTTCCGCTTCAGTAGCTGGGACTACTGGCGTGTGCCACCACACCTGGCTAATTTTTTTGTGTTTTTAGTAGAGACAGGGTTTCATATATTGGCCAGGCTAGTCTCAAACTCCTGACCTCAAGTGATCCGCCTACCTCGGCCTCCCAAAGTGCTGGGATTACAGGCATGAGCCACTGTGTGGGCTTAATTTGCTATTCACATGGATCTGGCTGGAGCAATTAAACACCTCTGAGATGAAGCTCAGATAGCCAAGGAAAAGGCAGAGTCCTTCTGGCCACAGTGTAGTCTCTGGCAAGAAGCTAATTCCACCAGGCCTTCATCTTCTCAACCATAAACAAGGGGTGTGGTTGTTTATGGTTGAGAACAAAGTGAATGTTGTCAAAGGGGTGTGTATTCTGAAGAGTAGTTATAAGGCATACCAACAACCGCTGTTCTTCTCTTGTGCAGCTAGTGAGTGCAGAATATATGCCCCTTTGATAACACTCATTTTGTGCTGAGAGCACCACTCAGCAGAGGAGGAGGCTCCAGGCTCCAGGCAGAGCTGTACAGCGGTATGAGGAGGCCAGTTCCAGCCCTGGGTCCTCCCATGAGACCCTGGGATCTTGGATGCACCTGGCTGAACACTTACCACCAGCTCCCTCTATCCACACAAACACTGACACACAGGAAATCCCCAGATGTTATGACACCAGTGCAAGAGCTTAGAGGGCCTATTCTCGAACTGCCACTTAATGATGGTTTGGCCAAACAGGATACATGCCAGCCCCTGGCTCCTGCCAGCCAGCACAAGGTGACCCTGCAGCCTACTCTTGCCTTGCAACTGGAAAAGTCTCTCTCTCTCTCTCTCTGCTCATCTCCCTCTTTTCTGGGAGTGTTAATATGGATGATAGTCAAATCTGTTCTAATTGGGCCCTTGATTTTTAGCTCAACCCATATTTCCTGTGTATTTTCTGCTGAGGCCATCCAGCTGAATCCCTGGCACCCAGAACACCAACAGATACTCAGTAAATACTCGTTGAGTGAATCACTCCAACATTATGAGGTAGGTCTTGTCATCCACATTCTGCAATATGAGGCAAATCGCCAAGGCTAAGTGAACTGGTCAAGATGACTTGGCTAGTAAATTGCCATTAGGTACCTCCATGGAGATGCTCCCCAGGCCTCATGCACCTGGTGTGCAGCACTGACCTCACCTCAGCCCTCCCTCCTCATCCTGCACTTCCCCACCCCACCATCCCCCAGCCCACTCTCCTTCCTGAACTCCCTGTGTCAGCTCCAGCTTCCACTCTCTTTCACCAGCACTTCCTACAGCCACCTCTCGCTCCTAGCTTCTCGCCTTTACAACCGTTCTCCACGAGGCACCAGGGCAAGCTGCCCTAAACCCAAATCTGACCAGGCCCTTCTCTGCCTAAGGCTCTGCAATGGCTCCCCACCCTCTAGAGAATAAAAGTCAAGCTCCGGTTTTACACTCCAGCATCTGCTTCTAGTTCTCCAAACACATCACAAACTCCCTGGCCTTCCTGCTTGCGTTCCTACTGTACCTAGGGGACCCATCTCACACTGCCTGTGAACTCCCATTTCTGCCAAGCTCAGGTCCCACTTCTCTAGGAAGCCCCCCTGCCCTCACCCCTAGGTCCAGGTCAGGCAGGGACAGCTGTAATCCTCAACATCACAGGGTATAGATACAATTACCTAGTTATGTGTCCACCTGCCCTATTCAAGTAGAAGCACCTGAGGGCAGAGACTAGGTCTTTTTTGATCTTTGGATGCTGAGTGCCTGGCACAAGGTCTGCACTTGGTGGACACTTCAGTGTCTTAATGATTCAATTCACCCAGTTTTCCAAACCTAGGCATCATCTTAGTTTCTGCTCTAATCGGGAGCCTGTCAATTACTCTGCCCAAAATCTCTCTGGAATCCTTCTTTCTCCCTCCCCACTGCACTCCTGAGCTCAGGCCCTCATTATTCCCTGGACTGAGACTAACTTCCTTCCTCCGAAATCCCCTTTGTATAATTACAATTCCTGTCTGGTTCCTGTAAGTCACTTTACTGAAACACACATCTTATGTAAATTCCACGCCTAAAGACCCTCTGCAGCGTTTCAGGACCTGCAGATGAAGGGGGCTTTCAAGACACTCCCCATGCCTTTCCCACCTCCCGCTCCAAGCCCACCTCTTGCCTCCCTACGAGCCCAACACCGCTCTAGCGATCATTCCCAGAACTCTCTAGACACATCTATGCCCTATGCAGGCTTTCAGGCACCTGCTGTGCCAGGATGCTCCTAGGGCCATCTCTCGTCTCGGCCATCTCCCGTCTTATCCTTCAAGTTCTGGTTCAGAGGTCATCTACTTGACGAAACCTGAGCTGCCCCCTCCTCCCACTCAGAACTCATCCCCTGCCTCTCCTCTCTGACCCCAGGCACTTTCACCGCCACTCCTTACACCACAAGGTCCCTGCCCCACCTTCCTGGCACCAGGCTGCAGCACCCAACGCAAGCGCGTGCAACCAGTCATTAAGCGGCCGCCCCGTTTCCTTCCATTTAACCTTGCTGCGTCGAACATATCGTGCACCCTCTTCATCTCAACAATGGGAAGAAAGAGTTCCAGGGCTATGACGTGCCTGGCCCAAAGCCACGCTGTGGGGCAGAGCTGGGACCTAGGCCTTCTAATTGGAAATCTTATTTATGCGCAGCACTGAATGCGCGGGTCGGCAGTGAGGACCCCAGGGGTCCGGGGTTGAGGGGGCCGTGCCAGCTGCTTCCGCACCATGGCCACCCTGCTCATGAGGACTCAAGTCCGTGCATTTGCTGAAATTTGGTCTCCTTCCACTCTCGGTTGACTAGAACCATTCTCTCCTTCCCGCAGCTGATACGAGAACTTGGGGGGCAGTTGCTGTCTAGTGATCCCCACGTCGGAGCGGAAGCCCGCGGCGCCACACACGCACCACGCACGCCTCGCACATGCGCAGCCCTCGCTCTCGCACGCAACTCGTGGCCACCTAGCCTAGAGGCGGCTGCCAAGCGTCCTGGCTGAGGGATGGCGGGACCCCAGGCGGCTGGAGTGGAGAAAGTTGACCGCCCCCGTCTTTTCTGCCCCGTGGGTGGCTACTGCGTGCCCCCAAGTAACCCAGAGGTTGAGGGCCCCCCAGTGCGCGGCGGCCGGGGGTCAGGATGCGGGACTCCCCTCCACCGCCATGATCTCGCAGTGTGGGGGAGCGCTCGGGGACAGAAATGAGGCCCGAGATGTGTGCCTTCTCCTTGCTCCTGACCGCTGACTTCGTTATTCCAAATACGCAGCCGAAACCATCGCTCTTGCAGGTGCAGCTTTTCTCTGCCTCTCCTATGTGGAAAGCAGCGCAGCGTGGACTCCAGCCAAACTCCCTCGATTGGATTGCAGCTCTCTGGCTCTCTGTCCCTGTGACCTTGGGCAGTTTACCTCCTCTATGTCTCAGTTTCCTCAGCTGTGCAAAGGGGTTACTGATCCTGCTTAATGGGGTGGGTTGTTGTGAAGAGGAAATGAGTTAACATAAGTAGAGAAAGAGACTGGTGCCTGGCAAGCACTATGTGAGTGTTTTGATGTTATTATTGCTGTTTTTATTAGAGCTGTGTGTAACGGGACGTTTAATGAGCCTTTTCCTGTTACCCTGGAATTAGTGAGTCAGGGCACAAAGGTGAGTACCCAGAGGCATTCAGTATCCCACACTGTAAAGGCAGCACAACATGGCAGCACCCAGAGCTTATTGTTAGAGGGCTGAAGAGCCAGCCCTGCCATTCTGAACCACCACCACCCTACCCTCAGGCTTACATAACTGGACAACGGGGGAGGGATGGGGCGGGAGGAAGGGTAAGAGTTTCCCTAAGCAGCTTCCTGGGTGCAGAAATAGGGAGGGTGCGGTGCTATTACTAAAGCCAACAGGGTGTAGCTCAAAGAGAGTTACCATAATGACTTCAGATGCCTAAAAAAGAGAGGCTGGCATCTTCCCTGATTGGATGTCTGCTTGGACAGTGTGAGCTTGCTAGACTGCCTTTATACCTGGCTTTGAAGAAATCTAGAAAACTCAGAGACCTCTGGGCAAGGGTCTTCAGGGGGCTTCCCTGTCATTGCTTGTGCTGTCCAATGCCAGACCACATCCACTAGGCAAGAGGCTGTGGAGCAAACAGCAATAGGGAGTAACACTGATGGCAAAGCTAGTTGGAGTTGGGAGTGAAGGAGGTTGAGCTAGAGCTCGTTTCCCATATCAGAACACTCTATACTGAAGATACCCTGCAGAGCCTTTGGAAAAACTTACATGAACTCCCCATGAAAGAAGGTCAGTGGGGCTGGGCGCGGTGGCTCATGCCTGTAATCCCAACACTTCAGGAGGCCAAGGCGGGCAGATTACGAGGTCAGGAGTTCGAGACCAGCCTGACCAACATGGTAGAACCCCGTCTCTACTAAAAATACAAAAATTAGCCAGGCGTGGTGGCACTTGCCTGTAATCCCATCTACTCAGGAGGCTGAGGCAGGAGAATTGCTTGAACCCAGGAGGCAGAGGTTGCAGTGAGCCGAGATCACACCACTGCACTCCAGCCTGGGTGACAGAGCGAGACTCCGTCTCAAAAAAAAAAAAAAAAAAAAAAAAGGTTAGTGTACAGACTGGCCTCACAGAGATCAAAAACAGCTAGTTGGAGAACTTAAGTTACCTGATTTTAACACTTTAGGGAGGGATTAGATCATGAGGACTCCAACTTCATGAATAGATTAGTGCCCTTATAAAAGGGCCCAAAGGAACCAGCTAGCCCTTTTATGCCTTTCCATCTCTTTCACCGTGAGTACACAGTGTTCATTTCCTCAAGAGGACACAACAAGGCACCATCTTGGAAGCAGAGAGCGAGCCATCACTGGACACCAAACCTGCAGGTGCCTTGATCTTGGACTTCCCAGCCTCTATAACTGTAAGTGATGAATTTGCTGTTTACAAATTATCCAGTTTCAGGTATTTTGTTATAGCAGCACAAACAGACTAAGACACATAATTTTAAAAATTGATTAATCATACTGCATCAAATTTTAAACTTTGACCACTTCAAAAGACACTATTAGACCAGTGGTTGGTTGCCAGGGGTTGCATTTGAGGGGAGGGGATTGACTAGAAGAGGGTATAGGGAAATTTTGGGAGGGTGATGGGAAAATTCTATATCTTGATTGTAGTGGTAGAATTCGCAGAACTCTGCCTAAAAAGGGTGAGTGTTATTAAATGTAAATTATACTTCAATAAACCCAGAGAAAATTAATTTTTAATAAGACCTCATTTAGACAATGAAAGACAAGCTACAGACTAGGAGAATATCTAAACACATATCTCATAAAGTATTTCTACTCAGAATACATAAAGAACTCATTTGGCTCTATAAGAAAATTGCAAACAGGCTGAATGCAGTATCTTAGCATTTTGGGAGGCCGAGGTGGGCAGATCGCTTGAGCCCAGGAGTTTGAGACCAGCTTGGGTAACATGGCAAAACCCCATCTCTACAAAAAAAAAAACAAGTTAGCCAGGTGTGGTGGTGCATGCCTGTAGTCCCAGCTGCTCAGGAGGCTGAAGTGGGAGAGTCGCCTGAGTCCAGGAGGTAAAGGTTGCAGTGAGCTGTGATTGCACCACTGCACTCCAGCTGAGTGACAAAGTGAGACCCTGTCTCAGTAGATAGATAGATAGATAGACAGATAGGTAGATTGATTGATTGATTTACAAACAAAATAATATTTCACCAAAGAAGAAATACAATACAGATGACACATAAGTACCTGAAGGATGCTTGGCCATCATCTGTTGTTAGAGAAACACAAAACCACCAGTGAGACATCACTAAACCAGTACATGTCCACTTGAATGACCCAAATTAAAAAGACTAACAGTAGCAAGTGTTGATGAAGATGTGGAGCAACTAGAATTCTCACATATAGCAGGTAGGAATGAATGCAAAATGATTAGGCCAATTTGGAAAACATTTTGGTAATTTCTCATGAAGTTGTAACCGCTTAACCATTCAGCTCAGCAATCCTACTGCTAGGTACTTAGCCCAGAGACATAGAAACATGTCACCACAAGACTTACCTATAGCAAAATGTTCATAGAAGCATTATGAATAATAGTCAAAAAGTGGAGGCCGGGCACAGTGGCTCATGCCTGTAATCCCAGCACTTTGGGAGGCCAAGGCGGGCAGATCACCTGAGGTCAGGAGTTCGAGACCAGCCTGACCAACATGGTGAAACCCGTCTCTACTAAAAATACAAAAATTAGCCGGGCATGGTGGTGCATGCCTGTAATCCAAGATACTCAGGAGGCTGAGGCAAGAGAATCGCTTGAACCGAGGAGACAGAGGTTGCAGTGAGCCAAGATTGCACCACTGTACTCCAGCCTGGGTGACAGAGCGAGACTCCGTCTCAAACAAACAAACAAAAAGTGGAACAGGTAGATCCATACAGTGGAATAACACTTGGCAGAATAAAGGAACAGACTGCTGCTGCACACAGCAAGAAGGAGTCTCACATTTGTCAGGCTCAGCAGGAGAAGCCAGACACCAAGGGCTGCATACTGTGAAATTCTAGAAAGGCAACACTGTGGTGAGAGAAAGCAGATGAGTACTTAGGGGCTAGGTGTTGGGGGAAAGGATTGACTGCATGGAGCACAAAGTGGGCTCGGCAGTGAAAATATTTTGTATCATAATTGTGGTAGTTATTTGTCAAAAATTGAATTGTGTGCTTAAAATTGGTGAACTTTGTTGTAAGTAAAGTATACCTCAATTTAAAAAAAAATTAAATTAGTGTTAGCCTGAGAAAAATACGGCCAGTGTACCCTGTACGTGGAAAGACTTTTGCCGTTTTCCCTAATTCATTCTCCATGACCTGACATCAGAGAAGGGAGACCCTAAGGAGAGTGGTGGGAATTCAGAGGCAGCACATCCCACCTGTTCTCTTAAAGAGTCCTAAGCCATAAACCCACATGGTGATGGGAGTGGGCAAAGGCTTACCCTGTATTTGAGATTGAACTAGCTGGACTTTGAATAACTGCTTGGGAACTTACGGGATCTGCCCAAAGTATTGTTAAGGGAAATATGGGAAATTTGACAGAGATTCATTGAAGGTAGCAATTAGAGAAAGTAATTTATACCTCCTGAGATGAGATAGCTCAGTAATTTGCATTTATCATTAAATTAGTATAACAGAGCTTCCACAGAGCATGTGGACACAGTACTGTATTTTCCAAATATATATAGATGCCATTGCAGTTAATAAAATACAGACTCAGCTGGGTGCGGTGGCTCACGCCTATAATCCCAGCACTTTGGGAGGCCGAGGCAGGCGGATCACAAGGTCAGGAAATCGAGACCATCCTGGCTAACACAGTGAAACCTCGTCTCTACTAAAAATACAAAAAATTAGCCGGGCGTGGTGGCGGGCTCCTGTAGTCCCAGCTACTCCGGAGGCTGAGGCAGGAGAATGGTGTGAACCCAGGAGGTGGAGCTTGCAGTGAGCCGAGATCGCGCCACTGCACTCCAGCCTGGGAGACAGAGCGAGACTCCATCTCAAAAATTAAATAAATAAAATAAATTTAAAAAAATTAAAAAATAAAATACGGACTCACTTAAGATATTGCTGAGCTTGGCCTGGCATAGTGGCTCATGCCTGTAATCCCAGCACTTTGGGAGGCCAACGCAGGCAGATCACTTGAGCCCAGGAGTTTGAGATCAGCTTGGACATGACAAGACCCTGTCTTTAAAAAAAAAAAAAAATTATAAAATAATACCTACATTGCTGACCTTATAATGCACTTTTGTCATTATATATTTTCTTGATCAGCAGATACTGAAAGTGCAGCTGTTATACCAAGGAGTCCTTGGTGTTTGAGGGAGTGTCCCTACAGGGGTGATAGTACAGCCGATACAGTCCTTTGGAAACAAGAATGGAAATGGGGCTGGGCGCAGTGGCTCATGCCTGTAATCCCAACACTTTGGGAGGCCAAGACGGGTGAATCACAAGGTCAGGAGATCAAGACCATCCTGGCTAACATGGTGAAACCCAGTCTCTACTAAAAATACACAAAATTAGGCAGGCATGGTGGTGGGTGCCTGTAGTCCCAGCTACTCGGGAGGCTGAGGCAGGAGAATGGCATGAAACCAGGAGGCAGAGCTTGCAGTGAGCCAAGATCGCGCCACTGCACTCCAGCCTGGGTGACAGAGTGAGACTCCGTCTCAAAAAAAAAAAAAAAAAAAATTAAGATATGGGCCGGGTGCAGTGGCTCATGCCTGTAATCCCAGCACTTTGGGAGGCTGAGGCGGGTAGATTATGAGGTCAGGAGTTCAAGACCAGCCTGGCCAAGATGGCGAAACTCCATCTCTACTAAAAATACAAAAAATTAGCCAGGCCTGTAATCCCGAGTAGCCTGTAATCTCAGCTACTCAGGAGGCTGAGGCAGAGAATTGCTTGAACCTGGGAGGCAGAGGTTACAGTGAGCCAAGATTGTGCCACTGCACTCCAGCCTGGGCAACAGAGCAAGACTCTATTTAAAAAAAAAAGAAGATACCCCACACCATCTCCTCCCTCAATTCTCTGCCAATTACCCCCCGAAAACCCTAATTCCCAAATCTTTTTCTTCCATTAAGATCTCTCCTAAATTCCAGATGTCTAGCCCACTGCCTACTGGACTTCCTCACTTGCTACCTCACAGGCACCTCGAATTCAGCATTTCCAAATTCTAGTTTATCACCTCTCCCAGTGCCCCGATCGGCTCCCTGACACCGTGTGATGCCACAAGTCACACACTCATGCACATGCACAGAACTGGTAACCAAGGCCCATAGCTCTTATCACCTAAATTTCTTTTTTATTTGTATGAATTTATGGGGTATAGGTGCAGTTTTGTTACATCCATAGATTGTATATTGGTGAAGTGTGGACTTTTAGGGTATCCAACACCCAAATATCTGTACCCATTAAGTAACTTCTCACCAGCCACCTCTCTCCCACCCCTCACCCTTCAAAGTCTCCATTGTCTATCATTTCACACTCTAAGTCCTTATGTACATGTTATTTAGCTCCCACTTACAAGTGAGAACCTGTGGTATTTGTCTTTCTGTGTCCAGCTTGTTTCACTTAAGATAATGGCCTCCAGTTTCATCCATGCTGCTGCAAAAGATATGATTTTATTCTTTTTTATGTCCAAATAGTATTCCATTGTGTATATATACCATGTTTTCTTTCTTCATTCTTCCATCCATGGACACTCAAGCTGATTCTTTGTCTTTGCTATTGTGAATAGTGCTGCAGTAAACATACAAATACAGGTGTCTTTTTGACGTAATGATTTCTTTTCCTTTAGATACCCAGCAACGGGATTGCCAGATCGAATGGTAGTTCTATTTTCAGTTCTTTGAGAAATCTTCCTAGTGTTTTCCATAAAGGTTGAATGAATTTACATCCCCACCCATCACCTAAGTTTCAAGTTCATCCCCAATTTCCCCCCACACTACTTTTGCCTGCAGAATCCTTGCAAATAGCTGCCTGTGCAGTCCCCCTGCCTCCAGTTGCTGCCCCCTCCCCAAAGACTGTGGCTTTGTTTGGATGAGTCTGGCATACCCCATCACCCTTCCCACCCTGCAACGGAAGCCCTCCGGTGGGTTCCCACTGCTCTGAGGACAGAGTCCAAGGCTCCTAGCCAGGCACTGAAGGTCCTGCCTGGGCCAGCCCCAGCAGCCCCCACCCCCAACCCCAGCTCTAGTTCCTTTGTCACCCTGTGGCAGTTCAGCTGTACCCCCACACAGAGAACACTGGAAGGTGCCCAAGGTATGCTTGTTGGGTGGATCAGTCCAATGTTATAAGGTAGGTATTGCCATCACCATTCTGTATATAACTAGATGAGCTCACTGAGGTTAAGACAACTGCACTTAGCTAGTAAATAGAACAGGTCTGGGATGAACCTAGGCCCATTGAACTGGAGAGCCTGAGGTCGTAAACTCTGTGCCAAAGACTTCTTGAGCATGCGAACTCACCGAGATCAGAAGCACACAGCAATGGCTGCACTGCAGTGTTGAGCGGGTGTGGAGATGTGCTTAAATGCCTCAGGGGCAAGGACCAGGGCATAGGAGAAGCCACATGGTGATGGAAGGTGACTGGGGCCACATGGTGATGGCAGGTGGCCAAGACCAGTATGCAGAAAAGGAAGGCAGCACGTGGCATTGCCGGGGCTATGGACAGACTTGCAGGGGTGGGGTGCAGTTCTTAGTTTTCCAAGACAGGAGGGCAGCTGCGGGCCTGGCCCTGACAAGATTCCTTTGACTCAGAGAGGAAATCAAGCTGCATGGCCATCAACCCATGTGAGACAGAAACTGGCTCCTCCTTAGCGCCCTGGGGAACAGCACCCCACCAGGCTGAGCCCTTGAGCTGCAGGAGGAGGAGCTGGCCCAGGTGAGCGTGGAATACTCACCTCCCCGCAGTTTGAGGGGCCTGGCTCTTTCCTTCTGAGGCTACTTTGGGGCCTCACAAATCAGGTGAAAGTTCAGTCGTAATCACACATGTGCTTACATGTAGTAGTTTGTGGAACATTTGCCCTAAACTTGTCCTGGGAACAATCTTTAGAAGAGTTTATTTGGCTGGGCAAGGTGGCTCACGCCTGTAATCCCAGCACTTTGGGAGACCAAGGTGGGAGGTATTGCTTGTGGCCAGGAGTTTGAGACCAGCCTGGGCAACCTCGTGAGACTCCATCTGTACAAAAAAAAAATTTTTTTTTTTTTTGAGACAGTCTCGCTCGCCCTGTTGCCCAGGCTGGAGTGCAGTGGCACGATCTCAGCTCACTGCAACCTCCACCTCCCCAGTTCAAGCAGTTCTCCTGTCTCAGCCTCCCAAGTAGCTAGGACTACAGGTGCGTGCCCCCATGCCTAGCGAATTTTTGTATTTTTAGTAGAAGCGGGGTTTCACCATATTGGTCAGGCTGGTCCTGAACTCCTGACCTCAAGTAATCCACCCGCCTCGGCCTCCCAAAGTGCTGGGATTACAGGCGTGAGCCACCGTGCCCATCCCCCAAATTTTCTTTTTTAATTAGCTGGGTGTTGGCCAGGCGTGGTGGCTCACGCCTGTAATCCCAGCACTTTGGGAGGCCGAGGCGGGCGGATCACCTGAGGTTGGGAGTTCAAGACTAGCCTGACCAACATGGAGAAACCCCATCTCTACTAAAAATACAAAATTAGCTGGGTGTGGTGGCACATGCCTGTAATCCCAGCTACTCTGGAGGCTGAGGCAGTAGAATGGCTTGAACCCGGGAGGCGGAGGTTGCAGTGAGCCGAAATCATGCCATGGCACTCCAGCCTGGGCAAAAAGAGCAAAACTCTGTCTCAAAAAACAAAACAAAAAAATTAGCCGGGTGTGATGGCATATGCCTGTAGTCCCAGCCACTCAGGAGGCTGAGGCAGAAGGATCGATTGAGCCCAGGAGGTCAAGGGTGCAATGAGCTGTGATCCCACCACTGCATTCCAGCCTGGGTGACAGAGTGAGACCCTGTCTCAAAAATAAATAAATGAATAGTATAAAATAAATAAAAGAGTTATATTTAGAAAACAAAAATGAGCAATTATTAAAAATAAGTTTTTACTTCTATTTTCTTTACTATTAATAATTCTCTAGACCATGGTTCAACAAAACAAATTTTTTTTTTTTTTGAGACAGATTCTCAAAATTTTTGTTGTGGGGGGGACAGGTTGAGCGATCACAGCTCACTGCAACATCTGCCTCCCAGGCTCAAATGATCTTCCCACCTCAGCCCCCAGAGTAGCTGGGACCACAGGTGCACACCACCACGCCCAGCTAATTTTTGTATTTTTTTTTGGTGGAGATGGGGTCTTGCTATGTTGCCCCCGCTGGTCTCGAACTCCTGGGCTCAAGCAACCCTCCTGCCTTGGCCTCCCAAAGTGCTGGAATTACAGGCATGAGCCACCACATGTGGCCCAAATGGATATATATATTTTTTTTTTTAATTAATTTTTTTTTTTAGTGTTCTGAAGTTTTAAAGTTTATAAATTAAGACTCTCCGGCCAGGCACAGTGGTTCATGCCTGTAATCCTAGCACTTTGGGAGGCCAAGGCGGGTGGATCATCTGAGGTCAGGAGTTCAAGACCAGCCTGGCCAACATAGTAAAACCCCATCTCTATTAAAAATACAAAAATTAGCTGGGCGTGGTGATGCATGCCTGTAATCCCAGCTACTCAGGGGGCTGAGGCAGGAGAATTGCTTGAACCAGGGAGGCAGAGGTAGCAGTGAGCTTAGATGGCACCATTGCACTCTAGCCAAGGCGACAGAGCGAGACTATCTCAAAAAAATAAAAACAAAATAAGCCTCTCCAAATTGTGATTCAATTAAGACCACAAATCTAGAACCTGAGAGCATTGTTTCTTGCCCATAATTTTCTGCACCCTCATCTCTTCTTTACTTTGGATTGCATTTCGCACCCTCCACCTTCATCAGGTCAGTCCCTCAGTGCGTTTTCTACTTTGCCCCAGTTGCGATGGAGCGCTCCTTGTTTCTGTGATCATATTGACATGGAGGTTTCCCAGGCTCTGCCTCCACACTCTCATCACCTGCCCTGCCAGGATCACCCTGCACCATCCCATCGCTATGAAATGCCACCTTTACCACCCGAACTGGGCTTTGTTGTTGTTGTTAGAGACAACATCTCACTCTGTCGCCCAGACTAGAGTGTAGTGGCTTGACCATAGCTCACTGCAGCCTCGAATTGCTGGGCTCAAGTGATCCTCCCACCTTGGCCTCCCAAAGTGCTAGGATGTATTAAGTTGCTAAATTTATGATAATTTGTATGTCAGCCATAGAAAACCAGTACACATACTTTTGAGAAGAAGGAGGTGTGTGTTTTTGCCCATTCCTTTGGTGCGTCCACACTGTTGTGGAATGTCCTGCCTCTTCATTTTGACCACCAGTTACTATGATTTGGAGACTAGTAGGTCATACTAACTTGGGTACTTGTCACTATTTGTTTTGTTGGAATTGCTGAGGACATGTCGGTGTCTATTAATTTCACTCTGTCTCTTGCAGTTATAATGACAGTCTGTTGTAGGTACCTGAGGTATGTGGGTACACATTTTCATTCTCTCATTCAGCAAATATGCACTGGAATTAGGAGTCTCGCACTTTACTGGCCCCTGCAGCTGCAGAGATGACTGGTCACATTGTCATGGATGAAGGTAACGGCAGAGTAGCGAGGGGCTGTGAACCCCCACTGGAGCTGACTGCCCGCCTAGATCCTGACTCTGCCACTCTCAAGTCCCGTGATGTGTCTCTGTGCCTTCCTTTCCACAGGGGTACATGGATGGCTGGGGCTGCGGGGTAGCGTTGTGTGTGTGCATCCCTGGGAACCATGCCTGGCACTCAGCAGGTGCCAGGTGATGGTACCTGTTGCTACCATCATTGTGACTTCACTGGCTGGGAACTAACACCAACTAAGACAGGAGTTCTTTTTAAAGAGCATAGTGTTCATCTTGTGGACTGGGACCTGTCATGGCCTCCTTGGTGGGGTCAAATCTGGTGTTGCCTGTGGGGTTCCCTGGGCCTCCTAGAGCTGGTTTCAGAAGGCCTGCAGGGCCAGAGGCAAGATGGGCCCAGGTGGGGCATGTCACATCATTATATTTTCTGCCTGTTACAGCAAAGGATATGCCACCACCCTCCTGTGTCTGAAGCTTGCCCAGCCAGCAGGTCCAGCTCCAGTGCTGCGTCATGTGAAAGCCTTCCCCACTATCATGGCCTGCCCTGGATTCTCATGGAATTGTGAGAAAACCTCCAAACACTAACTCCCTACCAAGTCAGCCACTCAGCACATCAGAGTAGTGTCACCTCGGGCTGGGACTGTCCAGAACGCTGGAGTCCCACAGCCTCACTTCCCACTAACAGCTGCTTCCCTCCTCATCCTTGCCCACATGGATTCCAGGCACGGTGGAGTGGAGGAGAACGTCCCATGCTAATGCAGGACACCTTGAGAGAGGAACATCTCCACCGTGGGAGGGACAATGAGTCTCTGGCACTGGGGCTTTGGCCTGAACAGTCTGGATCACCTTCACCCAGAAAACAGCCCCCCAGAGCCCAGGGGTCGGGGGAGCCACATTCCCCCACAGTTCAGAGGGCACACTGTCACATGCCCATCCCTCCCTCAGAATCAGCCATCCCCACTTGGTTGTTCCAGACCTCTGGTTCCTGCTGGGCAGCCCTTCTGCCCAGACCTCTGAAACAGTTGGCAGATGAATTCATGGTATAAGCTAAGCCTGAGGCCAGCTTCCAAGCAAAGTGTTTTAGATTTATGCTTATTTATTTTATTTTATTTTTTAAAGACAGAGTCTCACTCTGTCACCCAGGCTGGAGTGCAGTGGCACGATCTCGGCTCACTGCAACCTCCGCCTCCCTGGCTCAAGCAATTCTCCTGCCTCAGCCTCCCCAGTAGCTGGGACTACAGGCACACGCCGCCACGCTGGCTAATTTCTTTTGTACTTCAGTAGAGACGGGGTGTCACCGTGTTCCCCAGGCTGGTCTCGAACTCTTGAGCTCAAGCAATCTGCCTGCCTTGGCCTCCCAAAGTGCTGGGATTACAGGCATGAGTCATCCTGCCCGGCCTATGCTTATGTTTTTAAGCTCCAAAGACTACTGGTTCTGGGAAGGACTGGGTCACTATGTGACCTTGTGTAGGTCTCTTTTGGCCCTGAGTCCAGGAGGGCTCTGTGACTCCAGGTTGTGGCTGCGTCTGGAAGCTAACAATTGTTTAGTTTACAGTGTCCTTCCTCTTCATCTTGTTTGCATTCAGTTGCCCATGCCTGCCTCTGGGGGGAGGTGGGAAGGAATGTGGCTCCTGGGAGGAGCCCAGCTCCATGTGCCATTCTGAGGAGCCAGGCTGCACGCCCCTGGGCCATAGCTGCTGGTGGATGGATGAGTACACTGGCAGAGGCACTGGGAAGGGAAGACAGAATTGTTGGCCAATAGTCCCCTTTTACTGATTTTCTTGTCATTTTTGTGTTTGTTTTATTATAAAGATAACAGCTGTATTTGAGAAAGAAAGCTCAAACTATAAAGAAAATTTAAAATTGCCCTGTCTTACTCCAACTCCATTCCCTGAAGGTGGCCTGTCTTAACTATTTTTGTTTCTAATTCTTACAGTGGTTGCCTTCGTAATTCTAAAGCATACAACCCACATCTTGATTTCTCAACTGTGTAGTTTCTTTTGGCTCTATTGTATGAAATCAATGTGAAGTTAACATATTTAGACAACCTCTCCTCCTCTCAACCTCTCAATTTGTTCATTACTTTTAGATCTTGTAATCCAGTGCTTTCAAAATGCAGGTTCCCAGGCCGCAGACAAACTCATTGGAATTTGTGGTGGGACCTAGGAATGTGTATTTATAATAGTCTCCCCTAGTTAATTGTGTTCACTAAAGTTTGAAAACCATCATCCTTATAACTAAATAAGTGTCTTAGGAGTTGGGGCATTTTTGTCTGCCCTATCAGAAACCCAGCTAAGGAAGGACATCAGTGAAGATGGAGGATGAAGAAATACAAATTTCACCCCTCCACAAAAAACAATGAAAAAAGGGAAAAAACTCAAAAATCAACTTTTTAAAAATAGCTCTGGACATTAAAAGGCTTGCAGCAGGCCAGGCATGGTGGCTCATGCCTGTTATCCCAGCACTTTGGGAGGCCGAGTCGGGTGGATTACTTGAGATCAGGAGTTCGAGACCAGCCTTATAGTGAAATCCAGTATCTACTAAAAATACAAAAAACAAAACAAAACAAAGAAAACAAACAAACAGAAAACAGGCATGGTGGTGCATGCCTGTAACCCCAGCTACTTGGGAAGCTGAGGTAGGAGAATCGCTTGAACCAGGAGGCAGAGGTTGCAATGAGCTGAGATCATGCCTCTGCACTCCAGCCTGGGCAACAGGGCAAGACTCTATCTCAAAAAAAAAAAAAAAAAAAAAAGGGCAAGCAAACAAAAAAAGGTTTGTAGCAACATGAGGAAAACATTCAAGAGAAATGCCTCATTCTTAGTAAGAAATAAAGGCTGAAATCTTCCCAAATTTGATGAATTTGGAGTTACTAGTTAAAAAAAAAAAGAAAGAAAGTTCTAGCAAGAAAAGCCTAGGATCAGACGGCTTTACTGGCAAATTCCACCAAATGTTTAAAGAGGGGTTAACACCAGTACTTCTCAGATGTGTCCAAAAAACAGAAGAGGAGGGAACACTTACTGACTTATGCTGTGAAGCCCGACAAAGACATCACAATAAAAAATACAGACCAATATCCCTTATAAATTTGGATTCAAAAATCCTTAACAAACAACTAACAAACCAAATTCAGCAACATGTTAAAGGATTGTACACCATGACCAAGTAGGATCTATCCCAGGAATGCAAGGTTGGTTTAAAACACAGAACCTAATCAATGTAATACATCATATTAATAGAATAAAGGGACAGAACCACAAGGTCATCTAAATAGGCACAAAAGAATTTGACAAAAACCTTTAACAGGCAGGGTGTGGTGGTTCGTTCATGCCTGTAATCCCAGCACTTTGAGAGGCCAAGGCGGGTGGATCACCCGAGGTCACAAGTTTGAGACCAGCGTGACCAACATGGTGAAACCCCATCTCTACTAAAAATACAAAAAATTAGTGGGGCGTGGTGGCGGGTGCCTGTAATCCCAGCTACTCAAGAGGCTGAGGCAGGAGAATCACTTGAAATGGGGAGGCAGAGGTTGCAGTGAGCCGAGATCACACACTCCAGCCTGGGCAACAAGAGTGAAACTCCATCTCAAAAAAAAAAAAAAAAAAAAAAAATTTAACAAAGTCAGGATACCCTTTAGTGATAAAAATCATGCACTAAACTAGGAATAGGAGGGAACTCGCACAGTCTGATAAAGGGAATCTGTGAAAAGCCCACAGCTAATATCATACTTAATGGTAAAAAACTGAAAGCCTTACCCCTGAGATTAGGAACAAGACAAAGATGGCCACTCTTGCCACTTACTTAACATTGTACTAGAAATTCTAGGCTGGGCAACTAGACAAGAAAAAATAACAAAAAGCCATCTAGATTGGAGAGAAAGAAGTAAAACTCCATTTGCAGATGACATGATCTTGTATAAAGAATACCCTAAAGAAACTGGGCATGGTGGCTTATGCCTTTAATACCAGCACTTTGGGAGGTTGAGGTGGGTGGATTGCTTGAGCCCAGGAGTTCAAGACCAGCCCAGGCAACCTGGCAAAACCCCATCTCTACAAAAAATTAGCTGGGCATGGTGGCACACACCTGTAGTTCTAGCTACTCAGGAGACTGAGGTGGGAGGATCACCTGAGCCTGGAAGATTAAGGCCACAGTGAGCCATGATCATGCCACTGCACTCCAGCCTGGGTGGCAGAGTGAGACCCTGTCAAAACAAAACCAAACAAAACCCTAAAGAATCTGCACAAAAACTGGTAGAGCTAATAAGTGAGTTTAGTAAAGTTGCAGGATACAAGATTAATATACAAAACCAGTTGCATTTCTATCTACTGGCAATGAACAATTTGAAAATCAAATTAAGAAAATACAGCATCAAAAGAATAGTCTTGAAATACTTAGAAATAAATTTAATTTAAAAAGTGCAAGGCTGCTATAAAAAATCTACAAGACATTGTTGAAAGAAAATGGAAAGATATTCTATATTCGTGGACTAGAAAACTTAACATTAAGATCTTCAGATTTAATGCAATACCTATCAAAGTTTCAACAGCTTTTTTTTTTTTTCCAGAAATGGACAAGCTGATTCTAAAATTCATATGGAACTGCAAGGGACACAGAAAGAACCAAAGCAGTCTTGGACAAGAACAATGTTAGAAGACTCACTTCTCCATTTCAAAACTTACTACAAAACTATAGTAATCGACCAGGTGCGGTGGCTCACGCCTGTAATCCCAGCATTTTGGGAGGCCAAGGTGGGCAGATCACTTGAGGTCAGGAGTTTGAGACCAGCTTGGCCAACATGGTGAAACCCCATCTCAACTAAAAAGACAAAAAAATTAGCTGGACATGGTGGTGGGCGCCTATAATCTCAGCTACTCAGGAGGCTGATGCAGAAGAATGGCGTGAACCCGGGAGGCAGAGGTTGCAGTGAGCCAAGATCATGCCGTTGCACTCCAGCCTGGGCAACAGAGCGAGACTCTGTCTCAAAAAAAAAAAAAAAAAAAGTTCATAACAGCACTATTCACAATAGCCCAAAAATGGAAACAACACAAATGACCACCAACAGGTAAATGGATAAACAGAATAAAGGAATATTATTTAGCGTCACAGATAATGAGGTGTTGAATGAGGCTACAGCGCGGATGAACCTGGAAACACTGTGCTAAGAGAAAGACGCCCGACACAAAAGCCCACATACTGTGTGATTCCAGTTTTATGAAATGTCCAGAATAGGCAAATCTACGGAGAGAAAGATGCCAGACACAAAAGCCCACATGCTGTGTGATTCCGGTTCTATGAAATGTCCAGAACAGGCAAATCCATGGAGAGAAAGACGCCAGACACAAAAGCCCACATGCTGTGTGATTCCGGTTCTATGAAATGTCCAGAATAGGAAAATCTACGGAGAGAAAGATGCCAGACACAAAAGCCCACATGCTGTGTGATTCCAGTTCTATGAAATGTCCAGAACAGGCAAATCCACGAAGACAGAAAGTAGATTGGTGGATACCTAGGGCATGGGGTGGGGAGAAGTGGAGAATAACTGCCAACAGATTTGTGGTTTCTCTTGGGGAAATGGAAATGTTCTGGAATTACACCGTGGCGATGCATGTACAGCATAGTGAATATACTAAAGCCACTGAAGTATAAACTTTAAAGTGATTAATTTTATGTTATGTGAATTGTATCTCAATAAAAAATGTTTTAAAAAGGAAAGAAACAGCTGGGCATGGTGGCTCATGCCTATAATCCCAGCACTTTGGGAGGCCGATGTGGGAGGATCACTTGAGACCAGGAGTTCTAAACTAGCCGGGGTGACCATAGCACGACCTCGTCTCTACAAAAGAAAAATTTAAAAATTCACCAGGTGTGGTGGCACGTTCTTGTAGTCCAAACTACTCAGGAGGCTGAAGGAGGAGGATCGCTTGAGCCCAGGAGTTTGAGACTGCAGTGAGCTATGATTACACCACTGCACTGCAGCCTGGGTGACAGAGTGACACCCTGTCTAAAAAAAAAAAAAAGGAAAAAAATCCAACTAGAACGGTCTTAATATAGCAATTTATTGGCTCATGCCAGTGGATGTTCAGAGGTAAGGCAGGCTCCAGGGCTGTTCAGCTTACAGGCTTTACAGAACCATCATAGAGGCTGGACGCAGTGGCTCATGCCTGTAATTCCAGCACTTTGGAAGGCTGAGGTAGGCAGATCACCTGAGGTCAGGAGTTCAAGACCAGCCTGGCCAACATGGTGAAACCCCATCTCTACTAAAAATATAAAAATTAGCTGGGGCCAGGCGCAGTAGCTCACACCTGTAATCACAGAACTTTGGGAGCCTGAGGCGGGCAGATCACCTGAGGTCAGGAGTTTGAGACCAGCCTGGCCAACATGGTGAAACCCCATCTCTACTAAAAATACAAAAAAATTAGCTGGGCGTGGTGGTGGGCGCTTGTAATCCCAGCTACTTGGGAGACTGAGGCAGGAGAATCGCTCGAACCCAAGATGCAGAGGTTGCAGTGAGCTGAGATCGTACCATTGCACTCCAGCCTGGGCTACAAGAGCAAAACTCTGTCTCAAAAAACAAACAAACAAAAACTGTGATAGAAACCTGAGTACCTTCCATTGCTCCACCCCTCAGCTTTATCCTAAGGCTGGTTCCCTTAGTGATGGAAGGATGGCTGCCAAGCAATAGGAGTGCGGAGTTTCCCTCTTCGTGTGTTGGTAGGAGCCATTTTTTCACATGGCTGTATCTTGAAAATAAGGACCCCGGTCCCAGAATCCCCAGCAATCTTGCACTGGCCAATTGCTGGCCCACATAGGGTCACATACGCATTCTGAGTCCATCTCCAGCACTAAAGGAAATGCATACCCAGCAGGCTGGGGCCTAACCTCTAAACCTGTCATTGTCAGAGCAGTGGAGATGCTGTGATTTCAGGGACTAGTGACACCAGTGACTCGGGTCCGTCCAACAAGCCACCTTACAGCCACCTAGTGGAGCCTGGACCTGCCCCAGACCTCTATTGCTGTAGATATTTTATGACGGACCCCACTGTGCAAGATGAAGAAATCTTCCTGCTCTACCTCCCCGTTTCCATCAGCTTTACTATTATTTCACATCATCAAGGTTGCTTACGTTTTCCTTTGTTCTCGCATTACTATCTCCCATCTGGGACTTCCTCGTTGACAGGGTGGCAAGCTTGGGCTTCCTTTATGGTCATTTTGGCCTGCTGATCCTGGGGTCTCTGGTCCTGTGTTTGGAGGTGGCTGTGGGATGTGGGGGGTCCCATCCCAGGGCAGACTTCTTTGTAGGGTGCATGTAGTGGCTGCACTCCAAACACCCCAAACCTCAGTGGCCTGAAACAGCAACAGTCATTTCTGTCATCTCTCATGGCTCTGGGGTTGACTGGGCTCGCCTGGGTGGTTCTTGCTCAGATAGTCACAGAGGCTGGGGTTGCTTGGAAAACTCTTTCCCTCTATCTGGTAGTTGATGCTGGCTGCCAGCTGGAACATCTACATGTGGCCTCTAAGTCTGGTCTGAGTTGCTCACAACATGGCGACTGGGCTCCAAGAGTGAGCCACTAAAGAGGATGAGGAGCAAGTTGTATCACCTCTTATGATCTAGCCTGGAAGTCACATAGCATCATTTCTGTCACAACCTTCCCAGGTGCAAGGAGAGGGAATATAGACCCCAGCTTTTGATGGGGAGCACATCAGCATTGTATCATAAGAGCAGCACATGCTTGTACACCCATGTTCATGGCACCATCATTTGGAACAGCCAATACGACTGTATTTTTAAAAACATTTTTTGAGGCAGTCTCACTGTCACCCAGACTCACGTGCAGTGGTGCGATCACTGCTAACTGCAGCCTCAACTTCCCAGGCTCAAGCGATCCTCCCACTTCAGCCTCCCAAGTGGCTGGGACTACAGGCATGCATCATCATGCCTGGCCAATTTTTTTTGTAGAGAAGGGGTCTTGCTATGTTGCCCAGGCTGGTCTTGAATTCCTGGGCTCAAGTGGTCCTCCCACCTTGGCCTCTCAAAGTGTTGAGATTACAGGCGCAAGCTACCATCCCTGGCCCCAAGTGGACTTTTGGTTGATGAATGGATAAACAAATGTAATATAACTATATAGGGGAATTTTACTCAGCCTTAAAAAGGAATGAAGGGGCCAGGCGCGGTGGCTCATGCCTGTACTTTGAGAGGTTGAGGCGGGTGGATCACCTGAGGTCAGAAGTTCAAGACCAGCCTGGCCAACATGGCGAAACCCCATCTCTACTAAAAATACAAAAATTAGCAGGGCGTGGTGGCAGGCGCCTGTAATCCCAGCTACTCAGGAGGCTGAGGCAGGAGAATCACTTGAACCTGGGGGGCGGAGGTTGCAGTGAGCAGAGATCGCGCCACTTCACTTCAGCCTGGGTGTAAGAGCAAAACTCTGTCTCAAAAAAAAAAAAAAAAAATGGAATGAAGGGCCAGGCATGGTGTCTCACGCCTGTAATCCCAGCATTCAGGGAAGCAGAGGCAGGTGGATGCTTGAGCCCAGTAGTTTGAGACCAGCCCAGGCAACATGGCAAAACTTTCTCTACAAAAAATACAAAAAAATTACCAAGGCATGGTGGCGTGCACCCGTAGTCCCAACTACTCGGGAGGCTGAGGTGGGAGGATTGATTGAACCTGGGAGGTTAAGGCTGCAGTGAGCCATGATCAGGCCACTGCACTCCAGCCTGGGTGACAGAGCCAGATCCTGTCTCAACAACAACAACAACAACAAGGCTGAGTGTGGTGTCTCATGCCTGTATCATCCCAGCACTTTGGGAGGTCAAGGTGGGTGGATCACTCGAGGTTGGGAGTTTGAGACCTGGCCAACATGGAGAAACCCCATCTCTACGAAAAAAAAAAAAAAAAAAGCCCGGTATGGTGGCGCACACCTGTAGTCCCAGCTACTCGGGAGGCGGAGGCAGAAGAATTGCTTGAACCTGGGAGGTGGGGGTTGCAGTGAGCTGAGACTGTACCACTGCACTCCAGCCTGGGCAACAGAGTGAGACTCTGTCTCAAAACAAAAAAAAATTCATGAAGTACTGATACATGCTACAAAATATATGAACTTTGAACTTTGAGGCCATTATGCTTAGTGAAACAAGTCAGTCACAAAAGGGCAAATACCTCATGTATGATTCCACTTACATGAAGTACCTAGAGTAGTCAAATTCATAGAGACAGAGAGTAGATATGGTTGCCAGGGACTGGAACAGGAGGGTACTGGGGAGGTAGTGTTTGGCGGGTATGGAGTATCAGTTTTACAAGATGAAAAGAGTTCTGGAGATGGGCGGTGGTGATGGCTGCACAACAATGTGAATGTACCTATTGCTACTGAACTGCATACTGAAAATGGTTAAGATGAGGCCGGGCGCAGTGGCTCATGCCTGTAATCCCAGCACTTTGGGAGGCTGAGGCAGGTGGATCATTTGAGGTCAGGAGTTCGAGACCAGCCTGGTCAGCATGGCAAAATCCCGTCTCTACTAAAAATACAAAATTAGCTGGGTGTAGTGGTGTGCACCTGTAATGCCAGTTACTAGGGAGGCTGAGGCAGGAGAATTGCTTAAACCCGGGAGGTGGAGGCTGTAGTGAACCAAGATTGCGCCACTGCACTGCAGCCTGGGAGACAGAGCAAAACTCGGTTAAAAAAAAAAGTAAAGTGCATGTCATGTATATTTTACCACATTCTTTTTTTAGACACAGGATCTCACTCAGGAGTGCAATGACACAATCACAGCTCGCTGCAGCCTTGACCTCGTGGCTCAAGTGATCCTCCTGCCTCAACCTCCTGAACACCTGGGACTACAGACATGTGCCACCACACCTGGCTAATGAAAAAAAAATGTGTTTTTTGTTGTTGTTTTTTGGTAGAGATAGGGTCTTGCTAAATTGTCCAGGCTAGTCTCAAACTTCTGACCTCAAGTGATCCACCTGCCTTGGCCTCCCAAAGTGCTGGGATTACAGGCATGAGCCAACGCGCCCGGCCTCATCTTAGCCATTTTCAGTATGCAGTTCAGTAGCAATAGTATATTCACATTGTTGTACAACCATCACCACCGCCCGCAATTTTTACAAAAGTAAAATGAAAAAGAGAATGTCCAATGGGTGATATCTTTGAATGTCTCTACATTTGGTGGCATCTTTGGAAAATACAATCTGCCACAGAATCATACAGTAGACAGTTCAGGGGCTTGTGCCTCTCACCCGCTGTTACCTTTATAAAATTCATACAAGCTGTGTGTTGCTCTGCATTGCATGTATTCCACTGTGTGAATATACCACAGTGCATTCATCCAGCCTATTGTTGATGGACACTTGTGTGCACTCTAGTTAGCACTATTAAGGGATTAAGGGCAATGCTCCCATGGATATTCTCGTATCACTACTCTGGCACACACGGGTCCTTGTTTTCTGGCTCATGGGCTACGCACCCGTTCTGCTTTGTGAGATACTGGGGAACTGTTCTCCAAGTGGTTGTGTCACCTCACACTCCCACCAGGTGTGTGGAAGACCTGTTCGTAACCTCCCCCACAACACTCTAGGACCACCAGGAGACCTCCTTTAACTGACTCTGCTTGGTTTCTTTCCTGGCAGGACCTGCCTTTCCGCCCAAAGCTGCACGGCGGAGCCAGTTTGCTGCCTCTCTGACCACTGTGGTGGGCCCTCCCGGGAACTGCTCTGCCTGCCTCACAAAGCTGCTCTCAGGGCTAAAGCTGGCAACTGCAGCCATCCCTGCCCTTGCCGGGGGCTCCTTCAGGGCCGTGGCTTCTGCCTGGGTGCCCTTAACTATGCCCTGATCCTATCTGCTTCCTGTCTCCCAAAAATTCTTCAAACTCTTCCAAAATTTCTGGTCAACTGATGGCAGTCTCGAGTATTTCCCCTCTTACTGTGGGCTTATTAGTTTTCACTGTCTTCACAGTTAGATTAAATGGGACTGGGAGGGAGGGGAGTGAGTATGCAGGTTCTGTTTGCTCTCCTGGGCTCCTTCCCTGGCCAATGCCCCTGGCCGTCCCCCTGGAGCCCAGCATGTGGCCAAGGATGCTCACTGCCCCAGCAAAAATACAGGCCTCATGTTTCACTAGTCGTGGCCACCCAGCTAAAACATATTTCACCTTTCCTCCCAGCTAGATGTGGCCGTGTGACTATTGTTGTTTTTTTTTTTTTTTTTTTTTTTTTGAGACAGAGTTTTGCTCTGTCGCCCAGGCTGGAGTGCAGTGGCGCAATCTCGGCTCACTAAAAGCTCCACCTCCCAGGTTCATGCCATTCTCCTGCCTCAGCCTCCCAAGTAGCTGGGACTGCAGGCGCCTGCCACCATGCCCAGCTAATTTTTGTTGTATTTTTAGTAGAGACAGGGTTTCACCATGTTAGCCAGGATGGTCTCAATCTCCTGACCTCGTGATCCGCCCGCCTTGGCCTCCCAAAGTGCTGGGATTACAGGTGTGAGCCACCGTGCCCGGCCGTGACTATTGTTCAACAGCCGCTTCTGGGAAACTTTGCAGCAATCTAGGCTCTAGGCTTTAGTCCTGCAAACTCTCTTCCAGGGAACTGGCTGGCCTCCCGGCGCTGCACCCCATCTGACCCTCCCTGGGGTTCTGCTGTTGCCCCCGCTCCCATGCTGGTACTTTTTCCTGCTTTTAGCCAGGTCTCCCGTTTCCCTTCACCCTGGTGAACTCCTGTTTGTTTGTCTAAACCCATGTAAGTGGCAGCTACTCTTCCCGACCTCTTAGCTTGCCAGGTAGGTGGCTGTGTCCCCTCTGTCCCCAGCCCTTCTCCATCCCCTGTCACTTCAGTCTGTGGGGCCTGTCCCCGCCACCCCAGGCTTGGTCCACCTGCAGGTGGAATGAGAACGGGTGAGCCCACGGTCTGCAGCAGCGCCTTCTGCACTGTGGACATTCCTTCCACCAGCGTGTGCTACAGGGGCCAGGCCAGCCAAGGCCAGTCACAGGGCAGGACATCCCCACTTGTGCCTTTTCCGTAAAAGTGTGAAGAGAAAGGAGTGTCTGAAGGGGTCCAATGAGGAGAGCCAAGGGCTAGATGTGTATGCGTCTGCATGCCCACGCACACTCCAGGCCCTGCCAGCCCCAGAGGGGTGTGGGTGGGCAGAGAGGCACTGCATATCCTCCAGGGTGCCTGGGCTGCCAAGAGCAGCCCCGGGAAGGGCTGCAGGCCCTGGGAGAGTGTCCCCATGCCCTCTGTGTGGTATGGTCTGGTCCTGGATGTCCAGCTCTGGCTCACTTCTTGTTTGGACAAACGCCCACCCAGATCAGACCTGGGTGCCAAGTCCTGAGGGCTTGACAAAGGCAGGGTGAGAGCCAGATAGGATCTAAGGACTGGCTCCTGGGAACAGTGTGGGTGCCCGCCCTGTGTTTACACCAGCTTCCTGCTCCTGGGCTCTCCGTCTGGCAAGCTGGGTGCGGCCACAGTCTGAGAGGGCAGGGAGGTCGGGGGCCTTCTCCCAGCCCTCCCGTTGGACTCTGCACACCAGTACACCCAGCACGTGCGCTGGGCAACAATGGCATGTGAGCTGGTAGCAGGTGATACATGCTAAGGCTCTGGTATTGGGAGAATACCCATTGGAATGGGAGGAGGGAAAAACATTAACCTCAGATATTAACTTTGGAGGGCATCCATGAAATAGGCACAGTAGTTATAAGTGCCAAACAGGCAGAAGGGAAAGCAGGGAATAAAAGACACACACGTGGCTGGGTGCGGTGGCTCACGCCTGTAACCCCAACACTTTGGGAGGCTGAGGCGAGTGGATCACTTGAGGTCAGGAGTTCAAGACCAGCTTGGCCAACATGGTGAAACCCTGTCTCTACTAAAAATACAAAAATTAACCGGGCATGGTGGCGTGTGCCTGTAGTCCCAGCTACTCAGGAGGCTGAGGCAGGAGAATTGCTTGAACCCGGGAGGCAGAGGTTGCAGTGAGCCGAAATTTTGCCACTGCACTCCAGCCTGGTGACACAGCGAGACTCCGTCTCTAAAAAAAAAAAAAAAAAAAAAAAAAAAGACACATTCTCTCTCTCACACCCAAAAGATGCAAGAAAGGAGGAATGAGTGGGAAAGCTGGGCAGAAAATGTCACAAATAAACCCAAATGGGCTGGGTGTGATGGCTCACGCCTGTAATCCCAGCACTTTGGGAGACCAAGGCAGAAGATTGCTTGAGGCAGGAGTTCAAGACCAGCCTGGGCAACATGGTGAGACCCTGTCTCTGCAAAAGAAAAAGAAGTTTGGTGTGGTGGTGTTTCACCTGTGGTCTCGGCTACTTGGGAGGCTGAGTTGGGAGGATCACTTAAGCCCAGGAGTTGGAGGCTGCAGTGAGCTATGATTGCACCACTGCACTCCAGCCTCCGTGACAGAGACCCTGACTCAAAAAAAAAAAAAGAAAAAGAAAAAGAAAAGAAAAGAAAAAGAAAGAAAAAGAAAAATTGAATGTCAAGGGAAAGAAAGATATACTGTGCAAAGACTAACCAAGAGAAAAATTGTTAATTTGGTCAATATCAGATTAAATAAAATTTAAGGCAGCAAAGTCAAACATTGATTTGTTGGAAATACAAATATAAAGCCAAGCTTCTGGAAGTATTAACAAGAAGAAGAGAGGATGCACAAATAAAAAACACCAGGACAAAACAGATTTAACATGGGTGTGTCAGCAAGTATATGAAAATATAAGAGGCTCTTATATCAACTTTATGCCAACAAGTTTGAAAACAGATGAACTGGATAATTTCTTGGAAAAACACAGGTTTCTTTTAATGGAATAAAAAAGAAATAAACCTCAATTGTCTTAACAACAATTACAGAAATGTAATCAGTAATTTAAAATATTCCCCTCCTCCCCCAAAAATGTTAAAATAACTTTGCAAGCAAATTCTGCCTTTCAAAAAACAGATAATTCCAACCTTGTACAAATTATTTCAGAGAATAGAAAAGTGAGAAACACTTTCACTTCAGTTTTATAAAACTAACGTAATCTTGACATACAAACTGAACAAGAACAGGACAAAAAAATAAAATTACTGGTAAATTTCACTCATGAACAGAGATGCAAACTGAATCCAATAATGTATAAAAAAGATAAATCGACCAGGCGCGGTGGCTCGCGCCTGTAATCCCAACACTTTGGGAGGCCGAGGCAGGCAGATCACCTGAGGTCAGGAGTTCAAGACCAGCCTGGCCAACATGGTAAAACCCCGTCTCTATTAAAAATACAGAAATTGGCTGGGCGCGGTGGCTCACGCCTGTAATCCCAGCACTTTGGGAGGCCGAGGCAGGTGGATCACCTGAGGTCAGCAGTTCAAGACCAGTCTGGCCGACATGGTAAAACCCCGTCTCTATTAAAAATACAGAAATTAGCCAGGCAGAGTGGTGGCACGCGCCTGTAATCCCAGATACTCGGAGGCTGAGGCAGGAGAATCTCTTCAACCCGAGAGGTGAAGGTTGCAGTGAACCGAGATGGCTCCAGCCTGGGCGACAGAGTGAGACTCCGTCTCAAAAAAGAAAAAAACAACATAAATCATCATGACTAAGTTGGGTTTATCGCAAAAATACAGGGTTGATATAAAATTACATAGTGTGAATCACGACATTAACAGAATAAAACAACAACAGCAACAAAATTTCAATAGATACAGAAAAGCCCTATTTTGCACTCTGTCCCACGCCCCCACCCCGGCAATCCCCATTCCACTTTCTGTCTCCATGAATTTGACTACTCCAGGCCTCTCCCTCATGTCAGTGGAATCATACGGTATTTGTCCTTTTGCGTTTGGTTTATTTCACCTGGTATCATGTCTTTAAGGTTCATCTATGTTGTGGCATGTACTGGAATCTTCTTTCTTTTTAAGGCTGAATAAAGTTCCATTGTATGGATATGCCACTTTTAGGTTTGGTTATTTGTTTATCTTGCTATTCACTGATGGATATTTGGGTTTTTCCACCTTTGGGGTGTTGTGAATGATGCTGCTATGAACACTGAGGTACAAATGTCTGTTTGAGTTCCTGGTTTCGATTCCTTTGTATCATTGAATTGCTTGTACATGCTTGTCAAAAATCAGCCAGCTATACTTGCATGGGGCTGTTTCTGGGTTCTCTAGGCTGTTTCATTGAACAAAATGTATCTATCCCTTCACCAATGCCAAACAGTCTATACAAATCTTGAAATTTGGTAGAGTGACTCTTCCCACTTTATTCTTCTTTTTTGGAATTGTTTTAACTATTTTAATTCTTTTGCTTTTTCTTATAAATTTTAGAATAATCTTGCCTATATCTATAAGAAATCTTTCTTTTTCTTTTTTTTTTTTTTTTGAGACGGAGTCTCGCTTTGTTGTCCAGGCTGGAGTGCAGTGGCGTGATCTTGGCTCACTGCAACCTCTGCCTCCCAGGTTCAAGTGATTCTCCTGCCTCAGCCTCCCCAGTAGCTGGGACTACAGGCACACACAACCACGCCCAGCTGATTTTTGTATTTTTAGTAGAGTCGGGGTTTCACCATGTTGGTCAGGCTGGTCTCAAACTCCTGACCTCATGATCCGCCCTCCTCGGCCTCCCAAAGTGCTGGGATTACAGGCATGGGCCACCGTGCCTGGCCAAGAAATCTTTCTAGAATTTTGAAAGGAATCGAACTATTCACATCTTCACCATGTTGAGTTTTCCAGTCCATTAACAGGCCATACCTCTCTATTTATTTACATCTTCTTTGATTTCTTTCACCAGGGTTTTGTAGTTTTCAGCATACAAGTCCTTATCCATACAAACCCATATTTGGTTAGATTTACACCTAGTTCATTTTTTGAGTGATTGCAAATGATATTATTTTTTATTTTGGTTTTCATGTGCTCATTGCTAGAACATAGAAATAGCAATTGATTTTTGTATGTTGATCTTGAATCCTTGTATCTTGCTAAACTCATTTGTTGGTTCTAAGGCTTTTTAAAAGATTCCATGGGAATTGATTTATGTCATCTGCAAATAGAAGCAGCTTTGGTTTTTCCTTTCTGATCTCTATCTCTTTCCTTTTCTCCCCTTTCTGTGATGTCTGGAACTTCCAGCACTATACTGAGTAAGAGTAGTGAAGGCAGAATTTTTGCCTTGTCCCTAATTTTCACAGAAAAGTATTCAGCTTTCCACTATTAAGTATAATTTTTAGCTGTAGGTTTTTTGTAGACACTGTTTATCAAGTTGAGGAAGTTTCTATTACTGGTTACCAGCAGCTTTTATCATGAATGGGTGTTGAATTTCATCAAATGCTTCTTTTGTGTCAATTAATATAATCATGTGATTTTTCTTCTTTAGCTTACATTGGTATACATTGATTGATCTTTGGAAGTTGAACCAAGCTTGTATTCTAGGAATAAATCCCACTTGATCATGGTGTATAATTATTTTTATATACGGCTGAATTTATTTTATAAAATGTTAAGAATGTTTGCATCTATATTCATGTGGAATATTGGTCTGTAGTTTCCTCTCTCTTTTTCCTTTCTTCTTCTTCTTTTTTTTTGCTTTACTTTTGGTGTCAAAGTAATATTGGTTTCATAGAATGGATTGAATTCCCTCTCTCTTTTTTTTCTTTTTCGTAAGAGAGTTTGAGATGGATTGGTGCTAGTTGTTTTTTAAACATTTGATAGGGCCGGGCGCCATGGCTGACGCCTGTAATCCCACCACTTTGGGAGGCCGAGGCGGGTGGATCACATGAAGTCAGGAGTTCGAGACCAGCCTGGCCAACATGGCGAAACCCTGTCTGTACTAAAGATACAAAAATTAGCTGGGCATGGTTGCAGACACCTGTAATCCCAGCTACTTGGGAGGCTGAGGCAGGAGAATGGCGTGAACCCGGAAGGTGGAGGTTGCAGTGAGCTGAGATTGCGCCACTGCACTCCAGCCTGGGCAACAAAGCGAGACTCCATCGAAAAAAAAAAAAAATTGGTAGAATTTACCAGTGAAGCCATCTGGTCCTAGACTTTTCTTTGTTGGATTTTTTTTTTTCTTTTTCCTAACTCAATCCGTTTGTTTGTTATATTTGCTTGTGTTTTTTGTTGTTGTTGTTTGTTTGCTTGTTTGTTTTTGAGATGGAGTTTCGCTCTTGTTGCCCAGACTGGAGTGCAATGGTGCGATCTTGACTCACTGGAACCTCCATCTCCTGGGTTCAAGTGATTCTCCTGCCTCAACCTCCCGAGTAGCTGGGATTACAAGCATCTGCCACCATGCCCGGCTAATTTTTTGTATTATATTTGCTTGTTATAGATCTATTCAGATTTTCTATTTCTTTTTGAGTCAGGTTTGGTAGTCTATGTTTCTAAGAATTGGTCAATTTCATCTAGGTTAACTAATTTGTTGGCATACAACTGTTCATAGTATTCCTCTAAAATCACTATTTTGGTCAGGTGTTGTGGCTCACATCTGTAATCCCAGCCCTTTGGGAGGCCAAGGCCAGCGGATCACCTGAGGTCAGGAGTTCGAGATCAGCCTGGCCAACATGGTGAAACCCCGTGTCTACTAAAAATACAAAATACAAAAATTAGCCCAGCATGTTGGTGGGCACCTGTAATCCCAGCTACTCGGGAGGCTGAGGCAGGAGAGTCACCTGAACCCAGGAGGTGGAGGTTGCAGTGAGCTGAGATCACACCACTGTATTCCAGCCTAGGTGACAGAGTGAGACTCCATCTCAAAAAAATAAAATAAAGTAGAATAAATAAATAAAATCACTCTTATTTGTGTAAGCCCACAAGTGATATCTCTTCTTTCATTCCGGATTTAGGTAATTTGGGTTTCCTCCCTCTTTTTAGGTCAATCTAGCTGAAGATTTGTCAATTTTGTTGAACTTTTCAAAGAACCAACTTTTGGTTTCATTGATTTTGAGGTTTCTTTACGGCCCAAGATATGGTTGGTTCTGTGGGCACTAGAAAAGAATGTGTATCCACTGCTGTTAGGTAGTGCTCTGTAAATGTGGAGTAAATCCTGTTAGTTGATGGTGTTTGAGATTCTGTCTTCTTGTTGATTTTCTGTCTACTTTTTCTATCAATTTTTGAGAGAGAAATGTTGAAGCTTCAACTACAATTGTTCATTTATCTATATCTCCATTTAGTTTTATCAGTTTTGCCTCACATATTTTGAAGCTCTGTTGTTTGGTGCCTATATATTTAGAATTGCTGTGTCTTCTTGGTGAATTGACCCTTTCATCATTATGTAATGTCTTTGTTCTAGTAATTATTCCTTCCTTCCTTCCTTCCTTCCCTCCTTCCTCCTTCCCTCCCCCCTCCACCCTCCCTCTCTCCGTCTCTCCTTCTTTTCTTCCTTTCTCTCTGCCTGCCTGCCTACTTGCTTGCTCTGTCACAGGCTGAAGTGCAGTGGTGTGATCTCAGCTCACTGCAACCTCTGCCTCTTGGCCTCCTGGGTTCAAGCGATTCTCATGCCTCAGGCACCCCAGTAGCTGGGATTACAGGTGGGCACCACCATGACTGGCTAGTTTTTGTATGTTTAGTAGAGATGGGGTTTTGCAATGTTGGCCAGGCTGGTCTCAAACTCCTGGCCTCAAGTAATCTGCCCGCCTCCACCTCCCAAAGTGCTCAGATTATAGGCATGAACCACCGCGCCTGGCCCAAGAGTGCTATTTTATTTTTATTTTTTTGTTTGTTGTGTCTCTTTTTGTTCATTTCTCTTTACTTTTCCCTGCTTTCCTGTGGCTTACTTGAATATTCCTTAAAATTACATTTTGAGGCCGGCCACCGTAGCTCACACTTGTTAATTCCAGCACTTTGGGAGGCCGAGGCGGGCGGATCACAAGGTCAGGAGATCGAGACCATCTTGGCTAACACAGTGAAATCCCATCTCTACTAAAAATACAAAAAATGAGCCGGGCATGGTGGGGGGTGCCTGTAATCCCAGCTACTTGGGAGGCTGAGGCAGGAGAATGTCATTAACCTGGGAGGCGGAGGTTGCAGTGAGCCGAGATTGCGCCACGGCACTCCAGCCTGGGCGGCAACAGAGTGAGACCCCGTCTCAAAAAAAAAAAAAAAAAATTACATTTTGAGTTATCTACAGTGTTTTTGAGTGTGTCTCTTTGTATAGCTTTTCCCCCGTGTTCTTCCTTTCTTTTATTTATTTATTCTGAAGGAATTATATATAAGCTACAACTGTTCATTAAAGAAATAATAATTTTGTAGGTAAGATGTAAATACATTTATGTTGTAAACTTTCAAACAATATAGAAAGTCGTGAAATATAGAAAAAGTACAGAATACAAAGAAAGTAAAAAATCCCTGATGTCTCCCCCAGTAAATCCCAGAGTCTCCTACACATAGGCAATAATAGATATCAATTTGGCATCTATGCCTTAGACTTTTATCTGTCCATTTGTATTCATAAAAATAAACATAAAAGTACATAGTTGGGGCTGGGCACGGTGGCTCACGCCTGTAATCCCAGCACTTTGGGAGGCTCAGGTGGGTGGATCATAAGGTCAGGAGTTCGAGACCAGCCTGGCAAACATGGTGAAACCCCATCTCTACTAAAAATACAAAAGTTAGCTGGGTGTGGTGGCACACGCCTGTAGTCCCAGCTACTCAGGAGGCCGAGGTAGAATCGCTTGAACCCGGGAGGCGGAGCTTGCAGTGAATTGAGATCCTGCCACTGCACTCCAGCTTGGCGACAGAACGAGACTCTTTCTCAAAAAAAAAAAAAAAAAAAAAAAAAAAAGTGCATAGTTTTGGCCAGGTGGCTCACACCTGTAATCCCAGCACTTTAGGAGGCCGAGGCAGAGGATTGCTTGAGCCTAAGAGTTTGAGACCAGCCTAGGCAACATGGCAAAACCCCCTCTCTACAGAAAAATACAAAAATTAGGCAGGCGTGGTGGTGCACACTTGTGGTCCCAGCTCCTTGTGAGGCTGAAGTGGGAGGATTGCTTGAACCCGGGAAGTAGAGGCTGCAGTGAGCCATGTTCATGCCACTGCACTCCAGCCTGGGTAACAGAGTGAGACTCTGTCTCACTAAAAAACAACAACAAAATGAAACAAAACAAAAAAAATTACATAGTTTCATTTTTGTGGGAATTTAAGTTTACACAGTATCATTGTATATGTAATGTGATAAACTTGAATGATTTTTTTCCCTAAATAAGATCTGTTAGAGATATGTCCAGGTCAGTGCATATAGCTCTACCTCTTTTTAAATATACTTTTTAATTTTTAATTTTTATTGTTTTTTATTTTTATTACTTATTTTTATTTTTTATTTATCTTTTTTTTGGTTTGTTTTTTGAGACGGAGTCTCGCTCTGTTGCCCAGGCTGGAGTGCAGTGGCGCAATCTTGGCTCACTGCAAGCTCCGCCTCCCAGGTTCACACCATTCTCCTGCCTCAGCCTCCCGAGTAGCTGGGACTACAGGTGCCCGCCACCACACCTGGCTAATTATTATTATTATTATTTTTTGTATTTTTAGTAGAGATGGAGTTTCACCGTGTTAGCCAGGATGGTCTCGATCTCCTGACCTCGTGATCCACCCGCCCTCGGCCTCCCAAAGTGCTGGGATTACAGGCATGAGCCACTGCACCCAGCCAAGATCAACTTTTTTAAGCTGCTACATATGAATAAGAATATGTGGTGTTTAACTCTGTCTTAGCTGTGTGTGGTGGCTCCTCCCTGAAATCCCAGCACTTTGGGAGGGTGAGGCAGGAGGATCACTTGAACCCAGAAGTTTGAGACCAGCCTGGGCAACATTGTGAGACCCCATCTCTAAAAAATAAAACATCAGCCGGGCACAGTGGCTCATGCCTATAATCCCAGCACTTTGGGAGGCTGAGGCGGGCAGATCATGAGGTAAGGAGTTTGAGACCAACCTGGCTAACACGGTGAAACCCCGTCACTACTCAAAATGCAAAAATTAGCCAGGCATGGTGGCACGCTCCTGTAATCCCAGCTTCTTGAGAGGCTGAGGTGGGAGAATTGCTTGAACCCAGGAGGCAGAAGTTGCAGTGAGCCAAGATCATGCCATTGCACTCCAGCCCGGGCAACAGAGCAAGACTCTGTCTCAATAAATAAATAAATAAGTGAAAAATAAATAAATAAATAACCTTTCTGTTCCTGGCTCGTTTCACTTAACATATTGTTCTCCAGTTCCATTTATGTTGCCATGAATGACAGGATTTCTTTTTTTTTTTTTTAATGGCTGAATAGTATTCATTGTGTATATGTACCAACTTTTCTTTATCCATTCCTCTGCTGTTGAACACCTAGGTTGATTCCATGTCTTGGCTAGTGAACAGTGCTGCGGTAAACATAAGGGTGCAGATGTGTCTTTGATAAACGGACTTCCTTCCTTTGGATTAATGCCCAGTCATGGAGTTGCTAGATGGTATGGTATTTCTATGTGCAGTTTTTATGAGGACCCTCCGTGCTGTTCTCTATTGTGGTTGGGCTAGTTTATGGTACCAGATGGGTGCACTTTCCCACCAAGAGTGTATAAGAGTTCTCTTTTCTCTGCAACCTCACCAGCATTTGTTATTTTTTTTTTCTTCTTGATACCTTTGTATAGCTTTTTAGTGGTTGCTGTAGGATAAATATATATAAAATTTATATTATATAATCAAAGTCTCCAGGTGTCAACATTTTACCAGTTGGAATGAAGTGTAAAAAACCTTATCTCCCGGTGGCCGGGCATGGTGGCTCATGCCTGTAATCCCAGCACTTTGGGAGGCCAAGGTGGGTGGATCATGAGGTCAGGAGATTGAGACCATCCTGGCTAACACGGTGAAACCCCATCTCTACTAAAAATACAAAAAAAATTAGCCAGGCTTGGTGGCAGCCGCCTGTAGTCTCAGCTACTCGGGAGGCTGAGGCAGGAGAATGGCGTGAACCCAGAGGTGGAGCTTGCAGAGAGCCGAGATTGCGCCACTGCACTCCAGCCTGGGCAACAGAGCAAGACTCCATCTCAAAAACAAACAAACAAACAAACAAACAAAAAACAAAAAAAAAAACCTTACCTCCCAGCTGCGCATGGTGGCTCATGCCTGTAATCCCAGCACTTTGGGAGACTGAGGCAGGCGGATAACCTGAGGTCAGGAGTTTGAGACTAGCCTGGCCAATGTGGTGAAACCCTGTCTCTACTAAAAATACAAAAATTAGCCAGGCCTGGTGGCGGGCGCCTGTAGTCCCAGCTACTTGGGAGGCTGAGGCAGGAGAATCACTTGAACCCGGGAGGCAGAGGTTGCAGTGAGCCGAGATCTTGCCACTGTACTCCAGCCTGGATGACAGAGCCAGACTCCATCTCAAAAACGAACAAACAAACAAACAAAAAACCTTACCTCCCTTAATGTCTTGTTACCCTCCCCCATTTATAATATAATTATATATCTTAGATATTTCCTCTACATACATTGAGAACCACTTAAGGCAGTGTAATAATTTTTGCTTCAGCCATCAAACATAATTTAGGAAACTCAAGAGGAGGAAGAAAATCTATTGTATTAATATTTACCAGTATTTTGCTTATCATGTTCTTTCTTCCTTCCTGATGTTCCAAGACTCTTATTTTACCATTTCCTTTCTGTTTAAGGAACATCCTTTAGCATTCTTTCAGCATATATTGCTGGCAATAAATTCTCTTCATTTTCCTTCACTTGAAAAAAAAATTTTCCCCCTTCATTCTTGAATAATATGCTCACTAGACATAGAATTCTGGATTGAGATTTTTTTTTTTTTCTTTCAGCACTTAAAAAATGTGCTACTTTCTTCTGGTCTCCCTGGTTTCTGAAGAGAAATTCTCTGTCATTTGATTCATTTTCTTCTCCAATAGGTGAGGTGTCATTTTTCTGTCTAGCTGCATTGTCTTTAGGTTTCAGAAGTTCAATTAAGATGTTTTGGGCCTGGAGCGGTGGCTGCCGCCTGTAATCCTAGCACTTTGGGAGGCTGAGGAGGCCAGATCACCTGAGCTCAGGAGTTCAAGATCAGCCTGGGCAATACGGTGAAACCCTGTCTCTACTGAAATACAAAAAAAATGAGCTGGACATGGCAGCATGTGCTTGTAGTCCCAGCTACTTGGGAGGTTGAGGCAGAAGAATCTCTTGAACCCAGGAGGCAGAGGTTGGAGTGAGCCGAGATCGTGCCACTGCACTCCAACCTGGGCGACACAGCAATAATCTGTCTCCAAAAAAAAAGATGTTTTAGTGTGGATTTCTTTGAGTTTATCATGTTTAAGGTTCCATTTAATTTTTCTCCTCTCTCTCTCTCGACAGGGGTCTCACTGTGTTGCCCAGGTTGGTCTTGAACTCCTGGGCTCAAGCGGTCCACCCATCTTGGCCCCCAAAGGTGTGAACCACCGCACCCGGCCTCACTTAACTTCTTGAATCTGTAGGGTTTTTTTCTCTCTCTTTTTCTTTTTGCTAAATTCAGGAAATTTCCAGCTATTATTTCTTTGAATGCTTTGTTAACCCCACCCCCTTTCTCCTCTCCTTTTGGCACTCTCATGACATGGATGTTAGGTCTTTTGTTATGATCTCACATTTTCTGAGCCTTTGTTTATTCTTATTTTTTCAGTGATTTTCTCTCTCTTGTTCAGATGGGATAATTGGGTTAAAATTTTGTTTTTAATAGAGACACGTCTCACTGTGTTGGCCAGTTGGTCTTTAACTCCTGGCCTCAAGCAATCCTCCTGCCTCAGCCTCCCAAACTGCTAGGATTACAGGTGTGAGCCACTGTGGCTGGCCCAGATGGGAAAATTGCACTGTTCTAGCTTCCAATTCACCAATAGTTTCCTATGTCCCTTCCATGTTGCTGTCCAGCTGATATCCAATGACCTTTTTATTATTATTATTTTTTGAGACGGAGTCTTGCTCTGTCGCCCAGGCTGGAGTGCAGTGGCGCAATCTTGGCTCACTGCAAGCTCCACCTCCCAGGTTCACGCCATTCTCCTGCCTCAGCCTCCTGAGTAGCTGGGACTACAGGTGCCCTCCACCACCCCCAGCTAATTTTTTTGTATTTTTAGTAGAGACGGGGTTTCACCTTGTTAGCCAGGATCCTGACCTCGTGATCCGCCCGCCTCGGCCTCCCAAAGTACTGGGATTACAGGCGTGAGCCACCACGCCCAGCCCCAATGACCTTTTTTTTTTTTTTTAATTTTGGTTACTGTATTTTAGTTCTAAATTTTTTTTTTTTTTTCAGAGACAGAGTCTCGCTGTGTCACCCAGGCTGGAGTACAGTGGCACGATCTCAGCTCACTGCAATCTCTGCCTCCTGGGTTCTGGAAATTCTCCTCTCTCAGCCTCCTGAGTAGCTGGGATTACAGGTGCACGCCGCCACGCCCAGCTAATTTTTTTGTATTTTAGTAGAGACAGGGTTTCACCATGTTTCCCAGGTTGGTCTCGAACTCCTGAGCTCAGGCAATGCATCTACCTCGGCCTCCCAAAGTGCTAGGATTACAGGCATGAGCCACCATGGCTGGCCTAGTTCTAAAATTTCTATGTGGTTCTTATTTCTTTGTAAGACTTTCTATATTTTCATTTGTTTCAAGCATATCTGTAATTGCTCACTGAAGCATTTTTATCATTTCTGCTTTGAAATATGAAGTAATTCTCACATCTGTGACATTGCCATCTTTGTCGATTTTCTTTCTTTCTTTCTTTTTTTTTTTTTTTGAGGCGGGGTCTTGCTCTGTTGCCCAGGAGGAGTGCAGTAGCACGATCTCAGCTCACGGCAACCTCCGCCTCCCAGGCTCAAGCTAATCTCATGCCTCAGCCTCTGGAGTAGCTGGGACTACAGGGGTGCACCACCAAGCCTGGCTAATTTTTTGTAGAGACAGGGTTTCACCATATTGGCCAGGCTGGTCTCGAACACCTGACCTCAAGCGATCTGCCCACAGCCTCCCAAAGTGCTGGGATTACAGGCATGAGCCATTGTACCTGGCCAATTTAGTTTAATATCTTACTGATACTTGGTATGATGACTTTTCTTTTTTTTTTTTTTTTTTTTTTTGAGATAGGGTCTTGATCTGTTGCCCAGGCTGGAGTGCAGTGGCATGATCTCGGCTTACTGCAGCCTCTGCCTCCCAGGTTCAAGCAATTCTCCTGCCTCAGCTTCCTGAGTAGCGGGGACTAGAGGCGTGTGCCACCATGCCTGGCTAATTTTTTTGGATTTTTAGTAGAGATGGCATTTCACCATGTTGGCCAGGATGGTCTCAATCTCCTGACCTCATGATCTGCCGGCCTCAGCCTCCCAAAGTGCTGGGTTACAGGCGTGAGACACCCCGCCCAGCCTGATGACTTATTTTCAATCAAAACTTGGATAATTTGGTTATTACAAGACTGTGGATCTTATTTAAATCTTGTATTTTAGCAAGCTTCCTCTGACACCATTCTGGCAATGACAGGGGACACTTTACTGCCAGGCAGAAGTGGAAGTCCAGGTTCTCCACCCTACCTCCATTGACACCTGGGGCCACGGGGATCCTTGTGACTGCTGGGTGGGGCTGGGAGTTCCTGCTCCCCACTCGGCCTCTTGTGATACCCCAGGCATGGATGGGAGGAATGCCTGCTGCTGATCCCCACGTGGCCTCCACTGGCACCATGTGTGGGCAGGGAGAGCCTCATCACCTCTGGAAAATGAAGAATGTCCTTACCCTCTGCTAGGTTCCTCTGACAGTACCATAGTGAGGACCTGGAGGGGGCCCTTATTACCACATTAGGAGTGGAAGTCCAGGCTCCCCATGTGGTCTCCACTGACACTGTGGTCAGGGAGGGGGACCTATTTCCACCCAAGTCTTCCTTGGCCTCCTCTGACACCCCAGTAGGAGGCTGGAGCATCTCATTACAGCCTGGCAAGGGTAGGAGTCTAAGCTCCCCACTGGTCTTTGCTATTGAGGGCAGGGTTGGGGCCACAGTTTTTTTCTGTAGTAGTATAGCTTGAGTAGAGTGGTTATTGTCTAAAATATTTTTGTCTTGTTAGTCTGTCTTTGTCCTGATCTTTTGGCTAGACAGAACCGGCTTTGCTTAGGACTTATTTTTTGCCTGTACCCATTGGTGTTTCTGGGTGGCCAGCTCCTCTGTATGCAGTCTGGGATACATGAGTCAAAAAGATAACCCAGGAGGCTGGGCATGGTGGCTCATGCCTGTCATCCCAGTGCTTTGGGAGGCTGAGGCAGGAGGATCCCTTGAGACCAGGAGTTATAAGATCAGCCTGAGCAACATTGCAAGACCGTCTCTACAAAAATTTTTTAAAAGTATTAGGTGGGTGGTGGTGCATACCTGTAGTCCCAGCTACTTGGGAGGCTGAGGTGGGAGAATCACTTGAGCCTAGGAGTTCAAAGTTGCAGTGAGCTATGGTTGTGTCCCTGCACTCCAGCCTGGGTGACAGAATGAGAACTATTTCTAAAATAAATAAATAAAATAAGAAAAAAAAAAACAAAAAGGCAACCCAGAGAAACACCACCATTTCGTCCTTGGCTCTAAGTCTCTAGCTTGTCTGCCTTCTTTGTAACACTTAGCATCTTCTTATGTTTGCTTTATTTATAACATTTAGGGTTTTTTTGTGGAAGGAATAGGGAAACATATGTTTATCTGTCTTCTAGGAAGCAGAAGTCTGTTTTGTCTTTATTTAAAAACATTTTTTTTGTTTTTGTTTTCTGAGATGGAGTCTCGCCCTGTCATGCCAGCTGGAGTGCAGTGGTGCAATCTCAGCTCACTGCAACCTCCGTCTCCTGGGTTCAAGCGATTCTCCTGCCTCAGCCTCTCAAGTAGCTGGAATTACAGGCACCTGCTACCATACATAGCTAATTTTTGTATTTTTAGTAGAGACAGGGTTTCACCATGTTGGCCAGGTTGGTCTCAAACTCCTGACCTCAGGTGATCCACCTGTCTCAGCCTCCCAAAGTGCTGGGATGACAGGCGTGAGCCACCATACCCAGCTGCCTTCATTTATTTTTTTCAGGCTCATCCATGGATGTGGTATTGCCTTCATTTTTGGAATACATTTTTGGTGAGTATAGAATTTAGGTTAAGGCTGGGCGTGGTGGCTCACGCTGTAATCCGAGCACTGGGATTGGCAAATGGATCACTTGAGCTCAGGAGTTTGAGACCAGCCTGCACAACATGGTGAAACCCCATCGCTACAAAAAATTTAAAAAACAAAAATAAAATAAAATAAATTAGCCGGGTGTGGTGGCGCACGCCTGTAGTCCTAGCTATTTGGGTGCTTGGGCGGCTGAAGCGGGAGGATCCCTTGAACCCGGAGGCTGAGGCTGCAGTGAACCATGTTTGTGCCGCTGCACTGCAGCCTCGATGACAAAGTGAAACCCGGTCTAAAAAGAAAAAAGAAAAAGAATTTTAGGTTACAGGGATTTTTTTCTTGCAGTACTTTAAAGATATTGCTACACTATCTTCTTGCTTGCACTGTTTCCAACAAGAAATCTCCTTCTTCTTGATTCCTCTGCACACAATGTGTCTTTTTCCTCTCCATGCTTTTTTTTGTTTTGTTTTTTAGACGGAGTCTCACTCTGTTGCCCAGGTTGGAGTGCAGTGACACAATCTCGGCTCACTCCAAGCTCCGCCTCCTGGGTTCACGCCATTCTCCTGCCTCAGCCTCCTGAGTAGGTGGGATTACAGGCGCCTGCCACCAAGCCCCCGGCTGATTTTTTGTGTTTTTAGTAGAGACGGGGTTTCTCCATGTTGGTCAGGCTGGTCTCGAACTCCTGACCTGAGGTGATCCGCCCGCCTCGGCCTCCCAAAGTGCTGGGATTACAGGCCTGAGCCACTGCGCCCGGCCTTTCCTCTCCATGCTTTTAAGACTTTCTCTTTAGCACCAGTTTTACGAAATTTGGTTTATGATGTACTTTGGTGGACTTTTTTTTTTTTTTGAGATGGAGTCTTGCTGTGTTGCCCAGGATGGAGTGCAATGGCATGATCTCGGCTCACTGCAACCTCTGCCTCCCAGGTTCAAGGGATTCTCCCACCTCAGCTACCCGAGTAACGGATTACAGGTGCGTGCCACCACGCCCAGCTAATTTTAGTATTTTTAGTAGAGACGGGGTTTCACCGTGTTGGACAGGCTGGTCTCAAACTCCTGACCTCAAGTGATCCGCCCACCTCGGCCTCCTGAATGGAATTACAGGCGTGAGCCACTGCGCTTGGCCTGGCTTGCCATTCTATAGAACCCTTGACCCTTCGTGGATCACACCAGAGCTCCCTGCCCCCCACTCCCTCACCCGCTGGGGAAGTTAAAGCCACAGTGACCTCCAATTCTGACTAACAGCCAGCGATGACTACCCTGAGGGGTGCGGCTGAGGTTGGATGAGCTGTGAAGGCCCTGGGAGCCTGGGTGGATGGCACTCAGGAAAGGCAGAAGAGAACCGGGACTGGCATCGGCCTCCCCTGCAGCCTCGCAGCCTCCACCATTGGGGGGCTTCGTTACCAGTGAGGAACTAAGGCAGAGAGGCCACCTCACTAGTCCAGAAAGTTTCTTGCTTGCGGGAGCGAATCTGACTCCATGCCTGTGTTTAACCACAAAGAGTAACAACAATGCCCGCAAAACCGCCGAGTCTGGCACTGTCCACTCTGGATGCTGCTCACATCGTCACAGCCGCCCAGGGGCCCCACACAGGGTGCCTCGGGCACCTGGTGCAGTGGTCAGGGATGCAGGAGGACCCCAGCTGCTGCTCTCGGCCTGCAGGAGTACTGGCTTGTGTCAAGAAAGAGCACCAGGCCACACTGTGCTTGGAGGCTCTGCAAACATTTGCGGAAATAGAAGGACACATCCTTAACTGTTTCAAAACTGAAAGATAGAAGAAACGCTGTTCTTCACTTCCCCTGAAATCAAATCTGTTAACTAGGAGTTTCCCAAACCCAAATCCCCAGGAATCTTGAGCCTAAATTTAGCTTATCCTTGGAAGGTCACGGGATTACCCTGGGGCAGGGTCAGCCAGCAGCTGCTCAAGATAAACTTGGCTTTTCTGCAGACTCAGGCTCTTCTCACACACAATTAATGAGATCCTGCCATTCTTCCCCTGGGAAAGCAGAACAATGGCTGGGGGTGAGCAGGTGGCCTTGGCCAGTGCTCTGCCCCAAGGGCCCTTTACCAGAGATCAGGGGTTTGTGTCCCTGCCTAACCAGGACACCTCCGATCTCCACCTGCAGGCCCTGGACCACTGTGGCACTGTGGACACAAGGCCGCTTCTGCCCCTTGGACGCCGAGCCCCTTCCCACCTCTGGGATCTTGCACTGGCTATTGCTTCTGCTCTGCCTGGAACTTCTTCCCCGGATCCCTGTGAAATGTCACCTCTTCAGAGAGGCCTTCACCACTGTCTTTCCTGCCCAGTTCTTGGTTGATAGGTTCCTGTCAGCTCCTTCTGGGCAGGAGCTTCTTGTGCTGTGTGCTCTGCCTAGAGACAGTGCTTGCCACGAAGTAGGTGAGCAGACCCTCCATGAGTGGCAGGAAAGGTGGGTGCACCCTCATGCCCCTCCGGAGTCTGGCCTGGGCTACTCAGAGGCCAGCCTCCATCTGAGGTGGGTTTGTCTGGGGTGGCGTCAGCCCCTGCGGCCCTCTCTGGGCCTCTCTGCATTGGCATTGTTCCACTGCAGCCTGGGGCCTCGACCAACATAGTGGGGTCAGGGTAGAAACCAGATTGTGAAAGGTGAAGCCTGAGACTCCTCTGCCACGTCCCTGAGATGCTGTGAGGCTGCCGCCAAAGAAACATGAGCTTGCTGGGGCCACCCTAGGGTGACAGCTAGGAGAGAAGAAAAACAGGCAGCCAGGTGAGAAGGGAGAGCCTTGGGCTGGCTGCAGCTCCAAGCTGGCTAGAGGGCAACAGGCAGCCTCCTGTGCAGGACAGACGCATGAAGACAGCCACCCTGTGGAGGTTATTCCTGGATACTAGGTGGGAAAGTCGGCAAGCAAAAGGACAGGTCCAGCTCAAGCTTCTAAAAGCAATGCTGGGGGACGGTGCAGCAAGGTGTTCCTGGAAATGACCTCGGCAACACATCTTAGAAGATGAGCAGGACCCAACCTGACAGATACACGCTGCGGGCAGAAGAGGCCAAGGTAAGAGACGGCCCATGTGAGGCCCATAGGCAGGTAAGTCTCCTGGGGCAGAGTGTGTGCTCAGGGCCGCACCAAGACTGGTGGCTGGACTGGCCAGTCCTAGCGCATGCAGGTACACATCAATCCAGCTGCTCTGGGAGTCGGCTCTTCGTCCATGGGCAATGTGAGCCATGGAGGGTCTTAGGTAGGGTGAGGCCCAGGAGAGGGGCCTGGTGGGGTGGGTGGCCTAGCTGGGCAAGGGCAGGTCCCTGATGACCTGAGGAGGCCGCAGCAGTCATCCCAGGAAGATGGTGGCATGGAAGGGCTGGGAGTAGGGGGATCTGGGGAAGTTCCCTGGGCTTGGGTTAGGGGGTAGTAAGAGTGAGAGGGTGGGTGGGTCAGCTGTACCCCTGGAGTACACAGAGGAGGAGATGTCCAGGAGGGTCTGTAGAGGAAGGGGCATGGCCCATGGGTCTGCAGCAGGAGGAAGGCAGTGACTAAAGTGATAGCTGGGAGAAGGCAGTGGTCCTCAGAGCCATACCTGGTGGGGAGAGGCCACGTGGGGCTGAGCAAAGAGGGTATGATTTCCTTCCAGCCTCAGGGCTGGGCACACTTGCCTTCAGAACCTCCCCACACTAGGTGAGCCAGACGCTGGCCTTATCTCATTTACCATCTCAGAGCCATCTGAAGGGGGAGAAGGGAACCGGGCCCCAGGAGGGAGAAAGTCATCAAACCTCCCACATCTGTGACCAGCCTCAGTGCCATACTTTTTCTATGGAGGGCCCTGTCCAATGGAACTGAGCACAGACCAGATAAAAGAACTGGGCACCCAGTGGCCTCAGTCCAGGGCCTGGAGTTCAAACTTTACTGGAAACAAAGGGGCCGAGAGAGACTGGGGAAAGAACTACTAGAAAGGGGCTGGTGCCCCCATGGGGCTGTGGGTTTTGGAGCCGCGTGCCCCCACCTGAGCCTCAGGGGGCCCGGAGTGTCCACACCAGTGGACCTTTCGAGAAATGGCTGGGCCATTGTGCAGAAGAATGCCCGGAAATCCCGCGCCTCCCTCCTCCAGCAAGGATGGGGGCTCTTCCTCCTGGCCAGGAAACTCCAAGTTGGCTTCCGGAGGGTGGCCTGGGGGCTGGGGTGCCAGGGACACCATCGCCACTGGTGGGAGGGCAGGGCACAGCCCCTCCGTGTCCCTTTGTCTCTCCTGTCTGAAGGCCAGAGCAGGCTGCTAGGCCTGGGGCCACCACTGCCCCTGGGTGCTACACCCAGTGTGCTGGGTCACTGGGAACTTCCTGAAGTGGTGTCACCTGAACTGGGCCCCCAAGGATGGGGTGCGGGCAGTACCGCAGGAAGAGGAGCAGCCCCTGTGAAGATTGAGAGGTCTGGGAAGCCCCTGCGGCTTGGGAGAGTGGGGGTCGCCAGGCAGGGGGAAAGCCCCTGTGCCACCGCTTTTTGCCAGAGACTCAGGCTCCAGAGAGGCAGTGAGTGGCATGGGGGGTGAGGCTGGGGCCCTGGGCCTGACCTCCACACGCCTGCCTGGCCTCTCTGTTTGCCATGGGATGAGAGAGACAGTGCTGGGACTCAGAGCGGGGCTGGAGAGTGAGAGTGCGAGAAAGGGCCTGGGTGGGGCTTGGACCCCGGGGCGGGCTTTCTGGAGAGCCCCCCTACGAGGGCCTCTACGGCGGTGACGGGGTGGGGGGCTTCTGCAAACCTTGGTCAGGGAAGTGGAGCTGGCTCGAGTGGAAGAGACCACCCGGCTCAGTCGGGGATGTGGGAGTGGACTGGGTGGTGCAGACTGGGGGTCGAGCGCCTTCTGAAGTGACGGGGCCGGGACGCGCAGGGAGGCGGCCCAAGAAGCGCGCCCTAGGCCAGCCCAGAATGCGCTCGGCCGCGACTAGGACAACGGCGGGTGGGGCTGGGGGCGGCTGCCGGGCGGGGAGCGGTCCCGCGCCCTCAGCTACCCCTCAAGAGCCGTTGTTTCCCTAACTTCAGCTGCCAGAGGCTCTGTGATTGGCTGCGGCACGATGACCCGCGCACGGATTGGCTGCTTCGGGCCGGGGGGCCGGGCCCGGGGGACAGAATCCGCCCCCGAACCTTCAAAGAGGGTACCCCCCGGCAGGAGCTGGCAGACCCAGGAGGTGCGACAGACCCGCGGGGCAAACGGACTGGGGCCAAGAGCCGGGAGCGCGGGCGCAAAGGCACCAGGGCCCGCCCAGGGCGCCGCGCAGCACGGCCTTGGGGGTTCTGCGGGCCTTCGGGTGCGCGTCTCGCCTCTAGCCATGGGGTCCGCAGCGTTGGAGATCCTGGGCCTGGTGCTGTGCCTGGTGGGCTGGGGGGGTCTGATCCTGGCGTGCGGGCTGCCCATGTGGCAGGTGACCGCCTTCCTGGACCACAACATCGTGACGGCGCAGACCACCTGGAAGGGGCTGTGGATGTCGTGCGTGGTGCAGAGCACCGGGCACATGCAGTGCAAAGTGTACGACTCGGTGCTGGCTCTGAGCACCGAGGTGCAGGCGGCGCGGGCGCTCACCGTGAGCGCCGTGCTGCTGGCGTTCGTTGCGCTCTTCGTGACCCTGGCGGGCGCGCAGTGCACCACCTGCGTGGCCCCGGGCCCGGCCAAGGCGCGTGTGGCCCTCACGGGAGGCGTGCTCTACCTGTTTTGCGGGCTGCTGGCGCTCGTGCCACTCTGCTGGTTCGCCAACATTGTCGTCCGCGAGTTTTACGACCCGTCTGTGCCCGTGTCGCAGAAGTACGAGCTGGGCGCAGCGCTGTACATCGGCTGGGCGGCCACCGCGCTGCTCATGGTAGGCGGCTGCCTCTTGTGCTGCGGCGCCTGGGTCTGCACCGGCCGTCCCGACCTCAGCTTCCCCGTGAAGTACTCAGCGCCGCGGCGGCCCACGGCCACCGGCGACTACGACAAGAAGAACTACGTCTGAGGGCGCTGGGCACGGCCGGGCCCCTCCTGCCAGCCACGCCTGCGAGGCGTTGGATAAGCCTGGGGAGCCCCGCATGGACCGCGGCTTCCGCCGGGTAGCGCGGCGCGCAGGCTCCTCGGAACGTCCGGCTCTGCGCCCCGACGCGGCTCCTGGATCCGCTCCTGCCTGCGCCCGCAGCTGACCTTCTCCTGCCACTAGCCCGGCCCTGCCCTTAACAGACGGAATGAAGTTTCCTTTTCTGTGCGCGGCGCTGTTTCCATAGGCAGAGCGGGTGTCAGACTGAGGATTTCGCTTCCCCTCCAAGACGCTGGGGGTCTTGGCTGCTGCCTTACTTCCCAGAGGCTCCTGCTGACTTCGGAGGGGCGGATGCAGAGCCCAGGGCCCCCACCGGAAGATGTGTACAGCTGGTCTTTACTCCATCGGCAGGGCCCGAGCCCAGGGACCAGTGACTTGGCCTGGACCTCCCGGTCTCACTCCAGCATCTCCCCAGGCAAGGCTTGTGGGCACCGGAGCTTGAGAGAGGGCGGGAGTGGGAAGGCTAAGAATCTGCTTAGTAAATGGTTTGAACTCTCTCCCACCTGTGTCCTGTTCTCTGTCCAGCCATCTTCCGTGTCCAGCAGCCCCATTCATCACCCACCAGCCCCGCCCTCCCAAGGACTCCTGTGGAGACCTCCTCCCAGGGCTGGAGGCTGGGGCTCTTTTCCCCATCCTCCCTGCCACCTTCCCACCAGGTGGGAGACACAGCCACCACTTACTACAGCCCAGAAAGGCGGGATCTGCGGTCAGAAGAGCTGCTGCGTCATGGGGCCCTGGGGCCCGGGATGGGACAGGGGCGGGGGCAGCGGCAGACCCCAGCAGAAGATGCGGGGTGAAGCGCCCTCAACACAGGCTGGTGAGTGGGGGTCCTGCGGTGTGGGAAGTGCTGGGGGTGAGCAGCCAGGCCGCTGGCTTCTCCCAGAAAGGGCCAAGCCCCACACAGCACAGGGTGAGGTTTTCCACTGCCCTCTCAGGGCTTGCCTAGTCCCAAGCCCCATCAAGTGGCCACAGAGGTCTGTAGAATCCCCGACCAGGCCCTTTCCAATGGTGGGTGGGGCAGGAACAGGGGTGAATGCAGGACACGCCGGTCAACAGTAGGGTTGCCATGGGAGGAGGTGCTGGCAGCTGGTTGCCTGGAGTACCACAGCTTGGCTCTAGCCCCTCGTCCTGGCTCCTCTGCCAGTCCCAGCGCAGCTCCCTACAGAGCCTGTACCCACCCTGCTGGCCTGGCAGCCTGCCCAGAATGGTGCTCACAACCAGCACCTGTGCCAGCCCCTGCTGGGGGCACTCTGGGTAACCTTCCTCCTCCAGGGGCTGTGTGGCCTGGGAGTCAGTGCTGGCCCCTGCCAGGCACCTCGGAATGGGGGTGTCTAGAGCCATCTAACATAGCCACTGAGAGCTCACTGTTTTTAGCCTTGTTCTAGGCACTTTGAATTAACACATTTTTGACATTTGACATAAAGCTAGAAGCAGAAGAGAGCAGCTGATGAAGGGGGCATGCTGCAGGGAAGAGCTCTAAGCCCAGCCGGAAGGGAGACTTGGTATCTGCCCCAAACTGGACTTGGGGGCCCTGCCCAGAAATGTCTGGGCCACATCCAGTGGCAGGGAGTCTCCTAGGTCTGGCCAGGCTACCATCATGGAGCAGTGGGAGAACCCCAAGAATGCAGGCTCAGAGTGGCTTAGGGCAGCTGCTGGAATGTGTGGCAGCTTCCTGGGAGCTGCTGTGGAACCAGCCGGTGGGATGAGTTACAGGGAGAGGGGCCCCACGGTGCAGAGGTCCTCAGCAGGCCTGACCTGTACCCCACCTGGGCCTGTACAACAGGGACCAAGAATAGTCCCCAAGCTTGGGAGTGTGTGATCCCAGAGCTGTGGCCCTGGGCAGAGCCAAAAACAATGGTCCTTACACTCTTGCACCTGGCCACCGGGACTGGGTAGTACCAGGTCTGGTGTGTTTGGTCAGAAGCTGAGGCCCAAGGCTGCCTGGGAGGGCATTCCTAAGAAAGCCTTTTCCTAAGAAAGGACAGGCACGGGGCTGGGCACGGTGGCTCACGCCTGTAATCCCAGCACTTTGGAAGGCCGACGTGGGCGGATCACAGGGTCAGGACATCAAGACCATTCTGGCCAACGTGGTGACACCCGTCTGTACTAAAAATACAAAAATTAGCTGGGCGTGGTGGTGTGTGCCTGTAATCCCAGCTACTCGGGAGGCTGAGACAGGAGAACCACTTGAACTCGGGAGGCAGAGGTTGCAGTGTGCCGAGATCGCACCAACTGCACTCTAGTCTGGTGACAGAGCGAGACTCTGTCTCAAAAAAAGGAAAGAAAGGGCATGGAAAGGAAGCTGCACAGCCTTTGAATTTTCCCAAATGGCCAGGGTAGGCAGCTCAAGGGTCCCGGGAAGCTGTGCAAACCACCAGAGGTGAGGGGAGGGGCCCAGCCTCCAGTCCAGCTCTCACCCTTTTGTGCCCACTGCCCTTTGCCAAGGGCTGCACCAAGACCAGCCCCACCTACCTGTGTGCTCTTTTCCAGGCCACTCTTTCTGAGCTTTTCCCCACTGACTTAAAACCTACCCAAATCACTCCTGCCTTCAAAGACCTGGAAAAGAGTGCTGGATGGTGAGACCCACAGGTGGAGGGATGGCTGAGAGGGTGGACTTGCTATGTGGCTGAGGCCAGGTGGACCAGAGGAAGTGGTAGGTGGACAGAGCCAGGTGCTGGCTGGCACCACCAGGCAGTGGCCGGTGCAGGTGCTATGAGGAGGCGGGGATGCCGAGGGGTCCTGACCTCTGTCCACTGCCACCCGGAGGGCCTGGAGGACAGAGTAAGGAGATCTTGTCCTTGGGGCCAATCCCCATGCTGATTTCCTGCCAGGCACTGAGGGCTCCTGGGGCCCAAGACCCACAGAAGGCTCAGAGCACACTCAAGCACTGGCCTCGAGACCAGAGCCACAATGGGGACGGAGCCTAAAATAAGCATTTTATTTAATAAAAAATGGCTTCTACATCTCAAATCATGTCCATAACTTACAATCTAAATGAAAGCCAGTTACATAAATAAGAAGGTCATTCTGGAAGAATCAAATTCTAGAAAACAAAACAAGAAAAAACAAGTTTCAAACGATGTTGATGTGCCACCGAATTGAAGAAACTGCCCAGGCGTCCCCTCTGGGTAGTGCTGCTGAGTAGCCAGGACTGCTTGTGGGGGTGAGGCCACCCCAGACTCGGAGGCCCCTGCTGTCCTCATAGCACCCCTTGACTGGGCTGAGCTGTCCTACATCAGAGCTCCTGCCCCCTGGCCCGGGCACCTTCTTACCTCACGGACCCCGCCCAGCTGCTCAGCCAGCCCCCTGGCACCCTCCCATGGGGGCTCTCCCTCCATCCCTCGGCACTCTGCTGCTCAGCCCTCCTAGCCCAGGCCACCTGTGCCCCTGCCTCAGTGGAAGGACACACAGCAGCATAACATCACCACCAAGCAGGCTGCAGGGGAGGGGTTTGCCTCTAGCACCCACTCCACTGCCAGAGAGCCCCACCTCTGCCTCCGCCCCACCCTATGCAGTCCTGTGATGCTCACACTCATCGTCTAAGGAGAGAGTGGGCCCCATTTTTGGATGAGGAAACAGGCTAAGCCTGATTAGGTGGCTGGCCCAAGGTCACTGCTGATGACCCTACAGAACTTGCCAAAAACCCCGAGGGTCTGACTCAGAGCCCCGCGCCCAAAATGGGCCCCATGTAGCCCAGGCCACCCTGAGAGGAACTGTGGGGTCCCTGAGGCCCCCTATGCTGTTGTCAGCAGAAACCCCCACTCCAGCCCCAACAGGAGAACAGGTGCTTGCCCCTGGAGGGATGGACAGATGGATGGATGGACGGACGGATGGGAGAGTGGGGAGGACCCCAGGCCTGGCCTGAGGGACCTCCTGCAACAGAGTCTTGGCAGGGCCCATCTGCCACAGCCGCAGCCTCCAGGCTAGGGCTCTGGGAGATGCAGGGCTGGATGTGGCATTCCCTGTGGGGAACCTGGGCTGAGAGATGGTTACAAAGACACAAGGCAGGCCTATTTCCTGGGAACCCTTAAGAAAGAGGTAGCACATGGGGCAGTGGGAGGTGTCCCGGGACAGTGACCTGCCAGTGAATCCCAATGGGGCCCTCAGGACAGCTGTGTGCTGGTGAAGGCCCCAGCAGAACCAGCGCTTTGGAATTCCCAGCTAAGCGGCTGCCAACAGCTTTGCTTTCTCATGAGCCAAGCACACAAAAGCCCGGATGGCTGCTCTGCGGGCTCTTGCCCAGCGCCTGACACGAAGGCTGTGGGACAGGAGGCTCCAGGTGGCCTTCGAGGGCAGCACCAGGGAGTCTGTGTGTGACATGTGTCACACGCGATGCCCAGCCCAAGTGTGGTCAGCAGAGGGTGAATACCAGCTCTTTCTGAAGGGATCGCAGGGGCTTAATGAAATTAGCTGCCTCAAAATGCCCCATTGTGGCCCTGCTGGCAGCCTAAGGACAGATGTGCTTGGGAAAAATGTGTTGGCTCCAATCTCAAGAACCCTGCTTCGGTCTGAAACCCAAGTAGAAGCCTCCGTTGAGGGAGGACAGAGCAGGGCATCAGGGTCGGGCTCTGAGGGGGCTGCTGCAGCCACCCCTGCAGAACCCCTGTAACTCACCCTAGGACAGGAGGGAAATAAGTGCGTCCAGAAACTTGCTCCGATCCTCAGCTTTCAGCTCAATTACTGAAGTAATGAAAGAAAAACAGCCGTGAGAAGGGAGGAGTGGGAACACAAGACAGGGCACAGAACTCCCCTCCGCTGCCTGCCCTCCACTGCATTCCAAAGTGCGCGGCTCCTCCCGGCCTGTGGTATTCTGCACTCAGTGGTTGTGTCTGTCTCACTGTACTTCATCTTCACAACTGCTGTCTGCACTGCTAGAGAGGTCAGGGTTGGGGCCTGCAGGGAGAACTCCCCCCCGGGAAGACAATAGAGGTGACACAGGGAAGGGCCCTACAGACCTGGACAAACACGGGCCTGCCCACCCCAGCTGGCATGAACCCCCGTCCCCAGAGTGGGTTGTGGAAGTCCTTGGGTGGGGCAGGTCACTTTTGGCCGCACTCTGGCCAATTCCTCGGCTTCAGTGTTCTCTTCCGCACAAGGGGACATGGTGCAAACTGCCCATATCTCACAGGGCCCTCAGGCTCAGCTGAGCACCCAGACCCTCACCACAAAGCAAAACCAGGCCCCAGGATGGGGCTGGCCTGGCCCTGGGAGCCATCTATGCTGCCAGCCACAGCCCCGAGAGCCCCAGACCCAGCCCACGCAGGTGGGCACTAGACATGGCCCACTCTGCACCCTCACCCCTGGCTCTCCACCCTCAGGGAAACCAAGCAGTTCCCAGCCCGAGTCCTCCCTGTATACTGAAGGCCAGATATTCTGCAGGCCAGTGGGTGTCCATCCACCTCTCCCACATCACAGGCACAAAAGAGTTAGCAGGGGCTGCTGTGCGGGGTGAACCAATGCCACACAGTGCCACAGCCATGGCTGGGTCTGGCTCAAGGAAGGCAGCTCTGAGATGGCTGACGCCACTTCAACAAAGGCTGGATCTCCCATGACAGTGTCTATCATTGTTGAGGAATCCGTGGTGATGAGGCAAGAAAATATCCTTTCTCAGAGGTGCAGGAAGTACTGAGGGTGTTATGAGCTGAACGGTCTCCCCCACATCTCTATGTTGAAGCCCTTACCCCCAGGACCTTAGAATGTGACTATGGTAATTAAGTTCAAATGTGGTTGTTAGGGTGGGCTCTAATCCAATCTGTCTGGTGTCCTTGGAAGATGAAACGGTTTGGACACAGACACCAAGGAGGTATGCAGAGGAAAGACCACGTGAGGACACAGTGAGAAGGTGGTCATCTGTGTGAGCCAAGGAGAGAGGCCTGAGGAGAAGCCAGCCCTGCCCCACCTTGACCTGGGCCTTCTCGCCTCTAGGACTGGGAGGAGACACGTGGTTGAAGCCACCCTGTCTGTGGCACTTTGTTATGGCAGCTTTAGCAAACTAACCCGGGGTGAAATATCAATACGTCTGTTTTACTTTAAAACCTGTCAACAATAATAAGAACGCCAACACAGCCGAATGTGAACCATGTTCCGTGCTGGTGCTGGGGAAGCAGTGGGCAGGCAGGCCTATCCATTCTGGGCTCATCTGACACACAGGTGGGGCCGGTGTCCCAGCCATCTCACAGGTAGCACCTATCACGACACACACCCCGGCCTGTGGAGAGGTGGCTGGCGCAGCAAGGGTTGGTGTCCTGGGTCATCACGGGCCCTGCTGTTCCCTCACCCCATGAAACAGAAACAACCCAACCCTGACAGGTGAGATCGGGGCACACGGGCCCTGGTGGCCAGTCCCCTAGGCTTGCTGGGAAAGTGATCCTTAGCACTGGCTGTAAGGCCGCTGTAAGGCCACAGCCAGGCCAGTCATTCCCTGGAAAACACTTTTTCCCTCTCAGGGGCCTGAGGTTCACCAGAGCTCCCTGAGCCACCAGGAGTAGCCTGTCCCAGGGCCAGATCTGGAAGGTCAAGAGGGCTGCTGGCCAGGCTCCTCCAGCCATGCCAACTTGCTTGGTTCCAGGGCCTGCAATAGCCTCAAAGGGTCAGGTGGGAAAGTGTGGCAGAGTGGCAGGAGACTCTCACCTGAGAGGTCAAAATGGTTGTGCAGCATCCGGGAGCTGGTGCTTTCCGCTGCCTTCTCAAACGCCCTCCCAAAAAAGCTGCTGACACACAAGACATGTCGGGGGCCAGGCGGCCTGCAATGGACCCTTCCCACCCCCCGCCCCAGGACAGACACTAGAGGCAAATACCACTCTACTCAGCAGGGCTAATAAGCTGATAACCCCAACACCCCCGACCCTCCAGTCCCAGGACGAGTGGAAGCTGCTCACTTCTTCCTGTCCGAGCTGTCGGTCTCTGGGGGGATGCCCACCACGGTCACTGTGCCATGCTCCATGCTCAGGGGGGCAGCCATCACCAGGGGCAGCAGTTTGCAGCGCCGGTTCTTTGTCTATGGAGTCGGAGAGCACCCTCCGTCAGGGTATGGTGGGCCCCAGCTCAACACTCAGAGCCCAGAGCCCAACAGCGCCCAGTCACTCCACTCCCCAAAGCCTCCAGGGACGCTGTCACCAGGAGACGCCTTGGTCCCCACCCAGCCACCCCAAGTTAGATGCCCAAGGCCAGTGTCTAACTCCCAGTCCAGGGAGCTCTCCAAACACCTGCCCTCCCGTACCCACAGCATGGTACTGTGGCTGTGATGCTGTGTCCCCGAGCCTCCTTGTCTACCAGCCTAGCCCCACTGCCCCTTGGCTGTTTGTTGCAAGGAGCCTGCCCTGCTATCCTCTCCCTCACCTCCTTCAGGTCCTGCAGCAGCTGCCACCTTCTCCAGGAGGCCCCAGCCCACCCCGCCTCATCCTGCTCCATCCCCTGGCAGCACATCCCCTCATCTTAACCGCAGCTGCCACTCCTCGTCCCCCCCGCCGGCACGCTCCTTCAGGATAAAGGTTTAGGGTTTCCTTCTCTGCTGTGCCTGCTGCACCCACACCCTACAGCCCAGGTGACCAGTATTCCTGGTGTGTCTAGGACTGAGGGGTGTCCCAGGATGTGCACCAGGATGGGCAGTCACTCCACAACAGGGCCGGGCAGGTGGTGGATGTTCAATACATGTCTGGTAAATGAATGGATCCTGTAAAGTGGGTATGTGTTCACCCATTTCACGGATGAGGAAACTGAGGATCAGGTCAGATCATCTACCTCACGTCACACAACTGGCAAATGAGGAGGCTCATCTTTGAACACAGCCTAGAGGACGTCAAGGCCCATGCTCTGTCCCTAGTTTATCTTTGACATTACCTGGTTGATAGAACACATGTCATCTGTCATCATTTTACTGGTTAGTTCAGCGGCAAAAGAAAAGTTCAACTTCCTGTTAGCACATTTTGTTTGAAATAGCCCCCGGCATAAACTCTCATCCTCGAAGCAGAGGAGGACTTCAATTATTGACATGTCACATCTGGGAGGAGCCCCATGTCGGCTAGGTGAGGACCCCTGCCCTAAAGCCAGCCAAGTTAGGAGTGTGTTCCACGCCAACGCAAAGAGGGGGTTAGGCCACACAGAAGACAAAGCCAGGCACAGGAAATCAGCTTAGTGGACAAGCTGTTGCTGGGAAGCCAGTCGGTGCTACAACCATCCCGCTTTCCCTGACCTGCAACAATAGGACACAAGCCCCAGCCCTGTTCACTCTGCAAGGGCCCCTCCCTACTTGTCTGAGTGACTTAGACAGCCAGTGATGAATCAGAGCTTGAGAGAACTGGAAGGTTCCTAGGGGTCAGCTGAGAAAAAGACAGCTCAGAAAAAGTAATGGATGTGCCTAGACCTTGCAGCTGGTCAACAGCCACAGGCACCCCAAGGCCAGCATCTAACTCCCCATCCAGGGAGCTCTCCAAGCACCTGCCCTCCTGTACCCACAGCACCCGCCTGGCCCCTCACCGAACACACAAAGGACTTGAGCAGGTGTTTGCTGAGCAGGCTTAGGGATGCCGGCCTAGAGAACAGCATGACATCTGGAGTGCCCTGCGGAGGCGAGACAGATGGTCAGACGAAGCCACTGGTGCTGTGACCAGGCGCCTGTGCTCTGTGGGAAGCCTGACCTCCATGAGAGAGCAGTACAGGAAAGGCCCCTGGGAGATGACGAGGTTGGTGCAAAGGCAGCTGGCAATGGTCTGCTGGGTGGCTCGCAGCTGCTTCTTGGCGAGTTCCAGGCCATGGTACAGCTTGTCCAGGTTACTCCTGTAACAGGGCAGACACATGGCTTTGGTGGTGCTTGTCAGGAACTCTTGGTAAAATACCAAAGTCACAAATAGTTTGCTTGGTTCCTGGTTCAGGAAGAGGTTTGGGGGTAAGAATTTATCTTCTTTCCCTCCTGAGTTGTCTTTCACATGAAAGGAAAGAATTTTTTAAAATGTATAAACCCACAGTAATGCAAATGAGAGGTGGAGCGGGTGCAAGTATCAGAAGACAGGAAACTAAAAGCCAACAAAGGGAAGATCCTGAAGGCCCAGGAGGACTCTGACACAGGGGAGGCTTGGGCAAGGGCTGGAGGTTGGACAAGGGATCCCCTCAAACCCAACAGATAGATTTTTACTCTTCCCCACAAAAAGGGAGGCTCCCCTCTGAGTATATGAAATGTACCATCTGTGAATAAGTAGAATCCTCAAGCAAAGCCTCTGGGCCCTACAGTGGGGAGTCCCAAAGTGTCACAGTTGGCTCCTGCCTGCTAAGGTGAAACGATGTCTTATGACCAGTGAGCTGTGCCCAGATACCCATGGCCCAGCCAAGGGTCCACAATCCCGTTCTTGAATATGAAAGACATCAGACCATTTGAGAAATGCCTATGGCCTAAAAAAATAACCCTGAAGAAACAGATAATTTGGAGAACTAAAGAAAGTTAAACTGAACTCTAATTAGTATCTTCAGAGAGATGTGTGCAACTCTTACATTCCTAAACCAAGAACAGGATGCTATGAAAAAGGAAGAGTTAAAAACTAGGAAATGTTGATGGAAATTAAAACAGTTGCAAAAGATAAAACATCCACTCCAAGTCTGGAGTCAAGAAAAACTTCCTCAACATAGATAACAAGACAAAGCTATGGAAAATGTAAGGCAAAAAAATAAGACAGAGCATCGTCATTCCAGGAAGCCTGAAAAGCAAGAATAAAAAACACGGATGTTTTCTGTGGGGGGAATAGTAAAGAAATAGTAAAATAAAGATATTGTCAGATATATAAGAACTCAGAAAGTTTATCTCACATGCGCCCTTTCTTTGAATGTTACTTAAGAACTGTGCTCTAATTTAATGAGGGAGTAAATGAAACAAAGATGAAGATCCCAAGAAACATTGGACTAAACTAAGAGGCACAGCCAAGATTTGGACATCCATGGGGACAGTGGAAAGCAGGTCTAGAGAGCTGTAGGTCCAGGCTGTGGTGGGAAGACAGAACCCCAGACTCTCCAGCAAAAAGGGGCTCACAGAAAAACAGCTGGAAGGAGTTTGGAGGAGAAAAAAATGGATGTGATAAAGGAGGCAATTAAAAACAGCAGGAAAAACAAAGAGCCGTGCCAGATAGTAATCTATTACTACACATGATTGTCTCTGGAATAGTTTATTAGCACAATAAAGTAAAACTATTTGTTTACTTTCAACTTTTAAAATCAACCTGTAACCAAAGATAAGACAATTTATATCTTTTTCTCTAACCCAAGATTGTTATCAGTCTTGAAAACGTAAAAGCACAAATTTCAGAAAGTACTGAGCAGCACTGAAGAGCAAAGTAAGGCTGTTTCTACACCTTGGACATTTGTCCCCTCAAAACCTCATGTTGAAATCTGATCCAAGATCTTCGAGGTGGGGTCTAGTGGGAAGTGTTGGGTCATGGGTGCAGACCCCTCATGAATAGATGAATGCTCTCCCTGGGGCTAGGGGGTGTAAGTGAGTTCTTACTCTATTAGTTCCCGTGACGGTTGTTAAAAAGAGCCTAGTACCTTCCTCCTCTCTCTTCCTTCCTCCATTGCCACATGGTCTCTGCACCCACCAGCTCCCCTTCTGCCATGAGTGGAAGCAGCCTGAGGCCCTCACCAGATGCAGATGCCCAATCTTGAGCATTCCAGCCATCAGAATTATGAGGCAAATAAACCTTTTCTCTTTATAAATTACTCAGCCTCAGGTATTCCTTTATAGCAACACAAAATGGACTAAGAGTGTTTTAAATATCCTTTTCTTACAAAGTAGGGAGACGAGATACTAGTGATGAAAGAAGACATAAATATGTTAAAGTTACAAAGAAGTTAAAAATAGTGGCAAAACTGTACCAACAGGAGGGAAGGTGGACAAGAGTGGGATAAATGCTCCTTTGTCATAGCAGGAAGTTGGTAGACAATGTCTAAAGCCTACCCATCAATGCTGGGATGATGGCAGCAACAGTGGTAAAATAGTTTTTGGATTTTCCCAAATTTCTAGATAAAAGTAGAGCAACTAGATTGCAAAACCAAAAACCTAGGACCCACATTTGCAACAAATTAAGAGAACAAGGGAACACTTCAAACCCCAAAGTGTAAGCAGGTAAAAAGAGACCATGAACAGCCAGACAGGTATACTATCTACATCAGTGCGAGAGAAAGCCAAGAGGTAGTGAGACCTAAGAAGACTTAAAACTCCAGGCAACTGGAGAGCAGCGGCCCAAACTGAGAGTTTTGCCCTATGCAAGAGCAGGTGAGTGCAGTGGGCCAAGGGAAAGTTTAAGGAGCCTCCCTGGAGTGCAAGGAGTCCTGGTAATGAGCAAGGGGTCCTGTTAAACAGCAAGGGAGCCTGGTAAAGTATAAGGGGGCATGGTAAAGAGCAAGGGGCCTTGCTGAAGTGTAAGGAGACTATAGTAAAGAGTAAGGGGCCCAGCCTGACCAACATGTCTCTACAAAAAATACAAAAATTAGCCAGGTGCAGTGGCACATGCCTGTAGTCCCAGCTACCTGGGAGGCAGAGGTTGCAGTGAGTGGAAATCATGCCACTGCATGCCAGCTTAAGTGACAGAGTAAGACCCTGTCTCAAAAAAAAAAAAAAAAAAAACCTCCAGTGAATCATACTCCTAATGTAAGGGCTAAAACTATTAAAGTGTTAGTAGAAAAAATAATGTGAAATCTTCATGACCTTGGGTTAGGCAATGGTTTCTTAGATATGACACCAAAAGCACAAGAAACAAAAGAAAAAGTAGGTAACTTAAATGTCATCAAAATTAACAAATCTTATACTTCACAGGACACTGCCAAAGTGAAAAGTCAGCCTACAGAATGGGAGAAAATACTTGCAAATTACTTATCTGATAAGGGATTTGTATGTAGAATATATAAAAGTTTTAGGCTGGGCACGGTGGTTCATACCTATAATCCCAGTGCTTTGGGAGGCCAAGGCTGGAAGACTGCTTGAGCCCAGGAGTTTGAGACCAGCCTGAGCAACATGGTAAGATCTCATCTCTACTAAAAATTTAAAAATTAGCAGGTGTGGTAGCTCATGCCTGTAATCCCACCTATTCAGGAGGCTGAGGTGGGAGGATGGCTTGAGCCAAGGAGTTTGAGGCTGCAGTGAGCCATGACTGCACCACTGCACTCCAGCTTGAGCAACAGAGTGACACCCTGTCTCAAAAAAAAAAAAAAAAAAAGACAAAGGACTTGAATAGACAATTCTCCTAACAAGATACACAAATGACCAATAAGCACATGAGAAGATGCTCAACACTATTAGTCATCAGTAAAATGCAAATCAAAACCATAACGAGATACCACTTCATACTCACTAGGATGAATGTAATCCAAAAGATGGACAATAACAAGTGTCGGTGAGGATGTGAAGAAATTGAAACCCTCCCTCCTGGTGGGAATGTAAAATGGTGCAGCTGCTGTGGAAAAGTCTGGCAGTTCCTCAAAAATCTGGCAGTTCCTTGAAACCTAGTGTTACCATGTCACCCAGCATTTCCACATGTAGGTATATAACCAAAAGAAACAAAGACATGACTACACAAAAACTTGTACATGCAAGTTCACAGCAGCATTAGTCATAATTGTCAATAGGTGGAAACAAACCACATGCCCATCAACTTATGAATGGATAAATGAAATAGAATATATCCATCCAATGGAATATTATTTATAATAAAAAGACACTGGCCGGGCATGGTGGCTGATGCCTGTAATCCCAGCACTTTGGGAGGCCGAGGCAGGTGGATCAAGAGGTCAGGAGTTCAAGACCAGCCTGAACAACACGGTGAAACCCCGTCTCTATTAAAACTACAAAAATTAGCCAGGCTTGGTGGCATGCGTTTGTAATCCCAGCTACTCGGTAGGCTGAGGCAGGAGAATTGCTTGAACCCAGGAGGCGAAGGTTGCAGTGAGCCGAGAGCGTGCCACTGGACTACAGCCTGAGCGAGAGTGAGACTCTGTCTCAGGTGGCGGACGAGGGAAAAGACATATAATCCCGATACATCCTACAATATAGATGAGCCTTGCAAATATGATGCTAAGTGAAGAACCCGGTCACAAAGAACCATATCTTATATGATCCCATTTGTATGAAATGCTCAGAACAGCCAATTCATAAAGACAAAAGGGAGACTGGTGGTTGCCAGAGGCTGGGAGGATCTCTCTGGGGCAACAAAAATGCTCTAAAATTAGATAGTGGTGATTGCTGCACAACCTTGCAAAACCTAACTGCAACCTACTAAAAGTCATTGCAGGCTGGGCACAGTGGCTCATGCCTGTTCCTCCCAGCACTTTGGGAGGCTGAGGTGAAAGGATTGCTTGAGCCTAGGAATTTGAGACCAGTCTGGGCCACATAGTGATACATCTTTACAAAAATTTTTAAAATTAGCAAGGCGTGGTGGCATGCACCTGTTGTCCCAGCTACTCAAGAGGCTGAGGTAGGAAGATTGCTTGAGACTGGGAGGTCAAGGCTGCTGTGAGCTATGATCATGCCATTGCATTCCACCCTGGGCAACAGAGCGAGACCCTGTCTCTAAAAAAATAACAATAAAATAAATAAAAGCCATCACATTGTACATTTTAAATGGGTGAATTGTATGGCATGCAAATTGTATCTCAATAAAGCAGTGGAAAAAAAAGTGTGCTTGGGAGCAGAACCAGGAAATCCCAGAAAGCAGGCCCCCATATATACATATGCATCTTTACCACTGCACAAAAGCAACAGAAGTGGCAGCTCTGTGAAGCCAGAAAAGCTGTCTGAATCATGCCTCCTCCTCCTAAAAAGTCAGGGAAATGAAATTTATACATAAAAAGCATGAGAGAAGTAGCAAAGTCAAATCCCCTCAAAGTCACTATTAGAAAAAAAGAGAATAAGGGACAGAATAACACCTCTCTGGATAATGAAAGTACACTAATGTGAAAGTTGCAGATCCCAGGATGAAATCACTTTTTGACAGGCCCAAACAAATTAAAGCTGGGAAAGCACCAAGGAGAGCTCCTGCTTGCATGTCTGGAATAAAGACTCAAAGACTTTCTAAATAACCCCACAAGAAATCCCTTCTTTAGGACTGCAACAATTCAGATAAGATGCTCTTAAAATATAACACTTGCCCAGTAATGCATCTTCACCACTGAACTGACGCCAACTCTGGCTCTGAGTCTCTGAAACCAATGAATTGTTTCCAAGCTAGCTTTCGTGAACTTCTCCTTTTGCCAATAAAAGTGTCCCCTTAGCCTCCTCTCTTTGGATGCATATTTGGCTTGCCATAGCTGTGCATCGCAGACACTATAATCCTCTTTTCTAATTCCCAAATAAATTCAGTGTATTTGGAGATATTTTTCTCTGATGTCTTTAGTCTGACACTAGACAGACATGCTAAAAAAAAGATCCAAATTGTCACATTCCATTTCAAAACAAGCGAAAAGACATGGAAAAATATAGGACATCTCAGGAAGTGAGATAAGAAAGAATTGGAAAATTAAAAAATTGAGAAATGACAACTATAAGATTAAACACAAGAACGAATATACATAACAAATAATGCCTTTTGTTAAGAGATACAAAAGGTAAAAAAAGAGAAAATTTTAAAAATCAAAAAGAAAAAAAAGCCAAAAAAGATTCAAGAGAAAGTGACAAATACTGAAGAGGGGCAGGTAATGTGTCAGGTGCACACCACACTGGCACTGTGATTCCAGTTCACCCAAGCAGTTTCTGCAGGACACAGTCACTCCCACAGCCCTGGGGTCCCCGTAACTGACCTCCCTGGGCAGTGTGAGAACCAGTGGTGGCCCCATGAGGCAAACCCACAGCCCTCCTGCTACCTGGAGAGGCTGTCCAGAGCCTGGATGAAGTGATCTGTCCCTGAGCCATCCTTCTCGGGGCTCTCCATCAAAGACATGGTGGCAAAGACCACGTCGCTGGCCAGAAACTTGTGCTTGAACCCAAAATGAATGCTGAAAGTCTGCACGCGCATGTCCTTCATCCTGTCATGGGAGCAAACACAGCTGTCACCCTCAAATTGTGGGCAAGCTCTCACTGCCAGGCAGGCCAACAGATGTGCTAATGTCCCTCACAGGCCCAAGTCAATGCTTCCAGCACAGCCATGCTGCTCAGAGGATGAGGCAGGTCAGAACGTCCAGACATACCAGCCCTGCAGCCCAGAGTGGCCGGGTGCCTTCTTGTCAACAGCTTTATGGCTGGCTTAGGGGGTGTGTGGGGTCCTCTCTCACACCTTAGCATGCCAGCTGGCTGGGGTGGGAGAAGCCAGGGGCCTCCAGGAGTGCCCATGGACTTGGTCGGGCAGAGTTCACCTGAACCTGGCCCTGTGGCCCATTTGCTGTCTCCAGTGAAACAGACTGGGGTCGACCTCACAGGTCCCACAGCAGCCCTAGGATCCAAGGATCCTAGGATCCTAAACCTCACAAGCTTGAAGAAGTCTTATTTTTAACCCAAAAAGAACTCAAGACTTCAGGAATGGCCAGACTCAGATAACACTCATTTGTACATTCTCGGGTTGTTGTTTTTTTTGCATTATTTTAGGAGCACGTTGGTTTTTTTTGCATTATTTTAGGAGCACAGTTAAAGTAGAACCCTTCACTTTAATGAACCTGGATGTAATGAAGATAAATCCAGAAAAATGTGTGTTTACCCAAATTTATTTGCAGACTCTTCAATCATTTCCCGCAAATTCTCCTTCAAGGAGATGTCCATGGCCTGGAACTTCTGCTTCACCTGCTTCAGGGGAAGACTGGAAAGAGCAAGCCCAAGCCACATGAGTGAGGTCACCACACACCGACAGGGTGGAAAGAAACCCAAACCAAGGGCAAGCGAGGATGTCCCCGCACCAGCATTCAGAAGATATTCTGGGATCTAGGGCAAGGAGCTTATGGCAGAACAGGCTGCATTTTATAACTAAGTTGGTCACAACAAAGCAGAGGGGCTTTTCCCTTGGGGGTGGCCAGGGCTGGCACTGCAGAGGCCCAGGCAGTCACTCACCCCATGTCTGCAAGGAACTCCTGGAGCCGCTTCTGTCCATGCACAGACCACAGCTTGAACCTGGCTGCGGTATAGCTGGTGTTGCACAGGCTGTCATGGAGGGACCAGTGCTGGTAGAGCACCAGGCGGAGGCTGGGCCTGCAGTCAAGGAGCATGCAAGCACCCACTGGCCGCCCTGAGCACTCTCGTAACTCCAGCAGGTGGGCCACTCTGATGGCGGGGCCCTTTCTCACCAGGCCTGCCTGCAAAACCAGGTATCCCAAGAGTGACCTGGAGCCCTTTGACCTTCTTAGCTTAAGCTGACCCATACAGAGAGCCTGTGAAGTGACAGGCATAGACCACCATCCGTCTGACAGGCAGAGAATCTGGAGCACAGGGGTCTGCAAAGTCCAGGTGCTGTGGTCACATGGAGCAGTCATGGCCACACATGACGTAGGAGGCTGGGCGTCACCAGCTTGTCGTCCTGCACCTCCTGCTCCACCTAGCCCAGCCCTCCCTACAACCCATTCCTCCGGAGAGCCCTCCACTGGGACCCCATCCACGAAGCGCCCCCATCCTCAGCCCTTTTTTCGTTTTTTTTTTTTGAGACGGAGTCTCGCTCTGTCGCCCAGGCTGGAGTGCAGTGGCACGATCTCGGCTCGCTGCAAGCTCCACCTTCTGGATTCACGCCATTCTCCTGCCTCAGCCTCCCGAATAGCTGGGACTATAGGCACCCGCCACCATGCCTGGCTGATTTTTTGTATTTTTCGTAGAAACGAGGTTTCACCGTGTTAGCCAGGATGGTCTCGATCTCCTGACCTCATGATCCACTTGCCTTGGCCTCCCAGAGTGCTGGGATTACAGGCGTGAGCCACAGCGCCCGACCTCCTCAGCCCTTTTCTTAAACATATCCATCACTGCCCCTGGCACCGTGAGCGCAGTTGTGAGTGTGGACTGTCCCCCACGGTGGATTTCCCCTCTACAGGACGAGAGCCTGGTCCTGCCTGCTTCCTCGGCATGCTCAGTTCCCACCACTGCCCCTCCCAACTCCTGGGAACTCCCAGGCCTTCAGACCACCATGCTCCCTGCCCACACTCCAGCAGCTTCCTCAAGCCCCAGCATCCTCAGCTCCCTGACTCCCTCCCTCCTGTCTCAGTCACACACTCCCATGGTCCCTGGGTAAGTGAGCCCACCCTGCCACGCACATGATGGGACCAGCTCCAGTGCACAGCGGCTCCCCTCCCCAGGAGTTCAGCCAGCTCCACCCCGCTCCCCAGGCTCCGATGGCCACCTGACTACTGACGTGTCCACCCTCACTCTTCCTCCTTCCCAGCCATCACAGTGCAGAGACAGGGCAGCTCCGTCCCTGACATCATGCTATCTGACTGCTTACAGCCACTGCTGCAGTTTGGGCCAAGCCACTATTGTGTGGCCTTGGAAAGCAGTGACCATCTCCTTGCCCCCAACCTACCTCTACTGGGCAGCCAAGGGACCTTTTAAAAACCCTGACTCAAACTCTGGTCACTCCACAGCCTCCCGCTGCCCTTGGCTCACAAGGCTTGCTCTGGCCTCCTGACACCTGACCCCAGCCAGTCCCCCAGCCCCTCCTGTGCTCAGTACAGCAGCTGCCACACTGAGTGTGGCTGAGACTGTGTGAGATGTGGTCTCCCCATGGTCTTTTCTGAGCACTCCACCAATGTCCCATGTGCTTCTCAAAAGACACGTCACGCTGTGTGATTACATGGCAGCTGCCTTCTTTCCTGACTGCGTGAACCACTGCCCGCACTGCTACCATGTCCAGAGCCAGGCCCACAATAAGCACTTTACAGGGATGTGCTGGAGAAGGGTGATACTTCCAAACTCAGCTCTGGCATTTAGAAGCCAAAGCCACACAGATGAGCTGGGGTAGCACACCACAGCCCCTTCCCCCAAAACTTCCTGCCCCACCTGCTTTCCCTCCTGGGGATGTGGCCAGAACCCACAGAGGGTGACAAAGCAAACAAGGCCTGCTGAGCAGGGGTGCTGCCTGTGCCCCTCAGGCTGGGCCACAAGGATACTCATACTCAAAGGAGATCCGTGTGCAGTCCACGGAGAGTGTGTTCTCCTCATCCTCGTTCCGGTGGTTGTGGCGGGAAACGTGGCGCTGCAGGACACCAACATCAGTCACGTATTTCATTCTGGAAAAAAAAGTAGCACAAGCCTCGGCTGGTTCCCTCCAGCTCTTACCAGGCAGCCTAAGCCTAGGCTCCATTCCCGCTCAAGGCCTTCCTCAGGGGCCTGCTCACCACAGGAGCTGTTCCCATGCAGGGACTAAGGACATGCAGCCTGCATAGAAACCAAGCACCCAGGAAAACATGATTGGATGGAGCGGGGGGGTGTGGTCTCTAGCCTTGTCCACCTCCGGTCCTCATGGGTCTCACACCTCCTGAGAATGGGCACCGCAGAGGCCACAGCCCATACAGCCAAGATGACAGACTCCGTAAGTGACAGGGATCCACAGCAGAGTGGGTGAAATGTTCCCTATAAACTTTACAAAATTAATGAGGGCAGGGGGAGGGGAGAAATGAAAATGAACCCAGCTCGCAGCACATCAGCATCAGTCACTAGGTCGGCGTGCTCTCTGACTGCTTCCTCGTAGCTGCTTGGTGTCTCATTGCCTCAGAAGCATGTAGACCCTGTCACAAGATTGTAGTTCCCCTAACTGCTCCGTAGATCACAACTTGAACCTTAGGAAATGCTGTTTTCCCTTTGAGATATTCCTTTGGGTCCTGTATACTGATGGAGCTACTGACTGAGCTGCTCCGAAGGACCCCACGAGGAGCTGACTAAACCAAGAGTGCAGTTTGTACACCCTGATGATTACATCCCCCTTGCCCCACCAATCAACTCTCCCAATTTTCCAGCCCCTCACCCTCCAGTCCCCTTAAAAGCCCCAGCCCAGGCCGGGCACAGTGGCTCATGCCTGTAATCCCAGCACTTTGGGAGGCCAAGGTGGGCAGATCACCTGAGGGCAGGAATTTGAGACCAGCCTGACCAACATGAAGAAACCCCGTCTCTATTACAAATACAAAATTAGCCGGGCGTGTTGCTGCATACTGGTAATCCCAGCTACTTGGGAGGGTGAGGCAGGAGAATCACTTGAATCTGGGAGGCGGAGGTTGCGATGAGCCGAGACAGCGCCATTGCACTGCAGCCTGGGCAACAAGAGCAAAACTCCATCTCAAAAACAAACAAACAAACAAAACCAAAAAAGCCCAGCCCAGAACTCCTCAAGGAGATGGATTTGAGGATCTCCTCCCATCTTCTCACTCGGTGCCCTGCAATCATGAAACTCTTCCTCTGCTGCAAACTCTGCTGTCTCAGTGTAACAAGTCTGTTACTGCACAGCAGGCATACAAACCTGCTGGTCCTATAACACATTATGGTGAGTCTAGCCTCGAGCCCCTTGTGGGCATTTGCTTGCCTGCGGCTTGGTGCGCCTTCGCTGTTCAGTGGGAAGGACCCAGAGACAAGCCCAAAGCCCAAGCGGCCACTGGGTTCCATTGAACTATATGGGCTGCCACCCGTGCCCTGCCTGTTGACAGGGCAATGTCAACCTTTGGTGCATAGACTGCTCGCAGCAAAGCAAGTTTCTGGTTTTGAAAGGCATCTTAGGTAAGTTTTCTCCGTGCAACCAGCACCCTTTTCTCCTCTGATTTGCTGGCCTCTTTGGAGGTCCTGTGGCCTCTTCAAAGGTTTTGTGGCTCCCTCTGAAGTCTCGAGGCCTCTTCTGAGGTCTTGTCGACCCTCCCTAATAATAGGAAGGGCCTCGTTTGAGGGGACTTCCTCTGCATTGGAAGGAGACCAAAGAGCACTGCTTGGGAGAAATCCTCTTGACTTCTGAAATTTGGAACTTGATTTCGGAAGGCCTTTTGTTTGTCTTTGTCTTGTTATGTAGGTTTATGTTTGTGAAAGGGATCCCTGAAGGAATTGCTAGCAGCAGCTCAGCAGGCCTAACTCAGGTTGACCATATACTTTTTCATCTTGCCCAGAGACCACCCGCTGAACTCCTGGTTGGAGGTAATTCCTCCCAACTTTGAGTAGATCAAAGGTGCTGGGGGCTGACAGGGGCAAGTATGAGCCTCGCCACGTCAAATCTGGGCGCAGAGTGGAATGATCAGTGTCTGCATTTTTGTTGTGTGTATATCGTCTCAGCTGGAATGAGAAATATTGATTTGGTTACTCCAAGCTGGGCACTGGGCTGCATCTTGTGAAACTGGGAAGACAAGAGACGTACATCTTCATCAGGATAGTGCAGTGGGTAACCTACCCACTAAAAGAAGAAATTCCTGTGGAAAAACTATGAGAAAGTTTCTGCCTGCTTTCTTTTTTTAAAACAGGGTCTCACTCTGTTGCCCAGGCTGGAGGACAGTGGTACAATCATAGCTCACTGAAGCTTTGACCTCCCGGGTTCAAGTAATCTTCCCACTTCAGCCTCCCAAGTAGCTGGGACCACAGGCATGCACCACCATGCCCAGCTGATTTTTTTTTTATTTTTATAGAGAGGGGTTCTATGTTACCTAGGTTGGATTCCTGCAATCCTCCCACCCCCGACAAAGTGCTGGGATTACAGGCATGAGCCATCACCCCTGTCTCTTTTCTGTCTGCTTTGAATCTGGTATTATTAAGCTACTGGTATTGAGAAAAGACTCACTGTCTATGGTATTATTCAGAGCTACTTGGAGATTTTGTTTTGCTTATACAGCTCAGCCAGTTGTAGCTAAAATGTAATCATTGAAAACTTGAAACTGGAGAAAAAAAGAAAGGGTAAGTTTTTAAAATCAAACTGCTATAGAAACTGCTTTATTCAAAATTTTAGTTCACAGCCTTCACTGAATTACCTACTGGGATAAACAAAGTTTATTTATGTGAATGGTTCCAATTTTGTCAGAAATAATTTGGATCCAGCCCTCTTTTATAAACTGGTGAGTTTGTACTGCTGTCTCATGGCTAGAGTTCTGCAGTAAAAGCTGTACCTTTGTATGTGTGTGTATGTGGGTTAAAATAAATTTAGATGTATGTACATGTTGTGTTATGTGTTGTGCCTACATGCTACCAAATTGGCTTATAAATAAATGAGTGCTCATAAACAAAGTAAATAAGTTCAAATATTTTTCAACTTCATGTGACTTAAATGATCTTTAGTAAATAAGCTGGCTTTAAAATTATTGGTAAAATAAAAATAGAAACGTCTTCAAAACTATCAGCGTACATCTTTTTTCTGAGTTTATTGACTGAACGATTTTATATTTGTCTCTACTGGATATTTAGGGTGTCAGGACTTTGCATAAAAGGTTTTAAGACTGTAAAACTAACCAAAACCAGAATGATCTTTGTATGACTTTTTGACAAATAAGATGAATATTGTTGGTTTAATGATAACAGCTGAATCTTCTGAGTTGTCAGCAAAAATACACATGCATTTAACTTTAAGGTTCTTAGGTGAACATCTGATGGTCACAGGCTATAAAAATGATTAAGAAGGCCAGGTGTGGCAACTCACATCTGTAATCCCAGCACTTTGGGAAGCTGAGGAGGGAGGATTGCTTGAGCCTAGGAGTTTGAGAGCAGCCTGGGCAACAAAGTAAGACCCCATCTCTACAAAAAAATCAAAAAAATTAGCCAGGCATGGCGACACATGCCTGTAGTCCCGGCTACATGGGAGGCTAAGGTGGTAGGATTGCTTGATCCCAGGAGGTCAAAGCTGCAGTGAGTTACGTTCATGCCAACACACTCCAGCCTGTGAGACAGAGCAAGACCCCATTTCAAAAAAAGAAAAAGGTTAACAATAAAATAATTTGAAATGATGACTAGTTTTGTCTCTCAGTTTTCATAAGTAATCTAGGCAAACTTAAAAATGCATGAAATGTAAATTGTATGAATGCTTCTAGGCAAACGTTCCATGCAGCTTAAAATCCTAAAATTATTTTAGATGCTTGTTGGGTGTCTGGGTCATTTCCAGTTAAGAAAGGGTTATAATATGTCACAAGATTCTGAGGAGGCCACAAGACCTCCAAGGAGGCCAGCAAATCAGAAGAGAAAGGGGTGCCAGTTGCATGGAGAAAACTTTTCTAATGCCTTTGAAAACCAGAAACTGTCTTTGCTGCGAGCAGTTTATGCACCGAAGGTTGACACTGCTCCGTCAACAGGCAGGGCACCAGCAACAGCCCATATTTCAATGGAGCCCAGTGGCCACTTGGGCTTGTCTCTAGGTCCTGCCCACCGAACAGTGAAGGGGCACCTAGCCGCAGGCAAATACCCATAAGGGGCTTCAGGTAGGCTCTCCATAATTTTTTGTTTGTTTTGGTTTGTTTTTTTTTGAGACGGAGTCTTGTTCTGTTGCCCAAACTGGAGTGCAGTGGCACGATCTCAGCTCACCGCAGCCTCCGCCTCCTGGGTTCAAGCGATTCCTCTGTCTCACCCTCCCGAGTAGCTGGGACTACAGTACAGGTGTGCCATCATGTTCAGCTAATTTTTCTATTCTTAGTAGAGACGGTGTTTCACCATATTGGCCAGGCTGGTCTCGAACTCCTGACCTCAGGTGATCCACTCACCTCTGCCTCCCAAAGTGCTGGGATTACAGGGGTGAGCCATCGCGCCCGGCCTCCAAAATGTGTTATAGGACCAGGCGGTCCATATGTCCACTGTGCAGTAACAGACCTGTTACACTGAGACAGCAGAGTTTGCAGCAGAGGAAGAGTTTCATGATTGCAGGGCACCAAGTAAGGAGATGGGAGGAGATCTTCAATCCATCTCCTTGAGGAGTTTTGGGCTGGGGCTTTTAGGGAGACTGTGGAGGGCTGGAAAATTGGGATAGTTGATTGGTGGGGCAAGGGGGATGTAATCATCAGGGTGTACAAACTGCACTCTTGGTTTAGTCAGCTCCTCGTGGGGTCCTTCGGAGCAGCTCAGTCAGTAGCTCCATCAGTATGTGGGACCCAAAGAAATATCTCAAAGGGAAAACGGCATTTCCTAAGGTTCAAGTTGTGATCTATGGAGCAGTTAGGGGAACTACAATCTTGTGACAGGGTCTACATGTTTCGGAGGCAATGAGACACCAAGCAGCTACGAGGAAGCAGGCAGAGAGCACGCCGACCTAGTGACTGATGCTGATGTGCTGCGAGCTGGGTTCATTTTCATTTCTCCCCTCCCCCTGCCCTCATTAATTTTGTAAAGTTTATAGGGACAGTTTCAGGTACAGATCCTGTACAGGAAGTGCCACTGAGCACAATGAGAGCAGGAAGACCCCACTCTAGGTTCCAAAGGGCCACCAACCAGGACAGTGACCGTGGGGGCCTCACCTGAGAGACTGCTACAGACCAGGAACAGTGCCTATCAGTGCATACACCATGGTGTTTCTAGCCCCTACATTATCTGTGCACAAATTCCATGCTACTCTTAACACACGAAGGGACTCAGGGCCCAACAGGGCAGTGGGCTGTGCCAAGGTGACCTGTCCAGGCCGTAGCTCCAGGCCTGAAACTTGGGCTTCTCCTGCCTTGTGGGCCTTATTGCAGGATCCAGACAGGGGCAGGGCTGGGGAGGCAGGAAATAGTGGCATGGGGCCTATTCAAACTGCATGAGGAGACCAGCACCCAATTGGAGGCTGCGCCTAGGGCTGTGCCAGGTGACAGCCTGGGGACATCTACATGGGTCCCCTAGGAGAGGACCAGCATGTTGGGGTCTAGGTCCATGCCAATCCCTAAGAGATTCTGCCTGATGGCCACTAGAGAAGGTTGGGCCACTTCGTGCATTAGCAGGGATGAAAGAAGAAGCCAACCCCCACTTCGCCCTGCAGCATCTGCATTCTGAGGCAGCCTTGCAGCTCACCGTCAGTCTATCAGATGGGGAGCCCACCACTGAGGGCAAAAGGGGTTCTGCTTCACACCAGACCCCTTACCTTTGGAGCCTTCCCCTTACCTTTGGGGTCAAACCCCTACTGCTTGGCAAGATACTCAGGGTCCTCACTAGGGGCTCTCATCCCGCCCCCAACCTGCTCCTGTGTTGTCTTCCCCCATCCCCCCACCTACTGCAAGGGCCACACCTCAGCACCTGCCTCTAAGCCTGGCCCTGCTGGTAGCACCCAGCACAAGCAGGGCACTGGGAGAGAACTGGGGAGGCTGGCTCTACCTGCCAGATGAAGACGCCACACAAGGCCACGGTCACTCGGCTGGTACTCAGTTAGCCCTTCCTCAGTGACAAATGCTTGGGCCCAAGGAGGAGGGCCAGTCCTCACTTCTCAATAGGACCCTACAGGGACCCTGCTAAAAACTTAGTGGCTATGGTCAGGCTGTGCACCTGGCCACAGCACAGGGCTGACCCTGCAAGGCAAGGGAGTGTGTCCTTACTGAGTGATCTTGTCTTGCACCCACTGGTCTGTTAGTCCAACGATGGCCCACCTGGAAGAAGAGAAGGCAGTGGAGCCGGCCTATAGCCCACCTGGGCTCAATGAGGCCTGGGGGATGGAGTGAGATGATGGAACGGGCCCAAGCTCAGCACTCTGGGGAATGTCCTGCCAGTGGGGCCAGACCCTGGCTTGCCTCAGTCAGGTGGCCTCTCTCCTTGAGGTGAAGAGGTTAGAAGGGTAATTGGGGCCTTGCAGTGCAGTGTCTGCCACTGTGGGAGCTTTAGGTACTCAGAGGAGGAAAACCTCCCAGGAGAGCCATGGCAGCTATAATAGGAGCCAGCACTCCCACCCACTCCTAGGCCATGCTCTGCTCTTGTCCTGCACTCCTGACCCCAACACTCGGAGTGGAGTTGATACAGTATCATGGCAGAGGCCTGTGCTGAGCTGTTGGTGACCCTGGTATCACTTCATCTCTCTGAGCCCCTCATGGCACATGCCCCCAGCACAGGGGGCCCTAGTTGTGTTCACATCTACTCATCCTGCAGCTTAAAGTAGCAGGATGTAGAGTAGCAGTGTTTAGGCCTCTGGTGAGCCTTCAAGGCTCCCATCTTCAGGCTCATCTTTTACCTGAGACCCAGGCAAGGCCTGGCTTCCCCAGCATGACGGCCAGCCCACAGCAAGAGTGACTGGGCCCCACTGTGCTCGGTCATGCCAGGTGCAGCCCGCACAGCGGACTCAGAGGAGGGATGGTTCTTCCTACATCAAATTTTGCCACCGTGTGCCAGGACTGCAAGGATGCCTAGCAAGAGCTGCCTCCTTTTCTGCAGACAGCATCTCACTCAGTCACCCAGGCTGGAGTACGATGGCACAATTGTAGCTCATTGCAGCCCTGAACTTCTGGGCTCAGGAAATCTTCCTACCTCAGCCTCCTGAGTAGCTTGGACTACAGGTACACACTATGACACCTGGCTAATTTTTGAGACAGAGTTTCATTCTTGTCGCCCAGGCTGGAGTGTAATGGCGCAGTCTCGGCTCACTACAACCTCTGCCTTCCGGATTCAAGCGATTCTCCTACCTCAGCCTCCTGAGTAGCTAAGATTACAGGCACCCACCACCACGCCTGGCTAATTTTTTTTTTTCTATTTTTGGTAGAGACAGGGTTTTACCATGTTGGCCAGGCTGGTCTCGAATTCCTGACCTTCCAAAGTGCTGGGATTACAGGGGTGAGCCACCATGCCCAGACAATTTTTTTTTTTGAGACAGGGTTTCACTTCATTGCCCAGGCTAGTCTCAAACTCCTGCACTCAAGTGATGCTCCTGTCTCGGCCTCCCAAAGTACTGGGATTACGGATGTAGAATTAAGGATGTGAGCCACTGCAAAGGCTGCCTCCTTCAAATCTCACACTCCTCCTGTCACTTGACTTTACTGAGTACAGGCTGAGCAGCAGGAGTGGGGAAGGTGAAGCTGTACTGTATTCTCTTCCTCTGCATTCTCCGACACTCCAAGTCCCATGTTTGTGTGAAGCTCCCAGGGCTTCACAGTTAGGAAAAAGACCAAAATCACACACATACCCAGAAAGGGGCTGCATCTGACACTCCTGGTGGGGACAAGGGAAACACCCTCCCTGTGGGAGGACAGAGCTGCTTATGTGGCACTGACCAAGGCAACAAATACTCCCACACAGCTGCCGCAGGGGCTACGTACCACAGCATGTCATTCAGGTCCTTGGACAGCATCCAAGCCAGCTCAAACATCACCATGGCTGACTGTAAGGAAGCAGAGAAGTCTAAGGCTCATGGGAGGGGCATGTGCTGGGGCTGGGCCATGCAGCCAGACTGGACTTGAGCCAGAAGGGCCCTGGCAAACCCCTGCGGATGGAGGGTCTACCTGGCCAGGGCATGTGGGTGGATTCCAGCCCGACATGTGGGATGAGTACACGCTAAACTGAGAAGAGGAAGACTGAAAGTAACTCCTTTGCTACCTAAAATCATTACTGTCTGTATATTTTATCCTGTAGCAAGGGAAGAATTCACTTGGTAGGGGCAGCCCGGGTGCAGCACTGGCTGGGGCCTCTTTGTATCTCCCTGTGTTCCTCAGTGATGCCCAAGGCAGGCACTGAATCCCAAAGGCCAGGAGACCCCATCATTTGCCTGGCTCTGCATCCGCACACTCCTCCTGCTTGGCTGGCGTCCTCAAACACATTCCCAGGAAGGCCAGGTGAGGCAGAGCCCTGGGTCCAATTATTTGAATATTAAAGAGGGAGGGGCCTCAGCACCTCTCTTTCCAACAGGGCTGTCCACATCGGAGCATTTAACTCCCATAAGCAGAGGGTCTCTATTTGGTAAAAGACCTTGAGGAAGACTGGTGTCTGACCAGAAGACCCTAAGATCCCCTTTGCCGTGAGATGCGGGCTTCCTCCAGGGAGAGAATTTCCAAGGGAACTGGCCCCATATATCTGGAGGGAGTTATCTTCTCTAAGTGAGCATCAGCACCCTCCCCACCAACTGTTTAGAATTTTCCATTAGCAAGGACTGAGCAGAGACAGCAAAAGGATGATCCTTCAAAGGACAATGGAACCTTGACAATAAAAGGGACACTGGAAATACGGTGCTTAGAGTTCAAGGTCCCAGTATTAAATTCTAAGACTAAATACAGGATGTTTTATTGAAACTTATTTTCTAGGGCTCCTTAAGGCCTTGAGCTCTGCTCAACACTATTGACATAGTAGGTTTTCTACACTAAATTCTGTTTTGTAAAAGACACACACTGATGGGCCATTATAAGTCTATAGCGTTTTATCTTCTCGCACAGAGACTGGTACAAACTCATTCTGTGTTTTTGATGAACAAAAATAAACGCTGCTCTTCTTTGATCACCTATTGGGTGCAAACGACCATTTTAATAATTACCTCTGAAATGAGGATTATTCTCTTTACAGAGGAGGAGATGTTTAAGGCTCAGAGAGCTTGCAACACCTGCCCAAGGTCACACAGGGGGAAGACATGGAGCTCAGATTCAAACCAGGCTTTTGTGGCTCTAAAATCTACGTTTCTTCTTCACATTTGAGGACACTGACCCCTGGAGTCAGAACTTTATAGTGAGTTCCACCTATTCATACTTACCGATGTCCCATGATATTCATACTGCTCGTAGTCAAAGAGGATGTCTCTTCTGTAATGACATAAAATGCAGGTCTTCAACAGGAAGTAGCAGTACAGGAAGCCAAATATTTTGGAAAAATGCTAAACTTGACAGTATTCAATGAAATGCAAATTAAATCATGGTACTATTTGTTTTCACATATTGACTCTTGGTTTTTTCTTTTTTGTTGAGACAGGTTCTTGCTATGTCTCCCAGGCTGAAGTGCAGTGGTGTGATCACAGCTCACTGCAGCCTTGACATCCTGGGCTCAAGTGATCCTCCTAACTCAGCCTCCTAAGTAGATGGGGCTACAGGCATGTGCCACTACACCCAGCTAATTTTAAAAAAATTTTTTAATAGAGACAAAGTCTCACTATGTTGTCCAGGTTGGTCTCAAACTCCTGGGCTCAAGCAGTCCTTCCACCTTGGCTTCCCAAAGTATTGGGATTATAGGCATGAGCCACAACACCTGGCCACTTATTGACTCTTTAGCAGAATGTATATGTGTAACGTTGGGAAATTAACACAAACTGCCAGTGGCAATGTATGATGTAAAGTGGTATAGTTCAGAATTCCATTTCAGAGAAATTGTCCCATAATTACAATTCAAAGGAAAAAGCAAGACAAAACTTGCTGTGTGCACAAAGTAATTCACTGAAGCCTTATTTATAATGGCAAAATATTGGAAGTAACCTACATTTCAAAAAGAAGGGAAACTGCCAATTAAGTACTAGGCTGTTTAGAAAGCCTGTTCAGAACTATTTTAAATGGTTATATTAAGTAGAAAGATGCAAAATCAGATGTATCATGTAAAATATGCACAAGTATGTATAACCCAGGAATAGAAACCCAAACCCAGAATCTCTTTTAATTAGGCAGTGTGATTATGGATTATTTTCACTTTTCTTTCCTTATGCTTCCTGAAATGGTTTTATATTATCCTTTTTTGGTTTGTTTTTAGAGACAAGGTCTCGCTCTGTCACCCAGGCTGGAGTGCAATGGCACAATCATAGTTCACTGCAGCCTTGAACTCTCCTGGATTCTCCTGCCTGGGCCTCCCAAAGTGTTGGGAATACAGGCATGAGCCACCACACCTGTCTTACGTTGTCCTTATCCGAGGGGGCAGCCTTCCTCCTGTGGCAGCGGCAGGAGTGCATGCCCTCAGCTGAAACAGGGGGAACATCAGCTGGATGGCCTGGGAGACCTTCCATGAGAGATCCAGCAAGGGCTTCCCCCGGGACCCACCTCAAGGGCGCTGCTGCATGCTCACTTCAAGCTAGAATAACCTTTCCAATATTTTCATTTTAGAGCACTTCTTATAAATAATTTGTAAATCAAAGTATCTACATTGGAAAAACTTGATAAAAATAAAGAGCCAGGGCCATGGTCTCTAATGGATGGCATGTACCTGGGAGACCTTGGGGCTGTCCTGTCACTCATGGGACCGGCGAACAACCTGGAGCTCTTCTCCAATGCAGCGGCCACAGGTTCACTCCCAGAGCCACTGGCCCAAAGGTTCTAAACTCAATAAATTATCCTGAGACAGGAAGTCAGAGGTATGGGTGGCACCACAGACCCCCAGGCAAGTGGGCTTCTGGTGCTGGGAGCAGCTGGAAGCACAGACTCACCTCCGGGCCTCCCACTCTCGCCGCTGCCTCCTCCGCATGGTTTGCTCCACTATCTCCTGATACAGGGACAAAGAGAACAAAAGGTGGAGCAAATGCACCAGGAATTTATCCCCACAGCCCAAGAAGGTTCCAATTTGGCAGAAGTCAGTAGGCCCAGACCCCTGAGAGAGAACACGGTCACACCAGTGCCCCGAGCACAGCCTGTTCCTACGGAAGAGAGGCATGGAGGCAAGGGATGGCTGTGACCCCTTCTGGCTCCCAGCTCTCCAGACACCATGGGCAGAAAGAGTAGGGGCTTCCCAAGCACCTGCTCCAGGCAAAACTGTGTTCATCCACCCTAGCTGCTGTCACCCACAGCACTATGGGATCCAAGGTAAGCTCACACCCACTTTGTACCAGCTTCCACATCAGGATGGATGAGAGCTAACATTTCTTATATTCTACCATGCGTTAGGAACTATTCTAATGTTACAGGCACAACCTCGTTTAATCTTCACAACAAAGGCCTGGAATAATGTGGTAGGTTTAGAAATCCATGGTCCCGAGACTCCTGCTTCTGGGAAAATGGAGTAGATATGTTTTTCCCCATACATTCATTAAATATACCGAAAACCCTTCGACATCATAGATCAAACAAAGTAAGGCTGGGCGCAGTGGCTCACGCCTGTAATCCCAGCACTTTGGAGACAGGCGGGCGGATCACATGAGGTCAGGAGTTAAAGACCAGCCTGGCCAACATGGTAAAACCCCGTCTCTACTTAAAATACAAAAATTAGCCGGGCGTGGTGGCACATGCCTGTAATCCCAGCTACTTGGGAGGCTGAGGAGGAAAACTGCCTGAACCCAGGAGGTGGAGGTAGCAGTGAGCCGAGATTGTGCCACTGCATTCCAGCCTGGGTAACAGAGCAAGACTCTGCCTCAGAAACATACAAACAACAACAACAAAAAAAAAAAAACAAAGTAAGACTCTGAAAGGTAGAGGTGAAGGCAGAGCAGTTAGGGACTCTGGGACATGAGGAACAACACAGTGTTCCTTGAGTTTTCCTTCTGGTTCATATATGCCAGAGTTGGAGCTGAAAAGCCAGCAACCTAGAAATACCAACAGGTGCAGACAACAAAACAAAACAAAACAAAACAAAACAACAAAAAAAAAAACCCACAAAAGCTGCTCTGTCTAGTCAAAGGACTGGGAAGGAGCAACCTCCCAAGACAGAAAGCTTTTAGGCAGTAGCCCATCTACTCTAGCCAACACCACCAAGAACATCCATATCCACCCCAGCAAAGGCCCAGTGGGAGCCTAGGCTCCCATCCTTGCGAAGCTGTAGCAAGGCACCCCAAGCCCTCTGTCTGGTGGTATCAGAGAGGCCAAGGAGGGAACTGAGACTGCAACCCCTGCTGGTTGGTGACAAGTCCACACCCCACCTCTGGGTGGGAGAACCAATGGTGGGAGAACCCAGACTTCCACCCCCACCTTCTAGTAATGAGAAATTCCTCCCCTCCCTGCTAGGAGGGTAAGAGGCAGCAAAGTGGGAAGCCTGGACCTTCACTGCCCCAGGTGATAGACATCAGGTGGGGAACCTGATCTTTTACCTCTACCTGGCATCACTCACTCTCCTTGCTTGAGCCGTGTCAGAGAAAGCCAACTAAAACAGAAGACTTAAAGAAGACACGAAATCTCATCACATAATACAAAAATCTCCTGGTTTCATTTGAAGATTACTCATCATACCAAGAACTAGGATGATCTCAAAATGAATGAAAAAAGAAAACCCACCGATGCCAACAGCAAGATGACAGAGTTGTTAGAATTATCTGCCCAAGATTTTAAAGCAGCCATCATAAAAATGCTTCAACGAGCAATGACAAACGATTGAAACAAATGAAAGCCGGGAAGCCTCAGCAAAGAAATAAGAGATCTAAAGAAGAGACAAGTGTTCTAAACAAAGTTTAAGAAAGAAAGAAAGAAAATATATATATATAGAAGAAAGTTTAGAACTGAAAAATACAACTGGAATATTAACTCAGCAAATAGGCTCGAGAGCAGAATGAAGGGGACAGAGGGAAGAATTAGTGAACTGGCAGAAAGACAGAAATTACCCAGTCTGAACAACCGAGAAAAAATAGACCAAAAAAACTAGAACCTCTGGGACTTGTGGGGCTACAACAAAAGAGCTAACATTCACGTCATCAGTGCCCTGGAGGAGGAGAAAGAGGGTGCACTGAAAACACACTTGAAGACATAATGGCTGAAAATTTGGCAAAAGACATAAACCTGCTGGCTGGGTGTGGTGGTTCACACCTATAATCCCAACACTTTGGGAGGCCGAGGCGGGCAGATTGCTTGAGGCCAGGAGTTTGAGACCAGCCTGGCCAACATGGAAAAACCTCATCTCTACTAAAAATACAAAAAAAGTAGCCAGGCATGGTGGCACATGTCTATAATCCCAACTACTCAGGAGGCTGAGGCAGAATTGCTTGAACCCAGGAGGCAGAGGTTGCAGGTCCTCCAGCCTGGGAGACAGAGTGAGACTCTGCCTCAAAAAAAAAAAAGACATAAACCTGCAGATTCAAGAAGCTGGGTAACGGGAGGTGGAGGTTACAGTGAGCTGAGATCGTGCCACTGCATTCCAGCCTGGGTGACAGGGCAAGACTCTGTCTCAAAAAAATAAGAGAAACAAATAGGATAGACACAAATCCACACCAAGACACATCCTAACATCCTAATTAAACTTCTGAACACTCAAACAAAACCAAAATATCTCAAAAACAGCCAAAGAAAAATAAGACTTTCATGATAGGGATAAAGCCTGAATGACAGAGGATTTCTCATGAGAAATCACGGCAGCCAGAGTAAGTGGCACAGTATTTTCCAAATGCTGAAAGAAAATAAGTATTAACCCAGAATTCTACATCCAGTAAAAGTACCTTTTAGGAATAAAAAAAAAAAAATCAAGAAATTCTCAAAGATGGAAAACTAAGGGAATTTATCTCCAGTAGCTCTCCCCCAAAGGAACGGTTAAAGGAGACTCTTAAATAGAAAGGAAATGGAAAAGAAACCTTAGAATACTGGAAAGGAAGAAAAAAATACAGTAAGCAAAAATGAGGTAAATACAATAGGCTTTCCTTACTTATCCTCTTGAGTTTGTAATTATGCTTAATTACTGAAGCAAAAATTATAACACTGTATATGTGGAGGAAATATTTAAGAAAATTATATTATAAATGGGGCAGAGTAAAAGACATTAAGAGAAGACAAGGCCAGGCACAGTGGCTCATGCTTGTAATTCCAGCACTTTGGGAGGCTGAGGCAGGTGGATCACTTGAGGTCAGGAGTTTGAGACGAACCTGGCCAACAGAGTGAAAACCATCTCTACTAAAAATACAAAAATTAGCCGGGCATGGTGGCACACACCTGGGGTCCCAGCTACTCGGGAGGCTGAGGCAGGAGTACTGCTTGAACCCGAGAGGTAGAGGTTGTAGTAAGCTGAGATTGTGCCACTGCACACCAGCCTAGGTGACAGAGTGAGACTCCACCTCAAAAAAAAAAAAAAAAGAAGATAAGGTTTCTACATGTGACTCAACTGGTAAAATGATGATACCAGTAGACTGTGATAAGTTATGGATATGTAATGTAATAACCTGAAACAACCACTAAAAAATCTATACAAGGAGATAGACTCACAAACACTAGAGGAAAGAAAAAGAAAGAAAACAGGCTGGACGCAGTGGCTGTAATCCCAGCACTTTGGGAGGCTGAGGTGGGCGGATCACCTGAGGTCAGGAGTTTGAGGCCAGCCTGCCCAACAAGGTGAAACCCCATCTCTACTAAAAATACAAAAAATTAGCTGGGCGTGGTGGCACGTGCCTGTAGTCCCAGCTACTCAGGAGGCTGAGGCAGGAGAATTGCTTGAACCTGGGAGGCAGAGGTTGCAGTGAGCCAAGATCGCGCCACTGCATTCCAGCCTGGGCAACAGAGCGAAACTCCATCTCAAAAAAATAAAAATACAAATAACAAAGAACAAGAAAAAAATAGAATAAAAAAAACAGAGACCAGGAAACAGAAAATAAAATGTCAGACTTAAGCCCTAACATGTCAGTAACTAAAATAAATGTAAGTAAGCTAAGTTTATCAATTAAGAGATAGAGAATGGCTTTAAAAAACATGATTTAAAAATATGAGCCAACTGTATGCTGTTTTAAAAAATTCACTACAAATGTAACAATATAGGCAGAATGAAACTAAAGAATGTGAAAAGATATATCGTGCAAACATTAATCAAAGGAGAGCAGGAGTGGCAATATTAATATCAGATAAATCACACTTCAGAGCAAAGCAAATTACCAGAGACAGAGTGGGACACTAAGTGAATAAAAGGGTCAATCCACCAAAAGGACACCACAATCCTAAATGTGTGCGCACAAGAGAGCTATAAATACGTGAAGTAAAAAGTGATAGAACTGGAAGGAGAAACAAACAAATCTATAATCAGAGTTGGGGTCTTCAATGTCCCTTTCTGAAGAGTTGAAAGTATTACTAGCCAGAAAAGCAGCAAGCAAACAGAACTCAACACCACCACCAACTCTCAGTATGTAAGTGACATTTCTAAAAAACTCTACCCAACAACAGCAGACTATGCATTTTTTTGACTGACTGCAAATGATACTGTATTTTAAATTTTGGTGTCCACGTATTTATGGCTAGCACGCAGAAATAATAAATATTGTTTGTTTTTATGCAGGTATAAATCTAACAAAAACAGAAAATTTATACACTGAAAACTGCACAATGCTGATGGACGAGAAAGGAATGAGCCATTGATACAAGCAAACATGGATGAATCTCCAAGAATTATGCAGAGCGAAAAAAAGCCAATCCCAAAAGGCTACATACTGTATAATTCCATTTCCATTTCCATAATATTGTTGAAATGAAATTACAGAAATGGAGCTCTCTAGTGGTTACCAGGCAGCAGACAAGTGGGTGTGGCTATAAAAGGGCAACAGAGGGATCCTTACAGTGCTGGAAATGTTCTGTATCTTTTTTTTTTTTTTTAAAGCAATACCCATGGGTTATTTTGGCAGTTTCTGAATGCATAAATGGAATAGACATATTCAGTTTCTGGCAGAACTTTCACAGTGATTTCTAACCTTTAGAGTGCCAACTGAAAAATCACATGATTTATAAATTTAGAAAGGAGACTTTCTTTTCTTTAGAGATAGTCTCAGTTGCCCAGGCTGGAATGCAGTTGTGTGCTCACAGCTCACTGCAGCCTCGACTTACTGGGCTCAGGTGATTCTCCCACCTCAGCCTCCCAAGTAGCTGGGACCATAGGTGTGCACCACCACACCTGGCTAATTTTTGTAGTTTTTGTAGAGACAGGGTTTTGCCATGTTGCCCAGGCTGGTCTCCAACTCCTGGGCTCAAGTGATCCGCCTGCCTTAGCCTCCCATCCTGACCGTGATATTATACTACAGGATTTTACCATTGGGGGAAGCTGGGCAAAGTATATAAGTGATCTCTCTATATTACTTCTTACAACTACATGTGAATCTGTAATTATCTCAAAAGAAAAACTTTAATTAAAAAAAAGCCATGGTCCTGGTGAGGAAACTTTTTGCGGGTAATGGAATTGTTCTCTATCATGGTGGGATGGTGGTTGCATCTTTATACATTTGTTAAATCTCATTGAATTGTACCACCTAGTGAATTGTGTAGACATTATGCCTCAATAAAGTAACAAAATTCCCACAGCCTGAGATTTCTTTGACCCTGCCACAATGCATGGTGGGGTCCTGTCCCCTCCCTTGTGGCTACTGGATGCTGAGGTACTCCAAGGCTGGTCGGGAGAGCCATGCAGTGGCTGCCCGGGTGACTGGAATATTCATGCTGGAAGCCTGAGCAGTCATGTTGTAAGGAAGTCACATTCAATGGAGAGACCCTGCAGGTGCTTGGCTCAGTAGTCCTGGTTTGGAGCCCTCCCAGCAGATGTCTGAGCCATGCTTCCAGTTCTTAGCCATTGAGTCCCCACCTGAGGGCCCAGATATCACAGATCAAAAAGATGTCATCCTCACTGGGCTCTGCCCAAATTCCTAACCTACAGAATCCATGAGCATAAGGAAAAGGTTGTTTTAAGCTGCTAGGTTCTGGAGTAATTTGTTAAACATCAGTAGGAACCAAAACAATTAAGTCTAGTTATTCTCCTTATTTTACAATGGCACACAGAGGTTAAGTCACTTGCCTACAGTCACAAAGCTGTTATAGCAGATACAAAATTTGAAACCCGTGACCTGAGCCACGATATTATAGCACCTGTAGATTAAGTATAATTATGGTTATTTTTATAGCGGACTCTCATCTTTGCTGGGGTCCAGCTCTAACATCCAACCTTTAAAAGACAAGTAAAAATGATTCTCGACCCCATGTCTCCTCTTTTCTTTACAGCAGAACTCTTTTTTTTTTTTTTTTTTTTTTGAGACGGAGTCTTGCTCTGTTGCCCAGGCTGGAGTGCAGTGGTGGATCTCAGCTCACTGCAGGCTCTGCTTCCTGGATTCACACCATCCTCCTGCCTCAGCCTTCTGAGTAGCTGGGACTACAGGCTCCTGCCACCATGCCCGGGAAATTTTTTGTATTTTTAGTAGAGATGGGGTTTCACCGTGTTAGCAGGATGGTCTCAATCTCCTGACCTCGTGATCCACCCACCTCGGCCTCCCAAAGTGCTGGGATTACAGGCGTGAGCCACCACGCCCGGCCTATAGCAGAACTCCTTAAAACAATTATTTATAACCTATTGTCTCTAAACCTCTTTGAATGTGCACCCTTATTAATAAAAATATTTCATTCTTTTCTTTTTAAGAGATGAGGTCCTGCTCTGTTGCCCAGGCTGGAGTGCAGTGATGTGATCATGGATCACTGCAGCCTCAACCAACCTCCTGGTCTCAAGGCATCCTCCCACTCTAGCCTCCCAAGTAGCCGGGCCTATGTGACCATGCTACCATGCCTGGCTAATTTTTATTTTATTTTTCTGTAGAGACAGTGTCTTGCTATGTTGTCCAGTCTGGTATAAATATTTCTTTTTTTTTTTTTTTTTTTGAGACAAGAGTATTGCTCTGTCGCCCAGGCTGGAGTGCAGTGGCGTGATCTTGGCCCACTACAACCTCCGCCTCCCAGGTTCAAGCAATTCTCCTGCCTCAGCCTCTCGAGTAGCTGGGATTACCGGCATCTGCCATTGCTCCTGGCTAATTTTTGTATTTAGTAGAGACAGGGTTTCTCCATGTTGGTCAGGCTGGTCTCAAACTCCTGACCTCAGGTGATTCACCCGCCTTGGCCTCCCAAAGTGTTGGGATTACAGGCTTGAGCCACCACACCAGGCTGGTAAAAATATTTCTAAGAATATACCTCTAAAAAGCAGCCGGGCACGGTGGCTCACGCCTGTAATCCCAGCACTTTGGGAGGCCAAGGTGGGAGGATCATGAGGTCAGGAGATCGAGACCATCCTGGCTAACACGGTGAAACCCCGTCTCTACTAAAAATATAAAAAATTAGCTGGGCGTGGTGGCAGGCACCTGTAGTCCCAGCTACTTGGGAGTCTGAGGCAGGAGAATGGCATGAACCCAGGAGCTTGCAGTGAGCCGAGATCGTACCACTGCACTCCAGCCTGGGCGACAGAGCGAGACTCCGTCTCAAAAAAATATATATATACCTCTAATATACACATACTTAGTTATAAATCATGCACAGGTTTTAATTATATAAAAAGTATTCTTCTCAAGAATGCTTAATGTTATTAAAATCAACGCTCTAGACCTAATTTACAGATCATAGAAAATGCAGGGATAGAGAAGCAAGTTAAAGTACTCCATGAAGAAACAAGTAGTAGTAAATATTAGAAAAGAGAACTGGCCTTCAATGTCATTAAAAACAAAAGAAAAAAAAGAGGTAAGGTATGGTTCTAGGTTAAGACAGTAAAGAGGAATAGCTAAATGTCTTAATCTTGATTGGAGAATAGTTCAGAAATAAAAATAGCTGCAAAATATATTTTGAGGACAATTAAAGAGACCTGAATATGGGCTGAATATTACATGATATTAGGATATTATTAATTTCTTATGTATGACAATGGCATTGTGTTTATGGGGAAGAATGTCCTTATTCTTAGGAGCTGCTTATGAAAGAATGTGTAGAATATCATGGTTTCTGGCTGGCTGTGGCAGTGCATGCCTGTAATCCTAGCTACTTGGGAGGCTGAGGCAGGCGAATCGCTTGAACCCAGAAGACAGAGGTTGAAGGGAGCCGAGATCGTGCCACTGCACCCCAGCCTCAGTGACAGAGTGAGACTCCATCTCAAGAAAAAACAAAATAAAAAATAAAAAAGAATATCAGTTTCTGCAATCTATTCTCAAATAATACAGAAAAAAGAATACACAGAAAGAAAGCAAATGTGGCAAATGTGAAAAACTGTTTTTGTTTTTTTTGAGACAGGTTCTCTTCATGTTGCCCAGGCTGTTCTCAAATTCCTGGGCTTCATCAATCCTCCTGCCTTGGCCTCCCAAGTAGCTGAGACCACCTACAGTCATGATCCACTGTTGACTCTAGATTGAAGGTACATGGATATTCACTGTACTATCCTTTCAACCACTGTATACATTTCAAAAAATTTCAAAATAAAAAGTTGGTGGGAAATTATGCCTATTATAATCCATGAATATTATGTTAAACATTTACAAACACAAATTCCAAATTGATGTGTTAAGTATGTAAAAGGAAACGCTGATTATTTTCCTGTATCTCATCAAGACAACCTACCTTCTCTTTATTGCCAAACCCACTGGTCTGTTCTCATTTGCCTGTTCCTTTGGCACTGCTGGCCAAGCCTTCCTTGAAACTTTCCTTCCCACCTCAGAGCTGCAGTGTCTATGGATGCTCTGCCCAGGAATCCTCTTGGCTCCATCCCCTGCTAACTCATGTTTGATACCTGAAAGCTTTCCCTAATTGTGCTCATTTACATGATCAGTATCTGTCTCCCCCAATGGAAAGCTTTGCAAAGGCAGGACTTTGCTCTCATACCCGCACCCCAGGGCCTAACTGGTACCTGGCACATAGTAAGTGCTTAAAAAATATTTGTTTATTAGTCAGAGTGGAAAATTCCAAGACTTATCTGTAGAACATGAATGTTTCCCGGGAAATCCCATTGGATACTGACATTTGGGAACCAATGAAATGCAGCTCATCGATAGTTAAAAGAATGCTATATAAAAAAAAATTCAGAGAACAAAAAGGACCCCTCACAAACCAAAGATTAGAAGATAAAGACCAAGCTGAGTGTAGTGGCATGTGCTTAGTCTCAGCTACTTGGGAGGCTGAAGTGGGAAGATCGAGTGAGCCCGAAGTTTGAGGCCAGCCTGGGAAACAGAGAGAGACCCCGTCTGGGGAAAAAACAAAAAAAAAACAAAAAACAAAAAGTCTTCCAAAAAATAGAACAAAGAGCTGGGCAAGAGGTAAGAAAATATAACAGTGGGTCCAAGAGGTTCCCTATGAGACACCCAAACCTAGTGAAAGGGGTGACAAAGGTGAGAAAGAAGAGAGAAGCATGCCTCAGTTTGAAGGGCATTGCCCCTTCCCCAAATGAAGAATGTCTTGAACATCTCAAATATGGCTCAAAAAGGCTTCCCAAAAGCACATTACCGGGAAATGTCAGGCTGAGGATGAAGGGAAGACCCTAGAACATTACGGGGGCAAATTCTAGGTCACACACCAAGATCAGGAGCCAGAGGCCATCTTCAAAAGCATCACGTGGCCCTCCGTGCTATGGGAACAACCACCTTCTGCCTGTCATTTTACATCTTGCAGAAGCCGTAGTGTTGGGTAGGCCACTGGGCCCAGCCCCAGATCACTAAGCAGCTCAGACCCAAGGTCCACATGGTGAAAACCACTGGTATCTTCACATACAAGATACCTCCCCTGCAGTAATTGTCTGGGACTGGGCCTGGCCAAGGGATGCAGACCCACATTGCTCCTCTGCAGTGACTGCATAGTAAGTGATGCTAGAAGACAGTAGAAAAGGAAGGGGTGGGGGTTACACTATTTATTGCTTCTCTACATTATTTTTTTGCTATCTAGCCGCAGAGCTGAGCTGTCCTAAATTTCATTTCTTCTGACAGGATCCTATTGGACAGATAAGCCACTATTTAGGGAAGTCCAGTAACCTGCCTGAGGCCACATAACCAGGGGACAGCAGAGCCCAGGGTCAGCATCCATGCCTGCTAACTTTTCCACTTCCCACTGCCCTCAGTACACCTTGGCCTGGCAGGCTTCAGGATGACCTCCGACCTCTGGGAGTGCAAGTTCCTCTGGGATAGCTGTGAGAGACCCAAACTCACCTCTTCTAACCGTGTGCGCTTCTCAGAAGGCTCTGACCCATCACTGTCATTTCCTGAATGCTCTTCATCCTCCTCTTCATCCCTGAAGATGTCTTCATAGGCGGGAACTTCAAGGTCATCATCTTGTTTAATGAGTAATTTGATCTAAGTTCAAAACAAAAAGGAATTAAGCCTCTCCTCTTTCTACGGAAAACTATACAATATGTTCTTCTGCAGAATCTTATCATTTCCTAATAAGCTGACTCAGTTTCCTGTTCATACAAATAGCTACCTATTTAACAAGAGTTCCAGGCTTCTAAGGAATTTTCTTGTTTTCATTACCAGTGAGGCACCAGAGTTACACCATACGTGGTATGCAGAAATTATGAAAATCTGAAAACAGTTCTTTGAGAACCATCTAGTCTACTTAAGTCTGGAAACACAGCATCCTCTTACGTCATACACCAATAAAATGAACGCCCCACAACTTGGCCTCTGTCTGATATAGGACATGAAGATGTGTAACCCCTAAGTGGTGACTAAAACTCCTGTCTGAAAGCAACTCCAGGCTGATTTTTCTTTTCTTTTTTTTTTGGAGACGGAGTCTCGCTCTGTCGCCCAAGCTGGAGTGCAGTGGCACGATCTCGGCTCACTGCAAGCTCTGCCTCCTGGGTTCATGCCATTCTCCTGCCTCAGCCTCCTGAGTAGCTGGGACTACAAGCGTCCAACACTATGCCTGGCTAATTTTTTGTATTTTTAGTAGAGACGGGGTTTCACCATGTTAGCCAGGATGGTCTCAATCTTCTGACCTCGTAATCCGCCTGCCTCGGCCTCCCAAAGTGCTGGGATTACAGGCGTGAGCCACCGCGCCCAGCCAAGACTCCATTTCAACAAAAATAAAAACAAATATTTGCTGGGCGTGGTGGCATGTGCCTGTAGTCCCACCTACTAAGGAGGCTGAGGCAGGAAGGGTCAGTTGAACCCAGGAGTTTGAGGCTGCAGTGAGCCATGATTGTGCCAGTGTACTCCAGACTCTCCTTAAAAAAAAAAAAAAAAGATGACAAAGACCAAGTTCTTGTGTTCAGGCTGTTCCCAGTCCCACAGGGTAGTCAGACACACACCTTACCAAGAACACCAGGTGAGACATTGTACATGGCATAAAAAGTACAGACAGTTTGAGGGCATAGCACAAAAAGTACCTGGGTATCGTTGTATACATTGACGACATTGACTGGCCTATGGGTGTCACACACAAAGAATATAGTGTCTTCATCAGGTTGAAGAATATCCAATAGGTCTACATTAGCTCCACAGTTTATGAGAATAAAATAATGAAACTGAAAAAAAGGAAGATATTGTAAAGTAGCTATATCGAGGAGGCCCCTTTTCCTTCATCACTAAGCCTCTGAGTTGTTCTGCTTAAACTCACTCAGTCCCTGACATGTGGCGAGGCCCACGTGGCAAGGGACTCCAAAAAATGGCCAGGCTGGCATGCTAAGTGCTTTAGCATGGTGACACAGCAGGGTGGGCCCTGGGGCTCCCAGTTTTCCCCAGGAGCACGCTGAGACTCAGCAAGCCCAAGTCTCGTGGACAGGCTCAAGAAACTAATGAGGAGCAGACCAAGACTTCGAGCACGTGATTGGGTCTCTCCAGACCTCACAGTACTATGCTGCGTGCCTCTCCAGGCTAATGGCATCGTACAGGTTTAAGTTTTTAGCAAATACTTTATGGGTACTTAAATATTAAGTCCTTTATCACACTCTATCACTATAGCACTTTCTTTCCTTATAAATACCAAGCTGGTGCGGGTCCTTGACATAATAACAGGAACATCAGGAGAGGATTTGTCTCTGCCAAAACAATCCTAGATATGGCTAGGGACTCCAGGGACCCTCTTCCATGTCCCATCCCCTCTCTGTGGGGTGTACAATGTCCCATCTCTCATTTGGCCCCATGCAGAGGTGGGAGGAATCCTGGCATCTATTGTTTAAATTTATTCCTGGATTTTAAGTTGGAAACCAGGATGCATTTTCTCAGAGAAATAACATAAAATAGTAGTGTATTCTAAAATAATTTTAACTAATTCCAGCACTTTGGGAGGCTGAGGCAGGCGGATCACTTGAGGTCAGGAGTTCGAGACCAGCCTGGCCAATGTGGCGAAACCCCGTCTCTACTAGAAATACAAAAATTAGCCAGGCGTGGTGGTGGGCACTTGTAATCCCAGCTAGTTAGGAGGCTGAGGCAGGAGAATCGCTTGAACCCAGAAGGCGGAGGTTGCAGTGAGCCAAGATTGCACCATGACACTCCAGCCTGAGTGACAAAGCGAGGTTCCGTCTCAAAAATAAATAAATAAAGGCTGGGCGTGGTGGCTCATACCTGTAATCCCAGCACTTTCGGAGGTGGGCAGATCACAAAGTCAGGAGATCAAGACCATCCTGACTAACATGGTGAAACTCCGTCTCTACTAAAAATACAAAAACATTAGCCAGGTGTGGTGGCGGGTGCCTGTAGTCCCAGCTACTCAGGAGGCTGAGGCAGAAGAATGGCATGAACCCAGGAGACACAGCTTGCAGTGAGCCGAGATCGTGCCACTGCACTCCAGCCTGGGCGACACAGCGAGACTCCGTTTCAAAAAAAATAAAAAATAAAAAAATAAACCAAAATAAAATAAAATAATTTTAACTAGACCATATTAAAAACTGCTAGATTCCAAGCACCTTACAATCAAATTTCTGCAAAACAAGTTAAAACAAGTTCAAAGTTGGGGCTATCCACATTCATTATCTTTTTTTGCTGTCAATTTTGCTTCTACAACTTGGGCGTGGTAAGTCACCAGTAAATACAGCATGTTTTTCTCTTCCATATTGCCTAATGTAGCTGATACTTAAATACACGCTTAATCTATCGTGGAAATAGAATGCTGTGTCAAGAAATTACAATTGAGTAAAAAGCCACGTTATTCTAAAACGCATCTTCAATACCTGTTCTTTATGCTCAAGAAATGCAGTTTCAAGTTCTTGCCACCCAGAAACTGGAACCAGCGTATATTGCACGTGGTCACACTGGAACAAGGCCTGGAGAGAGAGTGTTTTCAAAGCCTATCTTATTTAGGACATTAGCAATTTACCTTGAAAAGAAACTGAGGAAGATTAGACGGGTTGAGAGACAAAAGACACGGGATAACATTAAAGCTAGTGAAATGCTTACGGGAAAAGCTAGGTGCTAGGGATATGAGCGTTTACCATACCATTCTGTGAATTTTGCAAATTACCAAAGTAAAACATCGGGGAGAAATGCCGATTTAACTTCCAGGCCTTCTGAAAAGTTCCTGATCCAAGGGCCTGACCAAAACAACGTAAATACTATGCCCTATTCAAAACCAAACTAACGATCTTCCCTAATAGACTAGGGGCTCCCATATTCCCAGCAACACCTGTGACACGACTATACCCACAGTTGTCACAGATTCCTCTCTCTCAAATCCCCCATTTGAGAGGCCACGACAGATCCAAAGTTTCCCCCAAATGCAACTGCTGTGTTCACCTATTAATATTAATAGCTTATTGCAAAAATACAAACTAGTCTCTTTACCTTTTACTTAATCCTTTATCCCACCCCACACCGTTGGGACAGGGAGGCAACCTCTCCTCCGAGTCTCTCTCCTCTCACTTGCTGTTCACCTCCTGCCCTGCTCCCTCTCCCACCCTAAGCCCTCAGCACCCATCCTGACACTCTGCCCGCCCTGCGCCCCCACGCAGCACCCTCACCTCGCGCGCCGGCCCCGCCCTCCTAGGGTCCGCAGAACTCACCTGAAGGATCTTGCACGCACACAGAGCATCCACGTCCGAGGCCACGAAGAGAAGGACCCTCTATCGGGGAAGAGCAGACCGGCTGAACACGGCGACCCGAACCCCGGCCCTCCCCTGCCTCCCGGTCACCCACGGTCGCTCCCCCTCATCCCTTCCCCACCGGCAAGGCCTCGGCGGGGGTCCCGGACTGGGCGTCACCTGGCTCTGGACCACCTCGTAGAACTCTTTGCGGAAATCGGACACGAACATAGCCACGGCGGCCGGACGCCTGGCGCTCGCGCTGAGGTACCAAGAGCCCGGCGGCGGTCAAGACTCCCGCCAAATCACGGCTCCTCCGATTGGTCCAGGGATCACCAACCAATAGCTTCTTAGTTCCCAGCCTTCCTTTCTTTCTGATTGGGCCACATTGGAGGCGGCCATTAGCGCTCTGCCATTCACGGCCAGAAAACTCCAGCCCGCCCCCAAAGAAGCGTCACCTCTGAGGCCGAACGCAAACACTGTTGCCCCCTTCAACTCTGACTCGCTTTTACCCAGAAAAGCGACGCTGGGCGGACATCTTTACTTTGGGAAGAGAAGCCTACTGCCTCCCACTGGGAACCCTCAGGGAAAGTATACTTCTAACCATACATTAAACTCAGTCACATACCCAATGGGGCAGCATTTACGTTTGCAATAGGTTTTTGGTGTGGTTTGAAGAAGGATTTGTAGCTTAGTTCCGCCCGAGTCCTCGATGGCTGAAGCAGAGGCAGTCTGGGTAGTGCATTGTGGGTAGTGTAGTCGTAAGGACAATGGGCCCTACTAAATTCGTCTGGAGGGGAATACTGTCAACACGTAATTTAAAATAACGTTTAAAAATACCTATAAAAGGGGAAATAAATCACGAAAGGGCATTTTAATGCTTCTACTGAGGGTGTTTTAGAGCCTAGCGTCTTCGCCTGGCCTTTTCTCTTTTGCAGCCGACGCTTTGTCCCGGGCACCCCCCCTCCGGGTCTCGGGTCCGGCACTTCCGGTGAGCCTCTGGGGCGTACCGGCTTGGCGCGGCGGCAGCGGCAGCGGCGGCTGGGAGAGCGGTCGGCGGGGTTTCTTCGTTGCATTGCCTGAGAGGAGCGGAGTCTGCCAGGTGGTGTCCATCATGGTAAGCGCTGACGGGCAGCGGGCGGGGGCTGGGCCTTGGCCCGGGGCCTGAGGTAGGGCCCGGCGGGGCAGGGCGGGGCGGGACGGCGGCGGAGGTGCCGAGTCACCCGGGCCTGAGTCCGGCCTGCAGGCTCATCGGCCGCACCGGGCACAAGCAGGACCCTTGACCACTAACCGCCTGTGGTCGCGTCCGCCGGTCCTGAACGTGGCTCGCATTCTGTCTCAGCCGGACTTGCCCTCCTTGACGAAAGAAAGGAAGGTTTGTGTCCATTCACGGGTTTCCCAAGTGCTGGACGCGCAACAGGTTTCCATAAACCCAAAGTTAGTTGCAAGGTTGCTGGGGATGGGAACAGAATCAGGGCGCTCCCCAGGGAGAATCCGTAGTGGGCATCCCCCGCTCTTGGGGGACACCCAGCTCTTGCCCCAGCTCCGTGAGCTCCGTGCCTACGGGTTCGTGCCTTCGAATCTGTACAGCGGTGTTGTGTTCGGTAATGATAACGATGGAAGCTAATACCTGCTGGTACATTTCCTGTTACACAGCTTTTAACACCTGTACTCCCTCATCGCGGCTTATTTCTTTTAATCCCTACAATCCCTTTGGAAGCAAGGATGATGATGATTTTAAACATGAGAAAACTAACGTTTACAGAGGTACTTTATTCGAGTCACAGAAGTAGGGACTGGAGAGTTGAAGCCAAGTCTGTCTGGCTGCAAAGCACTCTACGGTATTGTCTTCCTGTCACCTGTTTATTTTAGTAAAGACAAGGAATGATTGTTAGATTTTATCCCAAGTGTGTCACTGTCAAACCCTGGCTTATTTCTATTCTTGAGTTCATCCACTCAAGAATACCTGATATGTTCCAGGCAGTGTGCTAGGTCTCGGGATTGAAAAGGAAAGTGAGAGATGGGATCGGGAGCAGCAAAGAAGGGGCAGAAGGTCGGGTTCATGGGTAAACTGCAGGCAGGTTGTTAAGTATGTTGCCCCTTTGTGCGGATTTACCTTTTATATTCAAAGAGAAGAAATGGCTTACATAGGTTGGCTAGTGAGAAGCACTCAAGGGAAGCAAGCCCCTACCCTGTTCTGGCCTTGTTCACCCAGAAACGCTATTTCCTGTGTTATGGTTCTGGCCAAGATTTAGCTGAACAGTTATGCTGCTTAAAAGAAGAAAGACAAAAGATTGGAAATTACTGTGTTAGAGTGCCAGGGAGTAAAGAACCATCCCAGATTTTAGGCGGGAACATGCTATGTTTGCATTTTGGGAGATGGCTAATTCAGCTTGCTAATTTTGGAGTTGCTAGTAAACTGCTTTGTCAGTAGGTGGCATTCCTTCTACTAAATATATATTTGGAATCAAGTCAAGAAATTTTCTCTAATACAGATTTTTTTTTAGTTGTGGTTAAAAAAACCAAATTTTTATCATCTTAACCGTTTTTCAGTCTATAGTTCAATAGTGTTGAGTACATTCACGAGCAACAGATTTTCAGAACTTTTTCATCTTGCAAAAGTGAAACTCTACTCACATTAAACAATAGCTCTCCATTTTCTGCTCCTCACAGCCCCTGTCAATCTCTGTTCCACTTTGTCTCCATGAATTTGCCTACTCTAGGTACTTCCTAGAAGCGGACTCATAAAATATAAGTCCTTTTATGACTGACTTACTTCACTTGGCATGATATCCTCAAGGTTCATCCATGTGACAGGATTTCTTTCCTTTTAAAAGCTGAATAATATTTCATTGTATGTATATACCATACCACAATTTGTTTATTCATTCATCTGTCATTGGACACTTGAGTTGCTTCCACCTTTTAGCTATTATGAATAATTGTGCTATGAATACGGGGTGTACAAAAATCTCTTCTTGATTCTGCCTCCAGTTCTTTTGAATATATATCCTCCTGTGAGATTTTAGGTGGTTTCAGTTACCCGAGGTCAACCATGGTCCAAAAATATTAAAATAGAAACCACATTCACATAACTTTTATTACAGTATATTGTTGTAATTGTTTTATTATTAATTGTTAATCTCTTACTGTGCCTAATTTATAAATTAAACTTTTTTTTTTTTTTTTTTTTGAGATGGAGTCTTGCTCTGTTGCCCAGGCTGGAGTGCAGTGGCACGATCTCGGCTCACTGCAACTTCCACCTCCTGGGTTCAAGCGATTCTTCTGCCTCAGCCTCCTGAGTAGCTGGGATTACAGGCGTGTACCACCACGCCCGGCTAATTTTTGTATTTTTAGTAGAGAGAGGGTTTCACTATGTTGGCCAGGCTGGTCTCAAACTCCTGACCTCAGGTAATCCACCTGCCTCTGCCTCCCAAAGTGCTGGGATTATAGGCGTGAGCCACCGCACCCAGCCTATAAATTAAACTTTATTGTAGATATGTATAAGAAAATTGTAGATATGTATAAGAAAAAACATAGTATGTATAGATTTCAGTATTATCTGTGGTTTCAGGCGTCCACTGGGGATGTTGGAATGTATCCCCTGTGGATATGGGGGTGGGGGGTGGGAGGAATACTGTACTTTGAGAAAACCTTCAAATTGATACATGTTTGCTAAGCCTCATCTTAGTCTACAGTTTAAGATCTAGGATCTTATCTTTTTAATGGCATCATGTTTTAGCTTTGCTTGTTGCTGTAAGAAAGCATCATAACATAGTGTAACGTGTACCTACTTTGTGCTGTGAGAGCACGCTGGAGAGGCACTAGACCTGACCCTCAGCAGAGCAAGAGAGGCTTCCTGGGGAAAGGAAAGGATGGTAATTGGAACCCAGGGGAAGGGGTGCAACCACTGGGTACCTGTTCTTCCTGCTGCCTGGAATGTCTTTCCCTCTTTTTTGCCTGGCTCCCTCTCATAGCATTCAGGTCTTTGTGCAGAGTCCCTTCCTAACCACCTATTTAAAATAGCATTCCCAGGAGCCCTGTGTCTACTTACCCTGCTGCTTGTCTTCAGAACTGCCAGACACACATGTGTGTGTGTCCGTTGCTTGGAGTGTATATCTCTCTTGCTTTGAGTGTCATTTTCACCAGGACAGGGGTGGTATCTATTTTGTTAGTGGACAGACATCACTGGAGTGGTGCTTCCCTTGTGCTCATATCAGAGCCTGGCAGACAGTAGGCACTCAATAAAGAGATGTTTCAATTAACAAATATTGTTTAGATTAATGATAATAGGAAAAGTGTTCAAGGCAGAGGAACTAGCCCAGGCAGGAGTCTGTGGGGCTGTCAGTACAAGTCTCTGAGGTATGCAAGAGGTTGGGCCTTGATCCTGAGGATGAAGATGGGAGCATAGCCCTGAAAAAGGTTCAGGACAGGCTTGGCATGGCCTGTTTTGTATTTAGTAAGATTACATTGAAGATTTCAGTACATTGTGTTCTCTGACAATGTTTAGTAGCATTAATTACTCTGACATGTTTTGGCTTTTGACATGAAGAAATGTACCTTTGTTTTAATACTTGTTTCTCTTTCCTCCTTCTAGTTCTCTTTCAACATGTTCGACCACCCTATTCCCAGGGTCTTCCAAAACCGCTTCTCCACACAGTACCGCTGCTTCTCTGTGTCCATGCTAGCAGGGCCTAATGACAGGTCAGATGTGGAGAAAGGAGGGAAGAGTATGTGCTTGTTTTTATTTGAATAGTAACTTTTCCTGCCCTAAGTCTGCAATGCTGTAGCCTTCAACAGTACTTACTTTGCATGTGGGAGTCAGAAGCTAGTGTTACTGTGAAAATGGTGCTGGGATTTATCCCTGACTTGCTCTGTTGGGGTGGGGTGCTAATTATGGTTAGGTTTATGGCTGATAACCATTCAGTTCCCAAAATAAATTACATCAAGTAAGATTCTTCATGAAAGATCACTGGGACATTCTGGCTACCCTAAAAACAGTTTAAGGCTTTTTGTTAGATATAAAGAAACTGCATCTTGCCTTTGGTCTGTCCTTTTTATTTTTATTTTTTAATATTTCTTAAATGTTCTTTCCACAGTAATTATGCCACCCTCGGCCCTGGACCAACTCAGTAAGTATCTTCTGAGTGACTTAAGGACTTAGATAATGTACATATGGACACCAAGAGTCAGCATGGGCTCCTCAGTACATCCAGACACCAGTGCCCTTTGTCAGCATCTGGTTGTGAATTGTCCGTGGAGGGCATGCGCTGGGCTGGGAGAACCTGGGTCACAGGTACCTAGGGCGAGGCCAGGGCCCCCTGAACCTCAGCTTCATCACTGCCCTGGGTGCTTCAGGTTCCTCCTCTGTGAAGGGGGTTCCCTTTCCCTTCCTGATCACCACCTCCACCCACCCCCCAACTGTTCTCAGTATTCTGTCAGGATTAAGTGAAGGTACAAGTATCAAGTGCTTTGTACCGTGCCAGGGCAGCTGATGCCATTGGCTGGGCTCACTAGATTTTTTTCCTAAAGGAAGAATTGGTCAGCTCACAAGAGGGCGCTGTGAGCAGGTTCCTCATCCCCTCACCAAACATCTTTCCTGAGCTCCAGACCCCCATTTCTTTTCTTTTATTTATTTATTTATTTATTTTTTGAGACAGAGTTTTGCTCTTAGCGCCCAGGCTGGAGTGCAGTGGCGCAATCTTGGCTCACTGCAACCTCTGCCTCCCAGGTTCAAGTGATCCTCCTGCCTCAGCCTCCCGAGTAGCTGGGATTACAGGCACCCGCCACCACGCCCGGCTAATTTTTTGTATTTTTAGTAGAGATGGGGTTCCGCCATGTTGGGCAGGCTGGTCTTGAACTCCTGACCTCAGGTGACCTGCCTGCCTCGGCCTCCCAAAGTTATGGGATTATAGGCGTGAACCACCATGCCCGGCCCAGACCCCCGTTTCTAATCTCCAGTGCACCAATGCATCCTCAGCATGTCAAAAACTGAGCTATTGTCTTCCATCCAGAAGCCACTCCTCTTGCTGGGCTCCTGCCTCTTACCAGGAGTGAGATAGGCCCACAGGGGTTCTAAGAGTGGCCACATTCTTCCTCCCTTTTCTCTGACCCCTTATCCCATGAGAGCAACCTGGAAACCCATGCCCTAGCCCCATACTACACAGGCACAGAAAATCCCTATCATGGACAACCCAATCAAGGATGCAGTCATTGCCTTCCAGACTTAAAGAGTGTTTCTGGTGTGAATTCTTCCTGTGTGAGGCAGGAGACTGGGGTTGGCCAGGAGGACAGGTTCATGCTTGGTTTTGGGGGCCTCTGGTGGCAGCAAGCAGAGAACAGGTGCTGGCTGTGGTGTGACTCACCTCGGGCTCTTTGCCCAGCCTGACTCCAGAGTAGCAACTTGACCTCTCTGAACCTCAATGTCCTCTTCTTTAATTGGGGATATCTACAGTGTCTGTGCATCAGAAGTACTGTAGTGTCTGTGACAACCTAAGCTATCCGATTCCAACCACAAGGTGGAGGTAGCCCCTGAGCCAGCACTGGCTGTGGCTATACCCAGTGGAGGCCTCAGCTCAACCAGTAGGTCAACAGAGCTATGGAGTTCACAGTTCTCACGAAGACCCTGTCATTACAGAGGAGAGAACAGGCTCCCTAAAAAGGTCTTCCTTTCAAGTCATGCTGACCCAGGAGCCAGACACCAGGGGTGACCCTTGGCACAGGTGTCCAGAAGAGACTCAGGGGCTGGGTCATTGAGGTGTAGCTCAGATCAGTGTTGTTCAAATCTTTTAAGTGATGGGAGAAACTCTTTCTGTCTAAATCTTATAGGAAGTCCTCTAATTCATAAAATGAGGTTCTCTGCTTTTTTTGGAGAAAGTGAGGGGGTACAGAGGGACTGGGAGCCCCAGGGCACTGGGAGCCTCTAAGTCACAAAATGCAGTTTGAGAGTCAGTGGACTGAGGGACATTGGAGTCTCTTTCACTTGCAACAATCTCAGACCCTTGGCTGAGCCCAGTCCAGTTTACTGTGGACCAGCTGTATGTCAGCTCCATGGCTGTGCAGCTGAGAGGTGGACCGGGACAGAGGTCCTGGCCCCTTTACTGCCAGTGTGAGAGTCACCCTTGGTGATAGGAGGGAGTGCCCACCCTTACTGTACCTCCATGCTACTCTCAGAGGTTCTCTGTAGCTTCCTGCCCAAGCTTTTAACTTGATTTGCTTTATTAGAATTTTTAGGGAGATCTCAAATGGAATCTGCGTTACTTCCTAACACTAAGTGTGATTTTTATTGGAATATTTGTCTGAACTAACAAGCTAAATTCTGCTTTGATGGTTGAATCCCTGGACTTAAGCCAGCAGCCTTGGTTTGAATCCTGGCATCACCACTTGTGTGCTGTGAGGTCTTGTGTGCTCACCACTTGTGTGCTGTTACTTAACCTGTGGGCCTTAGTTTCCCCATAGATAAAAGGGGATAATGATAGTACCTACCTGACTGTTCTGGGAAGACTGAACAAGGGCCTTACACATGGCAAACACCATCACTACCATCAGTTCCTTCTCGGTCTTCTCCCGGGGGCCCAGTGTCTCCTGGGTTTTCCTGCCTCTTTTTGCCAGCCCTTCCTTTATGTGCCTGTGCACCTCTTGGGTCAGCACGTCACCAGTCCAGCTTACTTGCCTCTGGCCTTGCTTTCAGCCCACACCTCAAGGTCCATCAGAGAGAGGGGGCGTCCTATGTCATGACCCTGCTGAGAGCTCACACTGCCCGCTGGGCCCAGGCCCTAGGTTCTACCCCGTGTGGTGCCCCTCCCCTTCCCAACCACTCGCACACCTGTCCCCAGCCTGTCTTGCCTAATTATCCACCATTTCTGAACTGCCTGGGCTCCTCTTCCCTTCCACGCCTTTGCTCAGGCTGCCACCTCTGCCTGGATTTCCTCCCAGGTCTGCCCGCCCAGTGCCCAGCCTAAAGAACTCGGCCTCTAGGAGCCTAGCCCAGTAGCTCTGCCCCCTCCTGCCAGCTCTTCCCACAGCACCTGCAGCATCTGGTTGTGGTTTTCTTTGTTGGAAGGTTTCTACCTTCAAACTAGAAACCTTTGAAGGTCGGGATTTTGTCCAGGGCATGGTGGGCACTGAAATTATTTATGAATAAATGAATGAACACATCACTTTTTAAAATGTTGACTTCAGAAAATCACAAGTCTATGCCAGTGCTGTGTTACCAAGTTGCCAGGTTCCTCCTTGAGCCGTGCACTGTGCTCTCACAGAGGGGGATTCATCTGCCAGAGGAGTGTGGGGTTGAGGGCAGGATTGTGGGGAGGCTCCTTCTATGGGAAGGCGTGGGCCGAACAGGTGTCCCTTCATAGGAGCTGTGCCTCATAGTCTCTCTCTTATTTTCAGGCCGACTTAACATTACCTATCCCATGCTGTTCAAACTGACCAATAAGAATTCGGACCGCATGACGCATTGTGGCGTGCTGGAGTTTGTGGCTGATGAGGGCATCTGCTACCTCCCACACTGGGTGAGTGGGGCTGCCAGGGTCTCTAGAGAGCAGCCACTTAGGCAGAGACATCTCCTGCACTCGAGAGTCCTGGCCCTGGAGCAGGTGGCCCCGCCTACTCCTCCTGCTCAGCGTCTTAGCCTGAGCCGACCCAGCGAGAGAGAAGGGATCCAGAGCAGTGCACTGTGCCTTATGCGGGCTGGTGGGCTCTGGACGCACCTGTGGGCCACTGTGCTGTGGGAGTGGCCTTTTCTTTGATAGTTGCGCAGCTGAACTGTTCATCTGTGATTTCCTGGGTGAGGCGTTTTTAAAAATAATGGAGCAACAGTATTTTTTAGGTGGTCTAGTAAGTAGGGTGTTTGAGGTTTTTATGCTTTTCCCCTACTTTTAGTAGTCTGTCACAGCATACATGTTTTCAGTTACCTCTGACGTAGTCTCCCAAATCTCTCAACTGAGCTGCCATGGGAGTGACGTCTTTTTCCTTACAAGCAGGCTCTCTTTGGAAAGTTGACTTGAAGGATGTCATTGCAGATCTGGGCTGGGATATCCAGGGCGTGTGAGCCACCAGAGCCTGCCCTCAAGGCTGTACCCCTCAGAGAAGTGAGCAGAACTGTGCCAGTGCTGTAGGGAGGAGCCTGCAGCAGTGAGAGTTCCACACAGGTAGCTGTGGCCCACTTGGCTCCTTCTTCTCCTCACTCCTCTCCCCAGCTCTGGCACATTAGGGAAGTTCACAAAGGGACCTGCTTGTCCTTCTCTTTGTGCTTGGATTACATCAGGCATACTGAGAGACCCCGCAGTGAGCTGTGGGCTGGAAACTCTCAGGAGTGCTTGCTTGGCTGCCACCAGGGAGGTGGTCTGAAGCACAGCCCACCTCTCCTGCTGATGCCCTATCATGGTGGCCGCCAGACGTTCAGAAGGGATGGCCTTAACTAATATTTTCTGAGATTAAATATGAATTGAAATTCTGGCCAGGTACGGTGGCTCACGCCTCTAATCCCAGCACTTCGGAAGGCCAAAGTGGGCAGATCACTTGAGGTCAGGAGTTCGAGACTAGCCTGGCCAACATGGTGAAACCCCGTCTCTACTAAAAATACAAAGACTAGCCGGGTGTGGTGGCACGTGCCTGTAGTCCTAGCTACTTGGGAGACCGAGGCAAGAGAATGGCTTAAACCCAGGAGGCTTAGGTTGCAGTGAGCCGAGATCATGCCATTGCATTCCAGCCTGGGCGACAGAGCGAGACTCCATCTCAAAAAAAAAAAACAACAATAATATGAATCAAAATTCTGAAGGTCTCTTTCCTGCTGTAGCAGGTGACCTTGCCCATGCTGCCATGGTAGTGGCATCCTCTTCAGCCTGGGTCCCAGGGTCCTTCCCAAGGTCTGGGCCTGGCCAGTGTCTCCCCGACAAGAGCCCTGCACTCCCATTGCACCTCCTAGTGCCTGGCCTTCCCATGCTGCCTCCTCACCTCAGCTGACTAGGCCTGCCCAACCTGGCCTGTTGGGGGGCTTTTATGCCTCAAAGCCCAGATTGGCTCACCTGCCCTCCCCAGTATTTGCTGCTCAGCCCCTTGCTATTCTTGTGTTTGTCTGCAGGTGCCCCCAAGGGCCTGAGGCCACATTGTGCTCATCCGGTAGAACACCTGGTCACTGAAGCCACTCTAGGTAGCTGAAGTGTCAGGCAGTGACTACTTCCCCAGTCCCTTCTGTGGCTCACCTATAAGAGGAGGTGGTGATGCTGGGGATACACTGTATCTCGAAGGTTCTCCTTTAACCCATAGACTTGAAGTTTGGGTGGCCTCTTGTCCAAGCTGTTGGACTGCTTTAGACCAGGAAACTAATTGAACCCTTTCTCCCCTGGAAAGCCTCTTTAGGTAGCCTGGAGCTGGTTTGGGGTGTGAAGCCATCAGGCCACCTCTTCCCCTGAGCTGGCCTTCCAGCTCCTGGCATGGGCAGGCGGGTGACAGGTATACCCCATCTGCTGTCTTGGAGGGCATGTGAGCCAGTGCTTTTTCTGGGCTGGCTGGTGGACTCCATCCCACCCATGCTCCCAAGCTTCTTCAGGGCGAGCCAGCCTGGAATAGGTACTGGCCTTTTTCCTTGTAGCCAAGGCTTCGTCTGCTGACCTAGATCCGAGCCCTGGACTAGCCGTTTGTGACATGTGGGTACTCGGCTGCCCGTTGTGCTGTATGCTCTAAAATGCTGCATGGGGAGGGCCAGGCATCAGCTCCTCCTGCCTGCTTAGTGCTCTCAGGCCTCTTCCAGCAGCCCATTTCTCACCTCAAGCCCTAGTCTGACCTCTCTGCCTGTCCTCCTCACATCACCTATGGCAGTGTCCTGCCTCTGGCTGAGGAAGCCACCCCCCATCCCTGGCCAGCCTTCCCTCAGGCTTGCAATTGCAGCCCAGTATCCTTCCCCTCGCTGACAAATTTCCCACAAAAATCTACCCAGGGACAGTGCGCCTGGCCTGCGACTGGCTAACTCTGAGCCTTAGAATACTTCCTGTTAGAACATCACTCCTGGGGATGCCAGACCCCCGTTACCAAAGCCAGTCACCTCTGCATCCTTCTGTGCCTGCCTGTGGCATTTGGTAGAGTGACCACCCTCTATTTCTGCCCTTACTAGCCTGACAAGCAGCTGTCAGCGTGAGTGCATGGGGTCCTCTGCAAGCCTATCCATAGGGCCCACCACTCAGGCTTCACTCATGGCCTAGGCACGGCTTCCCAGGCACAGCCTCGGCCTCAGCATGCCTCTCCCTCCTCATGAGCTCCCTCTCATTTGTGACACAGCCCTCAGCCCCCTTTTCCCTTGGCTGTTAAAGTCACCTTCTCACTGCCACTCCCGATGAAACATTCTTGAAGGGATGTGATACCTGGGATTTGCTTCAGGGCATCTAATGTGGCTTGGGACTGGGTGTGAGGTAGTGCTGATCGATGGACTGAGCCACGACGTGAGCACTGTCCAACTGTCAGGGCTCGGTGCGTGGGAGCTCTCTTCTACGGCTCTTTCTACTGATGTATATGTCTGACACCCCTTTTAAGACGGTTTCAAATAAGACAAGCAAAATTTCATTGCAAGAGACATAGAGCTTCTGACCTGAGTCTGGACTCCCTGCACACCCAGTACTCATGGGCATTGTTTATCTCTTTCCGTCTCACTTCTCAGCCGTCGTCTACCTGGCTGGGTTGTTTAATAGAGACATGTGGAGGCTTTGTCAGATTTTTATAACCTCCTTAGCAGAGACCTCTGGGGTCTGTCACCATCTTGCAGCCTCAGCTGTGGTGGGCCATTCCATTGCCAGGTCAGCCTTGCCTTGTGCTGCTTTTGTCCTACCTCAGGTGCAGCCCTACTTGACGCAGGGCCTTATAATTTGCTTGTGGGACAGCTTGGAAGTACAGTGAGTGACTATTCCAGGAAAATGCTCTGCCCCTGGGAAGCCTGGAGCTAGTGAGTAATCCGGGCAGCCCTGCAGAGATGCGTTCACACTGTGAGCTATACAGCTTCAGTAGCACCCCTTTATTGGCCTTCTTCCTTCCACATCACTTGATTTTTCCCTCCTTCCTGACATAGTATCACGAATTACTTATCTTGGCTCAGGTTCCTCTTCCAAGGACCCAAGTAAGACGGGCCTGCCCAGTGTATAGGGAGCAGTGGTTGTGGAGGCTGCTTCATCTCTAGGAGTCTCATGTAGCCTCTTCTTCCTTTCAGATGATGCAGAACTTACTCTTGGAAGAAGGCGGCCTGGTCCAGGTGGAGAGCGTCAACCTTCAAGTGGCCACCTACTCCAAATTCCAACCTCAGAGCCCTGACTTCCTGGACATCACCAACCCCAAAGCCGTGTATCTTTTTCAAATAAGCGGAGTTCTTCTAGACAAAGGAGAGTGTGCTGGCGGTTGTTAAACATCATGTACTGTATTGAATCTGTGCCTGCTTTGGGGATCACACATTTGTGATTCAAGTTGTGATTTGAGAATAATGGGGTTCAGCTAGCACATCTGCGTGGCCCTGGCCAAGTGCACTGGGTGCTGTCTGGGCCACCTCTGTCACTTTCCAGACACTTCATGGAGACCACAATGAAGCCCTTCTTTCAGTTGGTCTGTGTCACCTGGCACAAAGCCAGGATGCACAGTATGTCCAGTGGAAGGAGGGAGCAGCTTATCTGCCTTCAGCTCCAGCCCCTTCTGTGGCTCCCTAGTACCTCCGCCCAGCTGTGCACTGGCCCGTCAACCTCACTGCATGCCAGCCTGAGAGCTGATTCACTCCAGGCCAATAGGTAGCAATGACTGCAGTTTCTATGTCACCAAGCAGAAAGCAAAGGTATCAGGTTCTAGTGGATTCTTTTTGTTCACCTCTGAACTTAAGCCAGGTGTATGTGTTGACAGCATCAGGAAGTAGGCAGTGCAGGTACGGGACGGTGCTGTGTGCACCAATCAAGATCTCTAGCTCCATGGCCCTGATTTTTCCTGTTACGATCATGGCATAAGAGTGGCCACTCCATTCTACTTCTTTTTTTTTATTTTTTTTTAATGCATACTTGAAAAAAAAAACAAACAGTCAAACAACACAGACAGATAGGAAGTTAAGAAAAGCTGCCTCCTTTCCCAGTAGCGCTCTCTCCGCATGTTTTCTTAGGAGCAAGGCACTGCTGGGTGTGCTCTGGATGCATATGGGCCATGTATATTCTTTGCTGCCTATGTTCTGGACACGATGGCCTTGTTGAGCCTCCTGTCCCACAGGCAGGGGGATGTCCTATGGGAAGAGCTAGTTAACTTGTCCTTCAGAGCTCTGACCTAGACATGCTTGTTTGGCTGTCAGTGACCAGGAATGGGCCATGCCCATTTTCTCAGGGTTTTTACATGTGTTGCAATGCAGACTTTTTTTTGAGACGGAGTCTCACTCTGCTGCTCAGGTTGGAGTGCAGTGGCACGGTCTCAGCTCACTGCAAACTCTGCCTCCCAGATTCAAGTGATTCTCCTGCCTCAGCCTCCTGAGTAGCTGGGATTACAGGTGTGCACCACCACACCCGGCTAATTTTTGTATTTTTAGTAGAGACGGAGTTTCACCATGTTGCCTAAGCTGGTCTCGAACTCCTGACCTCAGGTGCTCCACCTGCCTCAGCCTCCCAAAGTGCTGGGATTACGTGCATGAGCCACCGCGCCCTGCCCCAATGCAGACTTATCAGGTTGATCTCAGATGCTGTTTTGTCAGCACAATTAACTTGTTAGTGTGTGGAGAAAGGGCGTCACTTCCATCAGTTGAGAGCCTGGTGTTTTCTGGTCTGGCTGAGGTCTGGATGAAAGCAGTCTTGGCACCGAGCAGAGAAAGTGGGAAGCTGGTGCTGCAGCAGGTGCCAGAGTACGCAGAGGCCATATGGGGAGCCCGCCCTGCCTGCAGAGGCCTCGTGTTCTCAGCCTGAGGGCTCTGGCTCTGCTCCTCCAGCTGCTGCAGTGGAAGTCAGAGAAGATGCCCTGGCAGGGTCACTAGAGGAGTGGAGGGAAGGGCACTTCGTACCGTGGCACTTCATATTTGGGAGCAAAGAAAGCATCCACCACATAAGGCGCTTTTCACAAAGTTGCTCTGGTTCTGGAAAGCTGTTTGACCAAGCGAGGTGAACCTAGATAGCCTCACCCTTTCACCCTCAAGTTGGACTCACAGTGGCAGGCTCTGGAGCCACATTTCATGTGACCTTTTTATGTAAAGTCCTTCAGCAAATTGATGAGGAAGACATGGCAAAATATTCCACATGAATAGACATTTCCTTGTGTGGGCATTTGGGTTCTACAGTTTTACTGTTATAAAAAGTATTTGCTGGTTTCTTTATTTTAATTTCTATTAACTAAAGTTATCAGCTCAAAAGATAGAAACAACAGAAGTATAAATGAAAGCATCTTTGATTTTGAGGAACTTTTGAGAGGACCTATCTGACTCATTAAATCTTTTTTGTTCTTTAGTACTCCCACAGGATTTTTTAAAATCCCATGGTATAATTTGTATACAATAAAATGCACACAGTTCAGCCAGTTTGAAAATGTATACACCCATGTAATCAGAACATTTCCATGTCCCCAAAAGGTCCTTTCCTGTCAGTCCCCACCTGATCCCCTGGCCCAGAAACCTCTCAGCTACCTCCCATCCTCATAGATCTGTCTTTCTCAGGGTTCCATGTGGATGGAATCTCACTGCCCTTTTGTGGTTGGTTATTTCCCCTTCCCCCAGCTTGGCATTTGTTACCCCAGCTTGGCATTTCATCCATATTATTGCATATTAGGAGTTCCATCCTTCTTTATTGCCAAGTAGTACTTTATTGTATTAAAAGCTTCGTGTTTCAAGTACCATCATGGTACAGTCTCTACCTACCAGTAATCATCTAACATGGAAACTTGTTTCAGATTAAGGTATCCATCTTGCCATGTTGCCTTGACAGAATGTGTCTGCAGATTAGAAAACGCACTTAGGAACTTTGCCTGTCTGACCACCGGGGATGTGATTGCCATCAACTATAATGAAAAGGTGAGCCCAGTTCATGCAGGTCATTCCTGACAAGAGCCACCTGCAGTGTCCATTCTAATGTTTGAATGGGGCTTCTTTTTAAGCAGCGTATGCCTGGATCTTATCACCTAATTACTGCCTACTGTTTGGTTATTAAGTTTTCCCGGGTTCATATTTAGAGCCCTAATTCATTTGGTAACTCTGTTTTGAGGATAGATTGCATTTACAGGGGAACATTGATAGACTTATTAGTCATACCTCTGTGTACCTTGGTGGCAAGGCTGCTGGTTCTGTCTTGGTTTGAAAGGTCCCCACTGCACCTCTAATCTGAGCTAAGCCCTTTGCAGGGCTGTGGAGACACAATAACAACCCTGCTGGGTCCTTGTCCTTGGGATACCTGCCCCACAGAAGCTGACAGGCCCTTCAGTGGGGCCAAGTGCTGTGTGGCATCTGAGAAGCAAAGCCTGGCTCTGCCTTAGGGCAACACCTCCTAGGCTCACCTCTCCTCCTGGGAGCCCACATCCTCCTCCACCTCCTGTTTTCTTCAGCTTCCGTTTTCACTTAGCAGCTTCTCTAGGCTTGACCTTTCTGACACAAGTCTCTCAGGTCTGAATGCCTCTGTTTTCATCCCTGATTTTATGCTGTTTAGGTGTCTGGATCTAGACAATTTAACTGTAAAGTGAAATGACAGGACTTAGTCCAAAATTCAAGAAAGCATTCACTTTCCTATTACCTATGGGAATATGCCTGCAGGAGGATGTAATAGTTGGCAATCCTGCCATCAGGCTGTCCCACCACAGGCATGGAGCACAGTAATATGGGTGCCCCTGTTCACTGTGACTGTTGACAATTGACCCTCCCACAGAGCTGTTGCCAGGGCTAGCCTTAGTGTTCGGGAGTGACCACAGCCTGGCTTGGCTGGGCTTTCCCTGAAGCTAGCACTTAGCTCCTTCACAGCACTCTCTGGTCCCTTCGGGGACTGGGCCGTCACAGCTGTGTCACAGCTGCCTGTGGTTTAGCCAGTTACTCCCTTGGTGTCAGTGCAGGGATCCAGCTTATTCTCTGGCAGTTTCCTCATATTTGAGGCATCTGACCTTATTTTTCAGTTCCTTGGGTTTCGAATCACACTTTCTTTTTTCCTTTTAATAAACTAAGAAATAATCTTGTTCCCTTTAGCTTTGTGGAGAACATTTTAGGTATCGTTTACCTTAACTGAATACTCTAAGCTTTTATAATTAATTACAGGCAGTTTAATGTTATTGTTTTTAATGTTAAGGTAGTAATACTACATATAACTCCTAAACTGATGATAAAGGATAGTACTGATACTTTGCACTCTAAGGGAGGGTACATTATATAAGAGTGTATGTAAAATTGAAACACAGGTTTGAACTTCCACTTTTAGAAGTAGGGAAAACTAGATCCTCTAATGGGCCCTTCTGATTAATGTACTGTTGTGCTTATAGAGAATTTTAAACACTCTAAGCTGGGTTGCCCTGAGGGCAGATGGCCATATCAGTGCTCTAGTGGGAGATCTGAGTCAGAGATCAGGATTGAACGGGAACCCTTAAAAGCAGTAAAATATACACAGAGGTGGGTGTTGTCATTGTCTCAGGAGAAATAAACAGATCCTCTCTGGAAAAAGCACTCCAGTTTAGTTACGTCTTTGGGATTGCTGTCAATTGAACAAGCAAAGAACACATAATTAAACTACACCAAAGCAGAGACAATAAAAATTAGATCCCTAAGGAAATCAGCATTAGAATTTCTAGATACAAATGTAAAATAATTAGATATAAAATGTTCAAAGATATTTTTTAAAATGGAATTATAATAGCGAGCAACAAAAGGCTATCAAAAATAACCAGAAAGATTTGAAAAACAATGTTAAACAACAGCTATAAAAGAGTTAATGAAAGATGAATCTGAAGAAATAACAGAATTTCACACAGAGGAGCAAGGGGATGGAACATATGAGAGCTTGAGATGTTGAAGACACTGAGAAAGTCAAACATGCCCATTGCAATCCCAGTAGGAAAGAATGGAGGAATTGCAATAATCTGAAGAGATGGTAACTGAAATTGATTTAGAATTGGTGGTCAGCCCATCATGACAGGAAATTTATAATGTATAACAAACAGAATAAGCTACAGGTAGAAAATACCAAATACAGAGAGGTAAGCAGGGAGAAAACACAGTACCTTCAGAAGAACAGCAAGTAGCAGGTCTTTGAATAGCAACAGTTACAGCCAGTATCAAGTAACTATCATCAAAACCTTCCTTAAAGAATAAGGGCAAAGTGAAAATATTTTCAGATGAACCAAATCTGAGAGAGGTTATTTACCAATGGAATTTTAAAAGCATGTACTTTAGGAATAAGCATTATCCTAGAAGGAAAGCAAGAAGGAATAGGGAATAAATAAATTGGCAAATATGAATCCAGGGTAAATGTTGCCATATAAAGCAGTAATAATGTTTAATGTATGAAGCTTAAAAAATGACATCTAAAATGTTGGAAAAGAGTAAGTCTTTAGACTTACTCTCTTTTTTTTTGAGAGAGTCTCTCTTTGTCTCACCCTGGCTGGAGTGCAGTGGCGCGATCTTGGCTCACTGCAGCTACCACCTCCTGGGTTCGAGCAATTCTCCTGTCTCATCTCAGCCACCTGAGTAGCTGGGACTACAGGCATGTGCCACCACTTGCGGCTACTTTTGTATTTTTAGTAGAGACGAGGTTTCACCATGTTGGCCAGGCTGGTCTCGAACTCCTGACCTCAGGTGAGCCATCAGCCTCAGCCTCCCAAAGTGCTGGGATTATAGATGTGAGCCACCGCGCCTGGCCTAGACTTACTCTCTTGAGAGAGTTGTTTAGAATTAAAGTGTTCTCTGTTTACAATTCAATAAAGTTAATAAAAAAGATAGCTGAAGCTGGGTGTGGTAGCTCACACCTGTAATCCCAGCAATTTGGGAGGCTGAGGTGGGTGGATCACTTAAGTCCAGGAGTTTGAGACCAGACTGGGCAACATGGCAAAACCCCATCTCGACAAAAAATACAAAAATTAGCTGGGCATGGTGGCATGCACCTGTAGTCCCAGCTACCTGGGAGGCTGAAGTGGGAGGATCACTTGAGTCCGGGAGGCAGAAGTTGCAGTGAACAGTGACCGTGCCACTGCACTCTAGCCTAGGTGATAAAGCAAGACCTTGCCTCAAACAAAAAAAAAGCAAACCCTGAAAAGTCTACATGCATATTGAATGTTTAAAAACAAATAAAATGAATTAGATAAAGCAAATATCTTGAAAGATAAAACTGTGAAAAATTTTATACTAAGAAATGAGCCAACTTATTTGACATTGATAAATTATTTCCTAGAGAAAAGTGTAATTGAAGTTTGACTAAAGAAAAAAAAAAACAAACAGCCTAAATAATTGTATAGCCAGTCAAGTAATTCAATCAGAAAAATCTTAATCCAGGAAACACAGGCCCAGATGGTTATATATGCAAGTTCTTCCTCACACTCAAGCAATAAATTGCTCTTAGATATTCTAAAAATAGAGAAAGAACATATCCCCCAACTCATTCTCTGAGGTCGGCATAACCTTGATCACCAAAACCACACAAGGATAGGAGAAAGGTAAACTACAGATCATTGTCACTTGATACAGATACATAGATTGTAGATAAAATATTGACAAAAGAATCTGGTCATATATAAGGAAGATTCTATACGGCAGCTGAGTGTAATAAAGCTCCAGTAGTTAAGACACCATATGGCATTGGTTCTGGAGTAGACAAGTAGGCCAGTGGAAGAAAGCTTTATATACAAAGAATCTTGGTCCACCACTGAGGCAGCATTGATGTCACCAGGCAAAGGAGATACTGGGGTTGCGGAATCTGGGATATTGACTATTCCTAAGATGAAAAAACAAATTGAGTTCCTAACTCATACCATAGTCAAAAATAAATTGCAGATGAATGGGTAAATAATATGTGGTACACACATACAATGTAATATTATTCAACATTAAAAAGGAAGGGAATTCTGACACATGCTACCACATGGATGAACATTCTGCTCAGTGAAATAAACCAGATGCAGACAGACAAATACTACATTCCGCTTACATGAGTACTTAGAGTAGTCAAACTCATGGGAGACAGAAAGTAGAATCACCTGGACACCGTGGTTCACACCTGGCATCCCAGCACTTTGGGAGGCCAAGGTTGGAGGATTGTTTGAGCCCAGGAGTTTGAGAGTAGCCTGGGTAACATAGTGTGATCCTGTCACTACAAAAAATTAATGAAAAAATTTTAAAATTAGCTGGGCGTAGTGGCATGTGCCTAGTTACAGCTATTCAGGAGGCTGAGGCGGGAGGATCAGTTGAGTCTGCAGTGAGCCAGGGTCAAGGCACTGCACTCCAGCCTGGGGGACTGAGCAAGACCCTGCCTCAAGGGAAAAAAAAAAAAAAAAAGAATGGTGGTTGCCAGGGCCTCGAGGAAGCAGGAATCAAAAGTGAATGTTTAGAAACGTATAGTAATTTGGCATTGTCATAACCTCCACACACATGGCCACAGAACCAGTACTTGTCTTGGTGAGCTCTGGGCGTCTGGTGTGTGTTGTGTCTTGCTTCTGTGCAGGAGGACCACATGGCAGTCCAGCAGACTGCACATTTTTAAAAACTAGGTCTTCCCAGGTAGTTTGAGGAGCACCAACCTAGAAAATTGGTCCCATAGTTTAAAAAAAAAGTATTTAATATTATGCCAATACATAAAAGTAAATGGAAAATGTCACAGGAATATTTATCCTTACTAAATGCAATAGTACTTCTAGGGTACTGTCTTCCAATTCTTTCCTTTTCAGTTCTGCTTGCAGCCCTGTTGGTTTTATGACCCACTGATTATTTGTGGCCTTTTGAAAACATGAAAACGGTAGAGAAGCATGAGCCAAGCCCTAGGAGACATGTTTGAATGTTTATAGTAGTGTCATTAACACAGCAAAATGATTGGAAACAGGCCGGATGCTCAGTGGATAAGTGGTAGTATATCCACACAATGACAGATCCTTTTTTTATTCCTTATCTATTCAATAATTATGACACTTTTAAAAGTAGATTTGGCCCTGCTTAGGTTTTTTTTTTAAATGGTGGGACTATCCAGACTTTTTAAAATGGTTGTAAAAGCAAGACATACTGGCCGGGCATGGTGGCCCATGCCTGTAATCCCAGCACTTTGGGAGGCTGAGGCGGGTGGATCACAACGTCAGGAGTTCAAGACCAGCCTGGCCAACATAGTGAAACACCATCTCTACTAAAAACACAAAAATTAGCTGGGTGTGGTGGCACGCACCTGTAGTCCCAGTTACTTGGGAGGCTGAGGCAAGAGAATCGCTGGAACCCGGGAGGCGGAGGTTGCAGTGAGCCAAGACCATACCATTGCACTCCAGCTTGGGTGCCAGAGCGAGCCTCCATCTCGAAAAAAAAAAAAAAAAAAAAGCAAGACAGACTTTAGATAAAAGCAAAGAACCTGAAATGATGCAGGAAAAAGTAGATAGGGCCACTTTTAATTTCTATGCTTCTGGAGTTTGTTTGTTTGCTTGTTTGTTTGTTTGTTTTTGACACAGAGTCTCGCTCTGTTGCCCAGGCTGGAGTGCAGTGGCCCGATCTCAGCTTACTGCAAGCTCCACCTCCTGGGTTCACACCATTCTCCTGCCTCAGCCTCCCGAATAGCTGGGACTACAGGCACCTGCCACCACTCCCAGCTAATTTTTTGTATTTTTTAGTAGAGACGGGTCTTCACCATGTTAGCAAGGATGGTCTCATTTGCCTGACCTCGTGATCTGCCCTCCTCGGCCTCCCAAAGTGCTGGGATTACAGGCGTGAGCCACCACGCACGGCCCTGCTTCTGGACATTTTTTATGTGCCTTTTTTACATAGGTGAGGTCATCTTAGACACAAGCAACATGACTGGTTTTACAATTATTTTCCTGTTGGCTGCGTAGCATACCATTGTATAACTGTAAATTTACATATGAAGAAATATAATTCAGCTGCATTTTGAGTATACAGACAGTCCCTGACCATGGTTCTACCTAGAATTTTTCAACTTTATTATGATGCAAACATGATACACATTCAGTAAAAACCATACTTTGAATACCTATACAACCATTCTGTTTTTGATCTTCAGTACAGTATTCAATAAATTACATGAGTTATTCAACATTTTATTATAAAATAAGCTTTATAGTAGATGATTTTGCCCAACTGTAGGCTAATGTATGTGTTCTGAGAATGGTTAAGGCAGGCTGCACTATGATGTTTGGTAGGTTAGGAATATTAATACATTTTTAACTTATAAGTTTATGGGACTTGGTTCCATCATAAGTCAAGGAGCATCTGTACAGTGGTATTAGTGACGTTGGTATGAGCATTCTTAGAATTTTCTCATTGGGTATAGCTAGTTATTTACTTAGAATAAATTTCGAAGGCCGAGTGCGGTGGCTTATGTCTGTAATCCCAGTTCTTTGTGTGGCCGAGGTGGGCGGATCACCTGAGGTCAGGAGTTCGAGACCAGCCTGGCCAACATGGTGAAACCCCATCTCTACAACAATACAAAAATTAGCCAGGTGTAGTGGCACATGCCTATAGTCCCAGCTACTAGGGAGGCTGAGGCAGGAGAAGTGCTTGAACCCTGGAGGCGGAGGTTGCAGTGAGCCAAGATCGCACCACTGCACTCCAGCCTGGGCGATAGAGCGAGATTCTGTCTAAAAATAAATAAATAAAATAAATAGTAAAGTTCCAGAAGTGAACTTTCCAGGTTAAAGGTTGTTAGTGTCTTTTGCAGTTAGCTGTATAACTACCTTGTCTAATTTGAACCATATCTGGGGAACAGCATCTCTTCAGCGATGGGCACAGGGCAGCCTGTCCCTTATGGCAGTGTTGTCACAGCAAGAAGTGCAGCTGTAGGTTGTGTCATGGGCATGAATGCTGTGTCATTCGCAGGAGCCAGTAGAGCCACAGTAACATGGACAGCGACAGCTCCAGTGCTGCCAGGAAACCATCCAACTGATTTCTGTGTTTGCCCCACAGATCTACGAACTGCGTGTGATGGAGACCAAACCCGACAAGGCAGTGTCCATCATTGAGTGTGACATGAACGTGAGTGGCTCTGTCCAGTTACAGTGAGCCTGGGCCCTGGGAGGATGGGCAGTTGGTGACCACTGCAGGCCAGGGTGTCAGGAGGGCATCAAACAGCCCCTGGGACTCTGGGTAAAGAGGAGGAAGATGCTGTCAGAACATCATGAGGAGACTGTGACCTTGTGATCTATCTCAGGGCCAGTTGGGGCAACAGAGTTTGCTGCCAGTGCTGCCATGGTTAGCTCTGACCCGTTGAGGAGTGAATATTCTTTTTTTTTTTGAGACTTAGTTTCACTCCTGTTGCCCAGGCTGGAGTGCAGTGGTGCGATCTTGGCTCACTACAACCTCCACCTCCCAGGTTCAAGCGATTCTCCTGCCTCAGCCTCCCGAGTAGCTGGGATTACAGGCATGTGCCACCAGGCCCGGCTAGTTTTGTATTTTGGTAGAGACAGGGTTTTACCATGTTGGCCAAGCTGGTCTCAAACTCCTGACCTCAGGTAATCCACCCGCCTCGGCCTCCCAAAGTGCTGAGATTACAGGTGTGGGCCACCGCGCCTGGCCGAGGAGTGAATATGCTTAAGAGCTAAGGAAGCGTACTGAACCTTCTGAGTAGGAATGAAGTGCTGATGCACACAGCATCCTGGTTGTATTACTAGGGAATACTGCTGAGCAAAAAAAGCCAATCCCAAAAAGTTACTTCGTTATATAACATCCTCAAAGTGACAGAACTTTCGAAATGGAAGACAGACCAGTGGTTGCCAGGGCTTAGGACTGGTGGAGGGGGCTGGGAGACAGCTGGGTATGGTTATAAAAAGACAACATGGGCAGTCCTAGTGGTGGTGAAACTGTTCTACATCTCAACTGTGGTGGATACATGCCCCACACAGTGATTACATTGTGTAGAACTAAAGATACCCATGAACAAAAACATGTAAAACTGGGGAAATCTGAATAAGAGCAGTGGGTTGTGCCAGTGTTGATATCCTGGCAGCAATACTTTACTGTAATTTTGTAAGATGCTACCGTTGGGAAAACTGGGCAAGTGTACAAGGCATCTTTTGTATTATTTCTTAAAACTGCATGTGAATCTACAGTTGTCTCAATTAAAAACAAAAAAGGAAGCCAAGGGTGGTCATGTCTCAATATTTTACTTTTAAAATCCTGGAAACACAGGTGGACTTTGATGCTCCCCTGGGCTACAAAGAACCCGAAAGACAAGTCCAGCATGAGGAGTCGACAGTAAGTGTTATCCTCAGTGTCCTTTGCTGTCCTGCTGCATGCTGCTTTTGAGTTCCTGGCAGTGGCTCGTGGGTGGCCTCTGCTAGTGTTGGTGTAGTCATATCCTCTGCGTCCCTTCCAGCCATGCTTCCGGGGGACATCCTAGCCGGGGGTGGGGGTGAGAGGGAAGCTGGGTGTCCCCGCTGAGGAGCTCACCTGTTTTTCTTTTTCCCTGTCAGGAAGGTGAAGCCGACCACAGTGGCTATGCTGGAGAGCTGGGCTTCCGCGTGAGTACCAGACCACTTGACTTATATTGCTGTGCCCTCTGCTCCTTGAAATTAGAGCACTCACTCAAGGTGTTCTCCATGATGCTCGATGGACATCAGCAGGGGTTAGGCCTCTGGGTACCTGTGCATATGCAAATCTGCCACTCGCTCAGTTACCAAACCCTTTTGTATCCACTCTCTCCTGGAATCTTCCCAACAGCCCCATAAGGCAGCCCAGATTTTTAAGAATTTCTAACCTACCGAAGAGTTTAAATAGTACAGTAGACATATACTGTTCCCTTAGGTTCACCAAAAGTTACCACATTTGCTTTCTCTCTCTTGTAAATCATGTTTCCTTTTTTCTTTGCCTGTACCATGTAGGTTGCAAACATGACCCTTAGCATAACTACTGGCAAGGCTCCATGGGAAACAGGTGGAGGTGGTTCATGTGTGGGCACTGAGGTGGCAGGAGGTGCCAGGAAGCAGCAGAGAGGGCAGAATGATGGGAAGCTGAGCTATGGGGCAGTCACAACAGTAGCCTTAGCCCACCCATAGAGCTTGAACTGGGTGGCCCTGCAGAGGCAGGGATCAGGTCTTTTAACCCAACACTGACTGCTGGCTGCCCTTGGCCAAGTGGCTGTCTTCAGCTCATGGCCACCCCCTGAGGAACTGGGCAGAGTTCTTAGCTGCCAGCACCCCAGCAGTTGAGGAGTCAGGGCTTCAGTCCTGAAGGGGTCTGCACAGCACCCCCAGCTCACATCCCTGCAGTGATCTCCAAGCAAAGGACATATCGTCCTCACACTTGGGCTTATTATATGACTCACCTACTTCCTGTCTAGGCTTTCTCTGGATCTGGCAATAGACTGGATGGAAAGAAGAAAGGGGTAGAGCCCAGCCCCTCCCCAATCAAGCCTGGAGATATTAAAAGGTAGGTCTGTCCTGGCTCTCCTCCAGGACAGGAGGAGGATCTGTGCCAGCCCGCTGGGGTCGGGCAGCCTCACCCCAGTTCTGGAGACAAAGCCTGGGTCAGTAGTCTCCCAAGGGACTAAAACCCTTAGCTGCTCTCCTTGGTGGGGTGGAGCACAACATGCCCCTCCTTCCACAGTGCCACCCCCAGTACCACTGTGGTCCAGCCTCTCTCCATACCTCTCCATACCCCCAATTCAGCCTCTTCTTGCCCCCACTGGCTTTCCTAAGATGCGAGTCTGATTAGATCTGTCTCTTACTCAAAACCTTTCTGGTCCCTATTTGGTGATCTGCCTATTTTCCTGTTTTGTGACTTGGAATTATTAATCAGGTCACATTATCTCAGTTCCCCTGAAAGTTCCCTGAGGAGCTACCTCAGATGTGCTTCTGTTGCTGGGTCCGGGGACCCACAGCAGACCCTTCCTCTGGTGGCCATGATGGCAGGGGCAGGGCTGAGGTGTGTCAGTTGTCTGTTGTGTGTGTGAAATCAGAATACTGGAGTGAGAGTCTAGCCACCTCAGGGGGTTCTGTGAAGCTCAGGACAGTGACAGTGAGGGCTTCCCAATCCTTCAGATGACCCCTCTCCATAGACAGGTACAGAGCCTAAAGCCCCTGGCCCTATACCCAATATTGATACCAAACCAAGAAGTCAGTTACTTTCTGCTTCCCTCCTGGGAGGATGCCAGGAAGCACCAAAGGGCCCAGGTGGGGTGCAGCAGCATCTTTTCTGCGTTCCTCTTGACTGTCAAAAATGAATTTTAGTCCTTTTTTCCTGGAAATAACATTTCTCTGTCTCTGTCTCTTCTTACAGAGGAATTCCCAATTATGAATTTAAACTTGGTAAGATAACTTTCATCAGAAATTCACGTCCCCTTGTCAAAAAGGTTGAAGAGGTGAGTGTATTTCCTTGTATTTCCTTGGTTGGTAATGAGGAGATTTATTTGCTAGTGATGACTGAAGTTCTTGGCATTCTGAGTAGGGGTGTGCATTAGTCTGTTTCCAAGCTGCTGGTAAAGATGTACCCGAGACTGGGCAATTTACAAAAGAAAGAGGTTTAATGGACTTACAGTTCACATGGCTGGGGAGGCCTCACAATCATGGCAGGGGGCAAGTCACATCTTACATGGATGGTAGCAGGCAGAGAAAAAGCTGGTGCAGGGAAACACCTACTTATAAAACCATCAGATCTCATGAGACTTATTCACTATCATGATAACAGCACGGAAAAGACCCGCCCTCATGACTCAGTTACCTCCCACCGACTCAGTTACCTCCCACCTGGTCCCTCCCACAACACGTGGTAATTCAAGATGAGATTTGGGTGGGGACGCAGCCAAACCACATGAGGGTGTCTGTCATGTTTTCCCTTTCCTAGGGTCCCTCTGCTCCCTGGTGTCCTGTTTTTTTCTGTAGAGCTGGTGTAGGGTGTATGAAACAGAAGACTTGCAGCATGGGGGTCAGGAGCTCTGTCTTGCTCTAGAGCCGACTCCAGGCTCTGTTATCACAGAACTGTGTGCCCTGGGTGGGCTTCGTCTTCCAACAGAGACCTTGAACTTCAAATATAGGCAGCACCTTCTAGCTGAGCAGGGTGGTGGCGGGACAGAGGAAGGCAAGGGCTGAGCATCCTGTAGACATGGGCACTTTGTGGGAATATGGCCAGGCCTGGCAGCAACTGGAACGCAGTCACCTCTTTGTGATGAGGATTTCTACAACACCAGCGCTTCAGACCCATCGCTCTCCTGGTTCCTTTTCTCAAAGGATTGGACCCTTGAGGATCCAGGATCAGGGCAGAGGGCAGATGTACTGAGCCACCCATTCAGGACCAGCTGCTACATGGGAGCCATCCCAATTACTGAACTCTTTTCTCTAGCACTTGGGGTGGTTGGGGACAGAGACCACTGTGAAGTTTGCACACCTGGTCCTACTCACAACCACTTCTGGGCTCAATGTTCAAGTTGAAACAGCATTGGGCATTGGGACCTTTCAGGCTCAGAGGAGCAAACATAGTGGCCAGTCAGACCTCACCCTCCAGCTCCTCCTTCAGGCACCATCCAGGCTTCACCAGCTACAGGCTGCCTTTCTCACTAAAAGCCAGTGCCTGACTCCGACCTAAGACCTTAGCATGGGACGTCCCCCAGGCTGACTGTGACCTGACTGTTGCAAATTTACAGAAGGCAGGGGAGGCCAGTGGGCACAGCAGGCCTGTTTGACCATAAATATGTATTTAAGAAGTATATGTTTAAAGATGGGATTGAAGACATATTTAGCTCTATTCCATCCTGCAGCCCCACTAAGGCTGTGGCTAAAGGTCATGAGGTAAGAAAGACAGTGGAAGAGGAGGCAACTACAAGGCTTTGGAAGCCCCAGGTACCTTAGTAGACCATAGAAAGCCTAGAAGCAGTTCTGTGTAGATTGTGGAATTCTCAAAAGGCACCTCTAGAAATGAGGGACTAAAGACAGAATTCTGTTACTAAGCAGTTAGAGCTGCATTACCCTCCCTCCCCCATCCCAGAAGGCTGGAGGCTCGACTCCAGTAGGTCTCTAGACTACTATCTCTGAAGTGAAGGCCACAGTCAGAAAGCTTTCCATTCCAGCATCTAAATAATAGAGGATTTGTGGGAAGAACAGCCACAGAAACCAAAGGAGCAGAAATCATCAGGGAAATAGTTTCCCCAAAGATGGGCACAATTTTGCAGATTTGAAGGGCTCACTGAGTTCCAGCAAAATGAATGAAAATAGCCCCACTTTGAGGCAAAGAAAGATCCTAAAGCTTCTAGAGAGAGAACAGAGGTATCACCATGCATTAAGGACATCATCAGCCAAGCGCCATGGCTCACACCTGTAATCCCAACACTTTGGGAGGCTGATGCGGGAAGATCATCTGAGCCCAGGAGTTTGAGACCAGCCTGGGCAATATAGGGAGACCCTGTCTCTACAGAAAATTTTAAAAATTAGCCAAGCATGGTGGCACGCACCTATAGTCCCAGCTACTTTAATGCTGAGTTGGGAGCATCACTTGAGCCTGGGAGGTGGAGGCTGCTGTGAGCTGAGATCACACCACTGCACTCCAGCCTGGGTAACAGTAAGTCCCTGTCTCCCAAAAAAAGGGACATCATCTTAGCAGGACACAGAGGAAACTAGAAGATAGTGGAGCAATATACTCAAAATTCTGAGGGGAAATTTTTTCCAACCTAAAATTCTGTACCAACTCTTATGAGCTGGATTGTGTCCCTCCAGTGTTTCTGTGTTGAAGCCCTAACCCCCAGTAACTCAGATAGGGCCATTTAAAGAAGCAATTAAGTTAAAATAAGACCATTAGAGTTGGCCATAATTCAATCTGGTGTCCTTTTAAGAAGAGGAAATTTGGACATAGGAAGGGCCATGTGAGGACACAGCAAGAAGGCAGCCATCTGCAAGCCAAGGAAAAGGGTGTCAGAGGAAACCAAACCTGCTGACACCTTGATCCTGCACTTCTAGCCTCCAAAACTATGAAGAATAAATTTCTGTTGTTTGAGCCACCCTATCTTTGGCATTTTATATGGCAGCCCTAGCAGACTAACATACCAACCAGCCTATCAATGAAATATGAGATTAGAAAAAAGGAACTCACAAGAAGATAATCCTCATGCATCTTTTCTCAGGAAGCTCCTAGGAGGTGTTCCTCACTAAAATGAAGGAATAAGGTAGAAATAAGAAAGTCATAGAATCCAGGAAATAAGGAGCCCCCACTAACATGTACGGCACCTAGAGAAAGGCCAGTCCAGGTACGGCAGGGCGAAGGCCCAGGAGACACAGGTTTGTCAAAACAGATGAACTCCATGCAATGCAGGCTGTGATTGAATAGAGGAAGAAGCCAAACACAGCTATTGACACCAGGATGAATGGAAGGCTGTGCGGCAAAGGAAGACTAAATGCAGCTGTGACTCAAATTTACATGAATGTGACCACATAAATACTAAACAGTGCTCTATTGCAGGTATAACATGCTACAGTTAGTGGGGAGCCAGGTGCAGGGATGTGTGTTGAACATTCCAGAATCCTCTTCTTCCTAGGGAAAAGTTGAGATAATGCCTCAGACTGACTAGCAATAAAAGCATGTGAAAAAAAATATGTGCAGTTTTCAAAGGTTTGGGAAAAAACAATCCCTCTTTCTGCTGATGGAAGGATAGCTTAGTGGAATGTTTCTGAGGGCTGGTTGGTCTCTATATGTTAAAAGCATTAAAAGTGTGTACACACTTTGACCCAGGAATTTGAGCTCTAAAAAAAATCAGAGTTGTGTGCAAATACATTAAGCTGCTTACCACAACAATGTCCACTGGTAGAAAACTGGCCCTCCTACATCATGGAATTCTTTTTTACAGAATTCAGTTCTGTAGCCTTGGGAGTATACTAGACAGGAAGTTTATTGGCATGAGATTTCAGAATTAAGTGGGAAAACAATTCTTTAAGCATGTACAGAAAAGTGACCTGAAATGTTTTTGGGTGATGAACTTACAGACTTTTTTTTTTTTTTTTTTTTTTGAGGCAGGGTCTTGCTCTGTTGCTCTGCCATCCAGGCTGGAGCAGTGGCACAATCATAGCTCACTATGGCCCTGGCTCAAACCATCCTCCCGTCTCAGCCTCCCAAGTAGCTGGGATCATAGGCACATACCACACTGAGCTATTTTTGGTAGAGATGGGATCTCACTATGTTGCCCAGGCTGGTCTTGAACTCCTGGGCTCAAGTGATCCTCCCACCTAGGCCTCCTAAAGTGCTGGGATTACAGGTGTCAGCTATCGTGTCCAGCCTGAGATATTTCTTATGAGTAATGTGGATGGTACGTGAGTCCATAGAGTAAGGCATTTATTGTAAACCTCCAGGGAGTTTCTGAAAATAGTATCTTCTCTTCAAACCTAGGATGAAGCTGGAGGCAGATTCGTCGCTTTCTCTGGAGAAGGACAGTCATTGCGTAAAAAGGGAAGAAAGCCCTAAGTGAGGACTGTTGGCTGATTGGAAAATAATAAAAGAATCATTTGCAACATCTTGGCTTTTAGTTACTGGCACTGACAGGGACGAGCCTCATCAGAGAATACTCTGTTACTTAAGATTTATTTAGAGTTACCTAAGAATTATTAAGTTTGACTTGGAAGTGGAGCAGCAGGACTTTGTAGTTGTATGCTTGATTTGGGGAAAGACAAAGAGCTGTCCCTGAGGGCCTGTAGATAGCTGCCTCCTCACCTCTTCACGCTTTCAGCTTGAGGGGAGCTCCCACTGCCTCAGCAGGAGCAATTCTGCATCCCTAATTCTGTCAAAACCTATGAAGGTGACTAAATTGTCTAACATGAAGTGTTCTTTCTTTTTCTTCATTTATCCTTTCTTTTCCTACATCAATTGCATAGGTGTCAGTCTTTGGCCTAAAAAAAGGCTTTAAATAGACATGTGTTCTATAAGTAGTGGCTGTCCCACTACTGTGGCTGCAATTTAAGTATTTGACAAAGAATGTTTCTATTTTTATTTTACATATTTTTTTCAAAAACACCACTCAGAAGAACCTGATCTGAATGAGTTTGCACTTTTATTCTCATTTCATATGGACATAACTGGCTCCTTAGTGAACCTGTTCATAGTGAAACAACTCCATGGAGAAGCAAACATGTGAATGTTAGAATGAACAAATGCTAAAGAGATGTTCCTCTCCTTCTTCCCTACTCCCCAACTCCCAATTTTAATTTATTAAATCATCCAAGCTTCTGCTGGCCTGTATTTTTTATCAGTATTTATTTGGTCTTAGATCTTCACTTTCTATAACGTGAGATCTTTTGACATGCTAATCTGATTATTTTAAATTTGTTCCCATGAGCCACTGTGCCTGGCCCCATTGGGAATAATTCTAAGCCAAGAATTTCAAGTAAAAACAGGCAATAACTAAAGCCTAAATCTAAATGTTTGATTAGGTACTAACACAGACTGGTGGTTGGGCCTCTGACCATAACTGAAGGCCTGTTGGCAGGTGCTCCGTGTTCCATCTCACCATTAGAAAAGTGTCCCTCTGGGGCTTCTCCTGGAGAAAGTAGGAAGAAACAAGGCTGCCTGATCCCTAGGTGGCAATGGCTAAGCCCAGCAGGGTCCCCCATGAGCCAGGGCTAACCCTGCTTCCAGACATGGGGGTCCTGCCCTGGTCAGGGCCCCTCCAACACTCCAGAGAGGAGAGAATGGTGGCCCCAGGGTCTATCCACGTCTTCAGTGAAGAGTGTCTATGAGTGTCATGATGTTCAGTACTTGGCCTGTGGCACAAACCATCATCACTGGAAATGGGCGTGGTTTTGGAAGGCATGAGCACTGTGGGGACTTACCTGAGCCTCCACTGACAAAGTCTCAGTTTTACTAGCAGAGGGAGAAACCCTTGGTGGGTAGACAGCCTTCATTTGCAGGATCACATCAGCTAACAGACTGTCACTTTATGCATAATGAAGAATGTTACAGTACCTCTGGCTCTGGGTTTTTGTCTTCACTAAGCAACACCTGCTGTGTATGCAGTGAAACGCCTGGTCCTTTGCTGGAGGCACACTCCCCTGCCTGGACCAGGATGGATTCCATTGCAGAGCCTTTTAATGACACAGTGGGGCCAGTTGGAGCACTGATCCTGGTCATTACTCCTGCACCCTGGCCTGCAGCCTTCCTCTCAGTGTCTTATTTGGGCTTGGTCCTTGAGCCGGCTGCCTCAACAGCAGGACCCCTGGTAAAACTGCAGCTTTCTGATCCACCTCCAGGGAGTCTGTCCCAGTGTCATTCCTGGGACTGGCCCAGCAGTCCCAGGATTTGTATCAGTGGATACTGAGGATTTGTTATCAGTGAAGTGGGAGAACCGCAGCATAGGTACTGCAGGGCGTTTCTGCAAGCCCACCAGCCTCCTCTTTACTTGCCTTTGTTGCCTCTTGTGCATTGCTCCTTTTTATAAACGTCCCAGCCAGGCACTGGCGCTCCGCCTATAATCCTAGCACTTTGGGAGGCCAAAGTGAGAGGGTCGCTTGAGGCCAAACTAGCCTGGGTAACTTAGCAAGACCCCATCTTTACAAAAAAAAAAAAAAAAAATTAAAAATTAGCCTGGTGAGGCTGTGCATGCTTTTGGTCCCAGCTGTTCGGAGTCCAGGAGTTTGAGGTTGCAGTAAGCCATGAACACGCCACGCCACTGCACTAAGCCTGGGTGACACAGCAAGACCCTGTCTCGAAAAATGAATAAGGTAAATGTTACATGTCTCCCGCACCCTTAGAATAGAACTACAGACATCCAAGCCACTCCTACCCCGCTCACCCCTGCTACACACCGCCTCCATACCTTTGACCGGCCTATGGCTGTACTCGGATTGCATTCTCAGCCTCCACTTCAAGCCTGCGTTCCCTGGGGAGGTCATTCAACCCTAGATCCACCATATGTCATGCCCAACCAATCTCAGTTACTTTGCGAGTTCACCTCCATCCTGAGTGGACGCTCAAGCAAGACTGCTGGAGCTGCAGATCTGGGAGGTTCGCTGCACCACCTTGATGCTCAGTATGTACTTTTGAAAATATACCGGATTGTTGAGATTTGAGAAAATCTCATAAAGCTGCTGAAAAGAACTGGCCAGAGCCGTGTGATTTGAGAGGCGGCTGACGTAAGGTAGCTGCGCGGCCCAGGATGCCCGCCTGGCCCGGGGTGAATGGCGCTGTCGTCGCGGTGGTCGCGTAGGCTTCGCGCCAGGTCTCGCCCCGGATTTACCCTGCGACCCCGGCCCTCCGCGCGCGCCGCAGCCGCCCTCGGTTGCTATTGGTTGCTCGTCCTGTTTGTCGGCGCTTCTCGAAGAAGGGGGCGAAGACGTGATTGAATGTGTCGGTGCTCATTAGTTCTTCTGTCAGTCGATCACGAGGTGCCGTTTTCTTCATTTTTCATTGGCTGGCGGACTGAGGGGCGGGCTTGGCGCGCCGGTCGCCCAGACATGGCGGACGGCAGCGGCTGGCAGGTGAGTGTGCTGGGTCGGAGCCGGGAACCACCGGGGTCTTCCGGAGGGAGGGAACGGGACTGGCTCGGGGCGTAGGGCGCGGCCGCCGGGCCCCGCTCAGGCGCCGCCTCTCGCCGCAGCCGCCGCGCCCCTGCGAGGCCTACCGCGCCGAGTGGAAGCTCTGCCGCAGCGCCAGGCACTTCCTACACCACTACTACGTCCACGGCGAGCGGCCGGCCTGCGAACAGTGGCAGCGCGACCTGGCCAGCTGCCGCGACTGGGAGGAGCGCCGGAACGCCGAGGCCCAGGTGCGCCGGGAGGGAGCGGGGCGGCGCTTCGGAGCGCCTTGCGGGGCCCAGCTTTCCCCACCCCTCCACGCCCCATGCCCCGCGACCTAGCCGGGGACTGACGGGGTCCCTATCCTCCTCACGCTTCCTTTCTTTTGAGAGATTGTGTAAATTAGCATATCAACAGGACTTTCAGAGGGCGTGAAAGACAAAGGAGGAGACCAGCGAGGAGGGGGTGTAGAGTGGTTTAGAGAGGGAAGAGGGCAGCCGTCCGGTGTTAGGGTCATCAGCTGGCCTACGCAGGAGGTGATGTTGCTGAGTCCTGAGTGACCAGGAGCCAGCCTTCATCCAGCCCCGGTAGACACCGCTGAGAAACAGATAAGGCCTGGGTTCCTGAAGCAGAGGGTAGGTGGATGGTTGGAGAGCGGTATACCAGGGACCTGGCGGGCCTTTTGATACGGAGTTTAGAGTTTAGTCTAAAGTGTGCTGGGAGGCATAATTCGATTTATATCTTTAAAAGATCAGTCTGTTAGCAAAGTGTGGTGGCGTGCACCTGTGGTCCCAGCTACTTGGGAGGGTGAGGCGGGAGGATCGCCTAAGCCCAGGAGTTCAAAGCTGCAGTGAGCTATGGTCACACCACTGCACACCAGCCTGGATAACAGAGGGAGACCTGTCTCAGGGGGGAAAAAAAAGAGAGAGGGTAAAAGAAGTTCAATCTGTTTGCTAGGGTGTAGAGAATATATTACAGGAGCAGAGAGACCGGTAAGGAGGTGGTTCTAGTTGTTTTTTCGTCCAGCAAATATGTACCACATTGGGTGCTCTTGGGGATGCACGAGTGATAAGAAGAGTCTCTGCCCTCCTGGCACCCACACTGTAGTGTAGAATACAGTGCTACGGTGGACCCCTTGTGGGAGAGGAGATGGAGAGAAGCCAGCCGAAAGGTGCGAGGCTCATGGGGAGTGCCAAGGAATGAGAATCAATGGGACTGATCAACACTTCAACATTATTAAGTGTATACAGTGATCTGAAAGAGATGAACTGATGTGGAAACCAGACTGCTGTATAAAAGAAAATGATGACTATTCCATAATATGTGAAAGTCAAAAAAAGTAAGAAAGCTGACAGCTTATATAGCAAGAGATTGATAACTTTAATGTATATATATGTGCGTGTGTGTGTATAAAGAGCTGTTATATATATATCAATAAGAAATATAGGGATTATTTCAGAATGGAAAAATGGCCAAAGGACACAAAGAAGCAATTCATTAAAAAAGAAAGCCAGCTGGGCATGGTGGTGGGCACCTGTAATCTCGGCACTTTGGGAGGCCGAGGCAAGGGGATCGCTTGAGCCCAGGAGCTTGAGACCAGCCATGGGCAACATGGTGAGACTCCATCTTTATAAAAATAATAAAAAAGGAGAAAAGCCTGGGCATGGTGGCTCATGCCTGTAATCCTAGCACTTTGGGAGGCCGAGGTGGGCAGATCACCTGAGGTCAGGAGTTTGAGACCAGCCTGGCAACATGGCGAAACCCCATCTCTACTAAAAATACGAAAATTAGCCACGCATGGTGGCAAACACCTGTAATCTCAGCTACTCGGGAGGCTGAGATAGGAGAATTGTTTGAACCTGGGAGGCGGAGGTTGCAATGAGCCGAGATCGTGTCACTGCACTCCAGCCTGGGCAACAGAGTAAGACTCCCTCTCAAGAAAAAAAAAGAAAAAATCAAATGGCCAGGTGTCAGGTATATAAGTCTAAATGACAGTAACAGCAGAAAGTGGTGTTGATAGAGGTTTGAAGAATTCTGGGTAGTTGTGCAGTGTTGGTGGGGGTGTCAGGTGTTCTGATTATGTAAATGTCAGATACATACCTTTTGACCTTAAGTTTTACTTCTGGAACTTTATCCCAGGGAAGTAATTGGATAACAGTGTACAGTTAAAAGTTAGAATGCTAATTATGTTTTTGATACTGCAAAAGCTGAAAACAACCTAAATTTCACTAATAGACATTTGACCAAATAGCTTTTTCCACAAAGTGAAATACCAGATAGCCTTTGAAAAGAATGGTCGGTCATCTCCCTGGGTATGGAAAAGTGCCTACAGTGTATTGTTTAGTGAAAAGAAAGCAGGAAGTAGACTAGCCAGCAAAAGATTATCCTATCTTTAGGGAAACATGTTAGCTCTAAAATGTGGACCAAAAAAAGATATCAGGGAAGCTGTTAACTGCCGCATTGGGAATGGACATTTGGGAATCTTTAATATTCTGTACTACATTTCTGATAGCTTTTTAAACACGATCAAAATATTTTATTTGAGGCAATAGAGCTTGAACAAAGACAGACATGTAGACAGATTAAGTTATCTGTGTAAAGAGGCTCACATAGCACCTGATACCTACCAAGGGCTGACAGCAAAGGTCACCCATGTTGTGATACACTGACTTGTGTCTGTATTGGGAGACAGTAGCCAAGAGAAGCTGATGGGTTAAGTGGCACTTGTGGCACCACTCAGGCGGGTGGTCTGTCCTCTGGACTCTTCCCACCCTTCCAGGATACCCAGGACATGTATTTCTTCCCCGTCTTCCTCCCTTCTCCCTAACACACTCCTCCCTGCAGCTCCCCACAGCTGCTCTCTCAGACTCTTCTCTCCTCTCCACCCAGCACCCCCAGGCTCACTCTCAGCAGGTGAATATGCCCCAGACTCACGAGGTCAACCAGAGCCATTGAGCCCTGAGGTCCAGGAGAAGATATTTAAAAATTCCTCAAATTATTATGACCTATTCAGTAGTTTTTCACAGTAGCTTGTGAGAAAAAAAATGATCTCCATCTCTGTGCGCTAATATGGAAGAATCGCCAAGGTATAGTAGGTGGAAGCAGCTGTGCTGCAGAGTGGTGTGTACCATAGGCCCTGCCTGTCCATCTGTGTTTCAGAGGGTGATGAGAGGGGGGAGGTACAGGGGTCTTGAGGGTGCTCAGAGCCTGGGGAGTGACTAGAGTCTCATTTGCACAGCAATCCCTCTGTGAGAGCGAGCGGGCACGAGTCCGGGCTGCACGGAAGCACATCCTGGTGTGGGCCCCGAGGCAGAGCCCCCCTCCAGACTGGCATCTCCCTCTGCCACAGGAGAAGGACGAGTGACAAGCATCCCTGCCATTGGCCTGTGCAGCTTCCTCAGTCTGTTTCAAGTTGCTGTTGCACAGCCCTGGGGACTGTGACCAGCCTACACAGTCTGGTGGGTCCCTGTGAGCTCTTGCTCACAGGAACATGGAGCAGGACATTGCTAGCCCTACTTGCCCACCCCTCACCTGCATGCAGGATACCCTGACACTGCGATGTTCTGCAGGACAATTGCACCGCTTTAGAGCTTCCAGGAGGCCAAGCATTATGGCAGGTACTTGTGAGCAGCCAGGTCAGGCTGGGCATGGTAGCATAGGAGATGGCGGTCCTGAGGTCTAGGCTTCTCAGGTAAACTGAAGGGTAGCCCTGACCTGTGTGGACACACAGGTGGGTCATAATGAGGTAGCTAAACAGTTGTGCCACTGTGAATGTCTTTCCTAGTCCTTGGGAAACTGCCTGCCACGTCCCAGGTTTGGTGAGCATTGTGAGTGCTCACACTCTGCTCCACTCGCTCAGTTCCACTGCACATGCAGGCAGGTGTGCCGAGCAGGTAGGGCTTGCTGGCCCCTCTGCACCAGCAGGCTTCACTTCTTAGGCTCCCAGGTCGGCCCCTGGAGACTCTGGTTTTTAAGAAATGCACACAGCTACAGAACACACAACCTTGCATAAAGAGGGTTTGTGGACTCAGCTGAAGAAATCCAAGTCCAAGACATATGGAATTAAGCACTCCTTCCCTCAAAATTTCCCCTGGTGGTTAATGTATCAAAAGCTATTTCATCTGATTTCAAATAGAAGCTGAAAATTAAGTTCACACTTGTTAGATTTTGTGTGTAACAGTGTTGTACCTGGACAGTATTAGAAATTTGTATGCTTATTCTCTTGTTAAGTGTTTTAAAATGTATGAACCACCAAAAACACTATTTCTTGAAGAGGTCTGTTTATTACTAATAGAATGGTTTCTCATCCTATGGTGGCCCTGTTGTGTGATGCTGAGGGCTAGGCTGGGTCTGTGCCCAGCACCCTCCCTGCTCTCTTCCTGGACACAGGCAGCAAGTTGAATATCTTTTAATTTGTTCTTTGGGGCAGAATAATCTATCACGTTAGAAGGGTGTCCATTAAAGAACAGTATTTCCCTGCTTGAGTGTGTTTTCTCCTGTGCTCCCTAAGAGCCCCTGTGTCTGTGAACAGTGGGGGTGGGGGTGGGGGTTGTGCTCACGGGATCCCAAGAGCAGGAGCATCTAAAGAGGAGCCAGCGTTCCCCCATCATCAGGGGAGTACTGATGTGTCTAAGGCAACCAGGGTGCCTCCAGCATGGCTGTGGCTGGTTTAATAATGAGCATTTCCACCCAGTGAGGGAAGAGAGGAAGACTGCTAGAGATCTACAAGGTTTTTCTTACTCTTAAACACAGGGACGGGGCATCTGAATTTGCAGTCTGCTGTAATCCCAGCACTTTGGGAGGCCAAGGTGGGTGGATCACTTGAGGTCTGGAGTTTGAGACCAGCCTGGCCAACATGGTTGAAACCCCCCATCTCTATTAAAAATACAAAAATTAACTGGGCATGGTGGCACGTGCCTGTGATCCCAGCTACTCGGGAAGCTGAGACAGGAGAATTGCTTGAACCCCAGAGGCAGAGGTTGCAGTGAGCTGAGATCGTGCCACTGTACTCCAGCCTGGGCGACAGAGTGAGACTCTTGTCTCAAAGATAAAATAATAAAATGAGTTTGCAGCCTGCATGTGATGCCTGGGATTGCAGCAGCTGCCTTCAGGTTCCTGGGGCAGAGCTGGAGAGTGCAGCAAAAGCCAGGGCATGCCAGCCAGCACCCCAGTCCATGAGGGGCTTCCCCTCAGTGCAGCCACGCTCCCTGCCACCTGCTTGTTTAGCAAGGTATGCATTGTGCGGCTGCATGCTCTGTTAGGAAGCATTAAGTCCTGCCTCTGTAGTGTGACTATCATGTTTTGCCTCCTCCTTCACTACTCAAGTTCCACATCAACAGATAATCTCTCTGGACAGGATGTTCCTGCATTTGTTTCTATGTCAATTGCTTCACAACATCTGAGTGTCCACATGTTGGACAGGGTTTGAGGCTTATAAGACCACAGTTTTGAAACAGACAAGTTGTCTTCAAAGAGTTTCTGTTGTAGTTTGGGTAAAAGACAGACATTAAACATCAATAAATAGGAATTTAAAACGGTGGCTGGATGTGGTGGCTCACGGCTGTTATCCCAGCACTTTGGGAGGCTGAGGTGGGAGGATTGCTTGAGCCCAGGAGTTCGAGACCAGCCTGGGCAACGTAACAAGACCCCATCTCTACAAAAAATAAATGAGCTATGCATGGTGGCGTGCATTTGTAGTTCCAGCTACTTCGGAGGCTGAGATAGGAGGATTGTTTGAGCCCAGGAGTTTGAGGCTGCAGTGAGCCATGATTGTGCCCCACTGCACTTCAACCTGGGTGACAGAGCAATATCCTGTCTCAAAATAAATAAAAATAAAATGGTGGTAATTTCTGAAGCAGTTTGGTATTTTATGGTGGTGGTATGAAGAAAACAAATACTGTAATAAGAGCAATATCTTTCAAACTTTTTGGACAGGTGCTAAGTGTGGTGGCTCACACCTGTAATCTCAGCTACTTGGGAGGCTGAGGCAGAAGAATCACTTGAGGATAGGAGTTTGAGGTTGCAGTCAGCTATGATCGTGCCACTGCACTCCAGCCTGGGCAACAGAGCAAGACCCCATCTCTAAATAAATGTTTTAAAAATAAAAATAAATGTTTTGGATAAAACCCCATATTAATAATAAGTATTTTACATTATTATCTGGCATAGACTGTTATATATAGCATATTATTGTTGAAATACAAAACAATATGTATCCGTACTGTATGTGATATAGTGCCATTTTCAGTAACTGCTGTACACACAGCAACTCAGATGAAACTCAAGGAAATTCTTCAGAGCAAAAACAGCCAATCTTGAAAACATACATGTAGCAGGATTCCATTTATGTAACATTGGTGAAATAATGTAATTATAGAGATGGAAAACAGATTAAAGGTTACCAGGGGTTTAGGTTAGGGATGGTGAGGGGGTGGTTCATACGAGGGAGTCCTGTGGTGTTGAAAACCATCTGTCAGCCTGACTGGTGGTTACACAGGGCTATACATGAAGTTAAAATTGTGTAGAGTTAGGTACACAAAGGAGTACAGATGTAACTGGGGAAACTGAGTATGTTCTGTAGACTGTACCAATGTCAATTTCTGCGTCCTGATGCTGTGCTGTAGTGTATAAGGTGTTAACATTGGGGGAGGCTGGGGCAAGGGTACCCAGGACCTCCCTAGACAACCTCCTATGCAACCTCCTGTGAATCTATAATTACTTCAAAATAAAAAGTTGAAAACAAACTGTCGGCCATGACCTACCAAACTGATTTTACAACCTAACAGATGAAACCTACTGTTTAAAAAAAAACACTGCTATCAAGCACCTGTGCTGGACACTTACCTTGGGCGGGGAGGTGGGGAAGGCCTCAGTGTCTGAGCCCAGACCTGGGTGAAGAGGCTCAACTCCTGTCAGGCAGAGAAAGGGACCCACAAAGGCAAAGGGACCTGACACCATGTTTTGACCAGAGCGGGTGCTGTGAGCTGTGATCAGGAATCTGGGTATGCGATTCTCTGGGTGGCAGGTAGCCAAAGACCTGACCTGACCTGGTTCTAGAGACCTCTGGCTGCTGTGTGGAGAAGGGATGGGGTGGTTAGATCAGTTGGCCACTGCAATAGAACAGGCAAAAACTGACGATGACGTGGACCTCAGAGGCAGCAGTGGAGGTCATGAAAAGTGGTTCCATTCAGCATTTGTCTCAGGTGGGGCCAAAGGACTTAGAATCCTTAGGCAACATTTTTATCCAGGACTGATAAGAGTTTTAAAACGAAGTTTTTTTTTTTTTTTGAAAAAAGCAGTAGTCCCAGCTACTTGGAAGGCTGAGGTAAGAGGATCGCCCAGGCTATGGAAAGGACAGTCTTTTCAACAAATGGTTGATGCCTGGAAACTGGATATCCAAGAGTGAAGTTGGACCCTTACCAAACGTCATATACAAGTTAACTCAAAATTGACCGAAATTGTAAGAGCTTAAAATTAAATATAGGGAATATCTTCACAACGTTGGATTTGGTAGTAGTTTCTTGGATATGACACCAAAGTCATCAACATTAAAAAGAAAAAAATAGATAAATTGGACTTCATGAAAATTAAAGGCACTAAATTTCACATCAGAAGACTATTGGCCGGGCATGGTGGCTCACTCCTGTAGTCCCAGCACTATTGGAGGCCGAGGTGGAAGGATCACTTGAGCCCAGGAGTTCAAGACCATCCTGGGCAACATAGTAAAACCCTGCCTCCATTCCTTATAGAAAAAATTTTTTAAAAAACACACTATCAGGCCAGGCACCGTGGATCATGTCTGTAATCCCAGCATTTCAGGAGGCTGACATAAGGGGATTGCTTGAGGCCAGGAGTTCAAGACCAGCTTGGACAATATAGCAAGACCCCATCTCTACAAGTTTAAAAAAAAAAAAGGTAGCTGGGCATGGTGGTGTCTGTAGTCCTAGCTACTCAGGAGGCTGAGGCAGGAGAATTGCTTGAGCCCAGGAGTTTGAGGTTACAGTGAGCTATGATTGCACTACTGCACTCTAGCCTGGGTGACAGAGCAAGACCCTATCTCTTAAAAAAAAAAAAAGACACATCGACAGAATAAAAAGGCAATCCACAGAATGGGAGAAAATATTTGCAAATCATATCTCTAATAAGAGATTAATAGAATTATAGAGAACTCCTAAAACTCAATGAGAAAAAAAGTTCAAAAATGGGCAAGGGGCCGGGCACTGTGGCTTAGGCCTGTAATCCCAGCACTTTGGGAGGCTGAGGCAGGCGGATCACCTGAGGTCAGCAGTTCGAGACCAGCCTGGCCAACATGGTGAAACCCCGTCTCTACTAAAAATATAAAAATTAGCCAGGTGTGGTGGCATGCACTTGTAATCCCAGCTACTTGGGAGACTGAGGCAGGAGATTTGTTTGAACCCGGGAGGCAGAGGTTGCAGTGAGCCGAGATTACGCCACTGTACTCTAGCCTGGGTAACAGGGTGAGACTGTTTCAAAAAAAAAAAAAAAAAAAAGACAAGGACTTGAATAGACATACAAATGGCCAAAAAGCACATAAAAAGATGCTCAACATCACTGACCATTAGGGAAATGCAAGTCAAAACCACAGTGAGATACCACCTCACACCCATTAGGATGGCTACTATTAAAAAAAAAAAAAAGTGTGATAAGGGTGTAGAAAAATTGGAACCTTGGCTGGGTGTGGTAGCTCACATATGTAATGCCAGCACTTTGGGAGGCCAAGGCGGGCAGATCACCTGAGGTGAGGAATTCAAGACCAGCCTGGCCAACATGGCGAAACTCCATCTTTACTAAAAATACAAAAAAAAATATTAGCTGGGCGTGGTAGCACACGCCTGTAGTCCCAGCTTGGCAGGCTGAGGCAGGAGAATTGCTTGAACCCGGGAGGTGGTGGTTGCAGTGAGCCAAGATCATGCCACTGCATTCCAGCCTAGGCGACAGAGTGAGACTCCGACTCCAAAAAAACAGCAAAGAAAAATTGGAATCCTTGGGCACTATTGGTGGGAATATATAATGTTACAGCAGCCATGGAAAGCCATATGGCACTTCCTCAAAAAATTAAAAATAGACTCACCATATGATCCAGCAGTTCCACTTCTGGGCGTATATCTAAAAGAAAGCACAGTCTTGAAGGGATATTTGTACTCCTGTGTTCATAGCAGCATTATTCACAATAGTAAAATGCGGAAGGTAACCCAAGTGTCCATCAACAGATGGATAAGGAAAATGTGGCGTACGTACAATGGAACATTAATTCAGCCATGAAAAGGAAATTTGATACGTGCTATATAACATGGATGAACCTTGAGGATTATGCTCAGTGAAATAAGCCACTTACAAAAAGACAAACACTATGATTCCGCTTCTGTGAGGTACTTAAGAATAGTTAAAATCACAGAAAAGGTAGAATGGTGGTTGCCAGGGCTTGGGGGAAGAGGGGAACAGGGAATTATGGTTTAATGGGTAGAGTTCAGTTTTGCAATGAAGACCTCTGGAGATGGATGGATGGTGGTGATGTTGTCTGATGGTATGAATGTCCTCAATACCACTGAGCCATACAGTTAGAAATGATGAAGATAGTAAAGTTTATGTGTATTTTACCACAATTTTTTTTTTTTTGATGGGGAGTTTCGCTTTTCTTGCCCAGGCTGGAGTGCAGTGGCGTGATCTCGACTCACTACCTCCACTTCCCGTATTCAAGCGATTCTCCTTCCTCAGCCTCCCGAGTAGCTGGGATTACAGGCATGTGCCACTACACCTAGCTAATTTTGTATTTTTAGTAGAGACGGGGTTTCACCATGTTGGTCAGGCTGGTCTCGAACTTCTGACCTCAGATGATCTGCCCACCTAGGCCTCCCAAAGTGCTGGGATTACAGGCGTGAGCCACGGTGCCTGGCCACCACAATTTTTAAAAAAGGGAAAAAAGTGAACCACACGCTAGGAAGACAACCTAAGTTCTTATTCCAATGAAATGTTTCCCTGGTTTACCTGCACTAAGGTGGTAAAAAAAAAAAAAAAAAAAAAATCCTTTCTGAGGTTGTGATCCAAGCCACTGGGGAAAATGGCTCTATTCGTACACTGGGCTTGTACTGTGACAGGCTGAATTGTGTCCCCTACAGTTCCTATGGTGAAGTCCTACCCATACGACCCTCCCACTCCCCCCAACCCCATACCTCAGAATGTGACTGTATTTGGAGGTATTTGGAGGTAGCATCGTTAAAGAGATAATTAAAGTTATAATGAGGTCATTAGGTGGGCCCTATTCCAGTATAACTGGTGTCTATAAAAAATTAGGAAACAGATTGGGACGACCATGTGAGGGAAAAGGCAGCCATCTGCAAGCTAAGGAGAAAGACTCAGAAAACAAGCCTGCTGGTACCTTGATCTCAGGAGTTCTAGCCCCCAGAATTGTGAGAAAATAAATTTATTTTGTTTAAGCCACCCAGTCTATGGTAATTTGTAATGGCAGCCTGAGCAGACTAATACATTCACATTCTAGACTAAGCACTTGAGACAGAGTCCGCTGCCCCAGCCAGGCCTCACACCCTCTTGGGGGCCACAGCATCTTTATTAACTAGTATGTTCCTGGCCTGCTCCACACTCTTCTGCCTCCCCCTAACCCCAGCTGAAAACACAAAGGTGGCTCCTTGGTCTTTCCCATCAGGAAGGCCCTGCTTCTCCACATGCCTTTCCAGCTGGCAACTTCCTTTCCCACCACTCCTCTGTTACTCTGACTCCTGTTGGTATTTTCACTATACCCTTGGGATCTTCTTTTTACACATTTTTTTTTCCCCATTTGAGGGCAGCAGTTGATGTCTTTGTTATCTTCTTCCCATTACCTGGCGAAGGGCAGCATCTGTCACCTCCATCCATCTTAGGTGAATAAACTTTTTATTTTTCTTTGAGATGTAGTCTCGCTCTTTCACCCAGGCCGGAGTGCAGTGGTGTGATCTCGGCTCACTGCAAGCTCCACCTCCCAGGTTCACACCATTCTCCTGCCTCAGCCTCTTGAGTAGCTGGGACTACAGGCGCCCGCCACCATGCCCAGCTAATTTTTTTTGTATTTTTAGTAGAGATGGGGTTTCACTGTTAGCTAGGATGGTCTCGATCTCCTGACCTCATTTCGTGATCCACCTGCCTTGGCCTCCCAAAGTGCTGGGATTACAGGCATGAGCCACTGAGCCTGGCCTGGTGAATTAATTTTAATTCTGGCTGGGCGTGGTGGCTGATGCCTATAATCCCAGTGCTTTGGGAGGCCAAGGTAGGCGGATCACTTGAGGTCAGGAGTTCGAGACCAGCCTGGCCAACATGGCAAAACTCTGTCTCCTAAAAATACAAAAATTAGCCACGCGTGGTGGTGCACACTTGTAATCCCAGATACTCAGGAGGCTGACACAGGAGAATCGCTTGAACCAGAGAGACAGAGTTTGCAGTGAGCCGAGATTGCGTCACTGCACTCCAGCCTGGGCAACAGAGTGAGACTCTGTCTCAAAAAAAAATTTTTTAAAAAAAATTCTAACACAAGACAAAGGAGCATTTTGATTAAACCAGTATTTATTAACAGCATGCCTGATTCTGTGGAAAGCAGACTTGAACCCTGGTCATTCCTACTCTCAGGGGCAGCATGTTAAGGATAGCAGCCTGCAAGTCTATCTCTTAAACTCCACTTGTGTGTACACCTTGGTGATGTCATTGTACCTGCCTTCAGGGGGTTGGTAGTTAGGGATCGGTGGTGTGTAATGTGGCCCTTCCTTCTCAAAGGGGAACAGGTTAGGATCCCGCTTGATGGCCTCAGCATGGAGCTTCGGGGATTCCAGTTGCAGTTCCTCCAGAGCTTCCTGCTGGGCTTCTAGCATAGCCCTGATGGTGTCCCTCTCCATCTTACGCTCTTGCTGCTTGTACAAGGACCACTTCTTCAGAAGCAGAGCTCTCCTCTCAGTCTCCTCAAAGGTGAGCTCCACCTGAGGCCGCTCTCTGCAAAGAAGCTAAGGGTTACCAATCTCACTGGCATGTAAGTCTGTGACTGCAACTGACACAAGTATTCCCATTGCCAGACACAGACAGGACTTAGGAGATAAAACAAGTTTGGGACAAATTAAGAAATGGAATGTTGAATGTGGCTGCAGCTGCAACTGATGCTTGGAACCAAGGTCATTTGCTCTCTGTCAAAAGAACAGATGATCTGAGGAGACTGGTAGCACTTCCTCTGCCCAAGCAAATACTCCCTTGGGTGAGAGAAGACTTTTAACACCTGCCCCTTTATAGATGGTGCACACTGCTTACAAAACGGCAGCAGGAGCTGTTAACCCTGCACACAGTAGAATCCCAACAAATACCAACCAAAGATATCTGCATGATAAAACAGGAGGCCAAGGGTTTTCTACTGTTAGGATGAGGCGAGGGCTTCAGACTCCAGGCCCAAGGGATCAGAAACAGCCAAGACTCCTCATGCATGACAGCAACAACATGAACTCCAGAGCAGTGCTTAAGCATCTGGATTATTAGATGTCTTAGGTTCTTTCCCACCCAGAGCCATTCAAGAGTACCACCCAAGGATGCTTTCTCCTGCTTCCAAAAGGAGCAAGGACTCATTAGGGCCAAGTCAGCTCAAGCCTACTGACCAATGACTATCACAGGTGTGAACTACAGACACAACTACCTGAAGTTGATATTACTCCTTTGTCCTGAGGACTTCATCCCTAGAGAAGGATCCTTACCTTGCTTTATCCAAGAACTTTAGAGGGGTAATAAAATCTTCAATAGGAATTAGCTCTTGAGTAGCCTTTTCCAGTTTTCGGATCTTCCTTTTCAAGCGCTCCTTTGCTTCTTGGTCTTTTTTAGGATCTACCTTCTTCTTTTTTCGAAGAGGTTCTGATCTAATAGATAAAGCAAATATTAAACATTTTCCTCTTTGGTCTCATGAACCTACTGAGAGACAAGATGGTAAGTACCCCATACTGACCTCTCCACTGGGGGAAGGAGCTGTGCATGACTAACTCATGAGCTCAGCGTGGTGAGGAGGTACTCCACCCCACAGTACTTGTGAGAACTGTGTAGGTGCCATCAATTACAAGAAATAGTACAAAAGCAGCCGGGTGCAGTGGCTCAGGCCTGTAATCCCAGCACTTTGGGAGGCAAAGGCGGGCAGATTGCCCAAGGTCAGGAGTTCGAGACCAGCCTGGTCAACATGGCGAAACCCTGTCTCTACTAAAAATACAAAAATTAGCTGGGTGTGGTGGTGCGCACCTGTAATCCCAGCTTCTCGGGAAGCTGAGGCAGGAGAATCACTTGAGCCTGGGAGGCGGAGGTTGCAGTAGGACAAGATCGCGCCACTGCACTCCAGCTTGGGTAACAGAGCGAGACTCTGTCTCAAAAAAAAAAAAAAAAAAAAAAAAGTACAAAAGCAACAAGAGGCATCAGGGTATAAAATCGGGAAGTGTTCCTCTTTATTGCTGGGATTCAGGTGTGCCTTGGGATTACACTCAAAAGTGAAAATACCAAACTGTTAGATTAGAAGCTTATTACTATTAAAATTGATTTGTGGACTGGGTGCGGTGGCTCAGGCCTGTAATCCCAGCACTTTGGGTGCTGAGGTGGGTGGATCACCTGAGATCAGGAGTTCGAGACCAGCCTGACCAACATCCAACATGGTGAAACCCCGTCTCTACTAAAAACACAAAAATTAGCCGGGCGTGGTAGTGGGCGCCTGTAATCCCAGCTACTTGGGAGGCTGAGGCAGGAGAATTAGTTTAACCCAGGAGGCGAAGGTTGCAGTGATCCGAGGTCACACCACTGCACTCCAGCCTGGGTGACACAGTGAGACTCCATCTCAAAAAAAAAAGAAAAATCAAATCCTTTACTATCAAGATTGACTGAATCAAGTATCTACAAAGAGTCGAGAGTGCCAGATGGAAATACCTTTAATACTTGCATCTTCCCCACACTCTCCAGGGCCTCCGAATGGGCAGGGAAGAGGAAGGGTCATGGAGAAACAGAAACTTAAGCTGTGTCCTTTAAAACACACAAGAATCCCTTCAAGGAGAATACTTACTTCTTGAGAAACTGCTCAAATTTTAAAAATTACAAACAACAATCTATGGTTTGGAAAATGTTGGAAAAACAGAAAAGCATCGGCCTAAATTTAACTGAGAAACTTTGTAGGCTGTTAATTTTGCAAACCACACATCCAGCATTCTTGCTTTGTTCTCTACACATAGACTGACACCTTTACCCCCAGAGGTCAGGCCCTCGATTGAGTTTTACCTCATGGGAATGAGTTCCCAGAAAGACAACAATGACGCTCGCTGGTGAGTCTCTCTAAGCTGCGTCTGCCAAGTTCCCAGAAGCCTGAAAGATACAAGAGTATGTATAAATATCTGCTTCTCCAGGCTAGGCGCGGTTGCTCACGTCTGTAATCCCAGCACTTTGGGAGGCCGAGGCGGGTGGATCGCGAGGTCAGGAGTTCAAGACCAGCCTGGCCAACATGGTGAAACCCCGTCTCTACTAAAAATACAAAAATTAGCCGGGCGTGGTGTTGGGCGCCTGTAATCCGAGCTACTCGGGAGGCCGGGGCAGAACTGCTTGAACCCGGGAGGCAGAGGTTGCAGTGAGCCGAAATCGCGCCACTGCACTCCAGCCTGGGCGACAGAGCGAGACTCTGTCTCAAATAAATAAATAAATATCTGATTCTCTCCCACTTCACAGGAAAATAAAAAATTGCAATGCTCCCAAACCCGGGGCACTTCTAACTACTTGATATGACAGCAAGGTCAACGTGGAAGGTTTTTCAAAATCTTTCGTTCAGACCACAGAGGACTTAAGCAGGACCGCTGCTCGCCAGGGTGCTCAGATTTTCATGCATAAGAGTCACGACCAGATGGCTCATCCCTGAGATATTCGTGGACTGGGAGGCGAGCAGGGAGCACAGGCGAGTCCTGGCGGACAGTCGCGAAGACCCCGCACGCGCCCTGGGCACTCCGCTATCCGGCCAGCGTCCGCACTCACCCGCTAGTCGGGCGCAGGGCTAGCGAGATACTTCGCAGCACGGAGGCCGTCATGGCTACCCTCGCCGCTTCCGGGCGTGCGCCCCTCCACAGTCCGGCCCGCGGTGCCCCCTGCTGAGGTCCGGCAGACCAGGCGCCCAGCGCTCAGGCGTTCCGGCTGCGTGGGCTGGGACGCGCCTGTCCCCGCCCCCGACGCAGCCCCGCCTAGGGTGTCAGCTGCGCACACACGAGGGCCTTGCGTTTCACGCGGCTCGGGGTCCTCCCTTCCGTCCCCGCCCTGTGCTGGGAGCGCGCCTCTGCAGCGGGCACAGTCTAGCCAGTCAGGCCCTAGCCGGTTGGTCGGTCTGCGCCCTCGCGCGGGCCTCGGCTCCGCAGTGCAGCCGGAGCGGCCGAGGGGGCGTCCCTCTGCTCCTCCGAGTCCAAATGTTCATGTCTAGGCAAACGGCCCCGATCTTCTAATAAACGCGTCCGCCCCAGCCTCCCCCACCAGGGTTGGCTCGTCCCCCGCATTCGTTCGAGTCCGAAGCCCGGATCGCATTCCGGCGCCGGCGCGGAGCCCGGCGCTCGCAAGATGCCCAATAGCGCGTGTTGATGAATGACGGAAGCTAGTTAATAAGTCGGACTCAGACTGGCGAGGCAGAGCTGGTGACGGGCGGTCCACGCCACCTGGGCCCCGCCTGCCTCTGCGGGCGGCCCGGGTTGCAACTGCAGGCCCCGCTCGCTGTCCGCCGTCCAGGCGAACCGCCCTTTCTGGGGCGCCCGCGCCCGGGCCCGACCCGAAGCCCCTGCCAGCGGAGGAGCCGGGGCGGCCCAGTCCGCGTGGGGAGCGGTTTCCCGCCGGGGCGATTTGGCAGGTGCGCGCCGTGACTTCCGGCGTTGCCCGGGAGCCGCCTGAGGAGGAGCGGCGCAGGGGATGCGGCTGTGGTGGCGGCGGCGGCGGCCGAGCGCGGGTGGCGGCTGTGGCGGCGGAGGGGGGCGCGGGCCGGCGATGGCGCGGCGGCCCTGAGGGCGCGGGGCGGGCGGCGGCCGGAGGGCGGGTGGCGCGGGAGGAAGCGGCGGCGGTGGCTCCATGGCCCGGGCGCGCTGAGGGACCCGGCGCTCGCCTCAGCCCGGCGGCGGCGGCGGCCGAACAATGAAGCTCCTGAAGCCGACCTGGGTCAACCACAATGGTGAGTGCGCGCAGGGGTCGCGGGAGGCCGAGCCCGGAGTCGGGTCGGGGTCTGGAGTCGAGTCGGGGCGCGCGCAAGTCCTGCCTGTCTCGCCCCTGACGCCCGGTACCCGGTGCCCAAGCCAAGAAGCCGGCGGGAGCGGACTTTGTCCTCAGCGCGGAGAGGCTGGTGAGCCCCAGCACGTGCTCCGGGTTGACCGCAGCGAGGGCCATCTTCGCCCCTGGCTCTTGCTCTGAGTCTTCCGCTGCCCACCTGTGGTCCTTGGAGGGGCCGCGGCCTGGCTCCCAGGAGCGGGCCTTGGTGCCAGCCAGTGCCTTCCACTGGTCTGCATCGCCCGAGAAGTGCTCAGACGGTCCTGAAGGTGAAACCGGGATGAAATCCCCCTTGTGGCCTTTCAGTGGCAGGATGAAGATCCGAAATCTGCAAGAGGGACTGTTACTGCCCCTCTGGATCTGGGGACAGTGCCCCCAGTTGGGGAATTGTGGTCCCTAAATAGGAGGGTTTGGGGGCCCCGGGCCCCCGCGAAGGATCCACGATTAATGCTGAGCTGGGACATCAGGGTGAACTAGGGTTGGGCAGATAGGGCACAGGTGTGTTCTAGCAGAGGGGCTTCTTAGCTCTGTGGCAGTGGCTCCAAAGCACACCCTTGGGGAACGGACTCATCCACCCCATATCTTGACTCTGATACAGAGAGGCTAGTGGTAATCAGTTTCGTCATAGTTCTGCCTTGTTGGCAGAACTGCTGCAGGAGTTGGTGTTTGCTCCCCGGGTAGATGAAAAAAGCGCGCCTCCCCCTCCCCCACCCCACTCTGCTGACAGCACTGTAGCACAGAAATCAACCCAGGGAGACTCCTCCAGCCCAGGGCCTGATTCTGGCCTGTCTGACTGTTGACAGGCAAAGGGTCACCCTGATGCTGTCTTGTTCCTCATTTCTACTTTGCAGTGCGACTACAGGGTGCTACCGTTTTCTTTAGGAGCGAGAATAGATATTTTAACATGTGGCTTTTTCGTTTTGAATTTGGTCCCAGGATGCTCTCTACTACCACAACTAAACTGAACTGATCATGTGTGTGTTCTCCTCCTGCCACCTCTCTCTCCTTCCATCTTGTGTGACATCTTTCCCATTTTTCAGGGACTAGGTTCACGTGTTTCTTTTGAAACTGTTCATCCTGAGTTACCCCGGTAGATGTGCTGTATCACTGTCTGTGTGTTTTGCCTGGCATGGAAGGTGTGAGGGTACTTTCCATATGCCCCCAGGGTAGGGACTGCCTCAGTCCCTTCTGTATGCCCTACTGCATTGAACAACCTCTTCCACATGATGGGTATGTGATAAATATTGGCTAAAACAGGTAAGAAAGCTGAGGTTTTCATAATTTATCAAGATGAAGTTAGGTTTACTGTGCATGAAAGCCGAAGCCTTGAGTTTTAGTTTCATTTCTCCTGTTGATCTCCAAGAGCATTTCCTGATGTGTACTGTGCAGATCTTTCCCTGGAGAACTGGACAAATATTGTAATTATGAATTATGATGCTTGTGATTAGGAAAGGAAAAATGTTATTATGAACTAGTTTACTGTGTGAAGGTCTGATAGAATTTTTATTTTAAAATGCTTTACCTAAATCAGTTTTTGTGAATAGCCTACCCTTCTCCAGCCTCTCTTCTACTGTCATATAACTTGTTCCTTTTTGATAAGCTCCTTTGTAGGCCAAAAGTTTTATGCTATGTAAACATAAGTAAGTCAAGATGCTTAAGTGACGAACTAGGTACAAATGAATAAGAGACTACACTCAGATCAGCAGCCAAGTGCATCAGCCTGGCAGAGCAAGCACAACAGTGGCCCTTATTGCTGAGGGCCTCTCTACAGCCCTAGAATGGAGCATGATAATATCTACTCTAACCACTTCATAGTATGCTTGTGATACTCAGTTGGGAGCGTAGATATAAAAATGCTCCCCAAACTGTTAAGTGCTTTAGAAATCTGAGATAATAAGTAATAATAAAAAGAGGCTGGGCACGGTGGCACATGCCTGTAATCCCAGCACTTTGGGAGGCTGAGGCAGGTGGATCACGAGGTCAAGAGATCGAGACCATCCTGGCCAACATGGTGAAACCCCGTCTCTACTAAAAATACAAAAATTAGCTGGGCGTGGTGGTACGCACCTGTAGTCCCAACTACTCGGGAGGCTGAGACAGGAGAATCGCTTGAGCCCGGGAGGTAGAGGTTGCAGTGAGCCGAGATCGCGCCACTGCACTCCAGCCTGATGACAGTGAGACTCCATCTCAAAAAAAAAAAAAAAAAAAAAAAAAGATATGGCAACTCTGGCAGGATGGGATTTAACTTCTTTTAAACTTGTTCTTTGTTAAATTTCCTTTCTTTTAAAATCTCATGGAATGTTCAGAAGGACTGTCAAGAGGTAAATTACCACTGCCCTGGAGGAGATGATGCTGGTCTGAATCACTACCGAGCAGGCCTTTAAATACTGTAGGAGTATTGGTGGCTGCTGGGAGCAGGGGCTGCTCAGCCGGAAGCCTGAGGGGTGGGTAGTGGCCAGTAAAATTGTGCTTGCTTTTGTAAAGCCATCATTGCACTTTCTGGCTTCCTTGTTCTATATTCATGTCTCCAATTTTGTGAAGCACAAACATAACTTTTTTTTTTAATAGAAATGGGATCTTGCAGTGTTGCCCAGGCTAGACTCAAATACCTGGGCTCAAGGGATCTTCCTGCCTCAGCATCCTGAGTAGCTGGGACTACAGGCGTGAGCCACTGCACCCAGCATGAACATACTTTTTCTGTTTTTCGAGAGTCTAAAGGGGGAAGTAGCAGACAGCTCAGCATTTTTCTCTGGTGTGGCAGGGAATCCATTCAAAGTGGAGAGGGTAGCTAGAACAGGAGAAGAAGTATTTATTGAAATGTGGGTGTACTTTGGTCTTCATTTTCTTGGCTGATAATAGAGACACCTCTAAGGTAGGGTTTCCCAACTTCAGCAGGTTGACATTTTGGGCCATAAAATTGTGTGATTGTCATCTATGTTATAGAATGTTTCTAGTATCCTTGGCCTCTACCCACCAGATGCCAGTAGCACTTCACAAACACCTTCTTAGAGTAAGTTGATACAACTTCTAGTTGTATCAACCAAAAATATCTCCAGTCATTGCCAATGTCCATTGGTAGCCAAAATCACCCCCAATTGAGAAGCACTTGTCTAAGGTTATCAATAAGTTAATCTTGAAGTTGTCACGTTGTAGTGAAATGAGCCTTGAATGTGGAATCAGACTGGGTTCAAAACTGCATCATTTACTAGCTGTAAATTCTTGGACTTATAACTCTACTTCTGGGCCTTGGTAAAATAAGACTTACCTCTTCCATTTTATCCTGGGACCAAATATAAAAGATTGTTAAATTGAAATATAATAGCTATCATTTATATAGAAGATGTGTCAGTTATTGTTCATACATACACATTTTACTTCGTGTTCTTGGATACAGTATTCTCTATATATTTTATTTTAGAATTGACCAAAATAAGCTTTATTTCTAAGTTAGGTTAAGGTCAGAAAGTAAAAACAACTAGGTTTCTGGTTTTAAAGTTTGTAGAAATATGGAGTTTGTATGTTTAGAAAATCTCGTTGAGATTCATGGCTCTTCCCAACTCTGGGCCTTTGCTCCTGAGTTTTTTCTGGAATTCTCATGCCTGGGCAGACAGCGCTTATGCTCAGCTCTTTGGTGAAGCCAGTTCTAACCAAGAGGGCCAGGACTGAAAGAGCTCTTGTCCACCTTTGGCCTTTGGTTCACACTTTGATGGCAGTGTTATGAAAAGGGATTTGGGAAATTTTCAAGAACAGGGTAATTTGCTGGTAATCACATGGCCTTATGGTGTGTATTTTCTCCTGTCCTGCGATTGGATTATTTTTACCCCTACCTTGTGTCATTCTGAAAAGGATTTGAAGCTGTCCTACTGAGACATCAGCATGAAAATTAAATAATTCAGCTTGAAGGGAAAATGTAGGCAGAATCATATAATGATAAAGTTAGGAGTGGGTGGGTAAGGTCCAGCCTGCTGCCGGAGGGCACTGCAGACCTATGTCTGAGAATTGGCAGGGAAAGGATCCTAATGGTGAGGTTATATGATTGCAGTGGTTGAGAGATAAACATGGCAGTTGCTTTAGATCAGTGGTTCTACAGGGCAATGTCTAGAGACATTTGTGGTTGTCACAACAGGGTTGGGCAGGGTACGTGCTACTGGTATCAAGTGGGTAGGGGACAAATCTGTTAAACATCGTATAGCATGCAGGACAGCCCACTCATGGAGAATTATCTAGCCCCAAATATCAATAGTGCTAAGGGTGAGAAACCCCGCTCTGAATAAGTTATTTGCCTTTTGGTGTATTTGTCTTACAGTTCCGACTAGACTGTAAGTTTCTTGAGGACAAGAATTTTGTCTTCTGTTTTTGGAATCAGATATCCTGCTCTGGAGTCTCTGTGCCCTGCTGCTTACTAAATATGTGACATAAAAAGTTTTTCCATCTCTTCCTAATCTGTTCATGAAGTCAGTAATTCTTGCCTCACCTGCTCCATGTGGTAGCTCAGAAAATGCAAATTCTCTCAGCAATTTCTCTCCTGACTTATGCCTGAAGACAGTAGGTTGATTTAGGAAAATAACCAGAGTACATCTGAAGAGTCAGAAGAAAACTGGGTGAGATTTTGCTGTGGATTTTTCACTGATTTATGCAACAAACATTGAACCTTTCTGGTAAGAGTTCTGTGGGGACCAGAGGTAAATAAGGCTCTCTCTCTGAACAGAAAGCTGTGTGGAAGATAGATGAGAGAGATTGACATACAAACCGTATTCTAGAATGCAGGGCAGGGGAAACAGGAGCTAGAGGAATAAGCGTGATAGCCCAAGGAGGAAGGGCACTTCACCAGCAGAGTCGGGTTTGTGGATGTGTCCTTGGACTGAACCTTGACGTGACTAGAATTGTGATGGCAGAGAAGGCGCTACAGCACATGAGACCATCAGGAGAAAAGGCCCAGAGGGTGAAAGCATTTAGGGAAAGACATAGAACATGTTAGGAGGGAGGCTAAACAGGGCAAGAGGGAGAATGGGGCTGGGAGGCAGAGCCTTGCCAGCAGCTTGAACTTCCTTCTTGGGGTTAGGGGAGAGAGGAGAACATTGAGGCTTCTGAGGAAGCTGGATGAAACACCCAACCTGTGTCTTAGGCAGGCCCTAGAGGAGTTAGGAATTTCTAGTCTTGGTGAGATGCTCAGGGAGACAGGGAGATCACAGGTGATGGAGGTGAGAAATAGAGAGGCACTAAAGACAGGGTAGAGGTAGAATTAATGGGACTTGGCCATGTAGGCAGGTGACTGTAGATTTGGGCCACTCTGAATGTATTTATTTACTTATATATTTTCTTTATTTATTTTGAGACAGAGTCTCGCTCTGTTACCCAGGCCAGGCTGGAGTGCAGTGGCATGGTCTCAGCTCACTGCAACCTCCACCTCCCGGGTTCAAGTGATTCTCCTACCTCAGCCTCCCGAGTAGCTGGGATTACAGGCACATGCCACCACGCCTGGCTAATTTTTGTATTTTTAGTATTCGGTATTTAGTGTTTTTGTATTTTTAATACACATTTTCGCCACGTTGGCCTGGCTGCTCTCGAACTCCTGACCTCAGGTGATCCACCCGCCTCGGCCTCCCAAAGTGCTGGTATTACAGGTGTGAGCCACCGCTCCCAGCCTCTCTCTGAATTTATTTCTTTAATATGCTGCAGAAAGAATATGGATGAAGGCCAGGAAATGGGATTTTCTTAAACATTTGTTTTACTCTAAGAAGTGGTTGAAAACTATTTTCACTTTATGAGCAGAATCATAGTTACACAGCTGGGAGGGACTTCTGAGGAGCGTCTGGCCTTGACCACTGAAGCCAAGTAGGAGACCTGCTTCCACTGTGCTGATCTTGGGTCCTGTCGGTGACCAGGAAGAGGATGCTCTGTGTCTGGCTTGACCCCTCCCTTTCCCCAGAGGTTGCTAGCATGTTCTGTTCATCCGGGGTGTTTGCCTATGGACTGCAGAAGTGTCTAGCACATGAACCAGAGGTATGGAATGAGCCCTGGGGACCAAAAATTTATGCAAAGCACATTTTATCATCCTGCCAGAGTCAGCAACAACACCTAGAAGTGAGTGGGATTGTGAACATTGTGCATATTGTCAAATAGCACAAAGGGAGTGTTGCAAATATTGTAGGGTTGCCTGCCTTGTTCCTTGTTAGCAGAACCCCAATTTTTTTGGTCTGCCTTCTGCAGGCCAACCTGCTGATAGCCCTAAGCTGATGTGTGGGTAAATGCCAAGGATTTGTTGAGGAACAGCCATGTGATGCCATTTTGGCCCTTGAGACTAGGAGGGGACGTCTGCTGGGACCTCCTAGGGAATTAAATAAGAGGAGATGCTTGACAGGCTAGTCTCTTCTGCTGGACTTTACTAGGTCTGCGTGTAAAAGCCAGCTTGGAACAGGGCCGACACTGATGACAGGAGAGGAAGACAGAGGGACACGTCTCTTTAAGTTGCTAAATTAATGCACCCTGAAGCTGACCTATCTCAGGACTTGTTATATACGATAGAAGATTACCCTCGAAATTCTCTATGACTTGCAGCATTACAGTTCACAGATGGAAACTTAGGCTGAGTGAGATGAGGTGACCCCCTGGCACCAAGATTCCACTAGATGTGATGGAGATGTGTTGAGAGTCACACTTAGACTCCAGCCCAAGCCCAGACTTACTCTTTCTAATTTGCTAAGCACTGGTCTTTGTGCTGAGGCTGGCCACTCCGTCCTGGAGAGCTTCAGGCCCATTTCCTCCTCAGAAGGACAGCTTTCAGAAACCACGTGGTACAGCATGGGACCAGGAGTCTGGTCCCTGGAGCTTGTCCTCTGACTGCTTCTGTAGCCATTCTGAGTGCCTTGGGGCTTCTAACCTGGTAGGTTTCTCTTGAAATGTGCTTGGTGAGCCTTTTCTGGCATTTGATTTTCAAGAGTTCTCTGGTTGTGGGGTATCGAGAATGTTTTCAGTGAGAAGCAGAAGGGAGAGGTCTGTGCCCCAGCCTTGGACTTTGGGTCTTCCCCATTGGCTGATTGGTCCAACTAGGTCATGTGCCCTCTCTTGCATCAATCATCGTTGCCTACTGGCTTACATAACGGGCAGAGTGGATATCTGAATAAAACTGGAGTTCTATTAGACACCTCCCTGGGGGAGCATATGCTCCTGGAAAACAGACTTTGTCTTTGCTCATGCCCTTTTCCCAGGGCCAGGAATGGTACTTGGTACACACCATAGTAGTCACTCAGTAAATGTTGAAGGAGTGCTGAGTGCTGGAAGTTGGTGATGGAAAGTGGCTGATGGATGGGCAGCTAACAGTGTCTGTTGTCCTTGGCTGGTAGAGTTGATGTACTGCAAATAAACTTCTTGTTCATCCTGGCTGGCTCTTTCTAGTGGAATCTGCTGGCAATTCCAATGATGAGGGGAAACATTCTGCCCAAGCCTTACCCAAGGAGTTCATTTACATGATTCTGTCTTCTAGAGCCTTCCATTTTAGGAAAGGAAGTGGATGAAACAGATAGCAAATGGTTTTAAAACACTCCTGGCAAAAAGAAAACCCATTTAGATTAACATTTGTTGCTCCTAAAAGCATTGTCTGCCTCGATGCATTAACAAACCTAGGGTAGGCCAATTCCCTGGGAGGCTACCCTGGCAAAAGCCACTGTGGTGAAGACCAGACAGAAGGGACAGCAGGCCTTATTTGAGGTCCAGGGATAGACCTACGTTGGAGCAGACTCCAGGTCTGCTGCATCCTCTAACAGAAGGTCTCACATGGAAAAAACAGTTGATAAATTCACTGCTGTTTTAAGAGCTGAAAATATGTGTGTGTGTGTGTGTGTGTGTGTGTGTGTGTGTGTGTGTGTATGCATGTGTGTGAGTCAGTGTGTGTATGTTTTCAGCTCTTAAAACAGCAGTGAACCAAGCAGCATGCCAGGCTCTTGAGGAGCAGCCTGTTATGCATCCTGGCCAGTGAGACTGGGATGGGATCTGCTGGGGGTTTCCTGTGTAAGTGGAAAAGAGGAGATGTGGGAGGGGAGCTTCCTGGTGAGACACATAGCGGAATCACAAACAAGATCCTGTGAATTGGAGAAACAGCAGACTTAGAGATGAGGAATGCTGAGGCAGAGGCGGGGGATAGACGGGTTTAAGTGGGACGCTTTGGCAAAGCCTGAGTGAAAAGGTAACATTTGAGCAAAGGCCTTGTTGCAGGAGTCAGATTCTGAGCTGCAGATTTTTGCATGCAGGATTATTGGGGAGGGCTCTCGGGATCCACACCATTGAAGGAGTGAAGGAAGCAGCACCAGACAGAGGGAGAAGGCAAGCTATGATGTAAGCACAGAGAAAGCCGCAGCCAGCCCTGCTGGGAGTTCTGTAGCTGGGGAGGCCCTTCAGAATTGTCGTGGATTGGGGTGGGAGACCAGGGCCCTTTACTCCCGTGTCCACAGCCTGGATATAGGCTCTTTTGGAAAGGAGACCTGACCCTGCCAAAAGAGTGCTTCCACTGAGGGCAGGTCTGACCTGGAGGAAGACTACAGGGAGCTGTTGGGGCTGCCAACACTCCACAGATAGCTATGGGAGTGTGCTTTAGTCCCTGGAGGGTAGGGACCTGGGCATGATACCACAGCATTCGCTGCAGGCCTCATGGAGATGAGGAAGGTGCCATCTGAGGGAAGAGCATTCCAGGCAGAAAGAAGAGCTGGAACTTGCCTGGAGGGTTTGAGCAGTAGCACAGATGTCATTGTGGTTGGAGCAAGGCAAGGGCTGTGAGAGAGGAGGCCAGAGAGTGAATAGCAGACTGATTGGGAGAGCCTAGTAGGCTACTAGAAGGCCTTGATTCTCACTGCAAGGGGAGCAGAGGACTACTGTGATCTGACGTGAGTTTTAGAGATCTTTCTGACTGCTACGTGGAGACTAGATTGGTTGTGGGGGACCAGAGGGAGGGAGGAGCCAGGAGACCAGTTATAATGCCAACTACTGGTAGTAATCCAAGCAAGAGATGGTCTGGATCAGGATGGTGATGGCTGTGATGGCAAGAAATGGTTGGAGCTGGTGGGGGAGACTCTGTGTGTGTGTGTGTTTATGTAATACATTACATGTATATATGTGTTTATATGTATATGTAATATATATATGTATATATATATATGTGTATGTGTGTGTGTGTGTGTGTGTGTATATATAAACACATTCTTTTCAGGTATAAATAAAATGTCCAGACCTTAAATGTATAATGTGTTGACTTTTGACAAGTTAATGTACTTTGTAACCTGTTCCCTGATAAAGTTAAGGAACATTTGCATCTCTCCTGAAAGTTTGGGTTATGGGTATGTTGGGAAGGTAGGGTCAAATATGGGGTATGAGATAAGATAGAACAGGCCGGGCATGGTGGCTCACACCTGTAATCCCAGCACTTTGGGAGGCCAAGGCAGGCAGATCACTTGAGGTTAGGAGTTCAAGACCAGTCTGGCCAACATGGCAAAAATGCGTCTCTACTAAAAATACAAAAATTAGCCAGGTGTGGTGGCATGTACCTGTAGTCCCAGCAACTCGGGAGGCTGAGGCAGGAGAATTGCTTGAAACCCAGAGTGGGAGGTTGCAGTGAGCTGAGGTCGCATCACTGCGGTCCAGCCTGGGTGACAGAGCAAGACTCCATCTCATACACACACACACACAAAAGAGTTAAGAGAGAACAGAAGGATGAGTTCCAGTCTAAGGGCAGAGTTGCTATCTACTGAGCTCAGTAAGACTGTGAAAGAAGTTAGGAAAAATTAGAAAATGCACAAAGGAAAACACATTGTTAAAACTTTTAATGTGGTCTTTCAAACCATTTGGAAAAAAACAACTGGGTGATTTTGTGATTTTAGAAGACGCATTTAGTGTATGCACATTATACAAGTGTCTGAATTTTTTTAAGACTTTAACCAAATCCCCATCAGTCACCATAGCAAATCCAATGTCTTTGGTGTGTAGCCTCCCTTACAGACCTTGCATTGTACAGATAACTGGCATAGCTAAAATGTTGCTGTGCATTTTTTTTTTTTTTTTTGAGACGGAGTTTCGCTTTTGTTGCCCAGGCTGGAGTGCAATGGTGCAACCTCGGCTCACTGCAATCTCTGCCTCCAGGGTTCAAGCGATTCTCCTGCCTCAGCCTTCCGATTAGCTGGGATTACAGGCACTTGCCACCACACCCAATAAATTTTTTGTATTTTTAGTAGAGATGGGGTTTCACCATGTTGGCCAGGCTGGTTTTGAACTCCTGACCTCAGGTGATCCACCCGCCTCGACCTCCCAAAGTGCTGGGATTACAGGCGTGAGCCACTGCGCCCAGCCTGCTGTGCATTTTTCACTTAAATAGTATTGTAGGTTTGTTGTCTTCTTAATTGTGGTTATTGTTGAGCTAGCAGATTTTTCCCACTATGGAAATGTAGCTTTTAATTTTCTAATGGAAGTAGGTGGAAGGGACTAGATTTATAGGAGTACATTTTGCAGATAACTTTTTGTTGTTAAATTTAAGGGATGTAAGTGCAGTTTTGTTACATGGATATATTGCTTAGTGATGAAGTCTGGGCTTTTAGTGCAACCATCACCTGAATAATATACATTGTACCCTTGCAGATAACTTTTTTTTTTAAAGACAAGGTCTTACTTTGTCGCTCAGAATGGAGTACAGTGGCATGACCATAGTTCACTGCAGCCTTGAGCTCCTGGGCTCAAGCAATCCTCCTGTGCAGATACTTTTTAGGGAATACCTCTGTTTTGCAAAATGAGGGGGGAAAGAAGTATTAAGAAACAGAAATGCCTTTCGTCAAAACTTTTTTGTTTTTTGGGGTTTTGTTTGTTTGTTTGTTTTTTGTTTTGGTTTGGTTTTTTTTTTTTTTTTTTTGAGACAGTTTTTTTTGTTGCCCAGGCTGCAGTGCAGTGGCGTGATCACGGCTCACTGCAGCCTCGACCTCCCGAGCTCAATAGATCCTCCCACCTCAGCCTCCTGAGTAGCTGAGACTACAGGCTTGCACCACCACTACTGGGTAATTTTTGTTTTTTGTTTTTAATTTGTAGAGATGGGGTTCACCATGTTGCCTAAAGTGGTCTCGAATTCCTCAGAGCAAGTGATCTGCCTGCCTTGGCCTCCCAAAGTGCTGGGATTACAGGAGTGAGCCACTGCGCCCAATCTCAAAACTTTGTTGATTATATGTTGGCAGATGCTTCAGGAGAAGTGATTAAGGTCTCCTAAATGATATACCTGTGACACTTTTCCACTTTAGTTTGTGGCGCGTGCACACACACACACACACACACACACACACAATGGTTGTATGGTGCAACAGCTTCCTTCCTGTGCTATGTTTTCAATCTCTTAGGCATCTGACACCTATGAGATGTCATTGTGTCATGCTTACTAAAGAAGATGGGGATAAGTTTTTGTGGTCGAAAGTGGTAGAGATAACAGCAGCAGATGGCTGTGAACCAGCCAAGGGTGTGCTTCCCACCTGCAGGCAGTTGGCGAAATCTGAGTCCCCACAGCAGTAGATCAGGAGCCTGCCTTCCAAAGATTGTTACACCAGTGATACTGAAGGTGTTTGAATGTAGTGCTTCTGTCATGAGCTTTCTCCAGCCATTCAACAGCAACAAGTTTTTATTGTTGTGCCTGTTATGTGCCAAGCCACAGCTCTGGGTCCTGAGGATGAATTAGTGAATAAAACAGACAAAAGAGCTGATCTACTTACTGGAGTTTACATTCTAGTGGGCAGAGTAGACAGACATACAATAAAGGAAATTAATATGTAAGAAATTCCCGAGGAAATAAATAGATCAGGACTAAGGGGATTTGTTGTGCCACATTGGGGAAATAATCCTTTAAATTAAAGTTGTTAGAGTAGGCCTCAATGTGAGGGTGACATTGAGCAAAGACCTGAAGGAGGCAAGGAAGAGTCAGTACAAGGCCCAAGATAGGAGCGCACCTGGTACAGTCCAAGAAAAGAGGAAGACCAGCGATGGTGGGGGTTAGTAGGAGATGAGGTCAGAAAAGTCGTGGGGGCGGGGTGGCCATTGTGCAAGGATTGTTGGCCTCTCCTCTCAAGGTCTGGCCTTAACTGTGTTGGGGCAGACAGTGGGTAGAGCAGGTTTCTTGGAAAGATCAGACCGTTATAGAGAAGATCAGGGTGAGGTGTCTAGAAGGCAGTCAGCCATAGGAGTTACTTGCATATAGGTCACATTAGTGTGTTTGGCTGATGAGTTTCTCCAGAGGGATTGCTTGTTATAGAGTGTGCATATTGTCACCTGCACATGAAAAGAATCATTTTTATTATGACCTAACCTCTGGTGTTTGGATATTTACCTCTACTGCCTTATATATTAGTACACACACATATATATCGTTTTTTAAAAACAGGCCTTGTGTGTGTGTGTGTGTGTGTGTGTGTTTATTTCTTATCGAGATGATTATAGATTCACACCGAATTGTATGAAATACTGAGAAGGTACTTCTGGACTTAGTCCAGTTTCTCCCAATGTTAACATTTTGCAAAACTATAGTTGACATTGACATATGCTACCTATTTTTTAAAATTTATTTCCCCAGTTTTGTTTGTACTTATTTGTGCGTGTGTATGTTTAGTTCTATACAATTTTGTCACCTGTGCAGGTTCATGTATCTACCACTGCAGTCGAGATGCTGAACAGTTCCAACAATTTTTATATATTTTTTATTTTTATTTTTTTGAGACAGAGTCTCGCTCTGTTGCCCAGGCTGGAACAGGCGCGATCTCGGCTCACTGCAAGCTCCGCCTCCCAGGTTCATGCCATTCTCCTGCCTCAGCCTCCCAAGTAGCTGGGACTACAGGCGCCTGCCACCACCATGCCTGGCAATTTTTTTTTTTTGTATTTTTAATAGAGACGGGGTTTCACCGTGTTAGTCAGGATGGTCTCAATCTCCTGACCTCATGATCCACCCGCCTCAGCCTCCCAAAGTGTTGGGATTACAGGTGTGAGCCACCGCACCCCGCCAACAATTTTTATAATTACACCCACCTCCCTCCTACACTCCTCCATTTTATTTATTTTTATTTTTGGTTTTGTTTGGTTTTTATTAGCATTTTAAAAATTGTGGTCAGATATTCACAATATAAAATTTACTATCTTAATCATTTTTAAGTATGTAATTCAGTACTGTCACAATTCACATTATTGTGCAGCCAGTCTCCGGAACATTTTCATCTTGCAAACCTTTATACCAATTAAGCAACAACTCCCTATTTTCCCCTCAACTCAGACGTAGGCAACCACCATTCTACTTTGTGTTTCTATGAATTTGACTATTCATAGATAGCTCATATAAGTGGAATCCTATGACATTTGTCTTTTTTCACTTACCATAATGTCTTTGAGGTTCATCCACATTGTAGTGTGCATCAGAACTACTTTCCTTTTTAAGGCTAAATAATATTCCATTGTATGGATATATACCACATTTTGTTCATCCATTCATCGGTCAAGGGACACTTGGGTTGCTTCCACCTCTTGGCTGTAGTGAATAGTACTGCTATGAACATGGGTGTACAAATAGCTCTTCAAGACCCTTTCTTTTGGTTATATACCCAGAAGTATAATTGCCAGGTCATATGGTAATTATATTTTTAACAAGAGTTACAATTTCTGTACACCCTCATCAACACTTATTTCCTGAGGTTTTTTGTAAGTAGCCATCTTTTTATTTATTTATTTTTTTTGAGACGGAGTCTCACTGTGTCTCCAGGCTGGAGTGCAGTGGCGGGATCTTGGCCCACTGCAACCTCCGCCTCCCAGGTTCAAGTGATTCTCCTGCCTCAGCCTCCCGAGTAGCTGGGACTACAGGCACACGCTACCATGCCCAGCTAATTTTTGTATTTTTAGTAGAGATGGGGTTTCACCATGTTGGCCAGGATGGTCTTGATCTCTTGACCTCTTGATCCACCCACCTTAGCCTCTCAAAGTGCTGGGATTACAGGCATGAGCCACCGCACCCAGCCGTTAGTAGCCATCTTAATGGATGTGAGGTAATACGTAATTGTGGTTTTGACTTGCATTTCTCTACTGGTTACTGATGTTGACATCTTTTCATGTGCTTGTTGGTTATTTGTGTATCTTTTCTTTTCTTTTCTTTTCTTTTTTGAGACAGAGTCTCACACTGTCGCCCAGGCTGGAGTGCAATGGCACGATCTCAGCTCACTGCAACCTCTGCCCCCTGGGTTCAAGTGATTCTCCTGCTTCAGCCTCCAGAGTAGATAGGACTACAGGCACCCACCACCACGCTTGGCTAATTTTTGTAGTTTTAGAAGAGATGGGGTTTCACCATGTTGGCCAGGCTGGTCTTGAATTCTTTACCTCAGGTGATCCACCCACCTCAGCCTCCCAAAGTGCTGGGATTACAGATGTGAGCCATTGCACCGTGCCTCATTTGTATATCTTCTTTGGAGAAATGCCTGTTCAAGTTATTTGCCCAATTTTGAGTCACGTTGTTGAGTTTCAGGATTTCTCTATATATTCTGGACATTAATCCCTTATCAGATATGTAATTTGCAGATATTTCTCCCATTCTATGGGTTGCCTTTTTATTCTGTTGATATTTTCCTTTGATGCACAAAAGTTTTTAATTTTGATAAAGTTCAGTTTATTTTTCTTTTATTGTCTGTGCCTTTAGTCTCATATCTAAGAAATTATTGCCAAATTCATGGTCAGATGCAGTGGTGCACGCCTATAATCCTAGCACTTTGGGACGTAAAGGTAGCAGATCGCTTGAACTCAGGAGTTTGAGACCAGTCTGGGCAACATGGTGAAACCCCATCTCTACAAGAAATACAAAAATTAGCCAGGCGTGGTGGTGCGCACCAGGCGTGGTTGTGCCCTCAGTCCCCAACTACTCAGGAGACTGAGGTGGGAGGGTTGCTTGAGCCTGGAAGGTTGAGGCTGCAGTGGGCCAAGATCATACCACTGCACTCCAGCCTGGGCGACAGAATGAGGTGCTGTCTCAAAAAAAAAGAAAAGAAAGAAAGAAAAAAGAAAAAGAAATTACTGCCAAATCCAATCTTGTGAAGCTTTTCCCCTATGTTTCCTTCTAAGATATATATGCAGGTCTTTGATCCATTTTGAGTTAATTGTATATGGTATGAGATAGGGATCCAACTTCATTCTTTTGCATGTGCAGTTTTCGCAGCACCATTTGTAAAAGAGACTGTTCTTTCCCCATTGAATGGTCTTGGCCCCTTGTCAAAATCATTTGATCATATACACAACAGTTTATTTCTGGGCTCTGTATTCTGTTGTTCTAGGTGTCTGTCTATGCCTGTACTTCACTGTTCTGATTACTGTAGCTTTGTAGTAAGTTTTGAAATAAGGAAATGCGAGATCCTCAACTTTGTACTTTTTGAAGATTCTTTTGACTGTTCAGAGTCCCTTAAGATTCCATGTGAATTTTGGGATCGATTTTTTTTTTTATTTCTGCAGAAAGTACCATTGGGATTTTCATAGGGATTGCATTAAGCCTACAAATCACTTTTAAGAGTTTTGACATCTTTTTTTTTTGAGACGGAGTTTCACTCTTGTTGCCCAGGCTGGAGTGCAATGGCACAAAATTGGCTCACTGCAACCTCCACCTCCCGGGTTCAAGCAATTCTCCTGCCTCAGCCTCCCAAGTAGCTGGGATTATAGGCATGTGCTACCATGTCCGGCCAATTTTTGTATTTTTAGTAGAGACAGGGTTTCTCCATGTTGATCAGGCTGGTCTTGGACTCCCAACCTCATGTGATCCACCCACCTCAGCCTCCCAAAGTGCTGGGATTACAGGCATGAGCCACTGTGCCCAGCCTAACATCTTAAAGTTATTAAATCTTCTAGTCCATGAGTACATATATAATGTTTTTTCATTTATTTGTGTCTTTGATTTCCTTCAGCAGTGTTTTATATTTTATAGTTTCAGTGTACAAGTCTTTCGCCTCCTGGGCTAAGTTTATTCCTACAAATTTTATTCATTTTGATTCTGTTGTAAATTGAATTGTTTTCTTAATTTCCCTTTCAGATTGTTCATTGTTGGTGTATAGAAATGCAGATGACTTTTGTTTGTTGATTTTGTATCCTGCAACTTTGCTGAATTCATTATTAGCACTAATAGTTTTTCTGTGGAATTTTTAGGGTTTTCTACATTTAAGATTATGTTGTTTGTAGCTGGGCGGGGTGGCTCAAGCCTGTAATTCCAGCACTTTTTAGCCAGGCATGGTGGCACACACCTATAGTCCCAGCTACTCGGGAGGCTGAGGCAGGAGAATCGCTTGAACTTAGGAGGTAGAGGTTGCAGTGAGCTGAGATTGCGTTACTGCACTCCAGCCTGGGTGACAGAGTGAGATTTCGTCTCAAAATAAATAAATAAATAAATAAATAAGTTTGTGTTGTTTGCACCCACCTTATATATTTTTTGTTTTGTTTTGTTTCTTGAGACAGTCTCACTCTGTCACCCAGGCTGGAGTGCAATGGTGCGCCTGTTGGTCAGGCTGGTCTCAAACTCCTGACCTCAAGTGATCTACCTGCCTTGGCTTCCCAAAGTGCTGGGATTACCGGCGTGAGCCACCATGACCGGCCCCACCTTATATTTTAGTATTGTTCTGTAACTGTTTCATTTAATAAATGTTTCAAACATTTTCTTATTTTTAATTCTAAATTTGTCAACATTGGTTAAAACCAAGTTCTATTGGGCAGTGCAGGAAGTGTTCCCAGGAGCAACATTCACTGGGCAAAAGCCTCAACTTTCCCAAGCTTCATTCCAAAAGGACATATGCACATGTGTTCCAGTCAGCTCTACCCAATGAACTATCAGAACATAAAAGCCCAGAGACTTTTTGGAGCCAAACCAAAGGTCTGTGGGACTGCTGAGAGGGAAGGGCCAGCAGCTCTCCATTGTGCCCTCTCTGCTTTGCCTCTGGCCACCTCTCTGTGCTCAGAGTTTAAGTTCCCATGTTTAGTCCTCTTCTAGGAATCTTTCCCCTAGTGTGAAGGAGGGTACGATTCTACCTGAGCATGCCCTGTCATAATCCCAGCTTCCTTAATGTATTCTTTATTCCCTGCCAGGTGGAAAGCATTTGTGCTGCTCTTGTCAAATCAGCAAATCCCCAGACAGTAGACAGTGGCTGACTATATTGGCTGTGTATTGGGTGTGCAGGGACAACATTCTGATCTGGGGTTGATCTAAGGATAGGTGATTGCTTGGTGTCTCTAGAGTCTAGGGTGTGTTAATTTGTCTTTTCTTTCTGTCTCTATTACAAAGAAAGGCCAGACACTGGAGGTAGTTGGGAACTCATCTTTGTCATCATCATGCTGTGCCACAGGAAGAGTTGTCTAACTAGCTCAGCCAGAAGGTCCCTTTCCTTAGCTCCACCTCAGAGAGCCCTTTAGAAGAGGTTCATTCCTGGCCGGGCACGGTGGCCGGGATTACCCCTGTAATCCCAGCACTTTGGGAGGCTGAGGTGGTCGGATCATGAGGTCAGGAGATCGAGACCATCCTGGCTAACATGGTGAAACCCTGTTTCTACTAAAAATACCAAAATTAGCTGGGCGTGGTAGCAGGCACCTGTAGTCCCAGCTATTCAGGAGGCTGAGGCAGGAGAATGGCGTGAACCTGGGAGACGGAGCTTGCAGTGAGTGGAGATCACGCCACTGCACTCTAGCCTGGGCGACAGAGCGAAACTCTGTCTATAAATAAATAAATAAATAAATAAATAAATAAATAGTTTCATTCCCACTAATGGAATGTGAGTGACTGCTTTCCTTGGGATGGAAAGGCCTAGTGCTGTAAGGAGGCGGGGAGCCAGCACTGCGCTGGTATCTGTGTAGGTCCCCTACCATATTTCATCTAATCTGCATAGCACTAGGAAAGGAAACCTGGTGCCAATGAACCAGGCACGCCTTCTCAAAATAATAAAAATAAAATAAAATAAAATCTCAAGGCTTTGTAGCTGGGTAAGTGGCAGGGCTAAAGATTCAGCCCATGATGTTTAATGCCAAAACCCAAACTTGTTGCCAGCCTCCATCCCTGCCTTCCCCTGGAGCCTTGAGGCCCCCACCCCCATTTTCCACACTGCTATTGTGGAGCCAGAATGTGAATCTGACCTTGGCATTACCCTGCCTTGAAAGTACCTTTAGAGAAATGTCTCAGCTCCTTACTGATGCTTGCTGAGCCATCTCTGTCTCCTCTTCTTTCTCACACTCTCTACCTGCAGTCTGCTCTGCAACATTACATCAGCCTATTTCTTGATTCCATGCCGTGCGTCCCCTCAGCCTGAAAACCCTCTCCTTCACCCGATCTTCTGGCTAACTCTTACTCAACCCTTGGGACCCAATTCAGTTATTATTTCTGCAGGAAGCCCGAGGCTGAGTCAGGTGGCTTTCTGCTTGTGAAGTGTCCATCAGTGGACATCTTACTAGGGGAGTTTGTATGATTATGTATCTTTACTTTCTCATTGCTTAGCCTAATGCCTGGCACATAGTAGAAATCTGCAAACAGAGACTGAGTGAGAAAACATGCAGTTGATGCTGTGAGTGGGCATGATCTAAAGCGCATGGGCTGTAATTGGTTACTTGTGCAGCTGAGCCCTCAGCACAGCCTGGCTCAGCCTGTACGTGCTCTTGGGTAGTCAGGGGAACTGTGACTTGCAGGTAAGGGTTTCTGGTGTGCTTCTTGAGGGGACTGATGTAATACAATGTCTCACAGACTTATGGAACTGAAAAGCACTCCAAGGGGAGGGGAATGTTCCGCCCTGATTGCCCGTCAAGACCAAAGCTGTCAGCTAGAACATTTTTTGTTAAAATGACAAATGCCCAGCTCAAGCTGGCTTAAGCAGAAAAGCAAATGAATTGGCATTTTGGTTTATCTCTTATATGACAAACCCCTAAATTTGCTGGCTTAAACCAATAACAGTTTTATTATTTGCTCATAATTCTGCAGCTTGTCAGGACTTAGCAGGTTCAGCTCATCTTGGCTCTATGGAATCTGCTGGGATGGCTCGAATAGCTTGGGGATAGAACACCTCACCAGGCCTGTGTCTGTGACCTTGATTCTCACTTGTCCGGGCTCTTTGATGCTCTACATGTGGCCAGCTTGGGCCTCTTCAAAACATGGTGGTCTCAGGGTACTTGGACTTCTCACATGACAACTAGGTTTCTCCAGAGAGCCAAAGTTGAACTGCTAGACTCTTAAGGCCTACACCTGGAACTGGAGCAACATTACTTCTGTCATTTCCCTTTGGTTAAAACGGGTCCCAGGTGTTTCAGATAAGGGATACTCAACCTATACTACATAGTGACCAGTAAGAAGGAAAGTGTATTTTATCTCAAGTTCATGCTTGATTTGACTACATGGCTGCGGCTCTCCACAGCTGGGTGCTGCCTGGGTCCCATGCTGGGCAGTGCCTTTTGGGCACCAGCATTTAATTTTCACACTTGCATGGGAGCCCTGGCAGGACTTCACAGTTCTCAGACAGCCACTGCCTGCCCACACACTCCTGATCCCAGTACTTGCTGAGTGATTCTAGGGCTGGTGACTCTGGTACTGTGTCCACATTGCCTCCTCTTGGGTGACAGAGACAGAACATGTTCAATTAAGAGACTCTTGGCAACAGCCCATCTATATCAGCAATTGTTGATGCTCAGATCATTGTCATGTATCTCCTTTGTCAATGAACAAATATTACTGCGCTACTGTACACTGGGTACTGTGCTAGAGGCTGAAGATGTGATGAACTCAACAGCAACTGACATGCCACTTGTAGCTCTTAAACCTTTGTCCTAGAAGCAGGGAGCTGGACAAATGCCCACCAGGCGTGAGTGCCTTCTATGGTCTGCTGGGTTTCAAGCTCCTACAGTGCTTTTGCCGGTCTGATCCACCCACCCAGCCAGCCAGCTAGCTTCATGGGATCCTAGTGCAAGCCTAGGCCCATACTGGGCTCTTTGGGGCTTCTAAGAACTAATAGCCACAGTCCTTTCTCCTGGAGGAATTGAACAGCTAATTTAACATAGAGTACAAACTGTGAAGGAGGTTCAGCCAGAGGAGATGCTGAGATGGCAGACGGTATGGGAACTTCACAGCACAAACAAAAGAGGGCTGTTTGGAAGCAGAAGTATGACAAGCGAAGCAATGCTCCTTGGTTGCAGCCAGCGCTGGTCCTGCTCAGCTGTCAGCCAGAAAAGACAAATAGCAGTCCTTCTGTCTAGGCTGCCAGTCAAGTGCAGATCCATGCAATAGGGAGATGTCTGGAGTTACAGCTGTGTGCCCTTTTCACTAAGTACCTGAGACTCAGAACTTCAATCATGAACAGCTCATAGCCATTACAAACACACATCCCTACAAGATGGCAGACAAATGCCCAGGCATCCTATGGGCTCAGCCATTCTCAGTGATGGAATGCTTTCTCCCACTGTTGGACTTTCAGTTGTCTGATGTTTGGAGAATCTTCTAGCAGTTTAGACTTTAACTGAATCTGTTGAGTTTGATACACTTCAATGAATAAAAGCCAATTTAGATACTGTATTTTTTTTTCTTTGTTTCCAGGCAAGCCGATTTTTTCAGTTGATATTCACCCTGACGGGACCAAGTTCGCAACTGGAGGACAAGGTATGTTTATGGAATAAAGAAAGGGAAAGCTTAACAGCCCTGCCACCTTGCTCTTCTCCTGCTGTCCATTTAGCTGTAGAGGGAATACTTGCTATTTTTCAGGATGGATGCAACGCTGTTTAAAATGTACAGTTATAATGTGTTATCTGAATGAATAAAATCAAAATCCTTTTATGGCTTTAGTGTGCTCTCTGTAAGTATTTTGGCAGCGGATGTATCATTCTAATTTCTGTTTATTGAGTTAATATTAAAATCAGTTTGTATCCCCAAACTTGTAGAGCATCGAGAGCGGTAGGTGGTCCAGTGGGCAAAGCCCAGCCCCAGAGACAAGGGCTCTGTCAGCATTTTTCTCATCTGAAAAAAGGGAATGAGGGTAATTTAAGCTTCTAAAGCAATCGTGTAGTTATTAGGCCCATTTTCTCGTCAAAGGAATTCAGTTAGGTTAAAGAGAAAGCACACTGTGGGCAAGTAAGAAAGCCCACACCATTTGAAACTGTTATTGGTAGTATTGCCCTTATGCTTCAGCCAGCATCTTTTGCAATGTTGCATGGTTCTATTTGGAAAGACAGAGCTGTTCTTCATGCCACAATACCAAGATGTATATATAGTGACACAATGTAGCATTCCACAGAGCCCAGCCCTCTGTCATCTTTACCCCAGAGCGGGGCCTCCCTCCAACCAGGCCTCCCCAGGCAGCACTTAGAGAGTGCCTTTGTGAGCTCTAGGTCCTCAGGCCAGGTGCTGCAGGGTGGGTTTCCAGCAGATGCTTCCACCCAGAATCAAGGAGCTGGAAGGGAGTGTAGGGAAGCTGTGGGCAGGGAAGCCTTTCTCTCCTTCCATGCTGTGGACTGCACCCGAGAGGAGGAGGTGCAGCACATGAGAGAGAACACATGGACTTAGCTGAAGGAATCAGAGGGTTCGCACCTGTACCCAGAAGACACACATTTTGCCACCTTGGTCCAGCAGAGATGTTTTGGAAATACTTTTACATATTGGCCAAGAGGCAGTTTCAAACATGCTTTATGGTAATTTTGGCATGTTCATTGGATTTGGCCCTATTATAATAGGAAAATTAAGTGAGGGGCTAAACTTCGTTAGATATCAGTGATGGAAAGCTTAGAAATCATTACTAAGGCTGGGCACGGTGGCTCACGCCTGTGATTTCAGCACTTTGGGAGGCCAAGGCAGGCGAATCATCTGAGGTCAGGAGTTCGAATCAGCCTGGCCAACATGGCGAAACCCCGTCTCTACTAAAAATACAAAAATTAGCTAGGTGTCATGGTGTTCGCCTGTAATCCCAGCTAGTCGGGAGGCTGAGATAGGAGAATCGCTGGAACCTGCGAGGCGGAGGTTGCAGTGAGCCGAGATCGTGCCACTGCACTCCAGCCTGGGAGACAGAGTGAGACTCCATCTCAAAAAAAAAAAAAGAAAAGAAATCATTACTAAAAGGCATGGGTATATTTTTTAGCCGAGCAATACATCAACTCATGACCACGGGAGCCCTAAATCCCCTCTTTTGGTGGTCTCTCGTCTGTAGGTAACTGCAAAGGGTGGATAACAAGATAATGAGCCATTTTTCCTGTGTTCAGGGTACATTTGGGTCTCAAAACAGTCGGCTCTGGAACAGCCTAAATTCCAGGCAGCACCTGGAAGGGGAGGGAAACCCCACTAGGGTGTGCTTTTCTGTTTGCTTTTTAGGGTGTACACAGAACAGAAAAGGTCTTATGACATTGACTTTCCCTTCTCCTCATTTCACAGATGAGGAGTCAAGGAGTCGGAGTCTAGGTGCTGGGCAGGGATGAAGACCTTTTAGGGACCCCTGGTGGATCCGTGTTAGAGGCCAGATCAGAGCTCAGTTCCCTCCTGATTGCTAGTCTAAAGTTCTTTTTGTAAAGTCAGGTTGACTTCTGCTGACTGCTAAGTCCGCTCCGTTTCGTCCCCATGAGTACTTATCATCTTTTCTGTAACTTAAATTAGTAATTTAAATTCAGTCTCCTTAGATCTAGTTAATTATTGTTTATGGAAGCTAAGTGAGGACTTCTCCTAATTTAATTTGACATTAAATATTAATATCAAATTTCTACTCCTTGCACATTCAGCCATTTCTGCTCCTTTGTTCCAGGGCAGGATTCTGGGAAGGTTGTGATCTGGAATATGTCTCCAGTCCTCCAGGAGGATGACGAGAAGGATGAAAATATTCCCAAGATGCTTTGCCAGATGGACAATCACTTAGGTATTACAGAGTGGCCCTTTGCAGGCTTTGCGTGTTGGCAGAGTGCCCAAGGTTAGCACATGTGTTTGTAATTAGAAAGATAAGGCCCCGTGCGGCGGTAACTCCCCTCGGCCTGCTGTCTGAAGGCACAGATGTTGGCTGCACACCTGGGTGAGTTATTCAGCAGAAGACTCGGCCCGCCCACAGAACCATCTTTGGACAGTCTGCAGGTACCTCTGGTGATTTCCTGCTCATGAGTCGTTACTGCCTGATTCCATGGGGCTTTGGGGCCAGCGACCTGGACACAGTAGGGTTCTGGGGAAGGGTGCGCAAGAGACAATTTGCCAAAACATCTCAGGTTGTTACTGTGTCACTCTGAGGCTCTCTGCCAGGACCCTTTTGGCCATCAGACAGTGTGATGGTTTCCTTTCCTGCTGTAGTGCCTTAGTTTCCCACCCCTGAGATGCTTAATGAACAGTCACTGGCCTTTGGACATCAGCTCCTTCCTTTCCTCTGTGTGTTCTTGTCCTCTCAACATGCCTCTCAGTGTCTTCAGACCTGGAGCATGTTACTCACGGGCCATGTGGGGGCTACAACTTTGATAGCCATCTTTCAGGTCTTCCAAAGGCCAAGTTGTGAGTGCTCTTGGAGGCTCTGGCCCATCAGGGGCCTGGGGGAATTTCTGCTGATCTTAGCTTATAAGCGCAGAGTCAGTCAATCTGCAGTGCTGGCGAGTTTGGAAAATCCGAATGTGACAGGGCTGGCTCTGACAGATGAGATGAAGTCAGAGTTTTATACTGTAACAGACTGTTCATCTGAAAAATCTAGAAAAAGCATCTGACCCTTTTTAGCACGTACTCTTTTTTTGAGAATAATCTCTACTCAGAAATGTGTCTCATTAATAGATGACCCTTTTGAAATAATGAGATTTGGTTATCATTTTTTGATTTTCTTAGAAAGAAGCCTTCTATTGACTATGTCATTCAGCACTAACGATTCTCAGATAATGTATATTTTTCCCCCTCCAGACTGTTCTGGTAATTTGTTTTTATAGCACAAGTAGGTTAGTGCTTAAACTGAATTGTTTTTCTGGGGCTCTCACACAGTAGATGCCTTAAATAGATTAGATAGATTAGATTTTATAAACCCTTTACATCTTGCCAAACTCTACATAAAGCAAATGGGCATGACTACTGGATTTTCATCACCTTATTTTTTTTTCTTCCCAGCATGTGTGAACTGTGTGCGGTGGTCAAACAGTGGGATGTATTTAGCTTCTGGGGGAGATGACAAACTGATTATGGTGTGGAAGCGGGCTACGTAAGCATCATTTTCCTTTCTTCACATTTTATTTTTAGAAGCTGCTTTGCTGGTCTTTATCAAAGTCACCTTTCCCTACCCTGTCACTGAAGTTCCCATAGCCCTGACCTCATAAGTAGTGGAAAGTGCATGTAGGTCAGGAGCAGGTGGAGCCTGACCAGGAATTCAGGAGACCTGGTCAGCTGCCCCCTCACAGGACTGCAGGCTCTCACCTGAAAAGGAAAGTCTGATCTCTTCTAGTGCCGATGTGGGTGGGGCTTCGTTGCTTTTGTTTTTTCAAGTGAAATTTCACATGGAAGCCCAATATACAAAATGGTTAAAAGTCAGGGTGCTCTGGTTCTTGCCCAGGATCTGGGGCAGGGGATCCAGAGTCCAGCCTCTTTGCCATTACTTTATTCTCTGTTGGTCCCCACCTGGGGCAGCCTCTGCTCTACTCTCAAAAGGAGCTAACCATCACCTGGAAAACTATTGCTCCCAGGTCTCTGGGCCAGTCAGTCTGGGGCACCAGACCCTGCACCATTGCTCACCAAGAGTGGCCCTGTGGCTGTGGCTTCAAGAGCAGAGGCAGAGGCTGTCTCTTCAGCCTACTTGGCTATCTCAGCACACTCTTTCTGTGGATTTGTGATGAGCTCTACAAGAGCAAAAGGTGTTATCAGAGGCTCTGATCATCGGTGTGTCAGCACTGCCTCCACCAGGCCCCAGGTGATTGATGCTCCTCTGGCTCCTGTGGTGGGGGCTAGTACCTATAGATCGCGTGGTTTCTCTGCCTCAGATGTCAAAGCCATTTGATTCATTGTGAGATGCTTAAAAATAAAATACTGTTGATTTTGCTTCTTTAAATAGCCAACATAAGTAACATTTAGTATACAATTTAGAAAACTAAAAATACAAAAGAAAAAATATCCCTCATCACACCACCTAAAGAAAGCTACAGTTAATATTTTGACATTTTGGGATGTGTGTCCTTCTAATCCATTTTCCATGCATAGATGCTATCCATGTCATGTGGTTTTTTTTCCTTTACATAAGTGATATCATATTGTATGTGATGTCCTGTGGCCTGCTTCTTTCACTTATTGTGAACGTTTTCCCATGCAAGATTTGTAATGGCTGTGTAGTATTTCATCAAGTGCATGGATCATAATTCACCTAACCAGCCCCTTTTATTCAACAACCCAGTGCTTTCCAGTTCTTGTTTGTTTTTGCTTTGTTCTGTGTGCCCTGATAAGCTGGCTGCAGGGAGCATTTCTATGCAGTGCCCAGAGCACTCCATGAGTGCCTTTTTGGCCCCTTTCTCACACAGGTACATCGGCCCCAGCACCGTGTTCGGCTCCAGTGGTAAGCTTGCCAATGTGGAGCAGTGGCGGTGTGTCTCTATCCTCCGGAATCATTCAGGCGGTGAGTGGGACTGCCTGTTGGGGTGGGTGGGCCCCTGACACCTGGCTCAGATCAGCAGCACCGCCACGTCCCCTGTGGGACTGTTTGGTCCTTAAAGCAGCCCTATGTCTGGGCTGTCCCACCCCATCACAATCAGTCACACCCTGCCTGTCCCTTAAGATCTGTGCAGTCACCGGGTCCACTACCTGTCTCCAGCTGCATTCAGTCTCCCCACTCTTGCCCTCATGGGGTATATGTTTATATCTTTAATGTAGAACTTCCCACGTTCTGCTGTTTGTCCTGCTGAACAGAATCAGTACCTTCATCAGCGGATCACTAAGTCCGTAAGCACACTTTGTTTATTCCCCAGAAATCAGCTCACAGATGCCCATTGAAAAGTTTCTCAACTTGACCTTGAGTATGTTTGCAGTGTTTTAAATAAACTTGGCATGGAAAGAAGCACATTTTATGAATTTAGACTGAGGGGGAAGGTTGCCCATGCACTGTACACTCAGGTGTCAAGGATACCAGGTTGAGTGCAATTTAGACTTGACTTAGGAGTCTGAGTCCGTTTGGTCCAGGAATGGACCAAAGGGTTTTCCAGGCAGGGTGGTACAGCATAAGTGAGAAAGTCTTGGTGTGAATGGGGATTTGGAGGCATTTCACCATGGCTGGATCTTTATAGACAAGGCAGGGAGCAGCACAAAGTGAGGCTGGTCAGGTATGCCAGAGTCGGATCATGGAAAGCTTGTGCTCCCTGTTACTGAGGGAGTCCCTTGTCATGGAAGAGATAGGGAGCCACTAAAAGCTTTGAAGCACAACAGAGAGGTCATTGTGACAGCTCAGTGAAGTGGAGGTTCTTCCAGTCGTTTAGATGGACACTGTCAGGGCCTGAGCTAGGCCTGTGATAATTGAGGTAGAGAAGAGGAGATTGATTTGGGAATACTTAGGATAGGGCACAGAGAGGTATGAGATAGATTCTTGGCTGGATGCCTAGATAGTCAGAGGTATCACCTCTGCTGAGACCCTAAGGACAACAGGCTTATGGGGACGGATACCAGTTCAGAATGGAGTTGCCCCTGGCTTGAGGGGTAGGGGAAGAAATGTCAAGAAACCTTCAAATTGAGCCTGGAGCTCTGGGCGAGGACAGGGCAGGAGTGAGAGGTGTGGGAGGTGGCATCAGCTATAATCCATTGTTAGTGTATGCTTAGCAGATTCCCTGTAGACTGTTAAAAGGAGAACAAACCCATCTTGGTGGCGGCCATAGATTGAGTCCACATTTGTGAAAGCTGAAACGGTTAGTGTTGTGTTATTGTTTGATAATTAAATTGTGTAATTGGCCCTTACTTGTGTCACAGTACTAACAGTGAAGTCTAGTTGGACTTTTCTGGAACTTGGTGCACATGTCTATGAGGGTGCCCAAGTGTGGGGTAGGCCTCAAGTGAGGACTTTTACAAGGCCCTAACCAGAGCCTTGCATTCTCTTTCCTACCCACCGCCCAGTGGGGCTCCTTTACCAGACAAGTAGAGTTGACCACCTTCAGCTGGGGACCTGACACTCATTACTCACTGGTCCTGGTAGCAGGTGCAGGCAGAACCATTCAAGAAGAAAAATCAATGAAAAGCAGAAGTAAATGAATAAGAAAGAACCGGATCTTTGAAAAGCAAAGTGTGAGAAATATATACTTGGTATATTTAATTGGGGGTTGGGAAGAAAAAACCTAGACAAAATTAGAGTTTAAAGATCTAGAAAAACATTTAACCCAGACAGAAAAAAATCATCAAACAGTACAATATAATGTTTGTACTATTAAGCTAAAGAACAAAATACTAAAAAATAATTTTCTAGAAAATAGGAACTTTCATAATTGATACCATAGGATTAGGAAAAACTGAACAGAATAGTAACCAATGAAGAAATGAAAGGCTGTCTTCAGAAATGCTTCTTGGTTCTAAATTAGTTGTAGGTGCATTGTTTTGAGCTTTTAAGAAAAATTATACAGAACAATAGCAATATTTATAATTGAAAGGAAGATATAAGCCAGGGTTATTGTATCTGGAAAATACAAGAAAACCTAAGAAAAATAATGTAACAAAAGCATAGAATAATATGAATAAAGATAGAAAAATCAGAAACAATACTAGTAAATATAATAACACTTGAAAGCAGTTACTCATTTATTTATTTATTTACTTGAGACAGAGTCCTGCTCTGTTGCCCAGGCTGGACTGCAGTGTTACGATCTCAGCTCACTGCAACCTCCACCTCCCGGGTTCCAGCTATTCTCCTGCCTCAGACTCCTGAGTAGCTGGGACTACAGGCACGTGCCACCACACCCGGCCACTTTTTTTTTGTATTTTTAGTAGAGACAGGGTTTCACTGTGTTAGCCAGGATGGTCTTGATCTCCTGACCTCGTGATCTGCCTGTCCTGGCCTCCCGAAGTGCTGGGATTACAGGCATGAGTCACCATGACCGGCCAGAAAATAGTAATTTATTATGATTAAATGTGACTTGTAAGTGTAGTACAAGGGAATCTATTAATATAACTTTACATACTAGGAAGTTAGATGGGAAAAGCTACAGTCATCTTAGGTGTTTTAAAAGGAACATTAGACAATTCAACATCAGTTCCTATTAAAAATGCTTTTTTTAAAATGCCCATAGGAAGATATTTCTTTTTCTTTTTCTTTTTTTTTTTTTTTTTGAGACTGTGTCTCACTATGTCACCCAGGCAAAATGCAGTGGTGCAATTACGGCTCACTGCAGCCTTGAACTCCTGGGCTCAGGTGATCCTCTTGCCTCAGCCTCCTGAGTAGCTAGGACTACAGATGTACATCACCATACCTGGCTGATTTTTTTTTTCGTAGAGATGGGGTTTCACTATGTTGCCCAGGCTGGTCTTGAACTCTTGGGCTCAAGCGATCCTCCCACCTGCATCTTCCAAAGTGCTGGGATTACAGGCATAAGCCACCACACCTGTCCTAAAGCTATTTCCTTAACATGGTAGAGTCCTTAGTCTTTTTCAAACCAGTGGCAAATATTACAGTTCACAGTTAAGCCTGGTTGCGGTTTATATCAAGAAAAGACAATGATGGGTGCTGTCATTTAATTTGTTGCTCTGGAATTTCTGCAACACAGTTAAATAGAAACTGGAAAATAAGGCAAAAAGGAAATGAAGGTGACATTATTTCATATTAGGAAAAACCATAGGGGGATAAAGCTCTTGGAACAAATAAAGCACTGAAAAATACTTAGAACTAATAAAATGAGTCTTTATATTGGCCTCATAACAGAACAATTTTAAATTATTGGTCTTTTGCTACTAATAGCCAATTAGAATATCTAATGATAAAAAGAGAATTATACAGAGTGGGATCAAAAGTTATAAATATCCAGGAATAAGTAATCTTACCAAGAAATGAATTAGTTTTGTAAGACTTAAATCACAAACGTTTTAAGATACAAAATGACATTGAGAGATAGAAAATGGCTTCCTAAATTGAAAGGCTAGATGAAATACATTTTTTCCCAAATTAATATTTACTTGTCCACATACCAAACATTTATTGAGTGCCTGCCATGTTCCAGGCACTGTTCTTCTCTCAAGGAGATTTGTTCTTGTAAAAGAGACAGACGAGTGAGTAGTATAGGAGATTTGAAGATGAGCCTAGAAGGCAGAGTCCTGTAAGGAGTTGGAAGATGAGTGCTGGGGGCCAGTGAGGAGATGACATTTGAGGGAAGACTGGACGGCAGTGAGGGGACAGCCAGTGCGAAGGCCTTGGAGCATGGACATGTGCTTACTGTGCCCAGTGAACCCCTGGGAGCTGGGGCGGGGGAGGAGGGTGCGGGAGGCAGTGTGCCTTTGAGACCGTGGCAGAGGCTCTTCTCTGAGCAAGAATATGAAGTCTCCGCAGGGATCTAGGCAGAGGAGTTGAGACCTGTGGCAGCAGTGTGGATTCTACCATGGGGGTCTCAGGGCTGCACTGGGAAGACTAGTAAAGGAGCCGCTCCGAAAAACAAGGGAGAGACAATGGTGGTTTGGAGTCATAACACAGAAGTGGTGAGAAGTGATCAGAGGCGGATTTCCTGGTGCATTGAATATGGGATGTGAGATAAGCAGAGGAGTCAGGATGGCTTCCCGGACTATGGTCCAAACAGTGGAAAGGATGCAGTGGCTGTAACCTGAAGCAGGAAGTCTGCAGGTGGGACAGAAATGTTTGTTAAGGGAAGTGTTTTCAGAGTTTGGTTTTGGATATGTTAAGTTTGCCAGTGTAAATGGACATACTGTGTAGACATTTGGAAATATGAATCTTGGAAATATGAGGTTCTGGGTATGAGCAGAGTCCAAGGATGAGCCTAGGGATTGGAGAGCTGAAACCAGAAAAAGAAGCTAGAAGGAGAGGCCAGTTAAGACAGTGAAAAGAAGCGAGGCATGAGGATCACTTGAGGCCAGTAGCTCAACAGCCTGGGCATCATAGCGAGACCCTGTCTCAGCAACAACAACAAAACGGACAGTGAAGAGAGTATTTGAAGGAGAGGGGAACAGGCAGCGTATTGCTTATTGCTGAGGGGCAAAGTGAAGACCAAGGATAGACTGCTGGGCTTGACAGCATGGAGGGTGCTGGGGGCCTAGGCAAGTGCAATATTCATGTGGTGTCATTGGGCCAAAGGTGTCATTGGAGAGTACTCAAAAAACACTAGGAGAGGAGCTGAGCTTTGTCAGGCGTGTAGGAAGATGGAGGAGAAGAAAAGGGGGAGTGGTGGTGGGCTCTCAGCTGGAGGAGAGAGGTAAGGACCAGGTGGTTGGCAAGTGGTGAGGGGACGGCAGCATCAGTAGATCGGAGTTCCTGGTGGCGTGAAAGTGCTGTTGGAGCTGAGGGTGAGCTAGGAGCACGGGGCTGATGGTTGGCCTGTGGGAAGGTTGGAATTGAGACAGATTGCAGTGATTTGTCATGGAAGGCCTCTGGACATGACCGTGGGGTGAAAGTAGTGGAAGCCACGGTCATCAGAAGGGAAGGAGGAATTTAAGGAACCAAGAGCCTGGAGTGTTAGAAGAATCATCCTCTTGGAGTCACCAAGAATGATGGTGAGAACAGTGGCCAGAAATGTAAATCTACAAGTGAGGGGAGGGTCTCCTGTGTGTGTAGATGCACCATAAAAAGGAGGTGCTATATAGTCTGAAGACAGAAACTCCAAACTGGGAGTTTAGGAGAAAATTATGTCATGTATGTGGATTTACTCAGCAGTGATTCTAAAGGATCGTATCTGGAAGGATAAGAATGTTACGGATGAAAACATTCAAAGTTCCAGTGATAGAAACATCATGGGTTTGAGGGTAAACTCGTAACACTGAAAGAGGCTACAGTATACCTAAGAAGTTGGTGTGTTGTGAAAGGAGGCATCGCTTATCAAAATGGATTCTTCCTCACATGGAGCATAGTAACTGTTAAGCAGTTAGTGAGGAGAAATTAATTTCAATCCTCACCAAATACAGCACACACCAAACCAGATACTAAAGAGAGAAACATTCTAAATAACTACACAAGGAAAAAATAGAATTGAATATTTACCAGACCTCTAGCAGAGAGAATATTTTTCAAGGTTAACAAGGCAATAGAAGAAATCACAAAGGAGAATAACAGACTTTACTCCATAAAACTACTACAGTATAAAAAAGTAGAGAGGTGAAATTTGCAGTTAATAGCTGCATTATATGTGTCTGTGGAGATTGCTAAGAAAATCCCTTCTCCTTTCTGGGCTCCCACCTAACCACATATTCTCTGTTCTAGGATGTGGGCACTCCCCTGCTGTCCTGGCGTTTGCATGTGTGCCCCTCCAGGACTCTCAGTTACTAGAGAAAGTTGTTGTTTTCTTCATTTTTGTAGGCACTGCATTTATGTTGTTAGACCCACTGCCCGAAACACTTCCCAGTAAATGGTCACAATAAGTCAGCAAATCAGTCCAAAAACACATTAGATAAGAGACAAACGCTTTCACTAATAATCTAATTAAAAATTTTAAATATAAAATTGTATTGAATAAATAAGTCGGAAGGGGAAAAAGTCATCATCCTCAATGCTAATAAGGGAGTTTTGAAGCAAACAGTCTGCATGTAGAAATGTAAAACCACAGGGATCTTGGAAAAGCAGTCTACAGTTTTATGAGAATCCAGACCTATGAGGATGCTCAGATATTCTGCCCAGGATTCCCACTCTAGGGTATGCGTCTCAGAGTAATAATCTGGAGTATGGAGAGTGACAAATACACACGGGCCCAAAAAACCAGAATCCAGTTAATCTTCAGTGTTAAATTAGGTCAATTAATAGTAGTGAATACTCTCAACCACATAGAATGCAGGGCAAAAAAGGAAAGAAGCTGTGAAGATCACATAGGCATTTAGAATACAAAATGTGAACCACAGCATGTGAGACAATTTGAAAAAAAAAAAAAAACCTGTTAAGCTGTTACTATAGTTTTTTTTTAACTGGAAAAAATACAATAGATATTTGGAATATTTTGCTTAAACCTCTTGTACAAAGAAAGGACTTGATAGCTATTACCTTGCTGCTATGTTTGTTTCTTCAACTCACCAATCATTCTTCTGTATACCTAGCACTGCACCAGGCGCTGAGGTTAGAGAAATAACTAAGACTGCGCCCTTCACCCCTGATGGCAGGATAGGCAAGGTTGGCACCATCGTCACAGCGGACCCTCATCGATGCCTTGGTGTGTGCCTGGCATGGTGTTGCAGCAGTTTATCACATTTAATCCTTACAGTGACCCTATGAGGATAGGTTTTGGGGTTTTTTGTTTCATTGGTTTTTTTGTTTGTTTTTTGAGACAGGGTCTTACTCTGTTGCCCAGCCTGGAGTGCAGTGGTGCAATCATGGTCACTGCAGCCTTAACCTCCCTGGGCTCAAGTGATCCTCCCACCTCAACTTCCTGTGTAGCTGGGGATACAGGCATGTGCTACCAAGCCCAGCCAATTTTTTGTAGAGATAGGGTTTTGCCATGTTGCCTAGGCTGGTATTGTACCTCTGGGCTCAAGCGATCTGCCCACCTCAGCCTCCCAAAATGCTGAGATTACAGACGTGAGTCCCTGCACCTGGCCTAGATTTTGTTTTTTAATCTGCACTTAACAAATGATAAAATGGAGTCACAAAGAAGTGAATGTGAATAATTCTGTTTGGAGGCTCCATAGTGAAGGGGTACTCCTGTCAGGGTCTGGGAGATGAGACCCAGTCCATGAACCAGACGAGGGCCTCAAGATGACTTGTGTTCAGTTGTCAGCAGCCCTGGAGTTCTGACTGTGCCAGGCATTCTGCCATGTGCTTTACCCACTGTGTCTCATGCTCAGAAGGCTCTCGGAGGAAGGCCCTGTTATGATTGGCAAAGCAAGTCAGCAGGGCTGAGGAGCATGCTCCAGGCCACAGACCCACGAAGTAGCAGGCTCTCATGCATGGGTGTGGTGCCATATGGTGCCCAAGCTCTGAACCACGCCCTCAGTTGCTTCGTCTGTAAAAGGAGTGAGGCACTGGGGTCGGTTAGATGCTTTAAATTTATGACCAATTGAAAAATTCTGGGGGGAGTTTTTTCAGGTTGGTTAAAAAATACCAGAGTGGTTATGATGGTCCCAGGTCCCAGGGGCACTGGCCAAGCTAATAGACAAGGGCATCACCAGGTAAGAGATCTCACCAGAACCCTCTGTCTTCTTTCAGATGTGATGGATGTAGCATGGTCTCCCCACGATGCCTGGCTAGCCTCATGCAGCGTGGATAACACTGTCGTCATCTGGAATGCTGTAAAGTTCCCAGGTCTGGGGCCTCCTCTGACTGGTTAACAGCAAGCAGTACTGCCTGTCAGTTTCTGGAGCAGGGGTTGGGCTGTCTCCTTAGTCTTGGTGGCAACAGATGTGTCACAGTGGCCTAGGATTTATGTGTCTTGTCAGTTTTTCTTTGTCAGTTACATTTGTTTAAGCTTTAAAAAGAGATTCATGCTTAAGAAAAATGGTAACTGAGTGCTAGCATGGCATGCCACAGATCAGGAGGGTAATGGATGGGCAGCTGTTGTTGGGGACCCTGATGCTCCTAAACCTGCTGTGTGCACCCCCACCACTGGGCTCTGGGCTCAGCTCAGTCACCATCTCCTCTGTGAAACCCTTGAGCAGATACGGGCTAACACAAACCCAGTTTTGCAAAAGATTGATTTTTCTTATTCATTGTGTTTAAAGTCACAACAGATGGCATAACCTGGCACAGTGCTGCAGTTTATAACTAGTAAAATTCTTCTCATATTTCAGCTCTGTATTTGAAGTATGCTTTCCTTATGGATCCAGGTCATTTTAACTCTTTGAAAGCCACCAGCATGTGTGGAAACACTCAGTCTGGCTATGGAGAGGGAAGCTTTAGAGACCGGAGTAGCATTTGGATTACAGATCTATATGGGGTACCGTCGTACACACCTTTGTCTTCAGCCATAACTTATAAAAGACTCAGCCACAGTCAGGCCCTTTGAGCTAGTAGGCCTCCTCCTTATCAGGGAGCTACCAGGGAGGCTAACGTCAGAAGTGCTGGTGTCACAGCCCAGGAAGGGCAGCCATAGGCAGGGCCGCTAGATACAGATAAGACCTGGATCAGAACTAGCCCCTTGGTGCCTGCCTCCTTGATGCTGTCATTTCTTCAATTGGCTTTTGCCTTGGTGGAGATCAAATGAGGAGGCCCTTCTGCTTCTGTCTGGTGTGGGGGCTGGCCATGGCAGACTGCTGAGTCCCCTCTCTTGCATATCCATCCCATGGCCCATGGATTGCAGGTCATGTTTCCCTCAGACAACACCTCTCCACATTCCTTTTTTCTTCACAGAAATTCTAGCTACTCTGAGAGGTCATTCTGGCTTGGTCAAAGGGTTGACATGGGACCCTGTTGGTAAATACATAGCTTCTCAAGCTGATGACCGCAGCCTAAAGGTGTGGAGGACGCTGGACTGGCAGTTGGAGACCAGCATCACCAAGCCTTTTGATGAGGTAAGTGGGGACAGCTCAGGGAGCTGAGCCCCCGCAGCTGCCCCAGCCTCTTCCTGACTTCTGTGTACAGAGAGGGAGCTGGCCATGGGCCAGGCCACCTGGGGAATGCACAGAGTCCGGGGGCCTGAGCGGATTCACCAAGGCTCTCTGGGGTGGGACTCTGGCCCTAAGAGTCAGATAATACAGAATCCTTCATTTCTGAGACGCTGTTTAATTTCCAACTTTGAAATAAAAGGGATTTATAGTTTTGTTGTTTTTTGCTTTGTTTTGGCGACAGAGTTTCGCTCTTGTTGCCCAGGCTAGAGTGCAGTGGCACGATCTCAGCTCACTGCAACCTCCGCCTCCTGGGTTCAAGCGATTCTCCTGCCTCAGCCTCCTGAGTAGCTGGGATTACAGGTGCCCACCACCACACCTAGCTAATTTTTGTATTTTTAACAGAGATGCGGTTTCGCCATGTTGGCCAGGCTGGTCTCGAACTCCTGACCTCAGGTGATCTACCCGCTTCAGCTTCCCAAAGTGCTGGGATTACAAGCATGAGTCACTGCGCCTGGCCCGGATTTATAGGTTTAAAGTTGAAGTGAACCTTAGAGATGTCTCCACATCATTCTGTCACCCAGCTCACTCCCACAGACGTGGATAAAACTGCTTCTTATAGTGCGGAGTTTACTCTGAGCCTCCCGCAGAGCAGCTTGTTGGGGAGGATGGAGGAGACTCTTGTGCCATCCTCGACTGTGCTGTGCTTGTTGATATGCACCCTGCAGTTCAGGGGCCTTTTTTCCTGGCTGGAGTTAGCAGTACAGTTTGCACATGTTTGGAGATCAGACTGCAGTAGCTTCTCTGGTATTTTAATCTCTCTTCCGTTATTTGAGTTCTGATTTCAAATGGAATGAGAGCTCAAGATCACCATTGTTCATTAGACATTTATTAAGTGTCTACTGTATAGAAGGCAATAACTGGGCACAGGGAAATAAAAGTGGATTGAGATGGAGTCTCTCCTCTTGAAGCTTAAAGCCCCATAGGAAAGACAGGCATTCCCATTAGTTGCATGATAATGGAGTTGTCCAGAGTGCAGAAACAGCCCAGGAGAGGTGAGTGCATCAGGAAAGACTTCACAGAGCGAGGGACACATGAGGGAAGGTTTGCAGGAAGAGCACGCATTTGCCCACTGGTCAGGATGGCTGCAAAAGTAAAGTGATAGTCATATGTTCAGTTCTTCCCGCACAACACCAGCTCCTGGGCTAGGTATATGAGTACTGGTTTTTACCTTACTTAGTCTTGCCCTAAGGAGCTTTTGCTCCTTCTGGAGTTCCTCAGGGCTCTGACTGCCAGGCAGTGGGGTCCCATGAGGTGGACTCCTAGGGACGGCTTTAGGAGTGTCTTGAGTACCAGCAGGAGGTGGTAGTACTCTTCAGCCTCTACTGGGTGGGCCCATCCTTCCAGGTAGGGGGTGGTTCTGTCACCTAGGCTGAGAGCTGAGGTGGGTGATTTCACTATACTCAGGCTCTGGTTTGTCATGTCCTGCTCTAGAGCTGTGAGGTCATGATCTTAACCCTTAAGTCTTTAGAGCTGCCCTGGGCCCACCTTGAGCTTCAAGGAGCTGGCTCTGGACCCATGTCATCTCTTTTTGCAGGAGGGATAATGTGGAGGGATGCTCTGCCTCAGCCCCCAGTCCAGACTGGGGGAGCAGTGCCTTTCTACTGTTCCTTTTATAGTTTATAAGGATGTTACAAACCTCTTCTCCCTTGCGGGTATCCTCACCACCCTTTGGGTGAGGCAACAGGCTCAAGAGAGTAGGTGGTGCCTCACAGTCATCAGCTACATTACAGACACAGGCTTCTGCCAGGCTCCTGGGTTAAAAAGGGCTTTTTCTCCACCAGAGTATATCTTGAGGATGCTGTGCAGATGCCATGCTGTGGGTTAACAGGTGCTACACAGAAGAATTGGGTCAGTGGCCAGAGAGATTTGGCCCATGCAGAGGCTATGGTTCAAACAGGTAGCCTTCCTGCAGATCTCCTCAGGGCATACACTTCTGTACTATATTTCTTTGTTCAGCTCCTCTGGGGGAGTGTAGGATGCTGCAGTTTCCAAATTCATTTCACAGAGCCCTTTTTGGTTGGGCCATCTGGTGAGACAGAAGCTGTCAGTGTAGCCAGAAGCTTGGGGTGCATGCTCCACCATCACACATTTATAAATTGAAGTTTAACTTTATCCTCGAGGCCAGAGTTTTGGTCACAAAGGTGGCCTTGAGCTCCTTTCAAGTGCAGATGCTTCTTTCAGTGTGGAGGAACGACCCATGTGTTGCGGCTCAGCTGGTCACCTGATGGGCATTACCTGGTGTCTGCCCATGCCATGAACAACTCAGGCCCCACTGCCCAGATCATCGAACGGGAGGGATGGAAGACCAACATGGACTTTGTTGGGCACCGGAAAGCTGTGACTGTCGTGGTGAGTGCCCAGGGAACTAAAGGGAGATGGGCTCCAAGATTCAGCAAATATTAATTCTTGGTTTATTTTGAATAGTTATACTTAAATATTTAAAAGCTAATTTTACAAAATAGAGTATGTACTTGGTTGATTTATTGGCAAACTTTACATGTGAACATCACCAAAATCAGTCTTGGGTTAGGAACATCGTAGCTCCACATCAGCCTTTTACACACTCAGGTATGCTTGGGGTGCCCAAGCACGGTGCCACCCTCACCTGGCTCCAGTGAATACAGGTACAATTCTGGTATACCCACCAAGCACTGTGCTTGTCCCCACACCTGGCAGCATCAACCACAGGTGCAAGGCCATGCCATGGATCACTGAGTTGGGAGCTGCTGCCAGATCTTGCTGCGGCAGGTGAAGAGCTCAGAGGCGTGAACTGCTGTCAGTCCTTAGGCATGAGAGTTGTCTGGCCACTCGTCTTATGCTTCTCCATGACTTTAATTAAATAGTGTCCTGACAGAGCCCAAGGCAAGCTGTTAAGTAGTTGCGAATAATCTGTGAGAACCAGGATTTTCTCAACACTGGGCAGCCAAATAAAATAAACAGATTGGTGGACTAAGGTTGATAAAAGTGAAGGATCATCCAAGACCCTGATGAAAATAGACTCACTTTTGCCCGTGTTTAAATAGATAATAAGTATCGGCCGGACACGGTGGCTCATGCCTGTAATCCCAGCACTTTGGGAGGCTGTGGTGGGCGGATCATGAGGTCAGGAGGTCAAGACCAGCCTGACCAACATGATGAAACCCCGTCTCTACTGAAAATACAAAAATTAGCTGGGCATGGTGTCATGCGCCTGTAATCCCAGCCACTCAGGAGGCCGAGGCAAGAGAATCACTTGAACCCGGGAGGCGGAGGTTGCAGTGAGCTGAGATTGCGCCACCGTACTCCAGCCTGGGCGACAGAGCGAGACTCCGTCTCAAAAATAAAAATAAAAAAAGATAATAAGTATCATATATTGTACCTTAAAACACAAATTTTATATGAATAAAATATTACTTATTAAATTTTTTTGTTTTGGAGTTCATGTAGGGTTTTGTTTGAACCAGAGCTTTGTTGCTAAAGTCTTTGGAAATCAGTGCTTCATGGTTAGTGCTCTACGTGATTCTCCCATGCAGTCCTCACAACCACTTTATTAGCAGCTCTGGGAGATCACGACGCCTGCCTATGGCTCACAGAGCTCCTAAGGCCCTGCAGCCTCATTGGTGTTAGAGACAGCAAGCCCAGGGACACGCCTCTGAGTTCCATCTTCTCCAGTCTCTGTGCACCCCGGCCATTCCTGCCTGCCCTCTGGAATTAAAACATCTCTAGGCTACCTGACACCAGGCTTTCAGGAACCCTCCTTCTTCTGCCCTCAGTTGTCCTAGGTTGGGGATTCCCAGAGCGCCCACCCCTTTAAATCCAGGAGGGTGTCTGGGAGCTCAGTGAGTGCTTTCATCCTTTGCAGAAACAAAGACAAGTTACTCTCGGGGTAGTTCCCTGGACTAAGCAGCCAACCAAGCACCTTTGTGTGATATTGCCATGGTCACTGGCCCAGGGAGATCACAAATGACTCTCTGACTGAGCAGATCTCTGCTAGACGGTTATGACTGAACAACAAATGCAGTGAGGCAATAAGGAATTCAGAGATTCACACCCCTCCTGCCCATCCCCTTGGCCTCCCTTAGGAGATAGGGAGTGAGTAGGTCTTTGTTTCTGAAGCCCCCTTGCAGGCTCAGCTTTTCTGCAGGTCCTAGGGCTGGCCCTGCCTGGCCAGAGGGAATTGAGAAGGCTAGTTTCAGTAGCTACGCATCCCTTCTACTTGGCAAGCTCCAGAAATGGAGAGTTTGGTAGCTCTAGTTTCAAATCTGCATTTCCCAGCTTACTCATTTGGTGCCTCCGCACATACTTTCTGACCTCCCTAAGCTTCCTTTCCATCATCAGCCAGATGCCTCATAGGTGGTCGGGAAGATGAAATGCATGCTCAGTGCCTGGGCTCAGAGAATGTCTGTGGGAGACTCCCTTCAGTGGGCTGGGACTTGGGCACAGGGGACATGCCTGATGCTTGATTAATTATTTTTAACATCTGTTATTTGGCTTTAGAAATTCAACCCAAAAATCTTCAAAAAGAAGCAGAAGAATGGGAGTTCTGCGAAGCCTAGCTGCCCGTACTGCTGCTGTGCTGTTGGCAGCAAGGACCGCTCGCTTTCTGTCTGGGTGAGCCTGCTATCCTGAGCTTTTGTTGCAGGACGGGAGGTGTAGGTTGGTAAAGTAGCAAGTGGAGGAAAGAGACCTGCTTTGGGTGATGCTAAGAGTGTATTTCTATTCTGCACCTGGGGTCAGCCCCTCCTTGGAAGCTCACAGGCTCTCCTGCTCTCCCAGAAGGAAGTGCTGAAGACTGGGTCTGTGCCCAGCCAGGAGAGGCCACCTTGACCCCCACCTAGACCAGCTCTTGTGTCCAGACTCAGGCAGCACCCTCAGTGGTCAATGCCATGAGCAGCATGTTGGGCTTGCTTCCTATTAGAAAAATCTTTATATGGCTGGGCGCGGTGGCTCACGCCTGTAATCCCAGCACTTTAGGAGGCCGAGGTGGGCGGATCACAAGGTCAGGAGTTCGAGACCATCCTGGCTAACACAGTGAAACCCCGTCTCTACTAAAAATACAAAAAATTAGCTGGGCGTGGTGGTGGGCGCCTGTAGTCCCAGCTACTCGGGAGGCTGAGACGGAGAATGGCGTGAACCTGGGAGGCAGAGCTTGCAGTGAGCTGAGACCGCGCCACTGCACTCCAGCCTGGGCAACAGAGCGAGACTCCGTCTCAAAAAAAAAAAAAAAAGAAAAAGAAAAATCTTTATATAAAGTGTATTCACCTGAAAGGTACAGTTTGGTGAGTTGTCATACATGTTTACACACCAGTGTCATCACTGCCTAGAGCACTCCTTTTTGTCCCTTTGTCCCTCCCCAGTCAAGACCTCCCTCACCACCAAAGCAACCACTCTAATGGCCTCTGTTACACTGATGAGTTTTGCCTGCTCTTGAACTTCATATAAATGCAATTGTGTGGTACTTGCTTCTTTGTGTCTTCATTTCTTTTGCTTGGCACAGTGTTTTTGAGATTCGTGTATGTTGCTGCACTTAACAGTATTTTATTCCTTATAATTTCGGTGTAGCATTCCACTGTATGAATACACCACAATTTGTTTATACAGTCTCCTGTTGATGGACATTAAGATTGTTCCAGTTTTGAGATATTATGACTAAAGCTGATATGAACATTCTTGTATAAGTCTTTATGTGGATGTACGTTTTCATTTATGAGTACATACCTATGAGTAGAGTTCTAAAATTAAAAAAAAAAACAAAAAAATAGTACCAAGTGTCAGCAAGGACATGATAAGCTGGAACTGATACATTGCTGACACGTGTTGCTGACAGGTGTTTACGCTGGCATGAGCACTTGGGAAAACTGTCTGGCAGTTTCTACCACAGCTAAGCATATGACCTAGAGCACTTCCACTCCTAGGCATACAACCAAGACAGATAAGTGCTTATGTCCACAGAAAAAGACACACAGAAAGCTGACGCCTCTATTAGTCCATTTCACCCCTGGGTGATGCTGTGATGGGTAAGGTTGTGAGCCTAGTACTCCTCACTCGCTGGATCCCCTGAGATGAGGCGATGTCTTCAGCTTCTTTTTTTTTTTTTTTTTTTTTTTTTTGAGACAGAGTCTCCCTCTATTGCCCAGCAGGCTGGAGTGCAGTGGTGCAATCTTGGCTTCTTGAGTCACTGCAACCTCTGCCTCCTGGGTTCGAGCGAGATTCTCCTGCCTCAGCCTCCTGAATAGCTGGGATTACAGGCCACCACACCCGGTTAATTTTTTTGTAATTTTAGTAAAGATGGGGTTTCACCATGTTGTCCAGGCTGGTCACAAACTCCTGACCTCAGGTGATCCGCCCGCCTTGGCCTCCCAAAGTACTGGGATTACAGGTGTGAGCCACCACACCCAGCCCGATGTGTCTTCAGTTTCATTGTTCCCCTCACCTTCCTAACTCAGTGCCCTCTACAGAGCAGGTTCTCAGCAGATATACTCAATGGTAGTTGGCGAGTGAGAACCCAAGGGTAAGAACTGTGGCGGTTTCTAAGTGAGGGCTCCTGAAGGGTTAAGTTTCTCACTGCCAGGGGCTGGTGTGCTGTGACCTGACTGTGTGGTAAGAGACACCTCCGCATGCAGTGCAGGGAGCAGTCTTGGTGCTGAGCATCAAGGTGCCAATATATTTAAAGTTTGATAAAGCAAAGTGCACACACATTAATTTTTTTTTTTTTTCATTTTGTAAAAAAGTGTCCCTATAAGCAGAGCAAGTTGGAAGTTCTGGGTTTGAAGGTTATCCTCTGGCTGCATTTATTAGTTTGGTATAGAGAAATATATTACTGTGTGCGTTGTGATTTTTTTTTTTTTTTTTAGGCCAAGTATTCACTTAACACCCATTCTGGAACCTGAACCACAGTACCACAGATTGCCGTTCAGGGGACCTTCCCTGTTTCCTCCCAGCCAGAGGCCCTGTTTGTGGCGCTGCAACCAAAACATCACTGACTGTGATGCCCATATTTCTTAGAATGCTCAGGTTAGGCAGTCACACGGCCTGTAGATTTCTGAGGGGTCTGTAGGCACATTTATGAGAGGAGGGACAAGGCAGCTTTTTCTAGAAGTGGAATTAAGGTGGAGGCGAGATTCTTAATGTGGGTTCCAGATCGTTCAGACTTCAGCCCCCTCTCCACCACTAGGGTAGACACAGCTTCTCCTTCCCCACATAGCAGTCTCAGGCTGCACTGGGACGCTCAGCCCCACAGCCTCCCAGAAGCTGCAGCAGCACCTATGGGAGCCCACCATCCCGTGAGGAAGTGTGTTTCTTCCCTGCCCATTGTCCTGCAGTTCAGGGCCAGCCAGCAGGGTAGCCAGGCACTTGTGCACAAGTGGAAAGGCCTACCATAGTTGTGGGAACGTGGAGTCAGAGTGTATGCCAGCAATTGAGTGACTCGATAGAGAATATGCACAGTGCATGCTATGCAGTCATCCAGAAGAGACTTTTACAGGATATTTAATGACATACTTATTGTGTGTTAAATGAAAAAACAGACACAACTATGAAGAATAAAATAAATTCTTACTTTGAAGAATAAAATAAATATTTGCACAAAATAGAAGATAATAATTCATCAAAGTATTAATAGTCGGTAACTAGGCCCAGATTAAGGGCCCAGGTGTGTATTTCTGTACTACCTACACATAGTGTAGAATGAGCCTTGGATAAATGTGTACCAGAGTCCCTTGGGCCCAGGGAAGATGTGTTGTGTTCTCTCTCAGGGTGCCTCATCCCCTGTCTAGGCTTTGGCATCGTGTCTCCTGCTCCATAGACCCTCTCAGAGGTCCACCCTGGGGCTGTCCCTCTCCTCCGACCATAGCCCTTCAGAAACCCACTCCCACTCTGCCTTCTCTGTTGCTAGTTATCTGTGTATAAAGCTATTTCCCCTGTCAGACCACAGCAAGCCCTGGAGGCAGGGTCCACTCTAGGTAGCATGCACATTTTTGGCAGGCTTTGGTTCCCACAGTTTGGGATCTCTGCAGCTGCAGTTTGAATAGAGTTGAAGATGCCTTAAATATCAGCAGCCACTTTGACCCAGGCTTCTAGGTTGGTTATGTTAACTGAGCTGAATACAGAAGGGGATTTCAGTAATTTCATTAACCTTGACTGTGTCTTTCCTTCCAGCTCACATGTCTGAAACGGCCGCTGGTGGTCATCCATGAACTGTTTGACAAATCCATCATGGATATTTCCTGGTAAGGTGGATTCTACTTACAGGAATAGGTTAAGAAAGGAGAAGCCACACATTGGAACATGAGGCCTTCTGGGTGTGACTAGGGTCAGGTGGCCAGTGGCCCCTCCCCAGGTGTCATAGTAGCGCAGACCAAGAGTGCTGTTTGCACGTGATTTGGGAACTGGCAGCGGTGTACCTGCTGCTGCGAGAATGTCCTGCCTGTGTAGAATTTGCCACTGGAAAATGCCTTTTCAGGATTTGTCTAAGACGAGGAGAATGACGTGATCCTAGTATGTTCCACTTTACTCCGTCAGTGCATGAACCAAAGTCAGAAGCACACTTTCTGCTTCTCAGTGACCTGATTTATATGTATACTTTGTCAAGTTTTTTTTATTTTAATAGTTTCAAAAGTAAGATAAGTAAAATTGAAAATTCTTACAGAACATATGGTAAAGGAGATATTTTGTACACCTGCTTAGAGCTAAAGAACACCAGGGCCCTTTGGGATACAATTGTCGCCCCCTCCCCCCCCCGCCCAGGCCAAAGAAGGGAACCAGGCCACAGAAGGGAACCAGGAGTTTCCAGCATCTCCCTAGAACACTGCCCACCATCCTCACAGGCCAGCTACTGCGGCACATGTGTCTGCCTGGGGCTCTTGCTACCAGGCTGCTGATGGCCATGTCTTTCAGGACTCTGAATGGGCTGGGCATCTTGGTATGCTCTATGGACGGCTCTGTGGCATTCCTCGACTTCTCCCAGGATGAGCTTGGCGATCCCCTGAGCGAGGAGGAGAAGGTAGGCTGACGGCTCTTGTGCTGCTGGGTGCTCTGTGGCCATTGCCACAATAGCTCTGAGAGACCCCTTTGACTACACCCTCTTCTTGTGAGATACACAGACAAGTCATTTCTTAACATGTAATGGGGTATTCATCTTTTATATCTTGTAATCCTTCTTTACAAAATAGATTAATTAAAAAACGAGTCCCCATTTCAGAAATAAGTCCTGGAGTTAAGAGTAGAACTATTTTAGGCATCTCTTTTTGAGCTGATAATAGGCCATCCACTGGGAGGTTTTTGCCCTGGGAAAGAGCTGAAGTGACTCCTCAGGGGCCCCTGCTCATGTCACTTTCACCTTCATGGTAGTAATATTGGTCATTTCTTAGAACGCATTGTCTGCCAGGCTCTGGGAATGTGTTTTGCACATATGATTTCATTTAAATTGCACAAAACCCTTCAAGGCAAGGCTCATCCATTTCGTGGATATGGAAACTAAGCCTCAGAAAATAGCATGGCTCTTTGCCCAGACTGTATGTGACCCTTAGGTCAGAAGAGTGAACAAGGCCTGCTGCCTCTGGGCCAGGCTGCCTCCCCTCTGTGCTCTGCTGGGGTGATGGGGTCTCTCTGCCCTTCTGCCAGGCTTTGAGAAAAGCCCTGCTTCACCTACCAGAGGCTTAGAAACCTGCCCCCACTTGGTGGGTTGTGTGTATGTGTCTGAAGGGAGCTCTGTGAAAGCCCAGAGCAGGCTGGCAGCTCTCCTCATGACCTTATTTGCTGGTGGAAGCTTCCTCTTAACCTACAGTGTGACCTCCCCACTAAAATGTGAACCCCTTTGGGGGAGAGGTCTGCCTTAATGACTACACTTAGAATGGGGCCTGCCACCCCATCATTTTTCCATGAAGGAATGAGTATCTCAGAGGCCTCAGGTCCTCCTCCAACCTTGTCACTGTCATCAGGTACCTGGGATCACTATGCACTCCCTTGGAGTCACTCTGGGAGCCTAATAACCCATCTGCTTACCATTTCCCAAGTCAGGCTGGGACTCCATGTTGGAGGAACACTAGGGAAACCCTGGCCAAACACTGAATTCTGCTTCGAGATTCCAGGGGATAGACTCAGGAGAGAAGGGCAGGAGCCAAGATGGCAAGAAAAGGAGGTTCCTGGCCACATTCAAGCCCTGCAGGAGCAGGTCCCAAGGCACCTCTCTTGGAACGCTGCCTCTCAACCCATGCTCTGCTGTAAAGCAGATGTCCTGTTAACCACAGTCCCTGTTCTTGAGCAGAATCCCACATTGGACATTTGCACATCCCATGGAAGTGTGTTCCTCATGCACTTTCATGTACAGCAGTCACTACAGTGTGCTGGGGACACCATCTCTGCTCTCATGAGGCTCCTGTCTAGCTTGTTAGGGCACAAGACTATGAGGGCCTAGAAGGAGGGGAGTATGATGACATACTAGGAGGGGTGGGAGTAAAGGAGGCTCCCCAGCCCTGCTGTGCCAGGCCTTCCCATACTCTTAGAGACACTAAGCAGGCCAATGGGGACTTCCAACCACAGGGCTTATGGCTGCAGATGAGCTGTGAAAGTAGACTTTTGTTCTAGGATCTGATTCCCAAAATCATTTGGGTCCTAGGAGTGATTTAAGAGCCTTAAGTTAGCACCTTGAGTATCTTCCTTTCCACTGAAGCACTGTGGATTGTCATTTGTTCTCCACCAGACTGTGGGGCAGGTGTTGTCTTGTTGGCTGTCTCATTTACTGTCATCCCAGCTACAGATACAAGGGAGGCCATAAAAATCAAGGGTGGGCATGAGACATCAACAGAGCTGTCGAATGAGGGACAGGCAGAATAGGATGGGAGGCGATGGGGAGTTGGCCTTGGGTCCCTTCTCCACTCAGAGCCAGGAGAGCCCTGCTGTAGTTTGCCTGCTGGTGGGCAGCACTGGCCACACTGGCACTCATGCTGGCATGTCATGCCTCTCCTTGCTTCCCCAGAGCCGCATTCACCAGTCCACCTATGGCAAGAGCCTAGCCATCATGACCGAGGCCCAGCTCTCCACAGCCGTCATTGAGAACCCTGAGATGCTCAAGTACCAGCGAAGGCAGCAGCAGCAGCAGCTGGACCAGAAGAGTGCTGCGACCAGGGAGATGGGCTCAGCCACCTCAGTCGCAGGCGTTGTCAACGGGGAGAGTCTTGAAGATATCAGGAAGGTGAGAGCCCTGCCTGGTGGCGCTAAAGACATGGACATATGCCCAGGGACAGGGTGAGGGGCAGACACCAGTGGTGGTAAGGAAGGGGTTTGTTTAGAGTGGTACGGGATCTGTGGGTTAGCCAGCCTCGGGCCTGTTGGCCCCTTGCCCACTGCTGCATGATGCAGTAATGGGGCCTGGATCCTCTTTATCAAAGGCCTCCTTATCCCCAGGAGCCCAGAGGAGGTCATCTCTTGTAAGAACTTACGAATTTTATCCTTCTGGTCTTTCTAAAAATCCTAGATGCTAACAACAGTGGATTTCAGGCTCTGCCCTTAGGAGACTTCTATGGGCTCCCCCTTCTTCATCTGGAAGCCATGTTTGATGGGAAGGGGTTGGAAATGGGGCGGGAAAAGGGTAGGGAACGTTATTGCCTGGGGAGTATAAACCATCTCCAGGAGCCTGTGTAGGCTGACAAACCTCCTCCAGGCAATTCAGATATAAAGTATGAGAGAAAACCCCTAGTTACAAGCTTTCTGTGGAAGGAAGGATTCTATTTTGAAAGTCAGTTTGAAAATCTCTACCTCAGGCCAGGCGCAGTGGCTCACCCCTGTAATCCCAGCACTTTGGGAGGCTGAGGCAGGCGGATCACTTGAGGTCAGGAGTTCCGACCAGCCTGGCCAACATGGTGAAACCTTGTCTCTACTTAAAAAAAAAAAAAATAGCCGGGTATGGTGGTGCATGCCTATAATCCCAGCTACATGGGAGGCTGAGCAGGAGAATTGCTTAAACCCGGGAAGCAGATATTGCAGTGTGCCGAGACTGCGCCACTGCACTCCAGCCTGGGAGACAGAGTGAGATTCTGTCTCAAAAAAAAAAAAGAAAGAAAGAAAATCCCTAGCTTAGTGACAGATGTGTGGTTCACGGGTACAGAGCTCAGTCCTTTAGCCCTTTCATTGGTCCCATGGCTGTTGTGCGAGGCGGCCAGTGTGGCATGTACCCACTGCTTGTTCTTTGCTTGGGTGTCTTATTTAGTTGTACCAGGAGGGCAATTTAGAATACATTTCCTTAGAAGCCTTATTATTTTTAAACCTACCGTGTTGAAGTACAATTGACATATAAAAAGTTATACATACTTAGTGTGTACAAATTAATGATAAGCCAGACACAGAAGGACAAATACCGCATGATATCTCTCTTTTTTTTTTTTTTTTTTTTTGAGATGGAGTCTCGCTCTGTCACCAGGCTGGAGTGCAGTGGCGCAATCTTGGCTCACTGCAACCTCCGACTCCCTGGTTCAGGCGATTCTCCTGCCTCAGCCTCAGCCTCCTGAGTAGCTGGGATTACAGTTACACACCACCACGCCCAGCTAATTTTTGTATTTTTAGTAGAGACGGGGTTTCACCATGTTGGCCAGAATGGTCTCGATCTCCTGACCTTGTGATCTGTCCACCTCGGCCTCCCCAAAGTGCTGGGATTACAGGCGTGAGCCACCGTGCCTGGCCTGCCTGATACCTCTTATATGAGGAATCTAAAATAGTCAAACTCACAGAGACAGAGAATAGAATGGTGAATACTGGGGTCAGAGGAAAATGGGAGTTATTAGCCAAAGGGTATAAAGTTTAAGTTATAGAAGATGAATAAGTCCTAGAAATCTCCCCTACAGCATAGTGCCTACAGTTCACAATATGATATTGCATACTTAAAACTTTGCTAAGAGGGTGGATCTTATGCTTAGTGTTCTTATCACCAGGAAAAAAAGAGACTTTATTTTTTAATATTTGGAAATAGTTGGCCAAAACTTTTGCATTCATTTATGTAACTCTGCTTTGCCAGAATCTTTTGAAGAAACAAGTTGAGACTCGGACAGCAGATGGCCGGAGAAGAATCACGCCTCTCTGCATAGCACAGCTGGACACTGGGTACTGGTTCATTCCCCTTTCATGGTCTTATCTGGCGAGATCTTCCTGTCTTCTTTCAGCGGTTAACACTTTCACAGTGAGGATCTTCACGGGTCCTTCACAACCTGACTGGTAGAACATGGAAGCAAGGAAGTGAAGCTCAGCTTCCCGCAGTCTCAAAGCCCATACTCCTCCTGGAGCCCTTGTGCACACCTGAATCATGTGAGGGGTGGGAGTGCTAAGGCGGCCAGCACATCTGCTGCACTTCACTGTTGCCAGGGCACCAGAGGACGCACAAGGAAAGCAGTCAGTCAGGCTGATTTTTTTTTTCTTTTTTTTCTTTCATAAAGTTATTTTTATGATTATGAAAGGTATATTTACACATGGTTAAATTTAGAAAATAGTAAAAGCCCAAAGAAGAAAAAAACATTATCCATAATCAGATACAGTCACTGTTAATGTTTTTATATCTGTATTTCCAGTCTTTTTTTTCCCCACTCGTTACTGTTTCATGCCCATTCATCCATTTTAATAACTAGTCCTCTGAGGTGTTTGCTATCTGATTATCCAGATTCCCATCCTAGGATTTGCTTAGCCAGCTCACTGTAGACTTGTGTTTGTGTCCAGTTTCTCGTGATTATAAATGAGTCTTTGAGCTCACCTGTGGTTGTTCTCTCAGGATAACTTCTAGAAGTGGAATTACTGGGCAGAGAGTAGGGCTCCCAAACATATTTCCCTGTGGGGGACAGAGAAGGGGGAAGAGACTCATTCACCACTTGCTGTTGTCCCAGTGTATATAGTGAAGATTGTTTTTGAATTGGTTATTCTTCCCAAAATGATGTGTGTTGATTCAAAAAAAAAAAAAAAAAGAAAGAAAAATGATAAAGCACTGTGTGAAAGAAATAGACCCCCACTGTCAAGGCAGTTCACTCTGGGTTTTATTCTCATTCCGTCTATCTGCTCAGGGCATTTGTAAGCCCTTCATGGAGGCCACACACTTTAGGCCTCTGCGTTTTGCAGTTGTCCATCCACGAGCTATTCCAAATCTTCCTTGGTGTCTAAAGAAACCTTCACTCGTACAGTGTACAGATCCAGTCTCCTCATGTTAGATGTGCAGGCTCTGAGGTCCCCACGAGTAGAGCAAGAACCAGGTCTGCTGGCTCCCCACAGAGCACTCATTTTCTTTTGACTAAGTCTTTTTCCTATTGTGACCCTGTAGGGGGTAATGCCCCTACCTACCTTTTATTGAGACCAAGTGAGACCCAGTGTGTGGTTGAGCTCTGAACATACTGGGCCTGTGGGATGGGGAGGTGGTGGTGGTGATGGTGACACTTTGTTCTGTGGATCCTTCCAGGCGTTACCTGGTGAGAAGGTGTAGGTGGCTTCCTAACTGGTCTGGGGCCAACTTTCTGACATAGGATGCATATTTCTAGCATCAGGACCTGATCCTTTTGGTATTAAAAGCTTTTTGCCCTCCTGATTCCCACGTTCTAACACGTAGCAACAGGATAGGTCCTTATTAGCTTAGCTAATCAAGAAAGAAGAGAAAAAGCATAAATATACAAAGTAGGTATAAGTGAGAAATAATAGACAAATCAAAAAGATGAGAGACTTCTTTGCTGAACTCTGTGCAAATAAATTTGCACAGAAAGTGGATGGTTTTTGAAGAAAATAAAATTACTAAAAGTGAAAAATTATTGTGGAAGAAATAGAGGACAGAGTTAACCCCACCAAAGCCACCGGACTAAGATGGCTTCACAGGGAAACTTCAGGAACTTTTAAGGAACAGGTAACTCAGGTAACTGTTAATACCATTTTAAATATTCTAGTGCATGGAGAAGAAATGTGCAAATTTTTATTTTGAAATGAACATAATATATCAAAATCTTACAAGGATAAAACATAATAAATTCAAGATCATTCTCATTTCTGAATGTCAGTGCAAAATCCTAAGTAAAATAGTAACAAACAGAACCTTACTGCTTGTTAAAAGGCTAATATACCATGACCAAGTGAGGTTTGTTTTGGGAAAGTAAGGAGGTTCAAATTTTAGGTAACTATTTAATTCTACGTATCAGTAGATCAAAAGAAAAAAAATTATATGATCTCTCATCGATGCTTAATAGGCGTTTTGGTAAAATTCAACGTTGTTTTAAAACTCAGTTAAATGGGAATAGGTGGATGCTTCCTTAACTTGATAAATTATCTTATTTCAAATTAAGTTCAAAAACTAAACAAATGCCTACTCTTGCAACTATAATTTAACATTGTTCTATAGGTCCTAGCCCATGTAGTTAGTCAAAGGAAAGAACAAATTGGAAAGGATAATTATTTAAGGATGATATGGTTTATAAGAGAATCAACTGGAAAAGCTGCCATAGGCAATGAAAGAAGATAGTCACATGGCAGGATACAATCAACATGAAGTCAGGTAGCACCAACTACCCTCAGAGCACATAAAGAAATAAGTCATATTCACAAATAAAATAACTAGGATGCAACCAGAGATGCATATCTTAATGAAGAAAAAATTAAAAACCCTACTGAGAGGCTTCAAAGAAAACTCAAAGAAATAACTAGAAATTCATACCATTGATTAGCTAGGATGGCATCATAAAGATGTCAGCTCTCTTGTAGCCTATAAATTTAACCAGTACAAATAACCGTAGGAATTTTGGGAATCAGACAAGGTAACTATAAAGTTATGTGGAAAAATCGACTGGGCACAGTGGCTGACAACTGTAATCTCAGCACTTTGGGAGGCCGAGGCAGGCAGATCACCTGAGGTCACGAGTTTGAGACCAGCCTGGCCAACATGGTGAAACCCCGTCCCTACTAAAAATATAAAAATTAGCTGGGAGTGGTGGTGCCCACCTGTAGCTACTGTAGCTACTACCTGTATCCCAGATACTTGGAGGCTGAGGCAGGAGAATTGCTTGAACCTGGGAGGTTGCAGTGAGCCAAGATAGTGCCACTCTCCAGCCTGGGTGACAGAGTGAGACTTTGTATCAAATAAATAAATAAATAAAATAAAGTTATCTGGAAAAATAAATAGGAATGGCCGAAATATTTCTGAAAAAGAAGATTAGCCAGGGAAGACTAGCCCCACCAGAAATTAAGACTTAAAAGCTGTCATAACTCAAAACAGTGAGATACTGACACATGAGTAGATAGTGCAGTGGAATATGATAGAATATGAGGAAACAGGCCCGAATATTTATGGGAATTTTAAAGGTAGCATTTCACATCAGTGATAAAACATTGGCTAATTCGGTAAATGGAAGACAGGACTACATGGCACCTCCTAGAAACAATGTTGGGTCCCAGCCTCATAACTTATCATTACATACATTCTAAACAGCTTATAGTTTGTTTCTTTTTAAATTGTTATTTAAAATATTTTTGTTTAAAATTTTAGAAGATTCCCTGGAAGAATATTTTTTATAATCTCAGAGGTCAAAAAAGTGTTTTCTGTAAATGACAATTTAGAGTACACAAAAATTTTAAAATTTTAGTGCATTTAAAAGATAGGCTGTCTGGGCGTGGTGGCTCACACCTGTAATCCCAGCACTTTCGGAGGCTGAGGCAGATGGATACAAGGTCAAGAGATCAAGACCATCCTGGCCAACATGGTGAAACCCCGTCTCTACTAAAAAATATAAAAATTAGCTGGGCGTGGTGGCACGCCCCTGTAGTCCCAGCTACTTGGAAGGCTGAGGCAGGAAAGTCACTTGAACCCAGGAGGCAGAGGTTGCAGTGAGCCGAGATTGCGCCACTGCACTCCAGCCTGGCGACACAGCGAGACTTCGTCTCAAAAAAAAAGGCCATAAATAGTTGAAACACAACATCCCAGGTAAAATATTTCCTACCATATAAGGAATTTTTTTAATATGTAAATGATTTTTACAAATCAGTAATAAAGACCAATAACAAAACAGTAGACAAAGCATATGAACAAGCAGTTCACAAAAAAAAAAAAAAAGAAATCAAGTATTTCTTTTTTTTTTTTTTTAATTGAGGCGAAGTCTCACTCTGTTGCCCAGGCTGGAGTACAGTGGTGTGATCTCAACTCACTGCAGCCTCTGCCTCCCTGGTTCAAGAGATTCTCCTGCCTCAGCCTCCCAAGTAGCTGGGATTACAGGCGCCTACCACCATGCCCGGCTAATTTTTGTATTTTTAGTGGAGACGGGGTTTCACCATGTTGGCCAGGCTGGTCTCGAACTCTTGACCTCGTGATCCACCCGCCTCGGCCTGCCAAAGTGCTGGGATTACAGGCATGAGCCACTGCGCCTGGCCGGAAATCAAGTATTTCTACTTTGAAAAACTGCCGGCCGGGCACGGTGGCTCACACCTGTAATCCCAGCACTTTGGGAAGCCAAGGCGGGCGGATCACGAGGTCAGGAGATCGAGACCATCCTGGCTAACACGGTTAAACCCCGTCTCTACTAAAAATACAAAAAATTAGCCGGGCATGGTGGCGGGATACTCGGGAGGCTGAGGCAGGAGAATGGCGTGAACCCGGGAGGCGGAGCTTGCAGTGAGGCGAGATCGCGCCACTGCACTCCAGCCTGGGCGGCGGGAGAGACTCTGTCTCAAAAAAAAAAAAGAAAAAGAAAAAATGTCAACGTCACTCATATCAAAATAAGATACCATTTTTCTTCTGTCAGATTGTTAAGTGTCAAGAAATTTGATAAAAGTGTTACTAAGCACCTATGTGGAGAAATAGGCGCTCTCATACATGGCTTGTAATTTAAACCTCTGAGGAGGGCACTTTAGAAATATTTATTCCAAATCATCAGTGAACATTTCATTTGCTGCTACAATTCCACTTCTAAGAATTTATCCCATATATTATGTGAATCTTAGGTGTAATGACAATTATTAGAATTTCATAATTCTTTGAGCAGCCAATGTGTGTTCTAAGAGTGTCCTACACCAACTGCTTTAGTCCTGACAGCAACCCCATGGGGAGAGTCCTGGCACTTTGTATTTTGCAGACATGACTGGAGGCACAAGAGTAGTTAGAGCAAGTCACAAGCTAACAAATGGCAGAGGAGTCAGACCTGGCTGTCCCAGAATCCTCAGTTCTGACACTGCAATACCTTGCTTCCTGGTGCAGCAGCATCTGTTCTAGAAAAAGCTGGAGACAGTCTTGTGGTCCCTCAGTAGAGGCTGGGTTAGGTATATTATGGCACACCCATCTAGTGGCATGCCCCATGGCCCTTCATGAAAGGGAGGCCCTTTCTGTATTGCTGCATTTCATTCCTCCTAAGACATGTGTTTGCACAGTTTAACACCTCTGAGATTTGGGTGTGTTGTACAGTCAATGGCATCTGACAATTAGTAGCATTGTTTTCTTTCTTAGTAGTACATATAGAACCTGTAAATCCTAGATTCAATTAAATATAGTATATTAAGTGGCTTTAATTTTCTTTTTACTTTTCTGTAACTTTGCAGATTTTCTATCATGAAAACATACTGCCTTTGGACCTAGAAAAAAGTTATTTGAATGTATAAAGTACTGGATGTGGCACCTGACTTTCAAGGCTGACTTTTGTTCTTACTTGATGACAGGGACTTCTCCACGGCATTCTTTAACAGCATCCCCCTCTCGGGCTCCCTGGCGGGCACCATGCTCTCTTCTCATAGCAGTCCACAGCTACTGCCACTGGACTCCAGTACCCCTAACTCCTTCGGCGCCTCGAAGCCTTGCACAGAGCCTGTGGTGGCTGCCAGTGCCAGACCTGCAGGCGATTCTGTCAATAAAGACAGGTTAGTGGGTGCCAAGGCTTGTTCCTGTCCCTGGGGAAAGTTCAGGTTTGCACATAGTTTTGAGGACAGAGAATTTTATTCTGTTTGCACTTTGTGGCCCCTTCAATCAAAAAAGAAAGAAAAAAATGCGTGATTTGAAATGGGGACTTCTCAGAGGGGAGGACTTGTTCAGTGAGTCTCTGATGCACAGGACTGTTGAGGATTTCACAGAGTGTATCAAGGCTGACCGAGGGTCAGGCTGCTAAGGGTGGGAACTACCAGTGAAATGCTACGTGCTGCAGGGTCAGCCCCACCTGGCAGCTCTACACTGGAGGTGCTTCACATTTCTGGGGCCTCAGCTTCCACTTCACTCTGCTGAGCACATCACACAGCATTCATCTTAGGCAGGGTTCTCCTGTGGGAGGGCACAGACTCCCCTTATACTCTCAGAATTATATTCACTCACAGAGCCTGTGTCCTCACCCATTGTTACTTGGAAACCAAATTAGAAATCAGAAAGAACCAGGCAAGCACAAATGAAAGCCAGGAGTGAACGTTTGCTCAGCACCTGCTCTGGGTTATACACCCTGCTAGGCCCCAGGCATCGCAGGGGCTTAATGGGTGGGTCCTCATCCTCAGGGAGTGTGTAGGCTGGTGGGGGAGAGGTAGCCACAGGGTTGCAGGTGGCCCCTCAGGTCCCCTGGATAGAAATGGCTAGCCATCCAAAGAGGGGCTGGTATCTCAGGGATCAGGGAGGTGCCTCAGAGGGTACCCTCCACAGGACTCATACAGGCCTACCAGGGGATGAGGCCTGGGGATTAGGGGCAGCAGCCCCCCAGTCCCCTGAGGAAGGCCAAGAAGAGGGAGAAGGCCAAGGTGTCTGTGCTGGATCAGGTAGTCTGGGCTTTTCCCCAGAGTGGAGACGTAGAAGGCTTTGAGATCTCCATTTTAGGAAAGTGACTCTGTTAGGCGGTGGTGCCCCAAATAGGCCACTCCCTGGCACATACAGCTGATACCGTCAGAGCGATTCTCCATTGGTGGAATGGAGTCTTGTGTTACTGCAGCCCCCTGCTTCTGGGATACAGCTGATACCGTCAGAGCAATTCTCCATTGGTGGAATGGAGTCTTATGTTACTTCAGCCTCCTACTTCTGGGTGCTAGCACCATGGCTGTGAAGGCATGCCCAAACATTAGGTCACTGCCCTGGGGGGACCCTGAGAGGGTAGGAAGAGAAGACTGAGCAGCAAGACCAGTGAGGAAGCAAAGCATGCCAGGACGAAGGGAGCCTGGGAAGGACAGACCATGCCAGATCTGAGAACTCTGTGGGGATGGCCCATTCTAGTGGCCACAGATCATGGAGGAGAAGAATGGGGCTGTCCAGGGTGACTACCAGGCATGTGGTGTGGTGTCTGGGCAGATAGGAGTGGAAGGTGTTAGCCTGGGTGTGCTTAGGAGGAGGTCCAGTGGCCATGGTCCCAAAGCGTGTGGTGTGGGCTTGGACATGAAGGATGGACCAGGCAGGCTTCTGCCTGGCCTCTCCTTTCTCTGTGGAATAGAAGATGAAAGTTGTGTGATGAGCACTTGGAGCATAATGCTAAGAATGTGACACTGTCACAGGGAGATATGGGAGGGGCCGCTCAGGATGGAGGATGCCTGACTAAGGGTAAAAGCAGACCATGGCTTCAGGACCCCAGGTGCAGGCTTATCTCATGAGACTCATTGTCAAAGTGGGAAAGGTGAGTGGCTGGAGTGGTTTGGGGTAGAGGTGCTGTATTTAAGTTGTGGAGATAGGGCAGTGTGACTAGAGAAAAGGGTTGTAAGAACCATGTTCTAGGCCTCATTCTACCCGCAAAAGCTCTCAGAACAGTGCAAAGGGGGAAATGTGAATGCATTTGCTCACAACCTTCTAGGTGTCCATAATTTTGACACATGAAAATTTTAAAGAAATGGGAGTAGTAGATTGTATCTTGACATTTTTTGTGTTTATGGAAGTTTGATATTTGTGCCTTTTTTAGTAGGCTCCAAATAATGCAAATACTAGACCTCCAGATCCTTTCAGGATTGCGCTTGACATGCCTCCCCTCTTCTTCACCCCAGTATGAATGCTACCTCTACTCCTGCTGCATTGTCACCTTCTGTGTTAACGACCCCGTCCAAGATCGAACCCATGAAAGCGTTTGACTCCCGGTTCACAGAGCGGTCCAAAGCCACACCAGGTGCTCCTGCCCTGACCAGCATGACTCCGACAGCTGTGGAAAGGTAGGTGGTAGCTGCAGGACCCTGAAGGACCAGGCAGGGTGCAGGCATGGGTCAACAGCACAGTGGCAGTGTTCCCACCAAGCAACCTGCCTTCCTGTTGGGGAAAAGACTCTAGCCACTCAATACATGGGAGCAAGACTGCAGAGCCCTTAGTGAGCCACCAGGAGAAAGAGGTGGTTCCTTGAAGTGGGAAGGTGGCTGGAAGGAGTCATGGGGGAGGACGCGGCAAAAGAACCACAAGGTCAAAGGCACAAGGATTGGTCAGTGCAGAGGCTGAACTGAGAATAATGGTGTTTGGATGGAGCCCAGAGTTTGCACGGAAGAGAGCATGAGATTAGTTGGAGAGGTGGAAGACTCTGATATTGATACATCATGGAAGTGACGGCCTTCCACTCAGAAACTGACCAGAGGTAGAGAGCTGCAATAAAAATGATGTAAGTGAGGTCTTTGTCAAGTCAGATTGGCTTCTGAGCTCTTGTGGACACTATGCTGCTTATCCATTCTCTGGGTCTCCCCTCAAACACAGCTGTGACATCACGCAGGTTGTAGTTCTTTATTTCTTGGAGTTTTGCAGTAGTGCATCCTCCTGAGGTGGCCAGAGCGAATGTCTGCAGCCTCTGCCATTGGCACTGAAGTTCTCTGCCTCCTGAGAGGGCCCCTCCCTCCAAGCCTAGCTTGACAAGGAGCTAAGTTCACATCCCAGTGAGTCAGAGCCTAGGAGAGGAGAGGCAGATGTGGGCTGGACTTTGGGGGCTTAAGAGCTGTCCCTTAAGAGTTGCACCCCACTGCGAGGTTTATAGGGCTCAGCAGCCCTGGGCAGACACACCCTAGCCTGTGCCACCATCAGCCAAGTACAAGGACACTGGTCAGAAACTTGCAGTAGCCACACAGCCAGCAGGTGCCCAATGAAAGGAGCATTTGTATGTGACCTGTCCTTGCAGTAGATGGTGATTTGGAGCTAAAGCCACAGCATGCTACCTCTGGGGCTTTGCTTATGAAAAGCCCTGTCCAGAACTGCATGTCTGGACAGGATTTATTCTCCTTGGAAAACAGTTCCTGGAAGCTAGCATGGGAGGACCCTTTCTGCAAGTTTGATGCTGTATCTATAAACTTGGTGTGGAATCTTGTAGTCTGCTCTGTAATCTAATCATGCTTGTTTCATAATTAACTCAATGCAGGCCACATGCGATAGCTCATGCCTGTAATCCCAAATGCTTTGGGAGGCCAAGACAGGAGGATCGCTTGAGGCCAGGAGTTTGAGACCAGCCTGGGCAACATAGTGAGACCCGTATCTCTACCAGAAAAATTATCCAGGTGTTGTGGCTTATGTCTATTGTCCTAGCCACTCTGCTCACTGCAACCTCCGCCTCCCAGGTTTGATTGATTCCCCTGCTTCAGCCTCCCAAGTAGCTGGGATTACTGGCGCCTGCCACAACACCTGGCTAATTTTTGGTAATTTTAGTAGAGATGGGGTTTCACCATGTTGGCCACGCTGGTCTCAAACTCCTGACCTCAGGTGATCCACCCGCCTCAGCCTCCTAAAGTGCTGGGATTACAGGCGTGAGCCACCGCGCGCGGTCTCCATGCTTCTAAATACTTTGAAATGCTGGATTAAATGCAACCCTCGTCCCTAAAATGAATAACTAGTTCACAGGAAAGAGCAGTACCCAGAGTCTAAAATCTAAGAGTGAACAAAAAAGCCAGAGCAGTGAGCAGAACTGCACCATGGGTGCAAGGCTAGGGGTCTTGACTGAGGACCTTGAGTTTTAATGACCACATCGACTTGAGACAAGGCCTGGGGTCTAAGCCATGTAGGAGTTGGAATTAAGTCACCAGCATAAAGTCAAGCTGCTTAAAAAAGGACTGAGGCAGACCTGGGAAAACCCAACTGACAGCACAAGAACTAGCAGAGAAGTTGGAATGTCTCAGCCTGTTTTTGGGTTGGGATAACAGTCTTCCCTTGAGACTGTGTAACCACAGGTCTGCCCTCATGTGGATTCAGGGCCAGTTTAATACTACTTGTGTTGTATAGAAATCGCCAAGCCGAGAAATGAACACAAACGAAATCCTGGTCTAATTGACGTTCAGAGGCACTTGGCAGAGATGCGTATCCACCATGCAGTGACATTCCTTGGGCCAGGGTGTACAGCATTACCACTGATAAAGCACTGTTTAGATGATCATAAAATCCACAGTCACAAGAAGAAAGAGCCTGTCATGCACAAATGTCAGGAGACATACTTACTGGGAGACTTAGGTTTCTATAAACCTGTGATCATAGAATTGTCAGATGGCACTATAAAATATGCTTAAGTCTTGAAAGACATGAAAGCTAAAACAAAATTGGAACAAATTTTGAAAGACATGAAAGCTAAAACAAAATTGGAACAAAAGCTAAAACAAAATGAGGAAAGATTAATACTGTATTCTATAAACAAAAATTAACTCAAAAGGGAACAAAGAACTAAATGTAAGAGCAAAAACTATAAAACTCTTAGAAGAAAATATAGATAGAAATCTATGTGACCTTGGATTAGGCAACTGTTTCTTAGATATGACACCTAATGCACAAACAACTAAAGGAAGGAATCGATAAATTGGACTTCATCAAAATTTAAAACTTTTGGCTGGACACAATGGCTCATGCTTATAATCTTAGCACTTTGGAAGCCCGAGACAGAAGGCCCAGTAATTCAGACCAGCCTGAGCAACATGGCAAGACCTCATCTTTACAAAACCATGTTAAAAATTAAAAGCTTGGCCAGGCACGGTGGCTCACGCCTGTAATCCTAGCACTTTGGGAGGCTGAGGTGGGTGGATCACCTGAGGTCAGGAGTTCAAGACCAGCCTGGCCAACATGGCGAAACCCCATCTCTACTAAAAATACAAAAATGAGCCAGGCATGGTGGCAGGCGCCTATAATCCCAGCTACTCAGTAGGCTGAGACAAGAGAATCACTTAAACTCGGGGGACAGAGGTTGCAGTGAGCAGAGATCACGCCACTTCACTCCAGCCTGGGCAAAAGAGCAAAACTCCATCTCAAAAAAAAAAAAAAAAAATTAAAAGCTTTTTTGCTTCCAAAGCACTATCAGAATTGAAAGACAACCTACAGAATGGGAGAAAATATTTGCAAATCCCATCTAATTAAAGTCCAGAATTTAAATTATATAAATAACTTTTACAATTCAACAATAAAAAGACGAATAACACAGCTTAAAAATGAGCAAAAGATCTGAAGAGAAACTGCAGAGAATATATACAAAGCACAGGTACATAAAAATTCAATCAACATCATTAGCCATCAGGGAAATACAAAGCAAAACTTCAATGAAATACTTCATACCCATTTGGAGGTCTGTAATTAAAAGATCAGATAGTCAGATAATAAGTGTTGGTCCTATAAACCTGTGATCATAGAATTGTCAGATGGCACTATAAAGTATGCTTAAGTCTTGAAGGACATGAAAGCTAAAACAAAATGTGAGGAAAGATTAATACTCTATTCTGTAAACAAAAATTAGCTCTAAAGGGAACCCTCATATACATGCTGGTAGGAATGTAAAGTCTTTTAGCACCTTTGGAAAACAGTCTGGAAGTTCCTCAAATGGTAAAATATAGAGTTATCATCTGACCTAGCAGTTCCCACACCTAGATACATACCCAGGAGAATTGAAAACATATATCCATGCAATAACTCATACATGAATGTTCACATCTGTACATAATAACCAAAAAGTGGAAATAGCCCAAAAGTCCATCAGGTGATGAATAAACAAAATATGGTTTACCCATACAATAGAATATTATTCAACAATAAAGAGGAATGGAATGCTTACATGTGCTACAATAACGATAAACCTTAAAGACATTATGCTAAGAGAAAGAAGCCAGTCACAAAGGATCATAGGTTGTATGATTCCATTGATAGGAAATGTCCAGAATGGAAAATCCATAAAGAAAGTAGAGTAACAGTGGTTGCCAGGGTCTGAGGGAGGGAGGATAAGGAGTGAGTACCAATGGGTACAGAGTTTGTTTTTGGAATTATGAAAATGTTCTGGCATTAGATAGTGATGATGGTTGCTTAACCTTATGAATATGCTAAAAGCTAATGATTCTATACTTTAAAGTGGCGAAGTTTATGATATATATATCTCAATAAAAATTAAAAGAATAATACACTATCAAAAAAAAACCAGATTTGGAAATGAACCAAAAAAAATACTTTTAGAAAAGAAAAATAATAATCATTGCAGTTTAAAAGTCAACAAGCATTTCAGAGAGCAGATCAGAACCAGCTGAAAAGAACATTCAGTCTACAAAATTGGCCAGAGTGGCACAGAGGTGAGGAGGTGGAGCTGAAGACAGGGCAATAGAGAGGAGTCCCCCCAGGAGGATGTGCTGCGGGGTAGTTGTCAAGAGGGAGTTAAGAGGCTTACCAGAAGGTGAAGAAACCTCAGATTTTGAAATGGAGCAAGTTCTGAACAAAATAAATAAAATGAATTCCCCACCTGAGAGAAACTACAGTGTGCCACAGACAGTCCTGCTTATTGAGGAAGACACTCATGTTTGCTTTGTGGCTTTCTGTGGCCCTTATCTCTCATGTAGTGCATACCCTGAATGAGAAGCCAGGAGGATAGCCCTTAGATTGGCTTCTGGAGACAGAATCTTGACTGTATATCCTGGGTCCTGGTGCCACAAGGGTTGGTTCCTCAGCAGCTATGTCCACAGGGTCTCACAAGACCGTCCAGCCATAAATACAGCTGTAGCAAGATCTGTATAATAAGGGGCCACCATCACATTTGTCATCCTCAGTTTCTCACTTGAAAGTGGCAGTGAGTGAGCATTCACTTGGGGCTGAGCTTCCTGCTTTCCAGCCAGAATGAGTATAGTGAGCTTCTAGGAGCCTGGTGCTGAATTCTCAGGTTGGGTTGGATCCTTATATGAGGAAAATGAAATAAAACAAGTCCCAGTATCTTTAACAAAGGCCTTACAGAAAATGCAGATACTTTCTTGATGTGGCTGTTTTCTTGTATTGATTCTCAATGAAAACCAGGAGGAGCCCTTTAAAACACCCATCACTGGAGGCCTGGTGCAGTGGCTCATGCCTGTAGTCAATCCTAGCATTCTGGGAGGCCGAGGCAGGTGGATCACTTGAGTCCGGGAGTTTGAGACCAGCTTGGTCATCATGGTGAAACCCCATCTCTGCTGAAAATACAAAAATTAGCTGGGCATGGTGGTGCGTGCCTGTAGTCCCAGCTACTCAGGAGGCTGAGGCAGCAGAATTCCTTAAACGCAGGAAGCAGAGGTTGCAGTAAGCAGAAATCACTCCACTGCAGCCTGGGCAACAGAGTGAGACCCTGTCTCAAAACAAGAATAAAAACAAAACAGGCCAGGCGTGGTGGCTCATGCCTGTAATTTGGGAGGCCGAGGTGGGCAGATCACCTGAGGTTAGGAGTTGGAGACCAGCCTGGCCAACATGGTGAAACCCCGTCTCTACTATAAAAATACAAAAATTAGCCAAGTGTAGTGGCGAGAGGCTGAGGCAGGAGAATCGCTTGAACCCAGGAGGCAGAGATTGCAGTGAGCCGAGATTGTACCATTGCACTCCAGCCTGAACAAGACTTGTCTCAAAAAACAAAAACAAAACGAAACAAGAAAACACCCATCAGTGGAGATTTTCTTTGTTTGTTTGTTTGTTTTTTGAGACAGAGTCTCGCTGTGTCGCCCAGGCTGGAGTGCAGTGGCGCAGTCTTGGCTTACTGCAACCTCTGTCTCCCAGGCTCAAGCAATTCTGCCTCAGCCTCCCTAGTAGCTGGGATTACAGGTGTATGCCATGACGCCCGGCTAATTTTTGTATTTTTAGTACAGATGGGGTTTCACCATGTTGGCCAGGCTGGTCTTGAACTCCTGACCTCAAGTGATGCGCCCACCTCGGCCTCCCAGTGTTGGGATTACAGGTGTGAGCCACCGCACCTGGCCTTCAGTGGAGATTTTCTTTGAGGCACAGTGTCATGCAGTGGTTAGGGGTGGTGCGCAAAGTAATACACCTTGCAAGTTAGGCCCAGGTCCCCCACTTCCTCAGAGAGGGAGGAGGGATAATCTTGAGACACATGGTCTTTCTGAGTCCATCTCCTCTCAGGCAGAATGGACCTCCCAGGAAAACTCTCCTCATAGGAGGTATCCCTTAACCTTAGGCCTGTAAAGCCGTATCTTGGTCCTTGCCTCACGGTGAGCAGCACATGTCAGCTCCTGCTGTTGTTCCTTCATTGTGCGTCACAGTGGTTGGGCAGTGAGACCCCTGCAACCTGACTGGCACTTCCTAGCCAAGAGCCTCAGGTGGATTGGGAGCCAAATGCTAGCATCCCAGGTACAGGGTAGCAGCCCTGGGTGAAACTGTGGGTCTTCTGCTCCACCCTCTCCTAAGGCCAGGTGTCAGGCAGAAGCACGTAGGGACCTGAGGTAAGTGACTACAGGGCAAGTAGGCCTGAGCAGACAGAACCTAGGATGGAGCCCATTTGTAAGGGGGGCAGCCCTGGCCAGCTGTGCTCTTGCTTCACAGATGTCTAGACCCATTGGGCAACTGCTGTAGATCGATTTACCTGGTGCTCCCAGGGATATTGTAACAACTGATACAAGCCCACATGCAGGCTGGGGAGGTGCAGTTCCCAGTGGGCCACTGGCCCCAGAGTCCCTGAATGGGGCATCTGGCAGAGGCAGGAGGTGGGGAGACTCCTAAGGGCTCTCAGGGGTCCCAACCAGAGAGGGTGGAGCAGCTGGAGCTCGGCAGTGCCAAGCAAGTGTATGTCATGGGCCAGTGCTGTGGTGAGCTCAGGAAGCCACCGCCCGCCTTAGAAACTTAGATGATAGTTGGACGTTGCTGTGACATTCTCGCTGTATTTTACAAAACGATAGTTACATAAAAGTCTGACTTTTTTTCCATGTTTCACAATAGGATTCTCTCATTTTAATACATGAAACCCTTTCAGATCAGTCTGAACCAGGAAAATTCATGTTAGAAAAAATTAGAACAAGCTAATATTCCATTTCCATATTCAGAACATCTGAGAGAAAGCATTTTTGACTGTTCCAAAAGCTTATTTAACAAAAAATTTAATATGAAAATGTACATGATCTGATTTTTACAACATAGTAAAACAAGCTCTTTGAAGAGGCAAATGTCTGACATTTAAAAAAAAAAAAATTTTTAAAGGATTTTGAGGAGCACTGACTCAGGACTTCCAGAATATTAAGCTACACCCACAGATGGATGCTTTGCCCTGTTGTAGGACATTAGAAGAAAGGGGAACAGACACTTCAGTTTCACAGAGCAGCGTCATGGGCCTCTTGTCTTCCCAGTTTTTCACATGGATACAAATGAAAAGAATCCAGGATTCTACACGCTGGTGTGTGTATCTGCCCACATTTCTTTGACCCAGGTGACTAGCAGGGAAAACAGCTGAAGACAGTGCCCAGAGGAGGGGCTAACAGGCCAGAGGCTGGTTAGCAGTGGGAAGGCAGGCAGGGATGAGGGCTCTTGGATACTAGACAGGAGTTCACTCATGGTGAACTCCTTGAGGAAATAAGATCAGTGATAGCACCTGTGATCCAGGGAGTCTGTCATATTTAGAGATGTTTAACACAGCATTATGAGAAACATTTACCAACTTCTTCAAAAGAGAGGTGTTGAGGAAGTAAGCTATTCATTATGTTGTGCCTCTCTTTAATGTTTATAAGGACCAAAGTACAGGCGCCCCTCTGTATCCATGGGTTCCACATCTATGGATTCAGCCAACTATGGATCAAAAATATTTGGGAAAAGAAATTCCACAGAGTTCCAAAAAGCAAAAACTGAATTTGCTACATGCCAAGTACTACTTTGAATCCATGCAAATGAAGTTATTTTTAGGCATTGTACTATGTATACGTGATCTAGAGATTATTTAAAGTATATAGGAGGCTGGCCGGGCTCAGCTCAGTGGCTCATACCTGTAATCTCAGCACTTTGGGAAGCCAAGGCAGGCAGATCACCTGAGGTCAGGAATTCGAGACCACCCTGGCCAACATGGCAAAACTTCGTCTCTAGTAAAAATACAAAAATTAGCGGGGCGTGGTGGTGCGTGCCTGTAATCTCAGCTACTTGGGAGGCTGAGGCAGGAGAGTCACTTGAACCTGGGAGGCAGAGGTTGCAGTGATCCAAGATCACACCACTGCATTCCAGCCTGAGCAACAGAGTGAGACTCCGTCTCAAAAAAAAAAAAAAAATGGTACATTGGAAGCTGTGCCTACATTATATGCAAATACTAAATCATTTTATATACGGGACTTGAGCATCCTTGGATTTTGATATCTCCTGGGGGTCCTGGAATCAATCCCCATGCAGATACCAAAGGATGACTGTACTATGGAAAAATAGTTCAGATGGAATGTTATTTGAAAAAAGCCCGACATACAGTTGTATTAAAGTATGATTAGTATATAAATAAATACAATCAGAAATGAAAGGAGGCATTAGTACCAACCTTACAAAAAGGATTTCGATGGCATGATATTTCAATGTATGCCAATAAAGGCCAGGTGCAGTGGCTCACACCTGTAATCCCAACACTTTGGGAGGCCGAGGTGGGTGGTTCATCTGAGGTCAGGAGCTCAAGACCAGCTTGGCCAACATGGTGAAACCCCATCTCTATTAAAAATACAAAAAATTAGCCGGTTGTCACGGTGCATGCCTGTAGTCCTAGCTACTCGGGGAGGCTGAGGTATGAGAATCCCTTGAGCCCAGGAGGCGGAGGTTGCAGCGAGCTGAGATTGTGCCACTGTACTCCAGCCTGGGCAACAGAATGAGAATCTGTCTCAAAATAAAAATAAATAAATCCCTTATTATTTCAACAATATGCACAGCATCTTCACCAGGAGATTCCATCTTAAGAAACTACTTTCTTTGCTCTTCCCTAACTAGCACCTCCTCATTTGTTCAAGTTTTTTATGAGATTGCAGCAATTTAGTCCCATCTTCAGGCTTTACTTCTAGTTCTCTTACTGTTTCCACCACATGTGTAATGACTTTTTCCACTGAAGTCTTGAACCCCTCAAAGTCATTCATGAGGGTTGGAATCCGCTTCTTCCAAACTCTTGTTAAGGTTGATATTTTGACATCCCATGAATCACTGATGTTCTTAATGACATCTAGAATGGTGAATACTTTCCAGATTACTTTGCCCAGATCTGCCAGAGGAATCTGATATAGCTTACAAAATGTTTTTTTGTTTTTTTGAGACGGAGTCTCGCTCTGTCGCCCAGGCTGGAGTGCAGTGGTGCGGTCTCGGCTCACTGCAAGCTCCACCTCCCGGGTTCACGCCATTCTCCTGCCTCAGCCTCCCAAGTAGCTGGGACTACAGGCGCCCCCCACCACACCTGGCTAATTTTTTGTATTTTTAGTAGAGACGGGGTTTTACCGTGTTATCCAGGATGGTCTCGGTCTCCTGACCTTGTGATCTGCCTGCCTCAGCCTCCCAAAGTGCTGGGATTACAGGCGGGAACCACCACACCTGGCCCACAAAATTTTTTAATTATTATTTTTAATTTATTTAAGAGATAGTGTCTTGCTATGTTGCCCAGGCTGGAGTGCAGTGTTATTCACAGGCACAGTACCACTACTTATCAACACAAGAGTTTTTACCTGCTCTGTTTCCAAACTGGGCAGTTCACCTCTCCTTAGGCAACCTGGTGTGGTCTCTTGCTCTCAGAAGGTCACTATACTGATGCCAAACTTAGTGTGGACACCCAATTGGCATAGCGCACTATAACTCAGAACTTCTGGACTTAAACAGTCCTCCTGCCTCAGCCTCCAGGTAGCTGGGACCACAGGCAAAAATGTACCTCTTAAATAATGAAACTTGAAAGATGAAAATGCTCCTTGTTCATGGGCTGCAGAATGTGTGTTGTGTTAGTTGGTATGAAAACAACATTCATCTCTGTCAGAGCTCTTGGTTGACCAAGTGCATTGCCAGTCAGCAGCAATCTTTTGAAAGGAATCTTTTTTTCCAAGCAGTAGGTGTCAACATTGGGCTTCAAATATTCAGTAAACCATGCTCTAAACAGATGTGCTGTCATCTAGGCTTTCTTGTTGCATTTATAGATTTAGAATAATTCTTAAGGGCCCTAGGATTTTTGGAATAGTTAATGAGTATTGACTTCCACCTAAAATCACCAGCTGCATTCACTTCAATAAGATAACCAGCCTGTCTTCTGAAACTTTGAAGCCAGGCATTGACTTCCCTTCTCTAGCTAGGAAAGTCCTAGATGACATCTTCTTCTGATAGAAGGCTGTTTTACCTACACTGACAATCTGTTGTTTAGTGTTACCACCTTCATCCATGATCTTAGCTAGATGTTCTAATACCTTGCTGCAACTTCTACATTAGCACTTGCTGCTTCACCTTGCCGTTTTATGTTATAGAGGCAGCTTCTTTCCTTAAACTTCATGAGCCAACCTCTGCTAGCTTCAGACTTTCTTCTCCAGCTTCCTCACCTCTCTCAGCCTTCATAGAAATGAAAATAGTTAGAGCCTTGCTTTGGATTAGGCTGTGGATTAAGGGAGTGTTGTGGCTGGTTTGATCTTCTATCCAGAGCACTAAAACTTTCTCCATATTAGCAATAAGGCTGTTTTGCTTTCTTTTCAAACATGTGTTCACTGGAGTAGCACTTTTAACTTCCTTTAAGAGCTTTTCCATTGCATTCACACCTTGGCTAACTGGTGCAAAAGGTATAGCTTTTGGCCTGTCTCAGCTTTCAATGTGCCTTCCTCTTTAAGCTTAATCATTTTTAGCTTTTGGTTTAACACTTACTTAGAGGCCATTATAGGGTTATCGATTGGCCTAATTTCAATATTGTTTTGTCTCAGATAATAGGGAGGCCTGGGGAGAGGAAGGGAGACAGGAGAACAACCAGTTGGTGGAGCAGTCAGAACATAAACGCCATTTATTGATTAAGTTCAGCATCTTACATGGGTGTGGTTCACAGTGCCCCAAAACAGTTATAATACTAACATGAAAGATCACTAATGGCAGATCACCAAAACAGATACAATAAGAATGAAAATGTTTGAAATATTGTGAGAATTATCAAAATGTGACACAGAGACACGAAATGAGCACCTGCTGTTGGGGAAATGGCGCCAATAGACTTGCTTGATGCAGGGTTGCCACAAACCTTCAACTTGTAAAAAAAACATAGTCTCTGCGAAGCACAGTGAAGTAAAGCACAATAACACAAGGTATGCCTGTGTACTTATTCAGAATTGTTCTGTCTTCTTGAAGAATTGACTCCTTCATCTTTATCACTGTGTAATGTCCCTCTTTATCCTTGATAACTTTACTGTCTCTGATGCCTGCTTTGCTTACGTAACTACACCACCTTTTTTTGATTAGTGTTATCATGGCATGTCTTTCTCCAGTCCTCGCTTTTTTTTTTTAATAGACTTTATTTGTTAGAGCAGTTTAGGTTCACAGCTAAATTGAACAGGAAATACAAAGAGTTCCCACATGCCCGCCTCCCCAACATACCCATAGCATCCCCCACTTTCAGCATCCCCCACCAGAGTGGGGCACACCGTCACCCAAAGTTTACATTTGGGTCTACTCTTGATGTTGTACGTTTTACGGGTTTAACCAATGTATAATGACATATATTCATCATTATATATCTTACAGAATAGTTTTTTGGGTTTTTTCGAGACAGAGTCTCGCTCTATTGCCCAGGCTGGAGTGCGGTGGCACAGTCGCATCTCGGCTCACTGCAACCTCCGCCTCCCAGGTTCAAGCAATTCTCCTACCTCAGCCTCCCAGGTAGCTGGGATTACATGTGTATGCCACCACACGTGGCTAATTTTTGTATTTTTAGTAGAGATGGGGTCTCACCATGTTGGCCAGGCCAGTCTCAAACTCCTGACCTCAAGTGATCTGCCCACCTTGGCCTCCCAAAGTGTAGGAATTACAGGAAAGAGCCACCACACCCAGCCAGAATAGTTTCAATGCCTTAAAAATTCTGTGCTTCATATAGTTACCTTCCTTTCCCCAACCCCTGGAAACCACTGATCTTTTTATTGTCTCCATGGTTTTGCCTGTTCCAGGTTGTCATATAGTTAGAATCACCCCTTTTCTTGTATTTATTTATTTACTTATTTTTTGTTCTTAGAGATGGGGTCTCATTATTTTGCCCAGGCTGCTCTCAAGCCTCTGGGCTCGAGCAGTCCTCCTGCCTCAGCCTACCAAGTAGCTGGGACTACAGGCATGAGCCACTGTGTCCACCTACTATTAATCTGTCTTTGTCTTTTGTAGTTAAAATTAAATTTTTAAAAACATAAACCCATTTCTTTTTTTTGTTTTTTTTGTTTTTTTTTTTGAGACGGAATCTCACTTTGTCACCAGGCTGGAGTGCAGTGGCACGATCTTGACTCCCTGCAACCTCTGCCTCCTGGGTTCAAGCAATTGCCCTGCCTCAGCCTGCCGAGTAGCTGGGACTACAGGCACACGCCACCACACCCGGCTAATTTTTTGTATTTTAGTAGAGACAGGGTTTCACCGTGTTGGCCAGGACGGTCTCAATCTCCTGACCTCAGGTGATTCACCCACCTCAGCCTCCCAAAGTGCTGGGATTACAGGCGTGAGCCACCGTGCCCGGCCTTATTCTTTTTTTTTAATCTTCACTTCTTTTTATCTTCTTTTTCTGCCTTCTCTGGTTTTAGCTGAGTATTTTATATGATTCAGTTTTCTCAGCCAGGCATGGTGGCTCACGACCATAATCCCAACACTTTGGGAGGCTGAGGCGGGTAGGTCACCTGAGGTCAGGAGTTCAAGACTGGCCTGGCCAACATGATGAAACCCTGTCTCTACTAATAATACAAAAATTAACCAGGCGTGGTGGCACACACCTGTAATCCCAGCTACTTGGGAGACTGAGGCAGGAGAATCACTTGACCCCAGTAGGTGGATGTTGCAGTGAGCCAAGATCACACCATTGCATTCCAGGCTGGGCGAGAAGAGTGAAAATCCATCTCCAAAAAAAAAATGATAATAAAATAAAAATAAATTTTCTCTCCTCTCAGCATTATTAATTATGCTTTAAAAAATTTTTTTTAGTGATTGCTCTAGAGTTTACAATAAACATTTATAACCTAACTCTACTTTCAAATAATATTATACCACTTCATGGGTAGTAGAAAGAGTTCCCCACTCTTTCCTTCCATGCCCTATGACATTGGTACCACTTATTTCACTCATTCATAAACTATAGTAATTCAAGACATGGTGGCTGTTATTTGTTTGAACAGAAAGTTGTCTCTCAGATCAGTTGGGAATATGAAATACAAAAGATTCTATTTTATGTTCATTGTTTTTTTTCTCTAACATCACTCTTCCTTTCTTCATGCAGATGTGAGTTTCTGGCCTGCATCATTTATCTTCTCTCTGAAAGACTTTTAACATTTCTTGCAAGGCAGGTCTTCTGGCAACAGATTCCGGTGTCTCTTTGTTTATTTTTGTCTGACAAAGTCATTATTTCTCCTTTACTTTTGAGGCATAATTTCACTGGACACAGAATTCTAGGTTGGCAAGAGGTTTGTTTAAGCACTTTAAATATTTCACTTCACTCTTTCTTGCATGAATGGTTTCTGAAGGGAAGTGTGATGTAATGTTTTTGTGCAGGTTAAAAGAGCAGAACCTTGTGAAAGAGCTGAGGCCCCGAGACCTCCTGGAGAGCAGCAGTGACAGCGATGAGAAAGTCCCTTTGGCTAAGGCTTCCTCACTGTCCAAGCGAAAACTTGAGCTTGAGGTAGAGACAGTAGAGAAGAAGAAGAAAGGGCGGCCTCGGAAGGACTCTCGTCTCATGCCTGTGTCTCTGTCTGTCCAGGTGAGGCCAGTGGGCCCATCCTGCCTTCTTTAGCCCACCTTTCTGTACTTAGAGCTTGAAGGCCCTGTGTGCATGGTAAGCCTCAGCTGGGTGGGTCACCTTGGGAACCAGCTGGCTTAGACATGCAGCCCCTGGAATGTAGCATGGAGGCCACGCTCTCCCTCAGATGTGCCCTTGACTCACCCAGGGCCCTTGAGCAGGTTCCCTGGCATCAACTGGCTTGTCCATGAGGTTAGGATCCTTGTAGCATTCCCCTCTGCTTCCTCCCTCCCAGGGTGGAAATGCTCTGGTCGCAGGCTCAGCCTCACTTCTGGGTGACCTGCCTTTACCAAATGCTACCCCGTAGTGTTAGAGCAAGGCTCAGGAACGTTTCTGGCTCTTCCAGTCTCCAGCTGCCCTAACCGCAGAGAAGGAGGCCATGTGTCTGTCTGCACCAGCACTTGCACTGAAGCTGCCAATTCCAAGCCCCCAGAGAGCATTCACCCTCCAGGTAAGTTCTAGGACCCTGCCAGTTCTCCCTCAGGCACACCCAGACATTCTCTGTCCCCTACTGCATACAAATCCTATCTTGTCACTTCCTTGGAGATTGGTTTCCAGTGGCTCTCCATCACCTTCTGGGAGAAGTCATAGCAGATCGGGGTACCCACCAACTCTTAGCGAAATTGCCAGCCTCCACTCTCACTCACCCATAGCCTCTGTCTGGCTTTGCCCTTGGGATTCCAGCTGCTGGGGCTGCCATTACCACCACATGTTCTGGTGCTCTTCAGGACTCCTCTCAGGTGTCCTGGCTGGAAGCCACCTCCACCTCCACACACAGCCCTGGGCAGCCTCAGGCTTGGTGTCTGTGGGAATGTGTGGTCATAATCTATCTCCCAACCATCCTGCTAGCTTTGTCTTCTCAGTGTCTGGCACAGTCAATCATCAGAGTTGTTTGAGCTCTTGGAATGGAAGCTTGTAAGCATGTGGTTATCCAAAACACAATTCTGGAGTAAATAATCCTTTATACCCAGAGCCCTCCTGGTCACTTGGCCCAGCATAGTATCTAGGCCTCTCCTGCCATGGTGCCGTCACACACACTGCTGCCTCTCTGCATACCCTTGTACCTCAGCTCAGGTGCGTGTCCTCGAGCAGCCTTCTTGGACCCTGCTTGCGGGTCACTTCCCACTGGCTACACACTGCTCTGAGCCCAGGTTGGTCCTCACAGGGCACCAGAGAGCAGGCGTCAGCCCTTCCTACCATAGGTCCTTCTGGGCCACAGTGCAGAGGAATGAAGCAGGGAAGCCAAAGGGTAGGAACCCATAGGGTTTGTTCTTATTGCTGGTGTGAACGGAGGCAGGGGCCCTCCAGTGGTCAGCAGCGTTCAGACGTGCTCTTGCACTCAGAGGTGTTCTGACTTAGGTTCCCTCCTGGGTGCCCTGCTTCTCAGCACAGAACTCTCCCAAACTCCTCCAGCCCTTCCCCTAGGCATCTTGCCCTCCAAGCACTGCTTGGGACTGTCATTTCTGGGTCTGTGAAGGGGGCAGTCAGCCCTCGGCCCAGCTCACCCACTTGAGTGGCCACACAAGCACAGACTGTTTGGTGGTTCTGCCTATTTTACCACAGGGAAAATCTGTTGGTCAGCTCCCCACACACGCGTGTGGCTGAGCCCATTTGGTGCCAGACACTGAATTAGGTGCTTTTCATACATGCTGTGCCATAAACACCCCTGCCAGTTTAGTCTCAGTTGAGCAGACCAAGTCTCACCACCACAGGAACTGGAGAGCCCCTTTGGGGGTTTTCTAAACATTCCCTCCAAGCACTGACATGGTCTCTAATCTTGCCAAACACTGCCATCTTTGAAGATTCTTCAAGTAGGAGGCTAGAAACCCAAGTCTCACTCCCAGCTCGGTCCTTTGCAGTGTGCTTTTGGGCACGTTACTCCCTTGTGAGATGAAGTGGCAGGGTTGGGAGACTTTGGGGTCTTTAACCCTGGCACTGCTTCTCTTCTCTGGCTGTTCAACTACACAAATGACAGGGTAGAAACCAGCTCCCAGCATTCTCCCTGCCTTGGGGGCCACATGTCTGGCCCTCTGGGCCTCCCGCTCAGCCCCTTTGCCCTACCTGCCCTCCCTCTCCTCTCTTGGCCAGCCAGTCTGCCTCTGTATCCTGCTGCTGCCTTGGGGCCCCAGGCTACAGAGCCTTGGAGCATGTCACCTGGGCTGCGGCCCTTGTCTGAGCAGACCCGTGTGTTTACTTCATCCAGGTCAGCTCCGATCCTTCCATGTACATTGAGGTGGAGAATGAAGTGACAGTGGTGGGGGGCGTGAAGCTGAGCCGCCTGAAGTGCAACCGGGAAGGGAAGGAGTGGGAGACGGTACTCACCAGCCGGATCCTCACTGCTGCGGGCAGCTGGTAAGGGTGGGCAGGTCCTTAGCCGGCCCAGGTGACACAGGCACACATGCCATCATTCTGGGCCTGGGCCTGTCTAGGGGAGGTGCATGACCCTGGGAGCACCAGCTCCCACAGAGACTCACACCAGGCTTCACTCCAGGCCAAGCATATGTGCTTGTCATCTCAGTCCCTGCAGCACCCAGCAAGGTCAGCATCAGTATCCCCGTGTTACAGATGGGGAAACTGAGCCCTTGAGGGTTACCCAGGCCAAGCTTTGAACCTGATGGCCTGATTCCCTTGTCCAGCCAGATCCCCAAAGTCTCGAATTCCACACTGAGGTGTGCCTGGCTCACCTTGACCTGGGCTGGTTCCTTTTTTGGATCCCAGATTTCCATCCAAGTTGGTCAGGATGGATTTCTGACTGTCCCTGAAGTCCCCATCCCAGCCCATGCCAGATTCTGCACTGTGAGGGGGACCTTGATTCAGTGATTAGTCACCCAGTATCTTCCCCTGGGTTCCTAGAACTGTACGTGAGCCCTGTCCCTACCTGTGTTCAATGTGGAAGGGGAACCAATGTTTCTCCTCAGGTTCCTGTCTGATGTAGCATCCCAGTCAGGACCAGATACAGTCATCATAATTACACCCTTAATCATCTGCCATGAGGTCCCATGTAAATGCTTTTACTTGTGTCAAAGCACATGGCCTTAGGTCTTAGACCACAATTCTCGTGGGCCCTGAGTGAGTTTTGTGTTTTTAGGCCTAGGGGACCCCACTGTTTGTTCTGTTCCTCCCTCAAATTCCCCCTCCAGATGAGCCATTTAAATTCCCAGTCCCAGGCACCTGTGTATCAGATGCTTCCACAGGCTCCCACTCTCTGTCCCTCCCCTCAAGGCAGGTGGCTTGCCCAGCTGAGGGCTAAGGGGTGTCGGCACAGCCTCTCCCACAGTGACATGGCAGCTGTGGGGCAAGCCTGCTGGACCACGTGGGACCTCTCCTCCTGCTTAGTCCTGCCCAGTTCAGGCCCAGCCTGCAGACCTGTTCCCCAGTGTTACAGCCCAAAAATGATGGCTTTCTTTGCAGTGGGCTGGCTTGAGCCAGGCTCTGACCACCAGAGATGGGCAGATAGAATTCAGTCACAGTACCAGCCTGGCCAACATATTGAAACCCCATCTCTACCAAAAATACAAAAATTAGCCAGGCGTGGTAGCATGTGCCTGTAATCCCAGCTACTCGGGAGGCTAAGGTAGGAGAATCGCTTGAACTGGGGAGGCGGAGGTTGCAGTGAGCCGAGATCACGCCACTACACTCCAGCCTGGGCGACAGACCGAGACTCTGTCTCAGAAAAAATAAGAATTCAGTCACAGCACTGCAGAGAGCTCCTTGTTGCCCGTGCTGCTTAGAGTGTTCTCTGATTCATACTCTCCAAGTAAACATTTGTAAACAAAAGCATCTCACTTGCCTCTCCCTTTTTGGAGCCAGTAGCAATAGTGGCTCATTAGGAAGGCAGTTGGCAGAGCTCCTTCCTTAACTGACCTCCTTGAGCCTGCTGGAGTGACTGGCTCACCAGGATAGAAGTGACACAAAGCAGGGCTCTGGGTGGCCTACTGTGGCCAGGATCTCACTGTACTGGCTGTACATCTGCTACCCCTGCCTGCGTCTGAGCTCCAGCCTCACCCTGGGCCTGTGGCTGTGCCTTAGGGGGCTCTGTCTGGGAAGGCAGCAGCCTGCTCGTGCAGGGCCCACCCAGGGGCCTGGTGGTCACTCGGGAGAAGCTGGACAGTGTCCAGACTGTTCTGTAACGCACTCCTTGTTTGGGAGCGACACACATCTCCCACGCCAGCCAGACAGCCCCCTGGACACAGAGGTGCATGCTGTCATCCCCATACTTCTCTTAGCCTGCCTTGTTAGAGACCTTCTCAGGACTGGTCTGACTAGTTGCAGCCAGGAGACTGTCCTGTGGGTACTATGTGGCCTTATCTGATGAGCAAGGCATGTTTCCTGGGTGATCATCAGAGGCATTGGCTCTCCAAAGCCCCCACACCCCTTGGTCAGCATCAGCATGAGCTCAGGAAAGCGCAGGCAGCCTGTGGAAATAGGACAGAAGCCTCTTTCATCCAAGATCTCAGGGAGGCTCCAACAGCCCCACCAGCCCTACCCTGACCCAATCCACCTTCCCTTCTGGCTGTACCTGCTCAGGGGAGGCCCTTGTTGGGCCCAGGCAGAGGGAAGGCCCACACTTCCAGGGCTACTGTCTTGGCTGCAGCACTCAGCCCCCATGACACCTGCCCCCACTCTGCCTTCTCAGTGACGTGGTGTGTGTCGCCTGTGAAAAAAGGATGCTGTCAGTGTTCTCCACCTGTGGTCGCCGTCTCCTCTCTCCCATCCTCCTGCCATCCCCGATCTCTACTTTGCATTGCACAGGCTCCTACGTCATGGCGCTCACCGCTGCAGCCACACTCTCTGTCTGGTGAGAGGCAGGCACAGGGTGGGGTGGGCTTCAGCCAGGGCAGGACAGGGCTGTGTAGGCCCCACCTCACTGCAGGGGCAGGGAAGGCAGTGGACAAGGCTGGCCATCAGGCCCCAGAAGAGGCCCTGAGCAGTTAGTGATATTGCTTGTGTTGGGTGCCCTGGGTAGGCTGAGGGCTGAGGGGTAGTGTGCAAGGGGGATGGAGGCAGCTTGCCTGCTCGATTATTTCCTTACTGGAGCAGCCCATGCGACCAGTTGCACTGCCAGGGTCCTATGCAAGATTCATCAGAAATGGAGTCTTAGCTGGCAGAATGTGGCCATGTTCCTGATGTGGCTGCTGTGGCCTGGCTTCCCCCAAAGTGGTGTGGGCGCTGAGGGTTCCCCATGGCTCTGTTGCCTGGGCTTTGTGCTGCAGCCTTAATGCAGAGGGAGTGTAGTGGCACATGGAGAGCAGAAGCCACTCGTAGCCCAGAGCCCCTCTCACTAGGAGAGGCCAGGGTTAGGGTCGCATGCAGTAGGGCCAGGGTGTCTGAGCAGCCAAGGCACACTCTGATGTGTTTACCTGGGTTGGTGAGTAAACTGTTCCCTGTCTCCCTCCTAGGGATGTTCACAGACAGGTGGTTGTGGTGAAAGAAGAGTCTCTACACTCCATCCTGGCAGGTAATGCAGGCAACAGGCTGTCCCTACTCTTTTGGGGGCCCAAGTTCATGTCTGATGCTGCAGAAGGGCCCCGCTCAGAGAGCCAGGCTCTGGCCTCAGCCCAGGGCTCTCAGTGAGGCAGGAGGTGTGGTTACGCTGCAGGAGACACACACTTTTTGGGGGCATGTTTGAATGGGTCCCCAAGAGGTGACAAAAGCCTGGTGTGTGGCAAGGAGAATGGCTTGCCCTCCCTATTTGCCAAGGCAGTGTTGATGCATTTGCTGCTGGGACTGTGGGAGCCTAGAGTACAGATTTCTCCTTTGATATGTTTGAAAACACTTGCTGATCAGAGCACACCCAGAACTCATTCCCATGCTGTCCTCAGGAAGTGATATGACGGTATCACAGATCTTGCTGACGCAGCATGGAATCCCAGTAATGAACCTGTCCGATGGGAAGGCGTACTGCTTTAATCCGTCACTTTCCACATGGTAAGCAAGCTGACCCCCAGTCCTATTCCCTGGAAGAGTGTCTGTCTGCTCTAGACAGCAGAGCAAAGGGTCGTGGCCTACAGGGCTGCCTAGCCCTGCTTTTCCTGAGAGTCAGGCCCTGGAGTGCAGGCTGCATTGACTATCTGTGCATGCTCCCCTGTCCCAGCAGGACACTGCAGCCTATGGCCTCTGCCCTCAGAGCCTGTGTGCAGGAGCACTGTCCTCCTGCATTATTTTCAGGAGGCACTTTTTGAAAAAGCCCCAAAATTTTTATGGTTTTTGCTGTGGCCCCCTTAGCCACCATGAGCATAGGTTAGTGGGCTTTACAGGAGCCTTAACAGGACTAGTCAATTTCTGTGAGCTTAGTAAGCACTTCAGACTTCCTCAGTGAATTAGTAAGGATGCTTATCCACTTACCCAGGCATGATGGTCTGTACTTTTCCTCTGTCCACTCAGGAATTTGGAGCCCTTTTTTGTACTTGCAAAATAATTTATACATCAGAGCTCTTAACCCAGACACGTGAATTATGTACGTTGTGTTCCAGCCACTCCAAGTTCTTTTCTTCTGTCTATACCTTTGGTCCTTAAGAACCAAAGCTTGCTACCTCCTAGCCCCTTTTCTGTTAAGAACTGCCATGCAGAAGTCTACATTCACACTGAGACTTCTTTCTTGAATTTGGAAAAAAAAAATCTGCTGGGTGCGATGGCTCACACCTGTAATCCCAGCGCTGTGGGAGGCTGAGAGGATTGCTTGATCCCATGAGTTTGAGACCAGCTTGGGCAACATAGTGAGACCCTGTCTCTACCAAAAAAAAAAAATTTTAAATAAGCCAGGTGCAGTGGCACACATCTGTAGTCCCAGCTCCTTGGGAAGCTGAAGCAGGAGATCCCTTGAGCCCAGGAGGTCGAGGCTGCAGTGAGCTGTAATCACACTACTGCACTTCAGCCTGGGCAGCAGAGTAAGACCCTGTCTCAAAGGAAAAAAAAAATCTCCACTGCCTGCTCCCCCAAATTGCAAAATGTTGTCTATTATATATGATTGCTGTAATAATGGAAATAAGCTGATTATTTAAGAAGAGAAATATTGACTCTCTGTAGGCATCTTTGTATTTTGGACACATTTACAAAGACATCTAGCTGTTCTAAAAGTGTGTGAAGAGTCTTCTTCACAAGGATGAGAAGGGTCCAGAGAAGGTGGAAGGACTGCCAGTCTGGGATAGTTGTAGAAATACAGGCAGGTAGAGGCCTGGCATTGCTCGCTAGCTACAGGGCCCAGGCCATGTGGCCCTGTGGGCAGACCATGGCAGTGTTTGAGCTGAGCATCAGAGCACACTGCACACAGAGGCCTGCAGTCATCAGGAACCAACATATGGAGCTGAAGTGTTCCCAGCAAGGGCCCTATCCACAGCCTTCACTTCACTCATTTTTCCTTTGGAACAGTGATCTATCAGACCCATTACCATGAAACCTGTCAGTGATAGGCGCCTGTGCGGAAGTGCAGGGGCGCTCAGCCTCTACTGGCTTTCTGTGTCGGCAGGGGCTGCTTCTCTGTGGCCTCTTTGCCAGCCTTCTCTGGTTGGCAAAGAGGCCAACCAGATCTCTTGGTTTTCCTGAGCTCTGCTCCTGCCTTTGCCTCCCCAGGAACCTGGTTTCTGACAAGCAGGACTCACTGGCTCAGTGTGCAGACTTTAGGAGCAGCCTGCCATCCCAGGACGCCATGCTGTGCTCAGGACCGTTAGCCATAATCCAGGGCCGCACCTCCAAGTACGTGACCTGAATGCCATGGCCACTGTCCTTAGTCCTGCCCTGGGGAAGTGCCTGGGTCAGTGCACGCACAGTCCCTGCCCAGGCCTGGTCTCCACCTGCCCTTCCCCTGTGCCCCAGGTGCTGGTCAGCACAGGCAGGCTGGGCAGGACGGACTAGGGGTGCTGAGGGTAGTGGTCCTGCATCAGGTAATATCTTGGGGTTGGGGGCAGCAATCACTGGCCCTGTCACTTCAGGGGCCCAGATGGCAGGTGCTGGGTGAGATACCCCAAGGGTGCCAGGAGGCACATGGCTGGGGCGTGGGGATGGGCAGACAACAGATCTGGCATCTGCCAACAGACTGGCTAGTGGACGGGAGGCCTTGGCAGCCCTGGTGCCTGCCTCCTGCCAGCTCCTTGCCTGTTGCACACGGGGGCAGTTCCTGACTCTGTGTAGTGCCTGCTGCCCCATCATGGAAACTCTCCTGGTCTCTGCAGCTCGGGAAGGCAGGCTGCCCGGCTCTTCTCCGTGCCTCATGTGGTGCAGCAAGAGACCACCCTGGCCTACCTAGAGAACCAGGTGGCAGCAGCACTCACCCTGCAGTCCAGCCACGAGTACCGCCATTGGCTCCTCGTCTACGCACGGTACCTCGTAAACGAAGGTGAGGCTCCTGGCAGCCCTGAGCAGCCTTCTCCTTCTGCCCCTCCATCCTCCCAGGCCTCACTTAGTCCCTGTGAAATCAGGGAAAAGATGTGATGGCCCAGCAGCCTCTACCTCCCAGCCTGAGCTGCAGTCAAGGCAGCTCAGCAGGCACCCAGCCCCTTATAGGCTCTGAGGCTCTGAATAGAGTGACCCTGAGGGTGTTCCCGCAGAGAAGCAGCAGGACAGGCAGCAGGACGGAGGAATAGATGCCTGGGTGGAAAGACATGGTCTGAAGGAGCAGATTCTATGTTCTGGCTCCTGCCCTGCACCACAACTTGGCAGTGCTGCTAATCAGTGAGGGCATCTTGTAGCAGTGGTTCTCTTCCTCCTCCCAGCCCTTCCTGCCCTGGACAGGCTTGCCTGATGTCCTGCACTTACTGAGGCCCTCCATTTCTGGCACTTCCCGCCAGAGCTCTCACTCTGCTGCCTCCCTTGCAGAAAGCCAGGTGTGCTGGAAGAGGTGGCTGCACTGTCCTCACAGTGACTCCAATAGCCTTACCAACTTTTCCTCCCACTTGAGTGCAGCCTTCAGGGTGCGGCATGGGGCAGGCCCTCCCAGAGCTCTCTCTGTGCAGCTTCCTGGGCTTTTTGCTTTATTTTTGTCATCACCCTCCCCATTTTGATTATAATTTAGAAAAAAATTTAAGTACAGAAAAGACAGAGAAAATCATAATCAGACCTTCACGGATGTAATTCCCAGAACTAACATGTCACATGTGCCTCTGGCTGTGTAAATACGAGTGTATGTGTGTGTGTGTGTACATACACTTGTAAACGACAGCAAATATTACTGATCAACTTGAAGCCTCCCCTCCCTCCCTGCAGACCACGATGATGAATTTGATGTTTACTCTTCCCACCAGGTCTATGTGGTTGCCATTATGTGTGGTCCCCAGCTTTTCTGAATACTCAGCCTTCCCAGGCTCTCATACCTCTCCTGTGGTGCTCTAGTCACGTCTTCCCTGGGAGCCCCTCCTCTTACTCCACTCTGGTTTGCTTCATCCTGGGTGTTGACTGGGACTTGCTCTGATGCCCTGCATCAAGTCCCCACCTCCTCTCCGCCCCGCCACCCATCTTGGGATGACTTCTGCTGCTTGCTTCTCTTTCTCCATCTTCCACCTGCCTGTTCTAGTGTCCATACACCAGTTACCCACCCTCCATTCTGTCCCTTGTTTCCTTGGCTGTAAAAGGAGGAATCTAGTATAAAAGTGGACCCCATTCACTTCCAAAATTCCTCAGATTCCAGTTTCATCTCTCTTACTCCACCCTTTTCTTTGGACAGTTTAATCCATTCCCTATTGCTTTAGCTGCCCCAAGTGCTGACAAACCCCGACACTCTACCTCCAGCCTTTCTAGCAGCCCTACTGGGTGGTGCCCATAACCCTTGAGTTAATGGACCTATGCCCCCTCCACTCAGTTGCCCCTCTTCAGTCATGCCTTTGCCATCTCTTACCTCCTGCGGGCTGGCCGTCCCACCCTCCTGACCTCCCCTCAACACCAGCTGCCAGCGCATCTTCTCAAAGACAGATCTCACCAGCCCACAATTTCCCATATCTTCCCATCACCTTAAGGAGTTTATCACAGAACTGGCCATATCTCGTTTTTCCTCTGGGCCCAACACACAGAGGAGGCACTACAGATGTCAGGGGAGTGAGCAAGTGAGTGAAAATCTGTGATTATGGGTCTCAGTGCCCCCCGCTGAGAGACATGCAGGGGCGTCTTGCCCATAGTAGGCAATAAAATACGCATGTGTTTATTCTGATTTGATAGACACAACAACATATTCTTGATTTTATTTCTTTTTGTAATGTGTTCCTATTTCTGTTTTGTTTTTTGTTGTTGTTGTTTGTTTGTTTTTCTGTAATTAGGGTTTGAATACCGACTTCGAGAAATATGCAAGGACTTACTGGGTCCGGTTCACTACTCCACTGGAAGCCAGTGGGAGTCAACAGTAGTGGTAGGTGCTTCTTTCATTGTTGCTGCAAGAATTCTTTCTTGAAACATGAAGGTGGAGATTTTTTAAATAAGCCAAAGTGCTTTGAAATTGTGTCCCGTTAGACTTCTCCAGCACCCAGCCTCAGGTCCCAGCATCAGTGAGAGGGTGACATGCCGACGGCCCTCCACAACCTGGCAGGAGCTGGGCCCTGGACATCAGGAGCCACGGAGTGCTCCGCCACGTGCCTGTGCTGAGGGAGGCTGCCTGCAGGGGCTCTGGGCTTGGTTGTGAAGACAAAAGACGGAAGGTACTTCCCTGCCTTCGTGGAGCTCGGTCTGGTAGGGATGCACACATAAACAGGGAGGCAGTTAGGTCAACAAAATATTTTCAGACTAGATTCAGACTAAGAAGGAAGTAAGCAGGGTCTTCAGATGAGAGTGCCTGGGAAGGAGTGACCAGGAAGGCCTTGTGAGAGGACACTGCGGATGAAACCCAAGGAGAAGAGTGAGACAGCCATACAGAGACCTGGAGAAAGTGTTTCCTAGTAGAAGTGAGAGTAAAAGCAAGGAGTGCTTGATCTGTTTGGAGCCACTGTGGCTGGCACATAGAAGGCAAAAGGAGAGGGTGGTGTGAAATGAGGCAGGAGGTGGACCACAGAGACCTTTACAGGAGCTAGCGTTTTCTTCTTGGCAGAGTTGGCACAGAGGTGTCATGAACTAAAATAGAAAAACAGTCAGGGAGTATCTTCTGTAACAGTCCCAGGAAGAGATGAAGGTGACTTGGATCAGTGTGGTGGCCATGGAGAGGGGAAAGGAGACAGATTCAAGATGTATTTTGGAGGCAGAACCAATAAGATTTGATGGGTGGTTGGATGTGGAAGGAAAAAGCATAATGAACATGTGGCACCTCCAGGTTCAGCTGCAAAAAATGGATGCCAGAACCATTCATTAAATCAAGAAGGTAACAGGTTGGTGGGGGATGGGAGAAGGTATGGATCTAAGAGTTAGCTCACAGCTTCATTCAATCATTGAGCAATTACTGATGGGGCACCTCCCCTGGCCAGGCATGTTATAGGCATAGGGCAGGCAGCAGTGAATGGGGCAGGCAGCAGTGAATAAGGCAGACTGAGTCCCTGCATTCATGGATCTGCTTTCTTATGGAGAGAGACAGACTAAGCAAATGAGAAGAGGTATCTGTAGTGTCTTGAGTGGTGATGGATGCCATGGGAAAAAAATTAAAAGGGCAGGGAGATATAGAATACTGGCAGGCTGCTATTTCATGCTGGGCAATTAAGAAAGGCCAGGCTAAGCTTTCAGTGAGCCAAGATCGCGCCACTGCACTCCAGTCTGGGCAATAGAGCGAGACTCCGTCTCAAAAAAAAAAAAAGAAAAGAAAAAGGAAAGGCCAAACAAACAGATAAGCAGAGACCAGAAAAGGTGAGGGATGAAACCATGCATATATTTGGGAGAAGAACATCCAGGCAGAGGGAAAGTGCAAAGGCCTGAGGTGGGAGAGCTTGGAGTTTAAAAGGAACAGCCCAACGGGATGGTAGCAGAAGGGTGAAAGGAGTTGACATCAAAAGGCCAGAGGGTCAGCCCTCACAGGCCTTGGTGTGTACAGAGGCCTAATTTTTTATTCCATTCTTAAATTTGACTGTGGTGTACCTTAATTGACTAGGTACTTTGAATCCTGGGTTCAAAGTCAAATCCCCTTAAGTCCCTGAAGGCATTGTTCCATAGACTTTGCATCCAGTGTTATTGCTAAAAAAATCTATTGTAAATCTAATTTCCATTGCTTTGTAAGTACTTTGGGATCCTATCTTGGTGTTTTGAAGATTCAGAAAGCTCATTCATTCTGTAGAAACAGAGACAGAGACCAGTGATTTTCTTCGGTTTTCCTATTTGATTATTTCTTCCCTTTCATTTTCCCCATCATCTGAGAGATGTAATATCCTCTCTTTTTAAAATCAGCTGTATCGCCGGGCACAGTGGCTCATGCCTGTAATCCCAGCACTTTGGGAAACCGAGATGGGTGGATCACCTGAGGTCAGGAGTTCAAGACCTGCCCGGCCAACATGCTGAAATCCCGTCTCTACTAAAAATAAAAATTAGCTGGGTGTGGTGGCACACTCCTGTAATCCCAGCTACTGGGGAGGCTGAGGCAGGAGAATCGCTTGAACCGGGAGGAGGAGGCTGCAGTGAGCCAAGATCACACCACTGCACTCCATCCTGGGAGACAGAGCAAAACTCCGTCTCAAGAAAAGGAAAATTTAAAAAAAAGTAAAATCAAGTATCAGGCCAGGCGTGGTGGCTCATGCCTATAATCCCAGCCTTTTGGGAGGCCAAGATGGGCGGATCACCTGAGGTCAGGAGTTTGAGACCAACCCAGCCAACATGGTGAAACCCCGACTCTACTAAAAAAAAAAATTAGCTGGGCTTGGTGACATGTGCCTGTAATCCCAGCTACTCGGGAGGCTGAGGCAGGAGAATCGCTTGAACCTAGGAGGCAGAGCCAAGATCACGCCATTGTACTCCAGCCTGGGCGACAAGAGCGAAACTCCATCTCAAAAAATAAAAAATAAAAAGGCCAAGCGTGGTGGCTCACTCCTGTAATTCCAGCACTTTGGGAGGCCAAGGGGGTCGGATCATGAGGTCAGGAGTTTGAGACCAGCCTGGCCAACTTAGTGAAACCCCATCTCTACTAAAAATACAAAAAATTAGCCAGGCATGGTGGCGGGCACCTGTAATCCCAGCTACTTGGGAGGCTGAGGCAGGAGAATCACTTGAACCCAGGAGGCGGAGGTTGCAGTGAGCCGAGATCGCGCCATTGCACACCAGCCCAGGCGACAGGGTGAGACTCTGTCTCAAAAAAAAAAAAATCAGCTGTATCATTTTTCATGCTTTCAATTCTTCACCAGATTTTTAATTTAGGCTTTTATCTACTTTAGCATAATAATCTTAGTTATTTTAAAGTTTTATGTCTGATAATTCTAGTATCAGGAGCCTTTGCAGATCTATTTCCGTTGCCTATAAATATTTCTGCTGTTTCTCATTCAGATTGTCTTATCTCCTTATGTACCTGGTTATTTTTTACTATCTGGTGGACATAGTATTTGAAAAATTTATTGTAGAAATAGTTTGAGGCCTAAGATGATGTTATCTTCTTCTACAGAACACTTCTATTTGCTTCTGCCAACTTCTTGGGAGTAGCACTGTAGGGACTCCATGATCCCGTTCAGGGACTGAGGTTTTCTAGGCTGCCTGGAACTCAAAGCTGGGTGCCAGCTGGTATAGAGGCTAGTTTACTTCCAGTTGACGCTTATTCTAGGTTGCGTACCTTTGGAATACCAGGACAAAGGAGGGGTAAGTTAACAGGGCCCTAGCCCCTGCTATGGTCCCCCTAGGCCCTCAAGTTGTTTGTTTGTTTTGTTTGTTTATTTTGAGACGGAGTCTCGCTCTGTCACCCGGGCTGGAGTACAGTGGCACAATATCAGCTCACTGTAACCTCTGCCTCCTGGGTTCAAGCAATTCTCCTGCCTCAGCCTCCCAAGTAGCTGGAATTACAGGCACACACCACTACACCCAGCTAATTTTTATTTTTTTAGTAGAGGCGGGGTTTCACCATGTTGACCAGGCTGGTCTCAAACTCCTGACCTCAGGTGATCTACCCACCTCAGCCTCCCGAAGTGCTGGGATTATAGACATGAGCCACCGCTCCCAACCCAGGCCCTCAAGTTTGGTAGAAGTTCTGCCTAGCTTCTTCCTCATGGATAAATATTTCCAAAGCAAAGGCATCCCTCTTTGGATCTCTGTCTTCCCCACAGCATGGCTCAGTCATTTATCATTAACACATTAGCTCTCAGAAGTTTGCTGCTATTTGTCCACCTTTTTTTCTTTGTTGTCAGTGAGGAAGGCTGTTCTGAATTGCATGGTCTATTAATGGAAGGAAAGGCTTGTGATATCTTCTCAGATATCAGCTGCAGATGCTAACATTTTCTAAAATAATTTGTTCCCTGAATTATCTGGCTTTTCTGGGTTCAATCTTTGATTTGTTCATTGCGGTCTTTACTTGAGGACATTTTACCCTATGTGGAAATCCTTGGTTATCAGGTTGTAGTTACAAGTGAAGAACCCAGATTGATAGTGGCCTCAGGTTTCCTTTTCAAGAGTACAGCTGTTCGCTTAGCACAGCTTAGCACATCTCACCTCCAGGACAGGCCGATGAGCCATCTACTAGAGTGGGAGGCAGGCAGAAACCTGCCCAGTGAGTCCCCCTCATGGGCAGGTTGTGGAGCTTCATTCTGTCAGCCTTAGCCCAAGATGCCCGCCAAAGCTCACCATAGTAGTTCTCTTTCTCAGCCTGAAAGTAAGCACTCTGGGCCGTGGTGGTATAGACAGAAGGAGCCACAAACAGGCTACCATTTGATGGCCATGATTTCTTCTTCTCCCCTCCTTCCTGCTGATTATTCTTACCAACTCCAAACAGGACACTTCACTGAGGCTCTGCCTAAGAGAATCTGTGGTTCCCCTCCCAGAGTCACCTGTCAGTATGTACCACCCGCTTACCACCCTCTGTAAAGGTCTCCTAGCCCTTCCCTCATGGTTACAAGGTGGCTTCCATGTCCAAGATCAGGGAAGGAGAGAGAACAGGAGAAATCTGGCAACAGCAACATTCACCCTCTCATCAGAAAAGAAACGCTCTCCCAGAAACTAGTCTGTGCCTCACAGGCAACCATTAAATCACTTGGGCACCCACCTCTGCTGCAAGGGAGGCTGGGAAAATGAGCAGGTTTTCTCCCTCTGTACAAAGAATATGTAAGAGAAGAGGATTTAGAGCAGACGTAGACATAGCCAATCCCAGTGTCTTCTGCCAGGTCCTCTCCTGATCTCAACACTATTCTGAATTTGTTCCTTTTTTTCTGTATGTTTACTGTCTTTTCATCTAGATGTTGGGGCAGAGGAGATGAGTGAGCATGAGCCTTCTGTGCTCTTCTTGGGTTTATTTATCAACACTCTTTTATTTTATTTATGTGTTTATTTGAGACGAAGTCTCTCTCTGTCACCCAGGCTGGAGTGTGGAATGCAGTGGCCCACCTCAGCCTCCCAAAGTGCTGGGATTACAGGCGTGAGCCACCGTGCCTGGCCTTATTTATCAACATTTATGGTGAGAATTGGTCATTCAAGTGGAACTGATCCTTCAAATAACTGGGAAAATATAGCTGTGGTTGGAGGGTGGACTTCCAACCAGCCATGCTGACTCAGCAGCCCTCCCAAGAAGGCTTGTTAGGAGAGCATCATTTCACATGCTTAAGAGCCGCTTGTGTTTCCCTTTTTTGAACTATCTATTGAAATACTTGTTGCCATTTGTTTTTCTCAATGGTTTGTAGGAACTCTATGTATATTATAGGAGCTCTTTATATACTCTGATTTGAGCTGCCAGTGCACCACAGGGACACCAAAGGTTCAGATTTCTTTCAACTTCAAGGATCCTTTGCATGGTTCAGTGTGCATGGGAGGAAAATGAGAAGCAGAAGGTTGGGGCACTAAGCAAACACCTTTCAGGTTCCTGGGCTTTGTTCTGGCTCCAGCCTCCCCAGCCAGGCCCTGTTCTTAGGAAGCCTCCCTTTGCTGTGGTCTTCAGTGTAAGACAGGGGTCCCCAACCTCTGGGCCACAGACCAGTCAGCAGCAACATTAAATTCTCATAGGAGCACAAACCCTATTGTGAACTTCACATATGAGAGATCTAGGTTGTGTGCTCCTTATGAGAATCTAATGCCTGATGATCTGAGGTGGAACAGTTTTATCCTGAAACCGTCTTCCCCTCCCCCACTGGTCCATAAAAAAAAACCAGTCCTGGGTGCCGAAAAGGTTGGGGACTGCTGCTGTAAGACCTGTGGCAGTGGCCAGAGAGGTGGTGATTAAGTTGTGTGTTGCAGGCTGTACAAAGAGCTATACATCGCATCCTGAAAGAGTGGAAAAACCATCCTTTACTGAGAGCCGAAGGGTGAGGAAATATCAATAATACTTGGCTGCTCTTTACATTGCCTTCAGGCCAGAGGGCAAGTCCTCTTGCAGCTTCTTCCTAGTACCACAGGCAGGCAGAATGTTTTGCTTTGTTTATAGTAGTTTTTCGCTGAATCTTTAGGGTTTTCCATATATAAGATCATGTCATCTGTGAACAGAAATAATTTTACTTCTTTTTTCCCAATTTGGTTGCCTTTTATTTCTTCTCCTTGCCTAATTGATCTGTCTAGGACTCTTAATACTACGTTAAATATTAGTGCTGGAAGCAGGCATCCTTCTCTTGTTCCTGATATTAAAGGAAAAGCTTTTAGTCTTTTACCATTAAGTACGATGTTAGCTGTGGGCTTTTTATTTATGGTCTTTACTATGTCGAGATAGTTTTCTTCCATTCCTAGTTTGTTGAGTGCTTTTATCAAGAAAGAATGTTGCATTTTCTCAGATGCTTTTTCTGCATTAAGATGATCGTGTCATTTTAAAATTTTCTTTTATTTCATTAATGTGATGTATTACAGTGATTGGTTTTCATATGTTAAACCATTCTTGCATTCAAGGAATAAATCCCACTTGGTCATGGTGTATAATTCTTTTAATGTACTTTGGAATTCTGTTTGCTGGCATTTTGTTGAGGATTTTTGGGTCACTGTTTACAAAGGATATTGATCTAATAGTTTTCTTGTAGTATCTTTGTCTAGCTTTGTCAGGGTAATGCTGTCCTCATAGAATGAAATAGGAAGTGTTCCTACCTATTTTGGAAGGAGGATTGGTGTTAATTCTCTAAGTGTTTGGTAGAATACATCAGAGAAGCTATATGATCCTAGGCTTTTCTTTATGAGAGGGTTTGTTTTATTGATTCAGTTTTCTTGCTCATTAGAGATCCGTCCAGATTTTTAATTTCTTTATGAGCCAGTCTTGGTAAGTTGTTTCCATTTTATGTAGGTTATCAGATTTATTGTCATATAGTTGTTCATGCTGTTCTCTTATTTATAATCTTTTTTATTTTTGTGGCATTGGTTGTAATGTCCCTGCTTTCATTTTTGATTTTCATTATTTGGATCTTGTCTCTCTTTTTATTATGTAGTCTAGCTAAAAGTTTGTCAATTTTGTTCATCTTTTCAAAGAATCAACTTTTGGTTTCATTGATTATCTCTATTATTTTCCATTTATCTTGTCCCATTATCTTTATTATTTTCTTCTGCTAGCTTTAGGTATAGTTCTTTTTCTAGTTCCTTAAGGTGTAATGTTAGATTATTGATTTGAGATCAGCTTTCACTGCATACTGTAAGTTTTGGTATGTTGTATTTTCATTTTCATTTGTCTCACTTTGTTTAATAGTGTGTTTTTTCAGCCAGGCGTGGTGGCTCACACCTGTAATCCCAGCACTTTGGGAAGCTGAGGTGGGAAGATCACTTGAGGTCAGGAATTCGAGACCAGCCTGAGCAACATAGCAAGACTCTCTCTCTCTCTCTCTTTTTTTTTTTTCCCCTCACTGTGGCCTCAACCTTCTGGCTCAATCAATCCTCCTGCCTCTGCCTCCCGAGTAGCTGGGATTACAGGCGTGCACCACCACACCCAACTAATTGTTGTATCTTTTGTAGAGATGGGGTTTTCTCCATGTTGCCCAGGCTGGTCTCAAATTCCTAGGCTCAATCAATCCACCCGTCTCAGGCTCCCAAAGTGTTGGGATTACAGGTGTAAGCCACCACACCCAACCAACTCCATCTGTTTTTATAAAAATACATGAAATTTAAAATAACAGTGTGTTTTCCAACTTCCACGATGTTGTAGATTTTTGGAGACAGAGTCTGACTCTGCCACCCAGGCTGGAGTACATTGGTGTAATCTCGACTTACTTCAACCTCCACCTCCCAGGCTCAAGTGGGCCTCCCACCTCAGCCTCCTGAGTAGCTGGGACCACAGATGTGCGCCACCATGCCTGGCAAATTTTTTATTTTTATTTTTTTTCTTGGTAGAGGTGGGATTTTGCTGTGTTGCCCAGGCTGGTCCCAAACTCCTGAGCTCAAGCAATCCACCTACCTCAGCCTCCCAAAGTGCTGGGATTACAGGTGTGAGCCACTGCACCTGGCCTCTTTCTTTCTTTTGAATATGTCATCCCACTGACTATGCTGATAATCTTATTGAATATCCTATTTACATGAGTTGCTTTTTTTCTTTTTTTGACATTTTAGTGCACCCATCACCTGAGCAGTGTACACTGTACCCAATGTGTAGTCTTTTATCACTCACCCTCTTCACCCTTCCCCCTGAGTCCCCAAAGTCCATTACATCATTGTTATACCTTTGCATCCTCATAGGTTAGCTCCTACTTATAAGTGAGAACATATAATGTTTGGTTTTCCATTCCTGAGTTACTTCACTTAGAATAATGGTCTCCAACTCCATCCAGGTTGCTGTGAATGCCATTATTTCATTCCTTTTTAAGGCTGAGTAGTATTCCATGGTGTATATATACCACATTTTCTTTATCCACTCATTGGTTGATGGGCATTTAGACTGGTTCCGTATTTTTGCAGTTGCAAATGGTGCTGCTATAAACGTGTGTACAAGTGTATTGTTCACATAATGACTTCTTTTCCTCTGGGTAGATACACAGTAGTGGGATTGCTGGATCAAATGGTAGTTCTACTTTTAGTTCTTTAAGGAATCTCTGGCCAGGTGCAGTGGCTCATGCCTGTAATCCCAGCACTTTGGGAGGCTGAGGCGGAAAGATCACCTGAGGTCAGGAGTTCAAGACCAGCACAGCCAACATGGTGAAACCCTGTCTCTACTAAAAATACAAAAAATTAGCCAACCATGGTGGCGCATGCCTATAGTCCCAGCTACTCAGGAGGCTGAGGCAGGAGAATCACTTGAACCCAGGAGGCAGAGGTTCCAGTGAGCCGAGATCGTGCCACTGCATTCCAGCCTGGGTGACAGAGTGAGACTCCATCTCCAGAACGAGTCCCCATACTGTTTTCCACGGTGGTTGTACTAGTTTACATTCCCACCAGCAGTGTAAAAGTGTTCCCTTTTCACCACCTCCATGCTAATATCTATTTTTTTTATTTTTTAATTATGGCCATTCTTGCAGGAGTAAGGTGGTATGTCATTGTGGTTTTGATTTGCATTTCCCTGATAATTAGTGATGTTGAGCATTTTTTTCATATGTTTGTTGGTCATTTGTATATCTTCTTTTGAGAATTGTCTATTCATGTTCTTTGTCCACTTTTTAATGGGGTTATTTGTTTTTATCTTGCTGATTTGTTTGAGTTCCTTGTAGATTCCAGATATTAGTCCTTTGTCAGATGCATAGTTTGCAAATATTTTCTCCCACTCTGTGGGTTGTCTGTTTACTCTGCTGATTATTTCTTTTGCTGTGCAGAAGCTTTTAAGTTTAATTAGGTGCCATCTCTTTATCCTTGTTTTTGTTGCATTTGCTTTTGGGTTCGTAGTCATGAACTATTTGCCTAAGCCAATGTCTAGAAGAGTTTTTCCGATGTTATCTTCTAGAATTGTTGTGGTTTCAGATCGTAGATTTAAGTCTTTGATCCATCTTGAATTGATATTTGTATAAGATGAGAGATGAGGATCCAGCTTCATTCTTCTATATGTGGCTTGCCAGTTATCCCAGCACCACTTGTTGAATAGGGTGTTTGTTCCCCACTCTGTATTTTTGTTTGCTTTGTTGAAGATCTGTTGGCTGTAAGTATTTGGCTTTATTTCTGGGTTCTCTATTCTGTTCCATTGGTCTGTTTGCCTATTTTTATACCAGTACCATGCTGTTTTGGTGGTAACTATATCCTTGTAGTATAGTTTGATGTCGGGTAATGTGATGCCTCCAGCTTTATCTTGCTTTGGCTATTTGGGCTCTTTTGTTCCATATGATTTTTTTTTTTTTTTTTTTTTTTTGAAACAGGGTCCCACTCTGTCACCCAGGTTGGAGTGCAGTGGCACAATCTCGGCTCATGGCAAACTCTGCCTCCAAGGCTCAAGTGATCCTGCACCTCAGCCTCCTGAGTAGCTGGGACTACAGCATGTGCCAGCACACCCGGCTAATTTTTGTATGTTTTGTAAAGATAGGGTTTCACCATGTTGTCTAGGCTGGTCTCGAACTCCTGGGCTCAAGTGATCTGCCCATTTTAGCCTCCCAAAGTGCTGGGATTACAGACGTGAGCCACCACACCCAGCTGATTTTTGTATATTTTGTAGAGACAGAGTTTCGCCATGTTGCCCAGACTGGTTTCGAACTCCTGGGCTCAAGTGATCTGCCTACCTTAGCCTCCCAAAGTGCTGGAATTACAGGCGTGAGCCACCACACCCTGCTGTGGTTTCTTGTGAATTTTAGGGTTGTTTTTTCTAGTTCTGTGAAGAATAATCATGGTAGTTTGATGGGAATTGCATTGAATCTGTAGATTGCTCTTAGCAGTATGGTCATTTTTAATTTTACCTACCATGAGCTTTAGATGTGTTTCCATTTATTTGTGTTGTCTATGATTTCTTTCAGCAATCAGTTTTTCAGTTTTTCTTGTAGAGATCTTTCACATCCTTGGTTAGGTATATTCCGAAGTATTTTATTTTATTTTATTTGCAGCTATTGTAACAAGAGGTTCTTGATTTGATTCTCAGCTTGGTCATTGTTGGTATACAGCAGTGTTACTGATTTGTGTACATTGATTTTGTACCCTGAAAGTTTACGGAATTCATTTATTAGATCTAGGAGCTTTTTGGATGAGTCTTTAGGGTTTTCTAGGTATACGATCATATCATTGGCAAACAGCGATATTTTGACTTCCCCTTTACATATTTGGATGCCCTTTATTTCTTTCTCTTGTCTGTTTGCTCTGGCTAGGACTTCCAGTACAATGTTGAATAGCAGTGGTGACAGTGGGCATCCTTGTCTGTTAGAGTTCTCAGGGGGAACCCTTTTATCTTTTCCCTTTTCGGTATAAAGTCAACTGTGAGTTTGTCATAGTGGCTTTTATTACCTTGAGGTATTTCCATTCTATGACGGTTTTCCTGAGGGCTTTAATCGAAGGCATGCTAGATTTTGTCAGATGCTTTTTCGGCATCTATTGAGATGATCATATGATTTTGTTTTTAATTCTGTTTATGTGATGTATCTCATTTATTGACATGTGTACGTTAAGTCTTCCCTGTATCCCTGGTATGAAACCCACTTGATCATGGTGTATTATCTTTTTGATACACCATTTGATTCGATTAGGTAGTATTTTGTTGAGGATTTTTGCATCTATGTTCACCAGGGATATTGGTCTGTAGATTTCATTTTTTGTTATGTCCTTTCCTGGTTTTGGTATTAGGGTGATACTGGCTTCATAGAGTGATTTAGGGAGATTCCCTCTTTCTCTGTCTTTTGTAATAGCTTCAGTAAGATTGGTACAAATTCTTCTTTGAATGTTCAATAGAATTCAGCTGTGAATCCATCTGGTCCCAGACTGTTTTTTTGTTGGCAATTTTTAAATTACTGTTTCAGTCTTGCTACTTATTATTGGTCTGTTCAAAGTTTCTATTTTTTCCTGAATGAATCTAGGAGGGTTATATATTTCCAGGAATTTATCCATTTCCTCTAGATTTTCTAGTTTGTGTGCATAAAGGTGTTCATAGTAGTCTTGAATGATCTTTTCTATTTCTGTGGTATCAGTTGTAATATCTTTCATTTTGTTTCTAATTTAGCTTAATTGGATCTTTTTTTTTTTTTTTTGAGACGGAGTCTCGCTCTGTCGCCCAGGCTGGAGTGCAGTGGTGCATCTCGGCTCACTACAACCTCTGCCTCCCAGGTTCAAGCAATTCTCAGGCCTCAGCCTCCCAAGTAGCTGGGACTACAGGCATGCGTCACCACACCCAGCTAATTTTTTTCTATTTTTGATAGAGACGGGGTTTTGGCATTTTGGCCAGGCTGGTCTTGAACTCCTGACCTCAAGTGATCCTCCTGCCTTGGCCTCCAAAATTGCTGGGATTACAGACACGAGCCACCGTGCTTGGCCTCTTTCATACTTTTTGATGTAAGCATTTAATGCTATCAACTTTCCTCTTAGCACCACTTTTGCTGTGTCCCAGAGGTTTTGATAAGCTGTGTCATTATTCAGTTCATAAAACTTTTTAATTTCCATCTTGATTTCATTGTTTACCCAAAGATCATTCAGGAGCATATTTTTTAATTTCCATGTATTTGTATAGTTTTGAGGGTTCCTTTTGGAGTTAATTTCCAATTTTATTTTACTGTGGTCTAAGAGGGTACTTGATATAATTTCGATTTTCTTAAGTTTATTGAGAGTTGTTTTGTGGCCTATCATATGGTCTTTCTTGGAGAATGTTCCATGTGCTGATGAAAAGAATGTATATTCTGCAGTTGTTGGGTAGAATGTTCTGTAAATATGTGTTAAGTCCATTTGTTCTAGGGTATAGTGTAAGTCCATTGTTTCTTTGTTGCTTTTCTGTCTTGATGACCTGTCTAGTGTTGAAGTCCCCGCTGTTACTGTGTTGCTGTGTATCTCATTTCTTACGTTGAGTACTAATTGTTTTATAAATTTGGGAGCTCCCGTGCTAGGTGCATATATATTTAGGATTGTGATATTTTCCTGTTGGACTGATCCTTTTATCATTATGTAATGTCCCTTTTTGTCTTTTTCAACTATTGTTGCTTTAAAGTCTGTTTTGTCTGATATAAGAATAGCTATTTCTGCTCGCTTTTGGTTTGTATTTGCATGGAATATCTTTTTTCACCCCTTTACCCTCAACTTATGTGAGTCCATATGTGTTAGCAGATATTTGGTTGGTGGATTTGTATCCATTCTGCCATTCTGTATCTTTTAAGTGGAGCATTTAGACTATTTACATTCAATGTTAGTATCGAGATGTGAGGTACTGTTTTATTTACCATGCTTGTTTTTACCTGAATACCTTCTTTTTTTGTTGGTTTTTTTTTTTTCATTTTGTTATTGTTTTATAGACCCTGTGAGTTTTATGCTTTAAGGAAGTTCTATTTTGGTGTATTTCAAGGTTTTGTTTCAAGATTTAGAACTCCTTTTAGCATTTCTTGTAGTGCTGGCTTGGTGGTGGCAAATTCTCTCAGCATTTGTCTGAAAAAGACTTTATGCCTCCTTCATATATGACACTTAATTTTGCTGGATACTAAATTCTTGGCTGGCAGTTAGTTTGTTTGAGGAAGCTAAAAATAGGAACCCAAACCCTTCTGGCTTGTAGGGTATCTGCTGAGAAATCTGCTGTTAATCTGATAGGTATTCTGGCCAGGCGCAGTGGCTCATTCGTGTAATCCCAACACTTAGGGAGGCCAAGGTGGGTGGATCATTTAAGGTCAGGAGTTCAAGACCAGCCTGGCCAACACGGTGAAACCCCACCTCTAATAAAAATACAAAAATTATCCAGGCCTGGTGGCAGGGGCCTGTAGTCCCAGCTACTTGGGAGGCTGAGGCAGGAGAATTGCGTGAACCAGGGCGGCAGAGATTGCAGTGAGCCAAGATTGCACCACTGCACTCCAGCCTGGATGACAAAGCAAGACTCTGTCTCAAAAAAAAAAATCCGATAGGCTTTCGTGTATAGGTTACCTGATGCTTTTGCCTTACAGCTCTTAAGATTCTTTCCTTTGTCTTGACTTTAGATAACCTGATGACTGTGTACCTGGGTGATGATCTTTTTGTGATAAATTTCCCAGGTGTTCTTTGAGCTTCTTGTATTTGGATGTCTAGATCTCTAGCAAGGTCAGGGAAGCTTTCCTCAACTATCCCCACAAATACGTTTTTCAGACTTTTAGATTTCTCTTCTTAGGAACACCATTTATTCTTACTCTTAGGTTTGGCCATTTAACATAATCCCAAATTTCTTGGAGGCTTTGTTCATTTTTTTAAAAAATTATTTTTTCTTTGTTTTTGTCTGATTCAAAGTCTTGTCTTTGAATTCTGAAGTTCTCTCTTCTACTTCTTTGATTCTATTGTTGAAACTTTCTAGTGCATTTTGTATTTCTCTAAGTGTGTCTTTTATTTCCAGAAGTTTTGATTTTTGATTTTTTGATTTTTTCTTTATGATACCGATTTCTCTGGAGCATTTTTCATCCATATCCTATATATTTTTTAAAATTTCTTGAAGTTGATTTTCACCTTTGGTATCTCCTTGAGTAGCTTAATAATCAGCCTTCTGAATTCTTTGGCAATTCAGAGATCACGCCACTGCACTCCAGCCTGGACAACAGAGCGAGACCCTGTCTCAAAAAAAAAAGAAAAAGAAAAAGCCAAAAAGTTCTGCCTTTTTAAGCCAAATAATGAAAATGTACTTTGTAATTATTCTTGGTTTGGATCCATTGCTGAGGAGCTAGTGTGGTCTTTTGGAGGTATTATAGAACCTTGTTTTGTCATTATTGCCAGAATTACTTTTCTGATTACTTCTCATTTGGGTAGACTAGTTCAGTGGAAAAATCTGGAACTCAGAGGCTGCTGTTGAGATTATTTTGTCCCACAGGGTGATCCCTTGATTTGGTGCACTTCCCCTTCCCCTAGGGATGGAGATTCCTATGAGCCAGACTGCGGTGATTATTATTGCCCTTCTGGGTCTAGCCACCCAGTGGGGCTACCAGGCTCTGGGCCCATGCTGGGGAACGTCTGCAAAGAACCCGGTGATGTGATCCATCTTCAGATCTCCCAGCTGTGGATACCAGCACCTGCTGTGGTGGTGGTGCCAGGGGAATGGCGTAGACTCTGTGAGAGTCCTTGTTTGTAGATATGTTTAGTGTGCAGGCTTTCTCAAATGCTGGTTATGCTACCAGTGAAGTCATCATGTGGACACACTCAGGACCACTGGTTAGAAAGGATGTTGCAGGCAGTGGAATTAGCTGTTGTTTTTCTCCTTCCTTGGAGCAGGGTTGTTCTGTTATGAATTGCTGTAATGTCCTGAGTTAATTGGCCTCCAGCCAGGAGATGGCACTTTTGAGAGAGCACCAGAGTTTTTCACCTGTCTTGTGGAATTTGCAGCAGCCTGCCACTTCTTTCAAAGGATCTGTGATTTCTTTCGGTCTTCCTGGTGTGCTTTTGCAGTGGTTCCTGAATTCTCTACTCAAATTACTGGCCAGATGAGATCACCTAGGGTTCAAGGTCCTCTTCCAAGCTCAGTCGTTATTGGAATAGCAGAATTCATTTCCTTGTTAGCTTTCCACCTGCCTCCTCCATCTTTAAGCCAGCAATTGTGCGTGTAGTTCTTCACAAACTTCAAATCCCTCTCATGAGTCACTTTTTTTTTGCCACTTTCAAGATTGTCTCTTTTGAGAATTATAAAGTATCTAAGAATAAATCTAACAAAGGATGTACATAGCCTATATGCTAAGAATTATAAACGTTTACTTAAAGTCATTAAAGAAAACCTGGACAAACGATGAGAAAGTGCAGTACAGTAAAAGACGCCAACCGTTTCTAAACAGACCTACTGACTCAATGCCTCTCTAATCAAATGCCCACTAGAGGTTTCAATGAAACTTGACAAGCTAATTCAACAATTTATATGGAGCAGTAAAAAGCCAAGAATAGTTAAGACATTCACTATGCTACCAGATATTTGGGTTTATTATGAAGCCGGAGTAATTTAGATACTTTGCTATATGAGAGAGAAGACAAAACAGATACAGTGGGAAAAATAGGGGGGGCTATTCAATAAATGGAGTTTAGGAAACTGGTTATTTATATGTAACTAAGTAAAAGCAGATCTTCAGTTCATAAAAATATACCTCCAAAGGGTTAAGAATTAAATGTCAAAAGTGTTCATCTAAATGTCAAAATGTAAAAAAGTTCTCGTTCGGCGCGGTGGCTCACGCCTGTAATCCCAGCACTTTGGGAGGCCGAGGTGGACAGATCACTTGAGGCCAGGAGTTCAAGACCAGCCTGGCCAACGTGGCGAAACCCCATCTCTACTAGAAATACAAAAATTAGCCGGGTGTGGTGGCACATGCCTGTAGTCCCAGCTACTCAGGAGGCGAAGACACAAGAATTGCTTGAACCTGAGAGGCAGAGGTTGCAGTGAGCCAAGATCACGCCACTGCACTCCAGCCTGGGCAACAGAGCGCAAGACCCTGTCTCAAAAAAAAAAAAAGTCAAAAAGTTCTGCCTTTTTAAGCCAAATAATGAAAATGTAGTTTGTAATTATAACATATGTAGAAGTGAAGTGGCATGACAGCAGTATCACAGACGCCAGGAGTGGGGATATGAAAGTATACCATTAAAAGATTTTTACACATTATGCAAAGTGATATAATACTTGAAGACAGACTATGATAAGTAAAGGCATATACTGTATGTTATATGCCCTAGAGCAACCACCAAAACCAAAAAATAAAACTCATGCACATACACATACAAATCCCAAAGCAGTAAAAAGAATCGTAGCTAAAAAACTAACAAATAGATAAAATTGAATGATAGAAAATAATACATTCATTCAAAAGAAGGCAGAAAAACATACATAGGATGGTAGATTTAAACCCTAATATATCAATAATCATTAAATATAGGTCTAAAAGGCATAGATTATCAGATTAGAATTAATAACAACCAGCTGTATGCTGCTTATAAGAAACCCAGCTTACATGTAATAACACAATGGCTTAAAAGTAAAAGGACTGCCGGGTGCGTTGGTTCATGCCTTAATCCCAGCACTTTGGGAGGCCAAGGCAGGTGGATCACCTGAGGTCAGGACTGGCTAATTTTAGTATTTTTAGTGGAGATGGGGTTTCGCCATGTTGGCCAGACTGGTCTCGAACTCCTGACCTCAAGTGATCCAGCCGCCTCAGCCTCCCAAAGTGCTGGGATTATAGGCGTGAGCCACCGCGCCTGGCCTAATTTTTGTATTTTTAGTGGAGATGGGGTTTCGCCATGTTGGCCAGACTGGTCTCGAACTCCTGGCCTCAAGCGATCTGCCCGCCTTGGCCTCCCAAAGTGCTGAGATTACAGGCATGAGCCACTGTGCCCATCAGACATAAGACTTTAAAATAAATGTCTTAAAAAATGCTCAAGGAGAATACAGACAACTAAACAAAATCAGGAAAACTATATATGAAGAAAATGAGGGCCGGGTGCAGTGGCTCATGCCTGTAATCCCAGCACTTTGGGAGGCCAAGGCGGGCGGATCACAAGGTCAGGAGATCGAGACCATCCTTGCTAACATGGTGGAACCCCATCTCTACTAAAAATACAAAAAAATTAGCCAGGCGTGCTGGCCGGCGCCTGTAGTCCCAGCTACTCGGGAGGCTGAGGCAGGAGAATGGTGTGAACCCAGGAGGCGGAGCTTGCAGTGAGCCGAGATCACACCACTGCACTCCAGCCTGGGCGACAGATCGAGGCTCCATCTCAAGAAAAAAAAAAAGAAAATGAGAGTATCAACAAGGAGATAGAAATTCCAAAAAAAGAGCTAAACAGAAATCTGGAGTTTAAAAATACAATAACTGAATTGAAAAGTTCACTAGAAGGGTTCAACAGCAGACTCGAATAGACAAAAGGGTAAATCAGCAAACTTGAAAACAGGTCATTTGAAATTATCAAGTATGAGGAGCAAAAAGAAAATAGAATGAAGAAAAGCAAACAGAGTCTAAGAGACTTACCAGACACCATCCAAGTATACCCATGAATCCATAATGGGAGTTCTAGAAGTGTAAGAGAGAGAAAGGAGTAGAGAGCTTATTTGAAGAAATACTGGCGGAAATTTTCCAAATTTGAGGAAAGACGGGGGTCTACTAATACAAGAGCCTCAGTGAACTCTAAGTAGGAAAATCCCAAAGGAACCTGCACTGAGACACATTAGTCAAACTGTGGGAAAGGAAAGACAAAGAAAATCTCATCCTTGATGTCAGTTTTAAAATAGTATTCCTGATGTTTTCTTTATGGTAATAATTAACTTTTCCTTTCTATTTCTTTTTGAGCTAGTTTTGATAAATTATATTTTTCTAGGAATTTCTCCATTTTCTCTAAATGTTCAAATTTCTTAGCATAAAGTTGATAGTAATCATATCTTTTTCTTTCTTCTATATCTGTAGTTATGTCTCTTTTTATTTCTAATATTATTTCTTTAAGCTTTCTCTCTCTTTCTTGATTAATCCTGCCAGACGTTTGTCCATTAGTCTTTTCAAGAAATGACTTTTGCCAGGCATAGTGGCTCACGCCTTTAATCCCAGCACTTTGGGAGAACAAGGCAGGAAGATCACTTGAGCTCAGGAGTTTGAGATCAGCCTGGCCAACAAGGTGAAACCCCGCTCTACTAAATATATAAAAATTAGCCAGACATGGTGGCACACACCTATAGTCCCAGCTACTCGGGTAACTGAGGCAGGAGGATCACTTGAGCCTGGGAGGTTGAGGCTGCAGCGAGCTGTGATTGCACCACTACGCTCCAGCCTGGGCAACAGAGCTAGACCCTGTCTCAAAAAAATATATAAAATAAAATTGTTTTTCTAAATCTTCTCTATTAAATCTTTGTTTTCTATTTTATTTATTTCAATTTTTATTATCTCCTTTTTTTAAAAAAAATGTTTTTTTCTCATGTCCTTTTTTTCTTTAGTCTTTTTTTTTTTCCTTTCCCCTGATGGCTTTAGGTTGGAGTCTTGGCTTGTCATTCTTTCATGTTCTCTAATACAGTATAAGCTGTTGTTTCTAAATGCCTCTAAAGTGCCCACTTTTGCTGAATCTTACCACTTTTGGAGTATTTTGTGTTGGTTTTTTTTTTTTACCATTCTCTTGCAAGTCATTTTTAATTTCACTTAATTAGAATTCCCCTTTGACCTATGAGTTTTACTCAATTATTTTAGTTAGAAAACATGATCTATTTTAGGAGTTGACAAACTTTTCTGTAAAGGACCAGATAGTAAACATTTCAGCCTTTGCAAATCCATACCATCTCTGTTCTGACTATGGCACTCTGGTGTCAGAGCCTCCCTGTTGGAGTGTGGGCTGCTCCTCCATCAAACTTGGTCGCCAACAGCAGCCATTCTCCTGCTTATCCCATCTCTAACAACTTCTGTGTTACTCAAACCTAATAGTTACACTTATTCTTTACTGTCACTTCTAGACTTGTTGCAGGTATATCTGTCACCGTTAATTCAAGATCTTAGACCTTCTCGTCCAGTGTTAAAGTTGTCTGGCTGGTAGTTTTCCCTTTGGAGCAGCCGTACTGCTCAGGAGTCTGCTCTTTTGGTCTGTGCAGCAGAGACCCCAACTGGCAATGCTTGTTTCAGACTGTGGTGCCAATATGACCTGACGTGGAGGATGTTTAGGCAACTAAGCATAGTTTGGTCAGCATCCGAACATCCTCCACATCAGGGGATACTGGCACCTCATTTGTGTTGCTGGAAAACTAAAGCCAGTCACTGCCCCCCAGGTGCATCCTTGCCCTGGGGCTTGACCTCAAACCCCTGGCAAACATCAGCATGAGGGAACAGCCCCTCCTGAATGGCCAGCCACCTGACCCTCAGCCTTGTTCTACTCTCATCCTGCCCTGGATGGTCAGGGAACTGCTCAGTCACTATAAGGTCAGCAGTGGCTGTGCCCACGGATGGAGGAGCAGACCCTGCATTGGCCTCATCCTCCTTTATCCCCACACTGTGTTGCTCCCATTCCACCTGCCACTTCATCCTGCACATTTGCCCCACAGCTCTCTCACAGTTTCTCACCTGCAGAGGAATTGTTCTTTCCTTCTCCCGTGAGCAGACACAAGGTTCTCTGCCAGGCCAGGAAAGTCCCCACAATCTAGGTCTCTTCACTGACACTTGCACTCAGCTGTCACTCTGTGTCCACAGGGTCTGCGGAAGAGGGAGCTGCTGAAGGAGCTGCTACCAGTCATCGGGCAGAACCTCCGATTCCAGCGCCTCTTCACCGAGTGTCAGGAACAGCTCGACATCCTGAGGGACAAGTAGCCTGCCCCAGCCTGCCCTGGCTGCAGCAAGGGCAGGGCCACACTCTCGCCGCTGATGACATGCAGGACCGCCTCTCACCTGACCAGGCTGTAGGGGGAGGAGACACTGGCAGGAGATGTGCTGTCCTGCACCAGCGCCAGCCCAGCTCCCTGGGCAGATGTGCCCTGTGTCCTGGGTCTGACATTGCCTCAGGAGGGGGAAGCTCATCCCTCCCTCCAAGCCCCCGATGCGGAGCTAGGGCTGGAGCTCTGCCCAGGTGCCCTGGGGCCAGCAAGGCAGTCCCAGGCCTGCCGTCTCCAGCACGGCCCCAAGGTGGACACTAGCCCCTGCTGCTGCAGGCACCATGCTGCTTCAGCAGTGACGATTGAGCCATTTGTGAGAGAGAATCCGGAAGCGTTAGGTATTACAGCAGACTGACCTAAGACCTATGTAAAAGGAAAGCTGTTCCAACACACGGACTATTTTTGTACTAGAATTTGCTAACTTGTAATATTGAATTTCCTTTGGCCGATAATCAGGATTTCCCTATAAGTCACTTGGACATTGGTCACTTGTAGGAAATTTAAACTCTAATTATGACAGCTACACTGAAAAATAATTGTACTGAAATTAACTTGTCTATCTTCATTTGGTTTTAATTTTTAAATGTTTGTAAAAAGAGACTGTTTTGGGGGAATGGGGCAAAGGGGTGGGCGATTTCTTTTGTAAGTGTAAAATAAATGAACACGCATTGAATACCAAACCCTCCTGATTTCTCTTGCCTTTTCCTTCTAACTTTCATCCTCCCCACACAGTGCATCTCTCTCCTGAAGTAGATGGTGACAGAACATGAGAGCCAGAAGGGATCCTTTGTGTCATCTCATTCCCCCCTGTCATGGTTAATACTGCGTGTCAACTTGATTGGATTGAAGGATGCAATATTGATCCTGGATGTGTCTGTGAGGGTGTTGCCAAAGGAGATTAACATTTGAGTCAGGCTGGGGAAGGCAGACCCACTCTTAATCAGGTGGGCACCATCTAATCAGCTGCCAACGAATATAAAGCAGGCAGAAAAATGTGAAGAGATGAGACTTGCTTAGCCTCCCAGCCTACATCTTTCTCCCGTGCTGGATGCTTCCTGCCCTCAAACATCGGACTCCCAAGTTCTTCAATTTTGGGACTCGAACTGGCTCTCCTTGCTCCTCAGCTTGCAGATGGCCTATTGTGGGACCTTGTGATTGTGTAAGTTAATACTTAATAAACTTTCATATATATCTATTAGTTCTGTCCCTGTAGAGAACCCTAATATACCCCCCATGCAGAAATTCATTTCACAGTGTAGAGTGGTCACTTCTGTGGTCATGAAGCACCATAGGTCACCTTGCACACGTCATCTCACAAGTGAGGAGTCATGGTTCATGGTGGTTCATGGTTCTGGTCTTGCTGTGCCCCAGGTCCAGATCATACTGTGCACCAAGGGCTGCAGCTGTTTGGACAATTTCATGAAAGGAAATCAGTATTTACAGTCTTGGGTATATTGGAGAATTATCAGCAAAGTTGGAATTTTATTAGAAAGTGATCCAGACGTTGATCTACAGGAGAAGAAACAGAATCACAGAATCTTTAAGCACAGTGAGGGCTGAGTACCACCCACTCCTGGGTCCTGATCTTTGTCACCACCACCCAGTGTGTGGGTCTGAGCCTGGAGAAGGAGCCTTGGACTTGGAGTCAGAGGCCGGGGTAACTGACCACTGATCTCTGGCCTAGCAGCCATTCCACTCCATGTCTCACTCGGATGTCAAGTGGCTGGATGAGACCCAGGCATGTGTTCATGCCAAATAAAGCCAGGATAGTTTGTGTGAGTGTGTGTGTGTGTACACATAAAAAGCCAGGCTGCAAGTGGGACTCTTAAGGAATGAAGAGCCAGAGACTTGCTGTGCAGGTGAGGCAGCTCCCTTAGCAACTATGCAGCAAGACATTGCGAGCTTTGTGGAGCTCCAGGAAGCAATATATGCCAACAGGCCTGTCTGGGCTCCAAACCAGCAAACATCTGGGCCTCAGTTTTTTAGCTGTCAAATAGAGATTGAGACTAAAAAAATCTGCACTGGGGTCGGGCACAGTGGCTCACACCTATAATCCCAGCACTCTGGGAGGCCAAGGTGGGCAGATCACGAGGTCAGGAGTTCGAGCCAGCCTGACCAACATGATGAAACCCCCGTCTCTACTAAAAATACAAAAATTAGCTGGGTGTGGTGGCACACACCTGTAATCCCAGCTACTCGGGAGGCTGAGGCAGGAGAATTGCTTGAACCCGGGAGGCAGAGGTTGCAGTGAGCCAAGATCGCGCCACTGCACTCCAGCCTCGGCAACAGAGCAAGACTCCGTCTCAAAAAAAAAAAAAAAAAAAAAAATCTGCAACGTTATGAGGACAAATTGAGATTGTGTGGGCAAAGTCTTCGCACGTTTCCTCCCTTGAAGGAAACAGCAGTCGTGAGTGACTTTACCACCACCGTTTGGAGATGATGAAGAGATAAGCAGAAAACATCAAGGCCTTCAACTTACAGACAAGATGGAGTAACAGGGACCAGGTTGACCCTTCTACCTGAAACAACCAAAGGAGCCCGTCAAAAATACATGCAATGGTGGTTTCAAGACACTGGATACCATGCTGGGCACAGTAGCATGCGCTTGGAGACCTAGCTACATGGGAGGCTGAGGTGGGAGGACCATTTGAGGCCAGGAGTTCAAGGCTGCAATTAGCCATGATCATGGCACTGCACTCCAGCCTGGGCAACACAGGAAGATCCCATCTTGAAGAAAAAAAAGAAAAAGAAAAAAACAGAAGAAGACACTCCAGGTAGTACGCTTGGGCAATCATGGGGCTCACCTTGTTTGTATCCCATCTTGGCAGGGATTACTGTCCTTTGTTTTCTGATATCCAGAGAGAATTTCTAGGCCACAGCAAGAGGAGGCAGAACTGAGGTAGAGCCCAGTGGACTACTTGAGCTGAGGAAATGGAGCTGAGAGTCCAAGGAGACTAAGGCAGCACTGCTTCAGATCCACCTACCAAAAAATAAAAGCAAGACCCAAAATGATCACACTGTTTCCTGACCAACATAGTAAAACCTCCTCTCTACTAAAATACAAAATTAGCCAGGCATGGTGGCACATGGCTGTCATCCCAGATACTTGGGAGGCTGAGGCAGGAGAATCACTTGAACCTGGGAGGCAGAGGTTGCAGTGAGCCAAGATTGCACCACTGCATTCCAGCCTGGGCAACAAGAGTGAAACTCCGCCTCAAAAACAAAAAATTAGCCAGTCATGGTGGTACACACCTGTAATTCCAGCTACTCAGGAGGCTGAGGCATGAGAATCGCTTGAACCCAGGAGACAGGTTGCAGTGAGCTGAGATCGCGTCACTGCACTTCAGCCTGGGTGACAGTGCGAGACTGTCTCAAAAAAAATTTAAAAAGCTGGGCGCGGTGGCTCACGCCTGTAATCCCAGCACTTTGGGAGGCTGAGGCGGGCGGATCATGAGGTCAGGAGATCTAGACCATCCTGGCTAACACGGTGAAACCCCGTCCCTACTAAAAATACAAAAAATTAGCCTGGCGCAGTGGTGGGTGCCTGTAGTCCCAGCTACTCGGGAGGCTGAGGCAGGAGAGTGGCGTGAACCAGGGAGGCGGAGCTTGAAGTGAGCCAAGATAGCGCCACTGCACTCCGGCCTGGGCGAAAGAGTGAGACTCTGTCTCAAAAAAAATAAAAAAATAAAAAGAAAGAAAGAAAGAATTTATGACTAAGGACTCAAAAGCAAATACAACAAAAAAGTAGACAAATTAGACAAACTAAAAAGCTTCTGTACAGCAAAAGAAATAACAGTAACAACACATATCTATTAGAATGGCTTACATTTTTTAAAAAGACAATAATGTGTATTAGTGAGGATGTGGAGCAACTGGAACTCTCATGCATTGCTGGTAGGAAGAATAGTTACTTTGATAAACAGTGTGATCGTTCCTCATAGAATTAAACATATACTTGCTCTATAACCTAGGTACTCTATTCCTACGTCTGTTGGTTTTTCTCAAGATGGAGTACGTTTTCCTCAGGAGGATGGCTCAGGACAGGTGCAATGGCTCACGCCTGTAATCCCAGCACTTTTAGGAGGCCAAGGCAGGTGGATCACTTGAGGCCAGGAGTTCGAGACCAGCCTGGCCAACATGGTGAAACCCTGCCTCTACTAAAACTACAAAAAAAAAAAAAAAAAAAAAAAAATTAGCCAGGTGTGATGGCAGGTGCCTGTAGTCTTAGCTACTCAGGTGGCTGAGGCAGGAGAATCGCTTGAACCTGGGAAGCAGAGGTTGCAGTGAGCTGAGATTGTGCCACTGGACTCCAGCCTGGGTGACAGAGCAAGATTCCATCTCAAAAAAGAAAAGATTATGGCCAGGCACAGTGGCTCACGCCTGCAATCCCAGCACTTTGGGAGGCCAAGACCGGCGGATTACTTGAAGTCAGGAGTTCGAGACCAGCCTGGCCAAAATGGTGAAACCCTGTCTGTACTAAAAATACAAAAAATTAGCCAGGCATGGCGGCACGCACCTGCAATCCCAGCTACTTGGGAGGCTGAGGCAGGAGAATCACTTGAACCCAGGAGGCAGAGGTTGCAGTGCGCCGAGACCATGCCATTGCACTCCAGCCTGGGCAACAGAGCGAGACTCTCAAAAAAAAAGAAAAGGATGGCTCATGTTTTGCTTAAAAAAAAAAAAACGGCTTTACTGAAATAGTTAACAGCATGCGATTTACAATCTAATGATTTTCAGTGTAGTCACATCATATGTGCAGCCATCACCACAGCCATTATTAGAATCTTTTCATCACCTCAGTAAGAAACCCCATACACTTTAACCACAGCCATTATTAGAATCTTTTCATCACCTCAGTAAGAAACCCCATACACTTTATCATGCCCTATCCCCGATCCCCATCATTCTGAGGCAACCATCAACCTGCTTTCCGTCTCTATAGATTTGCTTATTCAGAACATTTCATATAAATTGAATCACAGAATATTGCTCTTGTCTGGCTGCTTTCACTTAGCATAATATTTTCAAGTTTCATCCATGTTGTAGCATGTATCACTATTCCACTTCTTTTTATGACCAAATAATATTCCATTGTATGCATCATTTTGCTTACCTGTTCATCTGTTGATGGACATTTGGATTGTTTCCACCTTTTGGCAATTATGCATAATGGTACTATAAACATCAGCGTACAAGTTTTTATGTGGAAATGTGTTTTCATTTCTCTCGGATATATAATATATAGACCTAGGAGTGGAATTGCTGAGCCGTATGATCACTCTATAACTAACTGTTTAACAAACTACCATTCTGCCTTCCAGTGTGGCTGCTCCATTTTATATTCATATCAGCAGTGTATGAGATTTCCAATTTTTCCACATCTTTGCCAACATTTCCTATTACCAAGTATGTATGTATGTATATTTATACTTTTTTATGGAGACGGGGGTCTCGCTGTTGCCCAGGCTGATCTTGAACTCCTGGGCTCAAGCAGTCCTCCTGCTTTGGCCAACCAAAGTGCTGGGATTACAGGTGTGAGCCACCACATTCAGCCTATCAGGTTGTTTTAAGTAAAGGCATCCTAGTGGGTATAACATGATATCTCAGAGTGGTTTTGATTTGTATTTCCCTAGTGACTGATATGTTGCTCAACCTCTCATGTGCATATTAGTCACTTGTGTGTCTTATTTTTCAGATCCTTTGCCAACTTTTCAATTGGATTGTCTTTATCATTGAGTTTGTGAGAGTTTTTATCTATTCTGCATAAAAAATATTCCTTATCAGCTGGGTGCCATGGCTCGTGCCTGTAATCCCAACACTTTGGGAGGCTGTGGCAGGTGGATCACTTGAGCCCAGGAGTTTGAGACCAGCCTGGACAACATAGTGGGACCCCATCTCTACAAAAAATAAAAGAATTAGCCAGAATCGTGGTACACACCTGTGGTTTCAGCTACTAGGGAGGCTAAGCTGGGGGGATCACTTGAGCCCCGGAAGTTGAGTCTGCAGTGAACTGTGATGGCACCACTGTACTCCATCCTGGGTGACAGACTAAGGCCCTATCTCAAATGTTTTCTTTTGTTGCTCACACTGTTGATCTCATATTTAAGAAACCACTACCACATCCAAGTTCATACACATTCACCCTTATGTTTCTATTAAGAGTTTCATAATGTTAGCTTTTACATTGAATACTCTGATCCATTTTGAGTAAAGTTTTGTATATTATGTGAAGAGTTCAATGTCATTATTTTGCGTGTGTCCATCCAGATGTCCCAGCATCATTTGTTGAAAGACTATTTTTACCCCATTGAATGGTCTTGGCACCCTTGTTGAAAATCAGGAGACCAGAGACACTTGGGTCGTTTCTGGACTCTCAGTTGTATTGTGTTGAAATATGTCTATGCTACACTGTCTTGATTACTGTTGCTTTATAGAAAGTTTTGAAATAAGGAAGTGTGAGTCCTCCAATGTAATTGTTCTTTTCAAGGTTGTTTTTGCTATTCTGGGGCCCCTGAGTCTCCTTATAAATTTTAGGGTCAATTTGTCAATTTCTAGAAAGAAATCAGCTGCAGTTCTAGGGGTTGTGATGATCTATAGATTAATCTGAGGAGATTGCTATCTTAACAGTATCAGGTCTTCCAATCAATGAACATAAACATCTATCCATTTAGTTAGGTTTTCTTTCATTTCTTCCAACAATGTTTTGAAGTTTCCAGAATATAAGTTTTATAGTTCTTTTGTAAAATTCATTCCCAAGTATTTTATTCTTTTTGATGCTATTGTAAGTGGAGCTGTTTGGTTTTTTCAAAAGATGGAATCTTGCTATGTTGTCCAGGCTCGTCTAGAACTCCTGAGCTCCAGCAATCCTCCTACCTCAGCCTCCCAAGTAGCTGGGACTACCAAGTCCACATATCACACCTGGCTAAGGAAGTGTTTTTAAAATTTCACTTCCATTTCATTACAAGTGTATAAAAATACATTGATTTTTGTATATTGATCTTATATCCTGCAATCTTGCTGAACTCATTTATTAGTTCTAATAGTTTTTTTTGGACTCTTTAGAATTTTCTTTACATAAGATCATGTCATCTGTGAATAGAGATAGTATTACTTCTTTTCCTACCTGGATGCCTTTTTTTTTTCTTGCCTAATTGCTGTGGCCAAACCCTTTAGTACAATGTTGAATAGAAGTGCCAAGAGTGGGCATCCTTGTCTTAATACTGATTTCAGGAGGAAAGCATCCAGTCTTTCACCATTAAGTATTATATTTAATTGTGTGCTTTTCACAGATGTCCTTTATTAGGTTGAAGAAGTTCCCTTCTAATTCTACTTAATTGATTTTTTTTTTGAGATGTTGTCTTGCTCTGTCACTCAGGCTGGAGTACAGTGATGCTATCTCAGCTCACTGCATCCTCTGCCTCCTGGGTTCAAGCAATTCTCCTGTCTCAGCCTCCCAAGTAGCTGGAACTACAGGTACTCACCACCATGCCCGGCTGAATTTTGTATTTATTTTAGTAGAGACGGGGTTTCACCATGTTGACCAGGCTGGTCTCAAACTCCTGACCTCAGGTGATCCACCCGCCTCAGCCTCCCAAAGTGTTGGGAATACAGGCATGAGCCACCGTGGCTGGCTGATTTTTTTTTTTAAAGACAGGGTCTTGCTCTGTCACCTGGGCTGGAGTGCAATGGTGCAACCATGGCTCAGTTGCCGCCTCGACCTCCTGGGCTCAAATGATCCTCCTGCTCAGCCTCTCAAGCAGCAGAGACTACAGGCTTGTGCCACCACGCCAAGCTAATGTGATTTTTTTTGTAGAGGTGAGGTCTCACCATGTTGCCCAGGCTGGTCTCGAACTCCTGGGCTCAAGTGATCCTCCTGCCACAGCCTCCCAAAGGGCTGGGGTTACAGGTGTGACCACTGCACCCAGCCTAATTGACTTTTTATGCTGAACCATCTGTTCCTTCCTGAGATAAATCCCACTTGGCTATGGTATACAATACTTTTACATGTCATTGTATTTTTCAGGGTTTTCGTGGGTCCACATTTATAAAATATATTGTCTAAAGAGTTCTTTTCTTGTTAGGTCTTTGGTTTTGGTGTCAGGGTGATGTTGCCTTATAGAATCCGTGAATGAGTTGGGAAGTATTCCCTCCTTTTCTATTTTTCTTTGAGGAGTTTGTGAAGAATTGGTATTTAAAAAAAATATTTGGTGGAATTCAATAGTAAAGCCATTTGGGCCCGCAGTTTTTTTGGGTAGTTTTTTTTTATTACTAAAGCAATCTCATTATTTGTTATTATAGGCATATTTGGATTGTCTGTTTCTTCTGAGTCAGTTATGGAAGCTTGTGTCTGTCTAGAAATTTGTTCATTCATTTCTTTCCGTCTGTCTGTCTGTCTTTCTTTCTTTCTTTCTTTTTAAACAGAGTTTCATTCTTCTTGCCTAGGCTGGAGTACAGTGGTGTGATCTTGGCTCACTACAACCTCTGCCTCCCAGGTTCAAGTGATTCTCCTGCCTCAGCCTCTCAAGTAGCTAGGATTACAGGCGCCTGCCACCACGACTGGCTAATTTTTTGTTTTTTTTTTTTAGTAGACACGGAGTTTCATCATGTTGGCCAGGCTGGTCTCGAACTCCTGACCTCAGGTAATCCATCTGCCTCGGCCTCCCAAAGTGCTAGGATTATAGGCGTGAGCCACCACACCCGGCCTTGTTCATTTCATCTAAGCTACAATTGTTTATAGTATTTCTTCTTTTTTTTTTAAACCCTCATTCTCTATATATAATAGTATTTCTTTAATTTTTAATTAAAAAGTTTTTTTATAAAATTTCTTTTGAGATGGAGTCTCACTCTGTCACCCAGGCTGGAGTGCAGTGGTGCAATCTTGGCTCACTGCAAGCTCTGCCTCCTGGGTTCACGCCATTCTCCTGCCTCAGCCTCCTGAGTAGCTGGTACTACAGGTGCCCGCCACCATGCCCGGCTAATTTTTTGTATTTTTAGTAGAGATGGAGTTTCACCGTGTTAGCCAGGATGGTCTCGATCTCCTGACCTCGTGATCCACCCGCCTCGGCCTCCCAAAGTGCTGGGATTACAGACGTGAGCCACTGCACCCGGCCCACAAAGTATTTTCTAATTTCCCTCTTGATTTCTTCTTTGACCCATTGGTCATTTAGAGTGTGCTGTTAAATTTCCACACCTTTGTGGGTTTCCCAACTTCTCGACTTTCTTTCTGTTATTGATCTAATAGTATTCCGTTGTGTTTTTAAAAATACTTTGTATTATTTCTATCCTTTACATTTACTAAGGTTTGATTTACAACCTAGCATATGCTGTACCCTGGAGAATGTTCCTTGTCTACTTGAGAAGATGTGTATTCTACCTAAGTGGGGTTGTGTTGCTCACGTATGGCCACACCACTTCCCTTTCACCATTCCACTTTCTTAACCCATGCTAACCACCAATCTGTTTTCCATTTCTGTAATTTCCTGATTTCAACAATGTTATGTCAATGTCATGCTTACCTAACCTACTGGATTTTTTTTTCACTCAGAATAATTATCTGGAGTTAATTTAAGTTGTTGTGTATATTATTACTTCATTAGTTTTTATTTATTGCTAATGAGTATTTCATGGTTTTGCTGCACTGTTGATTTAACCATTCATCTGCTCAGGACATCAGGGCTAGTTTCAATTTTTGGTGATTACAGTTAAGCCCTGATATTAAATTTTTTGTGTGAACATAAGCATTTGATTTTGTGGAAGCAATTCCCAAGAGGGCAACTACTGGGTCTTATGGTAGCTGCAAGTGCAGTTTTTTTCAAGATGACAAAGTATTTTCCACAAAGCTGTACCATTTTACATTCCAACAATGGATGAGTGATCAAGTTTTTCCACATGCTCACCAGCATTTGTTGTCACTATTAATTTTAGCCATGTTGACAGGTGTAACTTTAGTTTGCATTTCCGTAATACCTAATGATGTTCAACATCTTTTCATGTGCTTATTTGCAATTCATAAATCTTCAGTGAAATATAGTAATTTTCATGTCTTTTCCCCTTTTTTTGAGACAGTCTTACTCTGTCACCCAGGCTGGAGTGCAGTGGTGTGACCACAGCTCACTGCAGCCTTACCCTCCAAGCTCAAGTGATCCTCCCAGCTCAGCCTCGTAAGTACTGGGACTACAGGCAGGCACAACCATGCCAGGCCAATTTAAATTTTTTTTTGTAGATGGGATCTCACTACACTGCCTAGGCTGGTCTCGAACCCCTGAGCTGAAATGATCCTCCTGCCTTGGCCTCCCCAAATGTTGGGATTACAGGTATGAGCCACCATGCCCAGCCTGTTATGTCTTCTCGAAGAATGGATCCCTTTGTCATAGGGATCATGCCCCCTTTGAGCATAGAGTACTTCATAATATTCCTTTACTATCTCACTTTCCACTGTGATGTAATGTGTTGCGGGAAGTCAGGGACCCTGAACGGAGGGACCGGCTAAAGCCATGGCAGAAGAACATAAATTGTGAAGATTTCATGGACATTTATTGGTTCCCCAAATTAATACTTTTGTAATTTCTTACACCTGTCTTTACTGCAGTCTCTGAACATAAATTATGAAGATTTCATGGACACTTATCACTTCCCCAGTCAATACCCTTGTGATTTCCTATGCCTGTCTTTACTTTAATCTCTTAATCCCATCATCTTTGTAAGCTGAGGATGAATGTCGCCTCAGGACCCTGTGATGATTGCGTTTTCTGCACAAATTGTTTAAACAATGTGAAATCTGGGCACCTTGAAAAAAGAACAGGATAACAGCAATGTTCAGGGAACAAGGGAGATAAGCTTAAAGTCTGGCTGCCTGTGGGCCGGGTGGAACTGAGCCATATTTCTCTTCTTTCAAAAGCAAATAGGAGAAATATCACTGAATTCTTTTTCCCAGCAAGGAGCATCCCTGAGAAAGAGAATGTATCCCTAAGGGGAGGCCTCTGAAATGGCCGCTTTGGGGACGTCTGTCTTTTATGGGCATAGATAAGGGATGAAATAAGCCCCGGTCTCCCGTAGCGCTCCCAGGCTTATTAGGATGAGGAAATTCCCGCCTAATAAATTTTGGTCAGACCAGTTGTCTTTTCTCAAACCCTGTCTCCTGATAAATGTTATCAATGACAATGCATGCCCAAAACTTCATTAGCAATTTTAATTTCGCATTGGTCCTGTGATCTCACCCTGCCTCCATTTGCCTTGTGATATTTTATTACCTTGTGAAGCACGTGATCTCTGTGACCCACACCCTATTCATACACTCCCTCCCCTTTGAAAATCACTAATAAAAACTTGCTGGTTTTGCGGCTTGGGGGGCATCACAGAACCTGCCGACATGTGATGTCTCCCCCAGACACCCAGCTTTAAAATTTCTCTTTTGTACTCTTTCCCTTTATTTCTCAGACCAGCCAACACTTAGGGAAAATAGAAAAGGACCCAGGTGAAATATCGGGGGCTGAATTTTACCCGATAGTAATGCCCCTTTTATCCATGATAAAAATATTAGCAAATCAAATCCAACATTGTATGAAAAAAATACAACATGACCAAATGGGATGTATTCCAGATATGCATACTTGTTTAATGGTTGAATATAAGTTATTGTAATCAATCACATCAATTAAGTTAAAAAAGAAAATCATGATTATATCAATACATTTAGAAGAAGCATTTGACAAATCTAACACCTATTCATGATAAAAACTCTCAGCAAACTAGGAATAGAAGGGAACTTTCTCAATTGATGAAGAACATCTACAATAATTCCACTATGTATGTATGTATGGCTAACATCATACACTACTTAATGGTGAAAAATTATATGCTTTTCCCCTAATATCAGGGAAAAGGCAAGGATGTCTCTTGTCACCACTCCTATTCAATATTGTACTAGAAGTCTTAGCTAATACAATAAGACAAAAGAAGGAAATAAAAGTATAAAAATTAGGAAGAAGGAAATAAAGTATAAAAAATTGCAGATAACATGACTATCTATGTACAAAATCCCAAAGAATCAACAAAAAACTCTGAGAACTAGTAAGTTATTATAGTTACATTGCAGGATATAAGGTTAACATACAAAAGTTGATTGCTTTTCTTTAACCAACACTGAACAATTGGAATTTGAAATTGAAAATTTAATACCTCTTACATAAACACCAAATAATCAAAATACTTAGGTATAAATCTAACAAAATACATACAAGCTTTATATGAGGGAAACTACAAAACTCTGATGAAATAAATAAAAAATCTAAATTAATAAATGGAGATAAGTTCCATGTTCATGGGTAGGAAGACTCAACATTAATGTGTTAGCGCTTACCAATTATAGATTCAATTTAATTCCAATAACGATTCCAGCAAGTTATTTTGCAGATATTGACAAGCAAATTCTAAAGTTTGTATGGAAAGTCAAAAGATGCAGAATAGCCCACTCAATATTGAAGACAAGCAGGGCCAGAGTACTCACACTACTCAACTTTGAGACTTACTATGAAGCTACAGTAATCAAGACAGTGTGACATTGGTAAAGGAACGGAGTAGAGAACCCATAAATAAACCCAAACAAATGAAATCAACTGATCTTTGATGAAGGAACAAAGGCAATTCAATAGAAAAATATTAGTCTTTTCAATAAATACTGCTCTAATAAATGCACCTGTAGTCCCTTCTACTCAGGAAGTTTTGCATTTTACACATGCAAACATAAAAAAAAGAATCTAGACAGAAATTTTTAACTGCTGCTCTGAGAACATCATTGCTAAGAGAATGAAAACCCACAGACTTGGAGAAAATATTTGCAAATAACTTTTCTGATAAAGGATTTGTATCCAATATATACGAATAACTCCCAAAATGCAAAAATAAGAAAATAAGCATTCCAGTTTAAAAATGGACAAAATATCTGAACGGAGCTCACCAAAGAAGATATACATATGGCTATAACCATATGAAAAGACGCTCTACATCATATGTCATTAGGGAATTACAAATTCAGAACACAATGAGAATTAGCTGGGCATGGTGGCATATGCCTGTAGTCCAGCTACTTAGGAGGCAGAAACAGGAGGACCTCTTGAACCCAGCAGTTTGAGGCTGCAGTGAGCCATGATCATACCACTGTACTCCAGCCTGGGCAAGAGAGTAAGAACCCATCTCTAAAATAAATACATAAATAAATAAATAACAAAAACAACAATGAGAAACCACTATACACCTATTAGATAGGCTAAAATCCAAAAACCTGACAGTATCAAATGCTGACAAGGATGTGGACATAGAAAAACAGGAATTCTCATTCATTGCTCTTGAGAATACAGCCACTTTGGAAGATGATCTAGTAGTGCCTTCCAAGCTAAACATAGCCTAACCATATGGCCCAGCAATTTCACTCCTAGGTATATACCAAAATTAGTTGAAAACTTATATACACATAAAAACCTACACATGAATGTTTATAGCAGCTTTATTCAAAACTGCAAAAACTGGAAGAAATCAAGATATCCCCTCAATTGGTGAATGAACAAACTGACACATTCATACATTGGAATATTATTCAATGATAAGAAATGAGCCGGCTGGGGGCAGTGGCTCAGGCCGGGCACGGTGGCTCATGCCTGTAATCCCAGCACTGTGGGAGGTCAAGACAGGCAGATCACCTGAGGTCAGGAATTCAAGACCAGCCTGGCCAACATGGTGAAACCCCTTCTCTACTAAAAATACAAAAATCAGCTGGGTGTGGTGGTGCGTGCCTGTAATCCCAGCTACTTGCGAGGCTGAGGTAAGAGAATTGCCTGAACCCAGGAGGTTGAGGTTGCAGTGAGCTGAGATCGTGCCACTACACTCCAGCCTGGGCGACAGACCGAGACTCCATCTCAAAGAAAAATAAAAAAGAAAAGAAAAGAAATGAGCTACCAAGCCATGAAAAGACATGGAAGACCTTAGATGGATATTGCTAAGTGAAAGAAGCCAATTTGAAAAGGCTACATACTGTATGATTCCAACTAAGTGACAATTTGTTGTTTTTTGTTTTTTTTTTTTGAGACAGGGTCTCACTCTGTCACCCAGACTGGAGTGCAGTGGCATGATCTCTGCTTATCGCAACCTCCACCTCCCAGGCTCAAGCAATTCTCCTGCCTCAGCCTCCTGAATAGCTGGGATTACAGATGCATACCACCACACCTGGCTAATTTTTGTATTTTTAGTAGAGACGGGGTTTCACCGTGTTGGCCAGGATGGTCTCGAACTCCTGACCTCAAATGATCCACCCGCCTCAGCCTCCCAAAATGCTGTAATTACAGGCATGAGCCACCACGCCCCACCTAAGTGACATTCTATAAAAGGTAAAACTACAAAGACAGTGAAAGATCCAGTGGAACTGTTGTGGGAATCAGGAGACTGGAGAGACCAATAGGTAGAACAGGGGGATGTTATTGAGTGCACTCTGGCCTAGTGGATTAACATCCAAAGACCGGGCCTAGAACAAAGACAGAACTTGACTTTTATACACACTTCTGAAAAGGGGTTGGCTAGTTTGAAACAAGGTTACAGTGATGCGAAGTGTAGTGGTGTGAAAGCAAGTGTATAGAAGCAGAACAAAGGCAGTTAATCAAACTATGACAGTTAGATTATGCCTGCTCAGGCATGTCTCATGACCTTTGCTGTGCTGCTCGGATAAAAAACAGAATACTTGAGGTTACTAGTTACAGAAAACAGGAATCTGGCCAGGCGCAGTGGCTCACGCCTGTAATCCCAGCACCTTGGGAGGCTGAGGCAGGTGGATCACAAGGTCACGAGATCGAGACCATCCTGGCTAACAAGGTGAAACCCCGTCTCTACTAAAAATACAAAAAATTAGCCAGGCATGGTGGCGGGCGCCTATAGTCCCAGCTAGTCAGGAGGCTGAGGCAGGAGAATGGCGTGAACTCAGGAGGCGGAGCTTGCAGTGAGCTGAGATTGCACCACTGCACTCCAGCCTGGGTGACAGAGCGAGACTTCATCTCAAAAAAAAAGAAAAAGAAAACAAAAGAAAAGAAAACGGGAATCTATAAAGTCATAAATGTACTCATACCATAGGGGAAAGGAAAATAAGGAAAATTTGTTTTTCTTCTCCTTATGTGGAGGGAGTGCTGGGAGAGTCTCCAGAGCACATTCCTTTGAGCCCTGGCTTCTTAGATAATGTTATCGAGACTTTGCCTGGGTCTGGGCTTTGCCTGTTACTGACTTTGGGATGAGCCAGCCTAATACAGAAAGCTTGTTTTTTTGAACATATTTTTCTCTTTTTAATTTTATTTTTCTTTCTTTCTTTAATTCCCACCTCAGAACTGTTTCAAAACTTTTTAGCTATTCTAGGGCTTGTATGTTTCCAAACAAATTTTAGTATAAGTTTGTCTGCATCTACAACAACAACAACAAAGTTGCTTGGATTTTGATAGTAATTGTGTTAAAACTGTGTACCATTTGGGGAAAACGGGTGTCCTTACAATTGAGTCTTCTAGTCCATGAACATGCTATGCCTTTCCATTTATTTAGATCTTGTTTGATTTCTTTCATCAGCATTGTCTAGTTTTCATCATGTAAGTTCCGCACCTGTATTGGCAGATTCACACCAAAGTATTTTTGTGGAGCAATTATAAATAGTATTATATTTTAATTTCAGTGCCCACGTGTTCCTTGCTAGTATATAGAAATACAATTAATTTTGATATGTTGATATATCCTGCAACCTTGCTAAATTCACTTATTAGTTTTTTAGGAGTTTTTTGTTTGTTTTTGTTGTTTTATTCCTTTGGGCTTTCCATATAGTTAAATCACGTCATCTCAAAATAGGGACAAATTTTTCTTCTTTTCTGATTAGTATGCCTTTTAATTATTATTATTATTATTTTTTTTGAGACAGAGTCTTGCTCTTGTTGCCCAGGCTGGAGTGCAATGGCATAATCTCAGCTCACTGCAACTTCCGCCTCCCAGGTTCAAGCGATTCTCCTGCCTCAGCCTCCCAAGTAGCTGGGATTACAGGCACCTGCCACCATGCCCAGCTAATTTTGGTATGTTTAGTATAGACAGGATTTTGCCATGTTGGCCAGGCTGGTCTTGAACTCCTGACCTTGTGATCCGCCAGCCTCAGCCTCCCAAGGTGCTGGGATTACAGGCATGAGCCACCGTGCCTAGACTCTTTTTTAAACTTAATTATTTTTAATTTTTATGAGGACATAGAAGGTGTATATATTTATGGGGTCCATATATTTATGTTGATACAGGCATTCAATGTGTAATAATCACATCAGAGTAAATGGGATATCCATCATCACCTCAAGCATTTATCATTTCTATGTGTTACAAATATTTCAGTTATACTCTTTTTTTTTTTAATTCTTTTGAGATGAAGTCTCGCTCTGTCACCCAGGCTGGAGTGCAGTGGCACAATCTTGGCTCACTGCAAGCTCCACCTCCCAGGTTCATGCCATTCTCCTGCCTCAGCCTCCCAAGTAGCTGGGACTACAGGCACCCACCACCATGCCCAGCTAATTTTTTTTGCATCTTTAGTAGAGATGGGGTTTCACCCTGTCAGCCAAGATGGTCTCAATCTCCTGACCTTGTGATCCGCCCACCTTGGCCTCCCAAAGTGCTGGGATTACAGGCGTGAGCCACCGCGCCTGGCCTCTTTTAGTTATTTTTAAATGTACAATAAACTATTATTGATTGTAGTTACCCTGTTGCATTATCAAATACTAGATCTTATTCATTCTAACTAAATTTGTACCCATTAACCATTCCCACTCCCCCCAACCCCAATGCTACTACTCTTCCCAGCCTCTGGTAACCACCATTCTATTCTCCATGAGTTCAATTATTTAAAGTTTTAGCTCCTGCAAATGAGTGAGAGCATTTGAAGTTTGTCTTTCTATGCCTGCCCTATTTCATTTAACGTAATGTTCTCCAATTTCATCTATGTTGTTGCAAGTGACTGGATCTCATTCTTTTTCATGGCTGAAAAGTACTTCATCATGTATATATAACACATTTTCTTTATCCATTTGTCTGCTGATACACAGGTTGATTCCAAATCTTGGCTATTGTACCTTTGATTTCTTTTTCCTTATTGAAATAGAAATCTGTATCCCCAGATGGTTTCACTGGATAATTCTATCAAATGCTTAGATAATTAACACCAATTCTATATAATCTCTTCCAGAAAACAGAAAGCAAATCACTTCCAAATTTATTTTAAAGTTAAGAAAAAATAGTACATGCTGGGCCTGGTGGCTCACACCTGTAATCCCAGCAGTTTGGGAGGCTGACGTGGGCAGATCACTTGAGCTGAGGAATTTGAGACCAGCGTGGGCAACATGGTGAAACAATGTCTGTACAAAAAACAAAAATTATCCAGGCATGGTGGCATGCACCTGTAGTCCCAGCTACTTGGGAGGTTAATGTGGGAAGATTGCTTAGACCTGGGAGACAGAGGCTTCGGTGAGCTGAGATCACACCACTGCTCTCCAGACTGGGTGACAGAGTGAGACTCTGTCTAGAACTTGCAGTGTTTTGTTGAATAGTAGTAATGAGTGCCTTGTTGTTGATCTTAGAGAAAAAGCATTCAGTCTTTATTGAATATGATAGCCACATGATTTTTCTTTAAATATTTTTTATTCAGTTGAAGAAATTCCTCTCTAAGTTTTCTGGTGGTTTTTATCATGAATGGGTGTTGGACTTTGTCAAATGCCTTTTCTGCAGAATTCAATTGATAATCTCATGTGATTTTTCTTACTTAGCTTGTTAATATGGTGGATCACATTGATTGGTATTTGAACATTGAACCAGCCTTACATTTCTGGGATAAACTCCACTTGGTAATGGTGTATAATTATTTTTATATATCGCTGAATTCCATTTATGATATCTTGTTAAGAATTTTTGCACATATATTCATGACTCATGTTGGTCTATAGTTTTCTTTCTTTGTATTGTTTTCCTTTTCCTTTTTCTTCTTCTTTTTTTTTTTTTTTTTTAAGACAGAGTCTCACTCTGTCACCCAGTCTGGAGAGCAGTGGTGTGATCTCAGCTCACTGAAACCTCTGTCTCCCAGGTCTAAGCAATCTTCCCACATTAACCTCCCAAGTAGCTGGGACTACAGGTGCATGCCACCATGCCTGGATAATTTTTGTTTTTTGTACAGACATTGTTTCACCATGTTGCCCACACTGGTCTCAAATTCCTCAGCTCAAGTGATCTGCCCACGTCAGCCTCCCAAACTGCTGGGATTACAGGTGTGAGCCACCAGGCCCAGCATGTACTATTTTTTCTTAACTTTAAAATAAATTTGGAAGTGATTTGCTTTCCGTTTTCTGGAAGAGATTATATAGAATTGGTGTTAATTATCTAAGCATTTGATAGAATTATCCAGTGAAACCATCTGGGGATGTGGATTTCTATTTCAAAAATTATTTAACTACAAATTCAATGTCTTTAATAGTTATATGATTAATTGGATTATCTATTTCATTATAGATGGGTAGTGGGAGTTTGTTTTGTCTTGCTTTGCCTTGAGGAATTTGTCCATTTCATCTCACTTGTCAAATTATGTTTGTACAGGTGTTTGTAGTATTTCCTTATCTTTTTGATGTCTGCACGCTCTGTACTGATAACTCCTATTAATTTTTTCTTCACTCTTTTTCCCTTTGTCAGTCATGCTAGAAGCTTGTCGATTTTATTGATCTTTTAGAACTAGCTTTTAGTTTAATTTTCTAAATCTTTTCTGCTTTCAATTTTCTTTCTTTTTTTTTTTTTTTTTTTTTTGAGATGGAGTCTCACTCTGTCCTCCAGGCTGGAGTACAGTGGCATGATCTCTGCTCACTGCAACCTCTGCCTCCCGGGTTCAAGTCATTCTCCTGCCTCAGCCTCCCAAGTAGCTGGGACTACAGGCACACACCACCATGGCCGGCTAATTTTTGTATTTTTAGTAGAAACAGGCTTTGACCATGTTGGCCAGGCTGTTCTCGAACTCCTGACCTCAAGTGATCCATCCACCTCAGCCCCCCAAAGTGCAGGGATTACAGTCATGAGCCACTGCACTCGGCCTCTATTTTCATTGATTTATGTTCTGATATTTATTTCCATCTTTCAGCTTGCTTTGAAACAGAATTGCTAAGTAAGAAGGTTAACTTTTTTTTTTTTTTTGAGACAGAGGAGTCTCGCTGTGTCATCCAGGCTGGAGTGCAGTGACACCATCTCAGCTCACTGCAAGCTCCGCCTTCCCGGTTCACGCCATTCTCCTGCCTCAGCCTCCCGAGTAGCTGGGACTACATGTGCCCGCCACCACACCCGGCACGTTAGCCAGGATGGTCTGGATCTCCTGACCTCGTGATCAGCTCTCTCAGCCTCCCAAAGTGCTGGGATTACAGGCATGAAGCCACTGTGCCCGGCCTTTTTTTTTTTTTTTTTTTTTTGAGACAGAGTCTCACTCTGTCACCCAGGCTGGAGTTTAGTGGCGTGATCTCGGTTCACTGCAACCTCTGCCTTCCAGTTCAAACAGTTCTCCTGCCTCAGCCTCCCAAGTAGCTGGGACTACAGTTGCATGCCACCACACCCAGCTAACTTTAGTATTTTTAGTAGAAACGGGGTTTTATCATGTTGACCAGGCTGGTTTTGAACTCCTGACCTCAAGTGATCCAGAAATTGAGATATTCCCAGATAACTAAAATCTGAGTGAATTTATTAACACCAGAGCTGTCCTGCAAGAAATGACAGAGGAAGTCCATACAGAAATGAAGGAATACTACACAGCAACTCAAAGCTGTATAAAGAAATAAACAGGGAAGACATGGTGGCTCATGCCTGTAATCCCAGCACTTTGAGTGGCCTAGGTGAGTGGACTGCTTGAGCTCAGGAGATTGAGACCAGCCTGAGCACCATGGCAAAACCTTGTCTCTACAAAATATACAAAAAAAATGAGCTGGGTGTGGTTCCCATGCACCTGTAGTCCCAGCTACTCAAGAGGCTGAGGTGGGAGGATCGGATCACTTGAACCTGGGAGGTTGAGGCTGCAGTGAGCTATGATGGTGCCACTGTACTCTGGCCTGGGTGACAGAGCGAGAACCTGTCTCAAAAATAAATAAATAAATAAATAAATAAAAAGTAAAAAGAAATAAATATCTGTGGTAAAGGTAAATACATGGGTAATTATTATAATTATGGTTAATAACTCCACTTTTTATTTTCTACATGATTTCTGAGACAAATGCATAAATACAATTATTAGTCAATGTTACTGAGCACACAATATATAAAGATGTAATTTGTAACATCAATAAAAGAAAGTAGGAGGAATGAGCTGTATAGAAGCAGAGTTTTTTTGTTTTGTTTTGTTTTTTGTTTTTTGCTTTTTGAGACGGAGTCTTGCCCTGTCTCCCAGGCTGGAGTGCAGTGGCACAATCTCCGCTCACTGCAACCTCCGTCTCCCGGGTTCAAGCTGTTCTCCTGCCTCAGTCTCCCGAGTAGCTGGGACTACAGGCGTGTGTCACCATGCCCAGCAAATTTTTGTATGTTTTAGTAGAGACAGGGTTTCACCATGTTGGCCAGGATGGTCTCAATCTCTTGACCTCAGGATCCACCCGCCTCGGCCTCCCAAAGTGCTGGGATTACAGGCGTGAGCCACCACGCCCTGTCAGAAGCAGAGTTTTATACAGTATTGAAGTTAAAATTGTATTCAAATTTAGGATGTTAAAATAAATTCCCATGGTTATCTCAAAAAATCTATAAATTGTAGACAAAAGGAAATGAAGGCCAGACACAGTCGTTCATGCCTGTAATCTCAACACTTTGGGAGACTGAAACAGGCAGATTCCTTGAGCCCAGGAGTCTGAGAACAGCCTGGGCAACAACGTGAAACCCTGTTTCTACAAGAAGTACAAAAATTAATCAGGTGTAGTGGTGCATGTCTATAGTCCTAGCTACTCAGGAGGCTGAGGTAGGAGGATCACCTCAAGGAGACTGAGGAAGACTGAGGCTGCAGTGAGCCATGATCATGCCATTGCACTCCAGCCTGGGTGACAGAAACTGTCTCAAAAAAAAAACAAAAAAAAGCCTGGGCGTCGTGGCTCACGCCTGTAATCCCAGCACTTTGGTAGGCCGAGGCAGGTGGATTGCCTGAGCTCAGGCGTTCAAGACCAGCCTGGACAACACAGCAAAACCTGGTCTCTACTAAAATACAAAAAATTAGCCAGGCATGGCGGTGGGCACCTGTAGTCCCAGCTACTCAGGAGGCTGAGGCAGGAGAATCGCTTGAACCCTGGAGGTGGAAGTTGCAGTGAGCCAAGAGCACATCACTGCACTCCAGCCTGGGCGACAGTACAAGACTCCGTCTCCAAAAAAAGGTGGGGAAAAAGAAGCCAGCACAGTGGCTCACGCCTGCAATCCCAGCACTTTGGGAGGCCAAGGCAGGCAGATCACTTGAGGCCAGGAGTTTGAGACCAGCCTGGCCAACATGGCGAAACCCTGTCTCTACTAAAAAATATATAAATTAGCCGGGTGTGGTGGCACACGCCTGTAATCCCAGCTACTCAGGGGGCTGAGGCATGAGAATCACTTGAACCTGGGAGGTGGAGGTTGCAATAAGCCAAGATTGTGCCATTGCACTCCAGACTGGACTACAGAGTGAGACTCTGTCTCAAAAAAGCAAAAAAAGGAAATGAGAAGGGAATCAAAATGGTTCACTATTTAAAATAAACTAAACAAAGAAGATAGTAATGAAGGAAATGAGGTACAAAAAAAAAAAAAAACAACAACTGTAGGGCATATAGAAAACAAATAGCAAAATACCAAGAATTAAAATTCCCAGTTAAATGAGAGATTAGCAGAAGAATCGAAACACATGATTTTTATTTTATTTATTTATTTATTTATTTTTTGAGACAGAGTCTAGCTCTGTTGCCCAGGCTGGCTGGCAGTGGCATGATTTCCACTCACTGCAAACTCTGCCTTCCAGATTCAAGCGATTCTCATGCCTCAGCCTCCTGAGTAGCTCAGACTGAAGGTGCGTGTCACCACGCCCAGCTAATGTTTATATTTTTAGTACCAATGTGCTTTTGCCATGTTGGCCACGCTGGTCTCAAACTCTTGGCCTCAAGTGATCCACCCGCCTAGGCCTCCCAAAGTGCTGGGATTACAGGCGTGAGCCAACATGCCTGGCTAGAAACACATGATTTAAATACAGGCTGCCTATAAGAGATGTTCACTTTCCATTAAAGATGCAAATAGGTTAAAAGTAAAAGGATTGAAAAAGATATCCTATACAAATATTAAATACAGGACAGCTGGACTGGCTATGCTAATATCAGATATAATAAACTTTAAATTAAAAAGATTACAAAAGATAAGAATATTATATATTAACAAACGGTTCAATATATCAATAAGATATAAGAATCATATAGATTTACACACCTAATAGCAAACCCTCAATATATATGAAGCAAAAATGGACAGAAATGAAGGGAAAAAGATAGTTCTGCAATAATTGTTAGAGACTTCAATCGCCAACTTTCTTTTTTTTTTTTTTTTTTTTTGAGACAGAGTCTCACTCTGCTGCCCAGGCTGGAGTGCAGTGGCACGATCTCAGCTCACTTCAAGCTCCGCCTCTCGGGTTCATGCCATTCTCCTGCCTCAGCCTCCCCAGTAGCTGGGACTACAGGCACACACCACCATGCCTGGCTAATTTTTTGTATTTTTAGTAGAGATGGGGTTTCACCATGTTAGCTAGGATGGTCTCGATCTTCTGGCCTCGTGATCCACCCGCTTTCACCTCCCAAAGTGCTAGGATTACAGGCGTGAGCCACCACGCCCGGCCTTCAACTGCCAAATTTCAATGATAGGTATAGAGCAATCAGATGAGACGGTAACTAAAGAAACAGAGGACTTAACACAATAAACCCCAATTAAACCTAACAGGCGTAAACAGATTACTTCACCCAAAACATGACATTAACAGAATGAATGGGAAAAACTACATGATTATCTCAATGATGCAGAAAAAGCATTTGATAAAATTCAACAGTCTTTTATGATAAAACACTCAACAAACTAGTAATAGAAGAAAATTGCCTCAACACAATAATGGCAAGCTTTTCCACTAAAATCAGGAAGAAGACAAGGATGCCTACTCTTGCCACTTCTATTCTACATAGGAAGGAATCTCTAGCCACAGCAGTTAGACAAGAAAAAGAAATATAAGGCATGCAAATTGGAAAGGAAAAAAGATGATCTGTGTTCACAGATGACACAATCTTAAATCAAGGATTACACACACGCACATACACACACACACACACATGCATACACAGTGGTTACAACTAAGAAGTGAATCCAGCAAAGTAGCAGGATACCAAATCAATAAACAGGCATGAACAACCATGTCTGGCTCGTTGGGTCATTTCTTATGGTTAACTGTTCCATGAAGATATTTTCTAGTCTCTCTTATTAAAATACTTTTGAGGCTGAGTGTGGTGGCTCATGGCTGTAATCACAGCGCATTGGGAGGCTGTGGCAGGTAGATGGCTTGAGCCCAGGAGCTCGAAACCAGCCTGGGCAACATGGCAAAACCCTGTCTCTACAAAAAATTAAAAAATTAGTCAGGTGTAGTGGTGCATGCTTATTGTCTCTGCTACTTGGGAGGCCGAGGTGAGATGATCACCTGAACCTGGGAAGTTGAGGCTGCAGTTAGCCATGATCATGCAACTACACTCCGGCCTGGGCAATGTGAGTGAGATTCTGTCTTTAAAAAATCACGTTTTAGTAAATACAGATGTATATATTTGTAAGTATGTATTTTGTAAATATAAATATATCACAAGGAAACCTATACACATGTTGTAGCAGTGTTGGGTTTTTTTGAGAGAGAGTCTCACTCTGTTGCCCAGGATGGAGTGCAGTGGTGCGATCTCAGCTCACTGCAACATCCGCCTTCCAGGTTCAAGCGATTCTTGTGCCTCAACCTTCTGAGTAGCTGGGACTACAGGCGTGCACTACCATGGCTGGCTAATCTTCTTCTTGTATTTTTAGTCAAGACAGGGTTTCACCCTGTTGGCTATGCTCGTCTTGAACTTCTGACCTCAGGTGATCCGCCTGCCTTGGCCTCCCAAAGTGCTGGAATTACAGGTGTGAGCCACCACACCAGGCCAATATACATGTTGTAGCAGTTTTTAAAATATTTCCACAAATACTTTGATATTTATGATGGTTATGTGTCAACTTGCTTGACTGGGTCACACAGTGCCCAGATATTTGATTAAACGTTATTCTGGCTGTGTATGTAAGGGCATTTCTAGATGAGATTAACGTGAGGAGTGGGGTGCTGCTTGTAAGAAATACCTAAAAAATGTGGAAATGACAGGGCGCAGTGGCTCATGCTTGTAATCCCAGCACTTTGGGAGACCAAGGCGGGTGGATCACCTGAGGTCAGGAGTTCGAGATCAGCCTGGCCAACATGATGAAAACCCTGTCTCTGCTAAAAATACAGAAAAATTAGCCAGGTGTGGTGGCTGAGGCAGGAGAATTGCTTGACCTGAGAGGTGGAGGTTGCAGTGAGCCAAGACTGCGCCACTGCACTCCAGCCTGGGCAACAAGAGCAAAACTCCATTCACTGGGAGGCTGAGGAATGAGAATTGCTGAAGCCCAGGAGGAAGAGGTCGTAGTGAGCCGAGATCACATCACTGCACTCCAGCCTGGGCAAGAAGAGTGAAACTCTGTCTCAAAAAAAATAATAATAACAACTAAAATTCAGCAGAAAGTACGGGCAACTTGTTTGGCCCATACCATACCTCATCTTTTGGGGAATCTATTCCCCCCCTTTTGTTTCCCAATCTTTTTGTTCTGATTTTAGGGCTCTGAATTGAGCTAATTTTATGTCAAATTCAGGTCCTTCCTTAAAAGTTAACACAGGTTGGTTCTCTTGTTTAGATGTGTTTAGAGCAGCTCTATTTGCTACTTATCAGCTAGCTGATATCCTCTGCTTTCTGGAGTATCTGATTTGGAATGACCCAAAATTTTAATAATGGCCAGGGATTTTTTCTAGTAGTCATGAAATAAGAAGTTTGTTTTTTATGGATTGGCCTTAAGAGGTTACGAACACTCTTTGCTTCTATAACATTTCCAAATCATGGGCTACTCCAAAAGTATGTCTACTGTCTGTATAAATATTAGCACATATTCTTTTTGCCAATTGACAGGCCTATTCAATGCTATTAATTCCTTTTATTGAGCTGAGATGGCTTTCAGAAAATAGGCACTTTCTATTTCCTCACTTAAAGACATTATAGTGCAACCTGCTTGGTAGATTCAAGATTCATCCTTCAAGTAACATCCATCTGTGAACCAAATAGCATCAGTATTCATAAAGGGAGTCTCTTGGAGGTCTGACCTAGAAGAAAAATGTTGATCACTTAGAGCTATGCAGTTGTGTGGCATTTCATGTAAAAATGAAGGCAAAAGAATGCAGGGCTTACATCGTTACACTAGAGATGATGATATGAGAAGCTAAAATAAGCAACATCTCATATGAAGCCAGTCTACTAACTGAATAATGTTAAGTATGGCGTGAGTATAGCAATACCTCCACAGAATAAGGGATGAAGATAGTAAGGGGTGTTCCCATGACAATTTCTTCAGTTGCCCTAATGAACAAATGGTGGCTGTTATGGCTCTCATACAAGGTGGGAGTCCTTTTGCTACAGTGTCTAATTGTTGGCTCTAATACCCTATAGGTCTATTTTGAACTCTTTTTTTGGGTTAGGACCCCTAAAGTGTTGTTTCCACCACTTTCATACACAAATAATGAAATGTTATAATTTGGATGCCCCAAAGCTGGAGTGTTAGCAAGGTCATTTTTGATCATTTCTCCTTTCTTTTCTTTTCTTTTTTTTTTTTTTTTTTTGAGACAGAGTCTCACTGTGTTGCCCAGGCTGGAGTACAGTGGTATGATCTTGGCTCACTACAACCTCCATCTTTGAGGTTCAAGTGATTCTTGTGCCTCAGCCTCCTAAGTAGTTGGGACTACAGGAGTGTGCCACCACACCCCACTAATTTTTGTACTTTTTAGTAGAGACAGGGTTTCATCACATTGGCCAGACTGGTCTCAAACTCCTGACCTCAAGCAATCTGCCCACCTCGGCCTCCCAAAGTGCTGGGATTACAGGAGTGAACAACCACGCCCAACCTATTTTTGATCATTTCTAATATTAGTTGAATTTCTTCTGTCCAATCTAGAGAGTCTGGCATGTCTTATCTTAAGAGAGCATGTAAGGGCAGAGCTTTTAAAGAAAAGTTTAGAGTATAATTTCTACAAAATTCTGCTAGTCCCTAAAACATTAACTGTTTCTTGGTTCTCAGTGTCAGAACAGCTACAATTGCATTCAATCTATCGGGATTAATAGAAAGTCATTCCTTGGATATTAGGTGGCCTAAGTAGTTGTTTTGGTTTTTTTGTTTTGTTTTTACAAAATTGAAGTTTTTCTTTAGACACTTTATGATCCATTAGGGCCAATTGTAACAGGTGTATTCCATCTACTGTGGAAGCCTATTTGTTATCTAAGCAAAGACGTAAATCATCTATGTATTGTATTCAGACAGGCTTCTCAGCCAGGCATGGTGGCTCATGCCTGTAAGTCCAACACTTTGACTTTGGGAGGCCAAGGCGGGAGGATGACTCAGGATCAGTCAGGAGTTTGAGACCAGCCTGGGCAACATAGTAAGAGCGCATCTCTACAAAAAGTTAAAAAAAGTAGCCGTGCATGGGGGTGCATGCCTCTGGCCCCAGCTACTTGGGAGCCTGAGTGGGAGGATCACTTGAGCCCAGGAGGCCGAAGCTACAGTGATACGTAATAGCGCCACTGCACTCCAGTCTAGGCGACAGAGTGAGACCCTGTCTCCAAAAAAAAAAAAAAAAAAAAAAAGCTGTGGTATGCTTATAATCCTATGCCTATAATCCCAGAATTTTGGGAGGCCAAGGCAGGCAGATTACTTGAACCCAGGAGTTTTCTTGAGACCAGTCTGGGCAACAAGGCAAACCCTGTCTCTACAAAAAAAAAAAAAAAAAAAAAAAAAGGACAACCAGAAATTAGCCAGGCATGGTGGCTTGTATTGTGTAGTCCCAGGTACTCTGGAGGCTGAGGTGGGAGGATCACTTGAGCCTGGGAGTTCAAGGCTACAGTGAGCTATGATTGTGACACTGCAATCCAGCCTGGGCAACAGAGCAAGACTGTCTCAAAAAAAAAAATAGACAGGCTTCTCAATGAAGTTATCATCTGAGAGGTCTTTTATTAATGTTTGTGAAAAGTAAGTGAGGCTTTCAGTGTATCCTGGAGCATGAATGTCCAAGTATATTGTCTGTCTTCCCAAGTAAAGGCAAAGAGAAATTGGCCAGTTTTATCTATAGGAATGCTAAAGAATGCACTGCATAAATCTATGACTGTAAAAAGTTCTGCATTCATGGTGGCTCACACCTGTAATCCCAGCAATTTAGGAGGCCAAGGCAGGCAGATCACGAGGTCAAGAGATCAAGACCATCCTGGCCAACATGCTGAAACCATCCCTACTAAAAATACAAAAATTAGCTGGGCATGATGGCGCATGTCTGTAGTCCCAGCTACTCAGGAGGCTGAGGCAGGAGAATCACTTGAACCCAAGAAGCAGAGGTTGCAGTGAGCCGAGATCACACCACTGCACTCCAGCCTGGCAACAAAGCGAGACTCCGATACACGCACACACAAAATAATAAATTCTGCATTCAATGGAATAGATATGAGCAATGTGTGAGGATTAGGCACTACCGGATGCTGTGGAATTATGTCGTTTATTGCTATCAAATTCTGTACAAGTCTCCATCCTCTACCATTTGGTTTTCTTAACGGGGAATTGGTGTATTATGAGGGCTTGTATAGAGAATGATCAGTCCTTTTTTTTCTTTCTTTCTTTTTCTTTCTTTTTTCTTTTTTTTTTAGGTGGAGTCTCACTCTGTCACTAGGCTGGAGTGCAGTGGCGCAATCTTGGCTCACTGCAATCTCTGCATCCCGGGTTCAAGTGATTCTCCTGCCTTAGCCTCCCAAGTAGCTGGGACTACAGGTGTATGCCACCACACCTGGCTAATTTTTTTTTTTTTTGTATTTTTAGTAGAGATGGGGTTTTGCCACATTGGCCAGGCTGGTCTCAAACTCCTGACCTCAGACTAACTGCCTGCCTCAGCCTCCCAAAGTGCTGGGATTACAGGTGTGAGCCACCGTGCCCAGCCTGATCAGTCCTCTTTTTATATAATCTGAAATCATAGGTTTTACCCCTCCTAAGGTTATCGTGGGATAGTATCTGATATTTGGAAGGGGTTTTGATGAATATTATGAGATGTTATTGAAGTAGCTGAAACAATAGTTTCTGTATCAGTGAAGGACTTTGACCACAATCAATCAAGTACTACCTTTAGTAGGTTTTCTAATTCTTCATTGCTTAATAATTCAGTGTCCTCAATGGTGAGATGGATAGTAACTGGATTAAATTTTTAAAAATTTTTTGCTTGTGTCTGTTAATTCTGTTGTGTCATCCATACCATCTAATTCTAAATATATTTCCCACTTCTGGGAGAAAGAAATATAGGCATTATATAGTTTTAAGAAGTCTCTTCCTATCAGATGGATGGGGGCTGATGGAACCAAAAGGAAAACATGATTCCCTTGTAAGATACCTAGTTGAGAAGTTGCAGGGTGAGACTTGTGTGCTGATATGGAAGTATTTGTGACACCTACCATTTAGACCGAGTGTTTACCCTCAGAAATGTTTACCCCGACTTTGTGATAAGGTTAGATTTATTACAGATAATGTTGCTCAGTATCAACAAGGACTTGGTATTGTTCTTTACTTAAAATAATTTCTATTGAGGCCGGGCATGGTGGCTCACACCTGTAATCACAGCACTTTGAGAGGCTAAGGCAAACCGATCATGAGGCCATGAGTTTGAGATCAGCCTGACCAACATGGTGAAAACCCACCTCTACGAAAAATACAAAAATTAGCTGGACATGGTGGCACATGCTTGTAATCCCAGCTACTCAGGAGGCTGAGTCAGTAGAATTGCTTGAACCCAGGAAGTGGAGGTTGCAGTAGCCCGAGATTACACCACTGCACTCCCTGGGAGACAGAGCGAAGACTCCTCTCAAATAAATAAATAAATAAATAAATTCTATTTTTCCCAGAATATTAGTAAGCAGAAAAGGAAAGCTCCCTTTAAATTTCTTGGAGCACCTCTATTCCGTATTTTCCTCCTTCATCTGTTGTCATTCCTTCTGTTTTAGTTTTCAGTAATCTTTTTTGGAAAGTGGCCAGTTTTATTGTAGTTATTACAGATTGAAGGATTAGACCTGTTCAAAGGTTTATTGGGGTATTTTGACTGTCTACACTTGGTGGATACTTGTTTTAGTTGCAAATTCATAACTTTACTCACTTTATTCTTTGGTATGGCCTCTTTATCTTTTTCTTCTTTAAAGTACACAACGACCCGTCAGCAAGATTAATCAAATCATGGGTTTGAGAAGTGGCCCAACTAAGGCACTGTCTCTTTACTATTAGAGTGAATTCTTTATCTAGAACATTCATAAAGTTGGAGTTGAGGAAAGTATCTTTTCTTTTTCTTTTTTTGAGATAGAGTCTCCCTCTGTCGCCTAGGGTGGAGGCAATGGCGCAACTTGGCTCACTGCAACCTCCACCTCCTGGGTTCAAGTGATTCTTCTGCCTCAGCCTCCCAAGTAGCTGGGATTACAGGTGCATGCCACCACGCCTGGCTAATTTTTGTATTTTTAGTAGAGACGAGGTTTTACCATATTGGTCAGGCTGGTCTCGAACTCCTGACCTCAGGTGATCCACCCACCTCGGCCTCCCAAAGTGCTGGCATTACAGGTGTGAGCCACGGCACCCAGCCCAGGAAAGTATCATTTTTATGATTAGCATCACTCACCTCACATAAGCCTGAATATTGTCTAAAAGTCTTTTTACATCTTTCAAAGTATAACATAACTGACTCTGGATTTTGTATATATGGTTATATTTTATGCCAGTTGACTACCTTTTGTTTGTTTGGTTTTTTTTTTTGAGATGGAGTCTTGCTCTGTCGCCCAGGCTGGAGTGCAGTGGTGCGATCTCGGCTCACTGCAAGCTCCTCCTCCGATGTTCACGCCATTCTCCTGCCTCAGCCTCCCGAGTAGCTGGGACTACAGGCGCCTGCCACCACGTCCAGCTAATTTTTTTTTTTTTTTTTTTGTATTTTTTTAGTAGAGATGGGGGTTTCACCGTGTTAGCCAGGATGGTCTTGATCTCCTGACCTTGTGATCCGCCTGCCTCGGCCTCCCAAAGTGCTGGGATTACAGGCGTGAGCCACCGTGCCCAGCCTTTAGGCAATCTTTTATTTTCCTCCTGCAGTGAAGTAACTTTATCAGAACCTCTTCTGGATGCTTCTAAATACCTCTAAAAATAAATCTCCCAATTATTCTATTTTATCCTAGAACCCGATTTTTCTTTTTCTTTTTTATTTTCTTTTTTTTGAGACGGAGTTTCGCTGTTGTTGCCCAGGCTGGAGTGCAATGACGCCTAATCTCAGCTCACCGCAAGCTCCGCCTCCTGGGTTCAAGCGATTCTCCTGCCTCAGCCTCCTGAGTAGCTGGGAATAAAGGCATGTGCCACCGCACCCGGCTAATTTTTTTTTATTTTTAGTAGAGATGGGGTTTCTGCATGTTGGTTATGCTGGTCCCGAACTCCTGACCTCAGGTGATCCGCCCGCCTCGGCCTCCCAAAGTGCTGGGATTACAGGCGTGAGCCACGGTGCCCGGCCAGAACCGGATTTTTCTAATTGAGCACACAAATAATTTAGTTTAGGCATTTCAAAGTACCCTACTTTGGCCATTGCAATTTTGGTTCTTCGTGAGTTCTTCAAGAGACAATTTTTCTAAATAATGACAAGAAGTAAAACCGTAAGTACTGTACAGGTATCCAGCTGGAGTCTCTAAAGATGGACCTCTCCACAAGGAGGACTCTATTTTAGATAGCTGATCGCCTATAATTTGTATTCTCCTCTTAAGTGAAAGGGAAAGATGTTTTGGATCAAATGTATTATTTATGGGAATAGCTCCCCCGTGTGTTACCCTTGGATCAGTTCTTTCCTCTTATGTGTCTCAGTGAAACCCAGAAATTCTGGGAGCTTAAGGCACTGGGACATCAGTACCTTATATATATTTACTGAATTTAAGCAAATTTCCCTGTATGTTCTTCTTTGGGGATCCCCTGTGTGACCATTTCTCATCACAAGTGATAATCTCTGGCACTCCTACAAGACCTCAGTCACCTAAGGTGCCTTTTGGTCAGGATGAACAGTGTACGTTGCCTTCAGGACTTATCACATTCTCATAAAGATTTTTTTTTAATTAATTATTTTTTTTTTATTTTTATTTATTTTATTTTTTTGCAGAGACAGGGTCTCACTATGTTGCCCATGCTGGTCTCGAACTCCTGGTCTCAAGTGATCCTCCAGCGTCGGCCTCCCAAAGTGCTAAGATTACAGGAGTGAGCCACTGTGCCCAGCCAATAAAGGTCTTTTATAAATTTTTGGTCACTCAAAAAAAGAATTTAAATGTGCCAAATTGAACTGAGCTTCAAAACCTGGCTAGTTTAAGGTCACAATTTTGCTTAAGCCACAGAAATTCATATCTTATTAAAGGGAAACTGCTTTTCCTTTAACCAGATTTTGCATGAGAGAAAAGGTTGCAAACTTTAGCAAGTAAGGCAAACAAAACCTTAACCTTAAAAAAGAATGAAACCGTAAACCTGCAAACAACAGAATCTCTCGAGAGATAAGAAATGAAACTCCTACCTTAAAGATTTAAAGTAGAACTTTAATTCCAGCCCCATTGAGTATGGAATCAGGTCATTTGAACAATATACGAATCTCATCTAAGCCAGGGAGATTCAAAATGCAAGAGGGGTCTCACTTAGGGCTCCCATAAACTCCAGCAACAGTCTGTACTGGTACCACCTATCTGTTAGCAAAACAGCAGGAGTCAGTGGCAGAAGCTAACTTCAGGTCCCATCTGGGTCACTAGTATGTCAACCTGAAATAATTTAAAGCATCAGAATCCAGTTTAAGAGTTTATGCAAGCACAAAGTTGAGGATGAATATCCGGAAATACAGACCCCAAAGGAATGGGGTCAGTGATCCCAAGCTGAAAGGTTATGGTCTTACTTATATAGGCAGCAAACAAAGAAATTTAACAGAATTACATTTTTCATACAAGGGTAGTTTATGAGTTACTGCAACTTTATTAGTTATAGCTTGTTTTCTTTCCCAATTTAAAGGAGTATAAGAGAATATTTAACATTTTATTTTAGACAATGTGATAGTTGTGAGGTCATTGTGTAAGAGAAGAAAGAAGGAAGCTAATCTATAATGAAGATCAACAGTTAAGAGAGAAAGGGTCTTCTCTGGCATCCTTTAGTCTTTTACAACATTTTATAAAACAATGTAGGTAAAGAAAAAGCTAATCCATAATTAGAGGAACAAAGGTTACAGCTGCCTAGGTTACAGCTGCCTGTTGTATGACTTGGGCCTCATAACCACATTTCTTTAAGGTTCAAAATAATTTAAAGTTCCAACCACTTTGATTTTGAATTTCTTATTTTCACATAACAAACAACCTCAACATCTCTGTAGTTTATAATCTCATTTACTTATTTTTTCTCACTCACAGGTCAGTGGTTCAGTTGGAGTTTGGCCAATCTTAGCTAATCTTGCATCCAAGATGCAGACTGGGCTGAGATCTACTTTATACATGCCATCCTGAGCTCCAAGCTCAAAAGGCAATGGCTAGGGGGGACAAATTGTACTCACGGACACAACAGAAGTGCAAGAGTGCAATCCAAACAATGTGGGACAGTTAAATTTCTGCTCATATCACACTTCTAACATCCAATGAGCTGAAGCAAGGCACAGGGTGAAACCTGGAACCAAGGGGTGAAGAAGCACCCTCAATCCACTACAAAGCCATGGCAAGAGTGCAGAGGAATAGAACTCTTACAAGGCCTTAAGACTTGGGACCAATTATTCAATCAACTACAAATCTAACCTTTTTTATACCCCTTTCTCAGATGATGCCTGGATTACCCCAGTTCTGACTTACTATAGATTTTATATATTTAAATTCTGACTTTTTTTTTTTTTTTGAGACAGAGTTTCACTCTGTTGCCCAGACTAAAGTGCAGTGGCACGATCTTGGCTCACTGCAAGCTCTGCCTCTGGGGTTCACGCCATTCTCCTGCCTCAGCCTCCCGAGTAGCTGGGACTACAGGCGCCTGCCACCACGCCCGGCTAATTTTTTGTATTTTTAGTAGAGACGGGGTTTCACCATGTTAGCCAGGATGGTCTCGATCTCCTGACCTCGTGATCCACCGGCCTCGGCCTCCCAAAGTGCTGGGATTACAGGCCTGAGCCACCGCGCCCGGCCTAAATTCTGACATATTTTTAATCCCAGAAGGCTTTATTATTTTTGTGTCATGCAGTTAACTTTCATTTAGATTTACCAATATATACTTTTTGTTGAATTTTATCCATTCTATATCTCTGAGCTTCCACTTGAGAACATTTTATTTTGACCTGATAAAAACCCATTAGTATTTCCTTTAGTTTAGATCTTTTGGTAACAAATTTTCTCAGATCTTGTTTGTCTGCCAATGTCATTATTTTCTTTATTTTCCCTTCCATTCCCTTCTTCTCTTCTTCCTTTCCTTTCCCTTCTTCCCTCCCTCCCTTCCTTTCTCCCTTCCTTTCCCTTCCCTTTTCTTTTTTGAGACAGAGTCTCACTCTGTGTTGCCCAGGCTGGAGTGAAGTAGTGCCATCTCAGCTCACTGCAACCTCCGCCTCCCGGGTTCAAGCAATTCTCCTGCCTCAGCCTCCTGAGTAGCTGGGGCTACAGGCATGCGCCACCATGCCCAGGTAATTTTTGTATTTTTAGTAGAGACGGGGTTTTAGCACAGATGGGGTTTCGCCATGTTGGCCAGGCTGGTCTCGAACTCCTGACCTCAAGTGATCTGCCCACCTTGGCCTCCCAGAGTGCTGGGATTATAGGCGTTAGTCACCACGCCCAGCCTAATGTTGACATGGAAGTGCTGGGTAGAGAAGGATGTGGTCCCTTTAAATGCTATGGAAAAGGGGAAGGGAAGCGCTGGGTAGAGGAGGGCGTGGCCCCTGGCTAGGGCTCCACCCCCCACGGACCTAGGTGAGGACAGGCATTTTCTGCCCAAATGTTGTATTTCTCAAGACCACCCTGGCCTGCCGTGCCCCCATCCTGTGCCTATAAAAACCCCAGAGACCCTAGCTGGCAGACACACAGGTGGCTGGACGTTGAGGGGAGGGGAGCGACACACAGGTAGCTGGACATCCAGAGGAAGGCACTGACAGGAACCAGCATGCTGGTGAAGCTGAACAACGTGGAGTTTGGCTGGGGCAGTTGGAGGAGAGCCCAGGGCTGGTGAGCAGTGCAATTCCAGGGAAAATCCTTCCCACTCCATCCCCTTCTGACTTCCCTTTCAGCTTCTGCTAAGAGCTACTTCCACTCAATAAAACCTTGCACCCATTCTCCAAGCTCAGATGTGATCTGATTCTTCTGGTACACCAAGGCGAGAACCCGGGATACAGAAAGCCCTCTGTCCATGCGACAAGTAGAGGCACTAATTGAGCTGGTTAACACAAGTCGCCTATAGACGGCAAAACTAAAAGATCACCCTGTAACACACGCCCACTGGGGCTTCAGGAGCTGTAAATATTCACTCCTAGACACTGTTGTGGGGTTGGAGCCCTACAGCCTGTCCGTCCATACGCTCCCCTCGAGGTTTGAGCAGTGGGGCACTGAAGAAGCGCGCTACACCCCCATCGCATGCCCTGCAAGGGGGACAAGGGAACTTTTCCAGTTTCAACCTCATTATTTTATTTGACCACTTTGAAGATACGATTATTCTGCTTCATTGTTTGAGAAGTCAGTAGTTAAGCTTAATTATCTCTCCCTAGAAAGTAATCCATTGTTTTCCCTCTGGCTTCTTTTAAGTTTTTTTTCCCTAGTTTTGAGCTATTTCATTATGATATGCCTAAGTGTATTTTGCCTTAATTTACACATTCCAATTAAAATCTGTAATGTTTCTGGAAACTGAAGATTGATATCCTTCATTAATTTTCAAACCCTAAGCCATTATCTCTTTAGATATTGCTTCTGTCTCTTTCTCTATACTTCTAGGACTTCAGTTACCTGTATGTTAGACCTCTACATGTATCCTCTATATCTAATTTATTCATATGCTTTATTTTCTGTCCTTTTATCTCTGTGCTTTAATTTAGATATACTCTTCTGACTTAACTCTACCATCACTAGCTTTCTCTTTTCAGAGGTGTGTAATATGCTAACACTATCTGGTGAATTTTCACAATTTCAGTTCTAGAATTTCCATTTGGTTCTTTATAATTTACAGGCTTGTGATAAAATTCTTAACCTTGTCTTTTATCCTCTTAACCATATTAAGCATAATTATTTAAAAGTCTTTGTGAAAACTCCATTTTTTGATCCCCTAGAGCTCACTTGTCTGTTACTGTTCTTGTTTTTGTTTCAGATACAGGGCCTCATTCTATCACCGAGGCTAGAGTGCAGCAGTGTGATCTTGGCTCACTGCAGCCTTGACCTCCTGGGCTCAAGCCATCCTCCTGCCTCAGACTCTGGAGGTGCATGCTCAGCTAATTATTATTATTATTAGTTTTTTAGAAACAGGGTGTCACTATGTTGTCCAGGCTTGCTCTTGTTTTTTGCAACCATTTTGTCTTTTCTCCTTGGATGCCTACTTATTTTTGATTCAGTGTTGAACACTGCATATGAACAATTGTAGAAGTAATTTGAGACCATGGATGAGGTTATCATTCCCAGGGAAGATTTACATTTGCTGCTGGCAAGGACTGACATGATTTGAATGGAGTCCCAAACAACTTGTGGTCCCAAAACAGTACAGTGGGATACCTCCTTGGTGGTACCAAGCCTCCAAATTTTGTCGTCCTAGGGCAATGAGAGTGTTAAAAGTGCTGCTCAGAGTCCTAGTGTCTCAAACATTCATCTGGAATTGGCAGATGCCTTTCAAGAAAAAGCAGCCATAAACCACTCACCTCTCTCATGTCCTTTCTCTCTGATATTGGCCTCATAATTATTCACTGCCTTTTTAGTTCTCTGAAGCTGTCTGAAAACTAAAGTCCTCCAGTGACTTTTTCTTTTTTAAAGACAGGGTCTTTCTCTGTTGCCCAGGCTGGAGTATAGTGGTACGATCATAGCTTACTGTAACCTTGAGCTCATGGGCTCAAGTGATCCTCCTGTTGCAGCCTCCCAACTAGGCCTATAGACATGCATCACCATGCCCTGTTAATTTTTAAATTTTTTTGAAGAGATGGGGTTGACCAGGCTGGTCTTGAACTCCTGGGCTCAAGCAATCCTCCTACCTCAGCCTCCCAAAGCGCTGCGATTATACGCCTCCACAGACTTTTCAATTCCACCTATAGGAAAGTCCCATGGGAATTGGAATTTAGCTATAACATGTCGTTTCTTGTACCAGTTATTAAATAATGTCTTTCAGCTCTATTCTCCCTTCCCACCTCTAGACACTGCTTCTGATGCCAGGGCTGAGACTCTAAAAAACATATTTCTCATTGGCAAATAAAGAAGATCTGATCTAATATTCCCTATTAGACTAAGCTGATAGGTTGATAGAGGGAGACCACAGGGCCACTTCCTGTGAGCATCACCCCAGCTAGGCTTCTTCAACAAGGCAGCAGCACATTCTTCCCACAGAAGCTGAATCCAGTTTAAGTTTTTCCAAGACTTGCAGAACCAGCCTCAGTATGCCTTCTCCTTAGAGATCTGGGTGAGAGTCTCCCAGTGCCCTCTTTAGAGGGCTTACTCCCAGCTCCACAGCCACCCCTCATCCATAGTGTGTGTCTAAGTCCCGTAGGGACCCTCCTCAGAGGTCTGAGTCCCATCCCCATGGGATCTCTCCTCTGGGCTCAATGACCCCAGCCCCAGCTGGTCAACACACCTCCTCAGAGATCTGAATTCCAGCTCTGCAAGCCCTTCCTTTAAGCTGTAATAATTCCAGCTTCTCTTTCATCTTTGAGCTCTAGGGGTGGTAGCTGTGTCCTATGTTTGTAACTCCATATCTTGGGATTTTCTTTTTATTATTTTAAATTTACTTCCTGTTAACTATTGTTTATATTCAGTTCCCTTTGTTTAAATAACTGATGCACTTTCTCTCTCTTCTGTGGTTTGAAGGTTTGTGTCCCCTTCAAAATTAATGTTGAAACTTAATCCCGGGCCAGGCGCGGTGGCTCACACCTGTAATCCCAGCACTTTGGAAGGCCGAGGTGGATGGATCACCTGAGGCCAGGAGTTTGAGACCAGCCTGGTCAACATGGTGAGACCCTGTCTCTACTAAAAATGAAAAATTAGCCAGGTGCGGTGGCGTGCGCCTGTAGTCCCAGCTACTTGGGAGGCTGAGGCAGGAGAATGGCTGGAACCTGAGAGGCAGAGGTTGCAGTGAGCAGAGATCGTGCCACTGCACACCAGCCTGGGCGACAGAGCGAGACTCTTGTCTCAAAAAAAAAAAAAAAAAAAAAAGAATTGAAAGGTTTTTTTAGGGTTACTTAGCAAGTTACCTACAAGTGGTGAGAATATTAAAGTCCCTTTCAAGTCAGAACATTTAATTTTTTTACAAGTATATTAACAACTTTATTTCCTGTTAACTACAACTATCACTTATATTCACTTCTGTCTATTCAAATAACTGTTGTGCTTTCTGTCTCTTCTATGGTTTGAAGAGACAGAAAGATTTGTGTCTCCTCTAAAATTAATGTTGAAACTTAATCCCCACTTGAGGTCCCGACGTATTAACAATCCTGTCACTTTGCTTAACTATGATTTTCTTAAATTCTTTCTTTTAGGGTATAAAATTTTAGTTTTAATCCCCAAAAAGCCCTGGGGAAGGTGATTTAGGGAGTGATGGTATTAATTACTAAAAAATTTATATAATGTTTGGGGTAAAGGGTACTTGGAGTCACAGGCATCATTGCCAAAATAAAGAGATTTGGGAAATGTAGTACTAACCACAGCAAAACCCAGCTCTATATTTAGCGGATGAGGCCACATGGATTTTAGAAAGGGCGGGCTGCAGAGGTCTTGGCTAATACTGGAAAAGAGATTTAATTTGAAAGTGAACAGTCTGTTCTATTCCTTAACATATTTTTGGCTACTAGATGGTCAAGCCATTGCGCAAATAATTGCACCATCCTTGTCTTATTCAAGGTGGGCCGTTCATTTCTTAAAATTACCAGTGAGCAACATGGGAAGCAGCAGAGACGGCTATCGATTACCCCGTAGGGAGTGCCTGTGCTGAATGCCAAGGGCTTCCCTTTCCTGACAGACATCTTTTATGCAGCTGAATCATCTGTATGCAAAACATCAGCCAACGGTGCCTCGGAAAAACAACTGGCTGCTGGGCAAACCAGGTGTGGGCTCCAGCTTCCACCTGCTACTACTGTCGTGCAGCCACGGGCACTCTGGGTGATCCTCACTGGCCTGGGGCTGGTCATCTGCTGCTAGATGACCTTCGCTGACTCTCTACATTGATATTCCGACACAGTGTTCTCTAGAAACCGCATGAGCCAGGAAAGGTGTTTCCTAAAGGAGCAGGGGCCGAGCCTCACGCCGAAACACGTCTGTAACACGTACAGTCACGCGTCCCATGCATCCATGCATTCTGAGACATGCGTCTCGGTTGTGGGATCATCACAAGGTAACTTACACAAACTCAGATGGCACAGCCACTACACAACTAGGCAGCTGATGCGGTCCGCTGCTGCTAGGCCGCAAACCCGCACCGCGTGTGAGGTGCGTTATTCCCCTGGCACGGTAATGACATACCTGTACGTGTATCTCCAAATACAGGAGAGGAAATGTCCTTAGCTAAGCCCTCACCAGAGGACAGGAAGTTTCCAGCTCCGTTATCATGTTATGGGACCACCGTCATATACACGGTCCTCCTCAGACCAAAAGGTCGTTCGTTATACGGCACATGTGGTTCTTCCAAGACCCTTTTCCATCTTTCTGTCACATCCGTGCCTGAGTAAAAAGTGGCCCTGAACTCAACCGTCCAGAGTTGGCGGCAGAACTAGCACCACTGGCCCGCTCCACATGTGGAAGGCGCTGGGCAAGGGCCGCCGCAGACCCCATCAGGATTAATCCCCCGAAAACCTTTCACTCGGGTAGCTGGCACACACCGCGTCAGGGCAGAGGGCGCGCGGGACTACTTTCCGCGGACCCTCGGAGCGGGCGGAGGGATCCGCGCAGGCGGGACGGGGCAGAGGCGGGGGCAGGGGCGGGGGCAGGGGCGGGGGCAGGGGCGGGGCAGAGGCGGGGCAGGGGCGGGGCAGGGGCGGGGGAAGGGGCGGGGAAAGGGGGTGCGGGCCGGGGCGCGGTCAGGGAGGAGGGCGGGGGCCAGGACCGGGAGCTCGGGGCACTGCGCCTGCGCCGTCGCCACCGGTCAGCCCGCGCGAGGGGTCGGCGTTCATTCCTGCCGCTGCCGCCGCCGCCGCCGAGGTCCCGCACCAGCCATGGCGCAGATCCTCCCTGTTCGCTTTCAGGAGCACTTCCAGGTGAGGCCCGGCGGGCTGGGGGGCTGCCCTGTCAGCCGCGCCTCCGCCGGGCCGGACTGCCAGGCTTGACCCCGCGCCCCCAGCCCCGCTGAGCCGCTGCCCAGCTGGCCGCGCCGATTTCCGACCTCCCACCTGGGCTGGGGCTGCGGCGTCCCGGGCGCGGCGGCCGCTCCTGAGGACCCGCTTGGGTGCCGTCGCCGAAGCCCGTTACCGGCGGGGCCGGCTGGGGAATGGTGGGGGTGGAAGCCAACGCCCCCTGGGACGCCCCGCTCAGTGCCCGCGAGGAGGCACACAAATTCCCGCTGCAGGCAGGGCAACCCAAGGGCCGCGCGGATCCCACAGCTCCACGCCCCTCCTTGGCGTCCTGCGGTCCTTATTCGCCCCTGAGTTTGCCTCTGTGATCGGTTTTCGTCCCCAGGGCGGCTTCGCCTGGGAGGACCGTGAACATGCGTGACCCAAGAGAAAAATTTCTCAGGGCCAAGCCTAAATAGGGCTTTTCAATGCAGTAACACCCCCAAAGCCTGCCTTTTTAATAAGGTCCCAGTTTGTTCTCCATTTGTTTGTGTTCAGAAACATAAGGACTGGCCCCCTGCTTTGAGCAAAGGCTCAGGTCGGGCGTCGTGCGGGCCGCTCGCGGGTCTGCCCGGGAGCGGTGCTGGTCCCCACGTTTACCCTGGGAGGTGCGGCAGAGGAGGGATAGCCAGCGGCTCCTCCCTGAGTGCTCTGTGTTAAATCATCACACTACCATTCGTTGCGATTCGCTTACTCTTTTCTAGATGAGGAAACCGAGTCTCAAAAGTGTTAAAGAACTCATCTTCATTCAATAAGAACAGGATTCAGACTCAAGTCTTTTTGACCACAAAGTAGTACATCGAGGAACGTGCTTGCTTGAAAGTTCCTATTTTCACAGTGCAGAGCACTGTTAGCCCTAGATGCAGACGGGAAAAGCCTTGGGAACTGTGTAGTGCAGTCCAGTCCCCTCATTCTGCAGACTGGAAACTTGATATCCAGGGGATCCTGCCAGGGTCACTTGGTTAGTGACACAGTGGAAGTTGTATGGAGGTGGGAGTGCCCTGACATCTGTCCGGGCTTCATTCTGCCACTAAGCTAAGCCAGCACCAGTCATGTTGAGGTAGCAAAATACTGCTGCTGCTCATAATAATGATGATGATGTAGTTATCATTTACTGAGCCGTTTCTCTTGCCACTCACTAGACTACTGTATTTTATAAATCTGGTTTAATTTAATCCTCATGATAACTGAGGCAGATAGTGATATCCTGTTTTCTACCATGGGTCACTGAGGTTAATATTCTAATTCCTTCAGCAAAAGTTACATGGCTAGTAAGTGACAAAGCTTGAGTTCTAACCCAGGTCTGATTCCAATGCCTGTGCTTAACCACTATCTAAATATGTTCTTTTCAAAGGGCAAGAAAGCAACAAGATATTTTAGGTGTCCATCAGAGTTTCTAATGTCCATCAGGATTTGTAATGTCCATCAGAGTTGATATGTTCCATTATCTGGAAAATGCTTGTGGCTTGTGGTGGGCAGCCACGTGAATGCAAGTCTGGTTTGTGGTCTCTAACACTGACTGGGTCTTTGAGGCTGCTGTGCATTCTGTAGAGCAAACACTGAGTCAGCACACACTGCCTTCACTACAGACATTTCGAGACTTCAGCCTGTTCCTTAAATCCCTGATCCTGCCACTCCTGCCTTGCAACCAGCAGATGACTTGGAGAAAACTGAAGCCATAACTGGGATGTTTCTCACCTATATGGCTGCAGACTTAGATGTTTGTCTGCAGCCACCCTTTCCTGCCTTCCTGTTACCTCAAAAGTAGGTGTCCTTTCTTGTCTATGTTCTGGATCTGGTATCCTTCTTCCCTATAAGGGAGCCTCGTTCAGTCATAGCCTCCCTTTCCTGTATTTTCATCCTTCTGTCTTGTTGTTTCTTCCTGTTTGTGTTGGGCAATGCTCACCTCTCTTCCATCTGTACAACCAGCAAACTTCTTCCCCCGCTCTTGTCCCCACGAAGCTCTTGTCTCATAGCTGGATGTCATGAAAGAGCTGCTTTAGTGCTTCATTATTTTTATGTTCCACAGTAACCTGCAGTCTGGCTTTTGTCCCCATTTTTTCCCCTGAATCTGTTTTTGCCAAGGTTACAAGCCATCCTGCAGGCTTTTTTGTAAGGGCCACATTCTGTCTCTGTCCCATATTCTTACATTTTTTAACCTTCTAAAAATATGAAAAAGACTTTTAGTTTAGCCATACAAAAGCAGGCTGCAGTTGGCTAATCTTTGCTGTAAAAAATAAAATCAGGCCGAGCATGGTGGCTCACACCTGTAATCCCACCACTTTGGGAGGCCGAGGCGGGTGGATCACCTGAGATCAGGAGTTCGAGACCAGCCTGGCCAACATGGTGAAACCTCGTCTCTACTAAAAATACAGTATTAGCCGGGCGTGTTGGTACGCACCTGTAGTCCCAGCTAGTCAGGAGGCTGAGGCGGGAGAATCTCTTGAACCCGGGAGGCAGAGGTTGCAGTGAGCCAAAATCATGTCACTACTCTCCAGCCTGGGTAACAGACCGAGACTCCGTCTCAAAAAATAAGATGCGATGAGCTAGGTGAGATAAAGCCCATCACACCACACGCATCTTCTGTGATGTCCAGCCGCATTTGATGCTGCACTTTACTGCCTCCTGAGGGTCCTTTCTCTACTGTTTTTGGTTCCACAGTTTCCCAGGGTTTCTCCTTCCTCTCTGCCCACACCCACTGCCCCATGGGCGGCTCTTGTGCATGAGCTTGGAATCTGTCTTGAGCCCCTCTGCTTTTTCATTCAGGACATGCTGCTGGTGATGTTATGTATTCCCATAAGCTTGATGTTCCCAAGCCATCCGAGTGTTTTCGCAGTTTCACTGCTGTGTGTGTGTGAGGCAGTAGCAGGTCCTGGTTAAGAGCACAGACTGAGGCCAAACTGAAGGCACTGAATGTGGACTCAGGCACTTACTGGCTGTGTGATTTAGGGCAATGTTTGTAGCTTTTTTGTGCTTCTATATCTTCATCTATAAAATAAGGATAAAAGGTATACTTCTTATCTCACAAGGTAGTTGTGAGGTTTTTGAGTTAATAAATGTAAAGCATTAAACAATAACTGTTACATAATACAGTAGTCCCGATTTACCCATGGGGAATATGTTCTAAGACCCCCAGAGGATGCCTGAAACTGCAGATTGTTCTGAACCCTTTATACACTTTTTTTCCCTATGCATACATATGTATGATAAAGCTGAATTTATGTTAAGCACAGTAAGAGATTAACAATGATAACTAATAATAAAACAGAACAATAATAACAATATGCCAGCATCACTACTGTTGGACTTTGGGGCCATTATTAAGTAAATTAAGGGTTACTTGAACACAAACTCTGTGATGCTGCAACAGTCAACCTGGTAACTGACCGCTACTAAGTGACTAATGGGCTGGCAATGTCTACAGCGTGGATATGCTGGGCAGAGGAGGGATAATTCACGTCCTGGGTGGGCTGGTGCAAGATTTCATCACTCTGCAGAATGGTATGCAATTTAAAACTTATGAATTGTTTATTTCTGGGGTCTTACATTTAATATTTTCAGACTATAGGTAACAGTGTGAAAAAAACCACGGATAAGAAGGGACTACTGTAAAGCACTGTGTCCTTGTGAGCTGTTGCTGCCATTGTGACAGCTGCCTACTGAAGAAGGCCAGGAAATGGTCAGCAGGTTCCTCAAACACAGTGTTCATAAATGGGGTTCCCTTTCTCCCCAGATGTGTATCTTGTCCAGTGTCCAGCCAGGAGCCTGGGATGTGTTTTCCCCATCCTGTTGTCCCTTTCTCCTGTTTACTTTTGGCATCGTTCTGCCACTGTCATCATGACTACCGTTTCCCTAAACTATGCCATCCCTCCCCACCTTGATGGTCATGCTAGCTTTGTCCTTCTACTTCTAGTCTTGCCCTCCTGTGATCCATTCTCCAGCACACAGGCAACATGATCTCCAAGGATGAGCATCTGCTTAAAGTCCTTCAGGGAGTGGTTTCGTGTTTCCTCTGGCATGAAAAGACTGATCCCCACGTGCTCTTTCCTGTTCTTCCCAGCCCAACACCTGCTCAACTCTGCTGCCGCTCCCTTTGTGTCCTTGCCAAAACACATTCTCCTCTCACCCCTCTTTACTCACTGACTCCTACTGAGCCTTCTGGTATCTGTGGAAATGACGCTGTCTCTGGAAGCTCTCCCTGATTTGTCAGTTAGGAGTTCTTCCTCTGTGCCTCTTTGGGGTTCCTCTTATAATGACACTCTTCCCAGGGTACTGTAGCTGTTCATTTTCTCTGCTGGATTGTGAGCTCAGGGAGCTACCATTTGAACTTTTTAGAAATATTCAAATGTGAGAGTTGGAAGGGTATTGCTGTTTGTAATATCTGAGGATGGGCTGAGCACTTAAGACATCTTGATTCAGAAGAGGAATGGCTGAATAGTTTGGTGACATAAAAATTTTCTTGAGCCCTAAGTAATTCCCCCCAGCTATATCAAAAAAGCAGCTCCAAGTTTGTAAGCTGTGAAATGTGTCATAGCTCAATACACAGAAAACGTAAACATGTTCCCTCAAAGTGTCTCTGAGGCGGTGTTTGAAACAGGTGTAGAGACCTTGAGCATTAGAATTGTAGGAGAAAGATGGTCAAGATCTTAATCAGTGCTTCTCTACCTAGGCTGCATGTGAGAATGGCCTGCAGCCTTAAACATATTTCTGCTGGATGTTAAATCCAAAGCTCTGAGTGGTGGAGATGGAGCTTTGGTATTCCTTCCCAGGTGAGTCTTACACACAGCCCAGGTGAAACAGCCTTCTACATGTTAGTCAATATTAATCATTAAGGAAAGAGGGGGGAAAGTAAAACTGTGAAGGTGTAGATTGAGCTTGAACTGAAAACAGTTCCCATCCACACACACCCGTGTGTGTCTGGAGAGGCTTCTGGGGGTCATGCTCCAAAAAGGGACACGTACCCATAGTAATCCAGTCCATATTTGGTTTATGTTGCCATTATGTAGCTATCTCATTTTGTGAAGTGGTTTTTGATGTACTAAGACAGCAGTTGGCTCATTGCATCCTAAAATTATTGCATCCCATGTAAAATGTCATTTTAAGATACCATGTAAACTGTTAAATTTTGCCTGTTGGCCTACCACTGCTTCTGGTATTGGAAATACATACTGGCCAGTTAGTTGCCTTCTGACTTGTTTATTTACAAAGCAAGGAGAGTAACCTGCCTCAGCCAGGGTGTCTGCGAGGGTGAGCCTTGTGGGAGTACCTACCGCTGTGGCATTGTGGGTGACCAAAGAGTAAATGAATTTGAATGGGGACTCTTTGGAAAAACAGATCTTCACCATAGAACATTTAAATGTTCAGAATGCCTAAGCTACACAAACCAGTGCTTTTTTAGTTGGTTGGGTTGAAAGAATTAAGTCCTAGGAGGATCTGAGTCAAGGTTCCTCTCTGCTGAGATATTTCTGTTGCAGGGGCTAGTCTGATGGGAATTAAAATCTTTCAGTTCAGCCTCTGTCTGTCTCTCCCCAGGGGAAACCACTATAAACGAAGCCACCATATCCTTCCAAAAATGTTCAAAAGAATCCTGCTTTAAATATGCTTCTGCCCTTTGCTTTTGTAACTTAACACACTGAAGATCCTCCCATAGGATCACAGACAGATCACTGCATCTATCTGACATGTTGTTTATCAGTATTCCCTAGGGTAGTAGTTGCTGGCACCCTGTCACCCCCTTCTCTAAGGGGGAATCTTTCTGCAATCTGTCTGATTTTTCCTTCCTTTGCTTCTTCACTGAGACTTTACTGAGTTTGCAGGCTCTTCTCCCACATTTTCTTCCACTTCTCTTGAGGCCTGCTGCTGGCCTCCATGCCAGAGAGATGACCATCACTCTTGGCAGGCTGAAGAAGGATGCCACAAAGCTGGGATAGCAAAGTTCAGTGATGAAATTAGAATCGGATATATCTTGACAGGCCAGAATCCAGCTAGTTGACATTTAACTGGGATAAATATAGAGTCTTGTGCACTGGTGTTAAAATAAAGAAAACCTGTAATAGTGTAATTTGAGAGAAGTTCTGTAAAGCATTATATAAATGTAGTTAACTATCCCTGAACTAACCTACTCCTGGAATGTAAGTTCTGGAAGAGACCTTAGTGTCAACATTCTTCATAGGCCCTCATTTACAGAGCTCCCTCTTTAGGCTAGGAAAGGCTCTTTGGTAAGTTTCTTTTTCTTTTTCTTTTTCTTTTTTTTAAGATGGAGTCTTGTTCTGTTGCCCAGGCTGGAGTGCAGTGGCACAATCTCGGCTCACTGCAACCTCTGCCTCCAGGGTTCACGCCATTCTCCTGCCTCAGCCTCCCGAGTAGCTGGGACTACAGGCACCCACCACCACGTCCAGCTAATTTTTTATATTTTTAGTAGAGACAGGGTTTCACCGTGTTAGCAAGGATGGTCTCGATCTCCTGACCTTGTGATCCGCCTGCCTCGGCCTCCCAAAGTGCTGGGATTACAGGCGTGAGCCACCGCGCCCAGCGTGTTTCAAATATAAAATGTGTTTTTTATTTTATTTTCTTGAGACAGAGTCTCGCTCTGTCCACCAGGCTGGAGTGCAGTGGCATGATCTCAGCTCACTGCAGCCTCTGCCTCCCCGGTTCAAGCGATTCTCCTGGCTTCAGCCTCCTGAGTAGCTCGGACTACAGGTGCGTGCCACCATGCCTGGCTAATTTTTGTATTTTTAGTAGAGATGGGGTTTCACCATGTTGGCCAGGATGGTCTTAATCTCTTGACCTCGTGATCCGCCCACCTCAGCCTCCCAAAGTGCTGGGATTACAGGTGTGAGCCACTGCACCCAGCCCATTTATTTTTTTGAAACAGAGTTTCACTCTTGTTGCCCAGGCTGGAATGCAATGGCGTGGTCTTGGCTCACTGCAGCCTCCGCTTCCCGTGTTCAAGTGATTCTCCTGTTTCAGCCTCCCAGGTAGCTGGGATTATAGGTGCCCGCCACCACACCCAGCTGATTTTTGTATTTTTATAGAGATGGGGTTTCATTATGTTGGCCAGGCTGGTCTCCAACTCCTGACCTCAGGTGATCCACCCGCCTCGGCCTCCCAAAGTGCTGGTATTACAGGCGTGAGCAGCCACGCCAGGCCCTCAAAGTATGTTTTAAAAACTGTAGATGAACTAAATTTTACTGCCCTGAAACAAGTAATTTGTTTTACTATTTGTTTACCATCCATATGCTAGGCACAAGGATAAAGCAGTGAGTGAGACTGGGAAGGAGACAGATACAGAAAGAAAAAATATTGGTGTCCACATAGGTGTGAAAACATGGGGATGTTCAGTGCAACTTAAGCATTCTGGCTTCACTGATGTAGGCAGTTGATGTTCTCACTAATACTCTTGTACAAACACAGTTGTAGTCCTCCCAGGCAGACATCTTCCTTAAGCCCCTTATACATAGAAACCACAGGACTATCAGATGAGTAATTTCTTTTTGCATATTCCCCAGTGTCAGATTTTTTTTTTTTTTTTTTTTTGAGACAGGGTCTGTCTCTGTCACCCAGGCTGGAGTGCAGTGGCACAATCTTGGCTCATTCCAGCCTCTGCCTCCTGGTTTCAAGCGATTCTTGTTCCTCAGCCTCCTGAGTAGCTGGGACCACAGGCGTGTGCCACCATGCTCAGCTAAGTTTTTTATTTTTACTAGAGACAGGGCTTCACCATGTTGACCAGGCTGGTCTCGAATTCCTGACCTCCAGTGATCTACCCGCCTCGGCCTCCCAAAGTGCTGGGATTACAGGCATGAGCCACCATGTCTGGCCCCCATTGTCAGATTTGAATTTTGATTGATTTAATTGCAGGCTTTGAGAACTGAAAAGGATCATTAGACAGCATCTTCTTTACCTTTCTTTAGTTAAATCTTATATATGCCATTTAAAATGTGTAGCTAAGGTCCAGTGCAGTGGTGCATGCCTGTAATCTCAGCACTTTGGGAGGCCGAGGAAAGTGGATCACTTGAGACCAGGAGTTCAAGACCAGCCTGGCCAACATGGCAAAACCCTGTCTCTACTAAAAATACAAAAATTAGCCAGGTGCAGTGGCGGACACCTGTATTCCCAGCTACTTGGGAGGCTGAGGCATGAGAATCGGTTGAGTGTGGGAGGCAGACTTTGCAGTAAGCCAAGATTGCACCACTGCACTCCAGCCTTGGCGACAGAGCAAGACTCTGTCTCAAAAGAAAGAAAAAAAGAAAGAAAATTTTTTTAAAAATGTGTAGCTAGGTTACCTATCAGAATAATATACTAGGGATCAGGAATCCTTGGTTATTTCTACTAACTAGTGAAAAAAAAAACAAACCTGGGCCAGGCCCTGTGGCTCACGCCTATAATCCCAGCACTTTGGGAGGCCGAGGCGGGTGGATCACTTGAAGTCAGGAGTTTGAGACCAGTCTGGCCAATGTGGTGAAACCCCGTCTCTACTGAAAATATGAAAATTAGCCAGGCGTGGTAGTGGGCACTTGTAGTCCCAGCTACTTGGGAGGCTGAGGCTGGAGAATCACTTGAACTGGGGAGGCAGAGGTTGCAATGAGCCGAGATGGTGCCACCACTGCACTCCAGCCTGGGTGACAGAGTAAGACTCTGTCTAAAAAAAAAAAAAAAAGGAAAGAAAGAAAGAAAAAACCTGGCTTTTCAGCACATCACTTTTCTGGGACTTAGTTCCTGCGTATGGAGAAAAACTCACAGTAGTATCTGGCATCTTAGATGGAAAAGTTATTTTTGTGGGATTGTCCTGTATTGAGCATTCCTGGCTAAATGAGTAGAGAATGAGTTCCCCACTCATTGTACTATTAAAACTACCCTTGCCCATTTCTTTTTTTCTTTTTCTTTTTCTTTTTTTTTTTTTGAGACAGAGTCTCGCTCTGTCGCCCAGGCTGGAGTGCAGTGGAGTGATCCTGGCTTGCTGCAGCCTCCACCTCCTGGGTTCTCCTGCCTCGGCCTCCTGAGTAGCTGGGATTACAGGCACATGCCACCAGGCCTAGCTAATTTTTGTATTTTTAGTGGAGACGGGGTTTCACCATGTTGGCCAGGCTGGTCTTGAACTCCTGATCTCAAGTGATCCACCCGTCTTGGCCTCCCAAAGTGCTGGGATTACAAGCGTGACCCACTGCGCCCGAACCCATTGCCTATTTCTTTTTTTTTTTTTGAGACGGAGTCTTGGCTCTGTCGCCAGGCTGGAGTGCAGTGGCGCGATCTTGGCTCACTGCAGCCTCCGCCTCCTGGGTTGAAGCAATTCTCCTGCCTCAGCCTCCCGAGTAGCTGAGACTACAGGTGCACGCCACCATGCCTGGCTAATTTTTGTGTTTTTAGTAGAGACGGGGTTTCACCATATTGGCCAGGATGGTCTCCATCTCTTGACCTTATGATCTGCCCACCTCGACCTCCCAAAGTGCTAGGATTATAGGCGTGAGCCACCGTGCCCGGCCGCCCCTTTCCCATTTCTGAAGAATGCAGAATAGCACTCCTGGTTGAGAACTACTGTCTTAATTTAATCTGATTCTAATAGTCTTTATCTTATTTTTGGATCCACTCTTCTCAGTTGTTAAAACACTGTCTTATTTGTGAGGGACTTTTACCTTTTTCAAATGCCATACATGTGTATGTATGCTCTTAGATAAGGAACTTGACTCAGCTACTATTATTTAAGAACCCACTATGCTCAAGAGATTGGATACAAATTATTCAGGATTACCAATTCTTGGTATTTGGAGTTGAAATCAGAATGTCACCGTATTAACCCAACATCGATCCCCAAACTGAGAACAAAAGGACAATTTAGAAAACCCAGGCCCACTTCAGTGCACTGCTCTGTCTGGAGAGCATCCAGTCCTATCCTGCTAAAGCCGGAAAATCCAGATAGGTAGACAAGACCAAGAATGATTGCTTACCAATACGTGGCCAGCTTTGATTTACTTACGTCTCCGATCACTGCCAAATTTTATTGAGGCCAATTCCAGACATCTTGTTTTATCCTTAAACACTTTAGGATGTGTCACCAAGAGAGAACTCTTTGTTATTTTTTTCCAAGTTTTAAAATTGTGGTAAAATATACATAACATAAAATTTATCATCTTAACCATTTTTAGGTGTATATTTTAGCGATATTAAGTACATTCAAATTGTTATGCAGCCATCACCACCATCCATCTCCAAAACTCTTTTCTTTTTTTTTTTTTTTTTGAGACAGGGTCTCGCTCTGTCGCCCAGGCTAGAGTGCAGTGGTGCAATCTCGGCTCACTGCAAGCTCTGCCTCCTGGGTTCACGCCATTCTCCTGCCTCAGCCTCCTGAGTAGCTGGGACTACAGGCACCCACCACCATGCCTGGCTAATTTTTTTGTATTTTTTTTTAGTAGAGACAGGGTTTCACTGTGTTAGCCAGGATGGTCTCGATCTCCTGACCTCGTGATCTGCCCGCCTCGGCCTCCCAGAGTGCTGGGATTACAGGTGTGAGCCGCCGCGCCCGGCCCACAACTCTTTTCATCTTGTAAAATGGGTGCTCCATACCTGTTAAGAAATGACTCCCCATTCACACTCCTCCCCCCAACCCCATCTACTTTTTGTCTCTATAGATTTGACTCTTCTACATACTGGATATAAATGGAATCATACAATATTTGTCTTTTTGTGTGACTGTCTTTTTTTTTTTTTTTTTTTTTGAGATGGAGTCTCGCTCTGTTGCCCAGGCTGGAGTACAGTGGCACAATCTCAGCACACTGCAACCTCCACCTCCTGGGTTCAGGTGATTCTCCTGCCTCCGCCTCCCAAGTAGCTGGGATTACAGGCGCCCGCCACTATGCCTGGCTAATTTTTGTATTTTTGATAGAGACAGGGTTTCACCGTGTTGGCCAGGCTGGTCTCGATCTCCTGACCTCAAGCGACCCACCCGCCTCAGCCTCCCAAAGTGCTGGAATTACAGGCGTGAGCCATCTCACCAGACCTTGGTTTTTTTTTACTTAGCATAATGACCTCAAGGTTCATTCATGTTGTAGCATGTGTCAGAATTTCCTTCCTTTTTAAGGCTGAATAATACTCCTATTGCATGTGTATAACACATTTTGCTTATCTATTCATCCATTGATATACACTAATAATTCTTTATTTTTTAACTCTAATAACATCACACCTAAAAAAAAAAAATCAGTAGTTTCTCAGTATCATCCAGTATCTTGTCAGTGTTGTTTCTCTATTTGTTTCAAATGCTTTATTTGAATCAGCATCCAAAGAAGGCCTATGCATTGCATTTGGTTGACATTTTATGTATTAGAGCTGCTTTTTGAAGCAAGCTTTGATCTTTTTTTTATACTTAACACAAATGTATTTTATTTGTGTACATTTATCTTTTTAATTTCATAGTCCTTTCAAATCTGTTAAGATTCTGATTGTTACTCTAGTATATTGACAGTCTCAAAGCATAACCTTAGCCGATAAAACAGTCCCTGTATATGACTTTGGTTAGAGTCATTATTCAGAATATTGACTAGCAGGTGATTAAGGTCAGAGCTCTGGGCCCTGGCAGCAGACAGACAGATCCATGTGGCCAGCACCACTGAGGTGCAGTTCAGCTGTGGACACAAGCTCACCTCATGCTTTTCTACCTCATTCCAAGAGTCTTTTGTTTCATACATTGTTTGGGCTTTTATGTGCTAAATGTTTTGATGGATTCAAAATGAATTTGACTCTGAGAAGAAACAAGAGATTAAGTAAATATGAATAACTAACACAAAGCGCAAAGCTCTCTATTCTATAAGCATGCCACAGATAAAAGGCTTGGGGTAGGGGACTGATTATCCGTGAAAGTTACTTTGGCTACCTCAGCAGAGGTAAGCCAGATACTTTGCTGAAATGAAGATTTATTCTATCACATTTACTTGGCTTCAAGAAAATTAGATTGGTTTGGCATGACTTCTTAGTGAGCCCATATTGATTGCAGGTATTCATGTTTTTCTTTTCAAAGGGCTCACAAATCTGATGGATAATGTTGTAGAATTTGGAGGGGAAACCTCAGATGCAGCAGTCTTATCTTCTGGAATCCCACTGTCCTCTGTTTTGTTAATAAATATTGTAAATCCTAGCACTTTGGGAGGCCAAGGCAGGCAAATTACTTGAGGTCAGGAGTTCGAGACCAGCCTAGCTAATATGGTGAAACCCCATCTCTACTAAAAATTACAAAAATCAGCCGAGCGTGGTGGCGCATGCCTGTAGTCCCAGCTACTCGGGAGGGTGAGGCAGGAGAATTGCTGGAACTCGGGAAGCGGAGGTTGCAGTGAACCAAGATTGTGCCATTGCACTCCAGGATGGGCGTCGCAGCGAGACTGTCTCAAATAAATAAATAAATACATAAATACATAAATACTGTAACTTCTAGGGCATTTATATTATTCTATTTTTCAGGATTTTTCTATTAATTGCAGACAGAGTAAATAACACTAATCTATCCAGTTGTGGTGGCTCAAGCCTGTAATCCCAGCACTTTGGGAGGCCAAGGCAGGTGGATCACCACAAGTCAGGAGTTCGAGACCAGCCTGGCCAACATGGTGAAACCCCGTCTCTACTAAAAATACAAAAAATAGCTGGGCGTGGTGGTGAGTGCCTGTAATCCCAGCTACCCAGGAGGCTGAGGCTGGAGAATCGCTTGAACCCGGGAGGTGGATGTTGCAGTGAGCCGAGATCACGCCACTGCACTCCAGCCTGGGGGACAGGGCTAGACTCCGTCTCAAAAACAAAGCAAAACAAAAACCCCACTAATCTGATCTGTGTCCTCCAGGAATTTATGACCTTGGATGTTGTTGTATAAGCCAGCAGGGAACTAAACTAGGAGAGGATGATGGAATTTGAACATGGCTCATTTGTGAAAAAGGTGGTGAGACTGGGAGGTTTTCTTTGGTTGTGATAATGTGGTTTCCTGGTTTACTAAGTATCAGTGGTTGTGCTTATGGGGCTTCTGTTATCTTTTATTCTTGGTTTACTTAAATATGTTAACTTTACTTAAGTAAATTATGTCCATCTTCATGGGCTGCTCTTCTGCCTGCCTTCTAAGCCTTGGTGTGTCCTGGGGCTCTGTGCCCTGGGCTTCCAAACCATTCTCTCACTTTTCACGGTCTCTCTTGGTGCTTCCGTCCAGTTTCATGACTTCGCCTGCCACAAATGACCCCCATGTTCTTATTTTGGGGCTTGAATTTTTTTTTAGACTTACAAAATGTTAAGCAATATAATACCTAAGAAAATTCCAAAAGTAACAAGTGCTGAGGACGGCAGGCCCTACCAGATGTTACAAAACCTCCATAAATAAAATAATGTGGTGCTGATGTGTAGATAGATGTCGGGAGCTCCATGATAGCTGAACACATGGAGGTCCCTGAAGAGCGGTGTGCTGGGAGAGGCAAGGACACCCCTCGCGCCTTTCTCTATGCGCCTCTTCCATCTGGCGGTTCATCAGTATCCTTTGTAATATCCCTTGTAATAAATGAGAAACGTGTTTCCTTGAGTTCTGTTAGCCACTCCAACAAATTAGTCAAACCCAGGAAGAAGGTCATGGGAACCCTGCTTTATAGCTGGATGGTCAGAAGTACAGGCCACAGCCTGGGGCTTGCGATTAGTGTCTGAAGTGTAGTCAGTCTTATGGGACTGAGCCCTCAACCTGTGGGATCTGATACTATTTCCAGGTAGATATTGTCAGAATTGAATTAAATTGTAGGATAACTAGGTGGTGTCTGCTGGAGAAACCCCCCCACATCTGGCGTTGGCAGTCTTGTGTTGAGTGATGTGTGAGAACAGGAAAAATACTTAGGTTTTTCCTATGCTTAATAAACCACTCCTAGCATTATTTTCCTTGCTATAACCCAACGTTGGAACATGAAGGGACTTTCTTGTAATAATGGCAATATCAATTGGCAAGTTCTATTTTTTAAAAAACTATTTCACTACAGTTATGAAGTAATGTTTTGTTTTTTTGCTGTTATATGTGTTTTTGTTTGTTTTGGTGGACTCATTTGGGAACATAATCACCACTTAGTTTATCTTTTCTGTGTTAAAATGGAATATGAATTTCAAACAACTCAGTATTGTGGTCAGAACACAGGCTTTATTATACCTGGCTCCATCATTAATCAGCTTTGTAATTTCTGAAAGATTTCTTAACCCCAACACTTTGTTTTTCCCAAGTGTAAAGTGTGTGTGAGATGCTTGTCTCAGTGGGTTAACAGGAAGATGAGATGAGGTGACTTGTTGTCCTGTAGCCTGCTCCACTCAGCAGCTGGAACATCCAGTATGTGCTAGACTCTGCTACAAAAGACAAACAAGGCACCGTCCTGAATTATACTCTCAGTATGAACAGTCTCACTTGTGTTCCTTCCAAAGGGTGGTGCAATTTTAATGCAGCGGTCCATGATCTTTGTTGCTAGTGTGAGCCTCTTCAAGGTTACACAAGGTAACAGATGTTAAGTGGTCCAATCAGTAGCAGTAGAATTGGGGCTGAACAGAACAGTGTTTAAAAATAAAGGTGTCGACCAGACGCGGTGGCTCACGCCTGTAATCCCAGCGCTTTGGGAGGCCAAGGAGGGCGGATCACGAGGTCAGGAGATTGAGACCATCCTGGCTAACACGGTGAAACCCCGTCTCTACTAAAAAAAAATACAAAAAATAGCCAGGCGTGGTGGCGGGCGCCTGAAGCCCCAGCTACTTGGGAGGCTGAGGCAGGAGAATGGCGTGAACCCGGGAGGCGGAGCTTGCAGTGAGCCGAGATCGCACCACTGCACTCCAGCCTGGGCAACAGAGCGAGACTCCGGCTCAAAAAATAAATAAATAAATAAGTAAATAAGTAAATAAAGGTGTCTTGTAGGTAGGTCAGAGCAGAGAAATTTATAGAAATAAGCTTGGTGCTTTGTGGGAGTGATAAACATTTATTGAGTATGTGTTTTCCCAGAGTTTTTCACTGAAGCTTATCCCATTAGCAGGTCTTGATTTAGCCCAGGCACTGCGTATAAGATGGCCTTTGGAGAAAGGTGCTTGGTTTCAGTTTACACAGTAGTAGCAGTCCATCGGCCCTGGAAGATGTGCCAAACCTGCTGACTTTCTTATTAACCCCAGACTCTCCAGGAAGTATTCACACTGACTTAGAAATTCATTCAAGTCAGATGTAGACAGGTTTGATGATATCTAGGGAAATGTTTAAGCAAAAACTTTTGGCCAGTTCTTTTTTCTTGCCTTTTGGAGAAATCAGGTTTTGTGTTTCCTCCCTTTTTCCCTTCCACTTCCCTCGCCTTCACCTCTCCAAGACCTCCTTCCTCCCAAAGCTCTCCTCGGTGGTGGGCTTATCTGTGACACCTTATCTGATGGTGTTCTTTGGGAGTTCACCCCCAACTCATCTCCTCCTGTCTGTATCACTTGTGGCGTCCTTGACACTGCCTAGTGTCATCCTGCACATGTCTTATCTCCACTGTGGGCTGGTAATCTCTCAAGGAGAGTTGATTCACAGGCTTGGGTGGATCTATTACAGGCGTAGAAAAGCAAGCTAATGTTTCCTTCAAGTGTTTACCTAATGTTAACTTTTTTCTAAATTTTATTTAACTTCTCCTCTTTTGCCTTTGGCTACAGTCAGTCCATTTCAGAGGAAAAAAATTTAATCAAATGCTTTTTTTCTGTTTAGCTCCAAAACCTTGGAATTAATCCAGCTAACATTGGATTCAGCACACTGACCATGGAATCTGACAAGTTCATATGTATCCGAGAGAAAGTTGGTGAGCAGGCACAGGTCACGATCATTGACATGAGTGACCCAATGGCTCCGATCCGACGGCCTATCTCTGCAGAGAGTGCCATCATGAATCCAGCCTCTAAGGTGATAGCTCTGAAAGGTAAACCCGATGGGATTGTTAGAAAGGAATCTTACCTCATTTTAACTGCTTTGTTACCTTAAATATTGAACAAGTGTCACTAAGCTCATGGCGAAGTGCTCCTCAATAGTATTCCACTTAATTCCAAAAGTTTTAGCAAAAGTTATGTTTAGTGTGCCCTAGTAAGAGGCCCCTGAGCACCAGAGCTTCTTGGTAACATCACCCACAGCGCCAGACACACCGAGAGGAAGAAAATGCCCAGGCCTTTGTCTTCATGCGACTAGGAACGCACAACAGCACTGTGCATGTTTCCCAGGAAGGCTGTGTGGCCCCCTTGCCTGAGGGCCTGCTGCAGTGGTGCTTCCGGTCATCCGACGACACAGGCTCGGGGGTTTTCCTCCTGTGAAACACATCAATGATAGAGGAGCTGATAATTAATAGAATTTTACTTCCTTGAAATCAGGGAGTCTTGGGTGCTTAAAGCCTTCTAGTTATCTTGAAAAATATAGAATCTTCTTATATTGCCTTCATTTGGCAAATAAAAGGATTATGTATGCAGTAGACTTAATGTTTTGTGTGAAATGCAGTATCACTTACTTTGAAAAGCAAAAACTGGGCCGGGCGCAGTGACTCATGCCTGTAATCCCAGCACTTTGGGAGGCCGAGGCAGGCAGATCACCTGAGGTTGGGAGTTCGAAGACTAGCCTGACCAACATGGAGAAACCCCATCTCTATTAAAAATACAAAAAATTAGCTGGGCGTGGTGGCGCATGCCTGTAATCCCAGCTCCTCAGGAAGGCTGAGGAGAATCTCTTGAACCCAGGAGGTGGAGGTTGCGGTGAGCAGAGATCGCGCCATTGCACTCCAGCCTGGACAACAAGAGCAAAAATCGGTCTCAAAAAAAAAAAAAAAAGAAACAAAGAAAAGCAAAAACTGTTTCTGGAGGTAAAATTTGTGAATGCCAAATATTAGCTTTGCCTAGGCTTCTATTTTATTACAGAAATAGTGTCTACTTGGTCATTTCAGTAGGTAGAAGGACATCTGAAAGTTAAGACCTTTCTATTTAAAAAGAAATAACTGAAATTCTTTTATTTGAAAGGATCTTTGTTCTATTACCAACCCTACCTTTTCCCTTGTAATCTTGTCAAAGTAATTATTTGAACATATAGTGTAAGCAGTATAAATGATTTTGGTTAGAAATTATTACAATTATGGGATATTAATGATGCTTTTATCTGTCTCTTACTTTGTCACTTACCCCTTGGCTCTTTTTGATGGAATATTTGCCTTGCAGTGTCGCCCTTTTCTGCATTTTATGTTGTTGTAGTACTTAAAAAAATATTTGTAGAGAAGGGGGTCCCACCATGTTGTTCAGGCTGGTCTTGAGCTCCTGGCCTCAAGTGATCCTCCTGCCTTGGCCTCTCAAAGTGCTTGGATTATAGGCATGAGCCACTGTACCCAGCCTTGTTGTAGTACTTTTGAGAGGCCTTATTTAGCATGTTGTTTGCGGTTTTGTTTGCTGTTTAGTGTTTTCAGCAGGTCTCAGAAATGATCTGCATTTTAATCTTCCTGGTTTTCTGGTACAGTTCTCTTTAACAATGTGCAGTGCGGAGCTCCTAGGGTGTGTGTGTGTGTGTTGTGGTGTGGAGTCGGGGAGTAAAGAGAACGCAATAGTTAGATGTTGTCAATCCCTTCCAGCCAAAGACCACCAGGAACACACTTGCAGTTGAAGAAGGTGGGTTTACTGTTGCAGTGGGAGAGAACACACGCCATGGGGAACTGGGGAGTGTCTCAGTAAGAAGGTGTTAGAGCCTTTTATAGGATTTGGGCTTTGGTTGGATGATTTAGGGGGTAGTCTAAGGAAGCAGGGGTTTGCTGTAGATTGGATGTTGGCAGCAAGTGGGGGTAATTTTTATGATTGCGTATCTCAATAAATTTCATCTATTAGGGAGGGAAGACTAGAGTGAGATTAAAGCTATAATGGGTAAAGAAGTAGCAGTCACTCATTTTAGCTGAAAGAGAGGCGTGTTGGTATTTTGTGAGTTGCGCAGTAACCTTGTTTTTTCTGTGCTTGCTGTGTCTCACTTGATCGTGGTCTCAGAGGGCCCTTGCCTGAGGCTGGTGTTCTCCAAGGTGGTTTATGTCCATCAGGAGAGCAGCATGGCCTTGCTGTGATTGCCAGGCCAGCTTCCAGGTGGCAGGGGCTGCTGCTTTTTATTTTCGTTCTTAATGGTCATATAGATCACTTCAACTATAACATGTTGAGTCTTGTTTTCTTTTCCGTGGGGGAAGTGTAAGACTCTGGAACCAAAAAGGGACATAATTTTAAGGCTTTATCTTATTTTTACTGCTAATTCTGTAGCAGTAAAATCTCAGATCATTGTAGTACAAATCGTTGACAAGTGGAGGATGTACAGTGTGTTTTCAAGGCCCTACACCAAAATGAGCAAACTGTCTTTGAAGAAAGAGTTGTTTGTATAGTGATTGGTTGATGGAGATGATTGATTTGTAAGTGAGCTCCTCAGAGTCCTCTGCCATATCACACACCTTGACTAGCTTCTAGGATCCAGTGCAGAAATACAGGGTGTGTGGGGGGGTGCTGCACCTTGTATCTCACAGATTTTTCCCATTTTGGCTGGTGAAGTTTTGTGATTGGAAAGGGGCTCGTGAAGCAGCTCTCGGACCTCCCTTTACAAAAAGGGCTAGGCCAGGTGGCTCATGTCTGTAATCCCAGTGCTTTGGGAGGCCAAGGCTGGAGAATTACTTGAGCCCAGGAGTTCGAAGTTGTAGTGAGCTATTATCGTGCCACTGCATTCCAGCCTGGGTGACAGAGCAAGACCCTGTCCCTAAAAATAATATTAAATTAAATTAAGGCCGGGCGTGGTGGCTCACGCCTGTAATCCCAACACTTTGGGAGGCCGAGGCAGGCAGATCACCTGGAGGTCGGGAGTTCGAGACCAGCCTGACGAACGTGGAGTAACCTCCTCTCTACTAAAAATACAAAAATTAGCTGGGCGTGGTGGCGTGCACCTGTAATCTCAGTTACTCGGGAGGCTGAGGCGGGAGAATCACTTGAACCCAGGAGGCAGAAGTTGCAGTGAGCCAAGATCGTGCTATTGCACTCTAGCCTGGGCAACAAGAGCGAAACTCTGTCTCAAACAAACAAACAAAAAAGAGCGAAACTCTGTCTCAAAAAAAAATTAAAAGGGACACCATTGCAGCCTGTCCTCATGCCTGGCCGTGAACTCCCAAGTGCTCAGAGATACTCAGCCCACGTCATTGCCCGGCTTTCTGGAGAAGCCTGGAGCAGATTCACTTACCCAGTACCCAGTCTCTGTTCATACTTTCTTTGCTGACGGATTTGTGGTGAATTCTTTAAAACCAGATACATTTTGCCTTTGACTTAAAGAGCATGAAGTGGTGGCAGAATTACTCATCTGTTGCTTGTGATTTTAGTGGAACACCTTAACTGAGGGATTGGCAAACGGTCTGCTTTTTGCTCCTGAACTAGGAATGTTTTTTATTTGTTTGTTTTAAGATCAGGTCTCTCTCTGTCATCCAGGCAGGAATGCAGTGATGTGATCATGGCTCACTGTAGCCTTGAACTCCTGGGCTCAAACGATCCTCCTGCGTCAGCCTCTGAAGTAGCTAGGACTACAGGCACATGCCACCATGCCCAGCTAATGTTTAAACATTTTTTGTAGAGATGGTATCTGACTATGTTGCCCAGGCTGATCTCAAACTCCTGGCCTAAAATGATCCTCTCACCTCAGCCTTCCAAAGTCCTGAGACTACTGATGTGAGCCACCTCAATTGGCCAAGAATGGTTTTTATGAGGAGTTGTAAAAACAAAACAAAACAAAACAGACAGAGGTCTTTTATGTCCTTTTATAGGGAAAGTTGGCAGATACCTTGCATTACTGGCCCAGGTGTGATATTGTCAATTTTATTATGAAACATTGTGTGTTGGTCCGTTCTCACAGTGCTATAAAGAACTACCTGAGACAGGATAATTTATGAAGAAAAGAGGTTGAATTGACTCACAGTTCCATAGGCTATATAGGAAGCTTGGCTAGGAGGCCTGAGGAAACTTATAATCATGGCAGAAGGTGAAGGGGAAGCAAGCATGTCTTACCGTAGCGGAGCAGTAGAGAGAGAACAAAAGGGGGAGTGCCATACACACACACTTTTTTTTAACTGCTCCTTGCAGAGCAGGGCTAACCCACAGGCAGTGTGTCCAGAGTAGCCACACACACACTTATACCCATCAGATCTCGTGAGAACTCACTCACTATCACCAGAACAGCAAGGGGGAAATCTGCCTCCATGATCCAGTCACCTCCCACCAGGTCCCTCTCCAACACTGGGAACTACAACTTGAGATGAGATTTGAGTGGGGACACAGAACCAAACCATATCACATTACCTTTTCAGTATTTATATGTATCTCTTTTTACAAACTTTACCTTTTTTCTCTTAATTTTTAGAAGTAGATGGAGTATAGGCTAATCTAGTATCTGTGCGGCAGAGTTGGCACTGAGCTCAGTGGGGGATAGAAGAGGGGGAATGGCACCCCCTGGAGGCCCCCTCCTCACCTAGACTACTTAAGTCTGACCTGAAGTATTTCCCAAAGAAGGCTGGTCCTTTTTTGGTCCTTTTAGTGATGCTGAATATTTTGTGCCTCATAAACACATGTTCATTTAAACCAGGCTAAGGACAACTTGACAAGTTTTCAAGCTAGAAGAAATTTCCTCTGTGATCTAAGGCTGCTTGACACTAAAAGGTACCCCCATCCTGACAGCGTACCACCAAGAATTTTTGGTCCAGATTTTTTTTTTATATCTTTCTTTGTCTGCTTTTTTCAAGTATAATTTACATACCATAACATTCACTTATTCTTTTTTTTTTTTTTTTTTTGAGTTGGAGTCTCGCTCTGTTGCCCAGGCTGGAGTGCAGTGGCATGGTCTTGGCTCACTGCAACCTCTGCCTCCCGGGTTCACACCATTCTCCTGCCTCAGCCTCCTGAGTAGCTGGGACTACAGGTGCCCACCATCACACCCAGCTAATTTTTTGTATTTTTAGTAGAGACGGGGTTTCACCATGTTAGCCAGGATGGTCTCGATCTCTTGACTTTGTGATCCACCTGCCTCAGCCTCCCAAAGTGCTGGGATTACAGGCATGAGCCACCGTGCCCGACCAACATTCACTCCTTCTCGGTGATTTTTAGTGAATTCATAGAGTTGTGGAATCATCTCTACAATACAGTTTTGGAACATGTCTGCAACCCCAGAAAGTTTCCTCATGCCTGTTTAGAACCATTCTCACTCCTACTCCCGGCCCGAGGCAGCAACTCATCTGCTTTCTTCCTCAACAGACTTTCTTGTAGACAATTCAAATAAATGGAATCATACAATATGTAGTCTTTTACATCTGGCTTCCTTTACCTAGCATAGTGTTTTTGAGGTCCATCCATGTTATAACATGTATCAGTAGTTTGTTCCTTTTTATTGTCTAATAGTGTTTCATTGTATGGATATGCCACATTTTGTTTTTCCATTCACCAGTTGATGGACATTTGGATTGTTTCCAGTTTTTAGCTATTAAGAATATTGCTGCTATCAATGCTCACTGACAAGTCTTTGTGTGGACATATTTTCTTTGTTGTTGTTGTTCTGCAATTTCTTTTTTTTTTTTTTAATTTTACTTTAAGTTCCAGGATACATGTGCAGAACATGCAGGTTTATTACATAGGTATACATGTGCCATGGTAGTTTGCTTCCCCTATCAACCCATCCTCTAGGTTTTAAGCCCTGCATACATTAACTTTGTCCTGATGCTCTCTCTCTCTTCGCCCCCCACTCCCCTGACAGGCCTGGTGTGTGTTGTTCCCCTCGCTGTGTCCATGTGTTCACTTGTTCAACTCCCACTTATGAGTGAGAACATGCAGTGTTTGGTTTTCTGTTCCTGTGTTAGTTTGCTGAGGATGATGGCTTCCAGCTTCATCCATGTCCCTGCAAAGGACATGATCTCATTTCTTTTTGTGGCTGCATAGTATTCCGTGGTGTGTATGTACCACATTTTCCAGTCCATCACTGATGGGCATTTGGGTTGGTTCCATGTCTTTGCTATTGTAAATAGTGCTGCAATAAACATATGTGTGCATGTGGACATATATTTTCATTTCTCTTGGGTGGAGTAGAATTGCTGGATCATATGATAAATTTGTTTAGCTTTTTTTTTCAGATGGAGTCTCACTCTATCGCCCATCCAGGCTGGAGTGCAATGGCATGATATTGGCTCACTGTAACCTCTGCTGCCCAGGTTCAAGTGATTCTCCTGCCTCAGCCTCCCAAGTAGCTGGGATTACAGGCACCTGCCATTGCGCTTGGCTAATTTTTGTGTTTTTTGTAGGGACGGGGTTTCACCATCTCAGCCATGCTGGTCTTGAAGTCCTGACCTCATGATCCACCCCCTTGGCCTCCCAAAGTGCTGGGATTACAGGCGTGAACCACCACTACCGGCCTGTTTAGCTTTTTTTCTTCTTTTTTTTTTTTTTTGAGGAGTCTTGCTCTGTCACCCAGGCTGGAGTGCAGTGGCGCTATCGCGGCTCACTGCAGCCTCTGCCTCCTGGGTTCAAGCAATTCTCCTGCCTCAGCCTCCCGAGTAGCTGGGACTACAGGTATGTGCCGCCACGCCTGGCTAATTTTTGTATTTTTAGTAGAGACGAGGTTTCACCATGTTGGCCAGGATGGTCTTGATCTGACCTTGTGATCCACCTGCGTTGGCCTCCCAAATTGCTGGAATTACAGGCATGAGCCACTGCACCTGGCCCTGTTTAGCTTTTTAAGAAACTGCCCAACTGTTTTCCAAAGTGACTGTCTCATTTTATGTACCCATCAGCAATGTATGAGGATGCCAGTTTCTCCACACATCCATGCCAACACTTGATACTATCTTTTTTATTATAGCAATTCCAGTGGTTGTGTACTAGCATTTTGCAGTTTTAATTTGTATTTCTCTAATGCCTAATTATGTTAAATATCTTTTATTTTTAAATATGATTATTAACCATTTATATATATTTTCTGAGAAATGTCTATTTAAATATTTGCCCAGTTCTTAATTGTGTTGTCCATCTTATTATTGAATTATAAGAGTTCTTTATATATTCTGGATATACATAGTTTATCAGCTATGTGATTTACATATATTTTCTCCCAGTCTGTACCTTGTCTTTTCATTCTCCTAATGACATCTTGTCTTAGTCTGTTTGTGCTGCTATAATGAAATGGCTGACACTGGGAAATCTATAAAGAATAGAAATTTATTTCTCATAGTTCTGGAGGCTGGGAAGTCCAAGATTAAGATGCTACCAGATAGTGTGTCTGTTAAGGGTTCACACTCCACTTCCAAGATGGCCCCTGTTGCTGCATCCTCTGGAGGGGAGGAACACTGTGACAGAAGGGCAAAAAGGAACCTAAGTCCCTCCATCAAGCTCTTTTGTGAGAACATGAGGGCTTGCCTCCCAAAAGGCTCCATCTCCCAACACTTGGGGATGAAGTTTCAGCATGCATTTTGGAGAGAACAAAAAACATTCAAACCATAGGATATGTTTTGAAGGGCAAAACTTACTAATTTTGATAAAGCCCAACTTACCTATTTTTTTTTTCTTTAATGGATCATGCTTTTGGAGTCATAGCTAAGAGTGCTTAGCCTATGGTTTTGTAGTTTTAATTTTTTTTTTTTTTGAGACAGAGTCTTGTTCTTCTCACCCAGCCTGGAGTGCAGGGGCGCAATCTTGGCTCACTGCAACCTCTGCCTCCTGGGTTCAAGCGATTCTCCTGCCTCAGCCTTCCAAGTAGCTGGGATTACAGGTGCCTGCCACCATGCCTGGCTAGTTTTTTGTATGCTTAGTAGAGATGGGGTTTCCCCATGTTGGCCAAGCTGGTCTTGAACTCCTGACCTCAGGTAATCCACCTGCCTCAGCCTCACAAAGTATTGGGATTACAGGTGTGAGCCACTGTGCCCGACCCAGATCTGTGCCCATTCTTGCACCGATTACTTGATAGTTGTAGCTTTATGGTAATTTGGAAGTCAGATAGTGTTGGTACTCCAACTTAGTGTTTTTCAAAATAGTTTTTGAAACTCTTTGAAACGAGATCCTTTGAATTGCCACATAAATTTTGGGTTTAGTTTGTGAATTCCTACAAAAATCCTTCTGGGGCTTTGATAGAGATTACATTGAATTTATCAATTTGGTAAGAATTGCTATCTTGACAATATTAAGTCTTCTAGTCATTTAATGTCTCTGTTTATTTAGATCTTTAATTTCTTTCAGTGATGTTTTGCATATTCAGTGAGCAAATCCTATACTTCTTTGTTAAATTTATTCCCAAGTATTTTATTCTTTTTTTATGTTATTATATACAGACTTATTTTCTTAGTTTTATTTTTGGATTGTTTCTTGCTAGTATATAGAAATAAAATAATTTTTGTATATTTTTCTGTATCCTATATACTTATTAAACTTATTCTTGTAGTTTTTAGTGGATTCCTTGGCATTTTCTACATACTGTATCATGTTATCTGTGAATAGACAGTTTTACATCTTCCTTTCTAATCCAGATTCTGTTTGTTTCAACATTGCATCGGCTAGAATACCCAGTACAGTATTAAACAGAAGTGACAAGAACAGAAATCGTTGAATTATTTCTGACCTTAGGGGGGAGTTTTTAGCCTTTTACAATTAAATATGATGTTGGCTGTGGATTTGGGGTAGATAAATCCTTTATCAAGTTGGAGAAGTTCCCTTCTATTTTCTGTGTCTACTGAGATGATCACATAGTTTGTGTCCTTTATTAGTGTGGTGTATTACATAAATTAATTATTGGCTATTAAGCCAACCTTGCATTCCTGTGGTAAATCTCTTTTGGTCATGGTGTATGGTGGTTTTTTTATGTTGTTGGATTTTGTTCACTAATATTCTAAGGGTTTTCTGTTATTTTTATAATTGGTCTATAGTTTTCTTTTCTTGTGATGTCCTTTTGTGACTTTGTAATTAGGCAAATGTTGGCCTTAGAGAATGAGGTCCTTCTTCCTCTATATTCTGAAAGAATCTGTGAAGGACTTATTTCTGTCTTCTTTGAGTATTTGATAGAATTCAACAGTGAAAGCCTTCTGGTCCTGGGGTTTTCTTTGTGGGAAGATTTTAAATTTCAAATTCAACTTCCTTACTTGCTGTGAATCTGTTCAGATTTTCTGTTTTCTTGTGTCAGTTTTGGTAATTTGTGTCTTTCTAGGAATGTATCCAGGTTATCTAAGTCTTCTAGTATGTTGACATAAAATTGTTCATAATATTCGCTTCTTTTAATTTCTTTGGGGTTGGCAGTGGTGCCCTCTTTCATTCTTAATTTTGATAATTTGTGTCTTCTGTTTTTTTCTTGATCATTAACTAAGGTTTGGGTCAGGCCTGGTGGCTCATACCTGTAATCCCAGCACTTTGGGAGTCTGAAGTGACAGGATCACTTGGGACCAGAAGTTCAAGACCAGCCTGGGCAACATAGGGAGACTCCATCTCTACAAATTAAAAAACAAAAACAAAAAACTAGCCAGTGTGGTAGTACGTGTCTGTGGTTCCAGCTACTCAGAAGTCTGAGGCTTGAGGATCATCCTAAGCCCATTATGTCAAGGCTACAGTGAGCTGGGATAGTGCCATTGCACTCCAGCCTAGGTAACAGAGTGAGACCCTGTCTGTAAAAATAAATAAATAAGATTTGTTAGTTTTCTTGATTGTTTTGAAAAACCCTACTTCTGGCAAGGTGTATATAGGCTGCTTCAGGAACATGCGCACAGCTGCCTACCCTGTGCCTTTCTTGTTAAAATGTAGCATACCATTTTAATTCTTCTGAATTTTTCTTTTTACTATTTTGTGTATGTATGTGTATTTTTATGGTGGTTGCTGTAGGGTTTATAAAATGCATCCTAACATCACAAATGATTTCAGATTATTAATATTAACTTCTGTTAAAATGCAGAAATTTCACTCCAGCATAGCTTCATTTCCTCCTCCCTCTGTTGTGCTATTTTTATCATTCATATATATGAATATATAAAATATATTAAAAAAGAGAAAATAAGATGCATATATGCATCTATATATGTTATAAACTCAACAACCTGTAGTTTTATTGTGGTTTTAAATGATATTATTTAATGAAATTAAGAGAAATCTTTATACTAACCAACATATTTATCATATCCAGTGCTCTTTATTTCTTTTTGTGGATTTGAGCTCCCATCTTAGTTCAGTCTGATTAGAAGTCATTTACCATAAGCTGTTAGTGCCTGAAGACAGTGAGGGTCTAACATTTACCATTTTGACTAGAGAGCAAAACTACATCACACCTAAATTATGTCCAAAAGCAGTTGTTTTATAAATTTATATAGTTTAAACTTAAGTTGATAATATAGTTATAGCTAACTTTAGAACTGTTTTATGGCAGCAGGCCTTTATCTTACTGATCATGTGTTTTGGATATAAATTGTATCAAATTTCGGCTGGGCACGGTGGCTCACACCTGTAATCCCAGCACTTTGGGAGCACAAGGTAGGTGGATCACCTGAGGTCAGGAGTTTGAGACCAGCCTGGCCAACATGGTGAAACCCTGTCTCTACTAAAAATACAAAAATTTGCTGGGCATGTTGGTGTATGCCTATAATCCCAGCTACTTGGGACGCTGAAGGAGGACAATCACTTGAATCCGGGAGGCGGAGGTTGCAATGAACCTAGATCGACCCATTGCACTCCAGCTTGGGCCCCAAAAGCGAAACTCTGTCTCAAAAAAAAAAAAATTGCATGAAATTTCACCATTGAGTTGCTCCTTTTTGTGAATTCAAGAAATCATCTTAATTATTGCCCAGGTATATCATGATATCATTAAAGACTTTCTGTTAGCAACAGCAGCCTTATTTCTCAAATTGTGGTTTAAAACCAGTTTTGCTAATTGATGATAATATTGTAATAATATCAGTTGTTGCGTAGCTTGGCTAACTAACTGGATAGTCAGATTAACTCTTTTTTTCTAGCTGTGTACCTCAGAGATAGTAGTACCTCAAAAAAAGCTAGATCTGTAAATAATTCCGCTGTTAACATGAGTGTACAGATGTCTTTTGGGGAACCTGTTTTTAATCCTTTTAATTCTATACCCACAAGTAATTGACTGGATCATATCATTATTCATTTTTAATTTTTTTGAGGAACTGCCATCTCTTTTCTATAGTGGTTGCACTATTTTATATTCTCAGTAGTGCACAGGGTTCCAATTTTTTCACATTCTTGCTAACACTTGTTATTTGTATTGTTTTCTTTTTAATGGTAGCCATTTTTTTTTTTTTTTAAGAGACTGTAACTTCGAACTCCTGGACTCAAGCTATCCTCCTACCTCAGCCTCCCAAGTAGCTAGGACTATAGGCATGCGCCACTACAACCAGCTAATTAAAAACATTTTTTCTTTGTAGAGACAGGGTCTTGCCATGTTGCCCAGGCTGTCTTAAACTCTTGGCCTCACATGATCATCCCGTCTCAGCTTCCCAAAGCGCTAGGATTACAGGCGTGAACCACTCCACGTGGGTCATTTTTTAACTGGACTATTTGTGTTTTTTGTTGTTGAGTTGTAGGCATTCTTTATATATTCTGGATATTAACCCCTTGTCAGATATATGATTTCCATATACAGGCATACCTTGAAGATATTTTGAGTTCAATTCCAAACTACCACAATAAAAAGAATATTACAATAGTGAGTTACATGAATTTTTTGGTTTCCCAGTGCATATAAAAGTTATGTTTATACTATGCTGTAATCTATTAAGTGTGAAATAGCATTATGTCTAAAAAAATGGATTATCTTAATTAAAAAATAATTTGGCTGGGTGCAGTGGCTCACGCCTATAATCCCAGCACTTTGGGAGGCCGAGGCAGGAGAATCACAAGGTCAGGAGATCAAGACCATCCTGGCTAACACAGTGAAACCCTGTCTCTACTAAAAATACAAAACCCAAAAATTAGCTGGGCGTGGTGGCGGTTGCCTGTAGTCCCAGCCTGTCAAGAGGCTGAGGCGGAGAATGGTGTGAACCCGGGAGGCAGAGGTTGCAGTGAGCCAAGACTGCGCCACTGCACTTCAGCCTGGGTGACAGAGTGAGACTCCATCTCAAAAAATAAAAATAAAAATAAAAATAAATAATTTATGGCCAGGCATGGTGGCATATACCTCTAATCCTAGTACTTTCAGAGGCCAAGGTGGGAAGATCGCTTGAGCCTAAGAATTCAAGAGCAGCATGGCAAAGAATACAGTGAGACCTTAGCTCAAAAAAAAAAAAAAAAAATTCTGGGTGTGGTGGTGCACGCCTGTAGTCTCACCTACTCAAGGAGGCTGAGATGGGAGAATATCTTGAGCCCAGGAGTCTGATGACTGCATGTCAGCCTGGGTTACAGAGAGAGACTCTGTCTCAAAATAAATAAATAAATAAATGAATAATCTATTTATTTATTCCTAAAAATTGCTTACCATTATCAGCCTTCAGTGAGTTGTAATCTTTTTTTTTTTTTTTTTTAAAGATGGAGTCTCTCTCTGTCACCCAGGCTGGAGTGCAGTGGCGTTATCTCAACTCTCTGCAACTTCTGTTTACCAGGGTTAAGGGATCCTCCTGCCTCAGCCTCCCGAGTAGCTGGGATTACAAGCACGTGCGACCACGCCCAGCTAATTTTTGTATTTTTAGTAGAGATGGGGTTTCACCATGTTGGCCAGGCTGATCTCGAACTCCTGACCTCAAGTGATCTGCCGGCCTCAGCCTCCCAAAGTGCTGGGATTACAGGCATGAGCCACTGTACCCAGCTGCGAGTTGTAAACTTTTTACTGGTGGAGGGTCTTGCCTTGATGCCAATGGCTGCTGATTGATCACAGTGGTGGTGGCTGAAGGCTGGAGTGGCTGTGGCAATTTTTTTTTTTTTTTTGAGACAGAGTCTTACCCTGTTGCCCAGGCTGGAGTGCAGTAGTGCAATCTCGGCTCACTGTAAGCTCCGCCTCCCGGGTTCATGCCATTCTCCTGCCTCAGCCTCCCAAATAGGTGGGACCACAGGCACCTGCCACCAAGCCCAGCCAATTTTTTGTATTTTTAGTAGAGATGGGGTTTCACCACATTAGCCAGGATGGTCTCCATCTCCTGACTTCGTGATCCACCTGCCTCAGCCTCCCAAAGTGCTGGGACTACAGGCATGAGCCACCGCGACAGGCTGGCAATTTCTTAAAATAAGACATCAGGCTGGGTGCGGTGGCTTATGCCTGTAATCCCAGCACTTTGGGAGGCTGAGGCAGGCAGATCATGAGGTCAAGAGATCGAGACCATCCTGGCCAACATGGTGAAACCCCGTCTCTACTAAAAATACAAAAAAATTAGCTGGGCCTGGTGGCACGCTCCTGTAGTCCCAGCTACTTGGGAGGCTGAGGCAGGAGAATCGCTTGAATCCGGGAGGTGGAGGTTGCAGTGAGCCAAGATCACGCCACTGCACTCCAGTCTGGCAACAGAGTGAGACTCCATCTCAAAAAACAAATAAATAAATAATAAATAATTTTAAAAAAAGACATCAGTGAGGTTTCCGCAGGGATTGACTCTTCCTTTAATGAAAGATTGCTCTGTAGCGTGCAATGCTGTTTGCTAACATTTTACCCACAGTAGACTTCTTCCAGAATTGGAGTCAGTCCTTTCAGACTCTGGTGCTGCTTTATCAGGTAAGTTTATGTACTGTTCTAAATTCTTGTAGTAATTTCAACAGTGTTCACAGCATCTTCACTGGGAGTAGATTCCATTGGAAGAAACCCCTTTCTTTGGTCATCCCTAAGAAGCAGCCCTCATCTGTTCAAGTTTGATCCTGAGATTGCAACAATTCAGTCCCATCTTCAGGCTCCACTTCTAATTCTCTTGCTGTTTCTACCACATCTGCAATGACTTCCTCCACTGAAGTCCTGAACCTCACAAAGTCATTCATGAGGGTTGGAATACACTTCTTCCAAATTCCTGTTAATATTGATATTTTGATCTCCTCTCGTGAATCACGAATGTTCTTAGTTGCATCTAGAATGGTGAATCCTTTCCAGGAGGTTATCAATTTACTTCGCCTAGATCCATCAAAGGAGACATATTTATGGCAGCTGTAGCCTTTAAAAATGTATTTCTTAGGCTGGGCACGGTGGCTTCCGCCTGTAATCCCAGCACTGTGGGAGGCTGAGGCGGGTGGATCACAAGGTCAGGAGGTCGAGACCATCCTGGCTAACACGGTGAAACCCCTTCTCTATTAAAAATACAAGACATTAGCTGGGCATGGTTGGGCGCCTGTAGTCCCAGCTACTGGGGAGGCTGAGGCAGGAGAATGGCGTGAACCCGGGAGGCGGAGCTTGCAGTGAGCCAAGATTACGCCACTGCACTCCAGCCTGGGCAACAGAGCAAAGACTCCGTCTCAAAAAAAAAAAAAATGCATTTCTTAAATAATAAGACTTGAAAGGTGAAATTACTCTTTGATCCACGGATTGCAGAATTGATGTGTTAGCAGGCATGAAAACAGCTTTCATCTCCTTGTATATCTCCGTCAGAGCTCTTAGGTGACCAGGTGCATTGTCAAAGAGCAGTAATCTTTTGAAAGGAACCTTTTTTTTTTTTTCTGATCAGTAGATCTGAACAGTGAGTTTTAAATATTCAGTAAATCATGCTGTAAACAGATGTACTATCATCACGACTCTTGTTTTTCCATTCATAGAACACAGGCAGAGGAGATTTAGCATAATTCTTTTTTTTTTTTTTTTTTTTTTTTTGAGACAGAGTTTCACTCTTGTTGCCCAGGCTGGAGTGCAGTGGCACGATATTGGCTCACCGCAACCTCCACCTCCCGAGTTCAAGGGATTCTCCTGCCTCAGCCTCCCAAGTAGCTGGAATTACAGGCATGCACCACCATGCCCGGCTAATTTTTTGTATTTTTAGTAGAGACGGGGTTTCTTTCCACGTTGGTCAGGCTGATCTCGAACTCCTGACCTCAAGTGATCTGCCTGCCTCAGCCTTCCAAAGTGCTGGGATTACAGGTGTGAGCCACTGCGCCCAGTCAATTTAGCATAATTCTTAAGGGCCTTAGGATTTTTGGAGTGGTCGGTGAGCATTCCTTCCATTTAAAGTTACCAGCTGCATTATCCCCTAACAAGAGAGTTAACCTGTCTTCTGAAGCTTTGAAGCCAGGCATTGACTTCTCTCTTGCTTGAGTCCTAAATGGCATCTTTTTCCAGTAGGAGGTTGTTTCTTCTCCATTGAAAATTTGTTCATCAATGATCTTAGCTAGGTCGTCTGGAGAACTTGACACAGCTTCTGCATCAGAACTTGCTGCTTCACCTTGCCGTTTTATGCTATGGAGATGGCTTCTTTCATTAAACCTCATGAATCAACCTCTGCTAGCTTCAGACTTCTGCAACTTCTTCACCTCTCTCAGCCTTCATGGAATTGCAGAGAGTTAGGGCCTTGCTGTGGATTAGGCTTTGGCTTAAGGGATTGTTCTGGCTGCTTAGATCTTCTATCCAGGCCACTACAACTTTGTCCATATCAGCAGTAAGGCTGTTTGTTTTCTTATCATTAATGTGTTCACTGAAATAGCACTTTTAATTTCCTTAAATAACTTTTCCTTTGTGTTCACAAGTTGGCTAACTGGTGCAAGAGACCTAACCTTCAGTCTGCCTTGGCTTTTGACATGCCTTCCTCACAAAGCCTAATCATTCCTAACTTTTGACTTAAAGTGAGAGACGTAGGACTCTTCCTTTCACTTTCACTTTCCTTTAGCAAGGAAGGTTGTTAAATGGCCTAATTTCAATATTGTTGTGTCTCAGGGAATAAGGAGGCCTGAAGAGAGGAAGAGGGACTAGGGCATGGCCAGTCAGTGGAGCAGTTAGAACACACACATTTATTAAGTCCACTATCTTATATGTGTGTGGTTCATGGTGACACAAAACAATTACTGTAATAACATGAAAGATCACTGATCACAGAGCAGTATAACAAATATAATAATGAAAAAGTTTGAAATATCATGAGAATTACCAAAGTGTGACCCAGAGACAGGAAGTGAGCACATGCTGTTGGAAAAATGATACCAATAGACTTGCTTGATGGAAGATTGCCGCAAACCTTTGATTTTTTTTGTTGTTGTTGTTCACAAAACAAAAAAAACGCCTGTAATCCCAGCACTTTGGGAGGCCGAGGCGGGCAGATCACCTGAGGTCAGGAGTTCGAGACCAGCCTGGCCAACATGGTAAAACCCCGTCTCTACTAAAAATACAAAAATTAGTCGGGCATGGTGGTGGGCGCCTGTAATCCCAACTACTACAGAGGCTGAGGCAGGAGAATCTCTTGAACCTGAGAGGCAGAGGTGGCAGTGAGCCAAGATCATGCCATTGCACTCCAGCCTGGGCAACAAGAGCGAAACGCTGTCTCAAACAAAACAAAACAACAAAACAAGTGCAATATCTGCAAGACACAATAAAACAAAGTGTAATAAAGTGAGGTATGCCTATATTTTCTCTTATTCTGTGGGTTGCCTTTTCTCTCTTTTGTGACCTCTGATGCTGTCCAATTCATTTTTTTTCTTTTATTGTCATATCCAAAAAAATCATTGCAAGATCCAATGTCATCAAGCTTTTCCCCTATGTTTTCTCTAAACATTTTATGATTTTAATTGTTGGGGTTTTTTTTAACCTGTGAACTTTTTACTGGCCTCCTGCTCCCCAAAGGGTACCCTGCTTCTGCTGGCTCAATTCCTCAGAACTTTGGTGTCGTTGGTCTCAAACACCACTTTGCCGTCCACTATCCTGCAGGTGGTGGTCTTTTGGATGGTTTGCATGGAGTTGCTGCTGTCTAGGGCCTCACCAAGATTGAAGTCCTCCCCATCTTCCAGCAGGCGGTGGTAGGTGGTGATCTCAGCCTCCAGATTGACCTGGATGTTCCAGGCCTCGTACTCCTGGGCCTGGCGCTGTCCCTCTGCCCAGGTCTGTGCCAGCTCCGACTCCAGGTACAGTAGGACCCTGTTGAGCTGCTCCATCTGCGTGGTATAGCAGGCCTCCACCTCCCTTAGGCTGTTCTCCAAGCTGATCTTCAGATTTCTCATCAAGTCCAGGCCAATCTCCAAGGACTGGACTGGACATCTCAGCTCTGTGAGTGTTATCTCAGCAGCTCTGATCTCGGTGGACTGCGTGATGACCACTGTGGTGCTCTCCTCAATCTGCTGGGATCAGTACCTGTCCAGCTTCTCTAGGTTCTTCTGAGTCAGCTTGTCATATTGGGCCCAGATATCTGCCATGATCTTGCCAAGGTCCTGATATTTGGACATCTGCCTCCACAGTCAACCCAAAGCTAGTAATACGGGCTTGTAGGCCTTTTACTCCCTCTTCATGGTTCTTCATGAAGAACAGCTTCTCCTTGAGAGTCTCAATCTTTGTCTTCATCTACAGCCCAGTGACACTGGTGTCATCAGTGACCTTGCAGAGCCCATGGATGTCGCTCCTCACAAACTGGTGCATGGCCAGCTCTGTCTCATACTTGACTCTAAAGTCAGCAGCAGCAAGATGGGCATTGTCAGTGTGCAGAACGATGAAGGCATTGTCCACAGAATTTGCAAAGATCTGAGCCATCAGCTTCTCAGTGGTCTTGAAGTAATGGCCCAGTCTCTGACCTGGGGTCTCTTCTTCTCCAGGTGCTCCCGGTTTTTGCTCTCCAGCCTCTAATTCTCAGTCTCCAGGCTCCTCACTCTGTCCAGGTAGGAGGCCAGGTGGTCGTTCAGGCTTTGCATGGTCTCCTTCTCATTCTAGATGCCCCCTATTCCTGCCAGACCCCTGGCCATCCCAGTGGCCAGGGCCCTGGACCCCAAGCCACCCTGGAAACTGGTGGAGCAGGACACAGAGATCTGGGAGCCCAAATCCCTTACATCTGCATAGATGCCGGCTGGACTGCTGATCAACCGGGTACTGTAGCTGGGCGGCTGGACGGATCCCAGGGACTGGTAGTTAGTAGAGAAGGTAGTGGAGTGAGTGGTGAAACTCATGCTGTCTGGGGAGGAAAGTGAGAGAACAGGACTCAGGTTCTGCCTGTGATTTTAGTTTTTATGTTTAGGTCTTTAATCCATTTTGAGTTACTTTTTGTATATGGTATAAGGTAAGGGTCCAATTTTATTATTTTGTGGACCCAGTTTTCCCAGTATTATTTGTTGAAAAGAGTATTCTTTTTTCTCATTGAATGGTCTTAGTACCCTTGTCAAAGATCATTTGATCATATATGTGAAGGTTCATTTTTGAGTTCTCTCTTATATTCCACTGGTGTCTGTGTTTCTATGCTGTTACCATACATTTGCTTACTTTAACTTTGTAATGAGGTTTAAATTCAGGAAGTGTGAGATCATCCAACCTTGTTCATCTTTATCAAGATTATTTTGGCTATTTGAGGTCCTTTGAGGTTCCATATACATTTTAGAATGGATTTTTCTATTTTTATAAAAAATGTGTTTGGGCCTATTGAGTTTTTTGAGGCACTTTTATCAAATCAGTGCATGCAGCTGTTTCTAGACTTTCTTCTGTTTCATTGATCTATGTGTCTTATGACAATAACATAGGTTTTATTAATAGCTTTATAGTACATCTCAACATTAGGTATTGTAAGTCTTCCAGCTTTGCTCTTTTCCAAATTTGTTATGTCTATTCTTTGTCCTCTGCATTTCCATATTCATTATAGCATCATTTTATTTTCCACCAAGCAAACAAAAGATGCTGGGCCAGGGTGGTGGCTCACACCTGTTATCCCAGCACTTCGACAGGCTGAGATGGAAGGATTGCATGAGGCCAGGAGTTTGAGACCAGCCTGGGCAGCATAGCAAGACCTAGTCTCTAAAAAAAAAAAAAAATTAAAAATTAGACTGGGCATGGTGGCTCGCGCCTATAATCCCAGCACTTTGGGAGGCTGAGGCAGGCGACTCACTTGAGGTCAAGAGTTTGAGACCAGCGTGGCCAACATGGTGAAACCCCATCTCTACAAAAAAATGCGAAAATTAGGTGGGCGTGATGGCATGTGCCTGTAATCCCTGATACTCGGGGGGCTGAGGCAGGAGAATCACTTGAACCTGGGAGGTGGAGGCTGCATTGAGCTGAGATGATGCCACTGCACTCCAGCCTGGGCAACAGAGAGAGACTGTGTCTCAAAAAAAAAAAAAAAAAAAAGATAAAAGAAAAAGAAAAAAAAAAGAAAAATTAGCTGAGTGTGGCAGTGCATGCCTATAGTCCCAACTACTTGAGAGGCTGAGGCAGGAGGATCACTTGAGCCCAGGAATTTGAGGTTGCAATGAGCTATGATTGCTCCACTGTACTCCAGCCTGGGTGACAAAGTGAGGCCCTGTATCTATTAAAAAGAAAGAAAGAAAGAAGGAAAAGGATTCTGGGATTTTGATTGGGATTGCATTGAACCTGTACGTAATTTATGGGGAAATGACATCTTGGCAATTTTAAGTGTTCTGATCCATGAACATGGTATGCCCCTTCTTTTATTTAAGCCTTTACTTTCTTTCAGGAATATTTTATAGTGTAGAGACTTTGCTTACCCTTTGTTAAATTTACTCCAAAATGCTATGTTTTGGGTGGTGGTATGAATTTTTTTTTTTTTTTTTTTGAGACAGAGTCTTACTCTGTCGGTCAGGCTAGAGTGCAGTGGCACAATTTTGGCTCACTGCAACCTCCGCCTCCCAGGCTCAAGCAATTCTCCTGCCTCAGCCTCCCGAGTAGCTGGGATTACAGGAGTGTGCCACCATGCCCGGCTAATTTTCGTATTTTTAGTAGAGACGGGGTTTCACCATGTTGGCCAGGCTGTTCTTGAACTCCTGACCTCCGGTAATCTACCTGCCTCAGCTTCCCAAAGTGCTGGGATTACAGGCGTGAGCCACCATGCCCGGCCTGAATTCTTTTTTATATTTCCAAATTGTTTGCTGCTAGTATCTCAAAATTCAGTTGATTTTTTTTGAGACCTGTTTTCACTTTGTCACCCAGGCTGGAGTGCAGTGGCATCATCTTGGCTCACTGCAACCTCTGCCTCCTGGGTTCAAGCGATTCTCCTGCCTCAGCCTCTCAAGTAGCTGGAATTACAGGTGACTGCCACCAAGCCCGGCTAATTTTTGTATTTTTGGTAGAGATGGGGTTTCACCATGTTGACCAGACTGGTCTCAAACTCCTGACCTCAAGAGATCCACCAGCCTCAGCCTCCCAAAGTGCTGGGAATACAGGTGTGAGCCACTGTGCCCAGCCCAATTGAAATTTTTGTAGGTTGTCTTTGCATCTTGCTGCACTCCTGTAGTCATCTATTAATTCTAATAGTTGTTTTGTAGATTTGTAGATTCTGCAGGATTTTCTTTGTAAATAATTATGTTGTCTGTGAGTTAAGACAGCTTTACTTCCTTTTTTGATCTTTATGCCTTTTATTTTTCTTGCCTTATCACACCAGCTATGTTATTCTCAGTATCAAAACAAGTGGTCAGAGAAATAATCCTTGCCTTGTTCCCAATCTTTGTGGGAAGCAATATTTTAATATTTTATGTTAGGTCTAAATTTTGTATAATTCCAAAATCAAAATTTAGTTCATTGCTACATGTAGAAACAATATGGATCTCTTGCCAGAGAATGGATGCCAAATATTTTGTCTAGAATTGTACTGCCCTATTGGACATTAGCTACATGGGGCTGTTTAACACTTAAATTAATTAAAGTTAAATAAAAGTATAAATTCAGTTCCTGAAATATCTTGCTAGATACATCTTAAGTGCTTAGTAGCCACATATAGCTATTATCTGCTGTGATGGATACAAATATAGAATATATCCAACATTGTAGAAAATTCCATTTGTCAGCATTGGTCTAGAATTTAAGACAAATTTGGAGAAGTTGGTTTAATGTGAAGGGATAGTTGTAGTCTTTCTTGAAAATTGGAGACCACACAGAGAAGGGGTGTCTTATGTTTTTGCTGAGTTATCCAGAAAAGTATTTTAAAACTAGAAGAAACCAATCTAAAAGAGAGGCTTGCTTCAGTAGAACTAATTTCTCATTGTTATTCACATATTTCTATGAATAGTTACATACTTTTACATTCCTCTGAAGAAGAATTTAATGCATACAGGCTCTTCTCAATATTTAGACATTAAGGTATGCTTAATTACTACTCTGGCAGCATCTTTCAGACCCTGTTAATCAGATTAGCAGTACAACCTAAAGTAATATTAAAAGAATTCAGAATTAAGAGTATATGAATTTGTCTTTCAGATTTTTAATTTGTCTTTCTCTAATCTCTATTATATCAAATACTAGCTGGGAAGACACTTCAGATCTTTAATATTGAGATGAAGAGTAAAATGAAGGCTCATACTATGGCAGAAGAAGTGATTTTCTGGAAATGGGTTTCTGTGAACACTGTTGCCTTGGTGACCGAGACCGCGGTCTACCACTGGAGCATGGAAGGTGACTCCCAGCCCATGAAGATGTTTGATAGACATACCAGTCTGGTGGGCTGCCAGGTGATTCACTACCGGACTGATGAGTACCAGAAGTGGCTGCTGCTCGTAGGCATCTCGGCTCAGGTAAGCCTTGAGCTGCCTTTAGGGGCTGGTCTGATGTAACTTCAAAGCCCAATATTAGAATGGAGTGGTTAAATCATTAGAAGTTGGTTATAGGGCCAGGTGCGGTGGCTCATGCCTGTAATCCCAGCACTTTGGGAGGCCGAGGCGGGAGGATCTCTTGAGGTCAGGGGTTTGAGGTTGCAGTGAGCCAAGATTGCGCCACTGCACTCCAGCCTGGGCAACAGAGCAAGACCCTGTCTCAAAAAAAAAAAAAGTTGGTTATAGGTATAAGGCAAAAGTAGGCCTGGAACTGAGAGAAATAGAGATTACAAAGAAATCTGAACTTGGATCAAATAATCTTAATTTACCTTTGGCCTATTAACTACTACTGCATTCCTTCAGGTTACTGATGTTCATTGTATAAACTATTTCTAGCACTGTTTTGAGAGGTTGTTGAGGAATTTTATAGAGTAATTTGGAACCCATAGTTTTATAAGAAGTAGTCCTTCGGGAAGACGAGAGAGGGCTAGACATCCTGCCCACTGCGTCCCAGCCAGGGCAGGGAGGGACCGTGGCCCATGGGGTCAAAGGGCCCCGATGTGCACAGCTGCCGCAGGGAGGGAGGTCTTGGGGAAATGGGCGGTCAGCTGGCCTGTCCTTGGTAATTGCACACACTGCCCGCACACACCACGGCCCACACACAACGCGGCCTTCCTGGCATCTCTGGCCCCCGTGTGTCTGCACTGTAGGTATTGTATCAAAGTCCCAGCATCTAGATGGTTAACATAGAGCTGCTTCTGTGTAAATGCTGCTTATTTGAAACACTAAAAAGCATTTAATTTTATGGGAAAAAAAAGAAGTAGTTCTTAGACTGTATTTTAAGGACTTACTGGAATGTTACTAACTCATATTCTATTATACTGAAAGCAGTATCTTTTTGTCCTCCCTTTTTTTTTTTTTTTTTTTGAGACGGAGTCTTACTCTGTCACCCAAGCTGGAGTGCAGTGGCGCGATCTCGGCTCACTGCAAGCTCTGCCTCCTGGGTTCATGCCATTCTCCTGCCTCAGCCTCCCCAGTAGCTGGGACTACAGGCGCCCACCACCATGCCTGGCTAATTTTTTGTATTTTTAGTAGAGATGGGGTTTCTCCGTGTTAGCCAGGATGGCCTTGATCTCCTGACCTCGTGATCCGCCCGCCTTGGCCTCCCAAAGTGCTGGGATTACAGGCGTGAGCCACCGCGCCCGTCCCCTTTTTTCATTCCTGGTGGCTAATTCAGTCACCAGATACTTGAGGACTACAGGATGTTTGCACTTGGGACATAGATCTTCGTCATTCAATCCTGATGACCAGTGAATGATTTGTCTATAGCCTAGTGGGGAAGGTGTATCTGCACAATTCTAGTAATTAAGGAACTGTCACATGTTTGAAGAGAATACTGTGGGAGCCATGAGAGAGCAGCTTAAGTCAAGACAGCCTGCAACACAGGGGATCTAAGATGCATTTTGCTAGCTATTAAAGTGCACTTTGGAAGGACACAGTGTATGCAAAGGCACAGAATGGAGGAGAATGGCTCTTTCTGGGAGTCTGGGGTCACCCACCGTGGATGATACCTATAGGTAAGCATATTAGGTAGCTAGAGGGGCAAGACTTAGAGAGATGATTGGGGGCCAGACTGCAGGCAATGGGAATTATGTAGCAGGTTTTGAGTGAGAGTGATGTAATTAATTTTCCTTCTTAGCAGCATAGTGGAATTGAAAAAATGCTATCATTGATGTTGAAGATGGACCACCATGAAGACTGGAGGCCAGGAGACTAGTTGAAAGGCAGATACAGGAACAAAACCATGTAGTCTGTTCTGGAATAGAGACATGTATGAGAAAGGTTAAGAATACGCAAACAGGGAAGGAGTACTTCCATTTCTGGAACGCTCTGTTCCATTTCTGCAACCCCCAGAAGATATGAAGCATGTGTGACTAGATGAAGGCAGTGGCATTGCAGATATACAGGGGAGACAAGACCTAAGACTTTGGCTTACTCACCCTGATAAAGGGCATCTACAACAAATACAACTAACATCTTACTTCATGTTGAAAAACTGAAAGCTTTCCCCCAAGGATCAGAAACAAGACAAGGATGTCTTCTCTTGCTACTTCTGTTCAGCTTTGGACTAGAGATTCTAGCCAGGGCAATTAGGTGAGAAAAACATAAAAGGCATCTAGATTTAGGCTGGGCACGGTGGCTCACGCCTGTAATCCCAGCACTTTGGGAGGCCAAGGCGGGCGGATCACGAGGTCAGGAGATTGAGACCATCCTGGCTAACACGGTGAAACCCCGTCTCTACTAAAAATACAAAAAATTAGCCGGGCACGGTGGCGGGCGCCTGTAGTCCCAGCTACTCGGGAGGCTGAGGCAGGAGAATGGCATGAACCCGGGAGGCGGAGCTTGCAGTGACCGAGATAGCACCACCACAGTCCGGCCTGGGCAAAAGAGCGAGACTCCGTCTCAGAAACAAAACAAAACAAAAAGGCATCTAGATTTAAATGGAAGAATTAAAGCTGTCTCTATTTGCAGATGACATAAGCTTGTATATGGAAATCCTAAGGAATCTAGTAAAAAACTATTAGAACTAATAAACAAATTGAACAAGGTTACAGAATACAATATCAGTTTGCAAACATCAATTGTGTTCCTAAACATTTGCAACGAACAATCCAAAAATGAAATCAGGAAAGCAATCTCATTAATAATAACATCAAAAAGAATAAAATACTTAGAGGTAAATTTAATTTAAAAAGTGCAAAAGTTACATTCTGAAAACTACAAAACATGTTTGGAAGTAATTAAAGAAGATCTAAATCGAAAAATATTGCATGTTCATGGACTCGAAGATTTAATACTTTTAGGATGGAAGTACTCCTCAAATTGGTCTACAAATTCAACATAATCTCTATTGGAATACCAGCTAGCTTCTTTGTAGAAGTTGGCAAGATGATCCTAAAATTTATGTGGAATTGCAAGGAACCCAGAATAGCCAAAACAACCATAAAACAAATAAAAAGTTGGAGTACTTATACTTCCCAATTTTAAAACTTGCCACAAACCTACAGTGATCCAGAATGTGGTACTAGCTGGGCTCAGTGACTCATGCCTGTAATCCCAGCACTTTGGGAGGTTGAGGAAGGTGGATAACCTGAGCCCAGGAGTTCGAGACCAGCCTAGGCAACATGGCAAAACCCATTTTTTACAAAAAATGCAAAAACTAGCCAGGCATGATGGCATGCACCTGTAGTTCCAGCTACTCTGGAGGCTGAGGTGGGAGAATTGCTTGAGCCTGGGAGGTGGAGGTTACAGTGAACTGAGATTGCACCACTACACTCCAGCCTGGGTGACAGAGTGAGACCTTGTCTAAAAAAAAATTAAAAAAGTTAAAAAAAATAGAATGTGGTACTAACTTGAGAATAGATGACAAACAAATTAGCTTGGTGTGGTGGCATGCACCTGTAGTCCTGGCTACGTGGGAGGCTCAGGCAGGAGAATTGCTTGAGCCCAGGAGTTCAAGGTTACAGTGAGCCATGATCATGTCTTTGCATTCCAGCCTGGGCAATAGAACAAGACCCTGTCTCTAAAATTAAAAAAAAAAAAAAAAAAAGAACAGATGAGTCCCAGAAAAGTGATGTGCCCAAAAAACAGGTTTTGTTTTCCTTTCTTTTCTTTTTTTGTTTTTCTGAGACAGAGTCTCACTCTGTCACCCAGGCTGGAGTGCAGTGGCACGAACTCAGCTCACTGCAACCTCCACCTTCCAGATTCAAGTGATTCTCCTGCCTCAGCCACCCGAGTAGCTGGGACTACAGGTGTGTGCCACTATGCTCAGCTAATTTTTGCGTTTTTAGTAGAGACAGTGTTTCATCATGTTGGCCAGGCTGGTCTTGAACTCCTGACCTCAAGTGATCTGCCCACCTCGGCCTCCCAAAGTTCTGGGATTACAGGTGTGAGCCACCGCGCCCGGCCCATTTATTTGTATTCACCTTTAATAATAATATGCCACGAAAAACCTTAGCATACCATCAGTCATTCTAAAGGGAAGATTGCTTTTGCATGGTACCTGGCGATTTTTTTTTTAAGTTTCAAAATCAGCTTTGATGGTTTGTGAACAGGGTATGAAAGTTAATTTTCTGATTAAAGGGAAGGGAAACCAAATAAAAATTATCAAAACCTAGCCATACCATCAACTTAGAAATAAATTTAAATTTACTCAAGGTTATTTCTTTTTTTTTCTTTTCTTTTGAGACAGAGCCTTGCTCTGTTGTCCAGGCTGGAGTGCAATGGTGCGATCTCGGCTCACTGCAACCTCCACCTCCTGGGTTCAAGTGATTCTCCTATCTCAGCCTTCCAGGTAGCTGGGATTATAGATGTGCACCACCATGCCTGGCTAATTTTTTTTGTGTTTTTAGTAGAGACAGGGTTTCACCGTGTTGGCCAGGCTGGTCTCAAACTACTCAAGGTTATTTCTAATAAGTTATGAACATATTTCTCTGAATCAAAATAATATCAGTAGAGTGCAAATATATATTTTAAAAATTCATTAATTTTAATTTCTTAATTTTAATTTTTTTTATTTTTTGAGACAGGGTCTTGCTCTGTCGCTGAGGCTGGAGTGCAGTGGCACAATCTCGGCTCACTGCAACCTCCACCTCCCGGGTTCAAGCAATCCTCCTGCCTCAGCTTCCCGAGTAGCTGGGATTATAGGCACGTGCCACCACGCACTGCTAATTTTTGTATTTTTAGTAGAGATGGGGTTTCACCATGTTAGCCAGGATGGTCTCAAACTCCTGACCTCAAGTAATCCGCCCGCTTCGGCCTCCCAGAGTGCTGGGATTATAGGCATGATCATTTGAACTTATTCCTCCAGTCTAATCAAAGTGTTGTATCCCTTGTGGTCAATTGATTTTTGACAAGGTTGCCAAGACAGTTCAGTGAAAAAAAGAGGAGTTGTTCAATACAAGGTCTTGGGGCGCTGGACATTTATATGCAGAAGCATTAAATGGGACCTCTGTCTCATAATACTAAAAAACTCAAAATCGATCAGACCTAAATGTAAGAACTGAACCTATAAAACTCTTAGAAGGGCCAGGCACAGTGGCTCATGCCTGTAATCCCAGCACTTTGGGAGGGAGGCTGAGGCAGGCAGATCACCCTGTGGTCAGGATTTCAAGACCAGCCTGGCCAACATGGCGAAACCCCATCTCTACTAAAAATACATCATGAATGAACCTTGGAAATATTAAGCTAAGTGAAAGATGCCAGTCACAAAAGACCACATACTATATGATTCCATTTATTTGAAATGTTCAGGATAGTCTGACCTATAGACACAGAAAATAGATAAGTAGTTGCCTATGACTGGAGGTGGAGTCTGGGAGATAGGAATGAGGATTGAATGCTAATAGGGTTTCTTTCAAAGGATGAAAGTGTTCTAAAACTATGTTGTAGTGATGATTGCACAGCCCTCTGAGTATACGAAGAAACATTGGATGGTATGCTTTAAACCAGGGGTGTCTGATCTTTTGGATCCCCTGGGCCACACTGGAAGAAGAATTGTCTTGGGTCACACATAAAATACACTAGCAATAGCTGATGAGCTAAAAACAAAAATTGCAAAAAAATTCATAATTTTTTTTTTTTGAGACCGAGTTTTGCTCTTGTTGCCCAGGCTGGAGTGCAGTGGCATGGTCTTGGCTCACCGCAACCTCCGCCTCCCGGGTTCAAGCGATTCTACTGCCTCAGCCTTCCTGAATAACTGGGACTACAGGCATGCACCACCACACCTGGCTAATTTTGTATTTTTAGTAGTGATGGGGTTTCTCCATGTTGGTCAGTCTGGTCTCGAACTCCTGACCTCAGGTGATCTGCCTGCCTCGGCCTCCCAAAGTGCTGGGATTACAGGTGTGAGCCACCATGCCCAGCCAAAAGTTCATAATGCTTTAAGAAAGTTTATGAATTTGTGTTTGGGCCACATACAAGGCTATACTGGGCCACATGTTGGACAAGCTTGCTTTAAATAGATAAGTTCTATGGTATGTGAATTATATCTCAATTAAGCTTTTAAAAATACCCTTGGGGGCCAGGCACGGTGACTCACACCTTTAATCCCAGCACTTTGGGAGGCCAAGGCAGGAGGATCACCTGAAGTCAGGAGTTCGAGACCAGCCTGGCCAATGTGGTGAAACCCCGTCTTTACTAAAAATACAAAAATTAGCCGAGAGTTGTGGCATGTGCCTGTAATCCCAGCTACTTGGGAGGCTGAGGCGGGAGAATCGCCTGAACCCAGGATGCAGAGGTTGCAGTGAGCCGAGATCACACCATTGCACTCCAGCCTGGGCAACAAGAGTGGAACTCTGCCTCAAAAACAAAACAAAACAAAACAAATGACAACAACAACAACAAAATAAAAACTCTTGGGAATTATGCCTCTTTACAAAGAAATCATCATGTTTGAAGAATATAAAACAAAAATTATAAATCATAGTTACATGTATATGCTTTACTGACAAACTAAAAAACAACAAATAAAAAAATCCCATGCATTTACCAACAACAAAACACCTCATGGGCATAAGAATAGACATGTAGACCAATGGGAAAAAATGTAAGGTCCAGGAATACACCCCTACATCTGTGGCCAATTGATTTTTGATGAGAGTGTCAAGACTGTTCAATGGTGAAACAATAGTCTCTTCAGGAATGGTGCTGGGACAACTAAATATCCACATGCAAAAGAATGGAGTTGGTCACCTGCCTCACACCATGTACAAAAATAAACTCAAAATAGATCTGAAACCTCAATGTAGAAGGTAAAACTACAAAACTCTTAGAAGAAAACATAAGGAGAAAGCTTTATGACTTTGGATTTGGCATGGATTCTTAGATATATAATAGCACCAAAAGCCTGAACAACAAAATTAAAAAATAGATAATTTGGACTTCAGAATTAAAAACTTTTGTGCATAAAAGGATATTGCCAATAAAGTGAAAAGACAACCTGGGATGTAATATTTGAAAATCATCTATCTGATAAGGGTCTAGTATCCAGATATACAAAGAACACTTACAACTCAACAACAAAAAGTCAACCCAGTTAAAAAGTGGGCAAATGACTTGCTTGACATCATTAGCCATTAGGAAAATGCAATTCAAAACCACAATGAAGTACCACTTTACACCCACTCGAATGGTTATAATTTTTACAAAGTAGAAAATAAGTGTTGGCCCTGAGGTCAGGAGTTTGAGACCAGCCTGACCAACATGGAGAAACCCCATCTCTAGTAAAAATACAAAATTAGCCGGGTGTGGTGGTGCATGCCTTTAATCCCAGCTACTCCGGAGGCTGAGGCAGGAGAATTGCTTGAACCTGGAAGGCAGAGGTTGAAGTGAGCCGAGATCGCGCCATTGCACTCCAGCCTGGGCAACAAGAGCGAAACTCCATCTCAAAAAAAAGAAAAGAAAAGAAGTGTTGGCAATGTTATGGAGAAATTGGAACCCTCCTACATTAGTGGTAGGAATATAAAAATGTTCAGATGCTGTGGAAAGCAGTTTGGTGGTTCCTCAAAAAGTTAAACATAAGGCCAGGCGTGGTGGCTCACACCTGTAATCCCAGCACTTTGGGAGGCTGAGGCAGGTGGATCACGAGGTCAGGAGATCAAGACCATCCTGGCTAACACGGTGAAACCCTGTCTCTACTAAAAATACAAAAAAACTAGCCGGGCATGGTGGCAGGCGCCTGTAGTCCCAGCTACTTGGGAGGCTGAGGCAGGAGAATTGCGTGAACCCGGGAGGCAGAGCTTGCAGTGAGCCAAGATCGCACCACTGCACTCCAGCCTAAATGACAGAGGGAGACTCCATCTCAAAAAATAAAAAAAAGTTAAACACAGAATTACCATTTGACCCAGCAGTTCCACTGTTAGGTGTCTACCTAAGAGAAATGAAAATGTATCCACACAAAAACTTTTACACAGATATTCGTAATAGCATTTTTTATAATAACCAAAAGGTAGAAACAGCCCAAATGTTCACCAGCAAATGAGTGGATAAACAAGTTGTGGTGTATCCATACAGTGGGACATTATTTAACCCTAAAAATGAAGTACTGATACATGCTACACATAGGTAAACCTCAAAAACTTACTAAATGAAAAAAGTGAGGCACAAAAGGCCTCATATTTTATTGTTATTCCATTTATATGAAATATTTAGAATCAGTAAATCTATGGAGCTAGAAAGTAGGATTGGTGGCTGCTAGGGGACTTGGGTCAGGGGACTGGGGACTGACTAATGGGCACAGGAATTTCTTTTGGGTGATGAAAATGTTTTGGAACTATGATGAGGTTTTGGTTCCACACATTGCGAGTGTCCTAAATGCCATTCAATCATACACTTTAAAATGGTTCATTTTGTTTTGTGAATGTCACCTCAACATAAAAAGGGGAGGGGAAGCCAGGTGTGGTGGCTTACGCCTGTAATCCCAGCACTTTGGGAAGCCAAGGTGGACAGATCATGAGATCAGGAGTTTGAGATCAGCCAGGCCAACATACTGAAACCCCCTCTCTATTAAAAAGACAAAAATTAGCCAGGCATGCTTGCACGCGCCTGTGGTCCCAGTTACCCAGGAGGCTGAGGCAGGAGAATCGTTTGAACCCAGGAGGTGGAGGTTGTGGTGAGCCGAGGTCACGCCACTGCACTCCATCCTGGGTGAGAGAGAGCCAGACTCTGTCTCAAAAAAAAAAAAAAAAAAAAAAAGGAGGGGGAGAGGGGAACATGGGGCCATAGTTTGCCAACCCTGTCTAAGCATTTGCAAATACAGATGCCTGTTTCTGTTTGAAACAACTTCTGTTCCTGTCACCTGGTTAGCTCTTACTCCAGCTTAGGTGTCACTTTGGGAAGCCTCCCTGACTTACTGATCTTGGTGAGCTGATAAGGCATCTTGTTCTCTCCCATGCTGTAGCAATCAGCACTCTGTATTGCAGTTGCTTGTGTACTTGCCGGAAACTCTTACCATCTGTTCTTGAGAGAAGGACCTGTGTCATATTTTACTTATCCCTGGCCCCTAGCATGGTGCCTGGCACAATGAATGCATTTGCTCATTGAATCCTTGCCTGCTACAGTCCTTAACATGCCTTTACCAAAATTTGACACACTTAACACTCAGCAGCCCCATGAGGTGGGAAGGTAAGCCTGGCAGGTGCCTAAGACTTAGAAGCAGGACATCGGCCCAAGGCCACACACGTAGCCTAAGGTCTGGTCTCTCACCTTCACCTTGGCTGTTCTGTCTTCTCTGCCTCTTCGTCTTGGCTGCAGTTTAGGCTTCGTTTAGGTATCTGTACCTTTAGGACTCAAATGTGCTATCATCATGTTGCTGGAAGTCTTCCCACAGTCTCTTGGGGAGGGTGAGTTTTGTCCTGTCTTTGGATTCTCATTTTTACCTTTCCATGCTCATTTTTCTGTTAAAACACAGACCACTTATCTGCTGGTTTACTCCTTATTTCTCCCTATTACCAGCCTTTGGCAACCACTAATCTATTTTCTGTCTCAATAAATTTTCCTTTTCTGGATATTTCATAGGTGGAATCAGACAATATGCAGCCTTTCATGCCTGGCTTCTTTCCTTAGCATGTTTTCAAGGTTCATCCATGTGGTAGCATGTGTCAGTACTTTGCTTAATAACGTTAACAGAAATCTGTGCAATAGAAAATATTTTTAAAGACAAAGTTGAAGCCTTTGTTATCCCATTTTAAGGAGTTGTGAGTGAGTGAGGAATAGACTGAGGATTTTACCCACGACTATATGTGAGCTCACTCAGCAGAGAGGATTGAATGTTTAATTACAGGAGCTTGAACTGGGACCCTTTTGTATTCCATTCACTTAGCTTTTTGAGCATTTGACATTGGATATAAATGTACTGAAATTCTTTAGTAGAAAATATAAGTTCTGGCTGGGCATGGTGGCTCAAGCCTGTAATCCCAGCATTTTGGGAGGCTGAGGCAGGCAGATCACGACGTCAGGATATCGAGACCATCCTGGCCAACATGGTGAAACCCCGTCTCTACTAAAAATACAAAAAATTAGCCAGGCATGGTGGCGGGCGCCTATAGTCCCAGCTACTCAGGAGGCTGAGGCAGGAGAATGGCGTGAACCCAGGAGGCGAAGCTTGCAGTGAGCCGAGATCACGCCACTGCACTCCAGCCTGGGTGACAGAGCAAGACTCCATCACAAAAAAAAAAAAAAAAAAGAAAGAAAGAAAGAAAATACAAGTTCTAAGTTTTATAAAAGATATTAGTCTTACTGGTTTGGGGGTTTTGGTTTTTTTGGAGACAGAGTCTTGCTCTGCCACCCAGGCTGCAGTGCAGTGCTGCAGTCATAGCTCACTGCAACCTCAAACTTCTTGGCCCAAGCAATCCCCCTGCCTTGGCCTCCCGAGTAGCTAAGACAACAGGCGCATGCCACCATGACCAGCTAATTTTCTTATTTTTTTGTAGAGATGGCGTCTTGCTATGTTGCCCAGACTAGTCTTGAACTCTCGGCCTCAAGTGATTCTCCCAAGGTGCTAGGATTGCAGGTGTGAGCCACTGTGCTGGCCTTATTGGTTTTTATTAAATACAATTTTTGCTACTTAGAAATTTCAGAAAACACAATTTTCAAAATTACCTGTGATTGCATCCCCCGATTTAACTACTATTAATGCTTTAGAGTTTTTCCTCCAAAGTGCACGAGTTACTTTCCATGAAAAAATGCTCTCACACTTACTATATTTAACAAATTAGGTTTGTCCATCTTACTTTTTTGTGGTCTTATTTTTTTCCATAGTGTTTGCCATCTTTCCACATAAAATTCAGAGTGATATCATGCCTTTAATAGCTAATACATTTAATTTTTACTAGAGGAAGTATACCTCTAATGTATGAGACTTTCATTTTAGAAATATATTTTAAGAATTGTTTCTTTATATTCCTCTCTTTTCTCTCCCTTTCATTGCATAATATCTTTTCTTAGCAAAACCGTGTGGTTGGAGCAATGCAGCTCTACTCTGTGGATAGGAAGGTTTCACAACCCATAGAAGGCCATGCTGCGGCTTTTGCAGAGTTCAAGATGGAGGGGAATGCCAAGCCTGCCACCCTTTTCTGCTTTGCTGTACGTAATCCCACAGGAGGCAAGGTAAGATCCACTCTACTGTCTTCTCCCTGAGAAAAGTGTCATGAGCTGGTGTTAGGGGTGTGCGTGTGTGTGGCTGGGCATGGCCTGCAGATGTCTGTGTGAGGAAAGGTTCATGGTGGTGTTGAGAACTGTGCACCGTGATGCACATGATTAAGTGGCCCCATTCCCCTAAAAAATCCTCAGGCTGGGCGCGGTGGCTCACGCCTGTAATCCAACACTTTGGGAGGCCGAAGAGGGTGGATCACGAGGTCAGGAGTTCAAGAACAGCCTGGCCAACGTGGTGAAACCCCGTCTCTACTAAAAATACAAACATTAACTGGGCATGGTGGCGCATTCTTATAAACCCAGCTACTTGGGAGGCTGAGGTAGGAGAATTGCTTGAACTGGGACCTGCAAGGCAGAGGTTGCAGTGAGTCGAGATCGCACCACTACACTCCTGCTTGGGCTACACAGTGAGACTCCGTCTCAAAAGAAAAAAAAAAAATCCTTCCACACAGACTAGACTGAAATGCACTCTAAAGGTAAGTGAGGCAGCCAGGTGCGGTAGCTCACACCTGTAATCCTAGCAGTTTGGGAGGCCGAGGTGGGTGGATTGCCTGAGCTCAGGAGTTCTACACCAGCCTGGACAATACAGCGAAACCCCATCTCTATTAAAATATAAAAAATTAGCCGGGCCTGGCTGTGTGCGCTTGTAGTCCCAGCTACTCAGGAGGCTGAGGCAGGAGAATTGCTTGAACCTAGGAGGCAGAGGTTGCAGTGAGCCGAGATCGCGCCACTGCACTCCAGCCTGGGCGACAGAGCGAGACTCCATCTCCAAAAAAAAAAAAAAAAAAGGTAGATGAGGCACAGTTTCTGCTCTTGGGGAGATGACTGTGAAATCACCAGTGTGGTGCCATCCTTGCCATTAGCATGGTTCTTCCCAGGTGGTTGGGAGGCGCCTCAGGGAGGCTCCAGAGAGATTGAGACTGTGCCCAGGAGCCAGTGGGTTTTATTAGGCTCAGGGACATGGCCAGCGGCTGCTCGGCAGGGCTGCCATGGGCAGAGGTGAGGAGACAGAAGAGCTTGTGATGTCAGGGAGACCTTGGGTTCCGCCATTGTGGTCTCAGCCACTTGGAGAGCTGCTTCAAGACAGTCGTCTTGTGAAAAACACTTTCTCAAACCATAATTTTGGGTTGTTCGTTAGCCCCGAAATATTCCCCAAGGCAGAGGAGTTCTCAATTAGAATGTGGCTTTACAAACTTCCTCATCTGAAATACACTGAATACTTTGGCCTCCTGTTGAGTAACATACTTCATGCCCTCCTCATTTGAGAGCCAGAAGGAAAAGGACTCGGGTCACGTGTCAGCCTTGTTGCTGATGAAGGACACTGACTTTAGTTATGTGGCTCAAAGAGCTTGCTCCCATATTCCCTCAGAGTGAGGCACACCTCTCCTTTACAGATGCAGCAGGGCAGCGACAGGCCTCCCTCTGAGGAGCAGAGCCTGCCTCACAGAGTGCCCTGTGGAGAAGAGCACTTCCCAGAGCGGGGCTCTGTACACAGACGGCAGCCCCAAGAAGAGAAGGGGCTGGGGGTTCTCTCTACACCTAGCTTTCTGGTGGGCATGCCCCTCCAGCCGAGCTGGAGATGGACCAGGAGGTCTTCTGTGACCCAGAGAGCCTGGGAAATGCGGTTTCCTGACAGTACCTGTCCTGGAGCGGCCCTGTGTCTTGTGGCAGACTCGGTCCTCCCGGCTGCAGGGTGGGTGTGGGGTCCTGGGAGGGTGCCCGCCCCGCCTGTGCCCAGGCATGCACCTTCCTTTCAGGACTCACCTGTCCTTTTGGGACTGGCCAGCTGTCTCCACATGTGGGGCGGAGCTTGCCTGGACACAGTTCTTTTCTGCCAACCTCCTCCTGCTGCTGCCCTGAGAGCCTGGTGTCCTTTCTGTGCCTCTGCTCCTGCTGGCAGTGTCACCCTTCTCAGCTCCCGAGCAAGAACCCATAGCAGTCAAGCCCCATTCTATTCTCTCGTCACTGTCTGACCTTTAACAAGTCCCACATCTGACTTACCCTTTTGTGGTACACTAAGCCTTTCTCACCTCACATTTGGGTTACAGAATAGCCATTTATTAGGTCCTCAGACCTGCTTCACGCCTTCTTACCAATAGGCCTAGCCAGATAATTTTCCTAAACTACCTTTTATCTGCCTTAAAGCTCCCAGTGCAAGACTTTTCTATTCCCCATCCACAGACTTCTGTCCCCACAGGAGCACCCACATGCTTGCCGCTCAGCCTCCCCCATTGGCCCGGCTCTCAGTGCTGCTCCCCTCCTTATCTGAGCCCCTTTGGTGTTTCCCTCCTCTCTCTGCCCGGCCAAACCCAGACCGCAAACCCAGACTGCCCCTCCACAGACACCCTTGTCTGTGTCCTCTAAGCCCAGCCTCCCGCCCTTGTTTTGTGTCTCTTACCCTTCATTTTGGATTTTGTTGTGGACTTGTGTTAGTTATAATATTTTTTCTTTAGATGAAAGTTATGGTGGCTGGGCGTGGTGGCTCGTGCCTGTAATCCCAGCATTTTGGGAGGCCGAGGTGGGGTTGGATTACCCGAGGTGGGGTCGGGAGTTTGAGACCAGCCTGGCCAACATAGCGAAACCCCATCTCTACTAAAAATACAAAGTTTAGCCGGGTGTGGTGGCATGCATCTGTAATCTGTAATCTCAGCTACTTGGGAGGCTGAGGCACGAGAATCGCTTGAACCCGGGAGGCAGAGGTTTCAATGAGCTGAGATCGCGCCACTGCACTCCAGCCTGAGCGACAGAGCGAGACTCCATCTTAAAAAAAAAAAAAAAAAAGAAGAAAAAGAAAGTTATAGGGAAGGCACTGGCATAGGTCAGGAACTTGGAGCTGTTCTCATAAGGCAGGGATGGGCTCCCTCATCAGATTCTTACCCCCGCCCAGCACAACCTTGAAAACCTCAGGCCTGTGCCATGGTGAGGATGTCTCGTGAGTTTCGCCTCCAGTGATGAGATCTTGCACTAACAGGCTTGTATGAGTCTGGGCCATACCCAGAAAGGCAGAGAGCAGAGTTGGAAGGGACAGCAGATTCTGACTGGAGCCCTTTGTTTCATCGGCATCCAGGCCCGGGGAGGGGAAGTGACTCTGCCACTGTGCTGGAACTGAGGCTCCAGGCTGCCTGGCATTGGCCCTTTGTGCCATGCTTGGTGGTGGGCAGCAGGTTATTGGATAATCACAGGCACTCCGACAAGGGGGTTGTTCTGCTTTGGTTGAATGTGACTTTTAGCGTTAATCATCCAGTGTGTGGAGCTGAGGCTCCACTTGCCTCTGTGCCTTGACTAGCACTTGCCCACCACCACAGGCGGTCCCCTTGATTGACCTAAAATCTCTCTTCTAGTTGCACATCATTGAAGTTGGACAGCCTGCAGCGGGAAACCAACCTTTTGTAAAGAAAGCAGTAGATGTGTTTTTTCCTCCAGAGGCACAGAATGATTTTCCAGTGGCTATGCAGGTACGAATGTGCTGCTCTCTAAACATCTTCATGTCCTAAAATCTACTCTAGCACCTCCCAAGATACAGGAGGCTGCCATTTTTAGTCTGCTTCTGCTGTCTCCTGCCACTGTGATGCTTTCAAACCCATTTAGAGGCCTAAGGCTTTGGCGTGTGAGCTGGGAAAGCCCTGTTCGTAGAAAGGAATGCCCGGCATGAGGGTGAGTTAGGGCAGCAGGAAGACGTTGCCAAGTCACACATCAAAGTCCTCAGCTCTTTCCTTCTTATTATAAAAGATTAGATGTTCACTGTGGTATGAGAATATTTAAAGAATAAAATACCTAATGTAGGTGACGGGTTAATGGGTGCAACAAACCACCAGGGCACGTGTATACCTGTGTAACAAAACTGCACGTTCTGCACATGTAACCCAGAACTTATAATAATAAAAAAAAGAATAAAACACTTATTTCCTTTACAATTGGCTGCCATTGAGGGAGCCTAGAGCTCCCAGGGACAGTCCTTTGAGCTGGCATTCAGAATGGCCCAGCCTTTGACACGCAGCCTCTAGTGAAACTAGGTAGTCCCAAGCCCCTGGTGGGAGAATTATTCACCTTTACATCAAGAAGGTTGGGAAAACACCTGAACCTGCATGTGGCATGTGCCTAGCCAGACTTCGAGGAGTTCGTGCTATGAGACCTGAAGTTCTTGTGAGGTTCCCTAAAACAGAAACACATGTCAGCAGGGCCTGTGGTGGTTCCGTGTGTGCTAAGTGTGTTCGTGACAGGATCAAGTGTGCTTTCCTTATTGAGGAGCAGAATATTGTTGTGGAAGTGTCAAAGGCACAGAGTCAGAAAACATTCCTCTGTAGATAAACCAGTTGGATGTAAAATATATAAGAAATCTTGGCCGGGCGCGTTGGCTCACACCTGTCATCTTAGCACTTTGGGAGGCCGAGGCGGGCAGATTGCCTGAGCTCAGGAGTTCGACGCCAGCCTGGGCAACATGGTGAAACCCCGTCTCTACTAAAATATAAAAAATTAACTGGGCATGGCGGTGTGCACCTGTAGTCCCAGCTACATGGGATGCTGAGGCAGGAGAATTTCTAGAACCCAGGAGGCAGAGAGTGCAGTGAGGCAAGATCACACCACTGCATGCCACTGCACCGCGGCCTGGAGCAAGACTTCATTTCCAAAAAATAAATAAATAAATAAATAAGAATAAAAATAAAAAATCTTACAATTTGTTTTATAAAAAATTTAGATCTATACCTTTTCTGAACAAAATTGGCATCACATTATATATGTAAGATTATATAATCTACTCTCCTTTTTACTCTTTTGTTCTCATAAAATATATGTTATCTGTACATTTCTAATAATATCAATAAATGTAACAGCAGGATTAAATATCACCTGAAATCCTAGCACTGCTGATAATTTGGCTACCCCTTTGGAAGTAACTTAACATGCATACATTTGTGCAGATTTATACAGATGGACTCTTATGAAAATGGCTCTGCACTAGCCTTGCTGCTGTATAAACTCCTCTAGCTATGTTGTAGATCATTCTGTTCCAGTAACATAATGTATGTATTTTATTGTCTGTGTCATCTGTTCTGTGGATTTGCTACAACTCATTTAAACAATCCCCTGTTGATTGGTATTTACATTTACAAGAAACACTATAAGGAACATTGTGCTCCATACATCTTTGTATGTTAGTCTAAAAGTCCGAGGATAAATTCCTAGAAATTAAACTGCTGGGTCAGGGGCACACTCTCATCACAGACTCTCCTGACCATGCTGGCCAGTTCACATTCCTACTGATGCTGCCGGTGGTAGCTGGACAGCATCCCATGTTGTGATGTCTTTCCCTTGGTTACCATCAAGGCAGAATTGATGTATCAGCCACTCATATGTATCCGGTTAATTGCCTTTTCCTAATCTTTGCATTTTTTTTCTATTGGGATCTTTTTTTAAAAAGTAGAGATGGGGTCTTGCTATGTTGCCTAGGCCAGTCTTGAACTCCTGGCCTCGAGCGATCTTCCTGCCTCAGCCTCCCAAGCAGCTGGGGTTACAGGTGTGTGTCACTGTGCCCAACTCCAGGATTTTTACCTTATTCGTAAGAGCTTTTTGTACTTGTAGAGTACTAAGTGTCTGATGTATTTTGAATATTTTTCCCAGTCGTAATTTGTGATATGTGGCACCTTATGGAAGTGCTGCATTTTTGTGTGGCAGTGGTATCATGTTTTGAGACTAATTCTGCACCTGAAGATGATCACAACATTTACCTATATTTTCTTTCATTCCTATCCTAATTGTCCTTGTTTTTTATTTAAAATCTTTGACCCATCTGGAATTTACTTTGATCTAAAGAGTAAGATAGAAATTCAGTTCTTTACTCTTACCTCCATCTCCAGATAGCTAGCTAACTATATTAATAATATATGTTATATATTGATTAAAGTGCCTATTTTCCACTAATATGTTACCTACTAATTATTTATTTTTCTAGAGTTGGAGTCTTGCTACGTTGCCCAGGTTTGACTCAAACTCCTGGGCTCAAGTGATCCTCCTGCCTTGGCTTCCCAAGTAGCTGGGACTATAGTCATTAGCCACCACACACTCATTCTTAATAAATTCTCATATATGATTCATTCTCTTTCAGGGCTCTTAATTATTTTCTCTCTCTGTCTCTTCCAGTGGTAAAATCATACTTCAAAAATTACTGTCTGTTTTAATATATATGTTTAATAATCTGGTTGGGCAAATGCATCTGTTTTTTCTCCCCAGCCCCTTCAGGTTTTCTTGTGTGTTAAATATTTTTCTGTAAAAGTTAATAGCATTTGGCAAAACTCAAAGGTTAATAAGTGGTGGTAGAAGGCATGCTGGAACATCATCTTGGCGTTTGAGGTCTTTGTCCAGAACTTTCCCCTTCTCTTATGAACTCACAGCTTGCTTAAAGGGGTTCGATAAACTGTGAAAGGATCGCTCTACCTGAAAGATAAATGGAGTAGCCTGAGTTTATTGGACCTTTATTTGAGAGTGGTTGGACAAAATATTGTCTTTAAAACTAATTCTCAATCAAGTACAACTTAGAATCCATGTCTCAGGAAAGCATTGCTCCCACCAGTAATCTCTCGGCCTGAGAAACTGAAGAATCCTTGTATAGCTAGGTGTGGCAGCTCACACTTGTAGTCCCAGCTACATTGGAGGCTGAGATGGGAGGATCACCTGAGCCCAGAGGTCGGAAGTTGCAGTGAGCTATGGTGGCACCACTACACTCCAGCCTGGGTGACAGAGCACGACCCTATCTCAAAAAACAAACAAACAAACAAGAATCCTCTTTATCATTTGTGAGCTCTTTTTACCCGCATGGCTTCTCCTCCTTACTTTCCAACCTCTTGCTCTCTGTCTTCTTATAGATTGGAGCTAAACATGGTGTTATTTACTTGATCACAAAGTATGGCTATCTTCATCTGTACGACCTAGAGTCTGGCGTGTGCATCTGCATGAACCGTATTAGTGCTGACACAATATTTGTCACTGCTCCACACAAACCAACCTCTGGAATTATTGGTGTCAACAAAAAGGGACAGGTGTGTAACTCTGACATTTCATTTTCTACCTTTTCCATTCATTAGGGACTGGCGTTTAAACTTTCCCCCTTCTCTAGGAAAGCAGCTGGGTGTAGCTATTAATAGTTCCTGTTATTAAACTTAAACCCATGTCTCCTCCTTCATATTGACACTTCCTCTCTTCAGACAGCACCATTCCTAACACAGGATTGATTCCAGGAGGAGAGCAGCTCCTTCCTGCGTATAGAACAGCAGTTCTGATGCACATCATCTTTATACCATGCACACCCTAACTGGGGAGGGTTGAAAAAGCAGATACTATGGTATTTAAGTAACTTTTCTCAACCATAGTTGAAAAAGATAGTTAAAAGAAGAAACTCTTGGCTGGGCACAATAGTTTATGCCTGTAATCCCAACTGCATGGGAGGTTGAGGCAGGAGGATGGCTTGAGCCCAGGAGTTTGAGGCTGCAGTGAGCTGTGATCACACCATTGCACTCCAGCCTGGGTGAAACAGTGAGAGCCTGTCTCAGGGGAAAAAAAAAAAAAAGTCGGGAACAGTGGCTGATTCCTATAATCCCAGCACTTTGGAAGGCTGAGACAGGAGGATTGCTTGAGGCTAGGAGTTTGAATCCAGCCTGAGCGACATAGTAAGACCCTGTCTCTACAAAAATATTTTTTAAAAAAGAAAGAAACTCTGTACTTTAAAAATAAAAAGTTTAAGAAGAAAAATTGTCAGTTCCATCCACATAGGTCATTTTGCTGTAGCGCAGAACGCATCACACTTATCTGTGTGACTTTAATAACTACATAGACTCCTATGCTGTTCTGTTTTGTTACCATTTGGCTTTCGGCTGCTTTGCCTCCTTTCACTGTGAGGGCCACCATCACAGGTGTGCTCAACACTCGCCTGAGAATGTGGCTACCACTCCAGCATCGGAAGGGAACATGGCAGAGGGATGGTGGAGCACTCTTCTAGGCCGGGCTGCTCTCACTTGTTGTGTCCTTACAGGTACTGTCAGTTTGTGTTGAGGAAGATAACATTGTGAATTATGCAACCAACGTGCTTCAGAATCCAGACCTTGGTCTGCGTTTGGCCGTTCGTAGTAACCTGGCTGGGGCAGAGAAGTTGTTTGTGAGAAAATTCAATACCCTCTTTGCACAGGGCAGCTATGCTGAAGCCGCCAAAGTTGCAGCGTCTGCACCAAAGGTGATAAACCTTGAATACTGTTCAAGTGTTCTGAGTGTTAAGAACCAACCTTGAGAGGAAAATAAGTCATAAAAGCATTTCACTAGTGATATTGCAGTCTATTAGTGTTATGTTAGGAGTTTTTAGTTTAAAATTTTTGCACCAATGGCATAACAGTAAAGGAAGTAAACAAAAAACACACTCTTGCTGCATCGGCACTTCTTCACGCCTCCCACTTTGTGTGCATACGTACCTCTCACCCAACAGCTTAGATACAGTTTCACATTTCTGTAACTTAGCATTTTCCACTCTTGCTACCTGGTTGTCAAATATGCAACTGTACAATACATCAAGTGGTTGTTCCCTGTTTTATCTAGCGATAGTCCTACCCTGGACTTTCTCCACTCTTTTAGAATATAGCATTTCGGCATATGGCTTTTTCTTGGGTTTATTTCATTTGGATAAATTGTTCAGAGACTGGATCTGTTCCTGAGTAGATAAAGACTTTCAAGTTGCTTGTCCTTGAAAGAATTTTTCTTGTCTTTCAAGGGGTAGTTGTGAACAAACCATTTCTAGCCTTCATCTGTGAATTTGAGTATTTTGAATTAGAATATAATGATAGCAGAACTTCACTACTACAAGACTGATTGAGAGGCCGAATTCTTACTGCAGCATGCTGGGGGAGAAGTAAGACCCTAAGTGTGAAGCCACCTGGAGGACCTAGATTCCCCTATACTTATGGTTATTGTTGAAGATAGAAGCAGTTGCCTTGGTAGAGGACTTTTTGTCTATGACAGAGCAGTGTGGAATTTCCACTGGCAGATTTTTGTTTTTACATACAAGGAAGTTGAGTGAAGGGATCCCCTGTGATTACAACACAATGACCTATTTTTCCATTTATTATTAGGGAATCCTGCGTACCAGAGAGACGGTCCAGAAATTCCAGAGTATACCCGCTCAGTCTGGCCAGGCTTCTCCATTGCTGCAGTACTTCGGAATCCTGCTCGACCAGGGTCAGCTCAATAAACTTGAATCCTTAGAACTTTGCCATCTGGTTCTTCAGCAGGGGCGTAAGCAACTCCTAGAGAAGTGGCTGAAAGAAGATAAGGTAGAAACACTTGTGAGCTCGTAGCCCCCCCGCACAGCTTGAAAACTTGGTCCAGGCTCCCTACCTGCCTCCTAACTTTGCCTTGTCCCTTGGCATACCACAGCTGGAGTGCTCAGAGGAGCTCGGAGACTTGGTCAAAACCACTGACCCCATGCTCGCTCTGAGTGTGTACCTTCGGGCAAATGTGCCAAGCAAAGTGATCCAGTGTTTTGCAGAAACAGGCCAATTCCAGAAAATTGTGCTCTATGCCAAAAAGGTAACGTGTGTTGAACCACTGGCATCTCACAGATTACTCACGTGTGGTTGAGTGGTTGCTGATTTTAAAGTTTATAAAATACCCTTCTTTGTAAGTCCTCTGGTGTGAGAGTTGGCAATGTTGCTGTTAGGATCTTTATTCATAATGATCATATTTTATTCTCTTCAGCTTTTTATTATCCTTAGTTTTCCAGTCCTTCCATCTTCGTTTTATTTGGGAGCTTTATCTTGTTTTTTCTCTCCCTCTCTTCCTTCTGTATGTTAATTTGATATTTTGGCAGACTCCCAGATCTTATCCCTGTGTGCTTACTGGCAGGCTGTGTTTGCACACAGATCAGGAAACTTCTTTGTGGTCTGGGCTCTTTGTATAGTTAATTGTGCCTTCCATGTACATTAAATCAATTCATTTAATTGGATATTGTGTTTGGCAGAAGGTGGTACCTACACATGATAATGTTGCTGCTCATTTCTTTGTTAACACGAGTTTAAAACAAAGGATGGATAACTTCCTTTTCTAATGCCCAGGGTTTTTCATTGATTTTCCTGATTGGTGCTCCCTTGCTTCTAGGTTGGGTACACCCCAGACTGGATCTTTCTGCTGAGGGGTGTAATGAAGATCAGTCCGGAACAGGGCCTGCAGTTTTCTCGAATGCTAGTGCAGGACGAGGAGCCGCTGGCCAACATTAGCCAGGTGAGCGTAGGCAGTTTTGGACAACTTTTTGTGGCTTTTTAGAGCCATCTAGAAGATTTCTTTGATTCGTTTCCTGTTAACTTGTCTCAATGCTTTTCTTCATCTGCTATTAATCTTGCAGTTTTAAAAAATCTAGTGTACTTGGGGAGTTTGTCTTCTAGTCTTTACTATGTGAGTACTCATTGCTTCCTTTGTTTTGAAGTACTTTAGAGAATGTTTGTTTGGGTTTGTGTCTTTGGGTGGTGATGGTGTAGGGTGTGAGGATGTCATTTAGGTTCCAGCCCTCCATCCCGTGGCCCACCCCAGTTACTACATCATTGTCTCTCCCTGACCATTGGCCTGAGCACCAGGAGCTAGTGCTGTTGCGTCCCCCAGATGTTCATCCTGTGGGTGTCTGACTGACCTGGATTACGTGAGCATCAGCCTGTTTTTTAGTGTAACCTACTTAAAATTTAGATGTAAACACATGACAAGTCACTTTCAGTAAATTGGTACAAGGAGCTTTGATGATATATAGATGTGTAACAAAGCTTGAAGCAAGGCATCAGAACCAACAACTGTTTAGAAATAATAAGTGCAGTTGTATGTGTTTGTACATCTGGGAATCTGCAGATATTTTGGAGAACATGAATAAGAGATTTGAGACAAATTTACTTAGCTTTCAATAGGAAAGAAATTTCCAGTTCACATCTTGTTTACAGTTCATATTTTAAAGTTGTTCAAAATATAAACTTCTCATACTTTATGAGAAGTTCCACAGTTAATAAGTTCTTTTTTATTTTCCTGTAAAGCTGTCCTTCAAAAACAATTATTAAATTTATTCCTGTATTTCACATCTTACTAAGGCATATTAATTATTTAAATTAACATCAATTTAACTTTAATAATTGTCTAAGTAAATATTTGCATTTTCCCAGTTGTGCCCCAATAATATAATGATATATATGAGTTAGATATCAAGTATCAGCTGCTTTGTTAGTCAAGATGCTGCAGAGAGACAGAATCAATAGCGTAGCTATAGCTATATGAAAGGGAGCCTGGGCAACATAGTGAGACCCCCATCTCTACAAACAATTTTTTAAAAGTTAGCCAGGCATGGTGGTGCACACCTGTGGTCCCAGCTACTCAGGAGGCTGAGATGGGAGGATCGCTTGAGCCCTGAAGGTTGAGGCTGCAGTGAGTGGTGACCTTGTCACTGCTTCAGCCTAGGCAATAGAGTGAGACCCTATCTCAGATATATGAGAGGGAGTTTATTAGGAGAATTGGCTCGTGATTATGGAGGCTGAGAAGTCCTGTGATAGACTGTCTGCAAGCTAGAGGAGACCTTGGATTCTGGTAGCGTGGCTCAATCTAAGTTTGAAAGCCTCAGAACCAGGGAAGCTGAAGGCGTAACTCTCAGTCTGAGGCCAATGGCCTGAGAACCCTGGGGGGCCTTTGGTGTAAGTCCTGGAGTCCAAAGGCTGGGGAGCCTGGAGTTCTGATGTCCAAAGGTAGGAGGTGGAGAATGTCCCAGCTCCAGGAGAAAGAGAGAAGAAATCTATTCTTTCCTTTTTTGTGCCCCCAGCCGATTAGATGGTGTTCCCCGACATTGAGAGTGGATCATTCTACTTGTTCCCCCAACTCACATGCCAGTCTCCTCTGGGAATGCCCTCACAAACACACCCAGAAGGAATGCTTTACCTGTTCTCTATGTGTTCCTTAATCCAGTCAAGCTGACACCTAAAGTTAAGCATCACAGCTGCCTCTAGGATGTGATTAAGTAATGTATGATTACTGCTTGGGGGTTCATATGTTATAAAAGTTACTCCCTTTCATATACTTCAGTAAAATACCTCACTGATAAGTATGATGTAGGTGATATGATTTTGCAAGATTATTAATAAATTAATGACCATAAATTACGTGAATTGTGTTGTTGTTGTTGAGATGAGGTCACTGCATTACCCACAGTGGTCTCAACTCCTGGGCTCAAGGAATGCATCCACCTCAGCCTCCTGAGTAGCTGGGACTATAGGCACATGCCACCACACCTGGCTGTATGTGAATTGCGATGACAGAAGAAAATGGAAAGGGGCCGGGCGCAGTGGCTTATGCCTGTAGTCTCAGCACTTTGGGAGGCCGAGGCGGGCGGATCACCTGAAGTCGGGAGTTCGAGACCAGCCTGACCAACATGGTGAAACCGTGTCTCTACTAAAAATAGAAAAATTAGCTGGGTGTGGTGACGGGTGCCTGTAGTCTCAGCCACTTGGGAAGCTGAGGCAGGAGAATCGCTTGAACCCAGGAGGTGGAGGGCAGAGATTGGAGTGAGCTGAGATTGTGCCTTTGCAGTCTAGCCTGGGTGACAGAGCGAGACTCCATCTCAAAAAAAAAAAAAAAACCAAGGGAGGGAACTAATTGCTGAATTTCTAAATGAGATAATATTTCAGGAACTATTTCAATAGGAAAATGAAACACTGAATGAAAACATACTGAGTGAAAATGTGGCTTGGATATGTTTCAGATTGTGGACATTTTCATGGAAAACAGTTTAATTCAGCAGTGTACTTCCTTCTTATTGGATGCCTTGAAGAATAATCGCCCAGCTGAGGGACTCCTGCAGACATGGCTGTTGGAGATGAACCTTGTTCATGCACCCCAGGTCAGTGACTTGTAGGCTAACACCGAGAGGCAGAGCACCTGTGGCACCTCTCTGGGTTTGCAGACTTGAGCACAGTGGCTTTGGACTGGGCTGGGCTTGTGCCAGATGTTTATCTTGTACTTCTCAGTGGACATTCTCCATGACTTTCCTTAAAAGGATTTTCCAGAAATCATGATACAGGACTTTCATGGAAACAGTTCTAATTAGGGCAGCATTTCTTCCTTTCTTCTTTTTTTCATTGTGGTAAAATATACATAACCAAATTTACCATTTTAACAACTTTTAAGTGTCTGATACAGTGGCATTAAGAACATTCACAATGCTATGCAGCCATTACCACTACATAGTTCCAGAACTTTTATTATCCCAGAGTAACTATGTAACTGTTAAGCAGTGACTCCTCATTTCCCAGCCCCTGACAACTGCCATTCTAATCTGTCTCTATTAATTTGGCTTTTCAAGATATTTCATATACATGGAACCACAAAATATTTGTCCTTTTACCTGGCTTTTTTCACTTAGCATATTATTTTCAAGGTTCATCCATGTTGTAGCATGTGTTAGAAACACCTTCATTTTTGAAACTGAGTAATAGTCCACCATGTGTATATATGACATGTGTTTATCCATTCATCCATTGATGAACATTTGGGTTGCTTCTACCTTTAGGCTATTGTGAATAATGCTGCTGTTAACATGGGTGTACAAAGATTTATTTGAGACCCTGCTTTAATTCTTTTGGGCATATATCCAGAAGTGGACTTGCTGGATCATGTCCTACAGTAATTCTATGTTTACCTTTTTGAGGAACCACCATACTGTATTCCAGGAGGCTGTACCATTTTATATTCTTCCCAGCAATGCTCAGCTGTTCCAATTTCTGTATATCCTTGCCAACACATCTTCCCTGTCTAAAATAATAATAATAGTAATCACCATCTTAATGGGCGTGCAGTGGTATCTCACTGTGGTGAGGCATCATTTGTTGGCCTGAAACTTGTGGGAGCAGGTATAATCAAATCACATGTCTGTGCTATTTTGGGTTAAATTTAGATATATATACAAGAAAGGGATTTAGAGGAGTTTATATCAAGCTGTTCACCACGGTACTAAGTGGATAAGATTGTACAAGTTCACTTTGTTCTTTACTTATCTCTTCTGATTTTTCTTTAATAATCACTTACTGTTTTTATAATTAGGAAACAACATATTAAGTATATTGTTCTGTTACCTCAATTTATTCAAATCTACAAGTTAGCTGCTAAGAAGTGGGTCATATTCCAACTCTAGGAAATAAAAGTACTGTTAATTTGCTGCTTGGGGTCTACTGGACTCTCATGACTTTGTGAGTGTATGTAACCGTTTCTGGTGAATGAGATTTGAAACACACCAAGCGTCACTCAGAAACTTGGCAGACAGACCCTAAGGAATGCCCAGACCCTAAAGGAGAAACAAGTAGTTGGGTGAGGTGCCAGCAGGCTCTGGCTTAGTGCCCCAGGACGCTGGCAGTCTTCTCTGGGCAGTAGGACTGCGTGATGGTTTCTACATTCTATAAAATACACTGTTGCTATGAGGAGAAAATGTTTGAAAACAAGAAGTAAAGATAAACCTGAAGGAAACAAAGGATAGGAGACTCAGGTAAGTGCTAGATGTTCTAAAGCCCTACTCTTAGTACTGTGTTTGATCGTCAACTCTGTGCATCACTCTGAAGTGGTCTGGTGTGTGACAGTGGCTGTGGTCACTCTGTGGCCATACCTGGTTGGTGATGCAGATCCTAGAAGGAATAAGAAAGAGTGTGCCAGGTGGCAGGGGAAGGCACCCAGGAGTGTAGCTTGTCAAGACCATCATTAGATACTGAGGGAGCACTCACTCAGCCATGCTGCAAGGCTGCTGTGTTGACCTATCCAGTCTTAGCCCAAAAATTACTTACTTCAAGAGAATATTTAGTGGCTGGGTGCAGTGGCTCGCGCCTATAACCCCAGCATTTTTGGAGGCCAAGGTGAGCAGAGCCCAGGAGTTTGAGACCAGCATGGACAACACGGCCAAACCCCATCTCTACAAAAAAATATAAAAATTAGCCAGGTGGGCCAGGTGCGGTGGCTCACACCTGTAATCCCAGCACTTTGGGAGGCCAAGGCGGGTGGATCACATGGTCAAGAGATCGAGACCAGCCTGGCCAACATGGTGAAACCCTGTCTTTACTAAAAATACAAAAATTAGCTGGGTGTGGTGGCGCATGCCTGTAGTCCCAGCTACTTGGGAGGCTGAGGCAGGAGAATCACTTGAACCCGTGAGACGGAGGTTGCAGTGAGCAGGGTGGGGTCATGCCACTGCATTGCAGCCTGGCAACAGAGCGAGACTCCATCTCAAAAAAAAAAAAAAAAAAAAGTAGCCAGGTGTGGTGGCATGTGCCTGTAATCCCAGCTGCTTGGGAGGCTGAAGTGGGAGGATTGCTTGAGCCTGGGAGGTCAAAGCAGCAGTGAGCCGAGATTGCACCACTGCACTCCATTCGCCTGGGCAACAGAGTGAGACCCTGTCTCAAAAAAAAAAAAAAAAAAAAGATTTTATGCCTCATCAAAATTGTTTCCAGGAGTGTTCATTGTTTTTTAAATGCAATCCCCAACTCCTAGTTCTGTATTTAGCCTAGTAGAGAAGTCTAGTAAGCACAAATGGGATTTGTTTTGTTCAGGTCTCCTTCTGGTCATTGCTAATCTAAGGCTTGAGCTCATTCAAGGAGAATCGGTAGACTTGAGCCCTCACATTGATCTTGCCATAGAAACCCTATAAGAATGTGATTGCTGGCTGGGCACGGTGGCTCACGGCTATAATCTCAGCACTTTAGGAGGCCAAGGTGGGCAGATCATTTGAGGTCAGGAGTTCGAGACCAGCCTGGCCAACATGACGAAACTCTGTCTCTACTAAAAATACAAAAATAAGCCAGGCATGTTGGTGTGCGTCTGTAATCCCAGCTACTTGGGAGGCTGAGACATGAGAATCGCTTGAACCTGGGAGATGGAGGTTGCAGTGAGCTGAGATTGTGCCACTGCATTCCAGCCTGAGTGATGGAGTGAGACTCTGTCTCAAAAAAAGAAAAAAAAAGGAAAAAAAGAATGTGATTGCTTAAAAGCTGCAACAGTGACTTGGACTCATCCCAGTAATAGGGCTTTATGGAGCCTCAGCCTTTCTCACAGGCCCAACTCTGTGACCACATGGGCTTGGCCCAGCTGCAACATGGGAGAATGAAGCCTTGTGCAAAGGGCCTAAGATGGCTTGAAGGACAGCCAGGGATTTGGGACCCACAAGCACTGCTGCCACCACAGAGGTATGGATGTGGACAGGGGCCTGTGAGTTCTGGTTGCCAGGCTATACCCTACCCTGGGGCAAGATTGAGCAGCTGGTCTTAAAAAGTTATTGCCATTGATCAGGGCTTCTCACCGAACTCCCTGTTTCATAGGTTGCAGATGCCATCCTTGGAAATAAAATGTTTACTCATTACGACCGGGCCCACATTGCCCAGCTCTGTGAGAAGGCAGGCCTCCTGCAGCAAGCACTGGAGCACTACACCGACCTCTATGACATCAAGAGGGCTGTGGTCCACACTCACCTCCTCAATCCCGAGGTACTGTGTACCCCTGGGCACTCCTATTATGGCTGTTGTCTATGCAATTAATGTCACATGCTCCCCAGTGTTCACCTGTTGGTGATTGTGGAACTGTGGCCTGAGCCTGTCACTGCCCTAACCTACCATACTTTACTACCAAAAGCAGTTCTAATTCAGCCCACGCACAAAGTTTATCTGCTCAGCAGCATGTCTGGGCCCTGTAGCACCTTTCTTTCTGATATCCACCTTTGACTTAGTCTAATAGCAGGAGTATACTGGTCACCTTTTAACATTGACAACCTAATAGGACTGTCTGAAACCATTAGCAAAGCTAAACTAGCTATTGTGTTCCAATTTATGGAATAAGTTTTAGCATCATCTGTGGAATATTCCAGGTGAACAGTTTAGATCAGTGTCTTTTCCCAGCTTTACTCCTTGCTCCTACTTTTTCCCGTGATGGATAGTTGCTTTTCAACCCCTTTATGTGGAAATTCTCTGTATTTTTGACACTCAGGGGAACAGGAGAATGACCTAGTTATTTTCCAAGTGTTAGCAATCTTTAGAGTGGTGCATCGTTGTGGACAGACTCTTCCTTGTTCCCAGTGGCTTGTCAATTTCTTTGGCTCCTTATCGGTGGAGGATTCTGTGGAGTGTCTGCATGCCATGCTGTCTGCTAACATCAGACAGAACCTTCAGCTGTGTGTGCAGGTGGCCTCTAAGTACCACGAGCAGCTGGGCACGCAGGCCCTGGTGGAGCTCTTTGAATCCTTCAAGAGTTACAAAGGTAAACCATGCAGCCTCTCGCCGACCCCACCATGTGACTACACCTCCTTTCTCAGGTGTTGCTGCCTACCTGCCCGCCTTAAGACGGCCTTCCTGCAAAGCCAGGCAGGATGCAGCACTGGCTGCCTTGGGTGCTCAGTCGGTGGCAGAATGCTACTGCCATCTCATGTGCACCCTCAGCTTCAGTAACCTTTTTGGTATTTCCAAAGGAAGAAATCAGGTTGGTTGGTGATGGGATGGAGAAACTTATGGAGCCCGGTGTGTCTACGCAGCACAGTCTGGCAAGAATTCATCTAAAAGCCTGTGTCGTGGGTACAGTGAAAGGGCCTGATGTCTGGTCTTTACAGCCCCAGGAGGGAGGCTCTTTGGGCCTCTCCTAAATGAGAGCCCACGATAGAGGGTGCATTGCTTTGTGGTGTCTGCTACCCAGTTGATTGTGGGGGGCTGACAAGGTAACCTGGTTGTCTTCCTTTCCCCTTCTTGGACATCACACCAAAAAAGTGTTCTAGGGCAGTTGGGATGGGAGTGGCTTTGTTAGGGACAGATGGGGGCTGTCTGGCCCACCCAGGATAGAGACTAAGCATTTGTCTAGGCATCAAGCCACTGCCATGTGTCCAGTGAGGTTGGGGCATCGGTGGAGGGTGGGACATGACCCTGTCCTCAGGGAACTGGCCTTCTCTTTAGAAGACACCCCTGTAGGAAAGACCATGGCAGACGATTGAGTGGAGCTGGGCTGGGAGAGGGCAGTAGAGTAGGTTGGTGGAGAACCGTCAGCCCAGGGGCTGCCCATTCCCTTCCTAGCATCAGGGTCTCACAGTTACAGTGAAAGACCTCGACAGGGAGGGGCCTTCTCAGATGTGTCGTACCCTGTTGTTACTGGTGCCTCCTGGCTGGCCTCTGTAATGATGAGGAACATCATTAGCCTCTGTGAATGCTGTCCTCTGGGGCTCACCCTGGGGCTCAGCATGTGGTGCCCATGTCACTGTCAGCTCTGTGTTGAGTTGCAGGCCTCCTCCTGGAGGCCATGGCTTATTTCTCTGTCCCTTGATGTGTCTTTTTAGAGAAGCAGTCCCACCACCATTTCAGATTACCTCAGTGGGAATTACTCTTGATGACGACTATCTAGGTATACCTGGGCCCACAAAAGGAATTTCACTTGTACCAAATATCTAGTATTTTACATCAAAACATGCCAGGTATACCTGCCAAATATAATGGAAATCCGACTAGCTATTTTTGGGAGCTGCCAAAACAGACAAATGGCATATTGATTATGAGTTCTGAGTGTGCTGTGGGTCCCTGGAGAGTGGAGCAGGGTCATCGAGGGAAGGTGGGCAGCAGCTACGGAGGAGACAGGCAGGTGTTACAAGGACAAAAATGGAATGGTCTCTCTTCATAGGCCTCTTCTACTTCCTGGGCTCAATCGTGAACTTCAGCCAAGACCCAGATGTGCATCTGAAATACATTCAGGCTGCCTGTAAGACAGGGCAGATCAAGGAGGTGGAGAGGATATGCCGAGAGAGCAGCTGCTACAACCCAGAGCGTGTGAAGAACTTCCTGAAGGTGTGTTCCAGTGCTGCCTCCTTCCATGAGCTGCCCTTGCTGATGGCAGGTGGGGCAGACCATCCGCAGGACGTCCCAGGGGCAGGAAGCTGGATCTGTCTCGCCAGGGACCCCTTAGTCCCAGGGACAGAGCTCCACTTTATGGCTTAAAGTTCTAAAGTAACCCTTCTATCGTTTTAAGAGTGTGGAAAGCAGCTTGAGGCTGTGCTCTAAGTATCTGGCACTTATTGCTGCATTGTAATTCATCAACATCCCATTAGTGCCATTGTCAATTAGGCAGGCAAAGCTGCAGAAACAAGTAGACCACTCAGCACTAGTGTCATAAAGAACAGGAAGCCTACTTCCTTATGTGGCAGTCCAGGGTAGGCTGGAGGTCAGTGGGGTGACTTTCCTTCCCACTGTACTTCAAGGACCAGCTTCATGGCTGCTTTGCCGTGTTCAGCACCTCACCTGGATGTCGTCTTCCCAGTCAGCTAGAGGAAGGGAAGAGCACAGAGGAACCAGCATAGGTGGTTTTTATGGGCGAGGCCTGCAAGTGGCAGATGACACTTGGATTCACGTTCCATTGGAGGAAATGAGGTCATGTGGCCACACTTAAAACTTCAAAATGTGATCTAGGCACGGGACCACATGAGGGGAGGCATGATTGTGGTGGCCTGTGGCTGTCCTACCCAAGTGCCATCATCATCTGGGAATGGTGGCCGGGTGTGTTTCCATGGCCTGCGGCTGCGTGTCTGAAAAGGCAGCCCTTACCGCAGGTGTGCTGTTCTTGAGAATGGCCTGGTTTCTGTTGGGTTTGCACATAATGAGCTGCTTGTCTTAAAAGATATTTTTGTCCAGATTTGGAATGTTAATGCCAAATGTAGCAGTCTTTAACCAAATACTAATATCTTTCTCTCACTTATTTCCCAAAGCAAATGCCATACCACAAAACGACAGCCTATTTAGAGCAGTCTCATTCTGAGTCTCCTGTGTGTCACTCTGCTGCAGAGACAGAGCCGTCCCATGTGTGCAATGAGTCCGAGGTCTGGCTGTCTGGTTTCTCCACTCCCTGACTTGTTCTGTGCATTCTAATCCTCAGGAGGCCAAGCTCACAGACCAGCTTCCCCTCATCATCGTGTGTGATCGTTTTGGCTTTGTCCATGACCTTGTCCTATATTTATACCGCAACAACCTGCAGAGGTACATTGAGATCTACGTGCAGAAGGTACTGCTGGCTCCCTGGAGTGACACCCGGCTGCCTCTGGGCCCCAGTCAGTGGCAGTCTTCCCCTCAGAGGCTGCCTGTAACACCTGACATTTCAGAGACTATCATTTTGAAGGGTGGTGGGTTCGTGTGCTCAGACTGCCAGAGTAGAAGACCACAGTCCAGGCAGCTGAAACAACACACATTTATTTCTCACAGTTTTGGAAGCTGGAAGTCCATGATCAGGGTGTCGGCAGGGCTGGTTTCTGGTGAAGGCTGTCTCCCACGCTTGCAGACAGCCTCCTGGCTGTGCCCTCACAGGGCCTTTCCTCTGTGCATGTGCACTCCTGGTGTCTCTTCCTCTTCTTAGAAGGACACTAGTCCCATTACATTAGGGCCCCACCCTTGACATTGATTACCTTCTTAAACACCCTCTTTCCAAGTAGAATCCCACTAGGGGTTAGGACATCAGCAGGTGAATTTTGGTGGGACACAGCGCAGTGCTAAACAGGAGCCCTTTCAGGGTTTTGCCCAAACTGTCCACGTCGTAGGAGGCTTCTAACAATAACTTGTGTTTGCAACACTGAAGTTACTTGACCTTGACTACCCTAGGTCAACCCTAGCCGGACCCCAGCTGTGATTGGAGGGCTGCTTGATGTGGATTGTTCTGAGGAAGTGATTAAACACTTAATCATGGCAGTGAGAGGACAGTTCTCTACTGATGAGTTGGTGGCTGAAGTAGAAAAAAGAAATAGGTAAGGTGTCCTTACTTGGTGTTTTCTCTTACCCCTGGATTCTAGTGTCTGTTGTTGTTTCTGTCTAATTCTCCAGGACTGTCTCTATAGCTGGTCGTTCATGTACACATCTTAGATGTAGCAATGAGTTACTTGCTATTGGTACTGTGAAGACCTTGGGGGAAAACCTAACAGTAGAAATCAGTTTGGAAACCAGGTCCATCTTGGTCCCTAGAGCAACCTGAAGTCAATGGACTCTGAGATTTTTTGTTTCAGGAAACATCTGTCAGAGCCCTGGAGTTGCCCTCAAGACTTCCAGTGGTAGCCTTGAGACTTTACAGCACCTTCCTTCTTTCAAAGGCTCAAGCTGCTGCTTCCCTGGCTGGAGTCCCAGATTCAGGAAGGCTGTGAGGAGCCTGCCACTCACAATGCACTGGCTAAAATCTACATCGACAGCAACAACAGCCCCGAGTGCTTCCTGAGAGAGAATGCCTACTATGACAGCAGCGTGGTGGGCCGCTACTGTGAGAAGCGAGACCCCCATCTGGCCTGTGTTGCCTATGAGCGGGGGCAGTGTGACCTTGAGCTCATCAAGGTGGGTAGCAGATGTGCTGAGCTGCCCATGTAACCCTGGGCTCCCAGGGAAGCTTTCAAAGGTGTGCCTGTGGGGAGCTGATCAGGGCTTTCTGTGCACCTGGAGATGGCAGGTCATGAGATTATTTCCTTGTGATTCTCACAGCTTTTGGGAACTTGCTCATGCAATTTGTATGCATTGTACCTGTAGACCAGTTGGTCCTGAACCTGACTTATCATCCCTCTGCTTACAGTCCTTACTATTGCCTGGCAATTTGAGGGCAGAATTGAACTCCTTGGCCTGACTCGTGAGCTCCTCTGTGGACTGCCACCTTTCCCAACTCCCGAACTTGATCAGCCATCCATCTTGCCACCCCACCTGGAGAGGCCTGCAATTCCCTGGGTGCCTCATGTCCCGAGTACCCTTGTACTTCATGCCCCCTTTTTGGGGTAACCCTCTACACAAGCCCTTCCCCATCACCTGACCAATGAGCTCTTGCTGGCCTCTCCTTGAGACATCTGCCCAGGTCTTTTGCCTGCATCTGCCCAGGCTTGGATCCACATATAATTACATGTTTAGGTTGAATTGTATGAACTGTTCCTACCTAATCATTTGATCTAAAAATCCAGACATGAATAGGGCACCTGTGAGGTTGGTGCCACACCAGCCTGCTTGGGCTTTTCCTGTGATACACAGGCGGACTGCGCTGCATCCGCAAGCACGTGTGCACGCCGCTCAGCCTTGTGCCGGGCATCTGGCACTCAACAGATCTGATCCTCACCAGGATTTAGCAAGTGCTGCACACGCTAGAACATTCCAGTGGACTGTTGGTGTTTTGGAGATCTGTTATAACATTCAGAAAAAGGTCTCCAGATCTACCAGTGAAAGCACAGTTTACAGTTTTTAGATCTTGAAACATTGCAGTGTTTGTGCTGTTTTATACCAGTTCTAGGCTGTTCTGATAACATTTTACAGATGGTTTAAAGCTAGCTACATATGAGTACTTAAATTTAACTAAATTAAAAATTACCAGTTTAGTTCCTGTCACGCACCACATTTCAAGGGCTCAGTAGCCTCCCATGGCTAGTGGCTGTATCAGACAGAATGGGAGACAGAGCATGTCCCTGAATGCAGGAAGTCCTACTGGCCAGATATGTGGCACATCCCTGGGAGTTGTTGTAAACTTGGAAAGGGCATTTTGAGGTAGTTTGAGTCCATCGTTAACCCTGTAGGATGCTGCTCATCCCATGTCAAAGCATAGCGTCTTGCCTGGGCCCTGACTGTCCACCAAACCAGTATCAGGCACACAGGGAACGAATTGGGGTGTGTCCTCCCAAGCAGCTTCCGCTGGTTGGCTGCTGTGTCACACACATGAGTGTGCTCATTTCAGGTGTGCAATGAGAATTCTCTGTTCAAAAGCGAGGCCCGCTACCTGGTATGCAGAAAGGATCCGGAGCTCTGGGCTCACGTCCTTGAGGAGACCAACCCATCCAGGAGACAGCTAATTGACCAGGTGAGGCACAGAGATGGGTATGTCTGCACACCTGCATTTTGCCGTCCGATCATCATTGTGGCTCAAGTGACTGGTTTCATTTTTAATTTAAAACATCTTGGCTGAGGGCAGTGGCTCACGCCTGTAATGCCAGCAATTTGGGAGGCGGAGGTGGGTGGATCACTTGAGGTCTCAGGAATTCAAGACCAGCCTGGCCAACGTGGTGAAACCCCATCTCCACTAAAAATACAAAAATTAGCCGCACATGGTGGCACACGCCTGTAATCCCAGCTACTTGGGAGGCTGAGGCAGGAGAATTGCTTGAACCCAGGGGGTGGAGGTTGCAGTGAGCCGACATCGTGCCACTGCACTCCAGCCTGGGCGACAGACAGAGACTCCATCTCAAAAAAATAAATAAATAGGCCAGGCATGGTGGCTCACGCCTGTAATCCTAGCACTTTGGGAGGCCGAGGCGGGTGGATGACTTGAGGTCAGGAGTTCAAGTCCAGCCTGGCCAACATAGTGAAACCCCATCTCTACTAAAAATACGAAAACACACTGTGTGGCGCATGCTTGTAATCCCAGCTACTCAGGAGGCTGAAGCAGGAGAATCGCTTGAACCCAGGAGGTGGAGGTTGCAGAAAGCCGAGACTGCACGCCACTGCACTCCAGCCTGGGCAACTGGGTGAGACTCTGTCTCAAAAAAATTAAATAAATAAATAAATAAATAAATAAATAAATAAATAAAACATCTTAGTCCTTACGAACCTTCTCCCCTGCAGAAATAGCTTGCCTAAAAATAGCTTGATTCCCCAGGGTAAGCTGACTTGGAACTGTTAACTGGCCAAGGGCATAGAGTTGGCCCTTGGATCCAAAGCAGGGATATGCAGCCCAGGAAGAGAGTACCTGGTGTCATGCCTGCATGCTGGGCCCAGCTCAGCCCTCGTGGACAGAGGTGAAGTAGCTTTCAAGGTTGTCTCAGCTGACTTCCCTTTGTTGAGGTGCTCTTTATGCCCCTGTGACTATCCAGCACCTCCTTGGAGACTGGGCAGAGTGCTGGGGCCAGGGGTCATTATTGGGTATGGCCTGGCAGGTGGGAGTCTGCCTCGGCCTCTGGGAGGGCTTCCCACAGCCCTGTGGAAGAGCCTCCTCTCCAGTTATAGCCTCACAGACATTTGCAGATAGTGCCTCTGCTGCCCTCAGCACTGTCCCTAGGTGCTAGGCAGACTGTTTAGGGGTGGGGCAAGACCAATGTTGGAACAAAACCCTCGTCCAACAAGTGGCTTCAGCCCTGAGAATAGGACCAGTTAAAACTCCCACCTCCCTCATACACATTGCCAACCTGCTGGACCAGTGCTTTCGAAAGGCTTGAGGGCTGGATTTGACCTTTATCTCTACTGAATTTCATCCTCTCGTTTTCTGTCCACTGTTTCCTCAAGCCTGTGCCACTACTTTTTTAAATAAACTTTTTATTTTGAAATACTTTGAGATTTATGGAAGGTCATGTTGTTTTGAATCTCTGTTTCAACTTTGGACTTACCCATCCAAATCTAATAAAAATATTAAACAACACAATATTCTACTAGGGTTCTACATCCAGGTTCCCAGACATCAGACATTTCTCCAGGTATAGTCCAGCCACCTGGTACACCTTGAAGGTGACTTCATGTTGGTACTGGGGAAGGGCCACTTTAACACTGCACCATACCGGAGCCAGCGGGGGCCTCTTGTCTTCCTGTTTCTGGGTAGAGCTGCTGGTCTTTCATTATCTCTGCTGTAATTGGATATCTGTAGCCACCTCCTGGTGCGAAATTCAACTGCAATGCTCCTGTAATCCAGAGCGCATAATAACAGAGGGAGGCTGCTTTTAGTGTCTGGAGTGGAACCTCATTATGAAAAGTTTACTGAGAGCAGTGTCCTGAGGCAACCTTAGGTGGGGCATCCTGTATTGACTCAAACAGATGGTAGAAATTTATTTTTGCCCTTAAAACAACCTGTGTGTATTTATTTAAGTTGCTCCAAGGTTTTCTTTCTTTCTTTTTTTTTTTTTTTCTCTTTTTGAGACAGAGTTTTGCTCTTCACCAGGCTGGAGTGCAATGGCGTGATCTCGGCTCACTGCAACCTCCACTTCCCAGGTTCAAGTGATTCTCCTGCCTCAGCCTCCTGAGTAGCTGGGATTACAGGCACCTGCCGCCACGCCTGGCTAATTTTTGTATTTTTAGTAGAGATGGGGTTTCACTATGTTAGCCAGGCTGGTCTCGAACTCTTTTTTTTTTTTTTTTTTTTTTTTGAGACAGAGTCTTACTTTGTCACTCAGGCTGGAGTACAGTGGCGCGATCTCGGCTCACTGCAAGCTCCGCCTTCCGGGTTCCCGCCATTCTTCTGCCTCAGCCTCCCGAGTAGCTGGGACTACAGGCGCCCGCCACCACGCCCGGCTACTTTTTTGTATTTTTAGTAGAGCTGGGGTTTCACCGTGTTAGCCAGGATGGTCTCGATCTCCTGACCTCATGATCTGCCCGTCTTGGCCTCCCAAAGTGCTGGGATTACAGGCATGAGCCACCGCGGCCGGCCTCCAAGGTTTTCAAGAATTGACAGTTAGATGTCACTGTTGGAAGTGTACCTTCTCCTTTGGATGGACTTGTGCTGTGTCCTGGTGCCCCTTTCCCTCAGGCATACCCTTTTGGTTCCTTAGCTGCTGGGAGAGCTCCTGTTCTCAAACTCTTCAGCCTCCTTGTTGTAGTTACTACAAATTCCACAGAGGTAGAACTTTTGCATCTTATGGTACCATTGAGTTCACAAAGACTAGCAGAAAGGTGGACTGGACTGACCTTGACCCTAGGTTCCTTTAAGGCCCCTCAAGATTGCTAGGTGAAAGTTCATGGTCAGAGGGCTGTGTTAGCCATGAAAGACCGTCCAGAGCTGTCTCTTCCCTCTCATTGATACACGGCTGTTGCCCACCCCTGAGGAGAACCAGAAACTTGGCAAAAATATTAGATTCTGGAAGTCACTGAAGGTGCCTGGTCCAAAGTGCAAAGAGAACAGTGCTGGCGTTCCAAACTGCTGTTGCATGGGAAATGTACTCTTTGGAAAACTGTCTTTCCACCCTATTTGTAAGTGTTTTTGTATGTGAGACACCTATAATTGGAGGAGGGGTGGCACAGCCAGTCTTTTGTTGGTCTTTCCTTCAGATTGTGGTTCTGAGTGTCATCCGGTGTGAAGGCACGTGGCTCCACAGCTCTGGCTGTGGACTGTGCCACAGCAGTGGCAGTGCTCTCTTCTAGTAAGAGGCTGCTGGAAGCCCCTGCGGTGTCTTCATTAGAGAAGTGGAGCCATATTTGCTATTAGTGGCTTTAAGAGACAAATCTAAAAGGAGACATTCATTTCAAAATGCCTGGTGCACTGGTCATTGGAGCTGAGTAAGAGTCTGTAGCATATTTGATATGAGAGAAAAACTAATTGTCAAAACAGAGCAAACAGAATTTCCTGAAATTAACTTTGAAAACCCTTCCTTTGTTACATTAAGAAGTCTCCCATTTTCTCTGTGTCTATTCCAGACCATCTTGGAGGAGTCCTTCCCTTCTGTTTAGCTTCAAAGATACAGTCTTGAATTGACTTTAATCAAGTTCTTTCAAATGCTTTTTAAAACCAGGTGGTACAGACAGCATTGTCAGAAACACGGGATCCTGAAGAGATTTCGGTCACTGTCAAAGCCTTTATGACAGCCGACCTGCCTAATGAACTGATTGAACTGCTGGAGAAGATAGTTCTGGATAACTCTGTCTTCAGCGAGCACAGGTGAGGCTATGCCAGGGGTAGCTGTGGACACAGGCAGATTCAAAACATCTGCTTGATACTCATCTTCTGTTACAATCTCGTACCGCTTCACCCATCCAGCCTGCCCATTGGCTGCTCCCCAGACATGCCAATCTTCTTACCACCTCCTCTACCTCAATCTAGCCCTTCCCTTATTAGCTCCTGCCTGTCTCAGAGCCCAGCCTCAGTTTCACATTTTCTAGGAGCCTGCGCTCCTCTTACTGCTCTGGCCCACACTGTCCTTTAACACAATGCTCAGAGAAAGGGAGCTGGCATTTTATGAAGGTCTCATGTGGCCTAAGGATGTGTTGAACTCTTCAAATCATGGTGAACAAAGCTTGGAGAAAGGTGGCAGGAGAACCAGATCTGGGCATGTATCAGGGAAGACTTGCCCGAAGTATAATGTAGAAGCCAGATGAGCAGGAGCTGTGGCAGGGGCAGCAGCACAGGCCCGGCACTATAGAGGTGCGAGTGCGTGCTTCCGATGGACCGGCACTATAGAGGTGAGAGTGCACGCTTCCACACGGACCGGCAGTATAGAGGTGGGAGTGTGTGTTTCGGCATGGACCAGCACTATAGAGGTGGGAGCGCGTGCTTCTTTTGCATGGGCAGGCACCATAGAGGTAAGAGTGCGTGCTTCCGCATGGGCCAGCCACCTGGGGTTCCTCTCCACTTCAAAATTCACCATCAGAGATTCTGTGTCAGATTTTAATCAACTCACATCATAAGTGCAGCTGTAAAGATTTAGTTATGAGATTTATTTTGTAGGCCAGAAAGGCTATCAAGGGCTGTAGTATTATAGAGAGGAATTTGTGTGTGTGTTTTTAAACTTGGAGATGCTATATGGTAATGGCATATGGAATGTGAAATTATATTTAATGGAATCATAAACCCTGACTAATGACAGGATGCCAGGATTAAGGTGCCTGAGGTGGCTACGATATTCTGTCTTGCTGTCTGATCAACCTCCTTTGATAGTTGTTAGTTTGTGTGTACTTCCAGGCACTTACAGGTGGCTGTAGCTCTGCTGTCTTCTTAAACACTTGCTTCTCAAACATGCAGGTAACCTCAAGTTCGTGCTCTTCTTTCATTGATGATTTCACCAGACAGTTTTATGCGTAGGTAAAAATAGCCTTGGCTGGGCGTAGTGGCTCACGCCTGTAATCCCAGCACTTTGGGAGGCCAGGAGTTTGAGACCAGCCTAGCCAGCATGGGTGAAACCCTGTCTCTACTAAAAATAAAAATTCAGCCAGGCATGATGGCAGGTGCCTGTAATCCCAGCTACTCGGGAGGCTGAGGCGGGAGAATCGCTTGAGTCTGGGAGGTGGAGGTTGCAGTGAGCCGAGATGGCACCACTATACTCTAGCCTGGGTGACAGAGCGAGACTCCATCTCAAAAAAAAAAAAAAAAGCAAAATATATTATTTTTAGAGTATATACTTGGAAGAATATACTTATGACCTAATAAATTCTTAAGCCAGTCACAGAAACCAGAAACCATAAATAAACCTTTAGTGAAAAACCAATAAGACTGTATTAAACTTAAGCACTTTATCGTAAAGAAGATGGACAAATGAGAAGCTACAAATGCGGGGAAGATATTTGCAACACAACCAACAAAAAATTAGTAGGGAAAAGTTGTAATAAAAGACAAACACAAGCAACCCAATGAGAAACCAAGCAGAGAGCTTGAGCACACCCTCCGGTGAGAGGAAGGGCAGCTTGTGAATTCAGCCTCATCAGCCACCAAGGAGGCACAGAGTGAGGCCACAGTGCATCATCCGATGCTTTGTTACTCCTGCCAGAGCAGCAGGAACCCCACTCTCCTAATCAGTGCTGATGAGGATGTTGAACAGCTGGACCTCTGACGTGCCCCTGCTGGGAATGTGCGTTACATTTGGAAACAGTTTGGTGAAAAAAGATGCACACAGCCAGCAATTTCCTCTCTTCCTTATGAGCCCTAAAGGAACTCAGCTTATTTGTATGAGGAGATGTGCAGGGATACTCAAGACAAAGCTCTAAGAGCGATCCAGATAACCATCAATAAGTAGGCTGTAGTACAGTCATACAGTGGAATACCAGATAGCAGTAGAAATGAACACTGTACATGGATGACCCTTAGCACCCAACTTTAAAATTCTTTTTTATAAAACCACCATACAGTAAAAATGACCTTCTGGAAGGGGATGGGGAATGCAGTGCTAGGAATTTTAACACAAGTGTAGATCTGTAGAATCACCACAGTCGGGATACAAACAATTCCATCACCCTTTAACATTCCCTTGTGCTAGCTACCGTGTATATTATACATTCCCCCAAACCTCAACCCCCAACCCTGGCTACCACCCCGCCACACTAGTTTTGCATTTTCAAGAATGTCATGCAAATGGAGTCACGTGGTATAGACTCCTCTGTGACAGGCTTCTTTCACCCAGCGTGATGATGCCTTTGAGATTCATCCAACTTGGTGAGTGCATCGCATCAGCCTTACATTCTTTTTTGTCACTGAATGATATTCTGTTGTACGAATGTACCACAGGATCTCTTCACCCATCAAAGTACGTTTGGGTGGTTTTCAGTTTGAGGTTATTATGAATACATCTGCTGTGAACATTTGTGTCCAGATTTTTGTTTAAACATACCCAATCACATGGTATATGTACTGTTTAAGAAACCGCCTCACTATTGTTTTCCAGAATGGCTGTGTCATTTTGCATTCCCACCAGCAATATGTGAGAGTTCCAGTCACTCTTCATCTTTAGCAGCACTTGGTATATTGGTATTTTTTTATCTTAGCCAGTCTCATAAATGTATAGCAGTGTGCCATTGTGGTTTCAATTTGCATTGCCCTAGTGGCTAATGATGATGAACAACTTTTTATGTGCTCAGTTACCATCCGTAGATCCTCTTTGGTGAAGTGTCTCTTGAAATCTGTTGCCTGTGTTTTAATTGGGTTGTTTGGTTTTTTGTTGAGTTTTCAGAGTTCTTTGTATATTCTGGATACAAGTCCTTTGTTGGATATGTGATTTCCATATATTTTCTCATTCTGTAGATTTTCTTTTATTTTCTTAATAGTGTCATTAACAGAACAAAAGTTATAATTTTGATAAAGTCCAATTCATAAACTTTTCTTTTATGGACTGTGCTTTGGTGTTAAAACAAGAACTCTGTTAATACTCCCAGGTCACAGAGATTTTCTGTTATTTCCTTCTAAAAGTTTCATTCTTTTTCATTTTATATTTAGATTCATTATCCAATAAAGTGTGAAGTTTAGGGTGAGGTTCAGCTTTTTGCATATGAATGTCCAGTTTATTCCAGCATTATTTGTTAAAAATACTCTTTCTCCATGGAATTGCTCTTGCATCTCTGTCAAAAATCAATTGGCCAGATAGTGTAATTCTTCCACCTTTGTTCTTTCTTTCTTTCTTTTCTTTCTTTCTTTCTTTTTTCTTTCTCTTTCTTTCTTTCTCTTTCTTTCCTTCCTTCCTTCCTTTCTTTCTTTCTTTCTCTTTCTTTCTTTCTTTCTCTTTCTTTCAATAGGGTCTCCCTCTGTCACCCAGGCTGGAGTGCTGTGGCATGAACACGGCTCACTGCAGCCCCAACCTCCTAGGCTGAAGCAGTCCTCCCATCTCAGCCTTCTGAGTAGCTGCAGGTGTGCACCATCATGCCTGGCTAGTTGTTTTTTTTTTTTTTTTTGGTAGAGACAGGGTCTTGCCATATTGCCCAGGCTAGTCTCAAACCCTGAGGTTCAAGCACTCCTCCCACCTTGGCCTCCCAAAGTGCTGGGATTACAGGTGTCAGCCACTATACCTGGGCTCAACTTTATTCTTTTTCAAAATTGTTTTAGCTATTGTAGTTCCTTTGCCTATCTATATAAATTTCAGAATTAGCTTGTCTATATGTACAAGAAAATCTGCTGGAACTGGAACTGCATGAAATCTATGGACCAATTTAGGGAGAATTGATATCTTTACTATGTTGATTCTATGAAAGTGATATGTCTCTCCATTTATTTAGATCTTTGATTTCTTTCATCAGCAGTTTATAGTTTTTGGCATATAGGTCATATGTAGATTTTATTAGATTTATACTTATTTCATATTTTTGGAAGTATTTTAAATAGATTTTTTGTTTACAGTTGTTCATTGAAAAACATTGTCAGTATATAGAAATACAATTGATTTTTGTATGTTGACCTTGTATTCTACAACCTTGCTAAACTCATTTATTGGATTTTTTTTTTTTTGTAGATTTCTTCAGTTTTTTTTAATCAATCATGTTGGCTGCAAATTGGGACAGTTTTGTTTTTGTTTTTTTTTTTTTTTTTGAGATGCAATCTTGCTCTGTCGCCCAGGCTGGAGTGCAGTGGCGCAATCTCAGCTCACTGCAACCTCTGCCTCCTGGGTTCGTGCCATTCTCCTGCTTCAGCCTCCCCAGTAGCTGGGACTACAGGCGCCTGCCACCACGCCCAGCTAATTTTTTATATTTTTAGTAGAGACGGGCTTTACCGTGTTAGCCAGGATGGTCTTGATATCCTGACCTTGTGATCCACCCGCCTCAGCCTCCCAAAGTGCTGGGATTACAGGCGTGAGACACCGGGGACAGTTTTATTTCTTCCTAATCTAGTGCTGCCTGTGCTTTCTTTGCGATTCATTATAGAAAAGAAACTTTTTGTTTCTTTTGTTGCCTAAATGCCTTAACCAGAACCTCCAGCACAAATAGAAGTGTGGAGAGTGGACATCCCTGCCTTGTTCCTGATCCTCGGGGAAAGTGTCCAGACTCTGTTACTTATGATGTTAACAGTGGGCTTTTTGTAGATGTACTTTCTCAGATTGAGGAAGTTTCCTTCTATTTCTAGTTGAGAGTTTTTCTCATTAATAGGTGTTAGATTTTGTCAGATGCTTTTTCTGATCATTTGATAAAGATGTAGTATTTCTTTTTTAGATTATTGATATGTGGTGTGTTACACTGATTTTTTTTCCACATTTTTGAATTGTATAAAGTTTTGCAAGAATGCATCTATTATAATTAAAGCAAAGGAAAGTTCAAGAAATGCAAAGTGACCTGGTGTGGTGGCTCACACCTGTAATCCCAGCACTTTGTGGGGGCAAGGTGGGAGGATCACTTGAGGCCAGGAGTTTGAGACCAGCTGGGCAACATAGCAAGACCCCGTCTCAAAATTTTTAAAAAGTTAAAAAAAAATGCAAAGCTGCCTATATTGCTTAGAAATACAGTAGATGTGATAAAGCTATAATGAATCACAAAGAAAGCACAGGTAGGAAAATAGGTACCTCTACAGCAGGATCCAGAGGCTGGGCTCTAAAAAGCCACAGCAGCCCTCCCAGTGGTTTGATTGGCACATTCTGATTCTCTTACCTGTGCTTTCCCAAGACTTTGCTATACTGTTTCTTTTTAGATCCCAAATACTTCACAAATACTCTGTTGTATTTACTTAGCAGTTATGTGTGTGTATATTAATTACTTTTTTAAAAAAACTGGGGGTCTGGGGATGCCTGACCTGCCAAAAAATGGTTTGTGCAGCCTTCGTTCCTGGGATGCCGTGCTGACCACCCTCTCTCCTCAGGAATCTACAGAATCTGTTGATCCTGACTGCCATCAAGGCAGACCGCACACGGGTCATGGAGTACATCAGCCGCCTGGACAACTATGACGCACTGGACATCGCGAGCATCGCTGTCAGCAGCGCACTGTATGAGGAGGCCTTCACCGTTTTCCACAAGTTTGATATGAATGCCTCAGCAATCCAGGTGGGCTGCTGAGTGTAAGCATGTCGGACCTAGCACCTTCTGCCACATCATGAGTGCGCCCTGCAAGCCCTTGTCCTCTCCAAGGGTGTCAGACCCTCTGGTTGTCCAGTGCATCTCTTCGTGCTCTTCTCTGTTCCTCACCAGCAACCCATCTTCCCAGCCCGCTGGCCCCTTGTCTTGACCTTCTCTGTGGGTGCTCCTTCCATTGGCTGTTAGTCTGCCCCTTCCCTATTACTCCCCAGCACTCCCTTGGACTTGGGTACCTGACCCAATGTCATCGGTCAGCCCAGGTGACAGAAACGTTTGATTTTCAGAGGCACTCACATCTTACCCTCAATGACAACCATTCCAGCCCTCTGCACCATGCTACTCACCCCCTATACTCCCCATTCCCCCATCTCCTCAGCAGGAGCTTTTCAGGATCCAAGGTCAGGTTCCCAGAGCAGGCCCTCCAGCCCTCCCTGCCTGCCCCTCTGCCTCCTCAAGAACTCTTCTTCTTTAAACTGCATCCCTTTCTTTCCAGTCTATGAGCCTCTTCTGGTTTTATTTCCAAATCAGTTGTAAACCACAGGACATCTCACCTGAACTGCTGTCCTACCAATTATCTTTATGTCCTTGCCTCTTCCTTTACCTTATTTCTATACCTGCTGTGAAACCCCCAATCCAGGAGCCCTTCTTTTGTGCCCCCTCATGGGCTCTGGCCTTGCTTTGAGACAGACCAGCTCATCATATTAGGGGGCAGCTGATACTGCCACCACCTCCACTACTATACAGTGGGTGGCCCTCACTGTCACGCAATCTGCCAGACTGCTCAGCAAGCCTGTTTCTGCCTGGTGAGCAATCTTATTCCCCACAGCAATTCTTGTGAACTCTTTTACAGTTTCTATGCTCTGTTGCACTGTCTTTCCTCCCAAGGTCAGGAGCAAGTCCCATGTCCTACCCCCGGCCCAGAAAGCTTAACCTGGCTATCTCCATCTCTGTGCCTCTTTATTGGAGTGTCTCTTCTTTGTTCGGCATCCCCCTTCTCATATAATAGCTCTTGTCTCTTCCCTCAACCTGTCCATCTGAGAAATGCTTAGTACCTGATTGCTTCTGACTGAAGTGAAATGGTCATGCAGCTTTAGGCAGAACAGGAAACCAAACAAAAATGTGTCTGTTTTTTGGAGCTGACTAGATGTTGCAGAGAATGGAAGTCCTCTCATAACCCCTAGGTCCTGATCGAGCACATTGGAAACCTGGACCGGGCATATGAGTTTGCGGAGAGATGCAATGAGCCTGCTGTGTGGAGTCAGCTGGCCCAAGCCCAGCTCCAGAAAGATTTGGTGAAGGAAGCCATCAACTCCTATATCAGAGGGGACGACCCTTCCTCTTACCTGGAAGTTGTTCAGTCAGCCAGCAGGAGCAGTAAGTGAGTCCCCTCTCCCTAGGGCTCTGCATCTCACTGATGCAAAACCTGGCTGAAGCAAGAAGTTGAAGAGATTCTCACAAATCTCTACGTATGATGTATCCAGAGATATCAGAGGGCACATCTACATGAAAGTTTCCCACAAGAGTCTGAGATAAACATTATTCTGTTATTGACACCAGCTCTTTAGTTGACTATTGCCCTCCTTTACAAGATGAGGTCATTTAAGCACACTAGATATCTCAATATCGCCACTGTAGTAATTTTAAAGTGAGTGACAGGCCCACAATTCCCAGGGATCTTCTGGTGTTTCAAGTTGATTGTGGCACCGACCTCTCTGATGTCCAGAACAAGCATTCTGTCTCCTGGCAAAGTCTTTTCTAAGGGAGGTGGCCTGAGTGTGGCTCTGCCCCTCCCCTCCTCCCTTCTGAGCTATGGATCTGCTTAGTGAGCATAATCAAGACCTCCTAGACGTTATCTGGAGTCTGAGTTCCCAGTGAGACATAACTGGAGGGTAAATGTGTCTGGCTGAGAACAGAATGGGAGGAATTGAGCCCTTGTTTAAAATTATCAGCTCTGGGTTAACCTATCTTTGTTTTCTGTCTTTAGACAACTGGGAGGATCTAGTTAAATTTCTGCAGATGGCCAGGAAAAAGGGCCGTGAGTCCTATATAGAGACTGAACTTATTTTTGCCTTGGCTAAAACCAGCCGTGTTTCTGAGCTAGAAGATTTTATTAATGGACCCAACAATGCCCACATCCAGCAGGTAGGCCATGCCCCCTGGGGGCTGTGCACTGCCAGTCAGATTTAGGTCCAGGGATGTTCCTCAGAGCAGCAGTCCCGAGCTGTTTTGGCACCAGGGACTGGTTTCATCGAAGACAGTTTTTCCACAGACAGGTCGGGGGTGGTTTGGGGATGATTCAAGTGCATTACATTTATTGTCCACTTTATTTCTACTGTTATCATATTGTAATATATAATGAAATAATTCTACAACTCACCATAATGTAGACTCAGTGGGAGCCCTGAGTTTATTTTCCTGCAACTAGATGGTCCCATCTGGGGATGATGGAGACAGTGACAGATCAGCAGGCATTAGGTTTTCATAAGAAGCATGCAACACAGATCCTCGCGTGTGCTGTTCACAATAGGGTTTGTGCTCTGTGAGAATCTAATGCTGCTGCTGATCTAACAGGAGGCGGAGCTCAGGCAGTAATGCAAGCAATGAGGAGCAGCTGTAAATACAGATGAAGCTTCACTCGCTTGCCTGCTGCTCACTTGCTGCTATGGGGCGTGATTCCTAACAGGCCACAGACCAGCAGCGGTCCGTGGCATGGGGGTTGGGGACCGCTGCTTTAGTGTGATGCAGATAAAGATCATGAGAAGCAAGCCACACGAGGAAGTAAGTAACCTGTTGCTATTATTGGTATGGAAATTGAGACCCATGGAATTTTGACATGCTCTTGGCTATACACATCAGAATAATTCTCCTAGAAGAGATGTGAAGACTTACATCCAGGCGTTCTGTTTACTACAAGAAAACAAAATTAATTGAGTCAGAGTTAATAATCTGGATGCATAAAATATATATTGAAAATTAATAGGCTGGGCATGGTGGCTCATGCCTGTAATCCCAGCACTTTGGGAGGATGAGGCGGGTGGATCACCTGAGGTCAGGAATTTGCGACCAACCTGGTCAACATGGCAAAACCCCGTCTCTACTAAAAATAACAAAATTATCCAGGCCTGGTGGCACACGCCTGTAGTCTCAGCTACTCAGAAGGCTGAGGCAGGAGAATCGCTTGAATCCGGGAGATGGAGGTTGCAGTGAGCCGAGATAGCACCACTACACTCCAGCCTGGGTGACAGAGCGAGACTCCGTCTCAAAAAAAAAAAAAAAAAAAAAAAATTAGTAGTTTATGTCACCAAAAATCAGATAACATAATGGGGAAGAAAACATTCCTTTTTTAATAGGAATAAAGCCAAAATGTTTAAATAAACCTTAACCATAAATAAAAGATCTAAATAATTGTGGAGTCCGCCATGTAGATAAGATGTTACCCTTGGAAAATGTGATGCAGAGACATGAAGAGATAATGGAATGTATTATAACTCTATATTAGTTACAAGTGCACTTCTTGGAGGAACGCATGCAATTTATTGAAATGAATAACAACAAAGTGGGCCGGGCACAGTGGCTCATGCCTGTAATCCCAGCACTTTGGGAGGCCGAAGTGCGAGAATCGTTTGGGCACAGGAGTTCAAGACCAGCCTGGGCAACATAATGAGACCCCCATCTCTAAAAAGGAAAAAGAAAAAAAATAACAAAATGAACTTTGAGCTTTTTATTTCAAAATAAGTTCCAAGTAGTTGTTGGGGCTGGGCACGGTGGCTCACACCTCTAATCCCAACTCTGGAGATAGAGGTGGAAAGATCACTTGAGCCCAGGAGTTCAAGACCAGCCTGGACAACATAGTGAGACCCCCATCTCTATCAAAAAACTAAAAAATATTAGCCGAGTGTGTGGCATGCACTTGTAATCACAGCTACTTGGAAGGCTGAAGTGGGAAGATCACCTGAGCCCAGGAGGTCAAGGCTGCAGTGAGCTGTGATCGGGGTGAGCTGTGATCGGGGCACTGCACTCCAGCCTAGGCAAAGAGCGAGACCCTGTCTTTAAAAAACAAACAAACAAAAAGAAAACAAGGGGGTGAAGGGCCTGTAATCTCAGCACTTTGGGAGGCCAAGGCAGGTGGATCACTTGAGGTCAGGAGTTCAAGACCAGCCCAGGCAAAATGGAGAAACCCCATCTCTACCAAAAATACAAAAATTAACCAGGCATTGTGGCACATCCTGTAGTCCCAGCTATTTGGGAGGCTGAGGTGGGAGACTCACTGGAGGCTGGGAAGTCAAGACTGTAATGAGCTGTGATTGTGCCACTGCACTCCAACCTGGGTGACGGAGTGAGAAGCCTGTGTCAAAAAAAAAAAAAACAATGGTTGGAAATTAAGTTAAAGTTTTGAAAGGTGTTAAAAGTTCATCATGTAATTCTGTAACCAAGTAAAATTCCAGATGAAAGAATTAAAGGTAAAAATTGAGCTTTTCCTTAAAATTTTTTAAAAATATGTATTTGAATTTTTGCATGAGAAAGGAATTTTTAAACATGTAAGCAGTGGAAGAAAGCATAAAGGAAAATATCAGTTCAGCTAATACATAAATATTTGAAATATAGCTATAGAGTTTTATTATTTCTAAACATGGACCTCTAAGTCTAGATGTAAAAATCTATCCCAAGAAAGTAGAAAAGATCCACATAGTTTTACCTATAAATATTTAATCATTGCAGCATGATTATGCAAATAAAAATCAAAAGCCAATGTCTGGCAAAAGGAAATAGTGCTTTTGTTTTGTTTTGAAACAGGGTCTCCTCTGTCACCCAGGCTACAGTGCAGTGGCACGATCTCAGCTCACTGCATCCTCGACCTCCTGAGCTCAAGCCATCCTCCCACCTCAGCCTCCCGAGTAGCTGGGACCACAGGTGCACGCCACCACTCCCAGCTAATTTTTGTATTTTTGGTAGAGACGGGGTTTCACCATGTTGCCCAGGCTGGTCTCGAACTCCTGTGCTCAAACCATCCACCCGCCTCAGCCTCCCAAAGTGCTGGGATTACAGGGGTGAGCCACTGTGCCCGGCCAAGAAATAGTTAAATAACAACATCCATCAATGGAGTATAATACTGATGAGGACAGTGAATAACTCTGGGATTTGGAATTGGCAATATCATATTGCTTTTCTTTTACTTGCCTGTGTTTGCAAAGTTTTTTTTTTTTAATCAGTGATCATGTAACTTTAGAAATTGCCCTTATAATCCAAAAAGTAGTTAAAATAATAGAAAACAAAGCCTTGCCCCCAATCCCCCTCTGGGTTAGTAACAGGGTTCTCCTGAGTCAGAGGCGCTGTGGGCCAGAGCAGAAGCTCCCTCACATAGGGCCGGCTGGGTGGGGCAGAGGCACACCTGGCTCTTTACCTATGTTCATAGTGGCCCCAGGCCTGGCAAGCTCTCTGCCTTCTGCTGTCACTCCCCTGAGATAGGGGCCAGTAACCTTCAGCCTGGGGGCCAGATCCCAGCCCATCGCCTGGTTTGTGTATGTTTCCCACAGTCTGGCATCTGCTGACTGCAACTCCACAATGTCATTTAACTCATTTTCCCTGCGTTTCCTGTAAATTGGCAGTAACAAGTCTTACATGCTTACCCCTTTGATAGAATACTTCATTTATGCATTCATCACCTTTTATTAAGCATCAGCTAGCTGTGTGCCAGAGTAGGGGCTATGGATGTAGCAGGGAAAATGGTAATCAGATTTCTGCCCCGTGAATCATAAGATTCTTAAAAATACTGTGATCTATTAAATGGTGAATATAAGGAGCTAAGTGAAGCGGGGCAGGGATAAGAAGCGTTGGAACGGTGTGGGTGTGACAGTGGACATTCTGGTTTTAGAAAGGGCCCCTGGGTAAGTGCTGAGTCTGTACACCTCTGGGAAGGAGCCCTTAGAACAAGACAGCGGGGCAAGTGCAAGGATCCTGTGAGGAGCATTGTGGGGTGCAGGAGCCCCTGGCTGGAGCACAGCCATCCAGCGAGAGAGGCTTGGGGAGCAGTAGGAAGAGGCAGCTGTTGGCCTCTGCGGGTCAGGACTTCAGGGGTCGTCATCAGGACTCTGGCTTCTCTGGCTTCTGCTCTGGGCGAGACTGGACATTTTGAGCAGAGGAGGAAAATGATCTGGTCTAGGGGTCAGCGGAACCCCTCTGGCTGCTATGCTACAAACAGAGTGAAGGACAAGGGTGGAGCAGGGAGTGCATAGAGGAGGATGGTGCAGTGATGTCGCAAGGGGCAGCGACAGCAGATAAAGTGGGCAAGGCAAGTGCAAAGCATAGTCAGCTTCTGGATGTGTGTTGAAGGCAGAGCCGGCAGGGCGTGCTGCCAAGTGGGGTGTGAGGAGAGAAGCAGTGAGGGCGGGTCAAGCTTGGGGGTGTGGGCAGTCATGCTTACCAGTGTGGGGACAGTGTGTGAGGACTGCCTGGGGGCATCAGGACTAATATTCGGACAAGTCGGACCTCTAGTAGATGCCATGTGGATCTGTCCAGCTGGAAGTAGGAGTTAGGTTTTAGAGGAGAAGCCCAGACTAGAGATGTGCATGGGCAGCCTCCAGGGACAGGCAGCACCCACAGCCGCCACCTGTGTGGGAGAGCATGGCAGTGGGGGTGTGGGGCTGGGGGGGGATGGACCAAAGAAGCCAGAGCACCCCAAAGCCCCACAGCAGGGAGAGGGGGAGATGGAGACTGGCCAGCGGGGTGGGAGAAAAGCAGGCAGGGGTGTCCAGAAAACCATGTCTGCGTCTGTCTGGAGGAGCAGTGACCCTGGCAGAGAGGCTGGCAGAAGCCTGATTGGAGTGGATTGCAGAGAGAATAGGAAGACAGGGGACAACTGTTACAGACACACAGATACTCCCTGAGAACTGTGCTCTGATGGGAAGCATGGAAACAGGCTGACAGCCCCCAGGTAAGTTGAGGGCAGAGCAAGTTGGATTAGTTTTATTTTATTTATTTTTGAGATGGAGTTTCACTCTTGTCTCCCAAGCTAGAGTGCAGTGGTGCGATCTCAGCTCACTGCAACCTCTGCCTCCCAGGTTCAAGCCATTCTCCTGCCTCAGCCTCCTGAGTAGCTGGGATTACAGGCGCCCGCCACCACGCTCAGCTAATTTTTCTATTTGTAGTAGAGACAGGGTTTCACCATATTGGCCAGGCTGGTCTCAAACTCCTGACCTCAGGTGATCCACCTGCCTCAGCCTCTCAAAATGCTAGGATTACAGGTGTGAGCCACTGTGCCTGGCCAGTTTTGTTTTGTTTTAAACTAGAGAAAAGAACAGTGGTTCTTTAAGCTTGTCAGAGTGGATGAGTGCAGAAGGTGATGGATGCTGATGCAGGGATTTGCTGAAACCCTGACATGGAGCATGTGGAGAGGGGGTCAGGGACATCCATGGAGCAGGCCTTGGTGGCATAGGAAGGACATTCCACGGACACTGTGCTGTGAAAGGCTCTCCTGATAGTTTGTTTTCTCAGGAAAAGGGAAGCCAAATACTCAGCTTGAGGAATCGTTAGAGCTTTGAGAAGAGAAGGAGATATGAAAGAGTTAACATGAGAGATGCCATGGGTGATGGAAGGAGGGGTGGCAGTAGAGGTGCTATGGATGACAGGCGTGTAGGGGTGGTACAAGAGGTGCCATGGATGACGGAAGTAGGGTAGTGCAGTAGATGCCATGGATGACGGAAGGAGGGGAGGTGCCATGGATGATGGAAGGAGGGGAGGTGCCATGGATGACAGAAGGAGGGGTGGTGGGGGAGGTGCCGTGATGGCGGAAGGAGGGGTGGTGCGGGAGGTACCGTGGATGGCAAAGGAGGGGTGGTGCGGGAGGTGCCGTGGATGGCGGAAGGAGGGGTGGTGCGGGAGGTGCCGTGGATGGCGGAAGGAGGGTTGGTGCGGGAGGTGCTGTGGATGGCGGAAGTAGGATGGGTAGTGTTGCCAGTGCATTTGATGTTAGCCTTCATGAATTTAGAGAGACCCATCAGCACTTTGGGGTTCTGCTGTCTGTGTTTAGCTCTGCAGCCACAGGTATGGAATGGGCAGAGAACTAGCTCTGAGCAGGACTGAGAACAATCAGGAGAGTCAAGAGTGAATGCCAGGAGCTGTCCAGCATGATCTGGGGCCACCAGCTGGGGCAAGTGCAAGTTGGGCATGGACAGGGCTGCAGGAATTCAGTCCAGTCACTGGACTGGTGGAGTTGAGGCGCTCAGGATGGCGAGCTGGGCAGTGCTAGGCAGAGTAGGTACTTGTGGAAGGTTCCCAGGGCTGGCATCTCTCTTCTGAGGTGTAAGGTGTGGCTATGGCAGTGACTTGTTCTTGTGAGAAGAACAAGGTCCCCAGCTCATAGGAAGTCAAATAAATTGCCAGAGAATGAGAAAGATTTGTAAATGGCATCAGGAACTAGGGCTGGTGAGTGATACCTGACACAAGATTGGTTGTGAACGGTTTTTATTGAGGAGGAAGGGGAACGGCTTGGAAGCAGCAAGGAGCACACCTCCTCAGCCCAGGCCCAGTGGGGTGCAGATGTGGTAGGTGACAGCCAGGGCCTGAGAGGTGCCAGAACGCAGGGTTAGATAGGAGCGGGCAGGTAGAAGCGCCCCCTGAGGTGGAGGAGGGTGTCCAGGGACTAGAAAGCCAAGGCCAACTTCATCTGGTCACTGGTGCGATCAGAAAGATGCTTACCACCCTAGCAAACAGAAAAATACCTCTGCCATCTAGGAACTTAAAAGCAACTCTGGAGAAATCTTCCCATTGAAGAGTGTCTCAGTCGAGCTACCCTATTATCCGTAGGTTGGAGACCGCTGTTACGAGGAGGGAATGTACGAGGCTGCCAAGCTGCTCTATAGCAATGTTTCTAACTTTGCCCGCCTGGCTTCCACCTTGGTTCACCTCGGTGAGTATCAGGCAGCAGTGGACAACAGCCGCAAGGCCAGCAGCACCCGGACGTGGAAGGAGGTGAGCTGCGGGCAACTGCAGACGGCAGAGTGTGCTGGACAGGCACGCTCTCCGTGTCCTTTGCGTTCTGCTCGGTACTCTTCTGGGTGCCGGTCTCTTGCCCAGGCAGGGGTCTGAACCCTTGGGATTCTTAGAGTCTCTAGGCTAGTGTTTGTAGTTGGAACAGAGGCCCCAGAGAATCTGATGTGGAACCAGTTGGCCCCCAGAGGTAGCCTTAATAGCATGGAATTACCAGTATTATAAGTATTTTCATAACACTTTTAAATCATGTCACCTTATTTGCATAATCAGTGTAAATTTACATTATTGGTCCTTTGTGGCAAATTGGTAAATTGTCTGGAGGCTCTCTGATAATATCAGAATCCATCTTCAAGTAGAAAAAACTGAAGAAATATCCAAAACAGCATTGTTTAATGAAAGATTAAAATTAGCCTAAAGGTCTAATGTCAAGGCCTTTTGTTTGTTTGTTTGTTTTGTTTTTGTTTTTGAGATGGAGTCTAGCTCTGTCGCCCAGGCTGGAGTACAGTGACACGATCTCGGCTCACTGCAAGCTCTGCCTCCCGGGTTCACACCATTCTCCTGCCTCAGCTCCCCCAGTAGCTGGGACTACAGGCGCCCGCCACCACGCCCGGCTAATTTTTTTGTATTTTTTAGTAGAGTCGGGGTTTCACCATGTTAGCCAGGATGGTCTCTATCTCCTGACCTCATGATCCACCCACCTCAGCCTCCCAAAGTGCTGGGATTACAGGCATGAGCCACTGCGCCCGGCCAAGGCCTTTGTTAATGTATGCATTACAACTCTACCCTGCTGTTTAAGATGAATAGGCAGAGTTGCAGGAAAAGATGTTGCCAATATTATGCGAGGAATATATCATCATGCAGAATGTATGATGTAATTCCACTGTGTTTATGTGGGAAATTTGTCAGGGTGCTGGTGTATGCATCACACATAGGAAACAGTGGGCCAAAGATTATATCTCAAGTTAATGACACTGGCTTATGTGATTATTTTTGTACAGGGGAATTCTGCACTTCTCAAGGCTTGTTATCATTAAGTATACATACTGTACAGTGCAGAAAACAAAAGTAGTCTAAAAAACTATTAAAACAAGCTCCCCCGTGAAAACAACACTCAGATGAGATGCATTCTGATGGTCATTATTTTTTAGCCTTCCTTTTCAAACCCCAAACCTGAAATTCCAGCATGACTTTCCCGCCACCTGAACAAAACTCAGGGCCTACGAAGTAATGCACAAACTTTATTCTTTCCATGGTCTCAAGCACCCCCTTGGCCTGCAGATTACAAATGTCATATTTTTTCTCCCAGTCTTGTACAATTCATCATAGAGTTAGCTACTTGTTCAGAATCCAACTTAAAATACCCCACTGCTGGTATTTCTGCATTTGCAACTGTGTGCCTTGTAAGTCAGCTGCTGTGGTGCTGTGTCCTGTCTTGGGGACCCTCACGCTTGCCCTCCGTCCCCTAGGTGTGCTTTGCCTGCATGGATGGACAAGAGTTCCGCTTCGCACAGCTGTGTGGTCTTCACATCGTCATTCATGCAGATGAGCTGGAGGAGCTGATGTGCTATTACCAGGTGACCAGATGATCTCTGCTGGTAATGCAGATGACAAGTGATGCCTAAACACTCCACAGAGAGGCACGGTCATCCCCTTAGCTCGTGACCATCACAGTGTTGCATCTGCAAATATGAAGCATGGCCCTGAGGGGAAGATTCATGTGTTAGACAGTCATTTATGAACTAAATTCAATTGCCTTGTTAGCTATCCTCGACCTCATGGCTGGCTGGAATTTTGTGTTTTTTAAGTTCTCTCCATCCTCTTGTGTTATTGGGCCTTCAGAAGCCCAGTCAGTGGCTTGCATGACGGGAACAACCCTTGGAGGGTTGCTGAGAATACTGGGCTGGTGGTGGCAGAGCTCTAGTCCATAGCCTAGTTCCCCACAGTGTGCAGCCCCAGTAGTCTGTTTTTCAAGTGCCTTAGGGACAAAGCACAGGCAAGAGAGGGAACCCCACCTGGACCCTTTGGAAGGGTGGGGCCCTGTATGTTCATGCTGTAGGTAGGCTCTCTTGAGTGGTTGGTAGACAGTGATTTGTGTGTTTAGGGACCTGGGCTTCCACCTGTGGGATTCCTAGAGCCACATGACAACTCCAGGTATGGTTAGTCAAGGCAGACGAAGATGGGATCTGACTCTGCTCAGCAGTGTCACCATGGCCATGGAAATTGAGCCCCAAACCCCTCACTATGTGAGACGTTGTCTGGAGGGGCTCGCACCAGCGCCAGAGTGTCCAGATATTAGCTGGGTGTGATGGCTTTTCAATGAGAAATGCTTTCCCACCCCCAGAGAGGCGCCTGAGAAATGAACTGGAAAGCCAACAGGGAGGGTGATCAAGCAGTACAGGGCTGACAAAAGAACAATTTAGTCAGCAAATCTTTGAGTACTTACTGTGTGCTAGGCATTATTCTCAATAATTGTGTCAGTGAACAAAACAGAAAAGCCTCTATTTAATTGAACTGGCATTCAGCAAGGTTGGCAGGCAAGCAACAAACCTAATGAATAATTATATAGTGTGTTTGAAGGTGATCAGTTATAGAGGAAAATGGAGCCGGTTTGAGGGCATAGGAGTGCCTGGATGGAGTTTCATAAAGGGGCGGTCAAGGTAGCAGCAATTGAGGGGGTGACATTTGAGCAAAGACCTGAAGAAATGGAAGGATTTGGTCATGGGAACATTTGAGGGAAGGGTCAGTGGCCAGGCAAAGTCCTGAGGCAGAAGTGTGCTGTGTATTCAAGGAAGGGGCTGGAGCCAGAGATGGGGCAGAGAGGCTGACGGAGGGCCAGATCTCAGGCCGTTAGGAAGGTCACGGGCTGTACTTGGGATGGGTGCAGGGCTGTCGGGGGTAAAAGGATCATGGTGGCTCATGTGCTGAGACACATACTTGAGGAGTAGGGACAGGAGCCAGAAGAGCAGCTGGAGGCTGTTGCAGTGGTCTAGGCGAGAAGGGACAGTGACTCTGACTAGGGTGGTGGTGACAGGGTGAGAGGTGATCAGGCCATCAGGATTGGGTGTGTGCTTTGAATGAGCAGCCACCTTGATATGCTAATGCACTGATGTGGAGTGAGAGAGAAAAGCCCAGGATAACTCCATTTGGTTTTGGCTTGAATAAGTAGAAATAACGGAGTTATCACCAGTGGATGAGGGGAAGACTGAAGGTGCAGCACGGGAGGGAAGGACAAGAATTACTTTTTGGACACATGGTGCTAAGTCTTGAGCTGCCCGCTGGATGTTCAGGTGGGGGCATCATGTAGGCAGCTGGAGACAGATCTGGAGCTCCACAGAGGAGGGGCCTAGCTAGAGCAGTGAACCTGGAGTTGCTGACATATAGGTGATCCACATCCATCTATGTTTGCCTGCAGTCCCCTGGGGATGAGTGTAGGTGAAAAGACCAGACTGCCCAACAGGGGTGGGCTGAGGAGGGGAGCAGGAGCAGCCAGTACAGTGGGAAGAAAACCCAGAGAGTGTGCTGGCTCCTGGATGCACTGGAGAGGAGGGGCCGGTCAGCAGGGACAGGGCCTGCTGCTGAGCAGACAGCAGGATGGCAGGGCCAGGGGGCTGCTTGTGACCTGGAGCTTGGGAGAGACTCAGCCTGATGGTGGCTGGAGAGAACAGGGAGAGGAATGGGAATGGTTGTTGTGAGGAGTTTTTGCTGCAAAAGGAAGTAGAAAAAATGGGAGGTAGCTAGCAGGGACATCGGGTCAAGAGGGTGTTTAGGATAGGAGGATGAGCGGGATGCTTGCTGAACCCAGCTGTGGAGAGTGAAAATAAGGCAGAAGAGAAATGAGGAGTCACCGGAGCTGTGGCCTTGGTAGGCAAGCAGGTGGGATGGAGCTGCAGGCTGGGCAGGTTCCAGACAGGAGCACAGGCGGCGTGTCTGTAGCTGATTGGGGGGTGCAGATGCTGCCAGCAGACAAGTGTGCCACTGGGAAATGAGGTTAGTCTGAGAGTGGAGGGGGCACAGAAGGGTGTCCTCCTTGGGAAAACAAGAGGTGTGAGGCAGTCCTCTAGGTCGGACCCTCCCAGGGCTGTGGTCGTTAGAGTAAAGGGAAAGGGTCACATGGCTGGGTGTTTCTCCAGGCTTTCTGCATGCTGAGCAGGCTGTAACCAGACGTCTGGTCTTGTCCAGGGAGAGTGTCAGAGGCGTGTGGGGCTGAATGCAAGGGGCTGGCCATCATAATTAGGGACACAGTGAAACAACAGCCACGTGGCATCGTGAGTGGAGTTGAAGGTTTGTTGGAGCCAGGATCTCAGTAATGAGCTGTAGCAAGGGATTAAAACAAATCATTCCCAGACCCTGTTACCACCCACTTCCTATTTTTTTTTCTAATTCTTTAAATAAAATTGGCAATACTAATTTGCACTTACTAAACTTGAAAATTGTAGTGCAGTGTGCCACTGGTAATTGTCAGATGATCCAATAAGTTGCTAAGTAAATGGCATGATCTGTAGCACAGTATGTATACACGTTTTCTTCACACATGCCTCCTCGGGATCATTCCCAGTCACAAGCACAGTCCCTGCGGCGTGGGCATGGGCTGGAGGGTGGCTGCAGGAGGCATGCAATCACTCTGCCCCACGCGTGGCTGTTGGTCTGCTAGGATCGTGGCTACTTTGAGGAGCTGATCTTGCTGTTGGAAGCGGCCCTGGGCCTGGAGCGGGCCCACATGGGCATGTTCACTGAGCTGGCCATCCTCTACTCCAAATTCAAGCCACAGAAGATGCTGGAGCATCTGGAGCTTTTCTGGTCCCGTGTCAACATCCCAAAGGTACCGTGTACTCCTTGCAGTCTGGCAGCCGTGGCCACGTGCAGCACAAGCCGACCCTGACCTCCTTGTCCAGGTGCTGAGGGCTGCAGAGCAGGCACACCTGTGGGCTGAGCTGGTGTTCCTCTATGACAAGTACGAGGAGTATGACAATGCTGTGCTCACCATGATGAGCCACCCCACTGAGGCCTGGAAGGAGGGTCAGTTCAAGGACATCATTACCAAGGTAAGAGGGGATACAGAGCGCTGGCTCCTGCCAGCCTCTGCCAGGCCCTATTCTGGGTGCAGGGGAATGGGCAGGTGGGAGTGGAATGAGTACCAGCATGCCCCCATGCTGTGTGTGCGTTCACTTGTATGAGTCCACCACCCTCTGGGCAGATGGTAGTAATTCCATCTTTGAAGGGAACTGACACTTAAGAAGGGCAGGTGACCCGTCTAGCGATGCACAGCTGAGCTGCGGGCAGGGTCAGGCCAGCATGCAGCCGTGGCCCTGTGGCCCTGCCTGCCCGCCCCTCCCACCATACCACGCCCTTGTGGCCAGGCCTCAGTTCGTTCTTCCTTCTGCCCTGTCAGCTCAGGGCTCCCACCCCCACTTCCTGTGGTTATTGTTCACCATCGGACCTTTTTTTTTTTTAGTTCATGTCTCTCCCCAGCACCAGCGGCCTTACCTGTCTGGGAGTGGGCCTCCATCCTGTAGCCTAACTGGGCTAAACCGGGACCCGAGTTTCTCTGTCAGCAGCCACACTGTTGGGTGGTGTCGGGTTTGGGTGCCATGGTCAAGTGAGCCTTTGTTATTTTGTTTCCGGTCTCTTAGAGAGTTCAACCTCAGGACCCACCCCTCTCCAGCTCTGTATGTGAGTTTGGTGAAGGGGCTGGAATTCTTTATCCTCAGCCCCCATCCCTTTGCATTGGGTATCTGCGCTTTGTGCCATGGTCTTTGGGTAACTAACTTGTCACAGTCGGCTTGTGACTGGAGTGGCACAGCAGTGAGCTGTGGCCTCGCTCATGCACCTCTTTTCCACATGCGGCTACTGAGGGTGGGCGCGAGTGGCACGTGTGCTGCCAGGTGAGGCCTTCAGCCTCTGCCTTTCCTGGGAACTATTTGAAGGAACCCAGTATTGAGCACCAGGCCACAAGCCCGAGCTTCTTGTTGGAGGACATCCATGTTACTGGGCATGGTGGTACGTGAAAGTGGGGGCCTTTGATGGGGCGTCCCACCCTGAGCAGAGTCTGCAGGTTGCTGGAGGGAGTGCGGCCAGGTCATACCTTACTGTGGCCTGGCACACGTGGCTGCTGCCTTGTAGATTTGTCTGTGTGCTGGAAAATCCATACTTGATCAATCCTGTGTGTATTTTATTCACATTGTAACTCCTCTGATATTAGGGTGTTTTTAAAAATTGCTGAGCCGTGGTGGAAGTGGCCATGCTTTTGTTTCTTACTGGCATATAAAATAATAGCAGGACAGCTGAGACTCACTGTGTGGGAGAGCAGCATCTCTCATCTGGTGCCTGCAGGGCTGATGGCTGAGTCCAGTTCCTTGTGTGATTCATGATGCTTCTACTACACCCTGCCGTGTGGGAGACAGACACTGTCAGCTCAGGTGTGAAGGGGGTAGGAGGATACTCGCCAGTGCAGGGGTCCAATCAGATGGACGACATCCAATCTGTATTTGGGGCACACGATAGCAGGAATCCACTTAGCCATAGGGCTGGGCCAGCAGCAGCCTGAGCAGGGGAGCTTGCTAACTCACACGGGGGGCACCCCAGCTCAGCCATTCACTGTCTCTCTCCATGTGGGCTAGGGGTGTCACCGCTGTGAACCTCGTTATCCCATCCATACAATGGACATCATGTTTCCTCCCGACCAAGTGGTCCATGGCAGGTGCCTGGCATCCGGTGGGCGCTTCTTTCAGGTTGTGCAGCACAGCACGCCAACCAGCTATCCTGGAGCTTGTGGCGGAATCTCAGCTTCAGTTTTCTCTTCTTTTTTTGTTTTATTATTATTTTTCTTGAAACGGAGTCTCACTCTGTCACTCAGGCTGGAGTGCAGTGGCGCGATCTTGGCTCACTGCAACCTCCGCCTCCCAGCCTCGAGCGATTCTCCTGCCTCAGCCTCCAGAGTAGCTGGGATTACAGGTGCCTGCCACCACGCCCGGCTCATTTTTGTATTTTTAATAGATACAGGGTTTTACCATGTTGGGCAGGCTGTTCTCAAACTCCTGACCTCAGGTGATCTTGAGAGGTGACGCCACCTGGACTTCTTGGGTCGGGTGGGGACTTGGAGAAATTTTGTGTCCAGCTAAAGGATTGTAAGTACACCAATCAGCACTCTGCATCTAGCTAAAGGATTGTAAATGCACCAATCAGCACTCTGTAAAAAACGTACCAATCAGCACTCTGTAAAATGGGCCAATCAGCACTCTGTAGAATGGACCAATTAGCGCTCTGTAAAATGGGCCAATCAGCAGGATGTGGGTGGGGCCAAATAAGGGAATAAAAGCTGGCCATGCGAGCCAGCAGTGCAACCTGTTCGGGTCTTTTTCCATGTTGTGGGAGCTTTGTTCTTTTGCTTTTCACAATCAGTCTTGCTGCTGCTCACTCATTGAGTCTGCACTAGGTTTAAAAGCTGTAACACTCACTGCGAAGGTCTGGAGCTTCATTTGTGAAGTCAGCCAGATCACGAACCCACCAGAAGGAAGAAACTCACACCTCTCAACATCTGAAGGAACAAACTCTGGACACAACATCTTTAAGAGCTGTAACACTCACCATGAGGGTCTGTGGCTTCATTCTTGAAGTCAGTGAGACCAAGAACCCACCGGAAGGAATAAATTACAGACACAATCCGCCTGCCTTGGCCTCCCAAAGTGCTGGGATTACAGGCGTGAGCCACCACGCCCAGCCTTCAGTTTTCCCTTGTATAAAACAGGGATACTACCATGTCTTCTGGGGTGCTGGCTGTCCTTGCTGACCATGCTAGTGGGCACGGGCCTGCCAGTGCTCCATGTCCTGGCGCGTGGCTAGTGGACTCACCCCATCCTGTCTTTCAGCTTGGATCTGGAGGACGCTCCAGAGGGGCCCCGCCGCTCCATTCCTCCTGTAGTGCAGAGGGCTCCAGATCCCAGCAGCTGAGCCCAACAGAGATGTGTGTCCCTGCAGGCCTCAACACCAGAGGAACTGGGTGGGAACATGGCAGTTATACTCCACCTTAAACGGCATTCCGGCCATGCTGCATGGACCTGTTGAAAGGGCCAAGAGTGCACATGGTACCAGGTGTCCCACAAGGGAAGCTAGGACTGCTGGTGCCCCACTTCAAGTCTGTCCACTCGCGTGATACCTGCAAGAGTCTCTGAAATGGGCTTGTCCTTGGATGGTTCCTCTCCTTCACGGGAGGCCTGAGGAGCCTTGTGGTTGGTGGGGAAGCAGGTGGGGCTTTGAGGAGGTGATTCGCCACAGAAGATGAACTTGAGTCCCTACCCTTCTCTTCAGCCCCACATCACATCCTGACTGCTCTCTGCTTCTTCAGTGTCTAGTTGAGGCCCCCATGTCCTGGCCCTGCTGCTGAGTAAAGGGCCAGCCTAGAAGGCTGACAGGTGCTAGAGCTCCAATAGGAGTGGACCCACAGTGGCCTGTGGCAGAGTCTGGGGGCCCACCAGTGCCATAGGTGAAGCTTTGTGATGCGGCCAGTTCACCGTTTTGCTCTGAATCCATGGTGGCGGGTACTAGGGACCCTGCTGCCTGTCTGGGTCAGAATCTCTGGTGACAGTGAGTGCTCTAGCACAAAAGGAAAAGAGAAGGAGAAAGAAGACACCCTGAAGTGGCCAGTAAGCCATAGTGGGACCATTAGACCCCTTTTAGTCAGAAGACCCCATCGGGCCCCACATTTTTGCCAGGTCACCCAAACCCAGCAGTGCTGGAGGCTCCAGTGGTGATCACCCTGGGATCCCAGCATGACTTTAGCTCCAGCTGTGCCCTGTGCACATCCCGGGACCCCCACACTCACGCAGACACATTCATCACCACTGTCTTGGTTCATGCCCATCTGGCTTGCATGCTCCCTGAACAGAGCTGTGTCCAGGCCCTGGACATCGATGCCACAGTCAGCAAGCCACCAAATGACATCGCCAGGGCTGGGCGCGGTGGCTCACGCCTGTAATCCCAGCACTTTGGGAGGCTGAGGTGGGGAGATCACGAGGTCAGGAGATCGAGACCATCCTGGCTAACACGGTGAAACCCCGGCTCTACTAAAAATACAAAAAATTAGCCGGGCATGGTGGCAGCTGCCTGTAGTCCCAGCTACTCAGGAGGCTGAGGCAGGAGAATGGCATGAACCCAGGAGGCAGAGCTTGCAGTGAGCAGAGATCGCACCACTGCACTCCAGCCTGGGCGACAGAGTGAGACTCCGTCTCAAAAAAAAAAAAAAAAAAAAGATGACATCGCCCAGCAAGAGAATGGTGGCAGACCAGTGGGGAAAGTGCTAAGAGACACAGCAGCCTGGCCAAATCTCGAGACCCAGGAGCACAGGCACAGGGTCCACCCAGAGTGGTCCACTCTCTGCATGGGCTGGCCTTCAGGTCTCACCCAGGGTCTGAGCACCACAGTGTTTCAGCTCAAAAGCTCTGGTGATGTCACAGGACATGCTGTCCACTTGGTTATGGCTCAGGCTGAGGCCTCCAAGGAAAGCTGGAGTAATCTTGCTTGGATGGAAACATACTCTGTTGTTTGGTTTTGCTGTGGGGCTTCATTCTGACTGATTACACTTCATTCATTCAGCCGATACTGAGTGATCGTGGACCCTGCATCAGATACTGGTCTAGGTGCTGGGTTGAGGCAGGAAACCCTGAGGCTGGCCTCTTAAGAAAAATGCTCAGTGTGTCAGTGCTGGGGGACAAAATACCTCAGGGATGAGAGGAGGCACCTTCACAGGCCATTGAGTCTTATAGGGGGTAGTCATGGCAGGCCTCAGTAGTAAAGTGTCATTTGAGCAAAAACTGGAAGGAGCCCTGGGGTATCTGGAGACAGCGGCAGGGACTGACCCTCAGCTTTGCTCACCACAGGTTGCCAACGTCGAGCTCTGTTACAGAGCCCTGCAGTTCTATTTGGATTACAAACCACTGCTCATCAATGACCTGCTGCTGGTGCTTTCACCCCGGCTGGACCACACCTGGACAGTCAGTTTCTTTTCAAAGGTGAGTCAACCAAAACCCCAGGTAGAAGAGTGTATTGGGCTAGCTCTAACAAAGTCATCTGAATGATAGCACCTTTATAAAGAGTTTTTGAAATGACCCCCAGCTGACTTGAAGATTCACCAGTGTATCAAAGTGTTTTAGGTTTCAGATACAGGAATACCTCCCGTATCATGCTTCATTTTATTGTGCTTCTCAAATTCTGTGTTTTTTTAAAGATTAGCCGTTTGTGGCCGGGTGCGGTGGCTCACGCCTGTAATCCCAGCACTTTGGGAGGCCGAGGCGGGCGGATCACGAGGTCAGGAGATCGAGACCACCCTGGCTACCACGGTGAAACCCCGTCTCTACTAAAAATACAAAAATTAGCTGGGCGTGGTGGTGGGCACCTGTAGTCCCAGCTGCTTGGGAGGCTGAGGCAGGAGAATGGCGTGAACCCGGGAGGCACAGCTAGCAGTGAGCCAAGATCGTGCCACTGCACTCCAGCCTGGGTGACAGTGTGAGACTCTGTCTCAAAAGAAAAAAAAAAAAAAAGATTGGAGGTTTGTAACCCTGCATTGAGAAAGTCGATTAGCACCATTTTTCCAACAGCATGTGCCCACTTCATGTCCCTGTGTCACATTTTAGGATTTCTCACAATATTTCAAATTTTGTCATTATATATGTTATGGTGATCTGTGATCAGTGATCTTTTTTTTTTTTTTTTTTTTTTTGAGACAGTCTTGCTCTGTTGCCCAGGTGGGAGTGCAGTGGCATGGTCATACCTCACTGCAACCTTGAACTCCTGGCCTCAAGCAATCTTCCCGCCTTGGCCTCCTCCAGTGCTGGGATTATAGGCTTGAGCCAGTGCACACAACCAGCAATCTTTGATGTTACTATTGTAATTGTTTTGGGATGCCACAAACCATGCCCCTATAAGAAGGGAAACTTAATGGATAAATGTTGTATGTGTTCTGACTGCTCCGCTGACTGGCCGTGCCCTGGTCCCTCTTCCTTTCCTTGGGCCTCCCTATTCCCTGAGACACAACAGCATTGGAATTAGGCTAATTAATGGCCGGGAATGGTGGCTTATGCCTGTAATCCCAACACTTTGGGAGGCCAAGGTGGGTGGATGACCAAGGCAGGCGGATCACCCGAGGTCAGGAGTTCGAGACTAGCCTGGCCAACATGGTGAAACCCCGTCTCTACTAAAAATACAAAAATTAGCCAGACGTGGTGACAGGCACCTGTAGTCCCAGCTACTTGGGAGGCTGAGGCAGGAGAATCGCTTGAACCCGGGAGGTTGCAGTGAGCCGAGATTGCACCACAGCACTCCAGCCTGGGCAACAGAGAGACTCCATCTCAAAAAAAACAATAAATTATTGTGCATTTCAAAATAGCTAAAGGAGAAGATTTGAAATGTTCCCAACACAAAGAAATGATAAATGCTTGAGGTGACGGATATCGTAATTACCCTGATTTGATCATCCCACATGTGTATATGTATCAAAATATTACATATGCCCAATTAATATGCACAACTATCATGTATCAATAAGAAGTTGGAAACAAGTAAAGACACCAGTATATAAGGAAAATATCCATATATTAACAGGAATTTGGAAGAAGTGGATTCCAACCCTCATGGATAACTTTGGGGGTTCAGGACTTCAGTGGAGAAAGTCACTGCAGATGTGGGGGAAACAGCAGGAGAACTAGAATTAGAAGTGGAGCCTGAAGAAGGGGCTGAATTGCTGCAATCTTAGGATCCAACTTGAACAGATGAGGAGCTGCTTCTTAGGGATGAGCAAAGAAAGTGGTTTCTTAAGATAGAATCTACTGCTGGGGCAGATGCTGTGAACATTGTTGAAATGACTACAGGGGATTTAGAATAGTGCATAAACCTGGTTGATAAAGTGGCAGCAAGGTTGGAGAGGACTGAGACCAATTTTGAAAAATGTTCTACTGTGAGTACAGTGCTATCAAAGAGCATTGCATGCTGCACAGAGTCTTTTTGTTTGTTTAGTTTATTTTGTTTTATGCAACACAAGTCCAGAGTGGTCTTACATAAAGGGAAGAGTCAGTCAGTGAGGCAAACCTCATTGATGTCTTATTTTAAGAAATTGCCAGCCGAGCGCGGTGGCTCACGCCTGTAATCCCAGCACTTTGGGAGGCCAAGGCGTGTGGATCATGAGGTCAGGAGGTCGAGACCAGCCTGACCAACGTGGTGAAACTCTGTCTCTACTAAAAATACAAAAATTAGCCAGGTGTGGTGGGCGCGCACCTGTAATCCCAGATACTCAGGAGGCTGAGGCAGGAGAATCGCTTGAACCCAGGAGGCAGAGATTGCAGTGAGCCAAGATCGCGCCACTGCACTCCGTCTCCCGCCCCAAAAAAAAGAAGGAAAGAAATTGCCGGCTGGGCGCAGTGGCTCATGCCTGTAATCCTAGCACTTTGGCAGGCAGAGGTGGGCAGATCACCTGAGTTCAGGAGTTCGAGACTTAGCCTGACCAATATGGTGAAACCCTGTCTCTACTAAAAATACAAAAATTAGCCAGGCGTGGTGGCAAGCGCCTGGTCCCAGCTATTCAGGAGGCTGAGGCAGGAGAATTGATTGCTTGAACCTGGGAGGCAGAGGATGCAGTGAGCCGAGATCACGGCACTGCACTCCAGTGTGGGCGACGAGCAAGACTCCATCTCAAAAAAAAAAAAAAAAGAAAAAGAAATTGCCACAGCCTCTCCAGCCTTCAACAGCCACCACTTGTATGAATCAGCAGCCATCAACATTGAGGCAAGACCCTCCCCAGCAAAAAGATTACGAGTCACTGAAGGCTCAGATGATTGTTAGCATTCTTTAGCACTAAAATATTTTTAATTAAGGTGTGTACTGTGTTTTTGTAGACATAATGCTGTTACACACTTAGGCTACAACATAGTGTAAACATGAATTAATATGACTCACTTTATTGCAATGTTCACTTTATTGTGGTGGTCTGGACCCAAACCCATGTGTCTCTCTAAGGTGTGAATGTCTGTGGTGACATTGGCATCCACTGAATCGCCCAGACAGTCCTCTTTGTGTGAGTGTAGGTCTTTTGGTTCTAGGTGTCCAGAAGGTGCCCTTGGCTCCAGAGCTGGACCATTCAAGTGGATGGCACGCACGTGCCCACCTGTGCCCCTGCCTAGTGTCCCCATAACAAGCTTGGCCAAGTGCCTTGACGGTTCCCTCAACTTGTCAGGCAGGTCAGCTGCCCCTGGTGAAGCCTTACCTGCGGTCAGTCCAGAGCCACAACAACAAGAGTGTGAATGAGGCACTCAACCACCTGCTGACAGAGGAGGAGGACTATCAGGTGGGTGTGCAGGAAGGAGCCCTGTCCTGGGTGGGCTGGGCTCCTCCCCTGCAACTGCCATTCTGTTCTCAAAGCAGGCTGCCTTTGCACAGGAGGGTGTGCAGGCCCCACAGGACACCAGTGGATATATGGGCAGGGGCCTTTCTAAGGCTGTGCTGATAGCAACAGCCATCAAGTAACACAAGGTGCCTGCTCCATGTGTAGGCAGCCCATGTCAGTGTCCCATCCCTCACAGAAAGGCTGTCTTCCTAGGGCTTAAGGGCATCTATCGATGCCTATGACAACTTTGACAACATCAGCCTGGCTCAGCAGCTGGAGAAGCATCAGCTGATGGAGTTCAGGTGCATTGCGGCCTATCTGTACAAGGGCAATAACTGGTGGGCCCAGAGCGTGGAGCTCTGCAAGAAGGATCATCTCTACAAGGTTGGTGGCCTGGGCCCGTTTCCTCCCACCTTCCTGCCTTGGTGTGTTTCCTGATGGCTTTGGGGGTCACATCCCTTCCCTCTTGTTCCTGAGACCTGGCTCTGAGCTTCACCAGGGGATCCTCGTGGTGGGTGGGGGGATTAGTATTAATGGGAGACCATATTTAGAACATAGAGTAAGAATTGGGAGTGAGCTAGCACCCCTTAAAAACTGTTTGGATTGAAAGACTTGTAGAGTTTTACGGAGTTGATTCTTTTCGCAGCAGTTTTGTGTGAGTTTCACTCTACCAAAACACAGTGTGGCAAGATTCACTTCTTGGCACCTACTTTACTTCCTATCAAGATTTGGGAACTTCCCTGTAATCTCAGCACTTTGGGAGGTTGAGGTGGGTGGAGTGCTTGAGCCCAGGAGTTTGAGACCAGCCTAGGCGACATGGCAAGACCCCATCTTTACAAAAAATTAGCCAAGTGTAGTGATGGACATCTGTGGTACCAGCCACTCGGGAGGCTGAGAAGGGAGGATCACTTGAGCTCAGGAGTCAGAGGCTGCAGTGAGCTATGATCACACCACTGCTCTAGGCAACAGAGTGAGACCCTGTCTCCAAAAAAAAAAAAAGATTTGAGGAATTTAAAAACCTAAATTAAAATCACATTCAAAGGCTGGACGTGGTGGCTCACACCTGTAATCCCAGCACTTTGGGAGGCTGAGGTGGGCAGATCATTTGAGGTCAGGAGTTCAAGACCAGCCTGGCCAATATGGTGAAACCCTATCTCTACTGAAAATACAAAAGTTAGCCGGGTGTAGTGGTGCACTCCTGCAATCCCAGCTACTTGGGAGGCTGAGGCAGGAGAATCGCTTGAACCCAGGAGGCGGAGGTTGCAGTGAGCGGAGATCACGCCACTCCATTCCATCCCGGGTGACAGAGTGAGACTCTGTCTCGGAAAAAAAAAAAGGAAAAAAATAAATAAATCACATTCAAAACATTTGTTTCAAAGCTGGGTACGGTTGTGTGCACCTGTAGTCCCAGCTACTTTAGAGGCTGAAGTGGGAGGATCACTTGAGAGGAAAAAGAAACTGTGTTTTTTCTGCTGGTGAGAGGTTTCTTAGTATCATTCTCAGACCGGGATCTGGGCATCAGCTAGACAGGTTGGGCTGCCTGGAGGGACCCCCAAGACCCTGAAGGCATTAACATCCTCTGCTTGGCCTGAACATCTCCCCGCGGGGGTGAGGTGGAGTTGTACAAGAGGGCCCTTGTGGGTGCTGTGTGATGCAGCTGAGCCAATTCCCAAGGGCTCCTTGTGCCCAAAGACTCTGGACTTGACCTGAGGGTGTTACTTACGGAGTTGGCCTTAGGCATTCCTGAGTATCTTCACAGGACACATGGATACTTGCCACTTCCTGTCCCGCACAGGGGCCTCATTCTCATGGCTCCTGGTCTGCGGCTGTTGGCTCAGACTCCGTGGAGGCCTCTGATGCCTGCATCAGTGTTGCATTGAGTTTCACCCTAAGTTGTCACCTCCAGTGTTCTGGACTGTTCTGTGACATATCCTAGCCCTTGGTGACAGTGCTTGTGATCCTTCCTGAGGTGCCCACAGGGCCCCTGCAGAGGGAATGGAGAGGAAAAGCTGCTGAGGCTCTGAGACCGCACCTGGAGGTCTCTGGACCTGGCTGCTGGGAGGAGACAGCTGGGCTCAGACGCACCTGAGGGAAGGCTGCCCTCGGCTGGCTGATCACAGCCATTCTGTCCTACCCATGTGGTCCCTGTCAGGGGCTTAAACACACAGCCTCCTCAACACTCAGGCAGTGATGAGTGAGCAGGGCCATCAGTGCTGCCAGAGGCCTACTGGCCTTGCCAGCCACCCACTCCGAGCCACGTGGGCCCAGAAGAGAGTCCAGAGGACAAAGCCACAGATAGAAAGTGGCCGAGCACAGGGCCGGGCGCGTTGGCTCATGCCTGTAATCCCAGCACTTTGGGAGGCCGAGGCGGGCGGATCACAGGATCAGGAGATCGAGACCATCCTGGCTAACATGGTGAAACCCCATCTCTACTAAAAATACAAAAAAGTAGCTGGGCGTGGTGGCAGGAGCCTGTAGTCCCAGCCACTCAGGAGGCTGAGGCAGGAGAATGGCGTGAACCCAGGAGGCAGAGCTTGCAGTGAGCAGAGATCACGCCACTGCACTCCAGCCTGGGTGACAGAGCGAGACTCCGTCTCAAGAAAAAAAAAAAAAAAGAAAGTGGCCGAGCGCGCTTCCCCCAGAACAGTGGCTGTCAGCCAGGAATGACTGTGACCCCAGGGAATGTTTGGTTGTCACAGCTTAGGGCGTGGTGCTGTGTATAGGCCGTAGAGGCAGGGATGGGGCCCACAAGCCCCAGTGCACAGGCGGCTCCCCAGACCTCCCAAGGTCAGCACTGCCACTGGAGGAGCCTGCCCTGAGGCCAGAGCTGAAGCCTCCTGGAGTCTTCCTGGAGGAGTGGCCAGGTCACAGCGTGTCCAGTCAGGGCAAAGCCAGCTAGCAACAGAAAACTGTATTTCCAGATGACAGAAGTAGCATTTAAATGAAAGTTCGGTCAGTGGGGCCCTCCCACACCCACCAGTGAAGAGCAGGGGCCTGCGGAAGTACAGGTGTAGACTGGAGAGCTGGACACAGGGATGGGGACCAGGATGAAGCCTCCCTGAGAGTGGCATGGGCCGGGGAGGTGATGAGAGAGGAGGGTGTGGGAGAGCCTGACTCGAGCTGGGCTCCAGGCCGCAGGAGCGGGACACTGACTGGGAGCTTCCTGGGGGCTGCTTCTACTGGAAGTCCTCTGGGAAGGCAGTGAGACAGTCCCCAAGGCCCACAGAGGAGGAACAGAGCAGGGCCCACTTTAGGCACATGTGGAAGACAAGTCAGCAAGGGTAGGCTGGGCCGGTGGAGGGCACGGCAGGGAGACAGATGAGCGGGCGTCACAGGTCCTCAAAGCGGAGACCCAAAGGCACCTGGAGCTCTCACCTGAGGGTCAGAATCCTGGTGCCTTTGTAGGAACAGTGTGGGTCAGGAGGCAGCGATCGATGAGCAGCATGCCAGCGGGGGAGACTTCTTTCCGGAGCCAGCTCAGCACATCGGGTCCATGCAGATGTGGGCACTGGGCGTCCTCAGGGGTCTCCCAAACGGAACTCAGAGGTGTGTGCTGCAGGCGATGGCAGGCATGCAGAGCTGGGACCGCCACAGGGTATCCCTGGAGAGCACAGGTCACAGTCAGTGGATCATGGCCAACTCCAGGTGGAGTGGCCCTGGGCAAGTGACTACATCTGGGTCTCAGGTTCCTGGTCTCTGAATGGGGTACTAATAGCCCCTGCCATAGAAGGAATCAGGTGATCCAGTGCCTGCTGTGGAGCTAGAAAATAGAGAATGGCCACAGAAAGTGCAGGCTTCTTCAGGACTGGTCAGGTGCAGGTGTTATTTTGTCAATGATATTGTCTTAGACAAATACATTTGCAAGGATGAAAATAGCAGTTAGGGGTTTTTGAGCCACTTGAAAGAAAAACACATTGCTGTTTCTAGAGCAGTAGCCGTACCCCTCCTAACTGCTCCCCTGGTGTCACACGCTCCATGGACCTGAGTGCAGCACCTCTGCAGCAGCCCCACAACCCCCAAACTCCCATCAGTGCCTTCCTCAGAGCAGCCTGTGCACGCCCTCTGCCCTCGGGGCTAGAGTTCCTGTCTCCCAGGGCACCTGCGCCTCCGTGAGCCACCTGTCCCCTCCAGAGCCTCCGGAGGTGGCATCTCCGTTTCACCAGTGGGCAGCAGGGCATAGGGAATGGCCCAGCCATGGGTCCAGGCTTGCTCCACAGCGCAGGAAGTCCTTGGTGGAGTCTAGTGCCACTCCCTGCCCTCCGGCCCAGCTGCTGCAGGCACAAAGCCTCTGCCTGCAGGATGCCCAAGCAAGCATTTGCCTTGGCTGCAGGATGCCATGCAGCATGCTGCAGAGTCGCGGGATGCTGAGCTGGCCCAGAAGTTGCTGCAGTGGTTCCTGGAGGAAGGCAAGAGGGAGTGCTTCGCAGCTTGTCTCTTCACCTGCTATGACCTGCTTCGCCCAGACATGGTGCTTGAGCTGGCCTGGAGGCACAACCTCGTGGACTTGGCCATGCCCTACTTCATCCAGGTGATGAGGGAGTACCTGAGCAAGGTAGGTGCCGGGCCGGCTGCAGCTCCCCGGCCCCTGTGTGGCATGACCCAACCCTGGCAGTGACTCTGGCCGCAGGTCTTAAGGGTGGGCCCCTTTGAGGCCAACCCAGATTCCCCAGCCAGCCCTGGCTGCCTTCAGGAGTGGCTGCTTTCCTTCATGCTGAAGTGGTTTTCTGCCCAACGTTAAGCCCCTCCAGAAAATCATCATGGGGAGTGCCCACTGGCAGCAGCCCTCCTGTAGACTCTGGCTGGGCAGCTGTCCCAATGTGCACACTGCTAGGAGCACAACAGGCGTGCTCATCCCCAGCCCTGGACTTCAACAAGGTGACAGTGAGGTGGCTGGCAATCCCAGCTCCCTGAGGAGCTCCCAGTGGCGTCTGGGGGTGCAGCTGTTAGCATACGGTTGGTGGTAGCTGCCTTTTGCTGAACACATAGTAGGAGTATTCACAGATCCACTGAATCCTTCTAACAGCTATAGGGAGGATGACTCTCTGCCTCATCGAAGTGACAGTACTTGATTGTAAAACTCTCCCTGGGTGTTGAAGTCCTAGGAGTCCCTGCTGGGATCTAGCTTTAGCCACTGTCCAGAGACCTGTGTCAGCAGTGTCATCTGGTACAGTTTGTTGTTTCTAACACTGGAAAAGCTACTTCCAGTAGCATCTACTTGCCTATCTAACCTCCTTCAAGCCAGATGGAGAGCCTCGGAAGGCACTCATGCTGAAGCATCACTCAGTGGAGCGAGGGAAGGGAGGGGCCTCCCAGGTGAGTGGGAGGTAGGAAGGAAACAGGAAGGCGGGCTCATGCTGCCAGCTTTAGCCTGGAGGGCTGCCTGCCGCCTGCAGAGCCTCCAGGGGGCTGCCCAGCCCCTGATAAAGGCCATCCCAGAGTCCATTCAAGGCCGTTGCCCTCCTGTAGGACAGTGTGACCCCATCCCATCTGCATAGCATGCCTGAGTGAGACTCCCTGATGACTCTCAAGGGTTGGGGAGGAAGGGACAGCCCTGGCTACGTGGCCTGAGATTCGTGGGCTGCCAGGGGACATGGACTGGTTGGATTGACAAGGGCCCTGGTTCCCCCACCACAGTGGATGGCAACTCCCTACAGGCGGCACGTGTGGTATGTGGTTTGTGGTATGCAGTGTGTGGTGTGCGGTGTCTGGTGCGTGCCTGTGGAAGCTGCTGTCACCATGATGAGCAGGTTTTCCCATCCCTCGGGTGTCTTTCCTGAAAGTAGTCTGTGTTCTGAGAACCAGCACAAGGAAAGAAAGTGCTTGAATCTCTTCCTGGCAGTAGAGGCCCGTGGGTTAGTGTCAGAGGAACTCAGGCTCACCAGGCCCTAGGGAGTGTCATTGCTGTGGGGGTCAAAGTGCTTGTGGGGATCCCCCAGGACTTTGAGGCGCACATTCCCTTTCTGTTGCGGATGATGGAGTTAGCAGCCACTATCACGTTGGTCCACACTGTGGCTGCACAGCCTTGGCCCAGGGTTCCCAGACTCCACTGGCCCTGGGAGGTGGTGGCTGCTGGAGCACCTTCTCTGCTGCCACCCACCTATTCCTGCTGGGGCAGATGAGACGCCTGTCATGGGGAGAGTTCAAGGAGAGGAGGGGGCTGGCAAGGGGTTTCCCAGTCAGTGGCATGGGGGTGTGAGCTGATTGTCAGCTTGAGCTGGTGCTCAGCTGACACCACACAGCAGTGCTGGGAGAATGAGGGCGCGGACAAGAAGCACAGTCCTTTCCTGGTGGACAGCTGGGCCTGGGGCCTCGTGGCTCATCTGGGAAGCTTGAGGGCCATCCCTCTGAGACGCCCCCAGCGCTCTCCCATTGTAGGGAGGGTACAGGCCTAGCTCAGCCCTCACCCTAGGTGTCAGCAAGTGTGCCCCCTGCTTCCTCCTCATTTCTCAGCCCCCCCCAGACCCCAGCTCATGGGGGGCACATTCTTATTTCTCTTTCTTACTCAGTGTGTTTGTGAGGGGATCCTAGCTGCACAGTTGCTGCCGCCCCTCTAGTGCAGTGCTGCCGCCTCGCTCTCTGGCAGTGGGTGGGGTCAGTGCCTGGTGAAGCCTCAGGGAAGAGTGAGGAGGCAGTTTGTCCTCAGTGCTTCTCAGGTGAAGTGTCTAGGTGCCAGGTGACTTGTCTCTGAGAGCCACATGATCTCTCTGCTGGTTTGGAGGGGCGGGCAAACTAGACTGGCCAGAGCCAGAAGCAGACAGTGTTCCCTGCACATGGCCCCAGCCCTGCAGGTCGGTAAGTGGCAGTGTCCCTGTATCCAGAGGAGGACTTGGCCCCCCATAAGCAGGCCACATGCACAGCCTGTAACAACTGACTGCCCCAGTGCCCACTGGGAAGCTCTGGGGGCCCCACCTGGCGTTCCATCTCAGCCCAGCTACCGAGGCTTCACCTCTCCATGCCTTGCTGCATTCTAAAAGTGCATGGGGTGTGGGCTGAGCCACTCCACATCTGCCCATGTGCACCTCCTCCACTGTCATTCTCCTGGAGGCCCTGTGTCCTGACCTTCCACTCCACTTTCACCTAGAGGCCGGACTGCACTCTGTCAAGCGGGTGCTCACGTGCTTTTGCCTCCTTGCAGGTGGACAAACTGGATGCCTTGGAGAGTCTGCGCAAGCAAGAGGAGCATGTGACAGAGCCTGCCCCTCTCGTGTTTGGTAGGTGGCACCTGTAGCCCCCAACCCCCTGGGGAGGGAGCAGGGAGGGAGTCAAAGTCCCACTGCCCTTACCTGGCTGGGCTTTGGATGGGGATGGGAATAGATGGGTGGGGGCTGGAAGGATCCCAGTGGCTACTGGGTGTGGAGAAGTGTACGCCCAGGAATGTTGGCACGGCCGCTGTCCTCCCTGCTGTAAGGATGCCTGCCTTCTGATAGGGGTGCCTGCCTAGCTGTGAACTACTGCTGTGTCCTGCTGGGCCTGGCCCCTGGACAGCAAGGCTGCTGCTGGTGTGTGCTGGGAGGGGCTTTGCACCTGAGAACCTGCCCAGGGCAGCCTGGCTGTCGAGCAGACTGGAGAGGCTGTGGGGTGCTTGGACACTGTGGGGCAAACACAGGCCTGAGGGTGTGGTGTGAGTGTGCAGCACGCCGGCGGGTCTCCAGCGTCCGGCTGAGTGTGTCCTTCCACCATTAATGTCATTCTGGTTTTTTTAGATTTTGATGGGCATGAATGAGACCCAGCTGATTGCACTAAGTAAGTGTCCCATTTGGAGACTAGCTTATCCTCTAGCCAGGCCAGGTTCTCTGGCTGACCCCACGCTCCTTGCCTCTGGATGCCTGCTCTCTTGGGGCCTCAGCGTCTGGGTGGTAAGGGCTGGTCCTATAGACCCTGCTCCCTGGGCCCCGGGCTACTCAGGGGCAGCCAGGAGAGGACCCCCATGGGCAGGAAGAGCTCTGCTCATTGTGGGCTTCCCCCTCTGCAGGCCCTGCCGTGGGCCCAGCCCCTGCCAGCTTCCCCTATGGATATGCCTCTGCTCCCAACTTCGCCAGCCTCCAATGTACAACTTCCGCGTGTAGTGGGCGTTGTCACCACCCACCCTACCTGCAGAGTTACTAACTTCTCCAAGGAGCATGTCACTCCAGCAGCACAGGGGACGCAATGGGAGGCAGGGACACCTGGACAATATTTATTTTTGCTGAAACCCAATGACGGCAACCTCTGAGCCATCCCAGAGCCTGGGGAGGCCAGGGTAGAGGCTGACGGCGCAAGACCAGCTTTAGCCGACAACAGAGACTGGACTGTGGGCCCTCCTGCTGGAGCCAGGCCTTCCTCCTGGGCGCCTCCGACTGGCTGGAGCTGCCCCCTCCAGGCCAGTTTGAAGACTACATGAACACGTCTTGTTTGGAGGTACCGGACCTCATAAAAGGACTCTCAGCCTCTTGGCAATCATAAATATTAAAGTCGGTTTATCCAGGCAAAGGTGCTCTGCTTGGTGCTGGTATGGGTAGGAGGGACGGGCCAGTTTCCTAGGCCCCGCAGTCCATTAAAGATTTGCTGGGTCCTCTTTGGGGTGTGGGACCTCCGTTGCCCAGACAAGCTGCCTAGGAGAATACAGCCGCTTGCATTTGTGGTCTTTCCTGACCTTGTTCGCTGAGCGCAGAAACTACAACCGGGAAAGGTGTGGGTGGGAACCGGCAGGTGAGGCCCGGCCCGTGGCTGCTGCGGGAGGGGGGCCCGGCGGCGTAGCCCCTTCTCACCGGCCTCCCGCCTCCCGCCTCCAGGTTTGAAACGTTAGAGTTCCTCTGGGACTGGGCTAGCCCCACGTGTTTTCGGGGAGGGTGTGCCCCTGGCCTCCGGGATCCCTGGGGATCCCGCCGCTCTCGACAGTCGCGCAGACCCGAGGCCCGCTATCCCGCGGCGCGGCACACAGTGCACCTTGACCCACTGCTCGGAGCTGGGCCACGGCTCCGCCTCCCGCAGCCCCGCCCCCGTCCCGCCGCTCGCGGTCGCCCAGGGACTCGGCCTCGGCCATTGGCTGCGCTTTGGCCCCGCCCCTACGCCTGCCTCGGCGCGCCCCGCCCAGGCCTCAGTTTCCCGGCCCGCACGGGGCGGGCTGGGGGCGGGGCCTGGCTCGGACCACGCGGGGCGGGACCTGGAGCTGACGCGGCCGCCCCGCCCCTGGGACCATAACCGGCCGCCGCCGCCACCGCGGACCGAGCGCGGAGTTCTGGAGTCTCGGACCCGAAGCCGCCACAGGGCGCCCCGCCTCCCGCCCGCCATGCCCGCGCCCCGCGCCCCGCGCGCTCTGGCGGCCGCCGCGCCCGCGTCCGGGAAGGCCAAGCTGACGCACCCGGGGAAGGCGATCCTGGCAGGTGGGCCCCTCCGGGACGCGGACCCCTCTCCCGCCGCGCTTCTGGGTGGGCCCGGGACGCTGAGGCCCCGCCCCACTTCCGGGTTGGGCCGTGGGCTGGGGAGTCGTGGAGGCGCGGTCCTGGTCCCCACCCGGCGCGCTGGGACTCGCCCGCCTCCCGTCTGTCACCCCCTGCGCCTCGCCGGGACAACGGGGTGAGGGCATGGGGGCGTGGGGCCCCAGCCTATGTTCCCCGCGGCACTGGCGCGGCGGCCGCGCCGACCGAAGTCCGGGACGGGGGAGGGGCCCGAGCGCCAGCGGCCGGGCGGGAGTCTCAGGAGCGGGTTCCCGGTCCCTGCAGGCGGCCTGGCGGGTGGCATCGAGATCTGCATCACCTTCCCCACCGAGTACGTGAAGACGCAGCTGCAGCTGGACGAGCGCTCGCACCCGCCGCGGTACCGGGGCATCGGTGAGGAGGGGGAGGCCGCGGCGCCGCGGGGGGCGGGTACCCAGGGCGGCGGCACCGAGGGCCGTGGGGTCCTGACCGCCCCCTCCCCCAGGGGACTGCGTGCGGCAGACGGTTCGCAGCCATGGCGTCCTGGGCCTGTACCGCGGCCTTAGCTCCCTGCTCTACGGTTCCATCCCCAAGGCGGCCGTCAGGTGAGGCCCGGCCGGTGGCTGCTGCGGGAGGGGGGCTCGGCCGCGGCAGCCCCTCTCACCCGCCTCCCGCCTCCAGGTTTGGAATGTTCGAGTTCCTCAGCAACCACATGCGGGATGCCCAGGGACGGCTGGACAGCACGCGTGGGCTGCTGTGCGGCCTGGGCGCTGGCGTGGCCGAGGCCGTGGTGGTCGTGTGCCCCATGGAGACCATCAAGGTGGGGAAGGTCCTGGCGAGGACCCCGGACACGCAGGGAGTACGGAGACGGGCGGCCCCGCTGGCCCGGTGCTCCCGGGGCAACCGGCAAGCTGGGGAGGGTCTCCTGGACGCCAGGGAAGGCCGGCGGGGTGACCGCGGGGCCCTGGGGCAGGACGCCTGCCACGAAGGGCCACCCGTGGAGGCTGAGTCTATGCTAAAGGCAGCCTTAAAGTCTTTAAAAAATACTTTTATAAAGCAGAAAACAAAATGACACCTTCACTGCCAAAACTGGAAAAGAGCAGCAAACATAAAGGGAGAGGCTGCTCACAGGGCTGCCCTGTGTCCCAGAGCATGGTCCGTGTGGGCTGCCCTGTGTCCCGGGGCATGGTCCGTGTGGGCAGCCCAGGGCGGCCTTGGCTGCACTGCTTCCTGGGGAAGAGTTCCCAGTTCCCTCCACCCTGGATGGGCCCTGGGCCTGCCAGCTAGCCAGGACCCACCCAGGTGGCAGCCGAGAACCTGCGCCTTTGCTTCTCTCTCTCAGGTGAAGTTCATCCACGACCAGACCTCCCCAAACCCCAAGTACAGAGGATTCTTCCACGGGGTTAGGGAGATTGTGCGGGAACAAGGTGAGCCACTCGACCTTCCTGATAGGGCTCAGGGACCTGGGCCAGGGTGGGAAGGGCCTGCACCTCCCATCCTGCCTTGGGCTTTGTGCAACACCCACCCCCCACACACACCAATTCCCAACCGGGGCCTGAGAGGCTGCAGGGTAACCCCGTGCCTGCCTTCCCGCAGGGCTGAAGGGGACGTACCAGGGCCTCACAGCCACTGTCCTGAAGCAGGGCTCGAACCAGGCCATCCGCTTCTTCGTCATGACCTCCCTGCGCAACTGGTACCGAGGTGTGTCTGCATCACAGGGCCCCATCTCTGCACATGGCCAGCTCCTCTCCTCTCCTTGGGGCCACCCCTGGGTGGCGGGCACCCACCTTTTGAAGTGCTGATCCAGGCCCCTCCCGGCACCCTCTGACCCACCTCACCCCTCCTATATCCAGGGGACAACCCCAACAAGCCCATGAACCCTCTGATCACTGGGGTCTTCGGAGCTATTGCAGGCGCAGCCAGTGTCTTTGGAAACACTCCTCTGGATGTGATTAAGACCCGGATGCAGGTGGTGGGGCCGGGAAGGGGAGGGGAAGGGGGGACCAGGCCAGAGCTAGCTGCTGAGCCCCTGCCTGCTGATGTCCCCCATAGGGCCTGGAGGCGCACAAATACCGGAACACGTGGGACTGCGGCTTGCAGATCCTGAAGAAGGAGGGGCTCAAGGCGTGAGTGGGGGAGGGGCAGGGCTATTGTCCCCACCTCAAACCTTTCCCGGCCTACCTGGCCTGCCCACTCTGTCCCCTTCAGGCCTCTGTGCCTCTCACTTCAGTATCTGGGGATTGCCCTGTGCAGGGACACTGTGCTGACCTGCCTTCCTCTCCCCGCCCCTCCTCCCACCCAGATTCTACAAGGGCACTGTCCCCCGCCTGGGCCGGGTCTGCCTGGATGTGGCCATAGTGTTTGTCATCTATGATGAAGTGGTGAAGCTGCTCAACAAAGTGTGGAAGACGGACTAAGCCTAGAGAGGCCGCAAGGGGACCGCCCCAGGCACCGCCAGAGTGTCCTGCTACCTTTGTCTCACGATTCCAGTGCAGTAGTGCCAAAAGGCCCCTTCCCACGTCCCTCGAGCTCTGTAGCCTGGTCTGTGCATTGTGGCTGTCAAATCCATGTGTCCCCCCTGTGGTCTGTGTGTGACACCACCACTGTGTCCCAGTGTCTGGCCCAGCCATGGCTGGATGTGCATCTGGCCTATGACCCTGTGCCTGTGTTTCATGTTCTGTGTCACGTGACCCTGTGCCCCGCCTCCCGGGGTGCCCGTGTGGCCTGGGTCCTCGGCCCTGTAGCCCTGGCCCGGTCCCAGTCCGGTGCCTTCCACCCTGCCCTGGCCTACCACAGCTGCCTCCGGGCCTCGGCCTGGCTTCACCGCATTCCAGGGGCTGCAGCCCCCTGCTTCTCCCGCCATTGGCCTTAACTGGCCCTCGGGCCCTCTCTCCGCCCCGGACAGGGTGGCACCCACCACTCTCAGGACCACCCTGCCAAGGCAGAATAAACCGGATCCTGTTGCAGCCTCCTGTCCTGTGTTCGTCCCTGTATGGACCCATCTATGCATGGGCATTGGTGGCTGTGCCTCTGCAGGGGACCAGGCCACCCCCATCTGAGGACACTGCAGTAGGGGGACAGGGAAAGCCTAGTGTCCACCCAGGGCAGAGCAGCTGTGGCCACAGTGTTGGCTCCCTGAGAAGCCCAGCGCCAGGCCAAGAAGGATCTGGGTGCACCCTGGCCTTCCCTGTGGCCTCTGGGCAAGATCCCGTGGCATGGGTAAAAGGGTGTGTTGACAAGGCCTAGGGGTGGCCTGGCAGAGTGTTCAGAGCAGGGGGCTGGGCCCAGGAGATGGAGCCCCCAGGACGACTGCCTGCCCCTCACCCACAGGGAAGCTTAGGGAAGGGTTGGGTTGCCCAGGGCCCCTCTGGGGTATGCCCAGCTCCTCAGTGAGTGAAATGGGCTGCTCGTGGGGAGGAGGAGATGGGGGCACGTTGAGGCCTCTGAACTCCAGGTGGGGGTGGGTGTCTGGCATCTGCTACCCAAAGGCTCTGGGCAGGGGCCCTCCCTTGTTCCTTCACCTGGGCTGGGAGGCAGCTGCCCTGGGGCAGCAGGAGGTGGGGCTGCCTGACCAGGGCTCTCTGGGCACCTCATGCCACAGCCATGAGCCTCAGAGAAAGGTGTCCCTCTGGCTGGAGGCCAGAGCTCTGAACTGGCATGTCCCCATGGGGCCAAGCCCCTCTTTCCACAGCCTATGAGCCACGTGGAGGACGCTCAGGCAGGATGGGATCACTTAGTGCCCCTGGCTGTGCAGAGAAGCCAGCTTCCTGTCCAAGTGCCTCCGTGGGGGAAGAGTCATGCAAGCGTTTGGCTCAGACTGGAGAACAAGCTTTTGCCAGCCAGAAACTCCATGTGAACAGGTCCCGTCCCTGGGGAGACTGCCCTGTCCTAGTGACCTCACACAGCACCAGATGCCTGGAATCCCGGGAATGTGCAGCTGGGGAGGAGTCTGGGGTGCAAAGGGCCCGAGGTGGATCTGAGAGCCAAGCATGGGCTTGGGGGTACAAAGGGAGCACGGGGTTTTGAAGCCTCCTTGGGGAGAGCCGCTGGGCTGGGGAGGGCTCGGGGTGGCTCAGCACTCAACCTGTGCTGTGATGGGATGGCCATGCACTCTCTATCCTCACGGCAGACTTCCCCATCTGTTGCCACAGAGAAAGGGCCCAGGCAACAGAGCTTCCCCTTCCGCCCCTGTGCACTAGGGCATGCAAGTGCCACCATGAGAACCCCACGCCAAGATGCTTCCTGTCCCTGGAGCTCAGGCCACTGGTTCTGCACCTCTGAAGCTTTGTTGTGGGGTGGCAAGCAGGCAGTGGGCCACACTGGTCCACAGTGCCAGCCATGAAACCTGGAGGGGCACTCAGCTCTCTGGGGCCTGCCCTCCAGGCCTCAGCATCCACTTGCTGTACTCCCTGCCGGTGCTCAGAATCATGCTTAGCTCAGAGCAAGCCCTCACACATGGCAGCTTTATTCTTGGGGTTGCAAGAGGTTGTTTACAGTCTCCCCAGGTTCCAGGCAGTTCTGGGAGCAGCCAAGCCCTCGCAGCTGCCTGGAGGGGACCCCCACCCTCACATACTGACCTCCAGAGATGCCAGCCACTCACTGCACACCTGCACCGAGTCCTGTCCCTGTCCCTCTCCACAGGAAGGGGCCGAGGCTGCACTAGGTGAGAGCAGGGTGTAGGATGGCATGGGTCTCCACCCTCCCTGGACCCCTGCCATCCTCAGGGTCACCTCGAATCACCTTTGAATCACACGGCAGACATCAGATAGCCCAGCCAGAAATGTTGATTGAGCTGGGTCTGAGTCCCTTGGGGCCACGAGCATGGAGGAGCCACGTACTCTGGTAGATAGAACCCACACTGTAGGCTGCTTCACACATTCCCTCAAGAAGCAAGCAGCCTCCAGTCTTGGAGCTGAGACCCAAGGGGAAAGGTGTCTGTGCAGGAAAGAGCTGGAGGCTGGAGAGGCAGGCAGGGGCCTGGAGGGAGCCAAGTTGCATTTAACCAGACTGCAGAGAGGAGGCCCGCAGCAGGGAGTAGCACAGACTAAGAACACTGGGGCGCACCTGCCCTTAAGGGGCAGAGGAGCAGAGACACGTGGATGGGTCTCCAAGCTAGTCTGCAGGCAGAAGGGTCTTGATTTCTAGCCTGGTGCTCCACGTTTCCCCACTAACCAGGATGCTCGGCCAGTGCTGGGGAGAGCCCCAGGAGGTGGCTAAGTGCACATCGGAGGAGTGGATGGAGACTCCAGGTCACCATGTCCTGCTCCAGCCAGAGCCACGGTGACCAGTTAAAGTCACAGTCTGGAATCTGAACCTTACGGACTGTGCCCAGGAGAGACAATGGCCTCAGAGAAAAGGAAAAGGGAGCTGGTGAGGTCGTGACCACACCTAGGGCAGGGCTTGGCTAACCTCCAGCCTTGTCCTCACTGCTGTGGGACTGAGGCCTCCAGGCAGCTACCCCGCTCCATCTTCCCGCTCCCCAGATTCCTTGACGCTCCCCAGATTCCTTGGCATTCCCCTCACACACTGCTGCGTGCCACGTCCCCCAGACCGGGTTTTCTGTCCCTGTGTAGATGATGAATGGCAGTCAGAGCTTAGTATTCAAAAAAGCCAATGACTCCTGTGGATGGGTCTGTCTCCTCTTCACCAACAAAGAGAATGCTGGTCCGTCTCAGCACTCACAACAAACACTATCTTGGTCGAGGATGCAAGAGTACTATTTTCCTCACTTTTTATTTCCTCTGTGTTTTCACAGATTCCCTGCACAGGGTCTTAGGTAAGGGGCATAGAACCAGGGGCCACCTCAAGACCTGGGAACATGGACTGAACACAGACAAACGGGACAGGGGCAGAGGTGATGCAGGGACAGTGGAGAACTGAAAGGACAGTCTGAAAGGGGTGACGGGAGGACCACAGAGAACACTGAGGATCACGGATAAACATGACAAGGCCACCATGGGTGACCCATGGGAAACATGGTGGCCCTGTAGTTCCACTCCACCCATTCCTACCTGACAAATATCCCTGAGAGCAGCCTCCCTTCTGCTCAGGTTGGGCCGGACCCTGACCCCTGACCCTCCCCAACATGGCCCTTATTACACTGTTGTCACATTTGTCCCCTCTGCCAAATCACATCCATCCACCACCCAACGCCCACTTAATTCTCCATTGACCAGGCCTGACCTGGGAGCCATGACCTGGGAAGCTACACTTAGCCACAGGAGTGTCATCTCCTGAAGTGACCTCAAGGGATGCACCATCTCATCCCTCTGCCCCCAAGTTCTGCTCAAATCCCTGCCGTGGCCGGTGGCTCACTAGCTCCAAGCAGCCGAAGCTCCGTCTCACAAGCGCGGTTCCTGGAGCTCCTGGGGCCCGGGGCACATTCCATGCGCTGGGGGCTGGGGCAGCCGAGGCTGGCGGCCATTCTGCTAGTCGCCCCGAGGCAGCCCTATGCAGGCCCCTGCCGCCGCTACCGATGACCCTGACCAGTCACCCCCTCCTCTCGGGGCCCGGGAGACTCGCCTGGGGTTGTAATGGAAGAAGGTAAATAAAATGCCAGCGATCGTGATCCGGGGGCTCATCCTGCGGGCCGGCCCAGGTCACGGGAGAGGCGCTGTGCCCGCCAGGGCCAGGAGGGTCGCCTGCGCTGAGGGGCGGGGGCCACGGCCGCAGACCACCCGGGCCCCGCTCAGTACCCGGCCATAGGGGGACACGGAGAAGCTTCCTGGGGACCATTTCCGAAAGAGGAATGGACTTCCTCAGCCTCGGGGACCGGCCATCCAGGCAGGGAGGGCCGCCGAGTCGGATCGCGTTCCCGTAGCCCACAGGCTGTGGGGGCGACCACGCTTGCGCTCGGAAGTTGGGGCGGCGCGCGCTGATGGCGTCACGAGGGCGCGTCCAGTCGTCTGGGGCGGCGCACGCGCTCTCCCGTTGCTGCTGGGGCTGGAGCCGCGCTGCTCAGACCCTGGCTGCCTTTGCCGCCTGCACCGCCACTGACTCGACCCCTCGTCCGAGATTGATTGGGCTGCTTGGAGGCCCCTCGCGGTCACTGCCACCAGCCCCTGATCTTCGGGTTTCATCGCGAGTCCCCGTCCTTGCCTGCAGCCCCTGGATTCTCGCCGGCCCAGCCACATCGTCCACCCTCCCCGAGCCTCTGGCGGCGCCTCCCGGGACCAGCGGGGGCCCACGCTGGAGGCTGCCTGGGCCATTCTGACGCACCAGCCTGAGGGAACATTCCCTGGCCTCCCGCCCCTCCTTTCCCCTGCCTAGAGCTGGCCTGCGTGTCCCAGAACTGGGCTTCTCCCGCCTCACCTGCTCCCCACCGCACTCCAGATCGCTGCGGGCGCGGCTTCCTCGCCCTGGAGCACTCTTCCTCTCCCTCCGCATTTTCCCTGTAATTCACACTGCCCTTCAGGCCCTGCCTGGCCCTGTGCATGTGGGGTGCCTGTTTCCCCTTCCCGAAGGGCGCCCTCCCATCCGGTTGTCTAACTGTGTCCTCGGACCCAAGCTCCCAGAGGGCAGAGCCTGGGTCTGTGGCTCACGCCTGTGTCCCCTCCACAGGGCCTGGATGGGAGAATCGTTGGTCACTGCTGAAGGAAGAAAGGGAGGAAGGGAGATGAGAGGGAAGGAAAGACAAATGTACTTATGACTGCGTCTTTTCCTCCACTTGGGACTTTTTGTTCCAATGTCCCTAGTCTCAGCCATGGGAAAGAAGATGGGGACCCAGAGCGCTCCACTGGCCTCTCCTCTGCTACTGCCCACCCCATCCTGCCTGCCTGGTCAGCTCCAGTCCAGCCACTTGTTGCTGCCTGTAGGCTCATGTAAGGCACAGTGACCTTGCCACATCTCCATGGAGGAGGAGGCAGGTGTAAGCACACCCCTCTGAGCCACCTACTCTGGGGGCCTGCTGGCAGGAACAGGAGAAGGAGTCAGGGTTGGGGTTGCGTCCCCACAGAAGATAGCAGTGAGCACAGGCCACACACGACACTGGCACATTCTGGTTGGGCCTTTCCTTAGCCGGCTCCATTCCTCAGATAGGAAAACCCAGACAGAGACAAAGGACCTACCTGGGACCTGTATAGGTCCAGTCCCTCCCTCTGCCGCCTAGTGAGAGAGGACTGAAGATGAAGAGTGAGGATGAATTGAGAGCAGGTGGTGTCACATCTGCCCTGTCAGTGAGTTGGTCAACAGAGGTCTTTAGGGGGCTATACCTGGACAGGGACCCCAAAGGGAAGATGGAGGGTCTGCAAGGGGGCTGCTAGCTGCTGTCAGCGTCCACCCAGTCTGCAGGCTGCCCCCTGACCCTGCTTGATGGGGACAGGTGTGTCATGCATGTTGCCGTGCAACCCAAGCTCAGTGTGTGGGTGGCACCCAGGGCTGCACTGGCTGTCAGGGTCCACAAGTGGTCTGGGTCAGGATGGGGCAGGAACATCCTTCTCTGAGTTCCCTGATTACCCAGGAAGGCTGGCGGGGCAGGGGGTCCACTCATCCAGACCCGTTGGCCAGCCCACCAAGGTGTGCATCTCCCTTTTGGCTCCAAGGCCCGCCTTGGCCGGGTGACAGCTGGGGAAACTGATACCAGCTCGTAGCTCTGGACTGCTGGGTGGCAAGGCCCTGTGGTCGCTGGGAGCCAGGCTTCCTCAGTCCCGCGCGTTCGCTGCTGACAATTGAGCGACCAAAGCAGATTAACTTGGGTGTTAATCCCCACCTAATGGCTTCAGAATCCCCGGCTCCAGGAGCTAAGCCGTCCTTTCTCCGAGCGCGGCCGAGCCCTCCGCGGCTTCAGCCCCGCAGCGGCGCCGATGCTATCTCTGCCTGCCCGGCCGCGGTACCGCGCTAATCCCCGGCGCTCCTTTCTTCCCCGGCCCGTCCAAGGTCGGCCGATTGGGGTTTGATTATGGCCGCTATCGAGGGCCCCTTTGTGCGACCGGCCCTAAATCCCCTAATTCCGTGATAAAAGAGGCATTAGCGGGCGTTTGTGGCTGAGAAAGGAACAGAGATGAAAGAAAGCAATCAGGAGATCCGGACGGCCGCGCCCTCGAGGCGGGGTGGCCTCGACCCAGCGGGGGGCGGCCTGGGCCCGGGCTTCCTCCACCCCAACCAGCCCTGAGCGGGGCCAGCGACCCCTCCCCACCTCCTTGGCTGTCCCTCCCCACTGTTCCGGCTGCCACTTGGCTCGGGAACCCCCTGGGCTCACATGCCGAGGGACCACCCCCCTACCTCAGCCTCACTTTTGCATGTGCGGGATCTGAGGGACCTAACCCCCGGCTCCCTGGGCCCTAGCTGCTCCTGCGTCCCGGCCCTGACTGTCCAAATCCAGTGGTCTGTCCGTGCCCACCCAAAGCTCCATTCCTCTGTGGCCTCTAATTCTCCCCCAGCCCCTCCAGATCCCTGCCCTCTTCATCTGCCTCAGTTTCATCCAGTCCTGGAAACAGTCAGGTCTGTTCTTTAGTCGGGGAAAGAAATGGTGGCAGCCGGGAGCACTGGGATTGTCTAGAGAGGTGCAGGTGGGGACAGTAGGGAAGGCCCCCTTGCAGAGGTGCCAGGAGCCCCAGGATAGGGCGTCAAGGAGCCAGGGTGGATGCATTGAAGGAGCTGACCAGGGACCTGGGCAGCTGAGAGTGAGGAGGGAGGGGACAGATGGGAGAGGTGGCAGAGTCCAGGGCTTCCAGGGACTGAGGACCACTCACTCCGGGCATCTGAAGTGAGGGTGCCATGATGGGACTTCTGTTTGTGGCAAGCATTGACGCCTCTCGGGGAGGCTCACTTTGGGGAGGAGGACAGGAGAGAAAAGTTGCTGGGAGTGGGTTCAAAAGCCAGCCACTGTGGGGGTGCCGGTGGCAGACATCTACGACTGGCGCCAAGGTGGAGGCAGTGCAGAGGGACAGGCGTGGGCAATACCAGATGGAGCTGGAGGTGGACGATGAGATCCGAGGTGGGAGTAGGGAGTGCTAAGCATTGCCCACCAGCTGAGCCTTGAGCAGCTCTAGAGTCAGGTGAGCGCTGCACAGGTGAGTGAGTGGGGCATCTACCTGGACGGACAGGTGTGTGTTTACCAAGGTGCACAGGTGAGTGAGTGGGGCATTTACCTGGACGGACAGGTGTGTGTTTACCAAGGTGCACAGGAGTCGAGGTGTGTGTTTACCCAGGTGAGTAGGTGGGGCCGCGGGCCATTTACTGGGAAGACAAGGGGATGGGTGTGCATAGATGGCTCTATTCAGATCCCCTTTAGGGGTCAGCCTACTGGTCCCCAGCTGCTGACTGTTGCCTCCTGGTGGCTCATGGCCACCTTGGTCTTGGAGAATTGTCCTGGGGAATGAGAGCCACCCACACAGCAGCCCTCCAGACCCAGAGGCAGAACCCTGACAATGGCTGATACCTGGGCATCCCTGCTTTGCCGAAAGGTGGTTCAGATCTGTGAAGTTCTCAGTGTCTGCCACAGCGGTTCCATGTGGAATGATGAAAACTGACCTGTAACAGAGACAGCTTTCTGCTCAGCAGTCTGCACTCTACCACCCAGCCCTGTCCTACTTCCACGGTGACCAGGCATCTCAGTTTTCCCAAGACTAAGGAATTTCCCGGAAAGCAGGGCTGTCAGCACCAAAACCTGGGAAAGTCACAGGCAAATCAGGATGGGGAGTCCCTCTAGGTTTCTGTTGTGTCTCCCAAAGAGATGCCAAAGTCCTCGCTCATCCTATCTGTGAATGTGAACTTATTTAGAAATAAGATCTTTGCAGATGTAATTACACTTAAATTAACTAGCTGGGCATGTTGGTACACATCTGTGGTACCAGCTACTTTGGAGGCTGAGGTGAGAAGATTGCTTGAGCCCAGAAGGTTGAGGCTGCACTGAGCTGTGACCACATCACTGCACTTCAGCCTGGCCAAGAGAGCAAGACCCTGCCTGTAAACCAGACAACAACAAGAACCATGCAAATGAAGATGAAGTCATACCGGAGTAGGGTATGTCCTTAACCCAGTAAGACTGATGAAGTCCTCAGAAGAGAAGAGCCACATACAGGAGAAGACCATGTGGTGACCAAGGTGGAGATGGGAGGGGGCATTTGTGAGCCAAGGAATGCCCAGTGGGTCCAGCAAGGCCAGATGCTGGGAGAAGGGCACCGGGTAGACTGTCCCCTGGAGCCTTCCGAGAGCACGACACTGCTGACACCCTGATCTGGGTTCCTGACCTCTGGAAGTATGAACAAGTAAGCTCCTGTTGGAAACCGTTCAGGGCTCAGCACCACCGGAAGGCAGCACAGACTTCCTCACTCTCCTGGGCACACGCTCAGCAACAGCCCGAGAACAAGAATCCTTGCTTCAGGCTTTGCTTCTAGGGAACTCGACCTCAACAGTGGGTGTCTGGTGGGTGGCCCTGGGAAGCCCACCTGAAGGACAGCACTCTGAAATTGGCTCCTGCGCCGGCAGGGTGGCAACGAGGAGCTGTCACTCTTCTCGTGTTTCCAGCATTTTGTGGTGTTCCATCCTCGTAGATGCCAAGGTGTCAGGTGGAGAACTGACAGCCCCCGGCCTGGGTCACAGTGTGACAGTAAGAACTGTCACCAGGGGGAACTGGGATGGGAGACATTTGGAGGCAGTGTCACTGGTGCAGTGCCCTGGGCACCTGAGAGGTGGGGAGGAACTCCAAGAGCCATGGGACTGAGAGGCTGTTGCTAAGCACTGTTGATTCCTTGAGGAGAGAACATGACAGATCCAGACACACCGATCAACAGCATGAAGCAGAGTGCCCCGCATCAGAGCCCAGCTGGCACATGCAGAGACTGGCCGGCGGGTGGACAGAAATGAAGATGAGGCCCCGGGGGTTAGTGGAGCACAGCCGAACTCCAGGAGAAGCAGGGGATCTCAACCTAAACAAGGCTCTCACAGCAAAGTGACAGCCTGATAGTGAAGGGGTGGGACGCTGATGTGTGGGGCGGTGTATCTGAGTGGATGGCCTTGCGCACTTAGGTTTTTTATTTTGAGAGTTTTTTTTTTTTTTTGAGACAGAGTTTTGCTCTCATTGCCCAGGCTACACTGCAGTGTTGCAATCTAGGCTCACTGCAACCTCTGCCTTCTGGTTTCAAGCAATTCTGCCTCAGCCTCCCAAGTAGCTGGGATTACAGGTGCCCACCGCCATGCCCAGCTAATTTTTTTTGTATTTTTAGTAGAGATGGGGTTTCACCATGCTGGTCAGGCTGGTCTCGAACTGCTGACCTCGTGATCCACCCGCCTTGGTCTCCCAAAGTGCTGGGATTACAGGCGTGAGCCACCGCGCCCGGCCTTGAGGGGTTTATTTGACATGGAGTCTTGCTCTGGTGCCCAGGCAGGAGTGCAGTGGCATGATCATAGCTTACTGCAGCCTCCAACTCCCAGGCTCAAGTGATCGTCCCACCTCAGCCTCCCAAGTAGTTGGGACTACAGGTGTGCACCACCATGCCCTGCTAATTTTTAAAAAATATTTTTTAGAGACAAGGTCTCACTATGTTGCCTAGGCTGTTTTCAAACTCCTGGCCTCAAGTGATCCTCCAGCCTCGGCCTCCCAAAATGCTGGGATTATAGGCATGAGCCACCATGCCAAGCCCTTTATACCTTTTCTATATTTTTCTTGCTTTATTGCACTGACTAAAACCTCCAGGACAACGTTGAATAGAAGTGTCATGGATATCCTTACTTTACTCTTAATTTTAGGGAGAAAATAACCAACGTTTTGCCAGAAAGTATGATATTAACTGCAGGTTAACTATAGATTATTAATAAAGTTGTTCATTATATTCCCTTATTATTCTTTTAAATTCTGCAGAATCTATAGTTACATCCCTTCCCTCAGTCCTGATATTAGTAATTAGTGTTCCTTTTTTCTGATTCAGTTTAGTTTATTAATTTTGTTTATCTTTGGCTTCATTATTTTCTCTATTTTTGCCTTTTTTTTTTTTTTTTTTTTTTCTGAGATGGAGTCTTGCTCTGTCGCCCAGGCTGGAGTGCAGTGGCGTGATCTCGGCTTACTGCCAGCTCCGCCTCCCAGGTTCACGCCATTCTCCTGCCTCAGCCTCCCAAGTAGCTGGGACTACAGGTGGCCGCCACCAGGCCCAGCTAATTTTTTGTATTTTTTAGTAGAGACGGGGTTTCACCGTGTTAGCCAGGATGGTCTCGATCTCCTGACCTCGTGATTTGCCCACCTTGGCCTCCCAAAGTGCTGGGATTACAGCGTGAGCCACCGCACCCGGCCTATTTTTGCCTTTTTATATATTATTGACTCTATACAAAAAAAATCTTCTTTTACTTGCTTTTGTTTTTTTTGAGATGGAGTCTTGCTCTGTCACCCAGGCTGGAGTGCAGTGGCAGGATCATGGCTCAATGCAGTCTTGACCTCCCCAGGCTCAGGTGATCCTCCCACCTCAGCTTCCTGAGTAGCTGGGACTCCAGGTGTGCACCACCACCCCTGGCTAATTTTTTGTATTTTTTATAGAGATGGGGGTCTCTCTATGTTGCCCAGGCTGGTCTTGAACTCCTGGGCTCAAGCGATCTGCCCTCCTCAGCCTCCCAAAGTGCCAGGATTTTTTTTTTTTTTAAGATGGAGTCTCGCTCTGTCACCCAGGTTGGAGTGCAGTGGTGTGATCTTGGCTCACTGTATCCTCAACCTCCTGGGCTCAAGCAATCCTCCCGCCTCCACCTCCGAGTATCTGGCACTACAGGCATGTGCCACCATGCCCGGCTAACTTTTGTATTTTTCGTAGAAATTCAAGTGGGGTTTTGCCATGTTGCCCAGGCTGGTCTCTAACTCCTGAGCTCAAGTGACCTGCTTGCCTTGGCTTCCCAAAGTGCTGAGATTACAAGTGCGAGCCACCATCCCACCCCAGATTGGATAATTTCTATTATCCGGCTAGTCTCAAACTGACTCTTCTGTTATACTGTTATCTTTCTTCTGCTGTTAAGCCTATTTAGGGAATTTTTTATTTCTCATGTTGCATTTTTCAGTTCTAGAATTTCCATTTAGTTATTTTATTTATTTATTTGAGACAGAGTTTCACTCTTGTTACCCAAGCTGGAGTGCAATGGCGCAATCTCGGCTCATTGCAACCTCCTCCTCCCGGGTTCAAGTGACTCTCCTGCCTCAGCCTCCCAAGTAGCTGGGATTACAGGCACCCGCCACCATGCCTGGTTAATTTTTTGTATTTTTAGTAGAGACAGGGTTTCACTATGTTGGCCAGGATGGTCTCCAACTCCTGACCTCAGGCAATCCACCCGCCTTGGCCTCCCAAAGTTCTGGGATTACAAGCGTAAGCCACCGTGCCTGGGCCATTTAGTTATTTAGTTATTTTAGTTATTTTTAAAGTTTATTTTTCTTGACTGTGTGCTGGGATGCTAAAACAGTTACCAGATGACTACACAAACATGGACTGGATTTATATATACCATTGGCAGGCCACTGGAAAATTAATAAAAAACAATCCTGGCCTGCTGCTGTGGCTCCCGCCTATAATCTCAGCAATTTGGGAGGCTGAGGCGGGAAGATCACTTGAGTCCAGGAGTTCAAGACAAGCCTGGGCAACATACCAAGACCCCATTTGTAAAAATAAAAGACGAATGCATACATAGTGATAAATCAACTATAGCAAAATACTAATAATTGAATAATCTAGACAGTGAATATCCCTTCAAATTATCTGAATATTTTGATGAAAATTTCATCAAAATTTTCATGATGAAATATTGGAAAAAATAATGTAAGTCAACACAACAACAACAACAAACAACTGGCTGGGCATGGTGGCTCACGCAATCACCTGAGCCTAGGATTTCAAGGCTGCAGTGAGCCGTGAATAGCCACTGCACTCCAGCCTAGGCCACAGAGCGAGACTCTCTCAAAAAAAAAAAAGAAGAAGAAGAAAAAAGAAAAAAACATTAAAAATGAGCAAAGAGGACGAGCACGGTGGCTCATATCTGTAATCCCAGCACTTTGGGAGGCCAAGGTGGGCAGATCACCTGAGGTCAGGAGTTCACGATCAGCCTGGCCAACGTAGTGAAACCCTGTCTCCACTAAAAATACAAAATTAGCTGGGTGTGGTGGCAGCCACCTGTAATCCCAGCTACTCGGGAGGCTGAGGCAGGAGAATTGCTTGAACCCAGGAGGCGGAGGTTGCAGTGAGCTGAGATTGTGCCACTGCACTCTAGCCTGGGGGCCAAGAGCGAAACTCAGTCTCAAAAAAATAAATAAAAATAAATAAATAAATAAATAAATAAGCAAAGAGGCTGGGCACAATAGCTCACACCTGTGATCCCAGTACTTTGGGAGGCCAAGGCTGGCCAATCACTTGAGGCCAGGAGTTCGAGACCAGCCTGGCCAACCTAGCGAAACCCATCTCTATTAAAAATACAAAAATTTGCTGAGTGTAGTGGCGGGCGCCTGTAATCCCAGCTACTCAGGAGGCTGAGGCACGAGAATCACTTGAACCAGGAGATGGAGGTTGCGATGAGCCAAGATCGCACCACTTTCACTCCAGCCTGGGTGACAGAGCAAGACTCCATCTCAAAAAAAAAAAAAAAAAAAAAAGTCAGAATGAGAAAAATACTTCATCCCCACTAGGATGTCTATACATTTTAAAACCAGAAAATAACAAATGTTGTTGAGGACGTGGATAAAGTAGAACTTTTATGGGAACCTGGTGGGAATGTAAGATGCAGCTGTGGAAAAGTTCAGTGGATCCTCAAAACCCTAAACATAGAATTACCATGCGCCCCAGCAATTCCTCTCCTCAGTATATACCCAGAAGGGCTGAATGCAGGAACTGAAGCAAGCGCATTACACCCATGTTCACAGCAGCGCTATTCACAGCAGCCAGAGGGTGGAAACAACCCAAGGACCCTGGAGGGATAAGTGGATAAACAAAATGTAGTCTGCACATGCAGTGCAGTGTTATTCAGCCATGAGCCCCGCTCGCCGGGGGCTGGGAGTTCAGGGAAGGGCAATTACTGTGCAATGGTTACAGTTTTCTGATTAGGAAAGCTCTGGGAATGGTCGCGGAGAGGGTTACACAGCCTTGTGGATATCCTTAATGCACACTTGTATTGCACACGTAGAAAAGGTTAAAATGAATCTGGGCAAATAAGTGAGACCCAGTCTCTACAAATATACAAAAATTAGGTACACATGGTGGATGCCTATGGTTCCAGCAACCAGAGGCTGAGGTGGGAGAATCGCTTGAGCCCAGGAGATCGAGGCTGCAGTGAGCCATGACTGCACCACTGTACTCCAGCCTGGGTGACAGAGCAAGATCCCCTCTACCAAAAACAAACAAACAAACAAAAAGGTTAAAATGGTAAATGCTATGCTGTCTTTATTTTACATTTAAAAACATAAGTAAAAATAATAGAAGGGCAAAAGGCTGAGGTCAGGTCACCTGCCCACTGAAATGTCTCAGTGTCGCCCAGTGTCCAGCCAGTTCTCAGGCCCAGACCTCCTCTGCTGAAGTCTCCTTCCCATGAGGAAGGAGCCAGGAACACCATGAAAGGTACTTCTAGTAGTGATTCCCCTCATCCTTTCACGAAGGGGCCTGTTTCCGCTTACTCAGGTAGCTGTGCGCTGGGGAAAGGGAAAACCCAGATCTTTTTAGTGCTGTTGGATACTGGCTCCAAGTCAGCACTGATTCCTGGGACCCAAAGTGCCCTCATGGCCTCCCTGCTAGAGCAGGAGCACAGACAGCCGGGCAGTACGCAAAGTCCTGGCCCAATTCCATCCCACAGTGGGCCCAGCAATTCATGAGCTACTCACAGGTTATTTCTGCAGTTTCTGAATGCATAATTGGAATAGACATATTTAGTATTTGGCAGAACTTTCACAGTGATTTCTAACCTGTAGAGTGCCAACTGAAAAATCACACAATTTATAAATTTAGAAAGGAGACTTTATTTATTTTCTTTTCTCTAGAGACAGTCTCACTCTGTCACCCAGGCTGCAGAGCAGTGGCACAATCATAGCTCACTGCAGTCTCAAATTCTGGGGCTCAAGAGATCCTCCCCTCTCAGCTTCCCAAGTAGCTGAGGCCACAGGTGCACGCTACCATACCTGCTAATTTTTTTATTTTTTGTAGAGATGGGGTCTCACTATGTTGCCCAGACTGGTCTCCAACTCCTGGCCTCAAGTGATCCTCCCACCTCAGCCTTCCAAAGTGCTGGGACTATGGGGTTACAGGCATGAGCCCTGTGCTCTGCCAACTTTATTTCTTATAAAGGGTTATAGCCTGCAAGGCGGCCAGGCTGGGAAGTGTAGCCTCTCGCAGAGATCAAAAGACAGGCATGTTTAGGATGAGAGCGGTGAAACAGGAATTTATGCTGAATAGGAGAGCCAAGTATACATATATATATATGTGTATATATATGTGTATATATGTGTATATATATGTGTATATATGTGTATATATATGTGTATATATATGTGTATATATATGTGTATATATGTGTGTATATATGTGTATATATATATGTGTGTATATATATGTGTACGTATATATATGTGTATATATATGTGTACGTATATATATATGTATATATATGTGTGTGTGTGTGTGTGTGTGTGTGTATATATATATTTTTTGAGATGGAGTCTCACTTTGTCTCCCAGGCTGCAGTCCAGTGGCACGATCTTGGCTCAATGCAAGCTCCACCTCCCAGATTCACACCATTCTCCTGCCTCGGTCTCCTGAGTAGCTGGGACTACAGGTGCCCGCCACCACGCCCAGCTAATTTTTTTGTATTTTTAGTAGAGATAGGGTTTCACCGTGTTAGCCAGGATGGTCTTGATCTCCTGACCTCATGATCCACCTGCCTCAGCCTCCCAAAGTGCTGGGATTACAGGCGTGAGCCACCGCACCAGGCCAGCCAAGTATACATATTTAACAGGATCTAGGAGGAGCTGTGAATATTCATGAAGGGGGAACATGTGCATATGTGAGAAGCAAATACGCATGTCCCATGCAGCCATGTTTACTTTGGGGCGGAGACTTCACATTTAAATGCATTACAATTAGGCCCTACACGTCAGAAGGTGAAGTAGGGACGGACGTGAAGGCACGCAAGTGTGCAGCCTCTGTAACCAGCCAGAACCAGTCTAGGGTGGATGGTCTTTTTATCAGAAGAAAGTTACTAAATCCAGTCTCATGTCCTATCAAAGCTGTAGTTGTGGCTTGTACAACAGGAGGGTCAGTGAGTGTCTGGCAGTGGTTGAGTTGTAATTGTTTTAATATTGTTTATCTTGAGGCTAGTGCTTGTTTAACTGTTAGAGGAAAAAAAAACCACCTGTGACAGAATATAGTTTCTTCTTTAAGTATAGGGGTGCATGACTTAATCCTTGCCTAGCATGGCCTTTGGTCCTGTTTATAATTTGGTATCGTTTTGCCAGAGTCTCTTCTGTCAGTCTTATGATCTCTATTTTAACATTAATGTTGGTCAGTTGTGCCTAAACCACAAAAGGGACAGGGTACAGCGAGGCATGTCTGACCTTCTGTCCTGTCATGGCTGTTAACTCAGTTTTTAAGGTTTCTCTGGGGTCCTTTGGTCAAGGGGGATCTTTTCAGTTGGTGGGAGTGCTTAGGATTTTACTTTCAGTTCTCAAAAGTGAGACCTGTTTTGCAATAAAGGCTACATGAAAGTTCCTGAACTGCCCCTACCAAGATAAAAAAAACAGTGCTGGCCGGGCGCGGTGGCTCATGCCTGTAATCCTAGCACTTTGGGAGGCTGAGGCGGGCAGATCACGAGGTCAGGAGATCGAGACCATCCTGGCTAACATGGTGAAACCTCGTCTCTATTAAAAATACAAAAAAATCAGCTGGGTGTGGTGGCGGGCGCCTGTAGTCCCAGCTACTCAGGAGGCTGAGGCAGGAGAATGGCGTGAACCCAGGAGGCGGAGCTTGCAGTGAGCCGAGATTGCGCCACTGCACTCCAGCCTGGGCGACAGAGCAAGACTCCGTCTCAAAAGAAAAAAATACAGTGCTGCGTCCCAGGAAGGATAGCAGAGCTTAGAGGTCTCAGTTGAAAATTGAAAGGATGGCCGGGAGTGGCTGGTCATGCCTTGTAATCCCAGCACTTTGGGAGGCTGAGGCAGGGGGCTCGCTTGAGCCTAGTAGTTTGAGACCAGCCTAGGCAACATAGTGAGACCCTGTCTCTATAAAAAAACACAAAATTTAGCCCGGCACGATGGTGCATGCCTGCAGTGCCAGCTACCCAGGAGGCTGAGGCAAGAGAATCACCAGGGCCCAGGATGGTGAGGTTGCAGTGAGTGTTGATCACACCACTGCACTCCAGCCTGAGTGACAGATCAAGACCCTGTCTCAAAAAATAAATAAATAAAGATTGAAAGGAGGTTGCAATGTGGTCTTTAGCAAATCCCAGTTTAATACATTATCTGGCTCCTGCAAAAACCAGTGGATCATGTTGTTTAATCCCAAAACTAGAAGGACACGCTGGGCGCGGTGGCTCACGCCTATAATCCTAGCACTTTGGGAAGCCGAGGCGGGAAGATCATGAGGTCAGGAGTTCAAGACCAGCCTGACTAACATGGTGAAAACCCATCTCTACTGAAAATACAAAAATTAGCCGGGCTTGATGGCACGCACCTGCAATCCCAGCTACTCGGGATGCTGAGGCAGGAGAACTGCTTGAACCCGGGAGGCGGAGATTGCAAGGTTGCAGTGAGAGGAGATTGCGTCACTACACTCCAGCCTGGGCGACAGAGTGAGACTTTGTCTCAAAAAAAAAAAGAAGGACACTTCCACAACTTGATAAAGGGCACCTATGAAAAATCCTCAGCTACCATCACACTCAATGGTGAAGACCGAATCATTTTCCTCTAAGATCAGGAACAACACAAGGATGTACACTCTCGCCACTTCAATTCAACATTGTATTGAAAGCTCTAAGCTGGGCACAGTGGCTCACGCCTATGATCCTAGCATTTTGGGAGAACGAGGCAGGTGGATCACCTGAGATCACGAGTTCAAGACAAGCTTGGCCAACATAGCGAAACCCCGTCTCTACTAAAAATATACAAAAATTAGCCAGGCGTGGTGGTGCGTGCCTGTAATCCCAGCTACCCAGGAGGCTGAGGCAGGAGAATCACTTGAACCTAGGAGGCAGAGGTTGCAGTAGGCCAAGATCATGCCACTGCACTCCAGCTGGGCAACAGAGTGAGACTCTGTCTCAAAAAAAAAAGAAAAAGAAAAAGAAAAAAGAAAAGAAAGCTCTACAATTAGGTAGGAAAAAGAAATAAAATGCATCAGTATTGGCCGGGCACGGTGGCTCACGCCTGTAAGCCCAGCACTTTGGGAGGCCAAGGAGGGCGGATCACGAGGTCAGGAGATCAAGACCATCTTGGCCAACATGGTGAAACCCCATCTCTACTAAAATACAAAAAAAAAAAAAAAAATTAGCTGGGTGTGGTGGTGCACGCCTACAGTGCCAGCTATTCGGGAGGCTGAGGCAGGGGAATCAAACCCAGGAGGCGGAGATTGCAGTGGGCCAAGATCACACCACTGCACTCCAGCCTGGTAACAGAGTGAGACTCTGTCAAAAAAAAAAAAAAAAAAAAAAAAGAACAAAATATTAGGGAACAAATGTAAACAAAATGAAAACTTAAACTCTGAAAACTACAAAACATTGTTGAAAGAGATCAAAGCACTAAATAAATGGAAGACATCTAATGTTCATGGCTTGGAAGAGTTAAATATTGTTGAGATGGCATTGCTCCGAAAACTAATCTACAGATTCAATATAACTCCTATTAAAATGCCAGCTGAAGCCAGGCATGCTGGTGAGCGTCTGGACTTCCAGCTATTCGGGAGCCTGTGGCTGGAGGATCACTTGAGCCCAGGAGATTGAGACCAGTCTGGGCAATATAGTGAGACCTTGTCTCTAAAAATAAAAAGGCAAAAAACGGGCAGGCGCAATGGCTCACACCTGTAATCTCAGCACTGTGGGTGGCTGAAGTGGAAGGACTGCTTGACCCCAGGAGTTCGAGACCAGCCTGGGCAACATAGCCAGACCTTGTCTCAATTTTTTTTTTGACTCCCTAGTAGCTGGGACACAGGCCTACGCCACCACGCCCAGCTAATTTTTGTATTTTTAGTAGAAACGGGGTTTCACCATGTTGGCTTGGCTGCTCTCGAACTCCTGACCTCAGGTGATCCGCCCATCTCAGCTTCACAAAGTGCTGGGATTACAGGCATGAGCCACTGTGCCAGGCCAGCAAGACCTTGTCTCTACAAATATATATATGTGTGTGTGTGTGTGTGTGTGTATACGTATATATATATTTTTTACAATTAGCCAGGCATGGTGGCATTTGGCTGTATTCCCAGCTACTCAAGAGGCTGAGATGGAAAGATGGCTTGAGCCAAGGAGGTCAAGGCTGCAGTGAGCTATGATCATGCCACTGCACTCCAGCCTGGGCGACAGAGTGAGACCTTGTTTCAAAAAAAAAAAGGTAAAGGCTGGGTGCAGTGGCTCACTCCTATAATCCCAGCACTTTGGGAGGCCGAGGTGGGCGGATCACCTAAGGTCAGACCAGCCTGGCCAACATGGCAAAACCTCATCCCTACTAAAAACACAAAAGTTAGCCGGGCATGGTGGCGGGCACCTGTAGTCCCAGCAACTGGGGAGGCTGAGGCAGGAGTATGGCGTGAACCTGGGAGGCGGAGCTTGCAGTGAGCCGAGATCGCGCCACTGCACTCCAGCCTGGGCGACAGAGCGAGACTCTGTCTCTGGAAAAAAAAAAAAGAAAGAAAAGGAAAAAGTAAAAACTGCCCACAGAATGAGAGAAAATATTTGCAAATCATATATCTGATAAGGGACTAGTATCTTAAATATACAAAGAACTCTCACAAACCGGTAATGAAGAAGAGACAAAAAAAAAAGCAGCCTCTGGGAGCCCAGCGGCCTGGGATGCCAGAGCAACTCCTCCAAGGCGAAGGGCGAGCGCCCAGCTCCTCTCACCACTATGAAAGAACACAACAGGGTGAGGCTTCTTTGCGATTTGGAGGCGGAAAAAACTTGGGAATACTGCCCAAGAAATTTGTGGGTGATATGGAGGATGCCAGCTTTTAGTAGAGCCTAGGGCAGTATGGGATTTGCTGCAGGTCCAGGCTGTGGTACCAGCAGCCCTGAGCCTGACCCTGTGACCTGACAGAGCCATGGCCAACGCTTGGCAGAGAAAGGTTTCATGTGGCGCCTTCAGCAGGCTGCAGTGGAAGGGTGGCAGTGCCCACTCCTAGGGTTCTGGAGCAAGGCCATGCCACATACCATTCACAAAATAGCCGGGCGTGGTGGCAGGTGTCTGTAGTCCCAGCTACTCGGGAAGCTGAGGCAGGAGAATCACTTGAACCTGGGACGCGGAGGTTGCAGTGAGCTGAGATTGCGCCACTGCACTCCAGCCTGGGAGACAGAGCGAGACTCCATCTCAAAAAACAAAACAAAACAAAACAGCTCCTTCCACGTTTCTGGGCCCTGGCAGGAACTGGGCATCTGACGATGGGCTACTGAGTGACCAGAAGGCTCATTAGAGCTGGGTATTGTCAGAGACACCCACTGGGTCTTTTATTTATTTTATTTTATTATTTTATTTTATTTTGAGACACAGTCTCGCTCTGTTACCTAGGCTGGAGTGCACTGGTGTGATCTTGGCTCACTGCAACTTAGCCTCCTGGGTTAAAGCGATTCTCCAGCCTCAGCCTCCCGAGTAGCTCGGATTATAGATGCCTGCCACCACGCCCAGCTAATTTTTGTATTTTTAGTAGAGACGGGGTTTCACCATGTTGGCCAGGCTGGTCTGGTACTCCTGACCTCAGGTAATCCACCCACCTTGTCCTCCCAGAGTGCTGGGATTACAGGCATGAGCCACCATGCCAGGCTTTATTTATTTTATTTTTTGAGACAGGGTCTTGTTCTGTTACTCAGGCTGAAGTGCAGTGGTTTGATCTCGGCTCACTGCAGCCTCGAACTCGTTCAGGCGATCTTTCAGGCGATCCTCTCGCTTTAGCCTTCTGAGTAGCTGGGACCCCAAGCACATGCCACCACGCCCAGCTAATTTTTTTATTTATTGTAGAGACAAGGTCTTGCTATGTTGCCCAGGCTGGTCTCCAACTCCTGAGCTCAAGCAATCCTCCTGCCTCGGCCTCCCAAAGTGCTGGGATTACAGGCGTGAGCCACTGTGCTTGGCCAAGCCACCAGGTCTCAAGGTACCAACCATCCACACAACAGAAGTGGCATTACGAGGATCAGCTCTCAGCAAGTCCAGAGGACACACGTAAGCTGTGAAAGCAGGTGACTGCCATCCCATGTGGCCTCACTTATGACATCTGCCCCACAGCTCACTCAGGCAGCCCTGAACGGCAGTGGAGCATGAGGGCAAAGACTCCCAAACGGCAGAGTTTCTGTGAGCACTGTGCCATCCACTCTGCAAAGGCAGAACCTGCAAGACCCACCAGCTGTAGCAAATAGTTGAGCTGGTTGGTTCAGGGACCTGGACAGAGCAAGATTAGAAGTTAAGAGATGAGGGCCTGGTGCAGTAGCTCACTCCTGTAATCCCAGCACTTTGGGAGGCTGAGATGGGCAGATCACCTGAGGTCAGGAGTTCGAGACCAGGCTGGGCAACATGGTGAAACCCCATCTCTATTAAAAATACAAAAAATTAGCCGGGTATGTCAGTGCATGCCTGGAATCCAGCTACTCAGGTGGCTGAGGCACAAGAATTGCTTGAACCTGGAAGGCAGAGGCAGGCTGCAGTGAGCCAAGATCACACTGCTGCACTCCAGCCTGGGTGACAGAGTGAGACTCTGTCTTGGAAAATAAAAAAAAAAAGAAAAGAAAAGAAAAGAAAAGAAGAAGGAGAAGAAGAAGGAGGAGGAGGGGGAGGGGAAGGGGAGGGGGAGGGTGAGGGGGAGGTGAGGGGGAGGGGAGGGGGAGGGGAAGGGGGAGGGGAGGGGGAGGAAGAGGAAGGATGTTAGGAGATGAGGACATCAAGAGAAGTACCTGAAGCTCCAGGGTGATGAGTCAAGGTGGCTCACGCCTGTAATCCCAGCACTTTGGGAGGCTGAGGCGGTCGGATCACCTGAGGTCACGAGTTCAAGACCAGCCTGGCCAACAGGGAGAAACTCCGTCTCTACTAAAAATACAAAAAAATTAGTTGGGCATGGTGGCACACACCTGTAATCCCAGCTACTCGGGAGGCTGAGGCACGAAAATTGCTTGAACCCAGGAGGCGGAGGTTGCAGTGAGCAGAGATTACACCACTGCACTCCAGCCTGGGCAACAGAGCAAGACTCCATCTTAAAGAAAAAACTTTTCTTTATAGAGATGAGGGTCTTGCTATGTTGCCCAGGCTGGTCTTGAACTCCTGGCCTCAAGTGATTCTCCCACCTCAGCTTCCCAAAGCATTGGGATAACAGGAGTAAGCCTCCATGCCCGGCCCTAAATCTTGCTTTTTGAATCATATCTTCTTTCTTTTTATTATTGGTAGCTAGAAGAAGCCAAGTAGCACCTTGAACTTTCTCTCTGGGTATGTCCTTAGATCATTTTATTCTTGGGAATACTATCTAGCTTCTATTTCCTATTTGGCTACAGGTGACAATGTTGCTAAACTTCCTGCCACTGCATAACAATGGTCTTCTTTCCTCCATCTTCCAGTAACAATTTCTTCACTTTCCTCTAAGTCCCCACTGTCAGCCTCTGCAAGGTCCTCCCAGCTCCTGGACACTGCCCCATCCCAAAGCCAATGTCACATGATTTAGGTTTTGTATCAGCAGCACCCACCCCACTTCCAGTACCAGATCCCGTTCTGCTTATCTATAGTTATATAACAAACCACATCAAACTTGGTGCAGTAAAAACACCCAGCATCATCTATTTTATTATATTTCATAGTCATGGGGCTTGACTGGGCTCAGGGAGGGGATTCTCAGTTTTGGTGTCTCCTGTGGTTGCAGTCCAATGGTGGCCGGGGCCAGAGCCATCTGGAAGGCTTCCTCACTCACTTGTAGGTGACCCGTGCAGGGGGTGGATGGGTCCTTCAGCTGGTGCTGCTGGCAGGAACACGCCTATCCTCTCCCGAGGCTGCCTGTGCCCCTCACAGCATGGTGGCTGGGTGTAAAGATCAAGCATCCCAAGATGTGTGAGAGAGAGAGAAGGAGTTGGGTTGCTGATCTGATCTGTGTGACTCTGTGTGTGACTTGGCCTCAGAAACCACACGATGTCAGTTCTGCTGCATTCTATGGATTACAAGCAAGTCGTGAAGGCCAGCCCATGTTTCAGGAAGAAACCCAATTAAACTCCCAAAGGGAGCAGCATCAGAGAACCTGCCAGCATGTTTCAGAGGCGCCAGAGTGGCCAGGCACGGTGGCTCACACCTGTAACCTCAGAGCTTTGGGAGGCTGAGGCAGGTGGATTGCTTGAGGTCAGAAGTTCTAGACCAGCCTGGGCAACATAGTGAGACCCTATCTATAATTTTTTTTAAATTAGCCAGGCATGGTGGCGTGTGCCTGTGCTCCCAACTACTTGGGAGGCCGAGGTGGGAGAACCTCTTAAGCCCAGGTGTTCAGAGGCTGCAGTGAGCTATGGTCACCCACTGCACTCCAGCCTGGGTGAAAGAGCGAGACCCTGTCTCAAAAGTAAAAAAACAAACAAAAAAGGCCGGGCGTGTAATCCCAGCACTTTGGGAGGCCGAGGCGGGCAGATCACAAGGTCAGGAGATCGAGACCATCCTGGCTAACATGGTGAAACCCCGTCTCTAATAAAAATACAAAAAAAAAAAATAGCTGGGCATGGTGGCAGGCGCCTGTAGTCCCAGCTACTCGGGAGGCTGAGGCAGGAGAATGGCGTGAACCCGGGAGGTGGAGCTTGCAGTGAGCTGAGATCATGCCACTGCACTCCAGCCTGGACGACAGAGCGAGACTCCGTCTCAAAAAAAAAAAAAAAAAAAAAAAAGGGAGGGGGGCAGGCCAGGCAGGCACGGTGGCTCATGCCTGTAATCCCAACACTTTGGGAGGCTAAGGCAGGCGGATTGCTTGAGCTCGGCAGTTTGAGACCAGCCTAGGCAACGTGGCAAAACCCCCCCAAAACAGAAACATTAGCTGAGCATGGTGGTGCACCTGTAGTCCCAGCTACTTGGGAGGCTGAGGCAGGAGGATCACTTGAGCTCAGGATGCCAAGGCTGCAGTGAGCCATGATCACACCACTGCACTCCAGCCTGGGTGACAGAGCAAGACCCTGTCTCAAAAAATAATGCAAAATAGAAAATAAACTTTTTGAAAAAGTGCCACAGTGGGCCATTTACCAAGGTGGACTGGTAAAGAGGCAGGGCACACGCAGAGGCAAATAGGTAGAAGAGAATGAGCACTAGAGATGGACAGGTGGGCAGTGGCCCATTTGTAAAAGTGGAGAACATAGGGTAAGAAAGGGATTTTGAGAAGACCTTGAGTTCCTTTCTGGCATGGTGACTGGGAGAACTTTATTGGTAGTGGAGATGGAGATGTGGAGCAGGCTCCAGAAACAAGAGCGTGGAGCAGAGAGAGAGGCCAGGCTGGAGGTGCACTTGTGAGTCACTGTCACAAAGATGGTGTCTGGAGCTCCAAGGCTGGAATAGGTATTGAGGGTGAGAATGGGAAAGGATGAAGGAATGGCCAGGGCTAGGAGGAAGAGGGCTCAGCAAATGTTGGGCTGGCTCTCCTGACCAATGACCCTGCCTCCCCCATCATAGCAGCACTCTGATTTTGGAGGATGGTCCAGATGCAGTTCTGTGAGGGAGGTCTGCTGAGGGAGGAGGGATCCATGGCCATCCAAAGGGCCATGGGAGGAGATGAAAAGTGTGGGGCTGTGGCAGCCATTCTACCACCAAGAGGTGGGTGGAGGAGGGGTTGACAGAGCCACTCATGGAGGTGGCAGCTCATCACTGAGCCTCCAGACTACCCCTGGGAAACCTATGTGGGAGCTCTTGTGACAGAAATTAAATCAGCAGGTTCGGTCACAGTGATGTCCACAGCACTTTCACTGATAGCAGAGTGGGGATGGCAGAGTCTTGCAGAGGGGCTGGCGGCGGGAGGAGCGCAGGAATACGCATTGCCCTGGGGAGGCGGCCAGGTTCTAACCGTCTCACACCTAGTCACTACACTTTACAGATTGGGAAAGCCAAGCCCAGAGGCTGAAGACGCCTATGGAGGTCACACGGCCAGAAATTGACAACGGAGTATGAGCCAGGCCGTCTGTTTCTCTGTGCTATGAGTCCCATACTGTATTTTCAAAGGTCAAGAGGAAAGGGTCTTAAGCTGAAGTGACGGTCCCGCTGCCAGGAGCCGCTTCACTGAGGGTGAAACAATGTAGCCAAGTGCGGGTCACCTGCGCTGTGGCAGAAGGGACCGAGGACGGTGTGGCCAGAGGACTGGCCTGGGCGGAGAGCGAGGAGGGGGAGCCCACAGCTTCTGGGGGGCAGTGACAGTGCGGGGAAGGGCGAGGTGCAGTGTTGGATGTTTTCGCGGGGATTCTGGGACCAGTGGGAAAGCTGGAGGACAGGCGGCTCTGAAGCACCGAGGAGGGGCCTCGGAAGGGGCGGGGAGGTCTCCTTGACACAGGTGAGGAGACGGAGAACTGGGGGCACCCGGCAGCCCAGGCTTCCTGCCGCGCTCTCACGCCCTCCAGGGCCATGAGACCCTGGCTCCGAGGTGGCGGGCAGGTTCGGGACCCGAGCGCGGCGGGATCGTGCGGTTGCCGGTGGTGCTGGGCCCCATGGAGGCTGCGGTCCAGGAGTTTCGGGTGGGCGGCTAGGCCGAGCTTCTGCAGGCGTGCTGAGCCGCCGCAGTAGGGCCCCAGAGGGGACGAGGAATTAGGCCCAGCCGAACGAGGGGGAGCCACCAGAGGCTGGGCCGGGAGGCACCGCCGCGCTCTGGGGAGCTGCCAGGGTCGGGGCGCCCTCCGAGCGGCTGCCAGGCCCCGCGGGCGGCGGCGAGGCGGCCCTCCGCCCCTTCCCCGCAGGTCGCCCTGCCAGCTTGAGCGGCGGGCGCGGGTGGGGCAGGAGGACGCGGGGCGGGGTGGGGGGCACAGGGGGCCCTCTCTGCAGCGCCCCCGGCCCCCGCGCGCGGAGGCAGGGCCGCCGCAGTCGAGGATTAGCGCGTTCGCGGCCGGCGCTGCGGGATTAACCCGCGTGGACTGGACGCCCGGCCCGGGGATTACTGCGCGCTCCCTCCCCGACGTATATATTCCCGCGGCGGCGGCGCCCCGGCCGGGCCGGGCATGGCGGCAGCGGCTGGGGGCGCGGCGAGCCGCCGGGGTGCCGGGCGGCCCTGCCCCTTCTCCATCGAGCACATCCTCTCCAGCCTGCCCGAGCGGAGCCTCCCGGCCCGGGCCGCCTGCCCACCGCAGCCCGCCGGTCGCCAGAGCCCCGCGAAGCCAGAGGAGCCCGGGGCGCCCGAGGCTGCGCCCTGCGCCTGCTGCTGCTGCTGCGGCCCCCGCGCGGCGCCCTGCGGGCCCCCAGAGGCGGCCGCCGGGCTGGGTGAGTGGGCGCGGAGCGGGGCGCGGGGCCCGGCGGAGCCCGGGGCGCGGCGCAGTGGGTGCCGAGCTTGGCCCCAGCCCCGCGCCTCACCGCGCCCTCGCTCCGCAGGCGCTCGTCTGGCGTGGCCGCTGAGGCTGGGACCGGCGGTGCCCTTGTCTCTGGGTGCGCCAGCCGGAGGTTCCGGGGCGCTCCCGGGCGCGGTCGGCCCGGGTTCGCAGCGGCGCACGAGGCGCCACCGCACCATCTTCAGCGAAGAGCAGCTGCAGGCGCTCGAGGCGCTTTTCGTGCAGAACCAGTATCCTGACGTGAGTACGCGCGAGCGCCTGGCCGGCCGCATCCGCCTTCGCGAGGAGCGCGTGGAGGTGAGTGCCCCGCCCAGCCTTTCCCCGGAGCGCGCGGGCCGCGGCTACACTGGACTGGGGTCCTGGCGGGCGGGCGCCCTTTGCAAAGACGGCCTCGGCCCAAGCCCCGCCCTGGCGCGCCGGAGGGAGGAGGTCCCTGGACGGCGCTGGGCGTCCGGGGGTATGAGGAGCGGGTGAGAGCAGGGAGGTGCCGCGGGAAAGGAACCGGAGGGCTACTTTTCTTTTCTTTTGTTTTACACTTTCCTCTGGTGACGAAAGAGGCCCGCGTTCACGTCCAGAATTTGGGAAATTCAGAAGAGCCCGCAACCCAAGAAGGGGCGTCCTGGTCGCCGCCAGCTGGAGGCTGGGGCGGGTACTAAGGGGGTTCCCATCTCGCGTCCAGACCCACCGAGTCTGTCCGCAGCGAATAAGGGCAGGTGGCGCGCAGCCGCGGCCCGGGTGTCGGCTCTACAGCGCCGTCCGCCCACATCCCTGTTGCGAAGCTCCCCTCTCGGTCCCTGTGGGACCCTCGGGAGCCGGTGGGACGCAGGACCTGGGGCTAGGGCTGAGCATTCCCCCCATCCCCAGGTCTGGTTCAAGAACCGCCGGGCCAAATGGCGACACCAGAAGCGCGCGTCGGCTTCCGCGAGGCTCCTGCCCGGCGTCAAGAAGTCCCCGAAGGGGAGCTGCTGATGACTCTAGGAGCTGCCCCTGGGCTCGGCCACCCTTTTTGGGATCTTTGGAGTTGGCGCTGAGAGAAGACAGGTCTACCCGAAAAGGAGCTGGGAGAGTACACCGGCCGCCTCCACCCGTCTCCACAGCCCTTGCCTCCTGCAGCTCGTGCTGCCGTGGCGCTGGGGACGGGCCCCCGGTGCTTGGTGTTCCACGGCAGTGGGAGTGGCGAGTCCCTTGGGGGTGGGCTGGGGCATAGAGCAGTTTCCTCAGCTCCCTACCCCCCGAGAGACACTAACTCCACCGCAGGAGGGGAACCACCCCGTATCAACACGGGACCCAGAATCCTACGCAGTGGAGCGTCTCTCCGCACCCTGGGACATGCTGGCCACCCTCTTCTCAATGTGGACATTGACCTAACTTGACCTGGCTCGTCCTCCCCCAGCGGGAGAGGGGATGGGGTTCGTGTCTGTGCAGTCCTGGCGTTGCAGGCTTCCCAGGCCCTGGGCTGGGTCTTGGTATCTGGACCTGTAGAATAAGAAGGTCGCAGGAGCGATTCCAGGAGCCCCTCCACAGTCCCTTCACCTTCGAGCCTCGCGCTGATACTGAGAAACTAGCAACTTCAAATACCACAGAAGCCGCCCAGAGTCTCAAGTCCACCTTGGCTCCACTCCCACACCCAACAAGGAGCTGTCCCTTCTTCTTCCTTCCCAGCGAGGGGGTATTTAGGGTACAGCTGTCTTTGAGAGGAGCACAGCTCAGCGATCCTCAGTCTCTGCACCAGGGTGCTCCCCAGCAGAGGGGACTGCTCCACGGATGGTGGCCTTGGACCCCTGGGGTCCAGCCCTGGCCTCTAGGCTACTGTGAACCTGCCCATGGGTGAGGGTCCCCTGCTTCCTCCTGGGGTTTTCATGCTGTGGGCTCGGACTCCCTCACAGCAATCTGTGCCATCCTAGGGTAGGGCAAGAGGAGGTTGGACTGGGGAGACCCCGCCCCTGCTGCCTGGGAAGATGCCTGCCCTCCCCTTCTTTATCCTGGCCCATGGCAAAAGGCACAGTGGAAAGAAGCCTTAGATTCCCCAAGTAGGCCCTACAGTGGGTCCAAAGCATCTCACATCCCCACCCCCAGCTGGCTTGAGCACCTCGTTCTGTCTCCTTACAGGCCCTGCAGGGAATGGGGCCATTCTACCTGCAAGAGATGAAGTCCATCTCTAAAAGCAGGACTGCAGAAGCCAGGGCTGCAGCTCCCCAGACACCCCAAGGCTGGCCAGCTTGGATAACACCAAGCAAGCATGGTGTCCCCAGTCAGAACTGCCCTGACACTGCTGGGTGTCCCTAGCATCCCCGCCTCCACCCCTAGCATGCACACAAAGCCCTTCTCCCTGAACCCTGGTCTTGCCCTTGGGGACTGAACAGACTACCTGTGGACATGCCCGTGTCCCAGTCAGCTCCCTTGCAGCTGGGGACACTCGCATCTCACAGGCTCCAGGCCCCTTGAGTTCCTTGGTTGAATGGCCATCTGTCATTGTTTTGGGAGCCCCGATCAGAGCTTGTGGAGCGCCACCTTCCAGGGCTCAGTGGCTGTGTTGCTCTCCTGAATTTGCTTCTTGAGCTCTAGCTGCTCCTTGGCAGGCTGACCCCCCACAGCAGGCTATTAACATAGGCATCCTTCACGCTCACACCCAGGCGCTCGCTTCTCATCTTCACCCTCTTCCCGGTTTATCTTTTACCCTCAGACTCCAATTCCCATCTTTCTGCCACATTTACATCTCAAGCCAGGCACTTCCCCTGAGCCAGGTATTTATCTCCAGCTGTCCCCTTGAAGCCCACAGACTCCTTAAGGTCACCTTGTCCACAGTGAGCTCTTCTGTGCAAACCAGGCACATGAGCCAGAGAGCTAGCCGCCCACCCGAAACTGGTCCCTGGACCCCTCCCTCTCCTGATCATCCACTATACCCAGGCTGACAGGAAGTCAGTTTTACTGTTTATCAATAAATCAATAAATCCCAGAATCTCTCCAGCTCTAACTGCACCAGTCTGATGTAAGCCACCGTCACCTCTCACCTTGACCACTGCAACTGTCTCTAATCTTGTCCACCTGCACCACACTGGCTCTGCTTTTTTGTTTGTCGGTTGGTTTGAGACAAGGTCTCGCTCCATCACCCAAGCTGGAGTGTAGTGGTGCAATCATGGCTCACTATAGCCTCCAGCTCCTGGGCTCAAGCGATCCTCCCCCATCAGCCTTCTGAGTAGCTAGGACCACAGGTGGGCACCACCACACCCGACTAACTTGAAAAGTTTTTTGTAGAGATGAGGTCTTGCCATGTTGGCCAGGCTGGTCTCAAACTTCTGACCTCAAACTATCCGCCGGCCTAGGCCTTCCAAAGTGCTGGGATTATAGGCATGAGCCACTGTGCCTGGCCTGCCCCTTCAATTCAGAATGAAGACAAACCACCTCACCATACCCTACAAGGCCCTGTGCAGCCTGGCCCTGCCTCTCTGGCATCATCTCACACCTCACTGCACTCTGCATTTCCAAAGGACTTCTTTAGAACTTGCCTTGCTCCCTCCCACCACTAGGCCTTTGCACATGCTCTTTCCACCTGACTGTTGCCGGTTTGTTCGTCTTTTGAATCTGCAATCACTTTCTGCCTGGGGAAGCTTCTCTGACCTCCCGAACTAGGTCAAGATTCCCCAAGTACAAACTCTTTTCTTGCACGGACACAGCTGCAATTTTACACCTGTTTGTGTGATGATCTAACAAGTGTCTCTGTCTTCCCCATTGCACTGTCACTTCTACAAGGGCAGCAGCAGCACGCTGCACTTCAGTGAATGAAGGTATCCCTGTATGTTGCAAAAGCAAAATTGTATTAAATTGTTCCAGGGCGGAATTTATTTGTCCAACACAATTCACATCTTTCGTTTGGGAAGAAATTCCTTAAAAATGCCGAGGCAATTTTCTGGTTCACTTGAATATTAATTTTTTTTTTTCTTGACAGAGTTTCACTCTGTCACCCAGGCTGTAGTGCAGTGGCACAATCTCTGCTCACTGCAGTTTCCACCTCCTGGGTTTGAGTGATTTTCCTGCCTCAGCCTCCCAAGTAGCTGGGACTACAGGCACCTACCACCACTTTGTATTTTTTTTTTTTTTTAGTAGAGTTGGGGTTTCACCATGTTGGCCAGGCTGGTCTCAATCTCCTGACTTCAAGTGATCCACCTGCCTGGGTCTCCCAAAGTGCTGAGGTTACAGGCGTGAGCCACCGTGCCTGGTCTTGAATGAGAATGATCCCTCTTCTGGGAAGCCCACTCTGGCATTTGGGGGCCCAATAATCTTTTTTTTTTTTTTGACAGAGTTTTGCTCTTGTTACCCAGGCTGGAGTGCAATGGTGCAATCTCAGCTCACTGCAACCTCCGCCTCCTGGGTTCAAGCAATTCTCCAGCCTCAGCCTTCCGAGTAGCTGGGATTACAGGCGTCCACCACCATGCCCAGCTAATTTTTTTGTGTGTTTTTAGTAGAGATGGGGTTTCATCTTGTTGGCCAGGCTGGTCTAGAACTCCTGACCTCAGGTGATCCGCCTGTCTTGGCCTCTCAAAGTTCTGGGATTACAGAATAATCTTTAGACATTTCTTAATCGAACCACTGTCTTGTTCTTTCACCTTTTGTTAGATAACTATAAAAAAAAAAAAAAGATTGTTTTGGCCGGGTGCGGTGGCTCACGCCTGTAATCCAGAGACCAGCCTGACCAACATAGAGAAACCCTGTCTCTACTAAAAATGCAAAATTAGCCGGGCGTGGTGGCCCATGCCTGTAATCCCAGCTACTCGGGAGGCTGAGGCAGGAGAATCCCTTGAACCCGGGAACTCCGGTGAGCCGAGATCATGCCATTGCACTCCAGCCTGGGCAACAAGACCGAAACTCCGTCTCAAAAAAAAAATTGTTTTAAGGCCCTTTTCTTGCATAAAGCTTGAAACTCCTATATAAGTAAATTTCCTGGTTTGTATTTTTGTAGAATAATCTCGAAGCATACATAGTTCTTATTTGTGGGAAATTAGAATTCTAAGGCCTTTGGACGCTGCAAAGCCAGAATTTCTCGCGTGAAGAACACGCCCTATAGCATCCTCCCCGCCACCTCCACAGCACCCCCTCGTGTTCACAGCATTGACAAGCATGAATAGCGCGGGGCAGGACAAGGACTACATTTCCAATAAAGTCTAGCATTTATAGTGACGTCAGAACGGAGCGCGGGCTGGCTTTCTAGAGCCACAGCTTTTCCATTGGCCAACTATTGGAGGCGCCTGCGCAAATGGTGCAGTCCCGCCCCCTCCACCCTGTGACGCGCCTGCTGGGCCCGAGCTTTTTCCTGGGATAGCGATGGAGACGCCGGGCGCATCAGCGTCGTCCTTGTTGCTTCCCGCCGCGTCCAGGCCCCCGAGGAAGCGCGAGGCGGGAGAGGCTGGGGCTGCGACGAGCAAGCAGCGGGTCCTGGACGAGGAAGAGTATATCGAGGTACGACCTCGGTGCGGACGCCGGCGACTTCTGGGCCCATCCTCTGCTTCAAGCTCCTCTCAGGTTCCCTCTCTCGGGTGTTGACACTCCGTCTCCTCGTGGAAGTGGAGGAGCCGGGTGTGGACGGTCCCACGAGTCAAGTAAACAGGGCAGAGGAAGACGTCTGTGGTGGAAGAGGCTGTAGTAGTGTTGTCAGGGAAAAGAGAGAGCGGCTCTCTTTGTATGGGACGGGGGTCAGGGAAAGAAGATTTTCTGTTAAAGTGTGAGTAGGAGTTTGACAAACTGGAAGGATGGTGGCAAAGAGGGCTTTCTAAAGAGCGGTGGCAGCAAGTGTGAATGCTGGGGTTCCTGGAAAGAGACCGCAGTTGTGACAGCATCTCGAGTGAGTGGACCTGCGTCGCCCCACCACACGCACACAGAAGGAGGAGCTGAAACGGGGATTGGCGGAAGTCAGTTTGGTTTTAGACCTGTTTAATTCGGGACACCTTTTGGGATATGTAGATGGATGGCTTTAACGGACGGTTGGGTGCCCAGATATGCAGCTCGGGAGCAAGGTCTGGCTGGAGGTGCAGACTTGGGAATCTCAACTTGTGGTAGTGACTGGCTGAAGTTACTCAGGAAAAAGGTTTATTTTTATTTTATTTTTTGAGACGGAGTCTCGCTCGTCGTCCAGGCTGGAGTGCAGTGGCGCGATCTCGGCTTACTGTAACCAACCTCTGCCTCCTGGGTTCAAGCCATTCTCCTGCCTCAGCCTGCCGAGTAGCTGTGACTACAGGTGCCCGCCACCACGCCCGGCTAATTTTTGTATTTTTAGTAGTGGTGGGGTTTCACCATGTTGGCCAGGCTGGTCTCGAACTCCTGACCTCAGGTGATCCGCCCGCCTTGGCCTCTCAAAGTGCTGGGATTACAGGCGTGAGCTACCATGCCCCGCCAGGAGAAAGGTTTAGATTGGAAATAGAAAGTCATGTGTGGAATGAAAGTGACAACACCCACATTGGTCTGGCTTGTGGGGAGCCAGCAATGGAGAATGAGAATGACCAGTTAGCAAGGGCGAGAGAGAAGGGTTTCACGGACTTCAGAAGAGTGTTTAGTAATGTTAGAGGTTGCAGCATGGCTACCATATGGGATGCTCAACCCCACTAGAAAGTGCCCTCAAGCTCCCTCAATCCAGCCCCAGTCATTGGGGAAGTAGAATTTGAAGGAGGTTCAGCAAGTTCCTTAGCATGTACAGCAGTGGACCTGTGAGGCAGGAGCACCCAGACTGCAGCTCCGACTTTCTTTTTTCTTTTTTTTTTTTTTTTTTGAGACGGTCTCGCTCTGTCGCCCAGGCTGGAGTGCAGGGGTGTGATCTTGGCTCACTGCAACCTCCGCCTCCCGAGTTTAAGCGATTCTTCTGCTTCAGCCTCCCACGTAGCTGGAATTACAGGTGCCTGCCACCACGCCCGGCTAATTTTTGTATTTCTAGTAGAGACTGGGTTTCACCATGTTGGCCAGGCTGGTCTTGAACTTCTGACCTCATGATCCACCTCCCTTGGCCTCCCAAAGTGTTGGGATTACAGGTGTGAGCCACCGCGCCTGGCCTCTGACTTTCATTCTGATCTCTCCTTGCAGGGCCTCCAGACGGTCATCCAAAGGGATTTCTTTCCTGATGTGGAGAAGCTCCAGGCACAGAAGGAGTACCTGGAAGCCGAGGAGAATGGAGACTTGGAACGGATGCGCCAGATTGCCATCAAGTTTGGCTCTGCCTTGGGCAAGATGTCCCGGGAGCCCCCGCCACCCTGTATGAGGACCCTGTGGGTGGCGGAGAGGGGAAAGCCTGCTGAACTGTCGCTTCAGGCTCACTCTAATTCTTATCCCCCTCTCTTCCCCTAGATGTGACTCCAGCCACATTTGAAACCCCTGAGGTGCATGCAGGCACTGGAGTGGTGGGCAACAAGCCCAGGCCCCGCGGCCGAGGCCTGGAGGATGGTGAGTGAGGGTGCCCTCTTTAAGTCACATGGTCAGGATTGCCTGGGAATCTTAGCCTGTGAGGCCCTGAGGGGGTGGTCCAGAGGGCTGCAGGCCACATCTTGTTCCTGAGGGGTCTTGCGTAAATAGCAGCCTGTGAAGTCAAAGGACATTGGTCTAGGTGGTAGAACATCTGGGTCCAGCTCCCACACATGGCTCGCCTCTGTGAAATGGGACTCTCACCAGCTCTTGCTGGCTTTTCTGCTGTGTTCCAGCCCTGCCCTGTGGGCTTCATGGATGTTGGAAGGCCCCTTTTGTTACTATCCTGAAGATGCCTCAGGGCCTCTCCATTTGTTTCCTTCATGTTGGTCACTTCCCAGATAACTGCATGGCTCACTGTGTTTCTTCCTGTAGATCTCTGCATAGGTGTTACCTGTTCAGAGAAACTTTTCTTGACCTGCCAGTGTGAAGTCACAACACCACTGGTGCTCTGTGGCTTCCAGCCTGGCTTTGGTTTTTCATCACAAGACATTTTATTTTATTTAATTTCATTTTATTTTTAATTTTTTGACACAGAGTCTCGCTCTGTCACCCAGGCTGGAGTAAAATGGTGTGATCCCGGCTCACTGCAACCTCCACCTCCCAGGTTCAAGCAATTCTCCCTGCCTTAGCCTCCCAAATAGCTGGGATTACAGGCGCCTGCCACCACTCCTGGCTAATTTTTGTATTTTGTAGTAGAGACGAGGTTTTGCCATGTTGTCCCGGCTAGTCTTGAACTCCTGACCTCAGGTGATCTGTCTGCCTCGGCCCCCCAAAGTGCTGGTATTACAGGTGTGAGCCACCGCGCCTGGCCAAGACATAACGTTTTAAAGGCATTTCTGTTTATGGTCTCTTTCCCTAATTGGCATCCCTTGCACAAGAGCAGAAGCTTTGTTTTGCTTTCATCTGTATGCTCCGTGTTGGGAACAGCACATGTGGTGTTGTGGGCCTTGCACAGATACACATGGAACAGATGAAAGAGTTGTCATCTTCAGCATGTTTGCTGGGACACACAGCTCTATATGGTAACATCGTGACTTGATGGGGGAGTCGGTTTAGGAAAGGGCACTCCGAGTCCTGTTGAATGCAAGTGTTCTGCACGCCATGGGACTTCTGCGTTGTCAGGCCCTCTTTTCATCAGTAGTAGAATGTCAGTGCATGTATAGACAAACGAGACACTCTTTCTTATCAGTTTGTAGACTCCACTGTGCTGGAGTAGCACAGATGTGTTGTGTGTTTGCACAAACATGCAAACATGATACTTTTTGCTTTACAATCCAGCTTTTTCGGCCATTAACACAGTCCTTGTTGTCCTTGAAGCTTGATTATCTGTTGAAATGTAGCTTGTGCATCACAGGGCAATTTGTAGATTTTTTTCTTCTCCTTTTTTTTTTTTTTCCTATAGAGATGAGGTTTCATTATGTTGCCCAGGCTGGTTTTAAACTTCTGAGCTCAAGTGATCCTCCCACCTTGGCCTCCCGAAGTGCTAGGATTACAAGTGTGAGCCATCATGCCTAGCCAGTTTGCAGATTTTCAATACCTGTACACCTACATGCCAGTAAATATAGGAATCCTTTTCAGAACCTAAGTGGTAGGAACCATCATCATGTTTACAGGTGAGGAAACTGAGGCTCAGAAAGGCAGTCACTTCTGCAGGTCTCAGAGATGGTCAGGGTTTCACTTCTTATCTCTCTGAGATGAATAGAGTTTCTGACCCCTGTCCTCATCCCGTGGGTCTTGAGCTTGTAGCCACTGTGCCTTGTGCATAGCCTCACGTGTAGCAGGTGGTCAGGACTGTCACTAGACTTGAAGGCAGAGCTCTCCAGGTGGCCCCACCGAAGTTTGCACCACCACACGCAGCACCAGGGCACCACCTCAGTGGGAGTACCACTTTCCATGGTGGCAGGGTTGGTCGGAGGGGGGGGTGTTTGGGGTTGTGGCTTAGCACCTGTGAGGCCCCATCCAGAGGACTAAGTCATATGAGATCCCTGGAATTGGGGCTCGCTCTCAGGTCAGGATGATTAGGCGATGACCACCCACCTGTAGTACAGGTACCAGGAAGAGAAGAGTGGGTAAGGTAAGGAAATCCTAGGGAGTGAGGGAGAGCCCCAGGGATTTGGAGGCCTGGCACCCACAGGCCTGGCACCACTTTGGTGGGGGAGGAGCCTGCCTGTGATCACGAGCTCTTGCTCTAACACCTGTATTGCTTTCTCCAGTCTGAATCAGACCACGTAATTCCCTTGGCATCCAGCACATGAGCAGAGCTGGCCCTGAATCTGTAGGGTACCACCTGAGGGCTCTCTGGGCAGTCAGGGTGGGTGGATTCTGCCCCCGTGGGGAGTCCTTGGCAGTGTGGGCTTTCATGGGCAGAAGCCAGGACCAGGGGAGAGGATTCCAGCCCTGCATGTTGGGGGCTATGATTCCTGGGCCTGGGTGTCCTCCTCTTTCCTGACTGCAAAGGGTGCTGTGTTCCTCCTCCCGCAACCCCTAAGCAGGAGAGGCTGGAGAGGAGGAGGAGAAGGAGCCGCTGCCCAGCCTAGATGTCTTCCTGAGCCGCTACACGAGTGAGGACAATGCCTCCTTCCAGGAGATCATGGAGGTGGCCAAGGAGAGAAGCCGGGCACGCCACGCTTGGCTCTACCAGGCTGAGGAAGAGTTTGAGAAGGTGTCTCTGGGGTCTGGGGTGTCACATAGGCGTAGGCACCCTCTGTGGTGGTTGGGGAGCCCCAGGGCCATGGGTACAATGCCCAGGGGCATCTCTGACCATCACTTTTCCCCATGTGATTGCAGAGGCAGAAAGATAATCTCGAACTCCCGTCAGCAGAGCACCAGGCCATCGAGAGCAGCCAGGCCAGTGTGGAGACCTGGAAGTACAAGGCCAAGAATTCCCTCATGTACTATCCAGAGGGTAAGTGGCGGGCCTCGCAGCCAAATGGGGAGGTGTTGGGTAGAGCTGTGTGTGTCTGGCTGTGTTTGGAGCAGCCTTCCAGGTGTGTATGGCCGTGCCCCCTTGCAGTTTGGGCTTCTGATGGGTACTGGTCTGTCTAAGGGTGGACAGGTCTGTGTGAGGTCAGCAGTGAGTGAGACCCTCTCCAGCGGCACTGGGGCCTGCGTTCTGCTCAATGCTTTTGTTCATCTGGGAGTGACTTGGCCGAGAAGCGAGCTCCTCATGCTCCTTAGGCTGCTGCCCTTCTGACACCTGCTGCTACCTTTGCTTCGTCTGCCAGGTGTCCCTGACGAGGAGCAGCTGTTTAAGAAGCCCCGGCAGGTGGTACATAAGAACACGCGCTTCCTTAGGGACCCCTTCAGCCAAGCCCTGAGCAGGTGCCAGCTCCAGCAGGCAGCCGCCCTCAATGCCCAGGTGAGCAGGCGGGTCAGCAGGGCCGCATGGGCCAGGTTGGACAGGGCTGCCTGGGGGCAGGCATGATCTCTCCCATCTCTTTGAGCTTGGCAGAGCTCAGTGAGTGGAACCATCTGGGGCCCTGTGCGGCAGGATCCTGAGTCTTTCCTTGGCCCCAGTGGGCTTCCATTGAACACTGCCTTGGTCACACACGTTCTGTAGGTCCAGATCTGTGCCAGCTCCCTTGATGGCAGGGGCAGGAGAGAAAAGGGACTGCTGGGAGTGAGCCCAGGCTGGCAGCTGCACGCCCACACACCGGGCAGGGAAGCCAGAGAGCCGCAGAGGGAGCCCAGCCCCAGGGGGTGGCTGGGGTGGGACAGGCCCTGGGTTGGCAGAGAGCAGAGGCTTTCTGAGTCTGGGAGCAAGACGAGTAGATACTCTCTGATGGTGACTGTGGCAGTCACAGGGTTGAAGTGGGGAAGGCAGGAAGAGACTAGAGCATAAGCATTGCCTGTCATCAGCATTGCCTGTCATCAGCATTGCCCCCTGCAGGGGCCTGGCGTCAGCATCCTCTGGAGTTGCTGGGATAGGCGCAGCTCGAGTGGAGGCCCTGGCACCTCCCTGGATGGGAGGAGGGGGCTTTCCTTGCTTGGGTACCCACTTTGACAGGCCCTCAAGGTCTTTTGGGGGGTTGGGGCAGGGGCCCTCCCTCTCTTTCTCCAAGAAGGCTGCCAACCCCAGAGCCCCAGCCTTGCCCTGAGGAGAGGAAGTGTTTCCAGCATGTTCCCACGTGTTTGCCCACCGGCCAGCTGTCGAGCGTGGGCTGCGGTCCCCCTGATGCCAGCCTCTCTGCTTGTTCCAGCACAAACAGGGCAAGGTGGGCCCCGATGGCAAGGAGCTGATCCCCCAGGAGTCCCCTCGAGTGGGTGGATTTGGATTTGTTGCCACTCCTTCCCCTGCCCCTGGTGAGAAAAGTGCCCACTGGCAAGTGGGTCTACTGCTGGGACTCCCTGGGGGAGGTGGGCTTCTCAGTCGGCCCTGGCCACTCCTGGCCTCTACCTGGCCTGCCCCACACCTTGTGTAACTCAGGGACCTGGTCTCCTGTCTGTACAAGGCCCTAGAGGCCAGGTGTCCAGGCTGCTTGGGGCCGTGGGTGGGCTGGACTCTCAGGCAGACCTGGCCTGAGACATCCTGGGATGACGTGTCCTGTCCTGGTCCTTACTGTGATGTCAGTGGGTGGGGGTGTGTGCACAGTGCTTATGAGTCTAAGTCTACCTAGCACTGCAGGGAGGGAGGCCCAGCACCTCAGTGGAGGTGAAACTCAGGTGGTCTTGTGGCATGCGTGGGTGTCCCTCTGCACTCTGGCCTCTGTGCTCTTGGGTGCTGGTGCTGTGTCACACGCCAGGGCATGTGAAGGCACCACAGGTTTGCCTGGGGTTCTAGGAGGTTTGGGAGCCCTGGAAGGCCTGAGTGTCTCCTCCTGCGTGGCTGGGGGAGACCTCCCAGAGGCTTGTAGGCTAAGCACATGGCTGTAGGGCCTTGAGCCTGCCTCGGGCCTGCTGGGAGCTTGGCATTTCCCTTTCGGAGGATGGAGGTGCCAGGGTTCCAGAGTCCTGGGGAAGGAGAGAGGGCTAGCTGCCTGCCTTCGTATTAGCTGGGATGCACATTGGGTGAACAAGCTGTGACTGGAGGGGAGGGTGGTGGGGAGTCCTCTGGCCTGAGGTGGTTTTGGGCTCTTTGTCTGCAGGTGTGAACGAGTCCCCGATGATGACCTGGGGGGAGGTTGAGAACACACCCTTGAGAGTTGAAGGGTCGGAAACGCCCTACGTGGACAGGACACCCGGCCCAGCTTTTAAGGTGGGTTGTGGTGATGGGGGAACTGTGTGCGACCGGGGTGGACACCTCTGGAGCCCTGAGTGCCTGTGGCTCAGGACTGAGCACTGGGATCGGCCCCCAGCTGCTGACGGGCAGAGTGCTGGCTTTTCTGAATGCCAGGGTGCTGAAGGCAGGTGTGGGTGGGTGGACCTGTCACAGAGGGATTTGGGGGTGTAAGGGCTGAGACACCAAGGCAGGGAGTGGCTTGGGCCCTCTGGATCCTGGAGGCCGGGTGCTGTTCATGAATGAGGCAGGATGGTCACAGACACGTGAGGAGCTCTGCAGGCCTGAGGGCCATAGGACGAGGCTGTGTGCTTGTAGAGAAGGCCCCTGGTTACAGAACACGATTGGGACACGCTGGATTACACGGCTCAAGCCTGGTGTTGTAGGAGTGGTCAGGGTGGAGTGTGTGAGGCCCGGCACAGACCAGGGGAGGCTCTTCGTGGGCTGGGTCAGATACAACAGGCCTCCCCATACCACTGCGGGCCTTTCCCCAGAATACTTAGTACAGGTAACCCATGTCCAGACAAAACATGGGGAGAGGTTCTGGTTACCTTGGTTCTAAATTGTCTGGGACACAAGGATAACCAAGGCAAACGTGCGAGAGGGATAATGAAGAGGATGCCGTGCTGTCCAATGTGAGAGCGCAAGGCAAGGGCTGAGGTGCTTCTGAGGTATGCCTGCCACTGCTTCCCGAGTCTCCAGGCCAACAGTAAACAGATAAATTCTGAAACAAACCATGATCCAAGTCAGAATTTGGGGCCCGATAAAGATGGCAACTCAGATTGCACTGAATAGCAGAGTATTTAGAAATGAAGGGAGCTGGGTCCTCAGGATGTGTAGCAGCATACATTGTGGAAAGGTGAAAAGGTTACATGTAAAAACAATAACCATAAAACAACCAGAAGAAAATAGTGGCGAATATTTAGTTTGATTTTTGGGTTCAAGTGATTCTCCTGCCTCAACCTCCCAAGTAACTGGGACTAGAAAATAGTGGCGAATATTTAGTTTGATTTTTGGGTTCAAGTGATTCTCCTGCCTCAACCTCCCAAGTAACTGGGACTACAGGCGCGTGCCACCACGCCCGGCTTATTTTTGTATTTTTAGTAGAGATGGGGTTTCACCATGTTGGCCAGACTGGTCTCGAACTCCTTGGCCAGACTGGTTTCGAACTCCTGACCTCGTGATCCACCCACCTCAGCCTCCCAAAGTGCTGGGATTACAGGCGTGAGCCACTGTGCCTCGCCTCTTTTTTTTTTTTTTTTTTTTTTTTAACAGATAGGGTTTCACTCTGTTGCCCAGGCTGGAGAACAGTGGTGCAATCATAGCTGATTGTAACATTGAGCTCCTGGGCTCAAATGACCTTCCAGCCTCAGCCTCCTGTGTAGCTGGGACTAACAGCATACACCACCATGCCCAGCTAATTTTGTGTGTGTGTGTGTAGAAATGAGGTCTTGTCATTTTGCTCAGGCTGGTCTCCAATGCCTGAGCTCAAGTGATCCTCCCACCTTGGCCTCCCAAAGTGCTGAGGTTCCAGGTGTGAGCCACCACTCCCAGCCTGTAGTCTAATCTTAAGTTAGGAGGGACTTTCTAAACATAAAAGCAAAGGAAGAAATCACAAATGAAAATAACAAATACAGCAGAAAATGTTATAAATGAAACAAATGTAAATGAGTGAAAAAACATGTGCACAGCGTAGCACAGTTGACTTGACACAAGGTCTTGGCAAGGGTCTTCTGAGTAACAGCAGCAGAAAAGGAAAATGAGCCCCTTGAGAGCAAAATAGGCCACAGGCACACGGGGAAGCGCCCGAAATACAGAGCGCCGATAAAGACAGAGATGTTCACTCTGATAATCAGGGAAACACTAAAACAGACTGCTTTTTCCTGAGAGATTGTCAGAGGTCATGGTTTTGGGAGGAACACGAAGACAGGTGAGGAGTGCTGCGCCTTGGGCAGGTCAGGTGGGGTTTGGGGCTTTCCAGGGGCTTTTAGTGGGAGGTGATGGGTTGTGGGGGTTTTGTAGGCAACAAAGAGAGGCTGGCACCCACCACAGTGGCTTTCTGTGTGAGGGGCTGCCTGGCGTGTGGCAGGCCTGGCGCAGCTACCCACACACCTGCTACCTTGTAGATCCTGGAGCCAGGCCGCAGGGAGCGGCTGGGTCTGAAGATGGCCAACGAGGCCGCTGCCAAGAACCGGGCCAAGAAGCAGGAAGCCTTGCGGAGAGTGACGGAGAATCTGGCCAGGTGAGGGGCCGCCTGGCTGGTGGGGAAGTGCGAGGGTGGCTCTGGCCTGCTCCTGTTCGGCCCCTGCCCTGACCGTGTGGAGGCATGGCCCACGCGGCAGAGTCCAGGGCAGGTCCGCGGGGTTCTGCAGTGGGTACTGTGGCAGCTCCTCTATCCAGAGCATGGCCGCACATGGACAGGATGAGAGGCCCCCTCCATCTTCTCTTTCCTCCACGTCCTCTTTGACCCGTCCCTAAGAGGCATCTTTAGGCGTGTGGTCCTGCTGGGAGCTTTCATCAGCCCTGTGGAGAGAGTCATCGTTCCCCTTGGAGAGGGGTGGGGACTCCAACTCTCAGAGGCCTGGGGGTGCACCCCAGCCCCCACAGCCAAGGGCGGTGCTGCTGTTTGACCTCAGGTTTGACCTGAGCGCTGCTGTTTGACCTCAGGGATCCCCCGCATTTGCTGCCATGCTGGCAGTACCATCCTCCTCAGCTCAGAGTGACTGTGTCTCTGCCCAGGCTCTTCCTGGGAGCCAAGGGAGGCCCTGCTGCCGGCAGCTCTCAGCCCACCTAACCCTGCCTCTCTCACCCATTCCTCCACCCCAGCCTCACCCCCAAAGGCCTGAGCCCAGCCATGTCGCCAGCCCTACAGCGCCTTGTGAGCAGGACGGCCAGCAAGTACACAGACCGGGCCCTGCGGGCCAGCTACACACCATCCCCAGCACGCTCCACCCACCTCAAGACCCCGGCCAGTGGGCTGCAGACCCCCACAAGCACACCGGCGCCTGGCTCTGCCACACGCACCCCTCTCACACAGGACCCGGCCTCCATCACGGACAACCTGCTGCAGCTCCCTGCCCGGCGCAAAGCTTCGGACTTCTTTTAGAGCCAGGCCTGGGCTGGGCTCATAGACGCTTCACAGAGCCTGCAGGGCAGCTGTACACCCAGCAGAGGACTCCAGCCTTCTCGGGGCCCAGGCCTGGGCCAGAAGCTGTTGACCATACCAGGAGTCACTGGAGAAAGGGGCTGTGCTGGGGCCAGACTGGCACAAGGCACTCGTGCCCACACCACACCCCAGGGCCTTGCCAAGCTGTTTGCTGTTTAATTGGCCCCTTGAACTGTCATTAAAGAACACCTAGGTACAGTCTGGGGGGTTGCCTCTCCATCTTGCTCCCCACACGAGCCCTAGCCTTGCCCTGGGGCCTGCATCACGTCTCAGGACTGCGGGGCTTGAAGCGAGGGGCCCCCCAGGTGAGGAAGCTGCAGGTGGGGCGGCTGTGGGAGCACCGGGTGACTGGCGTTGCTTTCTGCGGCACTCGGAACCTGTGTTCTGAGTTGAGCTCACATCCTGCAGTGCTTTCTGCTTCTCTGGGGGGATATGAAGGAGAAACGGAGCCCTTGGAAGTTGTACCCTTAGGTTCCCCTGCGGTTCTGGGCCCAGGTCTGCAGCCTCCACTCTGGGCTTGCCGGCTGTGAGGTGCGCTGGTTATAGGACTGTGTGGGGGCTGCATATCAGGTGATCTCAGCTATCACCTTCTCCCAGCACCTGGCTTCCAGCTCATGGGGTGGGACTATCCCACTCACCCCTCTGCTATAGGCACTGCCCATCTTATGCTGCTGGCCCTGGCCTCACCTGGTCACTTCCACCAACAGGAGCTCCCAGATAACAGTGGGTTGCTGGACAGATCAGGCTGGGACTCTTAAGGGGTGGGGGACGTGGGGCCTTCAGTGCTTTATCCCCTAGGAAAGGGTGCACGTTATCCCAAGGGAGCCCCCAGGAAGTGGGGAGGGAGGGGGGAGGAGCATGTCTAGGTGCTGACCACCTGGAGCACTTGGCCAGCAAGTGGGCCGCATGCTTTGGGAGCAATGGGTGACCCAGCAGGAAGCACAAAAGACCGGCCAGTGTGCCATCATCAAGGGCTGCTGAGCAGCTTGAAGAGCCACTGGGTGGGGAGGGCACACGGGGAGGTCTCAGCTGGGGCTGCCCCTGGAGGACAGGGCAGGGAACTTGAGGGCTGAGGACAGAAATCTCACATGACTCCAGGAAATAGAGGAAGAGGAGGATGCTGAGCGAGGGATTGTGAGGGAGTGGGGGTAGGTCAGAGGGGGCTGAACTGCAGGAAGCCAGGGGGAGTCGTGGACCACTGGAGCTGGCCAGCCCCAGGGCATTGGGGACAAGGCCAGGTCAGAGGGAGACAGTGTGGGCCTGGTGGGTGGACCCTGGCAGAGGCCCTCTTGTCCCCCACAAGGCCAGGCCACACTGTGATTCTGCCTGTACCTGAGCATCTGTCCTGTGCTCCTAGGCCGGAGACCACTGTGTGTCAGGTGGGGCGGTTGGCTGAGTCCCAGAGAAAAACACTCCTCACTGGGCACTCTTGATGCTTGCACACACCCTGTGGTTTATTTGGTGGTCAGTAAGGAACGTCTTTGCTGCTAAGTGGAAGAAAGCTAATGGAACGTAATCAAAATAGTGGTTTAATTGACGAATTTTACTTGCACCTGTGCCTTCTTCAGATCCTACCTGCCTACTTAGTTTACGTGAAGGCCGACTGCACCATGCCCCCCAACCCCGACCCCCACCACACACAACGGGGCCATTGTCATGCTAGGTGCTTGCTTTCCCCACCTCAGCTCCGGAGATGTGATGGTCTTTGGCCCTGGAGGTCTCGGCCAGCCTGTCCTCCATCCTGTTCTCGTTCTCGGGCACCACCAGCAGCCGGTGCTGGGTTTTGGCTCCAAGCTTGTGGTCGGGCCGGTGGTCGGGCCTCAAGCCTGTCTTGGTGTCCAGTTTGCACTCAGCGCGGTACTTGCCCTCCCCCTCCCTCTTGAAGGAGGCAGAAGACGTGGCTTTGGGCTTGGGGGGCTGCAGCCACGAGTGGCTGAGGATCTCATCGATGTGGAGCCGCTGGCTGACGTCGGGCTGCAGCATGCGGTAGATGAGGTCCTTGCACTCGCAGGTCAGGTTCTTGGAGCGCGGGAAGTCCACACGGTGCTCCTTCTGGATACGCAGCATCTTCCTGATGTCGGAGTCGTCATAGGGCATGGAGCCGCAGACCATGATGTACAGGATCACGCCCAGGCTCCAGATGTCATACACCTTGGGCTGGTAGGGGATGCTCTGCAGCACCTCGGGGGCTGCATATGCTGCCGACCCGCAGAAGGTCTTGCTGAGGATGATGCGCCCATTGCTGTCCCGCAGGCAGCGCTTGGAGAAGCCAAAGTCAGACAGCTTGATGTTGAAGTCCTTGTCGAGGAGAAGGTTCTCGCACTTGAGGTCCCGGTGGACGATGTCCAGGTCGTGGCAGTACTTGACGGCGGAGGAGAGCTGTCGGAACATCTTGCGTGCCACGTCCTCATGCAGGGCTCCCTGGCACTTGATGAACTCGAGGAGGTCGCCCTGGACGCCAAGCTCCATGATGATGTAGATCCGTCCGTCAGAGGTCTCAAAGATCTCGTAAGTCTTGATGATGGAGCCGTGGTTGACAGTTGCCAGGATGTCCATCTCCCGAGGAAGGAATCTCTCCACAAAGTCAGTAGGTGTTTTCTTGCGGTCGATGATCTTGACAGCCACATTGAACTTGAGGCGCTCAGAGTAGGCAGATTTGACTTTTGCGTAGGAACCCTTGCCAAGATTGATGCCTACGATGTAACCCTTCTTCCTTAGGACTGTGGCATCGTCCATGGTGCCAGGAGCGACTGGCGCCGCTGCCGTCTACATCCCCCCGTCATGTGGGCCAGCAGGCATTGTCCTCATTTACACTACCGGAGGCGTCTGGCTGGGCTGCCCTGGGCTGGGCTTCGACTCAGGGGTGGAACACTCAGCATTGTCTCCGGGTGACTTCAGCCAATGAACTCATAAAGCCAAGGAGTGGGGGCGGGGACTGGGCTGAGGGAGAACAGGGTCTCTGGAACCGTGGAAGCCAGGCTGGTCTGGCAGGAGCACCCACTCCCCGCCCGCTGGAAGGAAGCCTGTCCCCAGGACAGGACTCTGGTGGCCCTGCTGCTGCTGCATTGGTTTCCCTGTCACAAGTCAAGCTGGAGGGGAGGCGGCCCACGTCCAGCCTGTTTGCATCACCTGGCTGTGGGGACTGACCCTGCATTGGTCTTTGTCCCACTAGGGTGGGTTTCCTGCAGCTTCTTTGGCTATGAAGAAAAGCACCCCCAGGGCTGTGTCCTTGGTGTGGTAGGACAGTTGTCCCTGACAGTCACCCAGACAGGCCTGCATAGCACCCCAGTTACACAGACAGATTTCCACAGCACTGCCTTACCATTGAGCACATAGTTAAATCTAGGGAAATCAGTGCCCAGACATCAAAGCTAGAAATGAAACATGGTCAGCAGGAGCCTTGCATGGGCTTCTCTTTTGCTGGAGCAAGCCAAAATAATAGGAACGGTTTTACATTCCTAGTGCCAGGACCCATCTCGGGTCGACAAAATCTGAAGACAAGTTAAGGGAACAGGCAGCTGTTTGAATAGATCAATTGGATAGTCTAAGGCAGCTCTCTGGACCAAGCTGTAAAGGAGATACAATCGAAATAATCACTCCGGTACCACAGTAGACAGGCCTTGAAGGCACTGGGCCCCTTTTAATCGGACTTAGCAAGCATTTTTTTTGCCTCTGACCTTCTCCTTGGAACAAAATTAGTTACCAGTAGACTTAGGTGATTGCTGTACTGCATGTAGGCACATAACCCCAACCTATATAAACAGTAAGAAAATTGTAGCACTTTGAGTTGGTCTGCTGGAATTATCTCCAGCCTTCTCCCTGTATCCAGTTACAGTGATAAACTCCCTTCTTTCCTAGTTTGTCTGCTTCTCGTTATTGGGCCTCAAGAAAATGCAGCTGGACCTGGCTTGGTTCTGGGAACAGTGGTACCTGGGAGGGACTGCCCTGGACCAGTCAGGCTGGCAGTGGTGCCAAGCCTGGTAGACGAAAGCAGCTCTGTGTTTGGGAGCAGAGGCGGCAGGCCCCTCAGGGTAGAGAGCCGGGCAGGTGAGTCGCTGCTGCTCCAGCGAGCAAGGGCCTGTGTATGGGTGGGTCGGGGCTGCAGTGCATGCCAGCTGGGTGCCCAGGGTCCAGGGCAGGTGGCTGCATGTCTGAGGGGTGGGGCAGGGCCTCCCTTGGGTAGAGGCGGCAGGAAGGCACCCAGGCAGCAGAGAGCCTGGGAGAAGAGAGGGCTTTTTCTGAAAGTGACTGGAAGTAGGAGGGAAGTGAAGGAGTCTCGGCTTTTTCTCTAAGCGGCAGCCTGCCCCTGCAGGTGCAAGACAGGAGGAGGGCCGTCCCAGTTGTGTTTTAAGATGGTCAGTGGCAGAGAGAGAGAGACAGAAAGAGTAGAATTGGCTTTGAGGTGAGAGTGGGGGCCAGTGCCTTTGACCAAATGAGAAGAGGCTGGGCCAGGGTGGGCCTCAGGATCAGCAGGAGACAGAGAAGGTCAGGTCTTAGTCTTGTTTGCTAGACTGTGAGTGGATGGGCCTTGGTGCTGGGGAATCCTGGGGCTGAGAGCGCCCAGGCCATGCACTGCAAAGACCAGGCACCTGGGTGAGGAGGGGGTTCTGAATCACATCAGTTTGGGCCTTTGTGTGGAGTGAGCAGCAGTCGCCTGTTGGAACCCTGACATTGGGTAGCATTTACGTCTCGGGCTGCCTTTTGCACCTGCAGTGTGAACATCCTGTTTCAGTGCTGGTGTGTGGATTTGTGCTTTGGGAAATGTGGCATCCTGTACATGTCTCCTCAGGTGCGTTGGACTGATGTTCATTTGTCATCCATCACAGGCATCCTGGATTCACAGGGAGCAGCTGGGACAGATGAGCTGTGTGTTCAGTGTTTAGGGGAGAGGGAGGAAGGCCTGTTCCCAGGTGGGGTTTAGTCCTGGAAGGTTTCAAAGAGGAAGTGATGTTGGAGCTGGGGTGCTGGGGATCAGCAGACTCCACAGGGTTGACAAGAGGGGCAGGACATGTCAGACAGATGTGACATCTTGGCCCTGGCATGGCTGTGTGGACCCACTCCATCTGGAGTACACAGGGAGCACCCTGTGTTTGGAGGTCACTAGGGAGGATTGCAGAAACAGGGCAGCCAAAGTCAGGATGCTAAGCTGAGAGGCTCAGATGGGCAGGGTGGGCCGACGTGCCTACAGTGACTGCCTTCCAGCAGTGACAGCCTCCCAGAGTCCCACCCGAAGCTCTTTATAGCATCGGTGGTTAATAGCTTTAGTTTGATGCTTTCCTTTTTCCTGGGAGCCTCTACGGCTGAAATGACCAACACTTCACTCCTTTTTGTCCTAGAAGGGGCTGGCTATGAAAATTTGCAGGCCAGGACCCAGGAGCATGAGACCTCCCACTTACCACCCCCTGACCCTTTCCTTTGCTCCCCCAAATGCCCTATCTGGGACACTTCTCTGCATATCTGCTTCCTCCCCTCCCCTCCCCTCCCCTCCCCTCCCCTCCCCTTCCTTTTCGATGGAGTCATGCTCTGGCACCATGTCGGCTCACTGCAACCTCCACCTCCCAGGTTCAAGCAATTCTCATGCCTCAGCCTCTCGAGCAGCTGGAATTACAGGCAAGCACCACAACGCCCAGCTAATTTTTGTATTTTTAGGAGAGATGGGATTTCACCATGTTGCCCAGGTTGGTCTCGAACTCCTGGCCTCAAGTGATCTGCCTGCTTCGGCCTCCCAAAGTGCTGGGATTACAGGCATGAGCCACCGTGCCCTGGCTGCATATCTGCCTTCTTCCCAGACTCTACCAATGCCTTCTCCCTCTTTTTGTGCATTCTACTTCTTCACCTCCTGAGGGTCTCTCTGGTTCTTGGGGGACATGCCAGAAGAGGCAGGTGTCAACATTGCAGAGGCAGAACTGCCCGGGCATGGAGCGGGCCGCTTCATCCAGGATGCACACACAGGGCCGGCACTCCTGGTATGTTTGACAGAGAGCTTTGGATTCGACTTGGAGACCTCCAGCGTTGCTCCTAGGGTTGCAGTCCTGTGAGCAAGGTACCTGCACACTCTGAGAAATCCACTTCTCTCTGAACCTTCCTATCCTTTATAAAGTAGACACCTTTTTACCTATTTGTCCCCCAAGCACTGAGGGTCTGCCCTGGATGCCGAGGTACACTGATGAGCTAGACCACCCATGCCGTCCTGGAGCCCAGAGGCGAGGGAGGCTCAATCACACCAAGTGTGTGTGCGCGATGGTGGCTGTGCCACGCATCAGAACCATGGTGCTGTGAGGACAGGGAACTGGGGATTGGACTTTGGGAAGCTGGGGAAGGCTGAGGTCTGAGGAACTAGCCAGGTGGAGAGGGATGAGGATAGCTATTACATGTGACGGTTTGAAGGGATGTGGCTTGGCAGGAGCACGGACAGGCCATGGAGGGCCCTGTTGAGGTCCTGGTCCTAGCACCTTTGAGAATCCTTGAAGGGGTCTGAGCCAGGGCTGAGCCACCTACAGGAGTCGCCCGGCATGGCGAGGCCACCTGTGGAGGCGTCACCTGGGACTCCTGCCCTGGGCAGTGTGATCTCAGACAGGTGGCCCACTCCCTCTGAGCTGTTTCCAGCTGTAAAGCTCAGAGCAGGAACTCCTCCTGCAGCCCCTCCCACCCGGGCTTACCTGGCTGAGCTACAGTGAGGCTCCCAGACCTGCTTGCCAGCCACTGCCCTGAGGACCAGCGCAGGTCCGTGGGGATAATTGAGGAGGAGGCCCCAAGAGCCATTTCTCAGGATGTCCCACCCGGGCCCCCATCCCAGCACTCTGGGCTCCCTCTCCACCATGAGTTTCTTGGTGGGAAAAATAGGGTGGCTCCTTGAGGCCTGTTGGCAGAGTACACAGTGGCAGGCTGCTGAGAACCCCTAGAAGGCTTTATGGAGGCCTCAGCCTCTCAGCTGAGCCTGGAGAGCTGGACAGAGTCTGCAGGGGCGAGTTCCCTGTATGATTATGGGCCGTGTGTGTGATGGGGGCGCAGTGGTGAGGCCTGGTGCCCAGAGGCCAGGGGAGGATGCACTGGGCCACAGGAGGACCCCAGAGGCCAGGGTAGGTTCCTCCCCACTGGGCAGTGGGAGCCAGGCTGGTGGGGGATGGCTCTGGACACTGTCGGAGGTGGTGGGAGGGTTGGGGTGGAGGCCTGAAATTAAACCACGTGGAAGGGGGCTGTGAGAACATGAGGAGGCAGGTGGACTTGGGGAAGAGCGCAAGGAGGGCCAGTCCAGGCTCTCACTAGACCCTACTTCTCCAAGGGGACTGAGGTTGGGGTCTTCCCGAGGTAGAGAAGTGACCATAGGTAGACTGTGGACAGTGATCATCGATGTTGCTGGCAGTGGAGCTCCTCTGCTCTGACATTCTCTGTGTCCAGCACCTGCTTCAGGCCCCGCCCTGGGGGAGTGGGAGTCGCATGACAGTCCTAGCCTTGGGTTTGACTTTGGCCCCATCCACTTAGAGGCCATGGGAGAGGTAATTCTGAAAGCGCTTGTCCTTTGTGGTTGCCTGTCGTATCCTACTTGCCAGTGTCAACTTCTAATGCAGGGGTGTCGTCCCTTGGGACAGGCTGGGACGGGGACAACAAGATGTGGTCAAGACCACACAAGACTGTGGGACATGCTCAGGCTGGAGTGTGGCTGGGCCATCCAGCAGAGCCTCCTATTTCTCCCGGGCTAGAGAATGACCACAGGGTGCGGCGACCCCGGCACTGTTGAAAGCTGGGTGCTGGCTGGACACAGGGGGCCTCTGATGGACAGAGCACAATGAACGAGTTGCCCAGCAGGGTAGGGAGCTCAGGAGTGGCTGAGAGGCTGGCCACCTGCCCTCTGCAGCCTCCCACAACCCCCACTGGCAGCCTTGTGGGGCTGGAGAGGTCTGCCCAGACCCTCAGTCCCAACTGCAGATAAAGCCTGCGCTCCTCTACAGGGGTACCTCGGCATGCTTCTTGGTCCTGTCCTCTCCCTGCCCTTTCCCGACCCCAGCACCGCACTTGGGGGCGTCCCTTCTGAGGCAGCGGCTTCCTCACTCACCTTTCAGCTCTGGCCCCTGCCCCTCCAGGTCTCTCCCAGCCCCAGCCCAAGCCCCAGCCCCAGCCTGGGCCTGAGGTCATGGTCTGGACTGGGCACGTTGGGATGTGTTTTCCCAAGCAAACGAGGAATCATTGCACAATCTGAGTGGGAAACCAGTGGAGGGGAGCCCAGGACTAGTCAGTTGAGGCAAAGACATTCACTTTGGCATCTGCATTAATATAGTGATTTATTGCTCCTTTAGCAATGTCGGTTATGAAGTTCAAGGGGAGAGAGAAGAAATTGATGAAAACAGCGGCTCATCCGGGACCGTCTTCCTTCTCTGGTTTGTGCCTTGACTTCTTCAGAGCTTGGGCCTGAAGGCGTGAGCTCCATCTCATTCGCCGCTGGCACACTGGGCCACAAACGGCTCACTAGGTGCGCATCTCTGGAGGCTGCTGGGGGGCCCTTCCTCTTTCTCCCTGGTCGACGGCTTGCTGGGGAAGCCTAGGATGTCCGACTGCCTGGACATTTGCATTGCCAACCCCTCAGGTTTTGTCTCAGGCTGTCCCTCGGGCTGTGTCTGTTCCCCAGGCTCCAGCTTGGTGGCAGACCTCTTGGCAGAGCCAGGTTCAGGGGTCCACAAGAGTTCAGTTCCCTGGGAGCTTTCCCCCTCCTTGTTGAAGACCATAGAGGGCAGTCCCTGTGCCTTGGGCTGCACCCAGCATTGGCTGAGGGTGTCATGGATGTGCAGCCGCTGGCTGACGTCGGGCTGCAGCATGCAGTAGATGAGGTCCTTGCACTCGTCTGTCAGGTTCTTGGAGTGTGGGAAGTCCACGCGGTGCTCCTTCTGGATACGCAGCATCTTCCTGATGTTGGAGTCGTAAGGCATGGAGCTGCAGACCATGATGTAGAGGATCATGCCCAGGCTCCAGATGTCATACACCATGGGCTGGTAGGGGATGCCCTGCAGCAGCTCGGGGGCTGCATATGCCACCAACCCGCAGAAGTTCTTGCTTAATCTCTGTTGGCCACTGTCATCCCGCAGGCAGAGCTTGGAGAACCTGAAGTAGAACAGCTTGATGTTGAAGTCCTTGTCGAGGAGAAGGTTCTAACACTTGAGGTTCTGGTGCATGATGTCCAGGTCGTGGCAGTATTTAATGGCTGAGGAGAGTTGGTGGAACATCTTGCACGCCATGTCCTTGGGCAGGGCTCCCTGGCACTCAATGAACTAGTTTTTTTTCTGCCCCTGGCTGGGCTCCCAGGGCAGATCTGGGGCTGGGGGCTAAAGGCGGGGACTGGATGCCACCCTGAGCACTGGTGGCTGCTCTGAGGACAGTACAAGCAGCAGGGGCAGCACTGGAGAGTGTGGCCATTGTTTTTTCTGGCAGTGGAGCCCCTCTGCTGTGCCAGGCTCTGTGTCCAGCACTTGTTCCGGGCTATGCCCTAGGGGAGTAGGAGTCACATGACTATCCTAGCCTTGGATTTGACTTTGGCCTCATCCACCTAGAGGGAGTGAGCACCCCTTTCTCACAGGAGCCAAGTGGAACCCTGGGCCCCTCAGGATGACTTGGTAGGGCGGGCTGGTTGTCACTCATGTTGGGTTGGGTCCCCACCTGCCGTGGCCCTTCCCCCTTTTCTCTGCTCCTTCACCTTCTTCCCTAACGCTGACTGCCCACTGCCAGGCCTTTGTGCATTCTTGGTTCTCCTCCTTCCAGACAGCCTCCTTCTCCTTCCCGCTGGGGACACCCCAACTACTGTCTCCTGGAAACCAAAAATAAAACTCTAACCCCCCAGCCATCTGAATGGACCCCTCCTCTCCACCAAGGGCATTCCAAACTTAACCTGAAAAACTATTTCAGGCCGTGATAGGAAGTGGGAGTCAGGCCTCATTATCCCTCCTCCCTTCAGGTTTCAGGCACAGCTAAGCAGTGTAACATCGACACAGAGACTTGAAGACTGACAACAGACTCTGTGGCAGTAAGATACCAGCATGACAGCAGGCCCGGAAGGAAACACATATTTTACTGCAAAACAGGTTTCTTTCACATATTTTGAAGTCGCTCTGCAAAGCTGTTTTTTGTGGGGAAAATCTACATTCTGTAGAGAATCCCTATCCCTTTCAAGGTCTTTTCTCCTGAGAGAATTAACTAGAGTCTGGCACCTTTTATTTATTTTTCCTTTTTTTTTTCCTTTTTTTTTTTTTTTTTTTTGAGACAGAGTCTTACTCTGTTGCCCAGGCTGGAGTGCAGTGGCATGATCTTGGCTCACTGCAACCTCTGCCTCCCCGGTTCAAGCGATTCTCCTGCCATCAGCCTCCTGAGTAGCTGGGATTACAGGCGTGTGCCACCACGCCTGGGTAACTTTTGTATTTTTAGTAGAGATGTGGTTTCACCATGTTGGCCAGGCTGATCTTGAACTCCTGACCTCAGGTGATCCGCCCGCCTTGGCCTCCCAAAGTGCTGGGATGACAGGCGTGAGCCACCACACCCGGCAGAGTCTGGCACTTTTTAATAAGAAACATTAACAGTCTTTTCTCTGTGAAGCCTGATACCTGGAGGCTTCATTTGCCTAAGAAACTTGGTCTCCACAACCCCTTAATGTAGACAGTCCCTTTTATTGATTCCAGGTCTTTAGATAAACTCTTTGAACCAACTGCCAATCCGCATGACCTAGAAGCCCCCCTCCACCCCCCACTTTCAAGTTGTCCCGCCTTTTCCGACTGAACCAATGTATATCTTACATGTGCTGATTGATGTCTTGTCTCCCTAAAATGTATAAAACCAAGCTGTGGCCCTACCCCCTTGGGCACTTGTCAGGATCTCCTGGGGCTGTGTCCCAGGCTATTGGTCACATATTGGCTCAGAAGAAATGTCTTCAAATATTTTACAGAGTTGGACTCTTCGCCGACACTGCCCTCCAAGGTTCACCCTGTTGGTGATGACGGGAGAAGTGGCACTTGGAGCACTGTTCGCAGGGGCGCTGAGCCTCCTCTCTGCCTAGCTTTCTTTCCTGCACATGTGGCCTTCCCCTAGCCATTGTGTAGGCAGGTCCTCCAGGGAGCCGGCTTCGCTGCAGTCTCCAGGACCTGGCCTTCCCGGTCTCTCTTTGCCTGACACTCTCTTAGGCCATTCCTGTTCCTCTTTCCCCACCCTCAGAACCGGCAGGCCCTCCCTCCTCCACAGCGGTTCGGCCTTAAAAAGACCCCTTTGGGGCGCACTTTTGGGCTGCTCACGGGACCTGAGCTTGCAGGTGTGAAGACCCTTGGAGTCCCAGCCAGGTTCCCACTTCGTTCTCTCCGCTCCCCACCCGCGCGACCCCTCGGCGCCCCGCCCCATGCCCCGCGCCTTTCGATGTCCATCCTTGCCGTCCCGCGCCCGCCGTCCCTAACCGGCGTCCAGAGACCCTACTCCCTTCGGTGGCCCCGCCGCTCAGGCCCCGGCCCCGGCCCTGCCTCTCTGCTTAACCAATGGCACGCCTCACTCCGTATGGTCCCGCCCTTCCCTTAGAGCCCGCCCCTCAGTCCCCGCCCTTAGGTCCCCGCCCTCCGCCGTCGCGACCTTAGGCCTCACCCTCTTCGGAGGGCTTTGGCTCTGGCCCCGCCCCCCATCTTGACGGTCATTGGCCCGCGCCTGCGTCGCGGGCGGGAGGCGGGGCGGGGCGGCGCGGCGCGGAGCCGAGCAGGACGGCCGCCATCTTGCGCGCAGCTGGAGTCGGTGCCTGAGGTTGCAGCCGAGAGTGTGCGCCAGCCCGCGGCCCAGCCGAAGCTCTTTCCCGCCGCCTCTCCGCGCCTCGCCCAGGTTCAGCTCCGCCTGACCCTCCGCTTGGCACGGTCCCCTGACCCTCAGTCCGGCCTGGTCCGGCCTTCCAGCCGCCCCGGGGACGATGAACGGAGGATAAATGGTGCCCAAGGCAGACAGCGGCGCCTTCCTGCTGCTCTTCCTGCTCGTGCTCACTGTCACCGAGCCGCTGCGGCCAGGTGCGCCGCGCGATGGGGGCGGTGTGGGGGCTGGGCGGCGAGCGGGGCCGGGGTCGCCCCGGGACCTCCTTTCACCCGCGGCGCCCTCCTGCAGGGGCCGCGCCTGGGGCAGGGGCGGGCGGGGCCTGGCTCGCGGGCCGCCTGGCACTCTCTGCGGACGCCTGCTGGAGCTTACCTGGGCTCGCGGCGCCTCGGACTTCGTGCAGCTCTGCTGTCCAGGATGTTGCCTCTGGGCCCTTCCCGGGAGCGGCGGCGGCCAGGAGCTACGCCACGGGCGCACCCTCTCGCCAGTCCAGCGTCGGAGTCGGGCTGGGGACAGTGGCTCTCAGGGGCACCTGGTTTCACAGACGTCCTCCCAGCAGTGGCCTAGTGCCAGCCTCTCAGTCCTGGAAACTCCTCGCCTGGACAGCGGTGGTTGTGGCTGTCATTCAGTGAGACGTTGCGCTAAGGAAGTCCTCAGGTCCCACCGGGCCTAGAGGAGGCACCAGGAGTCAGCCTAGCGTTGTGTGGCCGGCGCGAGCGTCCCGGGAGCAGAGACCTCGCCACTGTGCGGGGCCCTTAGCCGTGCTGCGTGTATGTGATGAATGAGTCCGTGCTTTGGAACTCCCCTCGGAGCTAGTGTGTTCTTAAGTCTGTGGTGGGGAATCAGAACCGTGGCAACCAGGAGACCCTTTTCTACCTATTTCGGTGTACCTCCCCTTGAACTGCACCAAAAAATCAAACTCCCTAAATGCAGGGCCGATGTATCCATCAGGCACAGGAATCCTGGTATCACTTGCCCACGGTACTTTTAGTAGCCTTCGAATGTTATTTTATTTTTTTTTAAAGTCAGCAGAAAAAAAATGAACTTTTAGGTCAAATAAAATGTTTTCGTATGTATATTAATACAGTCATCTTTATACTAATACAGTGAAAAAGCATGACTCTTAATATTTCTTAATGGAGGAAAGGTCCCATGAAGGCAGAAGTGCCAGGGCCATCTTCTCTGATGACCTGGGTGTGGGAGCACGGGGTGTGTGGCCCTCTCCTGTGCCCTAGCCAGGCTCCCAGCCCAGATACACCGCACCTCTTGGCTCTGCGCTTGTGTCATCTATGTGGAATGTCTGCCTCCTCCCTAGTGCCTGCCTGGTGGCCAAGGCCCTGACCGGTGCTCAACCTGGACAGATTCAGTGATGCTTCTCTGGTCTCCCCATGTAGAGCTAGTTGCTCACTGCTTTTGGCTGCTCTCTGGGCAGCGGGATGACTAGTTGTGGGGTGGCCTTGGTAAGAACAGAAGCCAGGAAAAGGGCTACCTGTGGAGGAGGGTATCATATAGGCTCTTGGAGGTCAGAACCAATGGGTTTGTGGATTCTTGTGATTAACTTCTTTAGAAAACATATATGTACGTGTAGAGAGGTAGAAGGTCACCGTTTTCTGATTCTTGAGTCCCAGTTTTGCAGATGAGGTCACCGGGCTCAGGTGAGGCCATATTATGCCTGGCTTCTTTGGGGTGCCTCTGGTTCCAGGCCCAGCATCTCCTGCCTGGGTGATAGAGGTGACTGACGTCCCCGACTCCTTTTTCCTTGCCAGCCTTTTCACATAGCCTGCCAACTGGCCAGCAGCAACTGAGAAAGTGCCTGTGGGTGCTTGCCCCCTGCCCATCCCTAGGGAATCCAAGTGACAAGAACAAGCCCCTCCTTTTAGGAGTGCCTGATGTGGAACAGAGGCCAGGTGTAAGTCACTTGTCACACTCCTGTGTGTTGAATACCCTGGAGTGTGGGGTCCCAGAGGTGGGTGGAGGTGGCCATCTTTTTGTACCTGTGAAGCAGTGAGGGCGTCACAGGAGACCTCACACTGAGGTCGGAGTAGGGCATGGGTGGGGTGGATCTGGTAGAGGGAGCAAACTTATTCTTTCGATTCCATGACTCTCCAGATGAGAACATTGCAGCTACCCCTGGAGGCGTCTTGAGTTGCCCTGCAGAACCCGGGAGCTGCAGCTGGCTTCCTGGCTTTGGCTGGGCAGGGAGGGCAGGCCTCTGGGCCTGATGTGTTCCTTGTATGCCCGTGTGTGCCTCTTCACACATTCACCATGTGTCCTTCCTGAGAGTGCTGCAGGGATCTGCCTGGCTGGTGCTTGCAAGAGGCTGGGGCTTCTCTGGTCTTAGTCTGCGTTCTTTCTGTGGGGATTCCGGCCTTAAAAGCATACTTGAGTATGAGGAAGGTATCAGTCAGAGCCCACTTCTCAGGAGGGTGTTTTCTGACTCCTGCCTGGTGGGGTCCCTGAAGATGATGCCAAGCCACCTGGGCTTCCTCTCTGGTACAGGGCAGGGTGGAAGGCCTTTCATGGAGTTATGGGGCAGCAAGTGCTTGCTGTACTTGACCTTTCACCAATTTTTTTTTTTTTTTTTTTTTTGAGACAGAGTCCTGCTCTGTTGCTCAGGCTGGAGTGCAGTAGCGTGATCTTGGCCCACTGCAACCTCCACCTCCTTGGTTCAAGCGATTCTCCTGCCTCAGCCTCCCGAGTAGCTGGGATTACAGGCATACGCCTCCACGCTCGGCTAATTTTTGTATTTTTAGTAGAGATGGGGTTTTGCCATGTTGGCCGGGCTGGTCTGGAACTCCTGACCTCTGGTGAGCCACCTGCCTTGGCCTCCCAAAGTGCTGGAATTACAGGCCTGAGGTACCATGCCCAGCAATTTTTTTTTAAGTGCACATTTGAACTTGATTTAAGATGTGTCATGTGCCGGACACTGTTCTAAGCACTAACATATGTTAACTCTCAAGAGGTCCCTGCTAGATGCTGTTTTTAGCCTCATTTAAAGATGGGGAAGCTGAAATCCAGAGCACTCATGAAGCTAAGGCTGAGATGAGATTTCATCGTAGGAGTCTGGCCTTCCCCCCATCATGCACCCGTGACTGGGGTCTGTGCACTCCAACTGTGTGTCTCCAGCCCAGCCACAGGAGTACCTCATATTATGCTCTGAACAGCTTCCTTAACCCCAGGTGGAGCCACAGACTGCCTCTGTCCCCTGTTAGGTCCCAGGGTCCTCTAGGTGAGGGTGCAGAATCTTTTTCCATGTGGATACTCCAGTCTGAGGGACAGAACCACTCACCCTCTGCCAAATCCCTTCTGTGTTTGGCCATGTGACCACTGATGATGTGTGTTATGATCACTGGGGGTGTGATGAGGAAGAACGGTTGGAGACTACTGCTGAGGTAACTGACAGCGAGATGGTGGGGGGATTTGGGGACCACTGATTGTGATACTGTCTCATTGGCCCTTTCTCCATCTGTGTAGAGAAGGCAGCATCGACTGCTGATTCTAAAACTGTTTTTCTTTCTAGCTTTAATTGTGAAACAAAATTATATCATGAGCCACAGCTCTATCCAGGTTGAACCCACCATACATAGCTGAGAAAAAATTGCCTTCTGAATGCTGGTGCACCCTGGTCCCTTCCTGCTGGTTGTTGGTCCTGTACAGGGCCTGTGCTCAGCTAGGCCCCTTGGTAAGGTAGAGGACTAGAAGGTCGTCTTCCTTCTATTGTTGGTACAGCTAGCTGGGAGAGGCAAGTGACTTGTCTAAGGTCACACAGCTGGTGAGCAGCAGAGCGTGGGTTCAGACCCAGGTGGAGCTGGCTGCTAGCTCAGGGTTCTTTCTCTTTTGCTTTCAGTAGGCAGCTGTGCTGAGCTGATCACATCTCAGGGAGCTGAGAAGTGAACACAGCACCTTGGCTCTGGAGTCCAGAGTTGTTTTTTTTTTTTTTTTTTTTTTTTGTTTGCGATGGAGTTTCTGTCTGTCACCCAGGCTGGAGTGCAGTTGCGGGATCTCAGCTCACTGTAACCTCCACCTCCTGGGTTCAAGTAATTCTCCTGTGTCAGCCTCCAGAGTAACTTTGATTACGGCGCACGCCACCATGCTGGGATAATTTTGTATTTTTAGTAGAGACGGGGTTTCACCATGTTGGCCATGTAGGCTGGTCTCAAACTCCTGGGCTCAAGTGATCCACCTGCTTTGGCCTCCCAAAGTTACGGGATTGCAGGTGTGAGCCACCTCTCCCCGGCTGGAGTCCAGAGTTTTCTTTCATGTGAAGTAGCACAGGGGTTTGGTGCATAGGGAGAGAGTGCATATTTTCATCACAAGGAAAAGTGACCGAGGTTCAGAAGTAGCTGGAGAGGTGAGCTTGCACCTAGCCTTGCCAAATCCTCCTGAGTTTGGAGTGCTTTCCTCTGTAGCCAGTACTGTGACACTTTGTAGAGTTTGTCCACTGGTAGATTTGGCTTTTGGGTTAACAGGTTCATTTTTTTTAGTTGGAAAGTGATGTAATATACTTTCTACCTTCACTAGCTAATGAATTTTCCTTTTTTTTCTTGACAAAAAGAAAACTTTTATTTGGAAATAATTTCAAACTCCCGGAAAAGTTGCAAGAGTAAAGTGAGTGCAGAGAACACCTGCATATCCTTTGCTGAGGCTTCCCTACTGTTGGCATTTTACCTTATTTGCCTTATCCCTCATCTTCCATGTGTATGTGCATATCTGTGTACTCACACACATTGCTTTTTTCTGAACCATTTGAGAATAAGTTGTATGCGCCATGGCCGTTTATCCTTGTACATGTTAACCATTGCAGAGAGTAGAGGCTGCTCCCACTTAACCCCACCCCATCGTTCTCACTAACACCTGCTATGTGCCAAGCCCTGTGTCACGTGGGAAGGTCTCATGGGTGCAGGAAGCCCTGTAGTTAAAGCCCAGGTTGGCCCAGGTGGAGGCAAGCTGGCATCACTGCATGTCAGGGTTATTGTTTTAGTTGGCGGTTCTGGGTTTAGGAATGAAGACTGCTGTTGTGGAAGATTTGTGCTGTGTTAGGCTGCGCCTTCGCTGCTCCACTTCCCAAGCTAGCTTGTGGGCACTTTCCCCACCCCTTCCTTCCCACTTCCCAGAGTACTGAGTGATTATATCCTCTTAGCAGCGGTGGCCGGTGATTTGTTTGTGCAGGTGTCCTTCTAGCAGTGACGGCAGGTAATCTTGTTACGCACAGATCCTCTTAGCAGTAATGGGAGGTGAGTGATCTGTGTGTGTCCTCTTAGCAGTAAGGGCAGGTGATCTAGCTGTGCACGTGTCCTCTTAGCCATGGTGGGAGGTGATCTGGTTGTGCAGGTGTCCTCTTAGCAGTGATGGGAGGTGATGGGAGGTGATCTCATTATGCATGTTTCCTCTTAGCAGTAGTGGCAGGTGATCCGGTTGTGTGCATGTCCTCTCAGCAGTGATGACAGGTGATCTAGTAGTGCATGCATCCTCTCAACACTGATGGCAGGTGATCTAGTTATTGACTCTCTCCTGCTGGACCTGAGCCTTTGACAGGCAGGGAGTTCCTCTGCCTCTCTTGGTTGTTGGCATAAGGACGACCCGATTGGCATTTAGTAGTTTCTTGACTCTAAGTGGAATGCATCAGTGACAACATTTAAGGACCCCGTAGATAGCTCTTGACTGATTAGATGTCTTTTCCTTGGTATGCTATTAGATTTTCTCTTATGTGCTGTTATGTTTGGGTGCTGAGGTTTTGATGACCGTCCTCTTTCCTTTCTTTCACTGCCAGTCTGCAGAGTGGGCTCGGTAATCCCGAGAGACCAGTTTTGGGCCAACAGTTCATTGAGCAGAGTGATGCATGGGCTTGGGTATGGTTATTATGTGATAGCTGTGTAACACCTGTATTTGTGTTTCTGACATGATTTACCAGTTGTCCTGGGAAGTTTAGTCAAAGCCAGTCCATCTCATCCTGCCATTCCAAGCTGTGTGTCCTGTCAGTGTGGACATGGCGGGCTTGGCAGGGCAAGTCTAGGTTGGAGGGTGAATAGCCTGTGGACCCAGATGCCCTGGACCTTCTGGGCATCCTCCTGGGAGATGGGGAAGCTCAGGTCTGGTTTTGCCTCAAATGAGCTGTCTGTAAAAGTAGCAGCTGGGATTAGATCAAGCCTTCTCATCCTGGCCCATGGCAGGCAGTTGGGTATGGTGGCTTAAGAGCATGGGCTCTAGAGCCACACTGCCTAGGCTCAATCTGTTCTACTGCTCACTCTTCAGTTTCCTCATTTGGAACATGGACATCGTAACAGAGCTTTATAGAGATGTTGTGAGGATTAAAATGGGTAAGTATAAAATTCTAAAAAGTGTCTGACATAAAGCAAACTCTTCATCAGGCAAAATGTTAGTGTTAATCACAGATAGAGTTCAGGAACCCTGAACTGAAATGTGAAATGTGAGGTGGTTTGTGCACAGGGCTTATTGGTCGGGAGAGAGCTCCCTCAGGAGGTGGCAGAGTACAGTGGCTCTGAGGAGTGTCTGCCACACAGAGAGTGCTCTTTGCTGTTATGATGGGATCAGAGGGACTGCGTATGACTTGCTGAGAGCCCCCGAAACAGCCATGGTGCTTTGGACAGGGCTGGGATTGTTCATACACGTTTTGCTCTTTGTCACATTCATGCTCTGTCACCTGGGCCTGGTCAGGCACAGACTGGGCACTCAGAAATCAGTTATTGAACAAATGCACAAATGCCTATTTATATTTTGACATAAAGAGCAACAGCTACTTTAGCCAGCAGGCCTTGCAGCTGCCTCTGGTGGGGGTGGCGAGGAGGATGAGAGCCTTGTGGCAGTCCTGCAAAAATGCCTTGGGAGGATGGGATCCGGGGGTAGGGGACATGGCTGTGGAGCCAGCTGGCCTGGGCCCCACCCTGGTAGGAGCTTGCTTCTGTGATGGGAGCTGAGCTGAGAGGTGAGAGCAAGTGTGGCTTCTCATTAATGTGGATCCTCACTGAAGCTCACCAGCTGCCCAGCCTGGGGTGGAGGGTTGAGGGGCTCCCAGAGGGAGGGACCCCAGCAAGCCGGTGCTGAGGGAGCTGCCTCTCTGATGGACTTGCTGGCACCTGGCTTTGAGAACTGGACTGCCCTGTGTGAGGATGTGGCTGGACCTTCCCTGGGTTGTTTGCACAGTGCAGGGCTTGTTTCTGGTCAAGAGCTGGCTGGGTGCATGGGCTGCATGGGCTGCACATGCTTGCCTCTTGGCCTTCTCCTCCTCCTCTGCCTGCGGTAGCTGTTGCTTCAGTCACTCTGAGCTGGTCATTGTTCTTAGTGCCCTTGTCCCCTACAGGTCCCTCCCTGTAGGCTGACTTCTGGCTGACCTCTGGCAAAATGGCAGACAGCTATCAGTTTGGTTAGCTTGTCTTCCTTGGTTAGTCTGTCATCCTTCAGCTGTTGGCTGCTACTGTTGGACAGGACAGTACTGAGGACAGTATTCTGGTGGGTATGGTGGACTAAGGGTCCCCCAGGTAGACCCTGCCCTCTTCCTTGCCTGGGAAGTCTCATTTTCTGGGAAACCTTCCTTAGGAGTTCATAGTTGTGGAGAGGATTGTTTGTGGCTGGCCAGGGCACTGGATGAGGGGCAGGAGTCACAGCAGAGGGACCCAGAAGGTCAACACAGGGATGATCAGCAGGAGACTGACCACAGGACCGGGCCAGATGCTCCATTGAAACTAGGTCTGCTGATGCAGAGGTCTCTCCGGTGCCACTGGCTGCTTCTTAGGGCCTCCAGGTAGATTAGTTTACCTACAGAACTCTGTCTATGGTCTTAGAATAAGAGGACCTGGAAGAGTTAGAGGCTTGTTGGGGGCCATGGCAGGCCTTTGCTGCAGTTCTTGGAGGTTTCTTGGCCACTCCTGACAGTGGGAGCAGCTCTTCGGATTTCCCCATCTACCCTATTTGCGAAGGATGCCTGCTAGACCAGCATGGTAAGCCATGGGGCATGGAGAGAGCCCAAGGGTGTAGAAGATCTTGTCTGGACAATCTAGAAAAAATAAAGTTGATATTTCTTCACATTTGCTAACATTCATACATAGAATATTTTACATAAATGGAATTATATTTTTTATTTAATTTTTGTATTTAACTTATTTTGAGATCTTTGTAGATCAGTGCATATATAACTTCATTCTTTTTTTTTTTTTTCCTTTGGTAACAAAAGATGGAGAGGAAAGGTGGGAATGGGTCGGGGCAAGATTGTCTTAACTCGTTCTTTTTTTTTTTTTTTTTTTTTTTCCTCAAATGGAATCTTGCTTTTGTTGCCCAGGCTGGAGTGCAGTGGTGCAATCTCAGCTCACTGCAACCTCCACTTCCTGGGTTCAAGTGATTATGCTGCCTCAACCTCCCAAGTAGCTGGGATGACAGGCGTCTGCCACCATGCCCGGCTAATTTTTGTATTTTTAGTAGAGATGGGATTTTGCCATGTTGGCTGGGCTGGTCTCAAACTCCCAACCTCAGGTGATCCGTCTGCCTTGGCCTCCCAAAGTGCTGAGATTACAGGCATGAGCCACTGTGCCTGGCCTAACTCATTCTTTTTTAGAAATCTTTTTACTTTGGAAATATTTCAAACCTACATAACAGTAGGTTGACTTGGCAAGTGGAAACCCCTTCACCTGGCCTTTTCAGGATGGGAGCGTGTCGCCTTCTGACATGTTTCCATCAACTTGAAATTCCTTTTTACCAGGCACATCTTGTACCTTACCTGCCCCACACTGGAATGGGGCATTTTCCCACAGAGCGCTGGTTCCTTTTGGTGGGAGATGGTATTTAGAAAGCAGGATTTTGGTGGTAGATGTGTTTATTGCTAGCTACTAGAGTATGCTGCGACTCCATCTTTTCAGTCTAGCCCAAGAGGTGTGTGCATACGTGCATGTGTCTGTGCCTGTGTAAGTTCATACTGTTATTTTTTTTTTTTTATTTTTATTTTTTTGAGACGGAGTCTCGCTCTGTTGCCAGGCTGGAGTGCAGTGGGGTGATCTCGGCTCACTGCAACCTCCGCCTCCCGGGTTCAAGCGATTCTTCTGCCTCAGCCTCCCAAGTAGCTGGAACTACAGGCATGCGCCACCACACCTGGCTAATTTTTGTATTTTTAGTAAAGATGGGGTTTCACCATGTTGGCCAGGATGGTCTCGATCTCTTGACCTCATGATCTGCCTACCTCCACCTCCCAAAGTGCTGGTATTACAGCCGTGAGCCACTGTGCCTGGCCCATACTGTTTCTTTAGTTCTAATCCAGCGTTCCAGGTTCTTGCTTGCTTTCTCTGTTGCATGTTTGTTTCTCTCTTTTTCTACAGTGAGAACCCTGGCTCCCAACAGCATCAGTAGGTTTACTCATTTGCTTAGTCTTACACTGCACCCAGAATAGTTTCAGAAGTACTGCATTCGCACCACTAGTAACAGCAGACCTATTAAGTAGAATTTAATTTAATTTAATTTTTTTTAGCTCTTTGTGTTTTCAGATTGATGGTGTATACTCAAGGTTCTTGGGTTCAAAAGCTACTTGGATTAATTCTCTTCTCTCTTCCATGTGATTGTTACACAGTTAGGTTCAAAACTGTGTTGAGGCAGGGCCGGGTGGTTCACACCTGAAATTCCAGCACTTTGGGAGGCTGAGGTGGGTGGATTGCTTGAGCCCAGAAGTTCTAAACCAGCCTGGGCAATATGGCATCTCTGCAAAAACTACAAAAATTAGCTGGGCATGATGGCACACGCCTGTAGTCCCAGCTACTTGGAGGGGACTGAGGTGGGAGGATCGTTTGAGCCCAGTGAGCAGAGGTTATGGTGAGCTGAGATCATGCCTCTGCACTCCAGCCTAGGCAACAGAGCAAGACCTGCCTCAAAAACCAAAACCAAAAAAAAAACCTGTTTTGATTTGAAACCATGTTTATTAAATAATATTGAGAGTGGTATTTACTGTAACCTCAGTATTTATAACAAGCCCCTCTTTCATTACACTAATTGGTAAGGAAGCATCTCAATTTTGAACGGTTTTATTATTTTCCTAGGTTTTTTTTTTTTTTTTTTAAAAGATGGAGTCTTGCTGTGTCACCTAGGCTGGAGTGCAGTGGTGCGACCTCGGCTCACTGTAACCTCTGCCTCCCGGGTTCAAGCGATTCTCCTGCCTCAGCCTCCCCAGTAGCTGGGACTACAGGTGCGTGCCACCACGCCCAGATAATTTTTGTATTTTTAGTGGAGATGGGGTTTCGCCATGATGGCCAGGCTGGTCTTGAACTCCTGACCTCAGGTGATCCACCCGCCTGCATCTCTGAAAGTGCTGGGATTATAGGCATGAGCCATCATGCTCAGCCAATAAATAGATATTTTAAAAATAATTATTTTTCATTTCTGACAGTCCTGAGCCTTCGTTGATGTACTTTTGTCAAAACTCTTGGTAAATCACTTTTTAAGTTTCAGTTTCTTCCTGGAGACAAAAAAAAATAAATAAATAAAAAATAAAAACAAAAAAGAGTTTAGATGTTCAAGGGCTATTTGGGCCCAAGTGCTGACATTGTGAGCTTGTTGGTTTAACAGGGTCTCATTCCACCAGCCATCACCCTTTGTGTTTCCTCTCCATCCGATAGCTTGGGTTCGTGCTCTGATAGTCTTTGGGTATGCAGTGGTATGGGGGAGCTGTCTGAAGCAGGGGCTGAGGTTGGCCTGGGAGTTTGGGTATAGTTCTACACACCCTTTACCTGACAAGACTCATTGTGGAGGGGTGATCAGTGAGGCAGGTGGTAGGTCTGTTTTGGAGATTAGGATGCTAAGACCCAGAGAGGTTAATTAGCTTGCTTGGTGGCATCACTTAGCTTTTAAGTAGAAGCAAGAACAGGAAACTCAGGACTGCTATCCTGAGCCACATGCTTTGCCTCCTGCACCATGATTCCAAAAGCTGATGAAAGAGCTGTATGGCAGAGGGAGCTAAGTGGAGCGCCACCACCTGGGGCCTCCTGCCTAAGAACCGGGCACCTTTTCACTGAGTTGGGCATCGCTAGTGTTCACAGTTCTGACTGCACCAGCATCTTGTGTGGACACTGATGCTGTGATGTCTCTTTGGGCTTGGGTGATCAATTCAGGCCAGCTGGTGACCACCCTCTGTGATCTCACCACACAGTGATTGCAATCAAATCTACCTGTGTGTTTCCAGAAGCTTGGGAGGCTTATTAGAGTGTCACCTTCTTTTGTATGGACGGACTTTGTGGGTTTTCAACCGTGTGGATGTATTACTTCTTAACAAACATTCATGAAAGTAAAAGATGAGGAAAAGGTATTTTAAAAGGAAAAAAATGTGTATAACTGAATATAAAACATACTACTTAACAGAAAAAATAGATCTAAAATGCTTAGAACCCACAAAAAAGTTAAATGAAATTTTAGCTTAATGCTGTTGCATATTTCTGCTTTATAATTGCAGCATGAGATGTGATGTCTTTTTATAGGAAGTAGGTTTACTCATATTAACCTCATTTTACAGATAGAGAAACAGAGCTTGGGAGACTAAGTGACTTAGCCAAAGTCACACAGCTTTTAAAGTCATGGAGTGGGTATTTGAAACATGGGCAGCATAGAGTTCATGCTGTGATATTGCACAGCTTCAAGAGAAGTCTCTGGCTCTTTTTCCATCTACTCCTTGTCTTTCTCCTTCTGCCTTTTCTTTTTTTTTTTAATTTAATTTTATTTTACTTTAAGTTCCAGGATGCATGTGCAGAACATGCAGGTTTGTTACATAGGCATACATGTGCCATGGTGGTTTGCTGCACCTAACAACCTGTCATCTAGGTTTTAAGCCCCGCATGCATTAGGTATTTGTCCTAATGCTCTCCTCCCGCCTTTTCAATGTGAACCTTCCCACCCACCCTGCTTTTCTTGTCTTCTTCCCATAGCTTCAGCAGGCTCCAGGTGCCGCAGCCCTGACTCCTCAGGGCCCACCCCTGCTGTGTCCACACAAATGCCCCCAGGAAGCTGACACTTCCCCGCAGCCTGTTCCTGCAGTCCCTGCCTTGGTTCTTAGCTGATGCTGTCTTATCACTGCCACCCCATCCCCATTTCTGAGCATCAGGCACCCTCATCAGCACTTGGCATGTAATAGCTCCATTAACCTTAACTGTAACCCCGTTTTTTGGATAGAGTTTTTCGTGTGTTAAATCTTGTGTTCAACTTAGGTTTTGAAATAAGAGCAGGAAATGAAGCTTTCAGACTGCAAATGTTTCCTTTGAATGTTCTTTAAAGACCCCATATGATAGGACATGTGCTTTTTGTGAGTGTAACTCCCTGTGGTGATCACACTAAAGTTTGGACCCACTCTGTTAGACAAGGGAGGAACTGGGCAGAACTGCCTGCCCATGGCTGGGCTGTAGGCTCAGTCTCCTTTTAGATGCGTCAGATTTCTAGTCTTGCTTTCTTGCAGGAGTTACTTCATTCAGTTGTAATATTATCCTTAGGACTTTAAATCCCTCCGTATTTTATATGTGCTTTTCAGGGTTAGGCGGCTCCACTGCTACCGCAGTTTTTTTTTAATAACGTAAAATATGCCATCATAACCACTCAATTCAGTGTTCAGTTCATTCAGTGTTCAGTAGTGCCAGAGTATGTACCTTGTTATGCAACAGATCTCTAGAATGTTTTCATCTTGCAAAACTGAAACTCAGTACCTATTGAGTAACTACCCCTCCCTTTTATCTCTCTCTCCAGCCTGGCAACCACCGTCCTACTTCCTGTTTCTAAGAGTTTGACTGCTTTAGATACTCCATATAAGTAGAATCATGCAGTATTTGTCTTTTTATGTTTGGCTTATTTTACCTCAAGGTTCATCCATGTTGTAGCATGTGTCAGAACTTCTTTTTAAGGCTGAGTTGTATTCCACTGTATGCATATACTGCATTTTGTTTATTTAGTGTACACCTGGGTCGCTTCCACCTCTTAGTTATTGTGAGTAGTACTTCTGTGAGCATAGGTATATGAATATATCTTTGAGACCTTGCCTTCAATTAATTTTGGGTATGTACCCAGAAGTGGAATTGGAATTGCTGGATCATATGGTAATTCTATTTTTAATTTTTTAAGGAAACTCCATGCTGTCTTCCATAGTGACTGTACCATTTTACATTCCTACCAACGATGTACATGAGTTCTGATTTCTTCACATCATTGCCAACACTTGTTTGTTTGTTTGTTTTTGACAGTGGCTATCCTAATGGGTGAGGTGATAGCCTATTGTGGTTTTGGCTTACATTTCCCTGATGATTAAGGAGGTTTTTTTTTTCTTTTCCTTTTGAGACAGTTTCGCTCTGTCATCCAGGCTGAGGTGCAGTGGTGTAATCGTAACTCCCTGAAACCTTGACCTCCTGGGTTCAAGTGATCCTCCTGCCTCAGCCTCCCATGTAGTTGGCACTACAAATGCATGCCACCACACCCAGCTAATTTTTTGATTTTTTTTTTTTTTTGTAAAGATGAGATCTCACTTTGTTGCTCAGGCTGGTCTTGAGCTCCTGGGCTCAAGCAATCCTCCCACCTCCGCCTCCCAAAGTGTGAGGTTCATTTTCTGATATGTGGAGTCCAACTGTCTAGTACCATTTGTTGAAAGGTTATACCTTCTCCATTGAATTGTCTTTGTACCTTTGTCAGAATCCATTGACTACATTTGTGTAGGTCTATTTCTGAGATCTGTATTCTATTCTGTTCTGTTGGCCTGTGCATCTTTTTTTTTTTTTTTTTTTTTTTTTTTTTTTTTTTAGATAAATTCTCTGTTGCCCAGGCTGGAGTACAGTGGTGGGATCACAGCTCACTGCAGCCTTGACCTCCCTGGCTCAAGTGATCCTGCCACCTCACCCTCACCGAGTAGCTGGGACCACAGGTGTTCACCATCATATGTGGCTAATATTTTTATTTTAATTTTTGTAGAGACTGGATCCCTGTGTTGCCCAAGCTGGTCTCCAACTCCTGGGCTCAAGTGATCCTCCTGTCTCAGCTTTCCAAAGTGTTGGGATTACAAGTGAGAGCTACTGTGCTCAGTGTGGTCTGTGTATCTTTACTAAGCTTTTGATCAAAGACTTTTTTAATTTTAAAGAAGTCTGATTTATCATTTTTTCTTGTTATGGTCATGCTTTCTGTTTTTGTCTAATAAATCCTTGCCTACCCCAAGGTTACGAAGTTCTTCTCCTTCCCTAGTAAAATCTGAGCTTCGTGGGGGCAGACACCTTATGGTTCTCCTCCTGCTCTTCTCACTTGTGTCCTGTACAACACCTGGCCCCTAGGAGGTACACGGCGGTGTTCATGGAAGGAGCAAATGAGTTGTCTTAAGGATTCATAATAATGTATTCTAAGCACTTGATATACTGCCTGGCACATGCAAAATGAGCATTCAGGAATCTGATTTGACTACAGCTGTTCTTTCTCTTAGAGAAATTGGCTGCGCTATCCTGTGGCTATGATCGAAATGTGGTGCGAGTGTTGGATGAAACTGCTGGCTGATGTTTACATCAGATGCGAGATAGCTCTCGCTCCAGTTCTGTCCCACCCTCCTGCCCTGGTCTTATTCCCAAGTATGTAGCCCCTCCTGCCCGAACCCCCATGAAATAAGGACTGATTGCAAGTTGCTGTTCTTTTCTTGAAAGTGTCACTCATGGAATAGGTATGCTTGGTGGACCTGCCTTTCTCTTCTTTCATCTTATATGATCCCTTCCTTTTTCTTAGGACCTTCCCTTCTTTTCTAGGATAACTTATTTTAAACAGGGCCTTCTTTCCCAAACATCTGCCTAAGGAGAAGCCACAGGGCAGAGCAGCTGAGCCAGTGTTTTGGTTGGACAGCATCTACAGATAGATGGTAGCAGGTGGTGATCACTTCTTCTCCTGGAGGTAGAAAATGCTTGTTATTTATGAGAAATAAATGCTGAAGCATAGGCCTTGTCCCTTTGTTCTTGTGTGGTGTTCCCCAGTGTCAGTGTTGTGACCCCTTGGGCTGTGGGAGAAAGTGGCTGGCACTCCCCTAGCGCTTGGCAACCCTACTCCCTCTCCACTGTTGCAGGAGAGCTGGCCACCTGTCTCCAGTGGTGGTGATGGGGAGTCAGGAGCTCCAGGGTCCAGGGGAGGAGTGACTGAGGGTGGAGCCTTCACTCAGAGATTCCACTTGCCCCGGGGGCTGTTTGGAAATGGGTTTGGTGGTTATGTGTTTGGGGAGCTACTGCCATTTAGGGAGCCATATCAAAGAAGTTGCAGGCATATTTCAAAACCACAGCAGGAGTGTTTGCAGGTGTAAAATATTTTGTTCTAGTAACTGGCCACTGGTAGGGAAAAAAAGTACAATATGTTGGTACATCCTTGGCTCTGCACCAGACTGGTGGTGGGGCTCTGGTATCCCTGGGCTTTGTGCAGTGAGCCCCCAGAGGCTCTGCTGACTGCTGTCTCGGTGAAGGAAATGGCTCAGAACTGGAAAGTTTGGACCTGGTCCTCTAGGGAGTCAGAATGCAGAGCCCCACCCAGGGGCTCTGCTGGCTTCAGGGATGGGGATTTGGGTCAAAGAGCCCACAGCCTGACCTCTGATGCCCATTCTGCTGCTGCCAACTTGATGTGGGACACTGAGTAGGCGGGTCAGCCCCTCTGAGAAGCTAGCTGGCTGGACTAGTTGGGGGTTTCAATACATAGAACAGCTTCGGGCCTTCCTTCACATTTTGCTAATGAAACTTCCAATCTCATCATTTTCCATGAGCCACACATGTCTTGTTCCCGTTTGAACTCTGGGCCCTCATGGGTGAGGAGCCGGCTGGCCTCTGGGCTCCTTGTGGCTTGAGGTTCAGATGCTGGCATCGTTGGTGCTGTAGCCTGGTGGCTGCCAGTACAGAGGATGCTCAGGCCTCCAGGTATCAGCAGTCTTCACTGCCCCCTGCTGCTGAGACGCAGTGGCAGGTCAAACTGCACAGAACCCCTGGCCATGGTTCCTGCCTCCCATCCTCTCTTTGCCCTTGTGGGTCCCTCTCAGAGCATTTATCTCTGCAGAGGACCTCCCAGGATTGTTCCTAAGGGTGGCATATGTGAAACTTCAGCAGCTGAGCATTGTTGGAGTAATTTTCTCTTTTGGGCCTCATCACCTCCGTGGAAGTCAGGAGGGATAGGCAGGGCAGGATGGTCACCTCCATGCTTTACAGATGGAGGAAGCAGCCTGGCGAGGCTGAGCAGGGTTGCACGGGCCAGGAGCTGAAGCCTGCTGTTTGTCTCGCAACGGATCTCTGGGGCGTCTTTCCAAGCCAGTCTCCCTGCGTGGTTCCAGGAAGCTACAGGGGTGGGGAGGTTGTGTGCTGGCCTGCTGGTGCTACGGGGCAGTGGCAGCGATGGGGAAGGGGCTAGACGGGCTTCAGGGGAGAGCTGCAGGGACTGGTGAGCCGGGACCCCCAAGAACCTGGATGTGGGGCTTTGCGGGAAGGTTAGAGGTGGCCCTTGGACTCCATAAAAGGGCAGATGGCATTTGAGCACTGTAGAGAAGGCAGGGAGTTTGTGATGTGATCACAGTTGGTTCTGGGATGGTCTGTGCACTGTTTGGAATGCCAGGTCCTGCCTTTCCTCACTTCCTAGCTCTGCCCTCCCAGGTCTGCTCTCTGTCTGACGCAGGTTGGTGTTCTGATGATGCACTCCTCCATCGCCAGCCGCGTCCCTTTCTGGAGTTATAGCACATCCCATGAAGCTATCTGGTCCCGAAGTCCCTCTGGGGCCCCGGAGTACAGTGTGCCTTCCAGAGCGTGCATCGCTCCCTTCCCCACTGGGCAGCACCTGTTCAGAATGGGTGCTTGCCAGAGGCCTGCCCATGGCCCCTGGTGGCTCAGATGCTGGCCATCTCTGAGGCCCCATTCAAGGCCCTTATTATTCACTCTTGCCTCAGGACAGAGGTGACCCCTCCATTTAGAAGGTCACCGAGCAATATGCCCTCTGTTTTGTCTTTTAGTTGTGCTATCAACAGTGGTCTCTGTCCTCCCTATTTTTTTAGTTTTTGAGATGGAGTCTCATGCTGTCACCCAGGCTGGAGTGCAGTTGTATGATCTTGGCTCACTGCAACCTCTGCCTCCCAGGTTCAAGCAATTCTCCCCACCTCAGCCTCCCAAGTAGCTGAGACTACAGGTGTGCGCCACCACGCCCAGCTAATTTTTGTATTTTTAGTAGAGATGGGGCTTTGCCATGCTGTCCAGGCTGGTCTTGAATTCCTGGCCTCCGGTGATCCACCCGCCTTAGCCTCTCAAAGTGCTGGGATTACAGGCATGAGCCACCGTGCCCGGCCCTCTGTCCCTTCTTGAGGGCATCTGGAGAAGAGATGGCTGGCCCAGGGCAGAACCCAGCATCCACACCTCTGGTCTCCTGGAGATGCGTGGTCGCCTGTTACAATAGCCCAGCCAGCCCTTGGCTTCCAAACCTTCTCCCCTCTGCTGCTGCTGCTGCTTTGAAGTGTGCTGGACAAATCTCCCTTTCCTAGTAGCAACTTGTATGGAAGGTGAAATGACCTGTGGGAAAGCCCCACTGGGAAGCAGCTGCCAGCTCTTTCCAAGACAGAATGTGCAGTAAGGCTTTACTGCCAGGTGTGAGCAGGCCTGCCAGGGATGCTGGAACCTTCTGTTCTGGGCACTCCAGCAGGGCATGGGTGTCCCCTACCCCGGGTGTGGGAGTCTGTGTCTGATGGGTCTCAGACTGCTCTGGTGGAGACCTATCTTAGTGGGCTGTGAGTAGTGCGAGCAGATGGGCTGGAATTTCTCCTGCATTTCTTTGCTGGAAATGTTTTGATTTTCTTAGTGATGTAACTGTGGACATGTGTGCTTCTGCTAGTACTCTGTCTCCCTCTTGTTCTTTGTGGGCAAATGTTGAAGAGAAATCAATTCTAAACAATTTATGCAGCATACTAAATTTCACACAGTAATTTGAGACAGCTCAGTTTGAGACAGCCTTGAAACAAGGCTAAGGCTTGCTGACAAAGGAGAAATTGAATCTAGAGAAAGAATTTGTATTGCAGAGACTCGTGGGTTTCTACAGGGCATGAATCCACTAATTCCTGGGCGTTGCATAGCCCAAAGCAGTAGCTCTCCAAGTGTGCCCAGGGGTCTCTGGGGGTTCCCTGACCCTTCTAGGGGCTCCGTGAGGTCAAAACTGTTTTCATGATAATACTGAGGTGTCATTTGCCTTTCTCTCATCCTCACAAGCATAAGGTAGCATTTCCAGACACTATTTGATATGTGATGACATCATTGCTCTGACAGCTAATGGGATGTATGCTTGGGATTCTCTCTTTTTTTCTCTCTCTCTTTTGAAAGAACAGTGCCTCACTGTGTTGCCCAGGATGGATTGCAGTGGCTGGGTCATAGCTCACTGTAACCTTGAACTCCTGGGTTCAAGAGGTACTCTCACCTCATAATAAAATAAAAAATAAAATTTTTATTTTATTTTATTTGTAGAGTCAGGGTCTGGCTATGTTGCCCAGGCTGGTCTTGAATTCTTGGACTCAAGTGACCCTCCCACCTTGGCTTCTCAAAGTGCTGGGATTATAGGCATGAGCCACCGCACCTGGCCTTTTTTTTTTTTTTTTTTTTTTTTAAGAATTTTTTTGGCCGGGCACGGTGGCTCACGCCTGTAATCCCAACACTTTAGGAGGCCGAGGCAGGTGGATCACGAGGTCAGGAGATCAAGACCATCCTGGCTAACACAGTGAAACCCTGTCTCCACTAAAAATACAAAAAATTAGCCGGGCGTGATGGTGCGCGCCTAATCTCAGCTACTCGGGAGGCTGAGGCAGGAGAAGGGCATGAACCCGGGAGGCGGAGCTTGCAGTAAGCCGAGATCTTGCCACTGCACTCCAGCCTGGGTGACAGAGCGAGACTCCGGCTCAAAAAAAAAAAAAAAAAAAAAAAAAAAAAAAAGAACTTTTTTTATTGTGGTAAAATACACATACAATTTACCAGTTTTAAGTACACAATTCAGTGGCATTAAGAACATTCAGAATGTTGTGCAGCCAGCACCACTACCCATTTCCAGAACTTTTTTTTTTTTTTATCATCCCAAACGGTAACTCTATACTTTTTAAACAGTAACTCCCCAATTCCCCTGCCCACAGCCTTTGGCAATTTCTGTCTGTATAGATTTGCCCATTCTAGATATTTCATACTAATGGAATCATACAATATGTTGTCCTTTGTGTCTGGCTTCTTTCACTTAGCATTATGTTTTCGCAGTTCATCCATGTTATAGCATGTGTTAGTATTTCATTTCTTTTTTAAATTGTGGTAAGATATATGTAACATAAAATTTACCATATTATCTTTTTTAGAGACAGGGTCTCACTCTGTTGTCAAGGCTAGAGTGCAGTGGTGCAATCAAATCATAACTCACTGCAGCCCTGACCTCCTGGGCTCAAGTGATCCTCCTATCTCAGCCTCCGGAGTAGCTAGGACCATAGGTGCATGCCACCGTGTCTGGCAAATTTTTCTATTTTTTGTGGAGATGAGGTCTCACTATGTTGTCTGGGGTGGTCTCAAACTCCTGGCTTCAAGCGATCTTCCTGTCTCAGCCTCCCAAAGTTCTGCGATTACAGGCATTAGCCACCATGCCCAGCCCCATTTTAACCTTTTTTTTTTTGAGACGGAGTCTCGCTCTGTCACCCAGGCTGGAGTACAGTGGTGCAGTCTTGGCTCACTGCAAGCTCCACCTCCCAGGTTCACGCCATTCTCCTGCCTCAGCCTCCTGAGTAGCTGGGACTACAGGTGCCCGCCACCATGCCCGGCTAATTTTTTGTATTTTTAGTAGAGATGGGATTTCACCGTGTTAGCCAGGATGGTCTTGATCGCCTGACCTCATGATCCACCCACCTCAGCCTCCCAAAGTGCTGGGATTACAGGCGTGAGCCACCACGCCCGGCCCCATTTTAACCATTTTTAAGTGTACGGTTAATTCAGCAGTGCTAAGAACATGCAGAATGTTATGGAACGAGCACCATTACCCACTTCCAGAACTTTTTTGTCAATCCAAACAGAAACTATACCCATTAGACAATACTCCCTATTCTCCTCACCCCTAGTCCTTGGCAACCACCATTCTACTTTCCATCCTTATTAAATTGACTACTGTAGGTACTTCTTATGAGTGAAATCATATACTATTTGCCTCTTTTGTGTCTGTCTTCTTTCACTTAGCATAATGTTGTCCAGGTTCATTCATGTTGTAGCATGTGTCAGAATTTTCTTCCTTTTTATGGCTGATGGCTGATCACATTCACTTTTGTTTTTTATTTTTTGTCTCACTCTTTCACCCAGGCTGGAGTATAGTGATGCGATCTCGGCTCACTGCAACCTCTGCTTCCCAGGTTCAAACAATTCTTGTGCCTCAGCCTCCCAAGTAGCTGGGATTACAGGCGTGTGCCACCATACCCAGCTAATTTTTGTATTTTTAGTAGACACGGAGTTTCACTATGTTGGCTAGGCTGACCTTGAGCTCCTGGCCTCAAGTAATCCACCTGCCTCGGCCTCCCAAAGTTCTAGGATTACTGACGAGTGTGGTGAGCCACCATGCCTGGCCCACATTCACTTTTTTTTTTTTTTTTTTTAACAGTTTTGCTCCTGTTGCCCAGGCTGGAGTGCAATGGCGTGACCTTGGCTCACTGCAACCTCCATCTCCCTGGTTCAAGTGATTCTTGTGCCTCAGCCTCCCAAGTAGTTGGAACTACAGGTGTGCGCCACCACGCCCAGCTAACTTTTGTACTTTTGGTAGAGACGGGGTTTCACCGTGTTGGCCAGGGTGGTCTTGAACTCTTGACCTCAGGTGATCCGCCCACCTCGGCCTCCCAAAGTGCTGGGATTACAGGCATGAGCCACCATGCCAGGCCCCACATTTACTTTTGAAGCGACACAATACACCATTACTTGGTTGCCCATGGGGTACTACATGCCTCCTGTTTTTATGGTGGAATAATATTCTTTTGTAGAGCTATACCACATTTATTTATCCTCCCATCTGTCATGGCCACTTGGGTTGTCTCTGCCTCTTGGCTAGTATGAATAATGCTGTTGGGAACAGTGGTGTGCCAGCATCTGTTTGAGTCTCTGCTTTTAATTCTCTTGAGTACATGCCTATGAGTGGAATCGTGAGCATTTGATAATTCTATTAAAAGGTTAAAACCTTTGAGCAGGTGCTTCAGATTCTTGTGTTCAAAAAATTCTCAAGTGTTTTTTTTGAGACAGGGTTTCGCTGTGATGCCCAGGCTGGAGTACAATGGCGCAGTCTCGGCTCACTGCAAAGGACCATCCACCTCCGAGGTTCAAGTGGTTCTCCCACTTCAGCCTCCCGAGTAGCTGGGACTACAGGAGCGTGCCACCACGCCCGGCTGATTTTTGTATTTTTTGGTAGATACAGGGTTTCATCATGTTGGCCAGGCTGGTCTTGAACTCCTGACCTCAAGTGTTCCGACCACCTTGGCCTCCCAAAGTGCTGGGGTTACAGACGTGAACCACTATGTCTGGCCAAATTTCTCAGTTTTAATTTCTGATACAGTAAATATTGACAGATATAACCCACATAAATAAAAGCTCTTTGGGGTCTTCAATAATTTTAAGTGTATTAAGGTGTCTTAGAATGAAGAAGTCTAGGAACTGCTGATGTGGCAGGTTTTTTTTTTTTTTTAAACGGAGTCTCGCTCTGTCGCCCAGGCTGGAGTGCAGTGGCACGATCTTGGCTCACTGCAACCTCCGTCTCCCGGATTCAAGCGATTCTCCTGCCTCAGCCTCCCGAGTAGCTGGGACCACAGGCACCCACCACCACGTCCGGCTAATTTTTTTGTGTTTTTAGTAGAGACGGGGTTTCACCATGTTAGCCAGGATGGGGCTGTCCTTATGTTGGTACTGTGGCTGGTATGTTGTGGGCATGGATTGTTTCATAAAGTGTCAACAATCCATTGGCTAAGAGGAGCTGGCCTGCCTCTGCCATGCTACAGCAAGGTGACAGTCATCACCAGAAGGCCTGGGACAGGACCTTGTAAAGCCATCAGTGAAAAGGGGTGACTTTCTTTTTCTTTTTTTTGAGACAGAGTCTTGTTCTGTTGTACAGGCTGGAGTGCAGTAGCGTGATCTTGGCTCACTGCAACCTCGCCTCCCCGGTTCAAGCGATTCTTGTGTCTCAGCCTTCCGAGTAGCTGGGATTACAGGTGTGTGCCACCACGTCCAGCTAATGTTTGTATTTTAGTAGGGACAGGGTTTCGCCTTGTCCAGGCTGGTCTCAAACTCCTAGCCTCAAGTGATCCTCCTACCTTGGCCTCCCAAAGTGCTGGGATTATAGGCATGAGCCACCATACTGGGTCAAGGGTGACTTTTTTTTTTTTAAAGACAGAATCTTGCTCTGTCGTCCAGGCTGGAGTGCAGTGGTACAATCTCGGCTCACTGCAACCTCTGCCTCCTGGGTTTAAGAAATTCTCTGCCTCAGCCTCCAGAGTAGCTGGGATTACAGACATGTGCCACCATGCCCAGCTAATTTTTTTGTATTTTTAGTAGAGTCAAGGTTTCACCATCTTGGCCAGGCTGGTCTTGAACTCCTGACCTTGTGATCCACGTGCCTTGGCCTCCCAAAGTGCTGGGATTACAGGCGTGAGCCACCACGCCTGGCCAAGGGTGACTGTTTTTAAGCAACTTTGTATGTGGCAGAAGTTGCACTTACTGCTTTACAGAGAGACTGTGGAGGATATTGAGAAAGGACAGGCAATTTTTTGTTGGTGGTGGTGTTTTGTTTTTTTGAGACAGGTTGGAGTACAGTGGTGTGATCGTGACTCACTGCAGTCTTGACTTCTCAGGCTGAGGTGATTCTCCCACCTCAGCCTCCTGAGTAGCTGGGACTACAGGCATGCACACCACCACATCTGGCTTATGTTTTGTATTTTTAGTAGAGCTGGGATTTCACCATGTTGGCCAGGCTGGTCTCGAACTCCTGGGCTTAAGTAATCTACCTGCCTTGGCCTCCCAAAGTGTTGGGGTAACAGGCGTGAGTCACCACGCGTAGTCAGTGGAAACGCAGTGTTGATGTCCAGCTAAAGCAATGCCAGTTTGACCTGTTGGAGTCACCATCTGGTGTGCTGTGCTGGATGCAAGCTCTGTCATGTCCTGGAATTGACTTTCTTTGTTCATTACCACAGCCCTGTCACCTGGAGAACTGCCTGGCACAGAGTAGGTGCCAGTGTTAATGAGTGATCCACATCTTCAGTTGCTTCCAGAATAGACCCGGCTTGACAGATGGATCAAGAAGGGAGAAAAACCTTCCCTATTGGAGAACTTCTGACACTTCATTGTCTGCTAGCAGAATATGGGAAGATTTTGAGCTGTGCAGTTCATTAGGCATTTAGTGCATGCCTCCATGTGTGGGGTGTTGGTGACATGGAGTATGGGGCAGCAATAAAGATGTGTCCCTCAGCCAGACACAGTGGCTCATGCCTGTAATCCCAAAACTTTGAGAGCATAAGGTGAGAAGATTGCTTGAGCTCAGGAGTTCGAGACCAGCCTGGGCAACATAGCAAGACCTTGTCTTTACTAAAAATAAAAAATAAAAAATTAGCTGAGTATGGTGGTATGTGCCTGTAGTCCCAGCTACTTGGGAGTCTGGGGCAAGAGGATCACTGGAGCCCAGGGTGTCTACGCTGCAGTAATCTGTGGTCATGCCGCTGCATTCCAGCCTGGGTGACAGAGCGAGACCCTGTCTCAAAAAACAAAACATTTACATGTATGTAAAATGTCCCTATATGTATACTCGAGAACAGGGTTTGGCAAACTATACCTGCAACTGGCCACTGTTTTTTTTTGTTTTTCGCTAAAGCTTTATTGGACATGCCTATGCCCACGCATTCCCATATTATCTGCAGCTGCTTTAGCTCCACGGCAGCAGGGTTGAGCAGCTGTGGCAGAGAGAGGGTGGCCTGTGAAGCTGGCCACCTGGAAATACTTATCATCTGGCCCTTGAAGGAAAAGTGTGCTGACCCTACTCAGGGTGTGAAGAAAAGAACAGAGAAGGGCTGCTTAGGAAAACAGGGCTAGGCCAAGAAGGCCGACTCAGTTAGGGGAGTTTGGGGAGGGGTTCCTGGAGAGTGGTGTGTCTTGAGACCTGGGGAGAGGGGATGCCATGGACTAAGGCCCAGCAGTGGGGAGCCCAGCTGTGTTCAGGATGTAGCAAGACAGTCATTCTGCTGATAGCTTATTTTTCCTCTTTTGATAACTATTTTTTTTTTAAAAGTCTGGAGAAAGAAAGAAAAGGACAGAAAATCCGTGTGGGGGCTATTTTAGCCAGAGCTGTCTGGTTGTAAGGAGTAGCTGTAGGAGGAACTTTTCCCTGAGCCCAGGGAGGAAGCACAGCCATCCTTGGGGTCATGGGACTGTGAAGGGTGTTGCTCCCCTTTCTCAGCCCTTCTGGTCTTAGCCCTTACCTCTTTCTGCCTCAGGGTGCACAGAACTTCAAGTGACTGTCTCAGTCTGGCTAGCCTGGATCTTCCCACTCCCATCACCTTACAGACTCTTCTCATTGGCCCAGCCTGGGGCAGGGCAGGTGGCACTCATGGAGTGGCCAGATGGGCACTTCTCAAAGAGGAAGGCTGTTTGGGCCTTTGGAGCCTTTCCCAGACATGCATAGAGTATGGAGAGAAGAAGTATTCTTCAAGTGTGTTTGAGTTATGGACACTAAGTGTGGTCGGCTATGCCCTGGGAACACAGGAGTGAACAGTGCAGACATGACCTGTGCCCTCAGGAAGCTTTACTTTTTTTTTCGAGACAGAGCCTTGCTCTGTCGCCCAGGCTGGAGTGCAGTGGTGCAATCTCAGCTTACTGCAGCTTCCGCCTCCCGGATTCGAGCAGTTCTCTGCCTCAGCCTCCAGAGTAGCTGGGATTACAGGCACCCGCACCACACCTGGCTAATTTTTGTGTTTTTAGTAGAGACGAGGTTTCAACATCTTGGCCAGGCTGGTCTTGAACTCCTGACCTTGTGATCCACCCGCCTCGGCTTCCCAAAGTGCTGGGATTACAGGCGTGAGCCACTGCACCTGGCTGTTTCACTTACATATCTATATATGTATATATATATATAGGTTTACTATATACTGATATATAGGAAGCCAGGAGTGACAAGTACTACTTAGAAGCAGCCAAGGCAAGGCAAGGTGGATGTGGTGCATGGGGGAAGGGGCCTTGTTTGCCAGAGAAGACTTGGCTGACGTTTGCTTTTGGAGGATATAGGGGTATGGAGAAAGAAAACCCCCAGTGTTGTTACTTATTACTTCTTACTCAACTATTTCCAAAAATAATTTAAGGTAGTGCATTGAAGTTTTTCTGGGCCTAGGGTATGATATGTTAGGGCGTAGATTTGGAGGGCTGTGACATGAGCTATGAATTTACTTTGAACAACACCATAGGGTGTTTTTTTTTTTTGTTTTTTTTTTTAATAGAATGGACACTGTTAAAATATTCTGCTGGGCGGGGTAGCTCAGGCCTGTAGTCTGAGGTGGGAGAGTCATTTGACTTTGAGGCACCATGATTGTGCCTGTGAATAGCCACCACTGCACTCTGGCCTGGGCAACATAGTAAGACCCCATCTCTAAAAAATAAAAAAGAATGTTCTGTTGCTAAATCTCTATTCAGTGAATGAACTCTTTCTCAGTATAGTTTGGGAAATTAGAAGGCTTTTTTTTTCCTTTTTCCTGCATTAGTCTTTAAAAAAATTTTTTGTTAACTTTATGGACACAGTAGTTACATGTGTGGGGTATATATGATATTTTGATACAAGCATAGAATGTGTAATGATCAAATCATGGTAATTGGGGTATCTGTCACTTCAAGCATTTGTAACTTTTCTTGTGTTAGGAACATTCTGATTCTACTCATTTAGTTATTTTGAAGTATAGAATAAACCATTATTAACTATAGTTAACTGTGTTTTTGTACCTATTAACCAACCTCTTTTTCTCACCTCTGCCTTTCCCAGCCTCTGGTAACCACTACTCCACTCTCTAGCTCCATGAGTTTAACTTTTTTTAAGCTCCCACATATGAATGAGAACATGTGAAGTTTGTCTTTCTGTGCCTGGCTTATTTCACTTAACATAATGTCCTCCAGTTCCATTCATGTTCCATTTTTATGGCAAAATAATAAGAAGTTAGAAATTTTTAATAAAACTGAAGACCTAGAATACACTGAGGAGGAATGGAGGGTTCCAGGTTCTTGGTCTAATGGTTAATTGTGGCTGAGGAAGACAGACATTAGGCCAGAAGAGCATGTCCCAATTGCTGATTTACTCATCAAATAGTGCTTCAGTACCAGTCATGGGGCAAGCCCTGGATTTATAATTATGAAAAGGACCTAGCTCCTGTATGGATGGCGGGGGTGAGATCTGGTAGGCCAAGGCTGTCTTTTCCAGAGAAGCAAGCACGTTAGGTGGGCCATGATTCAATTTAGTTCTTCAGTTCCAGGCATATCTAGTCCTAGAACACAGGGTGCCTGGATTTTTAGCCTTGTGGTCAGTATCTTTTGATCTCAAAATTGTTTCCTGATTTTTTAAACAGAAATCTATTTCATGATAGTTAAAAAAAGCCTTATTGAGGTATAATTGACTTATAATAAATGATACATAAAGTGTAAAATTTGAGTTGTTTTTTTTTTTTTTTTTGAGACGGAGTCTTGCGCTGTTGCCCAGGCTGGAGGGCAGTGGCGCGATCTGGGCTCACTGCCAGCTCTGCTTCCTGGGTTCACGCCATTCTTCTGCCTCAGCCTCCCGAGTAGCTGGGACTACAGGCGCCCGCCACCACGCCCGGCTAATTTTTTGTATTTTCAGTAGAGACGGGGTTTCACCGTGTTAGCCAGGATGGTCTTCATCTCCTGACTTCATGATTTGCCTGCCTCGGTCTCCCAAAGTGCTGGGATTACAGGTGTGAGCCACCGCGCCTGGCCAAGTTTTTTGTTTTTTTGAGACAGAATTTTGCTCTTGTTGCCTAGGCTGAAGAGCAGTGGCGTGATTTCGACTCACTGCAACCTCTGCCTCCCAAGTTCAAGCGATTCTCCTGCCTCAGCCTCCTGAATAGCTGGGATTATAGGCATGCACCACCACGCCTGGCTAATTTTGTATTTTTAGTAGAGATGGGGTTTTTCCATGTTGGTCAGGCTGGTCTCGAACTCCCGACCTCAGGTGATCCATTCACCTCAGCCTCCCAAAGTGCTGGGATTATAGGCGTGAGCCTCTGCACACGGCCAAATTTGAGTTTTCATATATGTATAAATCTGTGAAACCGTCACCACAGTCAAGATAACAAACACAGCGTATCGTCACCCCAAACATTTTCTCGTGCTCCTTTGTAATCCCTCCCACCCCCATCCCTTTCTGTCTTGATAGCTGCAAGTGCATTTTTTAGATTTTTATATAAATGTTGTCATACAGTAGGTATTCTTTTGAGTACATACTGGCTTCTTCACTCAATATAATTATTTTGAGATTCATCCATGCTGCGGAATGTGTTAATAGCTTATTCCTTTTTATTGCTGAGTAGTATTCCATTGTATGGCTGTACACAACTTACCAATTTGCTTCTTGATAGACACTGTTTGTTTCCAGCTTTTGGATATTACAAATAAAAGTACTATGAACAAGTCTTTGTGTGGACATATGCTTTCATTTCTCTTGGTTAAATACCTAGGAATGGAATGGTCAGATTATATGGTAGGTATACATTCAGTTTTTAAAGAAACTGTCAAATTGTTTTCCAAAGAAGTTGTACCATTTACATTTTCACTGGGAGAGTTCCAGTTGCTTCACACACTTGCCACCACTTGGTATGGTCATTCTTTTTCATTTTAGCCATTCTAGTAAGTGGTTTCTCTTCATGGTTTTTTGTTTTTGTTTTTGTTTGTTGAGACGGAGTCTCATTCTGTCGCCCAGACTGGAGTGCAGTGGTGCAATCTTGGCTCACTGCAACCTCTGTCTCCTGGGTTCAAGCAATTCTGCCTCAGCCTCCTGAATAGCTGGGATTACAGGCGCCCGCCACCGCACCCATCTAATTTTTGCGTTTTTGGTAGAGATGGGGTTTCATCATGTTGGCCAGGCTGGTCTCAAACTCTTAACCTCAGGTGATCCACCCACCTCAGCCTCCCAAAGTGTTGGGATCACAGGCATGGGCCGCCGTGCCCCACCTTTTCATGCTTTAATTTGCATTTCCTTAATGACTAGACGTTGAGCATCTTTTCATGTGCTTGCTAGCCATCTGTATATATCTTCCTTGGTTAAGTGACCATTAAGATCTTTTGCCTATTTTATTTATTATTTTTTTTTAGAGTTGGGGAGGTCTTGCTGTTGCCTAAGCTGGAGTGCAGCATTGCAATCCTAGTTCACCACAGCCTCCAACTCCTAGGCTTAGGCAGTCCTCTTGCCTCAGCCTCCTGAGTAGCTGGGACTACAGGCATGTGTCACCAAGCCCAGCTAATTTTTTTGTTTTTTTTTTGTAATGTAGAGATGAGGTCTTGTTATGTTGCACAGGCTGGTTTTGAACTCCTGGGCTCAAGTGTTGCTCCCACCTTGGCCTCCTAAAGTGTTGGGATTACAGGTATAAGCCATTGCACTTGGCCCATGCCCATTTAAAAAATTGGGTTGTTTTCTTATTGAAATTTGAGCATGCTTTATATATTCTGGTTACAAGCAAGCCCTTTATCAGATACATGATTTGCAAATGTTTTCTCTCTGTGTGTGGTTTGTCTATGCATTATCTTAACATGTCTTTTGAAAAACAAAAGTTCTCAATTTTGATGAAGTCCAATTTATCAATTTTTTTTATAGATTGTGTTTTTGGTAGATATATTAAAGGTATTTGCTTAAACCAAGGGTGCGAAGATTTTCTTCTTGTGTTTTCTTCTCTTGAGTTTTATAGTTTTAGGCTTCACCTGTAGGCCTATGATCGATTTTGATTTTTTTTTTTTTTTTTCGAGGTGGAGTTTCACTCTTGTTGCCCAGGCTGGAGTGCAATGGCACTATCTCGGCTCACCACAACCTCCGCCTCCCAGATTCAAGCGATTCTCCTGCCTCAGCCTCCCGAGTAGCTGGGATTACAGGCATGCACCACCATGCCTGGCTAATTTTGTATTTTTAGTAGAGACAGGGTTTCACCTTGTTGGTCAGGCTGGTTCGGAGCTCCCGACCTCAGGTGATCTACCCGCCTCAGGCTCCGAAAGTGCTGGGATTACAGGCATGAGCCACTGGGCCTGGCTATTCTGAATTTTTTATGCGGTTCAAGGAATGGATCAAAGTAGTTGTTCTTTGTTCCTCTTTCTTCCTCCTCCTCCTCCTTCTTCTCTTCTTTCTTCCTCCTCTTCCTCCTCCTTTTTTTAACTTCATTTTGTAGATGAACTCCTTCCTTCCTTCTTCCTTTCTTTCCTCCTCCTCCTCCTCTTCATTTTTCTTTCTTCCGTGTTTCGCAGTACCATTCTGTTGAAAGGCCTGTTCTTTCTTCAGGGAGCTGCCTTTGCACCTAGGTCTTTAAAAAATGTTTTTTCTCAGCAATGTTGAAAATTTTTCAGTGTACAGGACTTCACATCTTTTGTTAGATTTATACCTAAGTATTTCTTATTTTTTGATACTATTGTTAATGGTAATTTTTAAATACCTGAACTTACAGTAGAGTTTGTATAGAATTGACATCAATTCTTCCTTAAATATTTGGAGGAATTTTCCATTGAAGCTATTTGTGCCTGGAGTTTCCTTTGAAGATTTTTAACTAAAAATTCAATTCCTTTTAGGGCTGTTCAGATTGTTTATTTATTTTGGAGTGAACTTTGCATTTCATCTTTCAAAGAATTTGTGTATTTCATCCAAATTGTCAGATTTATTGACATAAAGTTTTTCATACTATTACCTTATTCTTCACTCCTCTGTTAGCCTTTATACTTTCTCTGGAATCCACAGTGATGACATCTCTCTTCTGATAGTAGTATTTTTTTTTTTTTAAGATGGAGTCTCGTTCTGTCGCCCAGGCTGCAGTGCAGTTGTGTAATCTTGGCTTCCTGTAACCTCTGCCTCCCAGGTTCAAGCGATTCTCCTGCCTTAGCCTCCTGAGTAGCTGGGACCACAGGCATGTGCCACCACACCTGGCTAATTTTTGTATTTTTAGTAGACAGGGTTTCGCCATGTTGGCCAGGCTGGTCTCGAACTCCTGACCTCAGATGATCTGCTGGATCATCTCCCAAAGTGTTGGGATTACAGGTGTGAGCCACCATGCCTGGCCTGGTATTTTGTATTCTTTATTTTTTTTTGCTGATCAGACTGTCTAGAGGTTTATTAATATTACTGATCTCAAAAAAACAACTTTTGTTTTTCTTATTTTCTCTATTTTTCTGTTTTCAATTTCAGTAATGTCCACTCTCATCTTTATTATTTCTTACTGCTGGGTTTCATTTGCTCTTCTTTTGTAATTTCCTTTTTTTTCAGGTTCAAGCGATTCTCCTGCCTCAGCCTCCCACGTTGCTGGGATTACAGGCGTGCATCACCACACCCAACTAATTTTTGTATTTTAGTATTCACCATGTTGGCCAGGCTGGTCTCGAACTCCTGTCCATTCACCATGTTGGCCAGGCTGGTCTCGAACTCCTGACCTCAAGTGATCTGCCTGCCTCAGCCTCCCAGAATGCTGGGATTACAGGCATGAGCCACCACGCCCAGCCCTTGCTGGTTTTCTATCTGCTTGTTCTATCAAGAGGGTTATTAAAAGCTCTGACTTTAATTGTGGATTCGTCTATTAGCAGTTACAGTAGTTTCTGTTTCATGAATTTTGAAGTTTCTTTTGTAAATTTTAATAGATACATAAACATTTAGGATTATGTCCTCTTGAATCAATCCCTTTATCATTATTAAATGACCTTCTTTATTCCTGGTAATATTTGCACTGAAGTCTACTTTGTGTGATATTAATACACTCCAGCTAGCCTTTTTTTGAGACAGAGTCTCACTCCTGTTGCCCAGGCTGTAGTGCAGTAGCACGATTATAGCTCACTGCAGCCTTAACTTTCCAGGCTCAGGTGATCCTCCCACCTCAGCCTCTCGAGTAGCTGGGACTATAGGCGTTTGTCCCAATACCCGGCTAATTTTTTGTATTTTTAGAGAGATGGCATTTTGCCATGTTGCTCAGGCTGGTCCTGAACTCCTGGGCTCAAGTGATCCTTCTGCATCAGCCTCCCAAAATGCTGGGATTATGGAGATGACAGGAATGAGCCATGTACCTGCCCTTCCAGCTATCCTTTGATTAGTGTTAACATGGTATATCTTTTTTATTCTTTTATTTTCTCTTATTTATGCCTATATAAAGTGAGTTTGTTTTAGGTAATATGTAGTTGTATCTTGATTTTTTCCCTACATGACAAATTCTGCCTTTCAGTTGGAGTGTTTAGATCGTTCTGCGTATTTATTGATTAGGCAAGTTTAATTAAAATCTACCATATTACCCTTTGTTTTCATTTGTACCATCTGTTTGTCTTTTTTTTTTCCTTCTTTTGGATTATTTTTTATTCTCTTCTATGTTGGCTTACTTGCCACAACTCTTGTGTTATTTTAGTCGGGTTCATCATTAACTTATCATAGACTACCTTCAAGTGATGGACCACTTTACCTGTAGTTTGAGAGCCTTAAAACAGTGTGCTTCTGTTTCTCTCTTCCCACCTTTGGTGCTACTATTGTCAAAATTTTACTTCTGTGTATGTTATAAACTGCACAATACAGTATCTGTGTGTTTGCTTTAAATAATTGTAGGTCAACAGCTTTTTCTTTCAGAACTTTAACATGTCACATCACTGTCTTCTAGGCTGTATCGTTTCTAATGAGAAATCTGCTGTCATCTAGATCTTTGTTTTTCTGTGCATGTCTTCTTTTTCTGCCTGCTTTTAGGATTTTATCGCTGATTTTAAGCAATTCAATTCCAATGTGACTTGGAATTGTATTGTTTGTATTTCTGGTGCTTGTGGTTCATTGAGCTACCTGGATTTGTGGGTTTATAGTTTTCATCAAATTGGGAAATTTTCCCCATTGTTTCTTCAGATGTTGTGTCTGTTCCCCCATGTATTAGGGTGTGTGAGGTTGTTCCACAGCTTACTGATGATTTGCACATTTTTTCCTGGTATTTTTTCATTCTGTGTTTTAGTTCAGAGTGTTTCTATTATTATATCTTCAAGTCACTAATCTTTTCTACTACAAAATCTAACCTGTTAATGTTCTGCAGCGTACTTTTCATCTTAAGTGTTACAGTTTTTATCTCTAGGTAATAGGTTCGTAAAGGGCCAGGCATTAAATGTTTTCAGCTTTGCAGGCCATATAGTCTTTTCTGCAGCTACTCAGCTCGGCTGCTGTAGCTTGAAAGCAGCCATAGACAATACATATTTGTGGCTGTGTTCTGATAAAACCTGATTTTAAAAACAGATGGGGGCCAGGCACAGTGGTACATGCCTGTAATCCTGGCACTTCGGGAGGCCGAGGCAGGCAGATCACTTGAGGCCAGGAGTTCAAGACCAGCCTGGCCAACATGGCAAAACCCCGTCTCTACTAAAAATATAAAAATTAGCTAGGCATGATGACACATGCTTGTAATTCCAGCTACTCAGGAGGCTGAGGGACAAGAATTGCTTGAACACGGAAGGTGAAGGTTGCAGTGAGCTGAGACTGCACCACTGGCACTCCAGCCTGGGTGACAGAATGAGACTCTGTCTCAAAAACAAACAAACAAACAAATGGGAAGAGATTGATCCAGCCCATGGGCTATGGTTTGCTGGCCTACTGCCACTTCCTCAATGGCCTCTCACCCTTTGGTCCCACAGAGCTGCGGTGCAACCCTGGGCAGTTTGCGTGTCGCAGCGGCACCATCCAGTGCATCCCCCTCCCCTGGCAGTGTGACGGCTGGGCGACTTGCGAGGATGAGAGCGACGAAGCCAACTGTCCAGGTGAGTGTGTTGAGTAGGCGGGGTACACACCACCTTGTCTCTTTGTTGTAGCTGGGTGACTGTGCCTCTTGTGAGGGGTGGAGGTGTGTGCTGTCTTAACACATTGGAAAGTTAGTTTGAGCCGACCCCTTCCTCTCTCTCTGTCTTTCTGTCTTTTTAAAAAATAAGTGCCCAACCTAGGCAGATCCCAGAACTTGCAAGATGGCAGGGCTGTGGGGAGGCCCGTGAGATGCCCAGGAGGCTCCACTTAAGGAGGCGCTGCACTCCCTGGACTTGGATGATCTTGAGTGTGAACCCCTCCTGAGGGGTGGCACCTTGGCCACCTCTCTGACCTTATCCCCATCCTGGCTCTGGATGTGGGTGCCTCTTGATCCTGAATGTGCTCTTTTAGACTGGCCTTGGCACGCCCTCCCCTCCTGCTCACTCATTCACCTGGAACTTTGCACTCACAGGTTCTCTCCTGGCCATTATGTAGTCTCCTAAAGATGTATGGAAAGGCCACAAAAAGGCTAAATCGGAGAACCAGGTTCTTCACCTGGTTTCTGCCTCAGCACCCTCAAGGAATACAGGGCACCCCATGAATAACAATGTTCACTGGATCCGTTGTTCTCAACTTTGGTTGGGTGGGAGGTGTAGTGAGTACTTGTGCATGTGTGTGTGAATGTGTGAGACATACATATACATGTATCCATGAATTCGTTTTTAAGACTAGGTGGTGCTGATAAAGCCACTAAGGGGAAAGTGTGTCTTACCCCAGCTTGAGAATCACAGGCTTAAATGCTTTGGCCAGACATGCAGACTCCTTCACAAGCTGGTTTAGGTCTGCTTTGCCAACCTGATTTATCACTACTTCCCCTTCAGTGGCTCAGCTGGGCTGTTTCTTGTGCCCACCCCATTAATAATCTTGTAGATGTGTGCTTCCTTTATGTTTTCCTGGAATTCTCTTGTTCTGTTTCTGCATAGACAAGCCTTACCATCCTTCAAGGTGTAGCTCAGATGTTACCCCAGTGGGAGAATGTCTGTGGTCCCTCATTTTATAGATTGGCTTCTTCCAGTCCCCCATTCGTCCCTCTCTTATAGCATCAGAACCATTGGTAATTCTCACCATTCCTGGTGCCCAGGCTTGATTTTTCCATCCAGACCATGAGTTCCCAGGGGGCAGAGACCTTTCTCCTTCCTTAGTGGGACTTGGCCTAGGACATGAAAGGTGTGCTGTAATTCCTATAGGCTTAGTACTGAAGGAAAACCAATTCATTCCAACCAGGGTATTAGGTAGGGGATTAGGTGACATTTGAACTTGTGGTAGTTCTTTGAGGGGGGGTTCCAAAATAAGAAGCAGAGATGGTCTGGTCAGATTGTATTTGCCTGTAAAGAATGCTGTTTAGGCAGGGTGCGAAGGCTCACACCTGTAACCCAACACTTTGGGAGGCTGAGGTGGGTGGATCGCTTTAGGCCAGGAGTTTGAGATCAGCTTGGCCAACATAGTGAAACCCCGTTTCTAATAAAAATACAAAAATTGGCCAGGTGTGGTGCTGCACACCTATAATCCCAGCTACTCAGGAGGCTGAGGCACAAGAATTGCTTGAACCTGGGAGGAGGAGATTGCAGTGAGTCAAGATTGTGCCACTGCACTTTATCCTGGGCTGCAGAACAAGACTCTGTCTCAAAGGCAAAAAAAAAAAAAAAAAAGCCAGGTGCAGTGGCTCATGCCTTATAATCCCAACACTTTTGGAGGCCGAGGCAGGCAGGATCACTTAAGGTCAGGAGTTTCAGACCAGTCTGGCTGACATCGTGAAATCTCATCTCTACTAAAAATACAAAAATTAGCTGGGCGTGGTGGCGAGCACCTGTAATCCCAGCTGAGGCAGGAGAATCACTTGAATCCAGGAGGTAGAGGTTGCAGTGAGCTGAGATCATGCCAGTGCGCTCCAGCCTGGGCGACAGAGTGAGATTCTGTTTCAAAAAAAAAGAAAAGAATGCTGTTTAGAGGGGGCCCCTCCTGATCATCTCTGGAGCCCATTCTTCATCAGATTATGCGTGTCTCTGGTAGAGGTGTTTGCCTTTCCAAATGAGGGTTTGGATGGTGTTGGCCCGGTCAGGAGCCTCTGGGACAGTCCTTTGTCTGGGAGCCTCTCTGGTGGGTCTTTGGGGTCAAAGCCCAGAGAAAGTGGATTCCCAGTGGGCTTCCCAGTGCTTGGGCTGCTGAAGTTCCCTGGTTGGTCAGCCTGGGGACGACCATGTGGTTATGAGTGGGAGCCTCCCCTTGTCTGACTCATAGAGTGAGACCTTATATCCAGCCTCTTGGAGAATTCCTGAAGAGAGAACCAGATGATTCTTGGTTTGCTTTCAAATGGAAGCAGAGTTTATTTGTTGTTCTCAAAGTGCCATTTGGCTTTGCTTTTGTAGTTGTTTGTAATAACTGTCCTGTTACACACGCTGAACATAGTGGTATCCACACTCATAGTTGCCACCTTGTTCATCTTTCCACGCTCTGAAGACTTGTTGAAGGCAAGGAGTAGGTTTTATTTCTCTTGACCACATGGCCTGGCATGGAGCAGGCATCAACTTTGCACTTGAGTATTGGCTTGAAGTTACATTGGTTGCCATATGTTTTCCCTAGACAGAAAAATAAAATCTCTCATAGAAGCCGAAAGTTACGAGTGGTGGCCTGCACCAGGGCTGAGCAGTGAAGGCATGACAATGAGGACCCGTGTGTGCAAGCCCCCTGAGGCTTGGTAGGGCCTAGGAGTGTTCTGGGTGGGCTGAGGAGGCCACTGCCCTGACAAGGCTCACCCTGCTTCTCCTTGACTCACGGTCCTATGATTGTCCTTGTATAGTGCTGTGTCACAGTCTGGAGGGTGAGCAGATTGATTTCTTTTTTTTTTATTTGAGATGGAGTCTCGCTTTGTTGCCCAGGCTGGAGTGCAGTGGCGCCATCTGGGCTCACTGCAAGCTCTGCCTCCCGGGTTCATGCCATTCTCCTGCCTCAGCCTCCTGAGTAGCTGGGATTACAGGCGCCTGCTACCACACCCGGCTAATTTTTTTTGTATTTTTAGTAGAGACAGGGTTTCACCGTGCTAGTCAGGATCGTCTCGATCTCCTGACCTTGTGATCCGCTCTCCTCGGCCTCCCAAAGTGCTGGGATTACAGGCGTGAGTCACTGTGCCCGGCCAAGCAGGTTGATTTCTAATTGTTCTTAAAGTTGAGATTCTGAGCAAATTAAGTCATAAAAATGTACAAAGAATGTGTAATACGTATTTTCTTACTTCCTTGAATTAATGACTGCTAAATCTTGTGATTTTTTTTCTAGTTTATTTTAAAAGAAATTTTTAAAAAATCATAGATATAGAGTCAAGTCCTCATTGACACTCTCCCTTCCCCCAACCTCCTCCCCTCTCAAAAAAGGAAACTCTTTGTGTTTGTGGGGGAAGTAGAGAGTTAGCTAATAACCACCCTTGCTCAAAAGCTGTGACCTTCCTTTGTATGAGGAGAGTTTCAGTAACCCCTAGGGAAGCCCTGGGCCATTCTCAGTCAAGTTGCTTTTGAACTAGACTTCAGGACTTCTGGAGTTACCTTATGGGGTTACTTCATTGCCCTGCTAAAAGCCTGCTAAAAAGGAGTATAAAAAATGTAAAACCAAAGGGACAAAAAAAGGGGAAAGATGTAACAGTAGATCAGTAATTTCTGCATGTTTTTGAAAAGAGGGAAATGACATGCTAGGTACAGCCTGGGCATTCAGTACCTTCCCACTCACTCCCTTCTGGGCTTGTCCGTGGGTTTCAGAGGCTGGAATGCTGGAGCAGTAGCACTCAGAACCACCTGGCAGCAGGCTTCTGTGTGTCATTTGCCCTATGACATGTGTCTTGGGAAATGTGGCAAGTGGAAGGGAGGTGGAACCTTTCTTCCTCAGGCCATAGTGTATGTTGGGGGTGTGCATGGGCTTAGATTTTTGAGGTGACTTTTTGCAGTGGCTTCTGCCTTCCCCCACTGGCCAGCTGTCTCAGGGCTGCAGAGCAGCTGCAGTATTGGCAGCAGATTTTTGCAGTTTCCTAACCTATAGATGGCAGTAGTAGCTTCCTGACTCTTGACAATGACTGTGGGAATTAGATGGGGAGTTAGCCCACTTTACTTTTGCTCACACTATATAGCCTTGCCAGTTGTTTTGAAAGCACCTATTTTCTGTATTAAACCCTTCGTGTTAGAAATCCCTTAGCATGGTTTCTGTTTTCCCAGTGGAACCATCTTTGTTTTTTTTTTTTTTTCCAAGGCAGGAGAATTTTTCTTAGTACAGAACAAAATGAAAAGTCTCCCATGTCTACTTCTTTCTGCACAGACACAGCAACCATCCGATTTCTCAATCTTTTCCCCACGTTTCCCCCTTTTCTATTCCACAAAACCACCATTGTCATCATGGCCCGTTCTCAATGAGCTGTTGGGTACACCTCCCAGATGGGGTGGTGGCCGGGCAGAGGGGCTCCTCACTTCCCAGAAGGGGCGGCTGGGCAGAGGCGCCCCCCACCTCCCGGACGGGGCGGCTGGCCGGGCGGAGGCGCCCCCCCACCTCCTTCCCGGACGGGGCGGCTGGCCGGGCGGGGGCTGACCCCCCACCTCCCTCCCGGACGGGGCGGCTGGCCGGGCGGGGGCTGACCCCCCACCTCCCTCCCGGACGGGGCAGCTGGCCGGGCGGGGGCTGACCCCCACCTCCCTCCCGGATGGGGTGGCTGCCGGGCGGAGACGCTCCTCACTTCCCAGACGGGGCGGCTGCCGGGCGGAGGGGCTCCTCACTTCTCAGACGGGGTGGCTGCCGGGCGGAGGGGCTCCTCACTTCTCAGACGGGGCGGCTGCCGGGCGGAGGGGCTCCTCACTTCTCAGACGGGGCGGCTCCCGGGCAAAGGGGCCCCTCACTTCTCAGACGGGGCGGCTGCCGGGCGGAGGGGCTCCTCACTTCTCAGACGGGGTGGCCCGGCGGAGACGCTCCTCACCTCCCAGACGGGGTCGTGGCCGGGCAGAGGTGCTCTTCACATCCCAGACGGGGCGGCGGGGCAGAGGCGCTCCCCATATCTCAGATGATGGGCGGCCGGGCAGAGACACTCCTCACTTCCTAGATGGGATGGCGACAGGGAAGAGGCGCTCCTCACTTCCCAGACTGGGCGGCCGGTCAGAGGGGCTCCTCACATCCCAGATGACGGGCGGCCAGGCAGAGACACTCCTCACTTCCCAGACGGGGTGGTGGCCGGGCAGAGGCTGCAATCTCGGCACTTTGGGAGGCCAAGGCAGGCGGCTGGGAGGTGGAGGTTGTAGCGAGCCGAGATCACGCCACTGCACTTCGGCCTGGGCAACATTGAGCACTGAGTGAACGAGACTCCGTCTGCAATCCCGGCACCTCGGGAGGCCGAGGCTGGCGGATCACTCAAGGTTAGGAGCTGGAGACTAGCCCGGCCAACACAGCAAAACCCCGTCTCCACCAAAAAAAATATGAAAACCAGTCAGGCATGGCGGCGCGCGCCTGCAATCGCAGGCACTCGGCAGGCTGAGGCAGGAGAATCAGGCAGGGAGGTTGCAGTGAGCCGAGATGGCAGCAGTACAGTCCAGCTTCAGCTCGGCATCAGAGGGAGACCGTGGAAAGAGAGGGAGAGGGAGACCGTGGGGAGAGGGAGAGGGGGAGGGGGAGGGGGGAGAGGGAGAGGGAGAGGGGAACCATCTTTGATATAAACGAGAATTAACAAAAGATGTGTAAAATTTTTGAGGGAGAAAAATTTGCAGTTTTATTAAGAGACATTAAAGAAGACAAGTAAATAGTGGCAGAATGTTCTTGCCTAGGAAGACCGAATCTTTTAAAAACTCATATTGTTCTGTGGATTCAGTGCATCTTTAAAGCTCCGTGAGTTTTATGTGAAATGCGATAAGTCGATTCTAAAATGTTGAGAAGAATTAAGTCGTAGTATTGAGAGGTCGTTGTGAAGAAGAGGAATGAGGAGGGAGCACTTGCCTTGCCCGTATCAAGATTTACTTCAAAATTGGCTCAGGGAAATCCAAATTGGCCAGTGAGACAGAAGCTGTCAGAAACAGACCTAAGAAGCTTGAATTCCAGAGGTGGAATTACATATCGCTGTGCAAAGGGCAGACTCTTCAAACACAGTGCTGTGACAGTCGGAGAAGGATGCAGTTGGATCCCTAACTCACAACATACAGGAAATTCAGTTTTGGATAAATTATAGGAGACTATCTTTAAGACCTTGATAGGGAAGTGTGCCTTTTTCTTTTTCTTTTTTTTTTTTTTTGAGACAAGGTCTGGCTCTGTCACCCAGGCTGGAGTGCAGTGACACGTTCTTGTATCACTGCAACCTCCGCCTCCTGGGCTCAAGCCATCCTCCTACCTCAGTCTCCGGAGTAGCTAGGACTACAAGCGTGCACCACCATGCCCGGCTAATTGCATGTTTTCGTAGAATCGGTGTTTCGCCACGTTGCCCAGGCTGGTCTCTAACTCACGAGTTTAAGCAGTCTGCCTGCTTCGGCTTCCCAGAGTGCCTGGATTACGGGGGCATGAGCCACTGCGCCCAGCCACCTTTTTCTTTTCTTTCTTTCTTTCTTTTTTTTTCTGTTTTTTTTTGGAGATGGAGTTTCGCTCTGTCACCCAGGCTGGAGGCTGGAGTGCAGTGGTGCGATCTCAGCTCACTGCAACCTCCACCTCCTGGGTTCAAGTGATTCTCCTGCCTCAGCCTCCCGAGTAGCTGGGATTACAGGCATCTGCCACCACGCTCGTCTAATTTTTGTATTTTTAGTAGAGACGGGGTTTTGCCATGTTGGCCGGGCTGGGCTCGAACCCCTGATCTCAGGCGATCTGCCTGCCTCGGCTTCCCAAAGTGCTGGGATTACAGGTGCATGAGCCACCATACCTAGCCTCTGGCCACCTTTTTCTTAATCACATAAAATATTCACTCTAAAATAAAAATGACTGAATTTGCTAGATTAAAATTAAGATCTCTCGTTTATTGAAAGACACCAATAGGCCAGGTGCTTATGCCAGGAATCCCAGCACTTTGGGAGACCAAGGTGGGCAGATTGCCAGAGCCCAAGAGTTCCAGACCAGCCAGGGCAACGTGGTGAAATCCTGTCTCTATGAAAAAAAAAAAAAAAAAAAAAAAGAAATAATTAGCCAGATGTGGTGGTACACACTTGTAGTCCCAGCTTCTCAGTAGGCTAAGGTGGGAAGAATCACCTGAGTCCCTGAGGTCAAGGCTGCAGTGAGCCGAGATTACACCACTGGACATCAGAGTGAGACCCTGTTTCAAAAAAAAAAAAACAAAAAAAACCCCAAAAAACACCAGTAAAGACTGTGAAAAGACAAGCTAGAGTAGAGAGAAGATATTTGCAACACTTACAGCCTGTAAAGGATAAGGATTCTAATTCAGTGTATATAAAGAACTCCTATAAAGCATTTCGTAGATGGTGATTAAACATAGAAAAAGACATTTAAATTTAACCTCGTTAGTATTCTAAGACTACATACAGTGAGATACCACTTTACAGATGCTTAGACTGGCAAAAATTAAAATGTTGGAGAAGATATGGATAGTGTGGAAATTTTATGTGCTTCTTTACACCCACTCTGGAATAGAGACATTATCTTGCAAAGCTGAACATTCTTATTTTCTGTGATCCAGGATTTCTATTTAGGGAAACTCTGGAAAAATCCTTGCAGAATTGTTTGTACAGTTTTTCCAGAGTGGGTGTAAAGGAGCAGATAAAATTCCAAGCCATCCACATCCTCTCCAACTCTTGGTTTTGTCAGACATCTTAATTTTTGCCATTGATACATGTCTTGGAAACAACCCAAATGTCTGTGCTCACATGATGGAATGTTATACACCAGCAACAGTAAGTGAATGTTAGGTTTATGCAGCAACATGGATGAATCTTGAAAACAGAACGTCAGCTAAAAGCAAGTTGCTAAAAACGACATATGGCACAATATAGAGAAGCAAAACAGATCGTTATATTACTTATAGATACATACACATGTGGTAAACTAAAAGAAAAAAATAAGCGCAGTGATACACAAAATTCTAGTTCCTGGTGGAGAGACAGAGGGATATAAGACTGGGAGAAGCAAAATAATGCTTGATTTCCTAAATGGGGTGTGGGGAGGTCGCTCACAACTATATTATTAGGCTTATGAATCTTACATGTGTGCTACATACATTCTTTGAAATGTTTCACATATTATACAGCTTTTTTCCTTTCCAAAGAAAAGCCAATGGGAGAGTTAAACTGACCTGGTGTAGCAGAGCAGCTGCAACCATGGGCCTGCTTGAGTGAGAACAACAAGAAATAAGCAGTTTGCCCAGCAGCCTCCCAGAAAGGCTCAGCGCTTGAAGGCTCTGAGTGCCAAGGGTGGCAGGCATCAGGCATAGGCATGGGAGTGGGATAGGGATTGGTGGAATTCTCTTGGCACTCGCATTCCCTTCTTCACTTTCCATCACTGGGTGACTCTTTCTGCTACCATAAGATGTGGGGTTTCATTTCTTTTTTTTGAGACAGAGTCTTGCTCTGTTGCCCATTGGAGTACAGTGGTGAAACCACAGCTGAATGCAACCTCAAACCCCTGGACTCAAGCGATCCTCCCACCTCAGCCTCCTGAGTAGCTGAGACTACAGGCGTGTACCACCATGCCCAGCTAATTTTTAAATTTTTTGTAGAGACGAGGTCTCGCCCTGTTGCTGAGGCTGGTCTTGAACTCCGGGGCTCTAGCAATCCTGCCCCCAGCCTCCCAAAGTGCTGGGATTACAGGCATGAGCCACTGTGCCCCGCAGGAGTTGATTTTCTAGACCAACACTGTCCAGTGTAGTAGCCATGAGTCACATGTGGCTGTTTTGAAGGAAGATGTGCAGCAGGTGTAAAATACACACCAAATAGGAAAGACCTAGTACAAAAAAAGAATGTAAAACATCCCATGAATACTTCTTTATATTGTTTCCATGTTGCAGTAATAGTATTTTGAATATATTGGGTTAGATAAAGTATTAAAATTAATTTCATGTTTGTTTCTACTTGTTGAAATGTGGTTTGCATTGTGTTTCTATTAGACAGCACTTAAAGTCTGCAAAATAAGTGACACCAGGTACAACAGAGGGGAGTCGTGGAGGTTGAAAATAGAGGAATTAAGAGAAATTCTCTGTAGTGACAAGTAGGTAATAAGTAGGATGCTCAGGCCTGTCTTCTGCCCTGCTCTCCAGATGTCAGCAGCCAGGTGTTTTCCCAGACAGGAGATTGGAGGAGTCTTTTCTAGAGACACTGGCACTTCATACAAGAGGTAGAAAAGTGTCAACATAATGGAAGGTTTCCAACTGAAAGACTAGCTCTCCCACCGTGGTCCCTGACAAGCGTCTAGCCCACTAGGCTCACTAGAGCCTCTGGCTAGCTGGGTCACCTTCCTCTTATGATGAAAGACAACCAGTGCTGACCAGATCTAGAAGAAAACATCCACTGTGGATATTCGCCAGAGTCTGAACAAAGCACACCAGACCAGAAGGGCCACAGCAAAGTGGCCTGAGGCAGCCAGCTCTGCTGTATGTCATATCGTGGTTAAATGTGGGGGCTTGAGCCAGGGACTGGGGCTGCTCCCCTGCTTTCACCACTTACTGGCTGTGATCCTTTGGGCAAATTGCATCCATAAAATGGAGAAAATAATAGTGCCTGTCACTTGGGGTTGTTGTGAGGATTACATTACATGCTACATATAAAGGGATTAGACAAGAATGTAGCACACAGTAATCCCTCAATTAGCAGTTACTTTATTCATGTAATAAAACTTAAAAAAATGTATTCTGACATTGGTAAAATGGCAGTCCAGGAAGCTCCAGGTTCTCGTTCCACCATAGAAAACATTAATAAGCAACTAGGGACTAGATGGAATAACTTTATAGAAGCTCTGGAAAACAGTCAGAGGTTTCTTAGCCCAGCTAAGAAAATGCCTAATCAAGAAAAAGCCACATTCAAAATACAGATTGAGTATCCCTTAACTGAAATGTTTGGGACCAGAAGTGTTTTGGATTTTGGATTTTTTTCTGATTTTGGAATATTTACATTATACTTACCAGTTGAACACTCCAGTGAGCATTTCCTTTGAGTACAACGTTGGCACTCAAGAGTTTTGGATTTTGGGCTGGGCTCATATCTGTCATCTCAGTGCTTTGGGAGTTCAAGGTGGGAGGATTACTTGATGCCAGGATTATAAGAGAATACTGTTAAGAATTGTACATTAACAAATTGCTTAACCTAAATGAAGCGGACACATTCCTAGAAACATACAACCTGCCAAGACTGAATCATGAGGAAATAGAAAATCTGAATAGGACTATAATTAATAAGGAGATTGAATCAGTAATCAAAAACCTCTCAACAAAGAAAAGTCCTGAACCACATGGCTTCACTGATGAATTCTCCAAACGTTTAAAGAAGAATTAACATCAGTCCTTCTCAAGTGAATTCATTCTGTGACTCTAACATGCCCTGATACCAAAGCCAGACAGTAATACTACTAGAAAATTACAGACCAATATCCTTTGTGAATATTGATACAAAATCCTCAACAAAATACTAGCAAAACCAAGTTAACCAAGTTTAGCAGTCTGTCAAAAGGCTTGGACCAAATGTAATGCAAGGATGTCTCAGCAAACTAAAATCAGTCAGTGGTCAAAGACTGAAAGCTTTTCCTCTAAGATCAGAGACAAGACAAGGATGTCTGCTTTCACCACTTATTCACCATAGTATTGAAGTTAATTGCCCACAGTAATTAATCAAGAAGAGAAAGCCATCAAAATTGGAAAGGGAGAAGTAAAGTTATCCCTGTTTGTATGTGTGACGACATGATTTTATATATAAAAACCTTAAAGATTTCACAGAAACATGGTTAGAACTAATAAATGAATTCAGCAAAATTGCAGGGCACAAAGTCAAAACACAAAATCAGTTGTATTTATATTTATGTACACTAACTCAGCTATCTGAAGAGGAAATTAAGAAAATAATTCCATTTACAGTAATAGTACAAAGAATAAAATACAGATATTCCTCAACTTATAACAGATTTATGTCTTAAACCTATTGTAAAGTCGAAAAATTTTTTAGTCAAACTATCATAAGTTGGGGGTCTGTCTGTACTAAAGAATATTCTTAAGTACACATGAAAGACTGAAAACACTGACAACTACAAAATGTTAAAAGAAATTAAAGAAGACACTGGGTGTGGTAGCTCACACCTGTAATCCCAGCATTTTGGGAGGCCAAGGCGGGTGGATCACTTGAGGTCAGGAGTTCAGGACCAGCCTGGCCAACATGGCAAAACCTTGTCTTGGTGAAAAATACAAAACTTAGCTGGGTGTGGTGAGGTGCACCTGTAGTCCCAGCTACTCAGGAGGCTGAGGCAGGAGAATTGCTTGAACCCAGAACGTGAAGATTGCAGTAAGCTGAGATCGCACCACTGCACTCCAGCCTGGGTGACAGAGTGAGACACTGTCTCAAAAAAAAAAAAAAGACAAAAATAAATTGAGAGATGTTCCATGCTCATGGACTGTAAAACGTAAGATGTGACTATTACCTAAAGCAATCTACAGATTCAATCCCTATTAAAATGCCAACAAGTTTTTTTTGCTGAAGTAGAAAAATTTATCCTAATGTTCATAGAATCTCAGCAGACTCCAAAGAGCCAGAACAGTCTTGAAAAAGAAGAAGAAATATGAAATCCTCATAATTCCTGACTTTAAACCTTATTACAAAGCTGCAGTAATCCAAACATTGTAGTATTGGTATAAAGACAGACATATAGACCAATGGAATAGAATACAGAGCCTTAGCAATAAGTCCTTGCATACAGTGGTCAAATTATTTTCCACAAGGATGCCATTACCATTCAGTGAGGGAAAAAGTGTCTTTTCAGAATGAATGGTGCTAGGAAAACTGGACATACAAATCAAAAGAATAAAGTTAGACCCTTAGCTAATGATATACAAAACTTAACCCAAAATGGATCAGGCTTAAATTTAAGACCTTAAACTATAAAATTCTTAGAAAAACATAATAAAGTCTTCGTGACACTGGATTTGGCAATGATTTCTTACATAAGACACTTAAATCACAGGCAACAAAAGAAACAATAGATAAATTAAGCTACGTCAAAATTTAAAACTTCTATTAATTAAAAGAAGCACTCAACAGAGTGAAAAGGCAGCCTACAGAATGGAAAACATTTGAAACTCATATCTGGTAAGGGTTAATATTTAAAATATAAAAAGAATTCCCACAGCTCAATAATAATAAATATCCTGGTTAAAAAATGTGCAAAGGACTGGGTGCGGCGGCTCACGCCTGTAATCACAGCACTTTGGGAGGCCGGCGGATCACAAGGTCAGGAGATCGAGACCATCCTGGCTAACACGGTGAAACCCCGTCTCTACTAAAAAACACAAAAAATTAGCCAGGTGTGGTGGCGGGCGCCTTAGTTCCAGCTACTCGGGAGGCTGAGGCAGGAGAATGGCATGAATCCTGGAGGTGGAGCTTGCAGTGAGCCGAGATCACACCACTGCACTCCAGACTGGGAGAGAGAGCGAGACTCCATCTCAAAAAAAAAAAAAAAAAAAAAAAATGTGCAAAGGACTTGAGTAGACATTTCTCCAAAGAAGATAAACAAATGACTGATAAGCACATTAATGATTAGAGAAATGCAAATCAAAACAGCAGTGAAATAGCTCACAGCCATTAGATGTTTGCTGTTGAACAGGAAATGACAAGTGTTGACGAGGATTTAGAAAAAGTGGAATCCCTCTGCGGTGTTGTTAGGAATGGGAACTGGTGCAGCTACTAAAACAGTATGACAGTGCCACCCAAATTAAAAGTAGAATTACCTGCCGGGCGCGGTGGCTCACGCCTGTAATCCCAGCACTTTGGGAGGCCGAGGCGGGCGGATCACTTGAGGTCAGGAGTTCTAGAGCAGCCTGGCCAACATGGTGAAACCCCGTCTCTACCAAAAATATAAAAAAAAATTAGCCGAGTATGGTGATGCATGCCTGTAATCCCAGCTACTTGGGAGGCTGAGGCAGGAGAATCACTTGAACCCAGGAGGCGAAAGTTGCAGTGAGCTGAGATCATGCCACTGCACTCCAGTCTGGGTGACAGGACAAGACTCCTTCCCCCCCAAAAAATAAAGTGAACTTTAAAAAATAAATAAAATAAAAATACAAAAATTAGCTGGGCGTCATGGCGCACGCCTGTTAATTTCAGCTACTGGGGAGACTGAGGCAGGAGAGTTGCTTGAGCCTGGGAGACGGAGGTTGCAGTGAGCTGAGATCATGCCACTGCACTCCAGCTTGGGCGACAGAGCAAGACTCTGTCTCAAAAAATAAAAGTAGAATTATCATACAACTTAGCAGTTCGACTCCAAAGAATTGGAAGCAGAGACTTGAAGAGAGATTTGTACACCCAAGTTCATAGCAGCATTACTCATAGTAGCCAAAAGGTGGAAGCAACCCAAGTGTCCATCACAGATGAATGGATCAACAACAAGGTAGTCTATCCATCCAGTGGAATATGGTTTACCTTAAAAAGGAAGGAATTCTGACACATGCTACAGCATGGATGGACTTTGAGGATATGCTCAGTGAAATAAGCCTGTCACAAAATAACAAATACTGTATGTTTCCATTTAGATGTGCTATCAAGATACTCAAATGCATAGATACAGGAAGTAGAATTGTGGTTGCCAGGGGCTGGGAGGAGAGAAAAATTGGGAGGTAATGTTTAATGGATACGGAGTTTGTTTGGTAAGATGAAAAGTTCTGGAGATGGATGGTGGTGATGGTTGTTATGGAACTAATGTGAAGGTACTTAATAATGCCACTTAACTGTACACTCTTTTTTTTTTTTTGAGACAGAGTCTTGCTCTGTGGCCCAGGCTGGAGTGCAGTGGCACGATCTCGGCTCACTGCAAGCTCTGCCTCCCGGGTTCACGCCATTGTCCTGCCTCAGCCTCCCAAGTAGCTGGGACTACAGGCGTCCACCACCACGCCCGGCTAATTTTCACCATGCCCGACTAATTTTTTGTATTTTTAGTAGAGATGGGGTTTCACTGTGTTAGCCAGGATGGTCTCGATCTCCTGACCTTGTGATCTGCCTGCCTCAGCCTCCCAAAGTGCTGGGATTACAGGCGTGAGCCACTGCACCCAGCCCAACTGTACACTCTTAAGTGGTTAAAAATGAGTTCAGAAAATCCAATATCTGATTAATACAAATTCCTTAAAAGAAAATAGAGGAGATGGGGGAGGAGGGAATTAGCAAAGAAGTTATATAAGAAAATTTCCCAGAAATGAAAGATTGTATCCTTGGATTGGAAGGGACTGGCACAATAATTTTAAAAAGGCCTGTATAAATTACCTCCTTGTGCAGCTGCAGCACGTTGGTAATGCAGAGGACATCAACCCCTGTAGCGGGAAACCTGGGTCACAATAAAAGGATCAGGAATCAGAGCAGTAGATGCCTCAGCGGCAGCTCCGATGTAAAAAAAAGGTGGGGCGGGGCATCCCAGATCTGTAGAGGAACTGATTTTGATTGTCTACTTCAAATTTTTAGTTTTATCTTTATTCAAGTTACTTATGCATACAATTTGAATATTCAAATGATTCTGTAAGTCTTTTTTTTAATAGCAAACCCTATGAACCCCTCTAATTTTCAAGGCAAACATTGTTTTAGCTGTTTCATTTGGTATTTATCTGTGTGTCTTTAAATTCCGTGGTTTTAGGCATTCTCTGCTGATTCTTCCCTAAGCCTGGTGGGTGAGTCTGGGCCCTGTGCTCTGTGAGGTCTTGCCTGCTTTCAGTGCTGCTCCTAGCTGGGCCATGCAGGAGCACTCCGTTTCCTTTTTGTTGGCACAACATTGTGTTTTCACTTTTTTTTTTTTTTTTTCATCTTGCTCTGTGGCCCAGGCTGGAGTGGAGTGGCGCGATCTCGGCTCACTGCAACCTCCTAGGCTCAATCGATTCTTCTGCCTCAGCCTCCTGAGTAGCCGGGATTACAGGTGCATGCCACCACACCCAGCTAATTTTTGTATTTTTTAGTAGAGACAGGGTTTCACCATGTTGGCCAGGCTAGTCTCGAACTCTTGACCTTAAGCGATCGCCTGCCTCGGTCTCCCAAAGTTCTGGGATTACAGACGTGAGCCACCGTGCCGAGCCATGTTTAATTTTTTAAGAAATTGCCAAGCCGTTTTCCAATTTGGTGTGAATCCTGTAGATTCATATATATCTTTTCTTTTTAAGTACCTAGAAGTCTCTTTCCTGATGTCCCCTCAGTTACAGATCTCTATCAGTCAGAGTTCTTTGGCCCCTCCTTTCCCAGACGCCCCTGGTGGTCCTCACCTGTCAGTGCTGCTGGGCCAGCTTCCCCGTTCACCATCAGTGTGGGAGAATCAGTCACTCTCACCTGTGTCTCCTTGCGTTGGAACCTCTGGTGTTTGGTTTTTATATCTTTCCTGTTTTGTTTTATTCCTTCATTTTAGTCGAGTACTGCCCCACTTATGTGGAAAAGGAACATAGGAGACAAAGGTTTGTGTTTCCTTGTTTGCATGTCTGAAGTGTCCTTATTTTACCTTTGCACATAAGTTTGGCTGGTTTTAGAATCATAAGCTAGAAATAAGTTTTTCCCATAATTTTGAAGGTTAAGCTTACTCCATTTTTACTCCAACACCAGTGTTGCTGGTGACATAATTTTTGATTCTTTGAACATAACTTGTTTTCTTCCTGGAAATTTTGCGTATCTTTTGAACCATTGCACTGCCTCCTCAGTGGGTCTTTTCATCTTAGACTCATGCCTTACAGCTTAGGGAAAGGGGTCACTTTCCTGTTCTCTGTTCTATTCTGTTTTCTTCTCTGTTCCCTTTTTCTGGAACTCTTTATTATTGGGAATTGGAGCTCTTGGATTGATTCCCAGTTTTCGTTTTCTCCTCTGCAGTTTTCCATCTCTTTGATTATTTTACTTTTAGTAGGTTTCTATAACTTCTGCCAAATCTTTTATGAGTTTTCATGTTTGCTGTCATGTATTCAGTTTTTTTTTGTGTGTGTGACAGGTCTCACTGTCACTCAGGCTGGAGTGCACTAGTGTGGTCATAGCTCATTGTAGCCTCAAACAGCTAGGCTCAAACAGTCCTCTTGTGTCATCCTCCTGAGTAGCTGGGACTATAGGCATATGCCACTATGCCCAGCTAATTATTTTTATTTTTATTTTTCATAGAGACAGGGTCTTGCTGTGTTGCCCAGGCTGGTCTCCAACTCCTGGCCTCAAGCAATCCTCCTGCCTCAGCCTCCCAAAGTGTTGGGATTACAGGTGTGAGCCACTGCACCTGGCCTCCTGTTCATTTGTACAAGATCATTTTCAGAGGCAAGTAATGATGGATAGTGTTGTCTGCATTTTCCTTTTTTTTAAAAAAAAATTTTATTTATTTATTTTTTAGACAGAGTCTTGCTCTGTTGCCAGGCTGGAATGCAGTGGTGCGATCTCCACTCACTGCAACCTCTGCCTCCCGGGTTCAAGTGATTCTCCTGCTTCAGCCTCCCGAGTAGTTGGGACTACAGGTGTGTGCCACCACGCCCAGCTAATTTTTTGCATTTTTATTAGAGACGGGGTTTCACCATGTTGGCCAGGATGGTCTTGATCTCTTTACCTTGTGATCTGCCCACCTCGGGCCTCCCAAAGTGCTGGGATTACAGGCGTGAGGCACCGTGCCCGGTCCATGCTCCTTCTTAATAGCACCCTTTTCTTGTTTCATGAGTACAGTAGAACCTCTCACTTTGAGGATGTTAATGGCCTGTTTTTGGTTTTAACTTTTTGTCTCTGTACTTGTTTCTTCTGTGCTATTTTCCTCTGTGGTTTGGGTCTCTGCCTCAGAGGTTTGGTGGTCCTTCCCTATCTGCTGTATGTGGCTGAGGGACTTGAAGTTCTGTGCACGTGGGCTTCCCTGGAGGGTGAACCAGCTGGATATGTTTCGTTGGGAATCTCCTCCTGTTGGGGACTTTCTTCTTGACCTGGTCAGATTTTTTCCATAAAGGACCATTTCCTATCTGCCTGGAGCCTGGGGTTCTGAGAGCTTAGTGGAAGAAAAATGGCGATGGGGAATCTGTCCTCTCTTCCCTGAGTAAAGAACCCTGATTTTCAGCTGAACTGGTGTCCCCTAACCCAGACACCACCTGTTTTATCTTCTTACCAGTTAACTCTTGATTTGTTTACTGCTTGAGTTGTGGGAGGAATCTGGGTGTGTCCACCTGCCTTGTCCCTGCGCCCACCTTTTAATATGAATAATTTCAGATCTATAAAAAACTCATAATCATAGTGCAATAAACACTCCTGCAGCCTTTACCCGGGTTCACCAGCTGATAGTGTCCTGCCGCACCTTTACCCGGGTTCACCTGCCGCAGTTGCTCTTTGTGTTTTTCTTCTGAACCCTTTGAGAGGTTACAGATATTATGATATTCTACCCCTAAATACTATGATCAAAAAATAAGAACAATCCTCTACAGAAGCCTTTTCACATGCAAGAAATTTACTGTAGTACTATTCTGTGTAATCCATATTCAGATTCTTTTCATTATCCCCAGAACATCCTTTACAGGTTTCTTTCCCCTTTTAATTCAAGATTTATTCAAGGATTAATGTAAGTATGTTATTGCCGTATTGCTTTGTTCTTTAATCTAGAAGTATTCCCAGCCCTCTTTTGCAGGGGGCTTTGGGCGTCTTTCATGACATTGCCATATTTGAAGAGTCCAGGTCAGTTCTGTAGAATGGCGTTCAATTTGGACTTGTCTCTTTCTTCAGGATTAGCTTCAGGTGAGACTTTTTTTTTTTAGGTAGCAATACTATGTAAGTCATAAATTATCAAATCACGAGGCCCAAGGTCATTTTGTCTCATTATTGGTGATGTTAAGTTTGATCACTATTGTGAATATTTCTTTCCCTTTTTGTGACGAAAAGTAATTTGTGAATAAATAGTCTGTGGAGTGGTATTCTAGGTATTCTCCCTGATTCTGTTTCCTTGTTGAACTTGCTCTCCAGTGTGTTCCTGTGCTGGGGAAGCAGCAGCGTGGCACTCTAGTGGTGCTGGAGGCAGGAGGGGCACATGTGCTCCGAGCTGCACAGGTCATGGAGCCCAGAGTCGGAGCAGATGTGGCTCTGGGTGCTACAGTGACCCCTGCACCAGGTCCCCAGCTGGGCTGTGAGGCAGGGCTGCTCGGGCCCCATGGCCCTGGTGGAGGTGGAAGAGGCCCCCCAGCTTACCAAAGGCTGGCCCTCCGCGGGAAGAGGGACATTCTCTACTGTCAGAGGCAGGCCTGAGAGGTCTGTAAGGGTTCTGTCCTGTGCTATGCGCATTCCCCAGCCTGGCCCCCAGACTCTCCCCCAGGACACTGTCTGACATCAGCATCATCTTGACAGCCAAGCCCTTCCCCTTCTTGCTGGCAAAGGCCTGTGTCTGTGCTGGCAGGTTTCCATGGTGGGCCCAGAATGGGCATTGAATAAACGTGGGGGTGAGGGGATGAATGTGAGCATTTGGATATGGAGATGCATGATGGAAAAAAGAAAGGGCTCACAATTGCCACCTAAACCCAGAGAAGCCTGCTCAACAGAGTGGTGTCCTTTATCACCATTTGGCTTTCTGGTTATGTTTCTGAAATATTTCACCTGGTCTCCCACCCCAGGGGGCAGATGACTTCACTCAGTCAACATGTAACAACCTGGTCTTTGGTGCCCATGTGACCTGGCAGCACTGTCCCTCTGTTATCTCTTCTTTCTCTTCCCTTTCCTCTGCCCTCAGTTCATCTTGTCTTTCTGTGAGCAATTTTACCAGGTACTGTGCTTGGCTTGGGGAAGAGGCCAGGATACAAAGTGGAGCCACAGGTCTTGCCCATTTGAGCAGAGGGAGATGTTGAATTTAAGTTCAGTGACATTCTCCAGCCACACTCAGGCCTGGCCTCAGGTTTATCCCGGATATGTCTGCCTTTGCCCTTTGCCAAAGCTGCTCCATCTGCCAGAAAGCCCCTCTGTTCTTTCTCAGCTTCCAGTCTCAGGCCCAGAAGCTCAGGTGGCTCTTCCCTTCTCCACCAAGTGCTGATGCCCCATCCTAGTGGCTGCATCCCTGCATCAGAGCTACCAGCGAGTCTGTGGGTCGAGTCTCCTACCCAGAGTGTCGGGTGCTGCAGGTAGCATGGCTTAGGACATGGGACCAGTCCTAAAGAGCTGATGGTCCCCAAGTACTGCGTGTTTACAGCATCAGGCCTGTCGTGGTGCCAGTTACTGTCCCACACTGAGGTCCTTAGGTTGTATTTTGGGGTGGTAAAGTACCCCAAAGACACCTCTACCAAAAAACACAAGCCTTGAAGATGCTTCTCCCTTTGAGGTCTTCACTTTCTGTTGAAAGTGTCTCGGACACAGGTAGCATATTTTATATTTTAGTGATTCCCAGTCGAATAGCAACCCATCCCCATCACATGCCTGACAGGAGCTATGGAACTATGCTTATTGAGTACTGAGTGAGTATCCAGAGTCTCAGAAATGAGACTACATACGCACTTGTGTACAAGGTGTTTAAGGCAGCCTTTTCTAGAATAATGAAAAAAATGCAAACAGCCTAACCTCAAACCATAGAGATTATGGGGATGAAAGAAATCCATTTGTGGAATACTATGCAGCCATCAAAAGTCATGTTCCTAAGCCCATTTAAAAATATAGAAAGCTGTTTATAGTCTTAAGCTTACAAAGCAAGTCGTGAAATGGAGTGTCTGATGTGATCCCAGTATTCTTAAAGATTTGTGTAGAAAAGAGACTTGGTGAGGGGGCAGATGCTCGCATAGTTAAATATGGCCTTTGTTGTTTATTGTCTTTTCAAACTTTTGTATTTTTCAAGCATTTCACATTGAATGTTTGTTACTTTATCATGAGCAAAAAAGCATGTGGATTTTTTATTAAATAAAAACCATTGCAAAGTCTATGACACTAGCAGAACCAACCTGCTGGAGAGGGGCTCGTCAGGTGGCGCTGACTGCCGGTTCAGGTTCAGGGAAGGAGGCTTTGCAGGAGGCCTCCTAACCCTCCCTGTGACCTCCCTTGGGGAGCCGAGGCCCCACTCGCCATCTGCAGCCAGAGTGCACTTGCTGGCAGGCGTCTGTCTGTGTGCAGCCTTGCAGACCAAGTTTGTTTCCCATCTGACCTGACCTTGTACCCGATGCCCTTCATGACACATCAGGGTACACCTGTACAGAGTGGGAGGTGAGCGGGCCCATGAGGGCCCTCTCCCCTGCACCATGGCCTTGGGTAAGTCACTCCCCTTCTCTGAGTCTGCCCTTCACCTTGTGAGATGGGAGGAGTGTGGTTCTCCTTTTTCACAAGGGGGTTGGAGGACAAAAGAGAGTGTGTGGGTGGAAGCACTGGTGTGCAAATTACTATTAGATCATGCTGTATAAAACTATAGTTATTTCCTCATCTTCAGCTGCCTGTTGACACCTTCTAGCCATGCACTGAGACCTGCTGCACACCAGGGCCTGTGCCAAGCACCAAAGAGCCAGACAGGAACATACTGAGGTCCTGGCCTGGAGGCCTTCACAGCCATGGGGGACCAGCAGGCAGGGGGACAGATAGGCAGCTCAGGCCCCAGGACAAGGGCTGCAGAGGAAGGTTGCACACGTGGGTCTCCTTCATACTGGGAGAGAAGGCCCTCAAGGAAGGGGTAGGGGCAGCCTGGGCTCTGGAGAGAACTCTTTCATGGGCCATCCCCATGGGGCTGGAACTGCTGAGGGATTTTAATTTATGCAGGACCCTTTGCTGTGCTAGCAATGACCTGTTAGAAAATGCAATGAAGAGGGCCTCCATTTCACAATAGTAACTTAAAAAACAAAAACTGCCACGGCATAATTTTAATAAGAAGCACACGGGACCCATTTGATGCGAGCGGCAGTGTTTCATAGGGCTCTAAAGAAAGCCTGCATTGCCGGACTCTGTGCTACAGGCCCCCCCTCCGGCCTTGCAGCCCTGAGTGGTCTGAACCATGCTGGCCAGGGAGACTGCGACTGCACAGGCAGGACTCACAGCACACATCTCCTTTTGCTTTCAGAAGTGACCGGGGAGGTGCGTCCTCATCATGGGAAGGAGGCTGTGGATCCGCGGCAGGGGCGGGCCAGAGGAGGCGACCCTTCGCACTTCCACGCGGTGAACGTGGCGCAGCCCGTTCGCTTCAGCAGTAAGTTGCAGACCTGCCCTGACTGGGACACTGGGGAGTGCAAGCCTGACATGACCCCTGCCTTTCCAGCACTACTGTGCTGCGTGAGGGGTTTCTCAAAGCAGCCCTTGGAGGCCAGTGAGGGGAATGAATGAGGCTGCATGATGACCCACCCGCAGTCACCCAGCGCTGGAGTGGTGGTATGTGACTCAAGGCCCTAGGAAGTCAACCGGCTCTGAGGCCAGGCTGCTTGTTCTCACAAAGTGACTGCTTTTCAGGGCCAGAAGGCACTGGCCCTTGGAAATTCCAAAGTTGTATTATTCCCTTTTATAAATGAGGAAACCAGCTCTGAGTTTAGATACAGCAATAAAATGGGAAGGCTCGACTCCTTATTTATTTATTTATTTATTTATTTATTTATTTATTTAGAGACGGAGTCTCACGCTTGTCACCCAGGCTGGAGTGCAGTGGCATAATCTCAGCTTACTGAAACCTCTGCCTTCCAGGTTAAGTGATTCTCCTGTCTTAGCCTCCCGAGTAGCTGGGATTACAGGCACGTGCCATCACGCCCGGCTAATTTTTGTATTTTTAGTAGAGACCGGGTTTCACCACCTTGACCAGGCTGGTCTCGAACTCCTGACCTGAGGTGATCCACCCACCTCAGCCTCCCAAAGTGCTAGGATTACAGGCATGAGCCACTGTGTCCAGCCATTTTAAGAAAAATTTTTAAGGTGATTAGTTATTTAATAAATTACCTATGACATTGAAATTTTAAAGGGGCATGAGATCATCAAGGAAGGTTGAGGGGAGGAAAAGCCACCACTGAAATGGCCCTGAGCAGACCCTCTCAGGCGCGAGGTACCCAAGTACGCTGAGCAGCGGCTGTGGACCAGGCAGGACTGATACTGGATGGGCCTGCTGCCCTGCCTTGGGCCTGTCTGCTTGTGTTACTCCTCAGCCCCCAGACTTTCAGCACTGGGGAGCACCTCAGAGGTGACCAGGTCTGCTTCTGGCAGAACCCCCACCAACCCTGGGTGGCCAGAGTGGGGCCAGGTGTTTCCAGGTGGTCACGCATGTTGGTGCGGCTGAAGCAGGGCTGGACATGTCCTGGTGATGCACTTTGTCTCCGGCCTGTGCCCACAGCCCGAACGGGTCCCCACAGTGCAAGTGTGGTGCACAGGCTTGGTGTGTGAAGACACTGAGGCTGAGAGGCCACCTGTAGGGAAGGGGCAGTTCACAGTGCAGCCCCAGGGGGTCCTGATGCTCAGCTCCATGTTCTTCCTTCCCCTTGCCTGTCTGTTCAGTTTTGAACAGGCAGCACTTCTGCCTGGGTAGTAAGCAACTCCACCAAGTTCAGAACATAAAGAAGATGAGTCAGTGCACAGGAGTGCTTCCTCCCTCCATGCCCCAGCCAGCTGGCTCCCATCCTGGGATGTCTCCTTCCCTCCATGCCTCAGCCAGCTTCCCTCCCTACAGGGCTTCCTCTCACCTTGCCTGAGATAGGGGCCTGGCCTCTGCCTGCCTCAGTGTCCTCACCTCTTCATGGAGACGGTGCAGAGCCACCTGCGGGGCATGTGGTCAGGCTGCATGCATTGGTGTGGCACCCAGGAAACACGCAATGAATGTGCAACACACCTTCTCGAGAGCTGATGCCTTGACATTTTTTATTGTTGTTTTGTTTTTTTTTGTTTGTTTGTTTTTTGTTTGTTTTTTTTCAGACAGGGTCTCACTCTGTCACCCAGGCTGGAGTGCAGTGGCGCACTTTTGGCTCACTGCAGGCAGTCTCTGCCTTTTTGAGCTCAAGTGATCCTCCAACCTCAGCCTCCCAGGTAGCTGGGACTACAGGTGTGCCCCACCACACCTGGCTAATTCTTTGTATTTTCGGTAGATAGGGGGTTTCGCCATGTTGCCCAGGCTGGTCTCAAGCTCCTGAGCTCAAGCAATCTGCCCACCTCGGCCTCCCAAAGTGCTGGAATTACAGGCGTGAGCCACTGTTGCCAGCCCTCTGATTCCTTGTCTGCACCTAAAGAGCTTCCTTGCACACTCAGGTGTACCCTTCACGGTGAGCAGATGGTGCTGTCCAGCTGTGGCCATGCTTAGGGGCTAGGGGTGCCCCTCTTTTTCTGTAATCTATGTGCCTTTATGAAGAAGTCACACACACACATGCTTACATAATAAATACATGGGGATACGTGTCTAGAAGTTTTACTAGTGCCACAAGACATAGCTGCACTTTAAAAATGGCATTTTTAATTTTACAACTGGCTTTGCTAAAAATTGTCACTCTTCTCCAGTGTACTAATATGAGGTACCCAACATTTGAAGGTTAAAGATTCTATAAAAGAGGTCACTGGTGTTACCTAAGGTGAGCTGTAAATTACCAGGCATTCCCGTGTGTGGGTGTAGGAGTCGGAAGTGATGGGTGGAGGAAGTGAGAGGACGCTGGCCAGACTCATTGATACTCAAGTGCTGGCTGGCTCCTTAGCTTTGCCACCTGTGGCATCGCCCACACCTTATTTTTTTCGGCTGTGGGAGGCAGGGGCGGGTCACACAGTGTCATGGCTCTCCCAGCTGTTATCCTTTGAGCTGCTGTTTTAGTGGAGGGTTGGCCAGCCCCTACTGCAAATGCTCATGTAAGTAGAAAAGGGAGAGAGGGGAGTGAGCTAGCTGGCAGCGGAGGCCAGGAGAGCTGGGCATTGGAAGCAGGGCCCAAAGTGAACTGCATGGGAGTTGTGCTGTGTTGTTAACCCAGAGAATGAAATCCACTTTACAAGACTTAATTCAGCAGCCGTTCTTGACTAGTGAATAAATTAAAAGATCTTATAGAAATGGGAAGAGTCACCGAATGTACTTGTATCATTGAATCTGTGTTTTAGAGAAACTTGAGCATTTCTGCAATGTGGTTTCAGAAGCAGACCTTGTCCTCTTGAGCCTCAGTTTCCCCACTTCTCTAGGGTGATTTACAAGGTGTGCCTGTCCCTGATGGAGTACATATAATTTCCATTTTGGAGCTGGATCCTAACTTGGGGGACAACTCCCCTTCTGTCCTTTATGTTTCCTAGGGAAGTGCCCGACAGGGTGGCACCACTACGAAGGCACGGCCAGCTGCTACCGGGTCTACCTGAGCGGGGAGAACTACTGGGATGCCGCGCAGACCTGCCAGCGCCTGAATGGCTCTCTCGCCACCTTCTCCACTGACCAGGAGCTGCGCTTTGTCCTGGCCCAGGAATGGGACCAGCCCGAGCGGAGCTTTGGTTGGAAGGACCAGCGCAAGTGAGTCCTGGATTGGGGACCTGAGGGGCTGGAGTCAGAGTCTGATGACTACTGAGCACATGGCCTCTGACCACTCAGTAAACTCCTGGAGCACAGCTGGCAGACAGCAGGTTGGGAAGACCAGCCTCGCCCACTGGAAGCCCAGGAGATCCATGGGTAGGAGTGTGCATCGAGATAGGTGGAGGGTCCTGGGAGCAGGGGCAGGCTGGACTCTGCTGCTACTTTGTGGGACTGTGGGGCAGCCCCTTTCATTGGTACCCCTCTCCTTGTACAAGTGCAGTTGCTGAGCGCAGGCAGGGGGCTGGGGGTGCTGGCTTGTGTGGGGAGAACTGCTTGGTGTGGGGCTTCGTGGGCCTTGTGCAAGGGGTGTGCAGTGTAGGTGGGGGTTCCCCCCAAGAAAGCAAGGGGGCCTTCGCTTCAAGACCCAAGCTGGGTTTTGACTCCACAGTTATGCCCTGTGAGAGTTTGGCAAATCACAAGACGGAGTTGTTTTTCCTTCTGCAGCTACAAAGGGAGGAAACTAACTCTTAGCTCACAGGTTGTTGTACTAACCCCATGAGGACAGGCCTGTGAGTCCAGTGGAGAAGCAAGAGGGTATAGCCCGGAGGGCAGGGCAGCCCCATCTCTGAGGACAGCCTTGTGGTTGCACAGCATAGGGCAGAGTGTGCCATCCCTGGGCTCCTGCCATGCGGGGAGACCTGCTGATGGGCATCTCTAGGCTTGGGGCTGGAAAGCTGGGCCAAGGGACATGGACTAGGCAGGAGCTTATGGCGGTCAGCCAGATGCCAGTGCAAGGTCCTTTCAGTGCTAGGCCTGCATGCTCAGGAGCAGGCTGCAGGCCTGAGGTGGGCTGGCTCTGAGTGGGAAGCCGTGCAAGTGTTTTCAGCCCCCATGGTAGTGGATATTTGCAGGGACTTATGTCTTTATTGAGATGCAGTTCACATGCCATGAAAATCTCCCCTGTGGAGTGCCCTGTCCTATGGTTTTAGCATAGTCACCGAGTTGTATTCATGGGGTTTCATGTCTACCAAGAATAAGATTGTTCTTGCTTAAATTGTGAAAGCTTTACCGGTTTAGCTCATAGAAACAGTCTTGGCAAGAGTTCCCTGAGATAAAACTTTTCCTGCCCTGTGAACTTTCTTGTTTTGAATTTTAATGCATTCTAACATGAGTGTCTCATGTTAGAAGCTCAGTGTTGTGGAGGTCAGTATAGCTATTAAAAAACAATCCCAGCACTTTGGGAAGCCGAGGCGGGTGGGTCATGAGGTCAGGAGATCGAGACCATCCTGGCCAATATGGTGAAACCCCGTCTCTACTAAAAAAAAAAAAAAAAATACAAAAATTAGCTGGGCGTGGTGGCCTGTGCCTGTAATCCCACCTACTCGGGAGGCTGAGGCAGGAGAATTGCTTGAACCAGGAAGTCAAGTTGCAGTGAGCCGAGATCGCACCACTGCACTCCATCCTGGTGACAGAGCGAGACTCTGTCTCAAAAAACAAAAAACACACAGTCATTGATGGTTGCATCCCTCCTGCCGCTGAGATCTCTGTCTCTGTCTCTGTGCCCTGCAGGTTGTGGGTTGGCTATCAGTATGTTATCACTGGCCGGAACCGCTCCTTGGAAGGTCGCTGGGAGGTGGCATTCAAAGGTGAGCCCTTCTGGTGTGTGGGAGTGTTTGAAGCTGGGCAGAGTCACCCTGATTCGGGGCCTCCCCTCCTCCCTCTTACCCAGTGCTGCCTGGCCCGTAGGGGTGCTGTGCAGGGAGTGGGTGAGCCCCAGTTGCAGGGAGGGCTGCGGTCATGGGGCCAGTGCAGCCTGCAGATCAGGCCCTGCATTGGGCGGTGGCTGTCTCTGGAACCCTCTGTTGCATCTCACTTTGGCCAGCTTTCTAGATTGTCCCCCGCCTCCTTTTGAAGTTAAAGACCTTGGAGTATAAAAATGAGCATGCAGAGTGTGCCCCTGGCAGGCTGGAGGGGAGGACAAGCTTGCCAGGACAAAGGTCAGACGTAGAATCCAGACCTGAAGGAAACTATCAGGCAGATAGAGAGAGAGAGAGAGAGAGAGAGAGAGTGAGCATGCATGTGTGTGTGTGCGCAAAGATTTTATGCGGAGCTGCTTGGAAATACCAAGACGACGTAAAGGAAACATGGCTGCTGTTTCCTTTACATTCCCTGGGCTCGGACTTGGCTTGCCCTTCCTGTCCCATTGCCCTGGCACTGGCGAGCTCCTCCTGGACATACTCCAGCAGTGCCTTCTCCAGCTGCCGCCAGGGTCACACTCCCTTGCCCTGCCCCTTCCCTGTCTGTTGGGCTGTACTTTGTGCCTGTGGCTTGAGCTAGGATTTGGGTTCTTTTCGTAAACACATCCCAGTCCTGCTGTTGATGTCTTAAGTATCTCTAAGAAGGATAAATGAGGAGTGATGGGCCTGGGGACAGGGTTGAAAAGGGTCAAGGCCTGGGTGGCCGGCTTCCCTGGAGAAAAGAGGGCCCCACAGAGGCGGGGCCATGCCTGGCTGCTGGGACAGGGCAGGAGCAGAGGTGGGGGCTGCAGAGCCCAGCAGACTGGGGCCACACCTGCTGTCCCGATCCTGCTCAGGACAGATGCCACCCTGTTCTCATGACCACCAGTGCCCTCCTGAGAGCCCCAGCCACATTTGCATTCCCTGGCTTTATGAGTGCATTGTTTAGATTGCTATTGACTAATCAATGGCTTCTGGGTTTCCAGGCCCCAGAGTCAAAGTTTGCCTCATAGAGCATAATTATCCTGGTAGCTTGTCCTCCTGACACTGGTGGTTGAAGAGAAGACATGATTCTGAGTGGGATGACAGCACATTCAGAGTTGGGGACTGGGGGCCTCATGCTTGGTGTGAGAATGGCAAGGGTCCTGGGTGGGCTTTAATGGCCAAGTGCAGCTCAGTGACTCCATTGGAGCCTCAGGCAGGAGAGTGAACCTAAAATTTAGAAAAAGATTGAACACGTATGTTGGTGCTGGCAGCTGCAGCTGGCATAGAGCTCCCTATTTGTGTGGCTCAACGTGCAAGGGGCCCCACAGCATCCCGGAGCTCCACGGAGGTGACCATGTGCCACTGCCTGCTTGTGCCCAGTTAAATGGATTCGGGAACTCTGTTAGCGGATTTAAATAGTGGTCACAAAACAAATAGTAACAATAACAATAATTCTTCTGCTGCAGGATAACTGGCCCTTGATGCAGCTCAGCATCATGAGTGGTTCTGGGCTTAAAGAGATTAAAGAAACATAAAACCAAATGTGGCACAAGAACCCTTATGGTGTCCTAGGTTGGGAGGCTTATAAAATCTTCCACAGGACAATTCAAGAAATGAGTGGGGACTTGTGGAAGATTCATTTTCTTAGGTGCAGCAATAGGACTGTGGTTGTGTGGTTTTAGGAGCCAGTATCCTGGAGTCTGCAGGGGAGGGGCTCCCAGGGTGGTAGGGCAGAGAGGAGCCAAGCAGCAGGGTGCGGTCAGCACCGAGGTGGCTCGGGTGCACGCACTCCTCTCTCCATAGTGGAATCGTTTTAAAAATTCCTGTACCAAAAGCAAGCTGCAGAGTGAAGACAGTACTGAGTATAAAACAAGCTAGCAAGAGCACGTCTAGCCCAGCCCAGCCCACCCCAGCCTTTCTCCTGCCTGGGGACATGGTGCAAAGCAGAGGGGTCATTGGGGTCTGAGGTGTTGGCCCCCCCAAAAATACCCAAAAAACCATGGGAAATGGATGTAAGTCATTTGTTACTCATTCTGAACCCTTCCCTAAGAAAATATTGTACCTGAGAATATCAGCTAATGATGGTGGAAGGGCCTCACATTAAGATGTTGAAAAATGTTTCTTTCATCTACATGTTGTCCATCTTTTCTGTGTTGTATAATATGTTCCAGATTGGGGTGTGAGTGATACCATGGTACATAGACGCTTACTATGCCCATGTGTCGGTACCCTGCACACACATTTGAAGTTGGGAGCTCGTTTCCGCAGGGTTCCTGTGCGCCTTGGTGGAGCGCTCTCCAGGCGCTCCCCCAGGCCCACACCAGCCTGTGAGCCCCGCCTGGGGGCCAAGACCCTGCAGGTTTGACAGCACCAGGTCATGATGTGCCCTGGAGACAGAACTGCCGCTGCTGCTGCCAGAAGACATGAGGCCAGGATTTCTGTAACATTTGTGCAGAAAGGTTGAAAAAGTACAGATCCTTGTGTAGGGAGAATCATCCACACCGCCCCACGTGCTGCTCCCAGGGCCTTCCCGTCAGCACCAGCAGTGTAGCTTCTGTCTGGTGAGTCATACTTGATATTTACCTTAAAATATAAAAGTGAAAACAGCGTGTGTTTCATGTGTCCACATGTTGTGTCACTTGCTCATTTAAGATTACTCAGTGCCTGGCCCTCATTTGTCCCCCGTGGTGTCTCAGCACGCACATTGCAGGTTGGCTGAGGTCAGGAGGTGTGTGACTTAGTAGAAGCCTTCTTTTCTCCCCCAAAATCTTGTGCCCAGTCCTTTATGGTCTCCGTCTTCTTCTTTCTCTGGTGCTGTACCTGAGGGATTGTATGGTGTTGCCCGCTGAGGCCAGCAGTCAGGGCTGTGGTCCTGGGCCAGCCTGTGGGACCTAGCGTTTAGAAGCCTCAGTCAGCAGTGAGGGAGGGGCCAGGCTGGCCTAGCAGCCACTGGAAGGTGCATTGTAGAGACCCTGCCCTCTGGGTGAGCTGACCATTGGTCTAGGATGGGGTCAGCTGGGGTCAGGCCACAGTTCTTGGAGGGGAGACAGACCCTGAGTGGGGCAGCTGCCACCGTGGTGGGGCATTCGGGAGCATCTGGACAGCCCCTGGTGGGCCCGAGTGGAGGCTCATTCTGTGGCTGTGGAGGTGGCGAGACAGGAAGGGGAGGTTCTTTGAGGGCTCAGAAAAGTGAGTGAAGGTCTCCCCACCACTCGAACAATGGGGGACTCGGGGGCCGGGGAGGGTTCTCCAGGCTCGGCGAGCAGCGGTGGACATGGAGGTGGCAGTGGCTGCTCGCACATGTGGGAGAGGATGTGGTGGCAGAGGTAATCAGGTTCAGATGCCCTCGTGTATCAGTCTGGGGAGCAGGGTGTCCTCCGGTGGCTGGTGACGGCCCAGCCCAAGGCTCCCGTCAGAGTCCTGCGCACACCTCATGTGTGGACATATGGGAGGGGCACCTGGAAACTTGCCGCCACCCTGTCGAGGTGAGGACTGGATCTGCTGGGGTGGCAGGGGGTGAGGAGTAGTGTCTTGGAGGGAGGCTTGAGAGGAGGGCTCTGCACGAGGAACTGCTCCCAGTCACTCTGGTAGCCAGGGCAGCTCTGCTCACAGGGCCTTTCTCTAGGATGAGGGTCCTTCAGGAAGAGCGGGATGTTTGAGGTAAGGGGGTGTCCAGGAGGAAGTGGGAGGCCCTGGAGGAAAATCTGCAGGAGTCATCCCCAGTGCAGTATCGGGAAGCCTCCAGGCTCCTCTCACACCTTTGGAATATGTCCAGGATCTCATCACCTGGCACCAGTCTTGCAGCCCCCACCGGGATCTAACACCCAATCATCCGTCACCCGATTGTGCTCGTGGCCTCTGTCTGGTCTCCTGGCCCCAGCCCCACCGCTCCTCACACAGCTGCTGGGGGTCCTTTTCACCTCTGCTCCCTTGTTCACAGCTCTCGTTTCTCATAGAAATCACAGTTCCATCAAGGCCAGCAGCCCCTTCCTTCACTACCCTCATCACCTACCACTCCCCAGCCTCTTCTCCAGCCCCACAGGCTGCCTTGTTCATGGCTGCCACTGTGACCTCTTCCAGGGATGCTCCAAAGACGAACACCTGCCCGCTCTGCAAGGCTGCACCTCGGGTAGGCATGCAGTGCCCGCATGACCAGCCCCCATTCAGCACCTGGATGCAGAGCCACCAGCAGCTCCCCTGGGCAGGGGCGCTACACAGGTGCCCATGCAGCTTGCTGCCAGGAGGGAGCACTGTGTGGCTCTCTGGGCCCTGGCCTAGAGTGCCACACGAACCCTGTTTTGCTGGTTGCCTGACTCACTCTGACTTGCTGTGCCCCGGTCCAGGCAGCTTTCGTGGGCAAATGCTGGGTCCCAGGACTCTGCCCGGAGAGGTCATTTGTGTCCTTGGTCTCAGTCTGCTGTCATGTACTGTAGTTGTGGGCAGGAGCTCTTAGCTGGCAACTAGCTTCAGCGCTGAAGATTTTTTGTTTGTTAAAGATTGGAAGGAACCTGTTTGGTTTTCTTGCCACGGGACAAGAAGGCAAATAGTGAAGAAAACAGTGTTTAAAAGGGGAGGGGCTCTACTTAGGTGAGAAGGCATCTGTGGGAGATGAGGAGGGTGTGCAGGGGCTCGGGGGCCTGGAGGAAAGGTGGGGTGGTGCACAGCGTGATGGTGGTGGCACCCACTGTCAGCAGTGGAGACCAGCCCTCCAGGTGGTATGGGGAGGTGACTCCAGACAGTGGGCCCCTTTCCTGCTCTGCTGTGGGTCTGATAGATGCAGATGAGGCAGGCGAGATGCTGGGCCTGTATGTCCCTGGGAAGGGGGCACAGCTGTTGCTGTGGCTGCCTGCTGGCCTGGCACAGGTCTTGCAGGTCTCAGAGCTTCCTGAGAGCTGTCCTCCTGCCCATGGCAGGGCACCATGTGTCCACAGGCCCACAGCATAGGCCTGCCTCCAGACTCACTGGCTTTTTTGAGGCAGAGCCCCATGTTTCGTGCTGGGTATAAACAGAGCTCCAAAAGACGCAGGTGAGAATGCTGGAGGCTTATAAATGGGGTGAGCTGCACTGCTGCTGTCTTAGGAGGGGGAGAGCACCAGGTGTGCCTTCATTATTCTGCTTCTTGGAAAGGTTGCTTTGTGTTTCCATTGATCCTGGTCGGGTAAGCCTCAAGGAATCTTGGCAGCCCAGACTGGAAGGGCCGTGCAGGGGAGAGAGTGGGGCCTAGGGCTGGCTGTGCCATGCCCTGGGCATGGCCAGAGCCCACCTGGAACCTTGCAAAAGAGAGGCTTGGAGGTTAGCAGTCCCCAACCCTCACGCTCTCTGCGGCAGGGGTACACGGTTTCTGACTGCCTTGTGCCTGGCTTAGGCAGGAGCTGAGTGGGTGACAGTTTCCCTTGAGCTGAGAGAGGTCCCCGGGAGCCAGTGCTTCCTAAGTGTTCCCTGCAGCCAGCTGCTGGCAGTGCCGGCCAGTGCCAATGCTGCCTGACGGCGCCTTTCTCCTGGGTGTTGGGTGGACTTTGTAAGTCTTCTGTTTATCTGAGTGTGCTGTCCTAAGGGAGAGCTTCCCTGCCTGTTTCCCTTGCCCATTCCCCTGTTTGCATTTTAATCCAGTGTGCCACAATCCATTACTTTGTTATTATGCTGTTGCTCTAACTTTAAATGCCACCCACTAACCGTGATCCAGCACCCTCTTCTGGTGCTCAGGCTGGCACTTACTGCTACCCAGGGTTTGTGGCCTGTGTGCTTGCAGGCTCCAAGGAGTGGCTCCCGCTAGGCCCAGCACCTGGGGTGACTCCCAGGAGGTTGGGGAGTCCCGAGTGAACACCTGGCCACAGTGACCACCAGTACTTGGCGGTCCAGGCCCTGTGGTTGATGATCCTGTCTGACGCCATGGTCCCCTTGAGGACTGCACAGCTTGTCCTCTGATGTGATGTTGTCCAGCCCCACCTTTTGTCTCCCCAACAGGCTCTTCAGAGGTGTTCCTGCCCCCAGACCCCATCTTTGCCTCGGCCATGTCTGAGAACGACAACGTGTTCTGTGCCCAGCTTCAGTGCTTCCATTTCCCCACCCTGCGGCACCACGACCTCCACAGCTGGCACGCCGAGAGCTGCTACGAGAAGTCTTCATTTCTGTGTAAAAGAAGTAAGCCCCCTTGAGCTGGCGTTCTTGGGGAATGTCTGGGCCCTTGTGTCACTTTGTTGGACCCTGAGTTCAAGGTTTCGGAGGCAGAACCTGATTTGCAGTGTTGCGGTGGACGCCCCTTACCAGCTCACACCTTGTTCTTGGGGCCCATTTGCAGCTCTGTGACCAGGGCAGCTGGTCAGCATCTTAGAGCCCACGGAAGCATCTTAGAGCCCAGCTTCTTTTCCCACGGAAGAGACAATCATCCCTGTCCTCCCTGTTGCAGTGTTGTTAAGAGAGTAAATGGGAATGAGGACCCAAGGACTTGGCATCTCTGGAGCATCTAAGGCTGTTTGTCACCTCCCCACCCCCCATTTCTGCCATCCTTCTCTCTGCTTCTCTGCTTCTCTGTTTACCTTGCCAGTCTATGGTGTGTGTGTTTTTTTTTTTTTATTAAAGCCAGCTAACTCTATTGCTTTTGGGGGACAGGGGTCTCAGGAGCTCTTGGTGGGGCAGGTCCCCTTCCTCTTCACCATCACAGGCTTCTGGCTTCGCAGGATGGCGCTGGCTCTGGGATGGCAGCTGTGCGCAGGTTGGGGAGAGGCTTTGTTCTTGCGGATCATGTGTGTGATGTTGCCGAGCATGGTGCAGGCGTTCTTGTTGACGGTGGTCCTCTTTTTCTTTTTTTTTTTGGGACAGAGTCTCGCTCTGTTGCCCAGGCTGGAGTGCAGTGGCGTGATCTCGGCTCACTGCAAGCTCCGCCTCCCAGGTTGAAGCGATTCTCCTGCCTCAGCTTCCTGAGTAGCTGGGACTACAGGTGCCTGCCACCACGCCCGGCTAATTTTTTGTGTTTTTAGTAGAGGCGGGTTTCACAGTGTTAGGATGGTGTCGATCTCCTGACCTCGTGATCCGCCCACCTCGCCCTCCCAAAGTGGTGGGATTACAGGTGTGAGCCACCGTGTCCACCCGACGGTGGTCCCCTCATAGGAGGTGGCTGGCTTCTGCTGGCCGGATCTCCACTCCATGACCACCACCACACCTTTGCCATCAGCTGCCGGGTCCACACCCACAGTCCTGCAGTGAATCAGCTCGTTGTAGTGGAAGGAGCTGCAGCCTTTAAGTTCTCAGGCTCAGTGCTGTGGGTCTGCTTATTCCCCTTGATCAGGCCGGATGATTCCTCGCGACCATCCATTGCAGATGTGCGGCCGGGGCGGCAGCTCCTCCCAGGTGGCTGGCAACAGAGAGAGCTTCATGATAAATCTTGACTGCTGGTGTTACGACTTCCTCTGCCTTGTTCTTGCCTGTTATGTTGCCTATTTTTGACCCTTTTCTATGTGAATTTTAGGATATGTTTTCTAAACTCCTTTATTGGTTCTCTTAGTTTGTGGATTTTGTTGATTTTCTATTTAGATGGGTTTGTTTCTTCTTTCAAATCTTTGACATTTATTTATTTATTTACATTTATTAGAGATGTGGTTTCACTATGTTGCCCAGTCAACTCTTCTTGCTACAGTCTCCAGGACAGTGATGATTAGAAATGGTGGTAGTGAGCATTCTTGTCTTCTCAACTTAGAATGCTATTTTAATGTATCAATATTCTACAGAATGCCTTCTATAGGATTTTAGAATGTACCTGTATGAAGTCAAAGAAGTACCTATTCCTAGGTTGCTGGGAATATTTGTGTTACAAAAGTGTACTGATTTTTATTAAATGCTTTTAGTGGATTTTATTGGGGTTATGTAGTTTTTCTTCAGTCTGTTCAGTCATTATTTCATATAAATGGATTTTCTTATGTTAAACCATCCTCATGGTTTATATATATATAATATATTATATTGGTGGATTTGGTTTGCTGATATTTAGAATTTTTGAAACTCTTTGTTGTTTTTTGAGACAGAGTCTTGCCCCGTCACCCAGGCTGGAGTGCAGTGACGTGATTTCAGCTCACTGTAACCTCTGCCTCCCGGGTTCAGGCAGTTCTCTTGTCTCAGCCTCCTGAGTAGCTGGGATTACAGACATGTGCCACCACGCCTGGCTAATTTTTGTATTTTTAGTAGAGATGGCGTTTCACCATGTTGGTCAGGCTGGTCTTGAACGCTGGTCTTGAACTCCTGACCTCAAGTGATCCACCTGCCTCAGCCTCCCAAAGTGCTGGGATTATAGGTGTGAGCCACCGTGCCTGGCCTGAAACTCTTTTAAGAAGTGAGGTTGGCCTGTTACATTTTTTTCTATACTCTCCTTGACTCTCTCTTTTTTTTTTTTTTAAGGTGGGGCATCACTGTGTTGCCCAGGCAAGAATGCAGTGGCTAATCACAGGCACGATCATAGCACAGTACAGTCTTGAACTCCTAGGCTCAAGTGAGCCTCCTGCCTCAGCCTCCCAAGTAGCTGGGACTACATTGACTCATTTCTGTATTATACTATATTAGTTTTCTAAAATGAGTTGGCAAACATTTTATTTTACTGTTCTCTAAATCCATTTGTCCAAGTTGGAGATAAACTTGTCTTTGAGTGTTTGATAGAACCACCTTATAGGACCATCTGGGTCAGGCGAGGGAGACTTCTGTAACTTGTTAATTTAGGTATAATTTCAAGCTTATGGAAAAGGCAGAATAATACAAGGAACTTCCTTTCATACACCATTTACACAGACTCACCAGTTACAGTATTTCAGTTTTACTGCATTTGCTTTATCATTCACTTTCTCTACATGTTTCTTCTGAATCATTTGGGAGTAAACTGAAGATACTGTGGACCTTAATTAAGCGTTTTATACTTCAGTGTGTATTTCCTAAGAACAAGGACACTTTCTTATGTACCCACACTATATGGATCAAAATCAGAACACTTAGCATGGATACAGTACCATACAGTAATCCACAATCCATTATTCCAGTTTTATCAGTCGTTCCAATAATATCCTTTATAGCTATTTTTTTCATTGTCCAGAATCATGCATTGCATCTAGTCATCATGTCTCTTGGATTCTTTTAGTCCTTCAGTTTGAGTAATTTCTGTTGACCTGTCCTCAGGTTTACTAATTCTTTCCTTGGCTATGTCAAGTCTGCTTATGAGCCCATTGAAGGTATTCTTCATCTGTTTCATTGATTTTGTCTGTTTTTTTATTTATAGGATTTCCATTTGATTCTTATAGATTCCATCTCTCATCTGAATTTCCCATCTAACCTTGTATATTGTCCAGCTTTTCCACTGGAGCCTTTAACAAATTAATCGTAGTTATTTTAAATTCCCTGTGGGGAAGTTCCTTCATCTGTGTCATATTTGAGTCTGGTTTTTTGATTGTTTTGTCTCTGGAGCATGGTACTTTTTTCTAGGCTTTTCATTGGAACTCTGACATCTTGTGTGGGACAATAGAGACTGAGTTCAGTAGTTTTGTGCTTGCAGTGGCTATGCCTTTACTTCCACTAGGCCTTTCTTGTGGGGAGGTCTTTAGTACAGTGCAGGGCGTTGATCTGGGCGAGAGTTGGGCTGGGCTTGGGGTTTGTTGGCACTGTAGTTGCCCTCAGTGCACCTCAGGCTTTCGTATTTAGCAGCATTGTTGTTCTGGGTGGAGGCTGGTTTGCCAGAGGGTTTTTCTTAATGTCTGCTCCACCCTCTACTTGAGGTCATCCCTTTGGGCTACATCTCTAGAGTCTGTCTTTTGCAGCCCGCCTAGCAGTAGTCCACTGTGTGACTCAAGGCTTGTTAGCATGCTGATAGTAGGGTCTGATGTTCTAACTGTATCTGAGCCTTAAGCAGGCCCAGTGCCCTGAGGATCCAGGGTGGAGCCTTCACAAGTGCTTCTGACCCTCCTGCAGCTGGAGTTGGGTCCAGCACAGTGGCTTTTCACCAGGGCCCTAAAGGCTCCAGGTATGCTCTGATTAGAGGCAGCCTGACTAGAAGCAGGGCAGTGGAGGTGATTGGTTTGGGGAACATATTTGACTTTCCCTGGTGGGTTTCCAGTTGGAAGTATGGACTCAAAATAGAGAAGCTGGTGGCCACTGGCCAGATCCTGACTGCCCTAGACTGGTTGCTACAGAAGTGGTAGGTCAGAGGCCTTTGGTCATATGTGGTCTGGCCTTTGTCAGGTATCATCATGAGGCAGAAATGTTCTATAAATGGAATCATATAGTTGCAACCTTTTGGGGTTGGCTTTTTTCACTCATAATTCCCTGGAGAGTCATCCAAATTGTTACTTTTATTAATGATTTGTTCCTTTTTTTTTTCTTTTTGGCGACAAGGTCTCTGTCACCCTAGAGTACAGTGGTGTGATCACTGCTCACTGCAGCCTCAACCTCCCAGGCTCAGGTGAACCTCCCACCTCAGCCTCCCGAGTAACTGGGACCACAGGTGCATGCCACTGTGCCCAACTTATTTTTGTATTTTTTTTTTTTTTGTAGAGGCGGGATTTCGCTATGTTGCCCAAGCTGGTCTCAAACTATAGGCCTCAAGTGTTGAAGGACATCTGGGCTGTTTCCAGTCTTTGGCTATTACAATGAAAACTGCCGTGAACATCCGCATACAGGTTTTTGTGCAAACGTGTTTTCTTTTTTCTTTTTTTCTTTTGTGTGTGTGTGTGTGTGTGTGTGTGAGACAGAGTCTTTCTCTGTTGCCCAGGCTGGAGTGCAGTGGCACAGTCTTGGCTCACTGCAGCTTCCGCCTCTTGGGTTCAAGCGATTCGCATGTCTCAGCCTCCCGAGTAGCTGGGATTACAGGCATGTGCCACTACGCCCAGCTAATTTTTGTCTTTTTAGTAGAGATGGGTTTCACCATGTTGACCAGGCTGGTCTTGAACTCCCAGTCTCAGATGATCCACCTGCATCGGCCTCCCAAAGTGCTGGGATTACAGGCATGAGCCACCACGCCTGGCTGCAAATGTGTTTTCACTTCTGTGTGATAGATGCCCAGGATTACAGTTGCTTGATTGTATCGTAGTTGCAGGTTTAGTTTTTAAAGAAACAAGCAAATTGTTTTCCAGAGTGGCTGTACTATTTTATAGTCCCACTATCAACGTAGGAGTGATTCAACGTAGGAGTGATTTAATTTCTCCATATCCTCCCCAGCGCTTACTGTTTTCACTATTTTTCATCTTAGCCCTTCTGTTAGGTATGCAGATATGTATGTAGACCTGTGGCTCCTTATGGTTTCAATTTGCATTTCCCTGAGGCTACTGATGTTAAAACCTCTTCATGTTTCATGTGCTTATTTGCCATCTGTATATTCTCTGTTGTTCACATTATTCTTCCGTTTTCTCTTTGCATCGTTTGTTCGTTTTGTTTTGAGAAAGGGTCTTGCTCTGTCACCCAGGCTCAAACGCAGTGGTGCAATCATAGTTCACTGTAACCTCCAGCTCCCGGGCTCAGGCAGTCCTCCCACTTCAGTCTCCTGAGTAGCTGGAACTGTAGGTGTGCACCGTCATGCCTGGCTAAGTTTTTTATTTTCTATAGAGATAGGATCTCACTATGTTGCCTAGGCTGGCTTCAAACGCAACTCCTAGGCTCAAGTGATCCTCCTGTATTGAGATTACAGGTGTGAACTAATGATCTGTTTTGTTCTTTTTTAAACTGTGGAGTTTTGAGAGTTCTTTATGTATTCTAGATACCAGTCCTTTGTCAGATATGTGGTTTGCAAATATTTTTTCTAGTCTGTAGCTTGCCTTCATCCTCTTCAGGTGAGCTTTCAGGAACAAAAGTTTTGTTGTTGCTGTTTTTTCCTGGCAGTATAAGTTTACCCAAAGAACAAAAGTTCTTAATTTTAATGAAGTCCTAGTTATTTCTCTCTCCTTTCGTGGATTTTTTTTTTTTTTTTTTTTTTTTTGTGACAGAATTTCACTCTGTTGCCCAGGCTGGAGTGAAGTGGTGCAATCTTGGCTCACTGCAACCTCCACCTCCTGGGTTCAAGTGATTCTTGTGCCTCACCTTCCCAAGTAGCTGGGATTACCAACATGAGCCACCACGCCTGGCTAATTTTTCTATTTTTAGTAGAGACAGGGTTTCACAGTGTTGGCCAGGCTGGTCTCAAACTCCTGACCTCAGGTGATCCACCTACCTCGGCCTCACAAAGTGCTGGGATTACAGGTGCGAGCCACTGAAACCAGCTTCCTTTTATGGATTATTCTTTTGGTGTCAAGTCCAAGTACTCTTTGCCTAGCCTTACATTTCTTCTGTGTTTTTTTCCTAAAATTTTAATCATTTTCCGTTTTACATTTAAGTCTAGGACATGTTTCGAATGAGTGTTTTAATAAGATGTGAGACTTAGGTGAAGTTCTTTAGTCCAGTATAGCTTTGCTCCCACACACCACCTTTGTGCCATTCTTGGCAAATCTAAGTGTGTTATATTTTTGTATGTCATAGACCCAATACTACATTCCATACATATTATTTTATACAATTGCTTTTTAAATCAGCTAAGAGAATAAAGGAGGAAAACTATGCATGTAGGCTATAATTTATAATCACGATTGCCTTTACTGTTGCTCTTCAGTTTCTTATTTGTATTCAAATTACTATCTGGGGATTGCATACTTTTGGCCTGAAAAACTTCCTTTAGTGTTTCTTATAAGGTGGATCTGCAAACAACTTCTCTCACTTGTTGTTTGTCTGGGAAAGTTTATTTTACTTTCATTTTTCAGAAGATATCTTTGCTGGATATGGATCTTGGTTGATGGTTTTCTGTGAGCAGTTATCCCACTGCCCCAGCCTCTGTTGTTTCTGCTGAGAAGTCAGTTGTTTGTCTTATTGGGGTTCCCTTAGAAGTAACAAGTCACGTCCCATTTGCTGCTTTTCGTATTTTCGCCTTGTCTTTCACTTTCAGCATTTTCACTCTGATGTGTCAGTTTGTGGCTCCTTTGCATTTATCCTAGGAATGTGGAATTTGTTGAGCTTCCTGGATGTATAGGTTATTGTTTTTCAATGAATTTGAGTAGTTTGCAGCTGTTAGTTCTTCGACTAATTTTTTTTTGCCTCTTTCTCTCTCTCCTCTCCATTTGTTACTCCTGTTTCACATATGTTGGTGTACTTAATGGTGTTTCACATTTCTCTGGGAGCTCTGTTCATTTCTGTTCATTCTTTTTTCTCTATTTTAGCCAGGGAATAATTGTATGTGAGTATCTTGCCCTGGGAGTTCCTGACCACATGGGTGACCTAGATTTGATCCCAATCTTTTTTTTTTTTTTTTTTTGAGACAGAGTCTCATGCTGTCGCCCAGGCTGGAGTGCAGTGGCACAATCTCTGCTCACTGCAACCTACACCTCTGGGGTTCAAGAGATTCTCATGCCTCAGCCTCCTGAGTAGCTGGGATTACAGGCACATGCCACCACGCTTGGCTAATTTTTGTATTTTTAGTGGAGACAGGGTTTTGCCATGTTGGCCAGGCTGGTCTTGAACTCCTGACCTCAGGCAATCTGCCTGCCTCGGCCTCCCAAAGTGCTGGGATTACAGGTGTGAGCCACCGCGCCCAGCTGACTACAATCTTAAGTGAGGCATAGACCTGTGATTGTGAAATTTCGGAAGAGTCTTTTTTCTAGACATCCTTACCCCATTTGGAGACTGTAAGAAGCTACCTTCTCATGTCTCTTTGCCTTTCACTGAGGGTGGCTCTCTTGGAGGCTCCTTCATTCCTTGTCTCTCCTCCAGGCATTTGCAACGTCTGCCTACCAGTTGAAGACTCTGGGTTTTTAGCCATGGCCATTCCTCTTACTCTCATCCTAGGTCAGCTCTGTGCAGAGTGTGCCTCAGGTCCAGTGGACTGCCTTCCCAAGCAGAACTGGCAGCTTCCTTACACACATTCTGATTTTGAAATGGTTAATACTCATAGCAGCTGCATCTTAGAATTGAGAAAATCTCATAAGTAATCTACTTCAGCAACTTCCAGGCAAACACTTCTGCAGTGACCCTGGAGTCTGGCATTGTGCTCCATCCTGGCTCTCCGGCCTCCATTTGCCCTGGCTAGATGTACTTTGTTCTAACAGTGTTGTAGTGACTGCTCTTGGACAGCCACTCCCTGTGCCATGGGCCAGAGATCCATGGCATTCCAGCCCTGGGAAGACTCTCAGCACAATCTGGCCAAGTCTTCAGTTGCCTTGTTCGTTCCCCAGGCCCAGGTGGGGAAGGTCAGCTCATGTCAAGTGGTGCAGCAGTGATGGCAGTGTTTGCTCACAGAGCTGTCTTAGAGGCTTTGATGCCATTACTCTAGTGGGCATGTCTCACATGCCCCCTCCAGCTGCCTCCTTCCCATTCTAAGGTAACAGGTAGCATTCACAGGCCCACACGGGGAGGCTACCTTTTTTGGCAGTGTGGCCCACACGGGGAGGCTACCTTTTTTGGCATTGTATACATCTGTACACAATGTATGCTCATTGCAGGTCAAACATGTGTTGACATCAAGGACAACGTGGTGGATGAAGGGTTCTACTTCACCCCTAAGGGGGACGACCCATGCCTGAGCTGCACCTGCCATGGAGGGGAGCCTGAGATGTGTGTGGCTGCTCTCTGTGAGAGGCCCCAGGGCTGCCAACAGTACCGCAAGGACCCCAAAGAGTGCTGCAAGTTCATGTGTCTGGACCCAGGTGAGACTCTTGATAGGACGTCCCAAGTCAGCCTCCCTATTTGGGGCTGGAGGCTGGGCGTCCCTTTGCTTCCTCAGTGGTGAGGACTCAGGAGAGTTTATGGAGCATCGCGCAGCAGCAATGGCAGCGTTTGTCACAGAGATGTCTCAGAGACTTTGATGCCACTACTCTAGTGGGCGTGTCTGACACGACCCCTCCAGCTGCCTCCTTCCCATTCTGGGGTGACAGGCAGCATTCACAAATGAACTTGAACTCAAGTGTGGCTGTTTGTTCACAAGTCACCACTGACAGCTTCAAACTTGTCTTCAAACTTACGCCTCCAGGGTTTAAGCCGTTCTCCTGCCTCAGCCTCACCAGTAGCTGGAACTACAGGCGCATGCCACCATGCCTGGCTAGTTTTTGTATTTTTAGTAGAGACGGGGTTTCGCCATGTTGTCCAGACCAGGTCTTCAACTCCTGGCCTCGAGTGATCCACCCACCTCAGCTTCCCAAAGTGCTGGGATTACAGGCATGAGCCACCGCGTCCAGCCTAGACTTCTAATTTATGTCCACATTGGAGCTCTTCCTGTTCTCTAGTATGATGATATGGAGGGTAGTGACAGTTGTCATTGCTTACAGTCATCCATTTTTACCTTAGAATCTTCGAGAAAAAGATGAAGTATTATTCTCAGTTTCGAGATCAGACTCCTCACCACCAGGCGGGGGCTTTAAGGTAGACACTACAGGGAATCTGATCTCAGGGTGATCCTCTCCCTTCCACTTGCAAAAAGAGAGGAGCAGGTGGGCCACTGCTCTCTGAGATGTTAACACCCCTCACACTCCACGGGCATGCTTTGTCATTCTGCACACCGGTGTAGCTGCAGCTCTGTGTGAATTCAGATCTCAAGAGAAATGTAAATCAAAAGTATGAGTTTCTTTCTTTCTTGGGTGCCACAGTAGGAATGAAATGATGGGGACTTTTGGAAGCCCCTGGACTTGTGGCCCCTGTAGAAGAGCAGCTTGGGCAGGGTGTGATGGCCATCTCTGTCTCTAGGGGCCCTGTGGAGGAGAGGCTGCAGCTAGAGGCTGGGCCACAACAGTGAAAGCTGCCCCTGAGTGGAATGTTGTCAGTGTCCCTCCACACTGGGGGGCTGCTGGGTGGGAGGACAAAGCTGTCCTCCAGAGGCTGTGCCTGAGGCTGGGTGAAAGTGGGCACTGTGGCATGTACCATCAGACATGTGCAGTTGACTGTGGTGAGCACAAGGCTACATTTGCAGCCAAGCCCACCAGAGGACCCAGAGCTAGAGGGTGATGCTTGGACCCCATTCTGCAGGGCAGTTTCTCCTCGTATAGGGTGCATGTCTGTTTAGGGCCATGAGAAGCACTGGTTGAGTGCTTATCAAGTTCCCTGTGCCCGGCCACATAACTTTAAACCCCCAGCTTAGTGACTGGCTACAAGAGTCAAACTCTGTTCACAAGCCATGCTACCTGGACTCCTGGTTCCATTTCTCAGGAGTCTACCAGTGCTGCCTTGCCACTCTGTCCAAGCTTTGTAAGAATGCCCAGATGTGTACAAGGATGACCCATTTGTGGGCATGTATGGCCTAAAGAGCCTGCCCAGCCCCAAGGACTTCTTAGCAGAGCAGGGCCCTTAGTGCATCTGGGTGGGCCCAGAGCAGCTGCAGCCCTCTCTCCTGCACGGCCAGAGCGACTTAGCTGGGCCCTGCTCTGCCTGCCCTGTGGCCATGCTTCCATGGGCTCCTGACTCTCCTAGGGCCTTCTTCTGGAAAGTGCTCAAGAACCGAGACACTATCACCAAAACTGGAGACTCTGGGAATAGGATGTCATGTGTTAAGCATCAGAATGTCCCCTCCAACAAGCTAAGAGTGTCTACTCTTGCCACCCTGTCATCATTGTGCTTGAGGTCAAAGCCAGTGCCAGAAGGCAAGAAGAAATGAAAAACCATCCAGGCCAGAGGGGAAGAAATGAAACCATCTCCCTTTGCAGATCACATGATTGCATAGAAAATCCTAGGGAATCTACAGGAAAGTTATTAGAACTAATAAGTGTGTTTAAGCAAGGTCTCCAGATATAAGGTCAACGTAACAAAAATTCATCATATTTATATAATCTATCTGTAACAGTTGAAAATTGAAAATTTTGAGAAAAGTGCCATTAATAATAGCACCAAAAAAAATGAAATACCCAATTATAAATAATATAAAATATGTGCACATTCTGTTTGCTGCAAACTGTAAAACCATGATGACAAAAAGGCTTAAATAAAAGGAAAGATACCATGTTCATGGATCAGGTGTCTCAATATCATTAGGAGGTTAGCTCTTCCCAAATTATAGATTCAGTATAATCCCAACCAAAATTCTAGCAGACATTTTTGTAGGTATTGACAAGCTAATTCTAAAAATCAGGTGGAGCGAGGCATGGTGTCTCGCACCTGTAATCCCAGCACTTTGGGAGGCTGGGGAGGGTGGATCACTTGAGATCAGGAGTTTGTGACCAGTATGGCCAACATGGTGAAGCCCCATCTCTACAAAAAATACAAAAAATTAGTTGGGTATGGTGGCTTATGCCTATAATACCAGCTACTCAGGAGGCTGAGGCAGGAGAATCACTTCAACCTGGGAGGTAAAGGTTACAGTGAGCTGAGATCACGCCACTGTACTCCAGCCTGGGTGACAGAGCGAGACTCCATCTCAAAAAGTAAAAATAAAATAGGGCTGGGTTCAGCGGCTCATGCCTGTAATTGTAGTACTTTGGGAGTCTGAGGCAAGAGGATTGCTTGAGGCCAGGAGTTCAAGACCAACCTGGCTAACATAGCAAGACCCTGTCTCTTAAATAAAAAGGTAGATAAAAGTTGGTGGAAAGGCAAAATAATTAAAATAGCCAAAGTAGTTTTTACAAAGAACAAAGTTGGAGGATCCATGCCACCTAATGTATGAGTTACTGTACAGCCATAGTAATCACAACAGTGTGGTATCGATGAAGGGGCAGACACATAGATCAGTGGAACACAACAGTCCAGAAATAGTCCCACACTACGTATAATCAGGTGATCTCTCTGTTTTTGTTTGTTTAAGACGAGTCAAGTGCAGTCGTGAGAACGGGAAAAGAGTACAACAAGGAGTTTGATCTGTTACTGACTGTGAACAATCAATCGAGATGACTCACTACCTTCAGACCAGCCTAATCTTTGACAAAGGTGCAAGAGCAGTTCAGTGGAGAAAGGATAGTCTTTCAACCACTGGTGCTGGGACAGCAGGACATCCATATGCCAAAAAATACGAACCTTACACTGTCCCTCCTACTGTATGTAAAATTTACTCAAAATGGTCATAGACACAACTGTAAAACCTTGAATTATAAAGCTTCTAGGAGAAAACATAGGAGAGAAATCTTTGTGACCATGGGTTAGGCAACATTTTTAGCATGATCCTTAAAAAAAACAGACAAATTTGGCTTCATCAAAATTGAAAACTTCTGTTCTTTGGAACACACTGTTAAGGAAATGAAAAAATAAGCCCCTGACTGAATCAAAACAAGTATTTGCAAAACACAGATCAAAGGTCTGTATTCAGAATACATAAAAACTCAATAATAAGAAAACAAAACAATGCTATTGAAAAATGGCTTTAGAAGAAGATGTAAATTATTAAACTTTATCAAAGAAGATATAGGATGACAGTCAGGCAGCTGAAACGATGCTCAGTATTGGCCATTAGGGAAACAAACTAAATCCACGTGGGGTACCACCCCTGCTCGAAAGGCTAAAGTAATGAAACTGATAGCATCAAGTGCTGGCCAAGGTGCAGAGCAGCTGAAACTCATGCCGCCCTCTGCCCCTGCTTGCTCTGCTGCTGTCGGGCAGCCCTGATACGATGAGGTTCCCAGAGGCATGGTGAGGTGTTTGGCTGGTGCAGCTGCCAGGCACAGAGCCCACATTGGGTTCCTGGTCTCAGCTTCTGATCCCTGCTGACCTTCTGCTCCCCATGGTGTCTCTGATGGAGATTTTGAAACTGTTACCACTTAACCAAGCTCAATGAAATGGTGAGCTCCTTGTCACTGGAGCTCTTCTTGCACAGGCTGGATCCTCTCTCTGGGAGCTGCAGGATAGCTGAGAGACAAAAGACAACCCCAACTGCACAGCCCAGAACTCCATGGAGAGATCAGCCCTATCAAGGGGCCTCTGGGGCCCCTGGGCTGGCCTCTGGCTTCTGGGGCAGGCTCTCTTCTTTGTGCTTGACTACAAGTGGCTTGGTTCTGAGAGATGATTATTTCCGGTCCCCACCTTGGAGGGACAGTTGGGACCTTGACCGTGTCCTTGGGTTTATTTTAGAACGGATTAAGAGTTAGTCATTGCAAAGGGGCTGCTTTCTTAGGAGCTCCCCTGGGATCTCTGAACTGGCCTCCAATGAACAGGCACGTCACCAGTCCCTGGGCCACTAGGCTTTCTCCCACTGATGACAGTGCCCTTGAGACTGGAGGAGGGTCAGAGGCATCAGGAAAAGCAGCTAATTGGTGAGAGGATGTATCCTTCTCACATATTCACTTCATGTGTCGTCAGCAAAAAATGCAGCTTTTGGAGATGCTTCCTGGCCCCGTGGGAGGAGGACAGGAGCTGGCGCTGCCATCTGTGTGGGCATGGAGTGTACTGGGCTAGCAGGAATGGCTTGAGGGCTCTGGGAACCCAGCCACTCACACGGGGGTTGTGAAGTGTCTCCTTGGGGCAGGCAGTAGGGGTCCTGCCTGCCGAGATTGTTGCAGAGGTGGGAGTGGCCATTCCTAGCTTAGCAGGGTCCCTGCTGGTGTGGGGTCCTCCTGCTTCCAGGAGCTGATGGGTCACTCCTCGTTTTGAAGCCTCCCTGGCCTTCACTCTTGGTCTGTGGAGGAAGCTACTTCTGGGACCACTTCCTGGTTCCATTATTCTGTGACTTCTGTGAGTTGCCAGTTTACCCAAGTCAGGAGTGCATGGAACTGCCAGCCATGTTATAGATGTGTGGCTGGTAGATTCTCCTTTCATGCCTGCTACCACTCATGTCATCTCTGCCTCCCCATGGGCAGCTCATATCGAGCCCCTGTCCCCAGTGTGCACTGCACCAGGGCAGGGTGTGTCCCTCTTGGCGGTGTTGACATTTGGACCAGATACTGTGTGTTGGGGGCTGTCCTGGAGGATGTTGAACAGCACCCCGGCCTCCACCTGCTGAATACTAGTAGCATCCCAGCCAAGTGGTGGTCACGAAAAGCGTGAAATGGTTGAAGAAGAGCAGAGGAAGGCGCAGCAGCTTAGACTCAGTGCTCCTTGGCGTCTAGCCTGGCTGGGACTCAGCTTCAAGCTTCATGGCCCCTCCTGCCTACTCACCCAGCAAAGAGGTGGAGTCGGGTCCACCCAGCCCTCCTACACCTGCGCTTGGTGCGTGTGTACCCAATGTGTGGGTGTGGCTGAGCCGGGAGAGCATCTCAGTGGGGAGCCTGTGAGACCCAGTGTTGTGTCCAGGTGTCATCTGCACGTGTATGCCAGGGCTGGGTGCGTCAGGGGATGCGCATTTTCTCTGCCATGGCTTGTTAAGGATTGGAGTGACAGGCTTCACGCCCAACCACAGCAGAGGCACATTTGTGAAATGATACCTGAGTTGACCGTGCGGCTGCCCACAGGGGCTCACTGTTCCCCTACACAGTCCATCAGGGAGTTGTGGCAATCCGAGTCCCAAGTGTACCTTATACTGTCACTTCTCCCAGTCTGTCACTACCCGGTCCAGGCCTCTGTCATTCCCTTCTCTGCTGCGGCAGGTCCTCCTCCTGGCTTCCTGATGCCCTATGCTACTCCCTTGCAGCCTGTCCTCCCTACGGCAGCCGCCCGAGCCATGCTCCGCAGGGGCGTCACCCCCACTCCAAACTGCCAGCAACTGTCATCCATGAGACCCCTGCCTACCTGGCCAACCCTGGCCTCCTACCAGGAAAGGGCTGTCCCTCACCGCCCCCTGGCTCATTCTTGCTGGGCAACTGAGCACCTTCCTCCCAAGAGCCCAGGCCTCAGACAAAAGGAAGGCTGCTGTTGGACGGACGTGGGAGGCCTGTGTGCAGCCCTGGCCCCTGGAAAAGGATGTGCACCTCTGCAGGAGGGCCGCTCCCCAGCCACACCTGGGGTACACAGCACATGAGCGCAGCCTCCTAGGAGTGCTAGTCCTAGGACAGGAAATCCTAGTTTGCTCCGGTGATGGTCAGAGGGGTGTTGGCACACAGCAGCCTGGGGCCATGGTGAGATGCTCCTCCTGACCTGGGATTCGCTCTTCTGCTTCTGTGCTGTCACCATGTTCTTGATTTTGAGCGGCCTTATTTCACATGTATCCTAAAGATGGTTGGGTGCAGGGAGACACTGTGTGCCTTGTCCACACAGCCCGCCTGGGCAGGAGGACGACAGCATCCCCAGCGTAGCACGAGGGTGGCCCCCTTCTCAGAGCGGCCATTTCCTCCCCTCCCCCTCAGATGGCAACAGTCTGTTTGACTCCATGGCCAGCGGGATGCGCCTGGTCGTCAGCTGCATCTCCTCCTTCCTCATCCTGTCACTGCTGCTCTTCATGGTCCACCGGCTGCGCCAGCGGCGCCGGGAGCGCATCGAGTCCCTGATTGGAGCAAACTGTAAGTGCCCTCTGAGGGCCACAACCCTGGTCCCCATCCCCACCCCAGGTCACCCCATGTCTCCATGAGCTCCCCAGCCCTGGACAGAGAGGGGCAGAGGCAGGTTTGAAGGCCACATGTTGTGGGGTCTGTGTCCTCACCTGTGGGCCAGGAAAGTTCTTGCCAAGACCCTCCTTATTCCCATTGAGCCACAGGGTGGGCAGAACTCGGAGGCCTCTGAGGGTCAGAGGCCCGGATCACCCTTCCAGCTGGAGGGGTGTGGTCAGCCAGAGGCTGGGTCTGACAGAAGTGTCAGCCCAGAGGGACAGGTTGGTGTGGTGAGGGTGAGACATGCCACGGAGCACACCAGGGGTCTCATGGGGATGCCGAATGTGGCCGAGGGGTAGGCAGCGGGGCACAGGTGTGTGCACTCAGGGACGGCAGGCCCAGCCTGGGGGTGGGGGGCTCAGGAGCCAGGCAGCCTGCCCCCAGTGACTTGTCTCTGTTCCCGTTGCACACTTTTGATGGCCCAGTGCACCACTTCAACCTCGGCCGCAGGATCCCTGGCTTTGATTACGGCCCAGACGGGTTTGGCACGGGCCTCACGCCGCTGCATCTTTCTGACGACGGAGAGGGTGGGACTTTCCATTTCCACGACCCTCCACCTCCCTACACGGCATACAAGTACCCGGACATCGGCCAGCCCGACGACCCTCCGCCGCCCTACGAGGCCTCCATCCACCCGGACAGTGTGTTCTATGACCCTGCAGGTGCCTGACTCCCCAGGGAGAGGGAACACCTTGTCAAGTAACCTGGCACGTGGGGCTGAGCCCAGCACTCTTGCCCAGCTGCAGAGGCCTAGGGACCTCACTTCTTTCCGGCTTTGTCTTTGGTTTTTCCTTTAAGGCTTCTCCTGGGGCTGCCCGTGCAGAAGGGGTCCTGATCTCCCTGCCTGGCCGCCCTTGGCAATCTGTGCAGAGAGCTCTGAGAAGGCCTGGGACCCCTCCCTCCTACCTCCCTGCCTTCTGTGAGCACCTGTCATCTGGGCAGCCCTCAGGGCCCTCAGCCCAGCTCTAGAGACCTGGGGAGCCCGACAGTGGTGGTTGTGAAGACAGGGCTGGCCCAGACCCAGGAGCCAATCACTTGTCTGTAGACACATGAGCTAGAGACACCATGGTGACAGCCCCTCCTGTCGTGTCAGGAGGCAGCTCTGTGAGGTGGGAGGAAAGCGTGGCTTCTGTGCTACTGGCCCATAGTTGGAGCCTACCACCCATCTGAGAGTGGGCGCCATTCCTCAAGGCTGTGTAGCTAAGGAGTGGCAGGCCCCTGACCCCTGGCCTGTCTCTGTCTCTGTTGAGCAGTGCAGGTGTCCCATCCCATCTCCCTGTGCATTAGGCCCCCTAACACACACAAACCTGTAGTATATTTGGTAGGCAGTGCCACCCCAAAGTGGCTGGCTCCTTGCATGCCTGCCCATCTCGGCAGAATGGGCATTGTGAGGCTGGGGCTGCTGTGCCTAAAGGTCTCAGTCCTGTTCGTTTGTTTAGTCAGCTGCCACAGCTCTTGCATGATCTGGGGGTGCAGAAAAGACTTGCATTTGACCCCTGCCCTCATGACACAGATTGTCACAGTCTTCCAGGGTAGGACCAGCTTCCTGCAAGGGATGGTGGTGGGTGGCAGCAGATCCCAGACACCTGTGTGGGCCAGGCTGCAGAGCAGGGTGGGGGCTGTGAGGGGCTGGCCGGGAGGGAGGTGCATCACCGGGGCCTTGTGCTGTTAGCTTTCAGAGACAGCCTATGGTAATGACAAGCAGGCAGCCCAGGCGCAGTGGCTCACACCTGTAATCCAGCACTCTGGGAGGCTGAGGCGGGAGGAGGGGTCTCACTATGTTGCCCAGGTTGGTTCGAGACCAGCCTGTGAGACCTCCTTCTCCACAAAAAATTCAGAACTAGCCGTGCATAGTGGGCACAGCTGTAGTCCCAGTTACTGGGCAGGCTGAGAATGGAGGATCACCTGAGCCCAGAATTCAAGGCTGTCATGAGCCATGGTCACGTCACTGCACACCAGTGTGCAATCTTTTAAGATCCTGTCTCTTAAAAGAAAAAAAAAGCAAGTAATAAAGATCGGGCAAAACAAAGCGAGTCGACTGCCTACCACACAGCCTGCCTTGGATCAGAGCTTCCTGCAAACACCTGTGTGGTTTTCCAGGCCGCTCACTGCAGCCCTGTTGCCCACACTCCGGTTGCCACATTCCAGCTGCAGCCCTGAATGTTCTTCCACCCACCTGGGCCCAGTGCCTCCCTGATGACAAATGCCCCTGCCTTCTTGCTGAGCCGGGTCTTCACCTTACTGAGTCTGAGACGGTTTCCCTTTGGGCCCCTCTGTTCTAGTGACTGCTGGTCAGTGTGTCTCCCCTACCTCACACCGATGGTGGGACAGGCCCGTGTCTGCCTTTGTGAGATGGGCCCTGCACCTTGCATATACCAGGTTCCCAGCCACAGGGGGCAGTAGGTACAACAGGTGTCATGTGGGGCAGGCTCCTCCTTCAAAATCTGAGGCCCGGGGGAGCCACCCAGGTCCTGCTCACCACCCAGCTTCAGGGGGGCCTTCAGGCAGGAGGAGTGTCTCCTGGTTTTGCCTAGCTCCCCTGCATCCCCTGTGCCAGGCCCGTACCTGCCTCTGACACCCCTCTGTCTCTTCCTGCAGACGATGATGCTTTTGAGCCTGTGGAGGTCAGCCTGCCAGCCCCTGGGGATGGTGGGAGTGAAGGTGCATTACTCCGGCGCCTGGAGCAGCCTCTGCCCACTGCGGGGGCCTCTCTGGCAGACCTGGAAGACTCTGCCGACAGCAGCAGCGCCCTGCTCGTGCCCCCTGACCCTGCCCAGAGCGGGAGCACCCCAGCTGCAGAGGCACTGCCAGGGGGTGGCCGCCACAGCCGCAGCTCCCTCAATACTGTGGTGTAGACGGCCTGGCCTGTACCCCAACGGTCTGGGAGCACCTGTCTGTTGTAGAAAACACCGGTCCCTGGGGAGACTTGAAAGGCCCCTGTCCCAGCCTGGACGCCACGCACTGCCGCACGTCACTGGCGGGCTCGCGTGTGTACATAGAGACCACAGCCCGCCTTCTGCCAAAAGAAGTGATGGCCTGCACCGAGCTTCCTTGAGGGCTTCAGAAACATGCATAGCTTTGGATCACTGTCTTCTCCTTTATAAATGGCAGAAGAGTGACAAAATTCATTCAGACCGCACATGTTAGAGGCAGGGAATGAAGAAGGTACTGTGGGCCATGGCCACACCTGATGCGTTTTTGGTGGGCTTACTTGGTGCAGTGTGCTGTCCAGAGAGACCTGCTGACCCAGTCTGGGACAGGCACAGTGGGAGCTGCCACAGTGCCCCTTGCTGGCCGCCCTCAGGAGGGGGCCTCTGGACCGTCAGTGTGGCGTAGGCAGTGGGTCTGCTTCAGGGAGGCAGCCTCTTGACTTTGTCACAACGGTTGCACTGAAGATGGCCCCCACAAGCCCAGTTGTGAATATCAAGGTGACCCTGCCCCTGGCTGGGAGCTCCCCTGGGGCTCTGGAACCTGAAGCCCTGAGAAGGAGAGCTTGGAAGGAGGTTGAGCTCTTCACTGTGTCTTTCCATCTGGGCTCTGCAGCCCAGCTCTGTGGCAGGAGGCCTGACCCCACCCCATCAGTCCCTCTCCCAGCATTGCTGTGCATGGCTCCCTCAGGAAGAAGCTCTGGAGTGGGGCCGAGGCCCCAGATGCTCTGCTGGGGTCTGGGGACTGAGCTGCCTCCTGTCTCTCCACTCTGGAGCCCTGGGCTCTTGCCTCCTGTTGAATTGCCCCTGGGCCTGCCCCCGGCCCCATTTGTGCCATAAAGGGTTGCTTCATTGCAGGAGGGGTGGCTGAAACCACCATCCTGGGCTGCATCTATCTCCTTAAAGTCCACTCCTTACATCACCGCCACTACTGCAGCTCAGTGCCCAGCGGCCGCATGCACACCTCCCGGCCCCTCCTCAGCAGCGCAGGGGCTGGGGGCCCTTCCTGGCACCCTTTTGCCTGACGGACCCTGTTGCCTGCTCCTGGGCAGTGGTTTTGTTGCCTGACACAGGGCCTTTAACATTTCTGAGGTTTGGAGATTAAGCGGGTTCTGTGCGATTTTTAGCACATCCATATCTTTTCTACGTTGAATGTCTGGATCTTTCCTTTGTATGTTTGTGTCTCTGTGTGTGTATGTGGCCAAGCGTCTGCAGGTGAGGGTGGCACATGGAACTTCACGGGTCACTGGGGGCCCACTCTTCCAGGGTCATCGATGCATCCTGGGCTGTGCTGAGGCAGTGCTGTCTCGCTCAGTCTTTCCAGACCAGCGGGGCAGCACCTGGGAGGCCTGTCTGAAGCATGCAGTTCTGTGGTGCTGCTCGGGGATGGACTCCATGCACAGTCCACTTCTTGACACATTCTCACACTGTGGCTGGAGACCCATTTTTTCCATCCCATGTGGAATGAGAATCTTGAGTTGCCCACAGACAGACTTGACCTTTGTGCCAGAACTGTCCAGAGCTGTGAGTTTTGTTACTGAATTGCCTGTCCCTGAGCTTGGCCTGCTGGAGCATGATGCTGGAGGCTGTGTGCGGGCAGGCTTGTGCTCCCCTTGGAGAAGGGCTGCTACTTAACAAGGAAGTCCTGGCCACAGGAGTCCCCTACTGGCTGCAGAGGACGAAGCAGGAAGCATGCCGTGGATCCCACATGCACTGGGGCAGGGCAGCCAGGTTCCAGAGCAGCAGGCATGTGCATTATGGGTGCCAGGTGGCCAGTGAGGGCCCGAGGACCACGCAGCAGAGTCCCCCACGGGCCTGAGCCTGAGAGCTCAGAGGATTCCTGCCAGGCCTCAGAACTGTGTGTGCGGGACAGGGTGGCTGGCACGAGATGTGTGGGACTGGGACGCTTCCTTTGGGGACCAGAGGAACATTAGGGGCCGGTCAGACACGTAGGGGGCAGTGAGGAAACGGGGTAAAGTGGACCATGCAGGCTGCAGAGGGTGGGCCTTGGGCTGGCCGGGGTTGCTGGGTGGCCCCTTCCCCATGGGCCTCCACAAGCACTCAGGCCACTGGCACGTTGGGCCAGGCAGAAGGTCCACATGGCAGGGCTGCCTGGAACACCGCTGCCACTGTGGCTCCAGGAGGCCCTTGGGAGCATGAGGAGAGCTGGACTCGCTCATCTGTTCTTGCACCACCATCCAGAATGCCCCCTTTGCAAGGCCTGCTGCAGTCCCCAGTCTGACCAGCAAGTCCCGGGGTCACCCTTGCTGAACCTTGTGCTCCAGGGGTCCTCCTCCTCTAGGACCAGCTTGCCACGGTTTCTCAGAGCCCAGGTGCCCTCTGACCTGCCATGCGGAGGTGGGATTTGATACTGTACATTGTCTTGATGCCTGTTTTTTTATGTTTTCATTAAGGGTTTTTAGTTTTTGGTTGGGTTGACACTAACTTTTCTTAAGATGCTGTGAGAATCATTTCATCCAAATGCCAAATAAACTTGTGTTCCGGAAGAGGCATGGTTAGTCCTTGGTGTGGCCCCCACGGCTGCCACAGGCTAAGGTGGAAGAGGCTGGGTACCCACCTTTCAGCAGAATGCACCTAGGGTTTGCAGCCCTTGCAGGCGTCCATCAAACCCCCTGAGGACCAGGCAGAGCTGAGCCTGGAGCCCCTAGGTGGAGTGTGCAGGGAGAGCAGCAGCCCTGAGCTGCCTACAGCTATCCTGCAGCACCCAGCCCTGCTTGGGGCATCGGCTGCTGCCTTGGCAGGTGTTGCTGACGTGCACAGGATCCACATAAAGGCAAGGCTGCTTGACACCATCTGGGAGCTAGCATGGGACGGGGTGGTAGGGCAGGGCTTGGAACCTGGCCGTCAGCGCCATTTCCTCTAAGCTCCCCTCATCATCCGGGTGGCTGGAAACAGCCCCTCCCTCCAGTCCAAGCCACCTAATGTTACAAAGTAGCCTAGGTCCTCTGGGGCCTCTTCACTCATGTCCAGCAGTGCCATCTCTAGGTCTCAGAGGGTAGTGGGCCCAGGAAGTGTGATTGCATGCCCTGCTCTGGGGGCACTCCAGATGTGTATACTGGGGGGACGTCCTGCGGCCGGACACGAGAGGAGTCAGGGTTAGGAAAGGAACTGGTAAGTCCCTTGGCAGGGATGGGAGCCTCGAGGATGTGGCCCCTCATTTTTTATCCCATCTGCTGGGGCAGGAGTGGAGTGGTGGTGTTGAGTCCCGAGCACACAGGTCACTGTCAGCACTCTGGACAGAGCCCCGAGCCCTGCCTCTGGGTAGGGGCTGTCTTCCCATCCCCAATGTGGGTAGGGCCCTGCCCTCTGGCGATTGGAAAGAGGCGCAGGGTGCAAAGAAGTCCCCTCCTCTGACCTCCTGCAGGGCTCCGTCTTGGCCTGGATCCGCAGGGGGGCCTGGGTAGGAGGGAGGCTGTGGTCTTGGGATGGGGTGGCAGTTCCGGGCCCACAGTGGGGCAAGAGACATCCTACACCTTCCTCCCATCCTTGCCCCGAAAGTCATGGGCACTGGGGTCCAAGGTGCCCTCACTATTTGACCTTTCTTGCTGGTGGCTTTGGTGTGTCATTCTGGTCCCCAGCCTCTGTTTCCTGGACTGTAAGTGGGGATAATAATAGGTCACCCCTCCCCTGCAGGATTAACCTCAGCGATTGTTGCTGGCATCAGTGCAGCCCTGGGACCAGAGCACACCTGGGTGAGTTTGGAGCGCTCGCGCTCTTCCTGGTGGCCCTGCCTGGGCACCGACCCCTCCCATCCTCTCCTCAGTAGCCACGCCCCTAGCCCAGCTAGCTAATGAATAAATATGTAGTAGCCAGGCCAGCATCCTGGCTGCGTGGTCTAGCCACTTTCTAGTCCTTCCTAGCTGCGGCTGCCACTGAGCCACGCACGCCCCTGGCATCATGCTCGCCTTGCGGTGCAGCTGGTGTGGCGCAGACTCTGAGAGTGAGCACCAGGACTCTTCCTGTCTGGCCTCCAATCTACCCTCTTGCCATGCTCCACCACCCCTTAGGTCTTGCCACTGGGAGTGGGGAGGGACTGGGGAGAGAAAATACTGAGGTAGGGGTGACAGGAGAGAAGGTTCTTCACTGGCCTCCCCTGGCCTAAACCCCTGACCTACTTCATTCTTGGACCCCAGCTGATGGGATGGGGCTTGGAGAGGGCCCAGATGACTGGCCTCTCAGCTCAGCCTCCTGCCCACTGTCTCTATAGGTGCCTGGTGCTATGACTCCCAGGACCTCAAGTATGGTGAGGACAGAGTGTCATGTGAGGCTGTGTCAGATCAGTCTGTGTCCTGGGACCACCAGAGCATGTGCCAGTGGTGCAAGAGTGGCCAAGAGACAGTCTGCACCCTGCACTCTGTGGCCTTTGCAGGTTTCTGTCTGTAGTCGTCTGCCCCAGTAGACTGACTGGGCATCAGGTGCAAGTGCGTGACTGTCCCCCTGTGTGTGAGTCTGGGCCTGCTGTGATTGCCGGTCCCGAGTCAGTCAAGGCTGGTGTGCCCGTTACTGTGGCCAGCCCAAGTGTGTGCAGGTGATAGAGGTCCCAGTGTGGGTGTGCAACTGTGTGCCGGAGACCCTTCCACCTTCATCTCACCATGGGGCAGCCAACTGGGAGACTAGATGGATAGGTCAGATGCAGGGTACAAGAGAAGGGGGGTGCTGTGACCTGTTCAGGTGTGGGGGAAGCAGGGAGCTAGGTTTCCTGAGGCTGGGCTATCCTCTGGGTGTATGGGGGCCACTCTCTGCTGCACCCCCAGGCTGCCTCCCTGACCCCCCCCCCACCCCAAAGGCCCCAGTCCTTGTTCCAGCAGTCCCCACCCACTGGAAGAAGCTGGCCCCCTGCCTGTGGGGGCCCAGGCCAGTCCCTCATCAACATTGACTTTCACAGGGTCCGGCGGAACTCTACCCTAGGGCCCTTCATCTTCCGAGGCTATGACTCAGCACCTCCAGGCCCTTGGACCCTGGAGAATGACAGCCACACAAGTCAGCACCCTGTGGTCAGGACCCCTCCTAGGCAGAGGCAGGAGCCCCACACAGGGCATGAGAGCTCCTGCGTGTACACAGGGACCAGGACCCCCTACACACGGGAGCTGAGACAACCTACAGGGCCAAAAACCCTCCACAGGGGCTAGCTTCAGAGGAAAGGAGCATCCTCACACAGCAGTCCAGATGCACCCTCTGTGTAGGTGCCAGGTCCCACCTTACAAATCACAACCAGCCATGGCCCCTGAGGACCAGGAGTCAGGGTCTCTGGCAGGGCCAGGATCCCTGACCACACACAGCTGGGCTTAGAGCCCCACACCAGGAGGGCTGCCCTCTGCCCTCTTCCATGCCATGCTGGGTGTGGGGGGGGGAAGGGTTTCCCCTGCAGTCTGTGGAGCTCTGCTCTGCTGACCAGCAGGAGCCATGGACACCATGGGTTCCATTCCATGGAGGCAATGGGGCCGCACTGGGGAGAAACCTGGCCTGAGGAAGGGCCTCTGCTCATACCCTGTGCCCTAATGGCACAAGATGGACAGGTGGTGAGGTAGAGAGGGTGTCGTGTGCCTCCTCCCCTTCATTGCTACTCTGAATGGACACTGATCCTCAGAACCACCTGGAGATTTGGGAGGCTGGGCTGCTGTTGCCTGTCTACCGCGCACTGCAGCTGCACTTCAACTGCCGGCGGTGGGGGGGCCCGAGGCGAGCAGACTCGGAGCACAGCCTGGACAGGCAGCGCCAGGCTATGGAGGTAGACTCGGGAACAAGGTGGGGTGGCCGGAGTGCTCCCACGGAGGTGAGAGAGAGCAAGGTGAGGGCAGCTGGGTATCTCCCACATCTGTGCCTCCCCCCAGATGCACGTGGTCCACAGTAACACAAAGTACCAGAGCATGGAGGAGGCACCACGCCACGGTGATGGGCTCGAGTGCAGGCCCTGCTGCTGGAGGTGCTGCTGGCGGTGAAGGCAGGGCTGTGATTCTATGTATGTTTCCAAAAAAGGGGTCCATGGGGATCCTGGAAGTGGACAGGCCAGGCCTGTGGAGTCCGTGGGGGGATCTCTAGGGTCTATAGGATCTGTGGGAGGATGGGGCGGTGGGAATGCCTGAATCGGCAGGGCCAGTGGCGGCGAGAACCCTCCACCCCATTTCCCAGATGCCAGATGCCTCCTGCCACTGGGAGCCTCCTGCTTAGAGTACCCCAGCTGAGTTCCCTCTTCAGAGACTCCCTCACTCAGAACCCCTCGCACTTGGAGCCCCTCCCAGGAGCAGGACTGTAGCAACACCAACTTCTGCGCCATAGTGTCGGGCTTGAGGAAGGTGCCTGAGCCAGGTGAGGAGCCACCGGGTCGTTTTCCGGCTCAGGGGCGGGGGGTTTGCTGGGGATGGCACCAGCAGGGCACAGGGAGGCTGGTTCCAATCCCCCTCCCTCTGCCGCCCGGGGCTCTCAGTGAATCTGATGTCCACCTTCCCGCTGGCGTCGATGCGGCCCAACACCTCGAGCTACTGTCGCTTCGCTGGGTCGCTGACCCCGCCTGACTGCGAGCCCACGGTGCTCTGGACCGTCTTCGAGGACCCCATACCCATCCGGTGGGTGCAGGTGGAGCCACCGTCCCCCCTCGCCCCCCACACCCCTCCCCGGGCCTTGCCTGGCTCCTCCCGCAGGCGCTGCCCCTCTCCCACCCCGTTTTGATCTCTTTGCCCTGCACCCTCAGATGACCCTGTTCTACACCCTGCCCCAGGCTGGACCCTCCCACTTTCACCCCATACCGCTCACGGGTAACTTCCGCCCCCAGCAGCCTCTTTTTTTTTTTTTTTTTTTTGAGACGGAGGCTCACTCTGTCGCCCAGGCTGGAGTGCAGTGGTGGAATCTCAGCTCACTGCAAGCTCTGCCTCCCAGGTTCATGCCATTCTCCTGCCGCAGCCTCCTGAATAGCTGGGACTACAGGTGCCCGCCACCAGGCCCGGCTAATTTTTTGTATTTTTAGTAGAGACGGGGTTTCACCGTGTTGGCCAGGATGGTCTCGATCTCCTGACCTCCTGATCCGCCTGCCTCGGACTCCCAAAGTGCTGGGATTACAGGCTTGAGCCACCGTGCCCGGCCCACAGCAGCCTCTTAAGGGGCACGCAGTCTTGGCCTCTCCGAGAGCCTCGGTCCCCGCAGCAGCCCCCTGCTCTTCCCCCACCCTAGCAGTTGTGCACTGCGCTCTGATGGGCCTGGGGCTCAGCCTGTGGTTCTGTCAACCGTGGGCGACCCTCCATGTGAAATAATGAAATAATGCACAGAGTGACCTTAGCCTAATGTAGCCTGGAGGGGGTGGGTGCGTGACCCGGCGTGGTCCCCCATTGCAAGAGGGGCATTTCCTGCCCTAATCCCACTGAGGCCTCAGTGTGCCTGTCTGTTCCGTGGGAGCCCTCTGAGTGACCCTCTCCTACCTCAGCAGAACCCGGGCCTCTCCAGGTTCCTCTCAGAGGGAGAAGGGCCCCCACCCTCATCCTATACATTGTGTCTGAATCCCCTGGTCAGATGGAAGGAGAACATCTAGCAGTCAGAAATTCCACCATTAGGCCAAGATTACATTATTTTATTTTAAAACTAAGCTGGGTGGCCAACCCAGGGACACCGTGCTCTGCTAAATGATGACTCCAGCTACATTTCCCGAGGCCAAGAGATGAGAAGCTGCTGGCTCCAAGCTCCGCTGCAGGCTGCCCTGGCTGAGCGGGTGCTAGGCACCGCGGAGCGCTGCCTGGTGCTCTGAAGCCATGCCCCAGTGCCTCCCTGGGAGTTCTGCTGTGGAGTCTGTGTGGAGGCTGACTCTGGAGAGATGTTTGTGTCCAGGTGGCTGCCTGTGGTCTGGCTAAGTAAAGGGGTGAGTATTCTTGGTGTCACTGTCCAAAGCAAAGTTGTGTCCATGGGACACAGACTAGGTGAGGCTCTGTGTCCAGGTGATGCTGTCCAGTGAGAGGGGGTTGCAGTCAGAGTGAGGCTGACCGGAGGCCTCTGTCCAGTTGGTGCCCTGTGGAATGTGATTACATACTGGTTGACACCATCCTGAGGACCATCACCAGCTGAGTGTCTCAGCCGCCCTGTGTCCCTGGGTTCTGTGCTCTTGTGTGTGGTTTGACACTATTCCAGTGCGTGGAGACCCTGCCTCCTCACTGAGACCTTGCAAGAAAAAGAACCTGCAGTCACCCCAAGGAAGAGGAGTCTCGGCTGTTCCCTGGAGGCTGACCCAGCCCTGGCCCAAAGGCTGACCCAGACCCAAGGCCCAAAGGCCCACCCAGACCCAAGGCCCAAAGGCCCAGCTCTAAGGTCCAAAGGGGCTCCACCCTGTTCTCTAGCCGGACTCAGTCTCTGGCAAGGACCCCGGCTGCCAGCTGCACTCCCTAGACGCACGTGGCCCACCCCCTCCTTCCAGTACCGGAGCCCTAACTGGCGGCACCCGGGCACCCTTTTGACTCAGAGCCACGCTCCACGAGGGGGACCGATCTGCTCACTTGCCCCGTCCTGGGGGTACCAGAGTAGCCAGCGCGACGCCTTCCGCACCTCGCCTAGGCTGCCCTTGTGCGGCCGCCCTCAGTCCCCGCCACCTTGCGGGGCCCCAGGCGGCACTGGCATCTTCTTGTGGTTCTTCCTGGCCGGGGCTCGGTGCGCTCCGCATTCTGCTGGGCCGTCCGGGGCGTCGTCTGCGGGCCTGGAGGCGGCGACCAGGGCGCTCACGGTGCCGAGCGTCCGCGGCAGGGTCGGGCCGCGGGGCGCGGCGCGGGGGACGGCGCGGGGCTCGCGGCGGGCAGGCGGGGACGGCGGCGGCGGCAGCAGCGCGCGCAGGGCATCCAGCTCCGCTCGAAGCTCCGCGCGCAGCGCCTCAATCCCGGCGCCCAGCTCCTCGCGCACTGCCGCCAGGCCCTCCTGCAGCCGCCGCTCGCTCACCTCCAGGACCCCCGCCGGGTAGGTGGCCCCGCCGCGGGGCTCCCCGCATACCGAGCACACGGAGCCCGCGGCTGTGCGCGCCGGTCCTCTCGCCCGCGCCCGGCCGCCCCGGCCCCCGCACGCTCCACCAGCTTCAGCAGCCGCGGCACCTCGGACCGCGAAGCCGCTTCGGCCCGGAGCTGGCCGCGCAGGCGAGCCATCCGGCCCGGGGCTCGGGCGTCTTCCTGGCCCGGCCCATTGGATTGCGGCCCCGGATCCCGCCGGCGGCCCGTGCCGCGCCGCAGCACCTCGCTGGCTCTGTACGCACTACGCGCCTGGGCCCACGGGCGGCCGGGCTCCGCCATCCGCCCTGCTGCCTCCACCGCCGCCAGCGCCCGGGATGGCCGGGAGCCCCAGGCTGCAGCCTAGCGACCGCTGGGGCCCAGGCGACGCACCGTGGAGGGGGCCCGCGGGACGGCTGTGGGAACGACCAAAGCCCTGGGGGTTCCGGTCTGGGGCGCAGGGAACCCCGGCAGGGCCGGGTCTCGGGCAGCCCGGTTCCCAGGGGACCCTGCGGGAACGACGACGTTGTGGGCAGGTCCTCACAAAGGGCATGGCCCAGTTTCTGGGCATAGGTGACATGGAGCATCGCCAGCCAAAGACCAGGCACCACCCGCTAGACACGAGTCAGGAACTGAGCTCACATTTTACACTGGAAGCTACTGTCTCCATCATAGTCAAGGGAAAGCCAGGAGTGGTCATGGACCCCACAGCCCTTTTCAATGGCTCAGGGCGACGTCCTTCCATGTAGTCCAGGCCATTATCTCCTCACCCTGTCCCCTAGTCCACACAGCTGGAGGAATCCATCCAGGTGGCATCTCCAGCCCCAGGCTGCTGGCCCTTCCATGGGAGCTCTTCAGGGTCTCCCTTACTCTCCAAGGCGGTCTGCCTAGGGCCTCTGGAAATCCCTGGCCATCTCAAGCTGGGTTTTTTGTTTTGTTTTGTTTTGTTTTTACAAACAGGATCTTGCTGTGTTGCCCAGGCTGGAGTGCAGTGGTGCAATCATAGCTCACTGCAGCCTCCACCTCCTGGGCTCAAGCGATCCTCCCACCTCAGTCTCCTGAGTAGATGGGACTACAACTGTGCACCACCATGCCCGGCTAATTTTTTTTAATTTTTTTTTTTTTTGTAGAGATAGGGTCTCACTGTGTTTCCCAGGTTGGTCTTGAACTCCTGGCCTCAAGTGATCCTCCTGTCTTGGCCTCCCAAAGTGCTGGGATTACAGGCATGAGCCACCATGTCCAAGCCTGTCTGTGTCTTTAACCTCCTCTAATCCAACAGTCTTCTTCATCCTTCTGGGTCTTTGCATAATTCCTCTCCCCCCCCACCCCCGCCATTTTCCTGGTGGCTCTCACTTTTCCCACTTAGATAGGGAAACGTTCCATGACCACCCCATCCCACACTGGGGACCTCGAGCCCCTCCTCCACAGCACCCTTCACAGTTGTATTTAAATGACTGTTTTCCATCCACCCACTGTGGGGTCTCTGAGCCCAGGGCTGGGTCATTTCTCCTGGGCCGAGTGTGGCACTAAGCATACTGAGTGCTAGCCTGCACAGAGGCCAGGCCCGGGTGGGCCCCAGGACAGAGCTGTCAGTGGCTGTCTTGCCATGGAGTGAGTGGATGAATCAGCAGGGCTGGGATCCTCTCCCATTTTACAGTAGGAGGCTGGGGAGAGGAGCTGGCCAGCCCGTCCACCTCTGCAGCCTGGCATCTGAGGCCCTCATGGCATCCCTGCTGGTCTGCCTTCCCCTGCAGCCCTTCCACCCTCTGTGGAGCCCTCACTACTGCACCCTACTCCTTCTCACCCCAGTGCCTCTGCATAAGCAGTGCTGCCTGTGGCCGCCACAGGGCCCTAGGTATGGGCAGAGAGTAGTATCCCCCACACAGCATGCTGTTCTCCCTGTACCCCCAGGGGCTAGTTAGCACTCTGGGTGCCCTGGACTCTGGGGCCTCCCTCAGCAAATTGTGGAGGGTGGCCTGGCATGAATCCAGGCAGATCTGGGAAGGGACATGGCAAGACAGCCCCTGGAAGCTGTGTCCCCGGGTCCACCGGGATCTGGCCCCTGCAGGTCAGTGCATGTGTGCATGTGTTGGGGGGGGGATTGAGGGGACCGCTAATACTGTCCTCAAGCAGCTGCTGAGGAGAAGACTGGGTCCCTCTAGTCATGTTCATCCACTCAATCACTCCCTGCAGCCCGTCTCTCTGGAAGGTGCAGGAGGAGGTGAGAATTGGGCACTCTGTCAACCCCTCAGACTCCCCCATTCCTGCTGAGTCACCCGTCCTCTGGGACCTCCAGCAGCTGGCTGTGCTGATCCCTAGAGCCTCATTAGCCATTCTCTCCCTCCCCCCAGTCATTAAAACACTGCCAACAAGAGCGCCCTGGGTTCTTTTCCCCAGCCCTACTGGAGACGGGCTGTGTGACCCAGGGGCTCTGCCCTCTCTGAGCCAAGTCTTCACCTGTGAAATGAAGAGATCTCTGAGGTCCCCAGGACGGATGACAGGGAGGCCTGGACGGTGAAGAAGGTGCAGGAGAGAGTCCAGATTTGCAGAAAGAGCTGTTAGTTTTGTGATCTCTGCCTGGAGGTTTATGGACAGGTTGGAAGAGAAGCTGAGCCATTGCAATGAGTCCAGATTAGGGCTTGTTCCTGCAGGGGCTACAGATGTGGGGGCTGGCACTTGTGGCAGAGGGTTCCAAAGTCATGGGCATAGAGAAGACAGGTTGGCAGGAGCAAGGGCAGAATGGGAGCGGGGTCCTGGGGGTCCTGTTGGGCCCTGAGGAGGACTGCAGAGGTGTCGGTGAGGGGTGGACAGGCAGGCGTGTCAGCACAACCCTGAGCCCCTGAGCTCAAGTGCAGGGATGGCCGTGAAGCAGGTGATGGGGACCCTGGCTTGAGCTTCATCGGTAGCGGGGCTGGGGTGGACACCGGGGACTGGCGGAGAGGAGATGGGGTGGGGGCTGGTCAAAGCAGTGTGTCCCTCAGGGAACGTGGCAGAGCGGGGCGCGCACACAGGTCTGCTCTCCAGTTCCTCCGGGAAGTTCCTCAAATTCAGCCAGCTCCAGCTGCCCCTGGCACAGAGGAGCTGACTGAGGCTCCAGTGCAGGGCCTGCTCCTTCCCCTCCTGTTCCCCTCAGTGTGCCCTGGGCCGGGGGCCAGGCATGGTGGGGGTGGGGAGGCTGGCTGTGCCTGTGGGAAGCCACCGGCTCCCGGGGCTGTCCCTGGGCCCAGGCTGTAGCTCTGTGCATGCAGACGTGCAGGCTGGGTGGGCAACTGGCCACCTTGCCCGTCAGTAATGCATTCACAGTGGGGGGTCAGAGGAAACCCCAGGGCTCCTCTGCTTAGCTTGGCCAGGGGTCCCGATGGGGCAGTCTCTCCGTGTGACTTAATTGTCATCCCTTTTGTGCTCTATGGCTATTAAATAAAACTTGGCAGCCACCTTGGCTGGAGGTTTTATGTCCCAGAGCCCAAGGGCGGTTGGGAGCCAGGGGAGCGCTCAGACGGCAGGGCCAGGCGAGCTCTGTGTGTGGGAGGGGCTGTGGGGGCCTCTGAGAGCTGCTGCAGGGACCCGGCAGGGCGGGGGTGGAGGCGGAGAGTGTGACTGTAGCTTCACAGTCATCAGAGTGGACGTGGAGATGCAGGCAGAGTCCTCGAAGCTGGCTCAGGGGTCTGTGTGGGGAGGGGGCACACCCAGCAGGGGCCTGAGGGTAAGCAAGGGAGGCAGCAGGGTCTTGGAGCTGCCTCCCAAAGGTGGTGGGGAGCCCCAGGAAGAGCAAGGAACAGGAGCAGCCGGCAGGTGCGGCTGATCCACCCTGAGGTCCCGGACACACTGGTGGGGACAGGAAGGCTCATCTTGGAGCTGCTCCTGGAGGGGCCATGTGGGTCACGGCCCCTGGCCCTCTGCTCAGACCACAGAGCACAGGACACTTGTCCAGCCTTTGCTGCGACTGTGCTGCTTGCTCTGGGAGCAGCTGCTGCTGGGCCTTTGGAGGAGGAGGAAGGGTGGCCTGGCTGGGACCCAGCCCCTGTGCCCAGCCTCTTAGAAGGGGAGGTGATGGTCCTTTTAGGCCCCAGGAGTGCAGGCTGCATAGTGGGGCCTCTGTACACATAAGCTGGCAGGTCTGGCTTGGGCTTTGCTCAGGACACTGGGTACTGGGTTCTGGGTTCAGAGGCCTCATGAAAACACCTAGCCTCAGTTTCCTCATCTGTCAGGACCAGCGGCTGGCTGGGAGGGTGTGTGTTAGCATGGCAGCGGCCAGCTTAGTCTACTCTAGGAGACCTTGCCTCCCAGACCCCTGAGCTGACCTCTTCTTTGAGAGCTTAGAGAGGAGAATGACTTGTTCCAGGTCTTACTGCAGGGTCTGGGGCTTCCTGTGGGGACTCAGGTGCACCTTGTCCCTGAATACCCCTGCCTTGCCCACTAGGCCCTGGAACTGTGCCCCGGCCTCCTGTGGCACTGGCTAGCCAGATCTCTGGGAACCATCCCAGCGCAGGTGGCTCTGCAGGAGGCCAACTCATTACCCAGCAATGGCCTTGCCTGATGTGGGTAACAAGCTCATTACCTGGTGATGACCTTGTTTGTCTGTTCCTGGTGTCAGCAGCCTCAGCTCTCCCTGCAAGGAATGTCTAGCCTGGGGTGGGTCTGACCAGTCTGTGCCACAGGCACCAGCATCCCAGTCTGCACTGCATGGGGTGTCGGGTCTGACAGCATCTACCTATATGTGCCCTGAGGGCCCAGACTCAGCCCCCAGTGGGAAGACTCCGGGCTCCTGATGGACCCCTCCCAATTGCACAACCTGAGCAGGTAAGCCCTGACCCACTCTGGGCCTCACTCTCACCACAGCTGGTGACAAAGATTCTCTGCTTGGTCAAGCTTTATTTAGGCTCCTGAGCCTTCTCCTAGGCACATCTGAGCACTTCCTTATAAACTCTAGTTTTAGCAAGAATCCTGCAAAGTCAGTTTAGCGAGAAGCCCCCCGTCCTTGACATCTGATCGGGTTCCCCCTCTGTCCCCCAGGTGCGGTCTGGCCATCCTGGCCGGCCTTCAGCAAGAATTCTGTTAGGGGAGTTAAGCCAGAATCCCTGGCTGCTGATGCTTCCTCTTAGTCACTTTCCATGCGCTGCCCCCCACCCTGCTCCTTGACTGTCCGATCGCACTTGCCCATGCTGTCTTCGAGGCTGAGCCCAGTCTCTTACCCACTGCAGAATCTCATCGCCGTGGTCCCTTATGCCTAGTGACACGGTCCTGGATAGTCTTCCCCCTGCTCCTTGACGGTCCGATCCCACTTGCCCATGCTGTATTCGAGGCTGAGCCCAGTCTCTTACCCACTGCAGAATCTCATCACCGTGGTCCCTTATGCCTAGTGACACGGTCCTGGACAGTCTTCCCTACAGCGCTTTGGCAAGTGTCATTTTTCCTTTTTTCTTTTTTTTTTTTTTGAGACGGAGTCTCACTCTGTCACCCAGGCTGGAGTGCAGTGGCGCCATCTCGGCTCACTGCAACCTCCCGACTCCCTGGTTCAAGCGATTCTCCCGTCTCAGCCTCCCGAGTAGCTGGGATTATAGGCACCTACCACCATGCCCAGCTAGTGTCAATTTTCACTGAATTATTTTTTTAACAGTGGGGACTAAAGAGGGTCCGCAAGCAGGGCTGCTGCTGGGCACCATGGAGGGCCGCCTGGCGGGACACGCCCCAACATACAGGGGTCCTTGGGGGCTCCCCTTCCCCTGCCAGCTGGGCTGGGGTCTCTGTGTCAGGATTGCCCTCACCACCACCTGGGGATGGACCTCCACTGTCATCCTAGGGAAGGGGCCAGGGAGGGGAGTCTACATGCTGAGCGGGCCTGTCCGAGGCCTCTGCTATCCCAATGCAGCCCCCAGTATTTAGACCTGCCCCCAGTGACCTGCTCCCTCTTGCCCATCATTCCAGGAACTTCCTGCTCCACGCCTGCGCACATCCTGTCCCGAGGCCAGCTCCCCCTGCTCAGCCTCAGGACGCAGCCACCCACCCTCCCAGGAGCGCCTTCCCTGCCCCTGTGGCTTCCTGCTGGCACTCTCTGCACTGGGTTCTTCCTCCTGGTGTGTGGGCCCCTAGTCTCTGTCTCCTGTCGGGTTTGACTTCTACCAGAGCAGGGACCTCCCTGAGTCCTCATGGCCCAGAAAAGTGCCCAGCATGCAGTAGGCGCATCATAAATACCTGTCTACTATCATGTGGTGAACTGAGTGAAGACATCTCATTAAAGATGACATTAAAGAATAGGGCATAGGGCTTGGCATTCAGTAGGCACACAGTACATGACGGCTTTTTATTTCCAGTCTGGGGTTGTGTTCATGCTTCAGTTTCCCACCTGGCCTGATAGGAGGGGCTCAGCTGCTGGGCTGGCTGTGTCTCTGTGCCCCTTGCCTGGAAATGCCTGAGGAGGGGCAGGGTCCTCATCCCAGCCACATCCCAGGGGTTCCCAGCCCTCTGACCTTGAGGAGCTGTGGGAGGCAAAGGCTGCAGCCACCCTGTAGCACTGCAAACACAGGCTGGGGCGGGAAGGGGGGTACAGAGGGTGTGCACAAGGGGCAGGGGGCAGGGAGAGGGTGTGCACATGGGACCAGGGGGAGGGAGGGGGTGTGCACAGAGCCAGGCTGTGGCTGCACCTCGACCCTTACCACTCCCGCCCACCCCATGGAACCCCCTCTGAGCCCTTACGCCTCGGCAGGTGGGGGTGAGGAGCTTAAGTATAGGTCTCTACCCAAGATTTGCACCAAGTCATGTCAGTCACTGGTGTACATCCTTGTAACTGACACACACATCAAGGTCTTTCCTCTACATCTTCCTGTCTCAAGATGAGAACGCTTGATAGTGGTTAATTATTCTCTTATGTTACGTGTTTACTGGAGAGTGTGATAACACATGAAATAGTACGTAACATCTACGTCAGCCAAAAGCATAAGGACTGCCTGTCTACCCAACCAGCATATTTATCCCCGTATCAGCGCAATGCTTCACTCCCTTCTCTCCAGATGGGCCTGATTTGTATGTTTCTCTTGCTTTTTATAGATGTTTTTCTAAGTATATGGTATCTTGAAACAGCATAATTTGGCTTTGATTGTCTTTAAGTGTTATAGATAAAAATGGTATACTGTATTTTAAAAAAAACTCTTCTAGATTAATATACTTAAGTAAAAAATGGTATTCTGTGTACTAGCTGGGCTCGGTGGCTCACGCCTATAATCCCAACACTTTGGGAGGCTGAAGTGGGCAGATTACTTGCGGCCAGGAGTTGGAGACTAGCCTGGCCAACATGGTGAGACCCTGTGTCTACTAAAAATACAAAAATTAGCCAGATGTGGTGGTGCACACCTGTAATCCCAGCTACACAGGAGGCAGGGACAGGAGAATCACTTGAACCTGGGAGGCGGAGGTTGCAGTGAGCCAAGATCGAGCCACTGCACTCCAGCCTGGGCGACAGAGTGAGACTCTGTCTCAAAAAGAAAAAAAAAGTATTCTGTCTATGGCTTGCATACACACACACACACACACACACACAGGCACACACACACACCCCTTGCTGAATTTTTTTTTTTTTTTGAGACAGAGTCTCGCTCTGTCGCCCAGGCTGGAGTGCAGTGTCTCGATCTCGGCTCACTGCAAGCTCTGCCTCCTGGGTTGACACCATTCCCTGCCTCAGCCTCCTGAGTAGCTGGGACTACAGGCACCCGCCACCACGCCTGGCTCATTTTTTTTTTTTTTTTTTTTTTTAGTAGAGACGGGATTTCACCATGTTAGCCAGGATGGTCTCGATCTCCTGACCTTGTGATCTGCCTGCCTCAGCCTCCCAAAGTGCTGGGATTACAGGCTTGAGCCACCGCGCCCAGCCTCTTGTTGAATTTTTTACTGGATTTGCATTAAATCTGTAGAACAATTTGGGGAGAATCGACAACTTTATAATACTGAATCTCCCAATCCACAAAGAGTAGATTATGTATTATCTCTCTTATTTAGATTTTTTAAATGTCTTTCAATCAAGTTTTATAATTTTTCTATACAGGTCTTGCATAGTTTTTGTTAGATTCTTCAGTTACCTTAGTTCCTATTGTTATTGCAAATGGTAAATGTAACAGCCTGGGACTGGCCATTTAAACCCAACATTACTTCTAAGCTTCATCCATTCTGTTGTGCAACTGTGGCTGATTCAGTCTCACCACTGTATAAGAAGACTCCAACTAATGGCCAGGAGTGGTGGCTCACGCCTGTAATCCCAGCACTTTGGGAGGCCGAGGCGGGCGGATCACCTGAGGTCCGGAGTTTGAGACCAGCCTGACAAACACGGAGAAACCCCGTCTCTACTAAAAATACAAAATTAGCCAGGTGTGGTGGCGCATGCCTGTAATCCCTGCTGCTCAGGAAGCTGAGGCAGGAGAATGGCTTGAACCCCGGAGGCGGAGGTTGCCACAAACTGAGATTGTGCCATTGCACTCCAGCCTGGGCAACAAGAGCGAAACTCCGTCTCAAAAAAAAAAAAAAGAAAAGAAAAGAAAAGAAAAGAAGATTCCAACTAATTTATTCATTCTCCTGTTAATGGACATTTGAATCAGTCTGGATTTTCTTTTTTTCTATTACTGTGTTTCTATGGACATTTTTGCACCTGCCTCTTGGGGCTTGTATGCAAGAGTCCCTCAAAAGAATATTTTGAGGCCAGGCACGGTGGCTCACACCTATAATCCCAGCACTTTGGGAGACGACACGGGCAGATCACGAGGTCAGGAGTTTGAGACTAGCCTGACCAACATGGTGAAACCCCGTCTCTACTAAAAATACAAAAATTAGCTGGGCATGGTGGTTAGCACCTGTAACCCAGCTACTCAGGAGACTGAGGAAGGAGAATCACTTGAACCTGGAAGGTGGAGCTTGCATTGAGTGGAGATCTTGCCACTGCACTCCAGCCTGGGCAACAAGAGCAAAACGCTTTCTCAAAAAAAAAAGCTTTCTCAAAAAAAAAAAAAAAAAAAAAAAGGAAATACCCAAAGTGTGTTTTTCTTGCTAAGAACCAGTAATTCCTTTTCTTGATTTCTGTGTTGTTTTTGAGACCCTATTTTATTTAGTTCTCCTCTGATCTTTATTATTTTTTTCATGGGCTAATTTTGGTTTTGCTTTGTTCTTGCTTTTCTAGTTCTTTAAGGTGCATCATAAGTTTATTAATTTTTCATCTTTCTACTTTTTGGATGTAGGTATTTATTGCTACAACCTTCCCTCACAGCACTGATTTTGCTGAATCCAAAGGCTTTTGGTATATGATGTTTCCATTTTCATTTGTTTGAAAACATTTTCGGATTTTCATTTTAATTTCTTCATTGAATCAGTGCTCATTCAGGAGGGTGGGGTTTAATTTTCATGTATGCGTATAGGTTCTGTAGTTTGCCTTGATGTCCATTTCTAGGTTTATTCCTCTGTTGTCTGATCTTTGGAATGATTATGATTATGATTTCCTAAAATGTGTAGGGACAGCTTTTGTGGACTAACAAAGGATCTGTTTTGAAGAACGTTTCATGTGCTGATGAAAAAAGTATATTAATTTATCTAAAAATAGCACCTAGAGAAACTCAAATAATATATATTTTGCAAAATAACCATAGTCTTCAAAACAAACAAAAAAACAAAAAAGAGACTGAGTAGCTACGTTTGACATTTTTGCAAAAGACAGGACACTTGAGTCCTCCTGTCTCCTTCTGCATTCCAACTATCTCAAAATCTTGTTAGGTTGAAATACACAAACAATACCCAGCCTCCCTCAAATAGGTCTGTGTAAAGGAAGGAGTTTGGGTTTGGTTTCTCTTGGTCAGTTGCACGGAGATGAAAGCACTGGGTCCTATGGAAAGTATGTCCCTCCCAGCCTGCCCTGGCCATCACCCCAGCTGCCACTCCAGCAGGATCTGGGCGTCCCAGGCACTTCTGTTCTGAGCAACCCTCCCCAACAGAGTTCCCAGGAGAAGAGTAGGAGGATGCTCAGATGCGAATCCCAAAGCTGTCACCTCCTGAGCCAGCTGCTGGGCCGGGAATCCTGCTCCCCTGCCGAGACCTCTTTGCTGGGCCAGAACCAGGTCTTGGAGAGAGTCCGGATAGCTCTTGGGGCTCCGGGCCAGGGAGAGAAGGGGACATTACAATGCATGGACCATACAGTCCTCCAGCCCAGCAGCCTCAACCCTCAGCAGGAATCTTCAGCGATCCACAGGTGGATCTGCAGCCATTGTGCGCGCCTGTTCTTCCCGCGCGCCTCTCCCTCCAGTACCTCTTGTGTGCACTGCCCGCTCCCCACCAAGGCATTGCCAGCAGGTGCCTTGTGTGCATACCTGGCCATGCTAATCCCTTAAAGTCACCCTTCCTGCGCAGATCCGTGACTCGCACCATCTTTGCACACACACCCACTCGCTCAGGTTGGAAAGATGCATTGCCCGTCAACGGGAAACTGCTCGCATAGCCTTTGGCCAAGTTGGCAGCTAAGGCGGATGCTTAGAGCCCAGCTCTCAAGAGTTGAAGCATCCGACGGTTCCCCACTGCTCCCAGGAGTGGTTACCTGGGCACTCTGTGTCTGTCACCCCTGTCCCGGCCCCGGGGGCCAAGGGCCTGCCAGTAGGGCTCAGTTGCCTGGAGCCTGCTCATCCCATCCCCCAGTTCACTTTGTTTGTGGAATCTCCCTGTTGCCACTGCCCCTGGATGGAATGGCAGGGCCATCCTACAAGTACCCAGACACTTGGCATCAGTGGTGTGTCAAAACAACTCCAAGGGTTTTCTGTGATCCTGCAAGCCCTGTGTTCCTTGCTGGCGATCCTGCCTTCAATTTGAATGCACAGGTACCACAGCAAGCCGGTGCTGTGTGCTCCCAATTCCAGGATGTCTTGCAGCTCAGCCAGTGCACTGAGCACAAGGACTCTCTGTGGGGCCCAGGAGCAGGGAGTCACCCCTTTGGGGCCCACAACATCCAGTTGTGCCCCAGACTCCTGTCCAGAGAAGATCGTGTTGAGGGCCCTCCTGAAGAGGGGGGCAGGGATGCCTGAGCAGGACAAGGACCCCAGAGTCCAAGAGAATCCTGATGATCAGAGAAGGGTTCCTGAGGGCACCGGGGATGCACAGTCTGCATTTAGGCCCCTGTGGGACAATGGAGGCCTCTCTCCCTTCGTGCCCAGGCCTGGGCCTCTGCAGAGAGACCTCCATGCCCAGAGGTCAGAAGTCGGATAAAACCAGAGATCCCAGACCTCCTGGATGAGTTCGTGCACCAAACAAAATGCCATCGTGAGCTCCTACAGTTCCATGGGAGGCTTCCTGTCACCAAAGAGGAGGGGGCCAGCCTCATCCCACTGTCAGCTGCCCCTCAGGTCCTCAAAGACAGTGAGTGAGGACCGGCCTCAGGCTGTCTCTTGGGGTCTCACCCAGTGTGAAAAGGCAGCAGATGCAGCACCAGGGCAGACACTTGCCCCCAGGAATGGCTCCCCCACATCCCAGGCCTCTAGGCCCCATAGATGCAAGTTTCCTCTGCTGCCACTCAGGCAAGGGGAGCCTCTGATGCTGCCACCTCCCTTACAGCTGGGGTCTGGGGTCACTGCTGAAGACCTGGACCTGGAGAAGAAGGTGGCACTCTGGTGCAAAAGCGCACTGCGGGGTGAGGCCAAGGCCATCTGGGACTGCAGACCCTCACGGCCTTCCCACACTTTGTCCTCACTTGCAACAGGGACTTCTTGTCTGCCTGTTGTATGTAAAGCACCCAGCATGGATGCACAGCAGGAGAGACACAAGCCCCAAGACTATGTGGCTGTCTTTCTGGGCTCTGTCATCCGTCCCATTGATCTATGTGTCTAGTTTTATGCTAGGACCATGCTGTTTTGGTTACCATGCACTTGTCAAAAATTTTGTCATTCTAATTTGCAGTGAAATGGGGTGCTTCTAGTTTTGTTGTTTTTGCTGAGGATGACTTTGGCTCTTTGAGCTCTTTTTTGGTTTCATATGAGTTTTACGATTTTCCAGTTCTGTGAGAGATGACACTGGTATTTTGGTAGGGGTTGTATTGAATCTCTAGACTGCTCTGGGCAGTGTGGTCATTTTAATGCTATGAATTCCTTCCATGAGCATGAAATGACTGTCCATTTCTTTCCGTCCTCTTAAACTTTGTCATCAGTGTTTTGTAGTTTTCCTTGTAGAAATCGTTCACCTCCTTGGTAAAATTTCCTCTGTGGCATATCATTTTTCATTTTGTTGCTATTGTAAATGGGATTGCCTCCTTAATTTCTTTCCTAGACCATTATTGGTGTATAAAATGCTGCTGATTTTTGTATGTTGATTTTGTATCCTGCAAATGACTGTATTAATTTATTTATCAAGTCTAGAGTTTTCTGGTGGAGGCTTTACATGTTTGTAAATCCAAGATCACATCTTCATCAGACAAGGATAATTTGATGTCCTCTTTTCCAGTGTGGGTGGCTTTTATTTTTTTCTCTTGCATATTTGTGTGATGTCTAATAAAAGTGGTGAGAACGGGCATCCTCGTCTTGTTCCTGTTTACAGAGGAAACGCTTTTCACTTTTCCCCATTCTGTAGTAGGTTAGCTATGGCTTTGTCGTATACAGCTTTTATTATTTCTAGGTTTTTTTTTTTGAGATGGATTCTGGCTCTTGTCACCCAGGCTGTAGTGCAATGGTGCAATCTCAGCTCACAGCAAACTCTGCCTCCCAGGTTCAAGTGATTCTCCTGCCTCAGCCTCCGGAGTAGCTGGGAGGCGCCCGCCACCACGCCCGGCTAATTTTTGTACTTTTGGTAGAGATGGGGTTTCACCATGTTGGCCAGGCCGGTCTCGAACTCCTGACCTCAGGTGATCCACTCACCTCAGCCTCCCAAAGTGCTGGGATTACACGCATGAGCCACTGGGCCTGGCCATTTTCAGGTATGTTTCTTCTATGCCTAGTTTGTTCCTTTTTTCAAGACATGGTCTCACTCTGTTTTTCATGCTGGAGTGCAGTGACACCATCATAGCTGTAGCTTTGAACTCATGGGCTCAAGCCACCTCAGCCTTTCAAGTAGCTGGGACTACAGGTGCATGTCACCAGAGCTGGCTAATTTTTATTTTTATTTTTTTGTAGAGATCTATTTTCCTCAGGTTGGTCTTGAACTGCTGACCTCAAGTGACCCTCCCAGCTCAGCCTCCCAAAAGCACTGGGTTGACAAGCATGAGCCGCCGCCTGGCCCAGAGTCACATTTTAACATCCTATCCTCAGTGCCGGGCTCAAGTTTCGCCAGTGACTGAAAACCCTAAGGGAGAGTTTTCTGATCAGGCCCAGCCCAGTCTGTGCATAGGAAGGGAATGGAAAAATGGCCTGTGGATGGTTCTTTTGGAGAACTGGCCAGACAAGCACTGAGATGCCGTTTCCTGGAATACAGAGCCATGTGATGTCCAGCCCAGCTGCCAGGTCCAGGGCTCTCGGCACCATCTAGTTTGGGAGTTCACCCAGAAGCAGCCTCGGTTGCCCAAAGCAGCTGGTCTCCCTTCCAATCTGGTCCCGTTTGAGAGATGCAACCGGGCCGTCTTCCAGGAAACCATTTCAGTGCGTGCCTGTCTTTGTCCCCGCACTGGCTGGCCTCTCTGAACCATGAGAACTTGGGTTATGCGAGGCTCTGCCTGTCAGTTGAGCATCATGAAGCAGCTCTCTTCTGTTCCAGTGAGGCCGACCAGGCTCCAACACCCCTGCCACGGGTCTGACCATTCTCCCCCTCACCCAGAAGTGACCTCCAACCCGATCCTGCTCCCTGTCTTCTGGCAGCTGCTCTGGGGAAGGGCATTTTGGCCTCAAGGGCTGAGCATGTCATTTTCTGTTTTCTGTTTATCTTTCCGGAGCTGTTAGGGAGCTGTTATTTTTATTTTTTATTTTATTTAATTTTTTTTGAGATGGAGTCTCACTCTGTCACCCAGGCTGAAGTGCAGTGGCTCAATCTCGGCTCACTGCACCCTCCACGTCCTGGGTTCAAGCGATTCTCCTGTCTCAGCCTCCTGAGTAGCTGGGACTACAGACACATGCCATAATGCCCAGCTAATTTTTGTATTTTTAGTAGAGACGGGGTTTCACCATAGTAGTCAGGCTGGTCTCGAACTCCTGACTTCAGGTGATCCACCCGCCTCAGCCTCCCAAAGTGCTAGGATTACCGGCAACATTTACTTATTTAGAGACAGGGTCTTGCTCTGTCGCCCAGGCTGGAGTGCAGTGGTGCCATCTCAACTCACTGCATGCAGCCTCTGCCTCCGGGGTTCAAAGGATTCTCATGCCCCAACCTCCCAAGTAACTGGGACTAGAGCCGTGCGCCGCCACGCAGGGCTAATTTTTTTTTTTTTTTTTTTTTTGTAGAGACAAGATTTTGCCATGTTGGCCAGGCTGGTCTTGAACTCCTGACCTCAGGTGATCTGCCTGCCTCATCCTCTCAAAGTACTAGGGTTATAGCTCTGAACCACCATGCCTGGACTTTCAGTACATTTAAATGATGCGGTGGCTCATGCCTGTAATCCCAGCACTTTGGGAGGCCAAGGCAGGCGGATCACCTGAGGTCAGAAGTTCGACATCAGCCTGGTCAACATGGTGTTTTGGTTGTTTTTTTTTTTTTTTTTCAAATTGGGGGGACAGGGGACCTGAATCTGTCCCATAAGTCTCCAATGCCATTTACAATAAATACACACAACAAAGGGTGATGGGCAAAAACGTCATGGGGATATTGTGATATAAAAATCCACATGCTCAGAAACTCTATAGGTCACGTGACCAGCTTCCACAAAAATTAAACTGCAAGAATTGGGTTAAACCCATAGATTTAAAAAAGAAGATTTAAGAGACACATCAGCCAATTATATATGGACCTATGGGAGTCCTGATCCAAACATAAAAATAGATAGTAAATAAAACAAAAATATTTATAAGACTGTTAGAAATTTAAATACTCATTGAATAAGGTATGATTTAAGGAATGATTATCAATTATTTTAAGGACTGATAATGGTATTAGGATTATATTTTTAAAAGAATCCTTCTCTTTCCAAGATAATAAAATATTTATGGATGAAATGATATGATGTCCAGAATCTGCTTCAAAATAATAAGAGGGGAGGGTGGGTATCACAGAGTTACAACTGGCTGTGAGCTGATAATGGTGATGAGCGTGATGAGCGTATTGGGCTGAAATATCAATCCATCTACTTTTGTATGTCTACAATTTCCTATAATGAGATGGAACACTGTAAACACCAATGCATCCTGCCTATTCAAACAAAAAAGCAGTTGAAGTCTCAGACTGAATGTCACCCATACCTGTGCTAATCTTGGATTTGTTCTCCACAGTGGTCATGGCAGGGGCAGATGCCGAAGGTGCTGCAGATGGGCAGGAGCTTTCCTTCCCTTTAACACCATTAGTCACCGTTACCCCTCTGGCCATTCCAGCTAAAAGGTCATCACTGCTCTTGGTCTAGAAGCAACAGAAAATGAAAACGAATTTAGTAGATCAAGCAAGATTAGATATTTTGAGACTCAACAAAGCTCATGACTTTTATACTGAGTTCAAGAGCCCTATTACCAAAACTTTCTGACGGGTAGTAAGCAGCACACCATACTGCGCTACAGAAATAGAACTTTACAGGTTTATAAACAATCACGTACTTCTTTTTTTTTTTTTTTTTTGATATAGAGTCTGGCTCTGTTGCCCAGGCTGGAGTGCAGTGGCACAATCTCGGCTCACTGCAACCTCCGCCTCCCCAGTTCATGCGATTCTTCTGCCTCAGCCTCCCAAGTAGCTGGGACTACAGACATGCATCACCACACCCAGCTAATTTTTGTATTTTTTTTTAGTGGAGACGGGGTTTCACCATATTGGCCAGGCTGGTCTCAAACTCCTGACCTTGTGATCCAGCCACCTCGGCCTCCCAAAGTGCTGGGATTACAGGCGTGAGCCACTGTGCCTGGCCAAATCATGTACTTCTTTTTAAAACAATAAAATCATATATGTAATCAAAGACTTTATGGAAGCCTGAGATGTGTCCACATATGCCAGATTCAGATGATGGGGGATAGCACATGATATCTTGGGAAAATCCTATAATGCCACAGGAAGTGTCATCTTGCAATTTCCAGAAAGAAATATCATTGAGAGTCAAATAATCCTCATTGCTCTAAAGTGATTCCATGATGAGGCCAGTATCTAAAGGAATTTATTCTGGGCCGGGCGCGGTGGCTCACACTTGTAATCCCAGCAGTTTGGGAGGCCGAGGTGGGTGGATCATGAGGTCTGGAGATCGAGACAATCCTGGCTAACATGGTGAAACCCTGTCTCTACTAAAAATACAAAAAATTAGTTGGGCGTGGTGGCGGGTGCCTGTAGTCCCAGCTCTTAGGGAGGCTGAGGCAGGAGAATGGCATGAACCCGGGAGGTGGAGCTTGCAGTGAGCCAAGATCACGCCACTGCACTCCAGCCTGGGTGACAGAGTGAGACTCTGTCACAAAAAAAAAAAAAGAAAAAAAGAATTTTTTCTGAAATTTATGTTTTTTACTTTATAATTCTGTAGTAGTCAAATTTTAGTCACCATTGAAAGGAGGTATTTTCTAAAACATGCATAATATATTAATAAAAAACTAGAGACTTTACAGTTTGAGCAAGGGTTATGCTGTCTAAATGATCATATTACTTGATAAAGACCATTTGCAATATTTATATTTTATAAAGACAATGTTTAAAATATGAGCTTTAAAAAACACTATGGATAATAAATTGGCTGTAAATTTATTATTCTAAAAAGTAGTGAAGAAATGTTTTCACTTCCTCTAGAAATGAAGGGAACACAGAGGAGTTAAAGATCTGTGGGGAAAAAAAATAAAAACTACTTTTTATCAAAAGAACCCAAAAGTTTTGTCTCTTTGGCATGAGTTAGCCAACCGATTTACACTATCTCCTATCTGGAACCATGCCCTCTCTCAGATAATTGTACTGAATTTATTTGTACAAATCAAAGTAGTTTATAAGTAACTAATCTCTAAAGTCTCTTCCAGTTCTAAATGTCAGTGACTCCATGTGGAGTGTATTTCTGTTATTCAATTATGAAAGTTCTAATACAGTACCATTAGGTTAAGAACAGGCAGAAAAGGCTGGGCACAGTGGCTCATGCCTGTAATCTTAGCATTTTGGGAGGCCGAGGTGCATCACTTGAGCCCAGTTCAACACCATCATGGGCAACATAAGGAGAATCTGTCTGTACAAAAAATTTAAAAATTTAACTGGGTAAAGTGGCACATGTCTGTAGTCCCAGCTATTGGGAAGGTTGAAATGAGAGGATCGCATGAGCCAAGGAGGTCAAAGCTGCACTGAGCCGTGATCACGCCACTGTACTCCAGCCTAGGCAACAGAGTGAGACCCTGTCCCCACCTGCCCCCCCAAAAAAAAGAGGCAGAAAAAGGGATCAATATTTTCAATGAATTAAACAGAATTTAACTCTGGTGATTTATGATTTAGGGCTGTCACATTATGAAATCTAGAATACATAAAAAGAGAGAGAGACACTGCACTAATTTCATTAATTTCAAGGACTGTTCATATTCTTTTTTTTTTTTTTGAGACAGAGTTTCGCTCTTGTCGCCCAGGCTGAAGTGCAGTGGCACAATCTCGGCTCACTGCAACCTCCACCTCCCAGGTTCAAGCTATTTTCCTGCCTCAGCCTCCTGAGTAGCTGGGATTACAGGCGTGCGCCACCACGCCCAGCTAAATTTTGTATTTTTAGTAGAGATGGGGTTTCACCATGTTGGTCAGTCTGGTCTCAAACTCCTGACCTCAGGTGACCCACCCACCTTGGCCTCCCAAAGTGCTTGGGATTACAGGCATGAGCCACTGCGCTTAGCCTTTTTTCTTTTTCTTTCTTTCTTTTTTTTTTTTTTTTTGAGACAAAGTCTCACTCTATCACTGAGGCTGGAGTGCAGTGGCATGATCTTGGCTCACCACAATCTCCCCCTCCTGGGTTCAAGCGATTCTTCTGACTCAACCTCCTGAGTAGCTGGACTACAGGCGTGTGCCACCACGCCCAGCTAACTTTTGTATTTTTAGTAGAGATAGGGTATCGCCATGTTGGCCAGGCTGGTCTCAAACTCCTGGCCTCAAGCGATCCGCCTGCTTCGGCCTCCCAAACTGCTGGGATTACAGGTGTGAGCTACCACGCCTGGCCTGTTCATATTCTTTAAGACTTGTTTCTGTTCACAAAAACTGGCCATCAACTATGATGCCAAAAAGTCACACAATGAAAGTCATACCACTTTCCTGCCAATTTGTCCCTCCTCTATTAGCCAGTAAATAAACTCAACATATTCTTATATTTTCAATCTTCTTTTATATCCTGCTAATAAAAGTAAAATTGTCTTTGAACTAATCTTTCTTCCTCCGTAAGTTAAATATTCTTTCATTTGATAATAATTACATTGAAAACCACCCTCCATTGTCATGTCAACGTGGATTACTCATCACACTTCTCTGGTTACAATTTGCCTTTGGGTAATGACAAAGTTAAATATACACAAGGGCACCAAATCACAAACTTTGCACTTATAATAATTAAGACAATACAGCACTGGCACAAGAATAAACTAGTAAAACAGTCTCTGAAGAAGCTGCATATTTATAGACACATGTTTTATAACCAAAGCAGCAATGCAGAAAACAAGAGTCTTCCAGCAAATAGTGCTAGGTCAAGTGTATACACAAAGGGGGCAAAGATAAATGCTGAGACCTATTTCACACCATATCAAATATAAAGTCCAGGGTTTTCTAACTACGATTTTAAATCTGAAATTGTAAAACAAAGACTTGATCGATGTGACTACATAAAAATTAAAATCTTAAAAATAAAAAATCCTTTTAATTAAAAAAAGTGAAAATGTTATTGCATGACGAGAAAACCATCATAAATAGAATTTAAAAACATAAAAAACTGGGAAAGTATATTTGCAATATCTCACAAGTAAATGCTTAAGGTCCCTAATACATCCAAAATGGTTTAAAATTGAAGGGAAAAAGACCAAAAAAAGACAGAAGAATGAGCAAAATGAATGAATCACACAATCAATTTACACACACACACACACAAATACAGAAAATGATGATCAACCTAACTCATAATGAGAGAAATGCAAATTAATCAGCACTTGTCACTTATCAGGGTGCACACCTGTAATCCCAGCACTTTGGGAGGTGGAGGCGGGCGGATCGCAAGGACAGGAGATCGAGACCAGCCTGGCCAATATGGTGAAACCCTGTCTCTACTAAAAAAAAAAATACAAAAATTAACTGGGTGTGGTGGTGCATGTCTGTAATCCCAGCTACTTGGGAGGCTGAGGCCTGAGAATCGCTTGAACCCGGGAGGCGGAGGTTACAGTGAGCTGAGATCGCGCCATTGCACTCCAGCCTGGGTGACAAGAGAGAAACTCTGTCTCAAAAAAAAAAAATCATTCAGCCATAGAAAGGTGTGAAGTACTAACACATGCCTCATGGAAGAACCTAAAAAAAATGATACCTGAAAGATGCCAGTGACAAAAGACCACAAATGATTCCTGTTACATGAAATGTCTGGGACAGGCAAACCCATGGTGGCTGCCTAGGGCTGTGAGGTGGTGAGAATATCCTAAAATTTATTGTGATGATGGTTACACAACTCTGTGCATACATTAAAAACCACTGAACTGTCCAACTTGGTGAGTTGTATGGTATGCAAGTTATAAAAAAAAATAACACAACTAAATCCTAGAAACTCAACTTTCAGGAGATAATTGTATAAGGTATCTGTGGTAGCCCCATAAGCTATTGATGTCTTACTCTCTGGAACCTCTGAACATGTTCACTTACATGGCAAGAGAGTTTGCAGATGTGATTAAGAATTTTAAGGACAGGAAGATGATCCTGAATGGTCCAGGTGGACCCAATCAAATCACACAAGACCTTAAAAGCAGATAACCTATGGTCAGAGTGACGCAATGTGACAACTTGACCAGCTGTTGGCTTTGAAGATGGAGGAAGGGGCCACAAGCCAAAAAACATGGCTGCCTCTATAAGCTGGAAAAGGCAAGGAAACAGATTCTCCCCTAAAGCCTTGAGAAAAGAACACAGCTCTGCTGACACCTTGATTTTAGTCCAGTAAGAGCCATGCTGGACTTCTAACCAACACAACTCTAAGCTGAAAACTATGTGTTGTTTTAGCCACTACATTTGTAGTAATTTCAATAGTAACAGAAAACGAATACACTATACTATAAATAATTTGTTTTATATAGAAAAGAAAATGAATCTAATGGATCTTAATAAATCATCTGGAATAAATGAAGAAGAGTAAAATATCAGAAACATGTGACATAAAAACCTCAGAACCACAGATAATTGGGGCAACAACATTCCTGAAAATACCAAAAATATTTTTTATTAATTTTTGCTGAAGTATAATATACATGAAGTACCCAAATGATAAGTACAGCTAAAAGCATTTTCACAAAGTGAATACACCATGTAGCCACCTCCCCCAAATCAAGATACAGAATGTAATCAGAATCCCAGAAAGCCTCCCTCAATTCCCCTAAAGATAACCACTCTTCTGACATATTATAATAGATTAATTCCCACCACTGTTTTGGCTTCATTTAAATGGAATCATAGTTCAGACTCCCGTGCATCTGGCTGCTTCTGCTCAATATTATGCGTGTGAGATTCATCCACGCTGCTGCATGTTGCAACAGTTTGTTCTTTTTTTTTGCTTGTTTTGTATACCTTATATATCACAATTCATTTGTCCATTCATGTCTTGATGATTATTTGGGTTGTTTCCAGCTTTTGACTCTTAAGGAGACTATTCAACTTCAGCAGATAGTGCCAATGTTTTCCAAACTGGCGAGAACAGTTTAGAGCCCTATCAGCAGGGTGCAAGTGTTCTTGTTTCTCTGCTTCCTTGCCAACACTTGGTATTATGAGCTTTTAAAATGAGGCATTCTGTGTCTAATCTGCTGCAGGCACAGCAAAGCCTGGCTATAATTTTTATTTATTTATTTATTTATTTTTGACACAGAGTCTTGCTCTGTCGCCCATTTTGGAGTACAACGGTGCAGTCTCAGCTCACTGCAACGTCCGCCTCCTGGGTTCAAGCAATTCTTCTGCCTCAGCCTCCCAAGTAGCTGGGACTACAGGCACATGCCACCACACCTGGCTAATTTTTGTATTTTTAGTAGAGACAGGGTTTCACTATGTTGGCCAGGCTGGTCTCAAACTCCTGATCTTGTGATCCGCCCGCCTCGGCCTCCCAAAGTGCTGGGATTACAGGCGTGAGCCACTGTGCCTGGCCACTGTACTTTATTTTTTAAATGCTAATAAAAATTAGATCCTGAAATTTTTTTCACTTGCTATTAATTCTCATATTTTACATGCATCTTTGTTAGTATTTCCTACATCATAATCATGTCTGCAAATAGAATTTTATTTCTTTCTTTCCAAGTATTATACTTCTTATCTCTCTTTCTGCCTTTCTGCCCTGACTAGAACTTTATTTTTTAATTTTTTGTAGAGATGGGCATCTAACTATGTTGCCCAGGTGAGTCTTGAACTCTTGGCCTCAAGAGATCCTCCTGCCTCAGTCTCCCAGTAGAGCTTTACATACAACACTGAATAGAAGTGATGAGAGCAGGGTCTTGTCTCTTTCCTCATCTCTGGAAGAAAGCTTTCAATAAGTCACCATTAGGCTTAATGTCCACTATAAATATTATTTTGTGTAGATACCCTTTATCATCTTTTTAAAAGTCCCTTTATTCCCAGTTTGTTAGAAATTTGTTCTGTGGGGGTTTTTTTGGAAACTAATAAACAGGTGTTGAATTTTATCAAATGCTTTTGTTCATCACTTTGATTAGATCACATTTTTCCCTCCACTTTGAGAACTTACTCTGAAGGATTTTAATTCATTGAAATTTTTTGAGAGTGCATGTGGCCAATTCTGATGAATATACTGTGGCCAATTAAAAGGAATGTGCAGGCCAGGCGCGGTGGCCCACACCTGTAATCCCAGCACTTTGGGAGGCCGAGGCGGGTGGATCACCTGAGGTCGGGAGTTTGAGACCAGCCCGACCAGCATGGAGAAACCCCGTCTCTACTGAAAATACAAAATTAGCCAAGCATGGTGGCACATGCCTGTAATCCCAGCTACTCGGGAGGCTGAGGCAGGAGAATCGCTTGAATCCGGGAGGCAGAGGTTGTGGTGAGTCGAGATCACGCCACTACCCTCCAGTCTGGGTGACAGAGAGGGACTCCATCACACACACACACACACACACACACACACACACACACACACACACAAAGGGAATGTGCAATTTGCTGTTGTCTGGTGCAGTGTTTTATGGATCAGTCAGGACAAAGTAGTTAATAGCATTACTTACATGTTCTGTAGCTCTACTAAATTTCATTTGCTTTTTCTATTCGTTAATGAGAGGAATGTGTTAAAATTTCCAAATATGCCTATTTCGCCTTTTAGTTCTATCAGTTTCCCTTTATATTCTCTGGGGCTGCGTTACTAGATACATATGAATTTATGATGTGCTCTACGTGCCTCTAAAGTCTTACTGGGCAGCGTGAAGTCTTCCCACATTGTTTTCTAAGGGTGCCTTGGCTATTGTAATTGTTTTAATCCTTTATCATTACGGACAATCTCTATCTCTAGTAATATTTCTTTCTGAGAAATGACGCTTTGAAATTAGTATAGCTCTTCCAGCAGTCCTTTGGTTAGTGCTCGCATAGTACATCTTTTCCAACTCTTTTACTTCCAGTCTTTCTATTTAAAGTGGGTCTTTTGAACAAAATTATGGTTGGGTCTATTGTTTTTAATCTGAAAATCTTTGTCTTTTAACTGGAATATGCAGCCTATTTACCTATAATGTGATTTTTACATATTTGGGTTTACATCTATTACTGTACCCTTAGTTCTTTGTTCCTTTTCTCTCCTTTCCTGCCTTATTTTGGATTAATCAAGTATTAATATTCCATTTCTCTTCTGTTAGCCTCTTATTTTCCATTCTTTTATTACTTTGTTAACAATATGTGATTTTAAATATTATAGTAGCCACATTGAAAAAGTTAAAAATATATATTAATGTATCTTATTTAATCAAACATATTAAAAATATGATCATTTCAGCCAGACGCAGTGGCTCACACCTGTAATCCCAGCACTTTGGGAGGCCGGGGCGGGTGGATCACGAGGTCAGGAGATCGAGACCATCCTGGCTAACACGGTGGAACCCCATCTCTACTAAAAATACAAAAAAATTAGCCGGGGGTGGTGGCACGCACCTGTAGTCCCAGCTAATTGGGAGGCTGGGGCAGGAGAATGGCGTGAACCCGGGAGGTGGAGCCTGCCGTGATGCACCACTGCACTCCAGCCTGGGTGACAGAGCGAGACTCTGTCTCAAAAAAAAGAGATCATTTCAACATGTAATCAGTATTTTTTAAATGAAGCATTTTACATTCTATTTTTCTATATGAAATCTTCTAAGTGTTCAAAATCTGGTGTTTATTTATAATCACAGCACATCTCAATTCAGAATAGTCACATTTGAGTTCTCAGTAACTCCGTGCAATGAATGTCAACTGTAGCAGCGTGTAGGACTAGAGATTTACAATGTGCAGCCCTTCACTTACTCAGAGTCTACGACAAATTAATTTCCTAACCTTCTGAACAATTCAAAGACCTTGCAACACCTTAATTATATTTACTGCCCCCTCCTAACTTTTGAACCATTTTATCTTAAACTTTAAACCTGCATGTATCTTTAAATAAGACATTTTTATTACACTGCAGTCAATATTCATATATATTTACCTTCATATTTACTCTTCCACTGTTCTTTATTCCTTCTTGAAATTTTGTTTCCCTTTGGTATTATTTTCTTTCTGCGACGAGAACTTCCTTTTTCTTTCAGAATGGGCCTGCTGGTGACAAATCCTCTTTTTGTTATCTATTGAGAAATCGGCTGCCAATCTTATTATTCCTCTTAACCTAGTATCTTTTTTCTCTAGCAATTAAAGATTTTTTTTGCTGTCCTTGACTTTTAGCACTTATGACACTCCTAGCCCTCTCTTTTCTCTTAGTATAACCCAATTGTATGTGTCTTAACCCCTCTATTATGTCCTGTGTCTCCACTACACTGTATTTTTTTCATCCTTTCATTTCTCGGTGCTTCACTGTAGATATTTCTTACTGATCAGTCCTCTAATTCACAAATCTTTTCCGTGTTGAGTGGTTGTGAAACACATGCTTGGGAGTTTGTAACTCAAGCTAATGTATTTTTAGTCCTAAAATTTTCATTTGGCCAGGCGCCATGGCTCACGCCTATAATCCCAGCACTTTGGGAGGATCACCTGAGGTCAGGAGTTCGAGACCAGCCTGGCCAACATGACGAAACCCCGTCTCTACTAAAAGTACAAAAAAAAAAAAAAATTAGCTGGGCCTGGTGGCAGGTGCCTGTAATCCCAGCTACTCAGGAGCCTGAGGTAGGAGAATCGCTTGAACCTGGGAGGCGGAGGTTGCAGCAAGCCAAGATTGCACCATTGTACTCCAGCCTGGGTGACAAGAGTGAAACTCCATCTCAAAAAATAAAAAATAAAATAAAATAATAAAATAAAATGTTCATTTGATTCTATTTTATAGATTCCAGTTCTCTGGTAAAACTCTCTATCTCTTCATCTGTTTCCTTAAACTCATAAATCGGTTATTTTAAAAGCCTATCTAAGAGTTCCAATATCTGGATCACCTCAAGTTCTTTCTGTTACTCATTCTTTCTCTTGATTTTCATTCACTTGATCGTGCTTATTGGCATGCCTGGTATTTAATTAATTAATTAATTATAGAGACAGGGTCTCACTATGTTGGGCAGGTTGGTCTTGAACTCTTGGCCTCCGGTAATCCTACCACCTTGGCCTCCCAAAGTGCCAGGATTACAGGCATGAGCCACTGCGCCTGGCCATGCCTGGTATTTTGATGGAATGCAGGATAGTATGTTCCAAGAGTATAGGGGCTAAGTTTCTTCTGGCAGGTAACTAGAATAAGGGCTGATCACCCTGATCCAATCAAAGTTTTGAAGCTGGATTTCAAGCTGATAACTTCTGGTCAACCTTTATTTGTAGGTCATAATTCTTCTGAGGTCTCAGCCGAAGGCCTGGAGTATTTCCCATTGTCATTCCTCTTTGGCTGGCCTTGAAATCTAATTTTTTGTCAACCTACTCCTGTGAGAACAAAAACTGTGCTTACGTTTTTTAGGCTTGGGTAATAGCTTTCTACTGAATTTCTCCTTCTGACTTTGAAAAATACCTTAACAGCAAAAGCTAAGTCAAATATTGAGTTTACTACCCTCTTTCTCTCTCTCTATTTTCCCAAAGAGATAGGGTCTCACTGTGTTGCCCAGGCTGGAGTGTAGTGGTGTGATCAAAGCTCACTGTAATCTTGAACTGTTAGGCTCAAGCAATCCTCCTGCCTCAGCCTCCTGAGTAGCTGGGACTAGAGGCATGTGCCACCATGTTGACTGAGTTCATTACTCTTGAGGTTGTCTTTTTCCTAGGATCTTGGACCCTCAAATCTTGGCTGCCTTAGAATCCCTCAATTCAAGTTTTACTCCCACTACTCAGTGGTTATGAAACAAACTCTGGACCACTGCTTTGTCTGGTCTCCACCCCATGTGTAGAGTTAGCCACCACCCTAAGGGAAAAAAGCAGGGGTACATACGGGCTCAACTCAATAGGATTTTTCTCTACAATTTTGGCTCCTGCCAAATTTGACCTGGCTGCCTTGGTTAGTCCCCAGTGCCATCAAAGATATTTGTTTTTGTATTTTAAACAGTTTTTACAGTAGTCTCATCAGAGATTTGGTCTGATATTCTGTTATAACCATAAACAAAAGTTTTAATTTACTGAGTTTTAATTACTGATGTATTTTTTACTGACTAGTCCATAAACTTCCTGAGAATAGAAACTATTTTTATTCCCTAACTTCTATTTAAACACTCAGCACACTACCTGACACAGAGGTTACTAGTTGACAAATTATTAACTTTTATATTAGGAAAAAAAGCTTAGAATGCAAGCAAAGCATAACACATAAATATATGCCTGCTAAACCATTCCAGCCCATTAATTCTTTTGATTCCACTCATCTCCAGCAAGAAACAGCCAATCTTTTCTTCTGTGGCCCACACATTCATGAAGTACATCCCCCAATAAAGCTGCATTCTCAATGTCAATCTGAGATTAAATGACCTCAGGCAGCACTAAAATCTTCTGTTCATTTATTAAAAGTATTTTATACTAGATTAAGTGGTTTCATTATTCTTCAGATTTAACCAATCCATTTCTAAGTCTAGCATTTCATCAAAAAACAATGAGATTTTTCATTCAAAATAAAGCTCTCTCAATTGAACCTTTAGAGGCATCTTGATTGCATTCAGTTAGGGTTTTCCAGAGCAAGAAAACAATAACGCAACTAAAGCTCATAGACAGAAAAATCTAAAACCAAAGAAAAGTTTACTGAATGTATAAACATCTTCTCTATTCCGGTTGGTTATTCTTGTATTACCAATCTAGTACCATCAATCCCTAAAGACAACAGCTAAAAAAATTAAAAATGGTTGTCTCTGGACAGCGAAATTTTAGAGATAAGGAAATGGGAACTCGATTACCCCTTCTCATGATAAGCACTTAAAAATTATTACAGTTAGCTGCATATTTAAATTAAAAACATAATTGTGTATAAACAGAGGCACTGATTTTTTAAAAATAGAAAAAAAGGAAGATGCAACCCTTAAAGCAATAGTACTGAAAGCTGGTTACATAACGCCCTGGACTCACAAGATAGCCTTGAGGCAGCCATTTATCCTTGTGCGGGTTTCAGTCCCAGATCTGTAAACCTGATAATAAACCAGAATGCCAAGACGTTTTCAGCATGAACATTCTACTATTCTAAAGCTTCAACGGATGATAAAAGGCACAAGTTAGAAGAGAACAATGTATTTGTTAAATAAAAGCTAAACTCATAAGGGCTTGTTTTGTAATGGATACTTAATGAAATACAGTGATCGTCAGCACAGTAATTTTAGGGTGACTCTTAAGAGAGTTAACGAAAGATGATATGGGTATTAGGGAATCTACCTCCGTTGATTAGGCGGTTTCTCCATAAAGCACGCACGTTCCGAGCATTAATGATCCATCTGGGGCCTCTGAGAGCAGTATGTGCTAAGTGTCACGTAACAGCTTCTGCTCTCATAAACTAGTCAAGTGTCACAACCTGCTCTTTCCTGCAGACTGTGAGTAGTCAGAGACCAAAGGACTGAACCAAAACTGCTGGCTCCAAAGGGTGGGCATGATAATCCACTTATAGCTAGACAGGCAAAGGGCACTGGCACTTCTCATACGATTCTTGACAAATTAAGAACACTATTAGAAATGGCTTTCAGTTTTAAAAGATTATGCATTTCAGACCAGGTGCAGTGGCTCACGCCTGTAATCCCAGCACTTTGGGAGGCTGAGGCAGGCGGATCACTTGAGGTCAGGAGTTCGAGACCAGCCTGGCCAACATGGAGAAACCCCGTCTCTACTAAAAATACAAAAATTAGCCAGGCATGATGGTAGGCACCTGTAATCCCAGTTACTCTGGAGGCTGAGGCAGGAGAATCACTTGAAACTGGGAGGGAGGTGGAGGCTGCAGTGAGCCGAGATTGCACCATTGCACTCCAGCCTGGGTGACAGTGAGACTCCGTCTCAAAAAAGAAAAAGATTATGCATTTCAGACTGTCCAATTTTAACTTACAGATCTTGAAATAAAAGAACCAGTATCCTCTTTGCTTCTAAAGGGAAGGAACAGATATCTATGGAACTTAGATATCTGTCTCACAGGAAACAAAAGCCAACCGCCTCCCCCAAGCCATACATATATATCATCAAAGAAGTGTCCATAGGAAATAAAAAAGCAGAGAATTGGGTATGTAGCCAAGACTGTCAAGTGTACAAAAAGAATTTTCCTTATGTATGACTAACCATCCTATATCATATTTCCCCCTGCATTCTAAGTACCAAGTAAATGGAAAAAAACTTCAAATTATTAATTGAAATAATTGATTTGTGTTATATAATAATTAATATATATGTCTCTCTATATATTAAGGTAAATATCTTAAGATCATAGAATCATAGAACTCAAACTAGAAGAACACAAAAAGCATTAAATAATTACTTAATGCTTGAATTATCTTCATTTAATCAACTTGATATGTGACAAAGTTCTATAATCAAAGGGGAAGTAATTTTTTTTTTTGGAGACAGGGTCTTGCTCTGTTGTCCAGGCAGGAGTGCAGTGGCGTGATAATGGCTCACAGCAGCCTCAACTTCCTGGCTCAAGTCATCCCCCTGCTTCAGCCCTCCAAGTAGCTGGGCTGAGGTGGGAGGATCGCCACCATGCCTGGCTATATATTTTTTTAAATTTTAGTAGAGAGAAGATCTCACTATGTTGTCCAGGCTGGTCTCAAACTCCTGACCACAAGCAATCCTTCAAGGGAGAAGTAATTTATAATGTTCTAAAATTATTTAAGTTATTGTCTAGGAAAATCTAAAACTTAGGTTATAAGAAGACACCTAACAACGTGGAAGAAAATACAGATACACCTCAGATTGTACTTCACCTTCTTGTGCTTCACAGATACTGCGTTTTTTACAAATTGGGGGTTTGTGGCTACCCTGTAACAAACAAGTCTGTTAGTACTATTTTGCCAATAGCATGTGCTCACTTCAATGTCTCTAGGTCAAGTTTGGTAATTCTTGCAATATTTTAAACTTTCTCATTATTATTATAACTGTTATGGTGATGTATTACCAGTGGTCTTTGATGCTACTATAGTAATTGTTTTGGGGTGCCATGAACTGTGCCCATATAAGACAGTGAGCTTAATCTATAAAGTTGTGTGTGTTCTGAAAGATCCACTGACTAGCCATTCTGTCTCTCTCCCTCTCCTTGGGCTTCCCTATTCCTTGAGACATAACAATATTAAAATTAGGCCAATTAGTAACCCTACAATGGCCTCTAAGTATTCAAGTAAAACGAAGACTCCCACATCTTTCACTTTAAATCAAAATCTAGAAATGCTTAAGCGAATTGAGAAAGGCACGGCAAAAGCCAAAAGGCTGAAAGCTAGGCCAGTTAGCCAAGTTGTGAATGCAGAAGAAAAGTTCTTGAAGGAAATTAAAAGTGCTACACCAGTGAATACGCAAATGATAGATAGCAAAACAGCCTTATTGCTGATATGGAGAAAGTTTTCCTGCCTTGAATAAAAGATCAAACCAGCTACAACATTCCCTTAAGCCAAAGCTGAATCCACAGCAAGGCCCTAACTGTCTTCAATTCTATGAATGCTGAGATTGGTGATGAAGCTGCAGAAGAAAAGTTTGAAGCTAGCAGAGGTTGGCTCACGATATTGAAGGAAAGAAGCCATCTCCATAACATATAAGTGCAAGGCGAAGCTAGCAAGTGCTGATACAGAAGCTGCAGCAAGTTACCCAGAAGATCTAGCTAAGATCACTGATGAAGGTGGCCACACTAAATGACAATTTTCAATGTGGATAGAACAGCCTTCTATTAAAAGATGACATCTAGGACTTTCATAGCTACAGAGGAGAAGTCAATGCCTGGCTTCAAAGCTTCAAAGGACAGGCTGTCTCTCTCATTAGGGCCTAAGCAGCTGGTGACTTTAAGTGGAAGCCAGTGCTCATTCACCAGTCCCACAATCCTAGGGCCCTTAAGAGTTACGCTACATCTACTCTGCCTGTGCTCTATAAACGGAATAACAAAGCCTGGATGACAGCACATCTGTTGACAGCATATTGAACATTTTAAGCCCACTGTTCCTTTCAAAATATTACTGTTGATTGACAATGTAACCAGTCAGCCAGGAGCTCTAATGATGATACAAGGAGATTAATGTTGTTTTCATTTTTGCTAATACAACATCCATTCTGCGGCTCATGGATCAAGGAGTGGGCTTAAAATGTTCAATAAACTATAGGGTCTTGCCTCTTCAAGCCAAGATCATGGACTGGTCTCAAACTCTTGACCTCAAGTGATCTGCCCACCTCGGCCTCCCAAAGTGCCGGGATTACAGGTGTGAGGCACCGGGCCCAGTCAACCCTTTCTCTTAGAAGTGTTTACAAGTTGTCCCTTGGAGGACAAGCCTTGTGTTGGGACTATCACAAACGTTTGAGTGGAAATGAACAAGTCAGTGGGGGCTGAGTTTAATGGGCTTTCTCCGAGTCAATCAGGCCTAAAGGTTTTCAGGCAGAGGGAAGGGCAGTGTGGTTGTGTGACAGCTCCCAAAAATGTTGGCTGCTCATTTACCCAGAAATTTACAGCGCTGTCATTTCCAGTAACCTCCTAAGGAACGTGGATGGAGTCAAATCTTCCATATCAAAAGATGAAACTGTGTAGTGAACTGAGCAGTGATGGGGTCACATCAAGCCTGGCCCCGCGGTGGCAGTGTCAGAAAGCAGAATGGAGGCGGCCCCCGCATCCGCACCAGGGAGACCCAGGTCCCTTTGTGAACCTCCGCACAGCGCCCCCTCGGGGCAGCTGCAGGTTTATTATCACTGCTTCATTCGTGGAATATTGTTCAAGGGATCTGCAACCCTCAGGAACAAAGTAAAACCAGGTCAGGAACAAATCATTTAAATTACAATGGGGGTGCCGAGTAATTTCAAAAGATATTAAATATAACTACAAGTTGTGCACTCTTATTATGACCTACTCATCTCTATGAATCTCAAAAATATTTCGGCGGGAATGGTGGCTCATGCCTATAATCCCAACACTTTGGGAGGCAGAAGCAGAAAGATTGCTTGAGCCCAGGAGTTCAAGACCAGCCTCGGCAACAAGGTGAAACCCCGACTCTACAAAAAATACAAGAAATTAGCAGGGTGTGGTTTCCCACATTTGTAATCTCAGCTATCTGGTCGACTGATGTGAAAGGATTGCCTGAGCCCATGAGGTCGAAGCTGCCCTGAGCCGTGATGGCACCACAGCACTCCAGCCTGGATGACAAGGTAAGACCAAGTCTCTCTCTATACATACATTTTAAAATTAGCTTCGGTATTTTTGACTCTTTTTTTTTCTTACATTTAGTTGAGGGGAAAAACAAGCCAACAGCAAACTGCTTCTTTCTAATCATTGATTGGCAATAAAACCAAAGGAAAGAATCTAGCTTACCAGATGGCCATAAAACACGACCAGATATCATCTCCTCTTACTTTGTTTTGTTTTGTTATTTTATTGTACTTATTTTATTTTATTTATTTTTTGAGACCAAGTCTTGCTCTGTCGCCCGGGCTCTAGCGCAATGGTGTGATCTTAGTTCACTGCAATCTCCACCTCAGCAGGAGAGCAGGAATCTTCAGTGATCCACGGGCAGATCTGCCGCCATTGTGCCTTTGTGCGCACCTGTTCTTCCTGCGTCCTTTGTGTGGGTGCCTCTCCTTCCAGTATGTATTGCGCACCTCCCCCTCCCCACCCCCAAATTGCCAGCAGGTGACTTGCTTGCATACCTTGCCACGCTAATCCGTTAAGGTGCTAATCCGTTAAGGTGCTAATCCGTTAAGGTCGCTCTGTCACTCGCGCCCGTTCTTTGCATGCGCACCCACTCGCTCAGGTTTAAAAGGCGTGTTGCCCGGCAACAGAAGAAACTGCTCGCTTCTCCTTTGGCCGAGTTGGCAGCTCCACGAGGACGCTCAGAGCCCAGCTCTCGAAAGTTCGAGCATCTGACAGTTCCCCACTGTTCCCAGGAGCGGTTACCTGGGCACTCTGTGCCCCTCACTCCAGTTCCGGCCCAGGGGGTGAGGACCTGCCAGTAGGGCTCTGTTGCCTGGAGCCCACTCACCCCATCCCCCAGTTCACTTTGCTTGTGGGATCTCCCTGTTGCTCCTGCCCCTGGGTGGAGTGGCGGGCCATCCTACAAGTACCCAGACACTTGACATGAGTGGTGTGTCAAAACAACTCCAAGAAGGTTTTCCGTGATCTTGCAAGCCCTGTGTTCCTTCCTGGTGATCTTGCCTTCAATTTGATTGCACAGGTACCACAGCAAGCCAGCACTGTGTGCTTCGAATTCCAGGATATCTTGCAGCACAGCCAGTGCACTGAGCACAAGGACTCTCTGTGGGGCCCAGGAGCAAGGAGTCAACCCTTTGGAGCCCACAACACCCGGCTATCCCCAGACTCGTGTCCAGAGAAGATCGTGTTGAGGGCCCTGAAGGACAGCAGGGCAGGGATGCCTGAGCAGGACAAGGACCCCGGAGTCCAAGAGAATCCTGATGATCAGAGAAGGGTTCCCCAGGGCACCGGGGATGCACCGTCTGCATTTCGGCCCCTGTGGGACAATGGAGGCCTCTCTCCCTTCGTGTCCAGGCCTGGGCCTCTGGAGAGAGACCTCCATGCCCAGAGGTCAGAAGTCACATATAACCAGAGATCCCAGTCCTCCTGGATGAGCTCCTTCCCCAAACGAAATGCCTTCGTAAGCCCCTACAGTTCCATGGGGCAGGCTCAGCCTGTCTACCCAAAACCAACCCCATAGGTGAATCCTGCTGTTGGGAGGGGCTCAGCCTGTCCACCCAAATTCTGGGCTAGCAGAAACCTTCCAAATACATCCCCAGCTTATGCAAAAGATAAACACATCTCCACCTTAGGTGCATGCAGTACCTCTTGGACTTTCACTTAATCCCATCATGGACTTATTCTTTTGGCTGAAAGACTTACTACCGCTTTATAAAGAAAGTGGGTAATTGTGGTAATACAACATGAATGTAATTTCCTTTGTTCAGCAAAACCTTTTACTGAGCACTTATTATGTGGTAGGGGTTCTGATAGATCTGCCAAGGGCGTCGTTTCATATCATCCTTAGGTCACAGCTATGAAGAGAGTGTGAATGCAACCCTCATCTTCCAGGTGAGAAAATCAATGCTTAAAGAAGCTAAACAACTTGCTGGAAGTCACAGAGCTGGGCAGGGGCAGAGCTTCAGGTTTCAGTTATGTGGACTGGCAGGCTCGATGCTTCAGATTGCTACGGCGCTGGTCATCCGCACCCTTCCCATCTGTCCTGTTTTTCCTACTATCGTGCAATATGACGTGTTCTATCATTATCACCAGTGGATGGATGTCCTGTGCCAGCTGCACGTCTCTATTATAGCTTGTTATATGGACCTATTTTTTAAATTCCAGATCCCTTATTATGCTTTTTTTTTTTTTGAGACAGGGTCTGGCTCTGTTGCAGAGGCACAATCTTGGCTCACTGCAGCCTCTGCCTCCTAGGCTCAAGTCATCCTCCTACCTCAGCCTGCCAAGTAGCTGGCACTACAGGCATGCACCACCATGCCTGGCTAAGTTTTGTATTTTTGGTAGAGACAGGGTTTCGCCATGTTGCCCAGGCTGGTCTCGAACTTGTGAGCTCAAATGATCTGCCCACCTCGGCCTCCCAAAGTGCCGGGATTACAAGTGTGAGCCACCACACCCCACCTTATTATGCATTTCTTACAGGCAGTGAACATGTCTTTAAAAAACAGGCTGGGCACAGTGGCTCACACCTGTAATCCCAGCACTTTGTGAGGCCGAAGCAGGTCAATCACCTGAGGTCAGGAGTTTGAGACCAGCCTGGCCAACATGGTGAGACCCCGTCTCTACTAAAGATCCAAAAATTAGCTCGGCATGGTGGTTGCAGCCTGTAATCCCAGCTGCTTGGAAGGCTAAGACAAGAGAATCACTTGAATACAGGAGGCAGAGGTTGCAGTGAGCCAAGGTTTCACCACTGCACTCCAGCCTGGGCGAAAAGAGCAAAACTGTGTCAAAAAACAAAAAAAGGAAAATTGTGCTAAAATATACATGACATAAAACATATCATCTTGGACACTTTGAAGCGTACAGTTCAGCAGTGTGTAGGTTCACATTGCTGTGTTTCCTGTGCTTTTACAAACCAGGACACTTGCCCAGGACCCAGGTCCCTGGGGAGTTTCTGCATTTGGGGAACAACAAGCTCTGGTTCTCTGGTAACTTCTGGAAGGCGTTGCTTACCATGTGGAACTAGGAGCTGGGAAGCCAAGACCTGGCTGGGTTGGGGAGGCCGAGTGCTCACAGCCCTGGGCCTGGAACTGCCCCTTCTGAGGTCCCTTCAATGCCCGGGCCCTGGACATCCCTGGGGCCAGGAGCAGCACCCCAGTCTCCCTCCACTGGTTCAGGGCTGTTCAGAGACCGCTAACTTTGGGGCACCCAGGCCATGGGAGCCTCGGACTCCCACTCCAGCCTCCTTCCTTCCGCCTCAATTTCAGCTTCCTTGGCCCACATGTTGCCCGGCGTCCTGGCCACGAGACAACCCCCAACCCTGCCCTTCTATGAACAAAGTCCACTAATCACTGAACCCCTCTCCAGGCTGGGTCCTGCTGGGGAGTGCCATTTGCCCATGAGATGGGGGCACAGGTGGGACAGCTTCCCCCGCACATTGTACAGGAAGCCACAGCCCTCCTCCAGCCCTGCCCCAGGGCTGACTCACCCTTCCAAGACTGTGACAGAAACCAGGGCCACTTCACATCAGAAAGCCCTCGGGAAGGATGGTGGCCTGGGCCCTTGAGCTACAGCGCAGCCCTGGGGAGGGGCCAGGGGAGGCCACCCAGGCCTCTGGCTCTGACTCCTAGACAGGAGGGTCCCACATAGGCCACTCCCAGGCTGGCTGCCACCCACTTCCTGGCTGGATAGCACTGTCCTGCCGAGGACAGCACTCGGGCCACTCCCCAGTTCATCTGCAGGCCCACAATGGCCGGCTCACACTCCCAGGCCGCTTAAAATGCCAGAGGTTAAACATTAGCCGCCCAGTCTTTTATCCTGCAGCCCAGCTTGTGGCCCTGAGGGAGAGTGCCTACCGTCCCCAGCAGCTGTCACCTTCCTTATGATCAAAGCGGGAGGAGAGCGGCACCCTCGCACAGACCATCTCTGAAGCGAGGGGCAGACTCCAAGAGCTCCTCAGAGCCTGAGCTTTGGGTTTGCCATCGCGGGGTTTAATGCACAACCAGGGCTCTCTGAAAACCCTTGTAACGGGGATTTGTTATGGAAATCTTCACAGACTCTGGCCAATCCTGGAATATATTTTTTTAATTGGTTGATTTGCTTCGTTCAAAGCGCTTAGAATGGAAGATTTAGTTTGAGGAGGGGCAGGTTTGGGGGTAGGCTCAGCGGGCATAGTGGCCACAAGAAGATGCCCATCTCACACCTGGAGACGTCCATGAGCACCTCGAAGCTGGCCGTGTGGCTGCACTGGCGTACGACATGGGTCCGGTTCCTGGACAGGAGCTTGAAGCCCCGGGCAGACCACCCTCCCGTCCCACTGACACTGCGTAGAGAAGGGAGAAGAGGCAGGGGTGAGACGGTTCCCTCCGCCCATGTCTGTTGGGGGCAGTCTTTGCCCGGCCCTGGGGACTCCCAGGCCATCCTGGCCAAACCAAACAGCAGGTATAGTGAGTGCTGAAAGCCCGGCGCCCTCGCAGGCTGCTCCCCACCGTGTTCCTCACCGGCCCCCTGCACCGAACAGCCACCCAGCTGCAAGAGCAGCAGGCTCGCTGCCGCAGAGGCAGGACCATGGGAACAGTCTCCCTTCCCTTCTGTGTCTCTCTCATCAGGGCCTCCAAGGAGCACCCTCTGAAGTTCAAGTTCTACATGTCACCTAGCAGCAAAACTCAAACGGGGCCGTCTTGCGTCCACCACGTGCCCCGCTGCTGGAACCACCACCACCCCGGGTTCACACAGCTGCGATGCACTCCTCTGTCTCTTTCTGAGGGTAGATGCTTTCAGAAATAACATCTCGCCTTCCTCTGACACTTCCATCTTCAGGTGGCACAATGTTTTATGGGAATTGCCCAGAAGCCAGGGCCCCATTATGACTCCTGCCTCACTGATGGGAAGCCCCAAATAACAAGCTGTTACGAGGTGTGTCTCGGCTTCTGACAGGGCCCTGCCCTCCGCCAGACTGGGAAAATCACATAACCTCTCAGATCCTTAGTTTGCTAATCTGTAAATGGGATGTGAACGTTAATACATTTGCCACAAACTTTACAATCTGGAAATCATAGGTGCAACATAAAGCAGACAGCAGGTCATTAGAGCTGAAGCTAATTGCCGGAAAAAAGATGAATGCCCGGGACAGAGAGCTGGGCCTGACGTCCCTCGTGGTGAAAGGGGTTCCTTTCTTCTCTCTTTTATAAGCCAAGCGCCTCTTACATTCCAGGTACTGTGCTGGTTGCTTATGAACTAGAACTTGGAAAGCAAAGAAGCAGGAGAAGAATGAGGCTGGGCTGAACTGGCTCCTGGCGTGGGCTCACTCACCATAGCGCAGCCCCCAGGACAGCCCCCACTCATGGCTCTCCACTGTGCCCAGAGGAATTGTGATGGGGAGAGTGTTCCTGCTGCACGGGCGCCCCCAGATGCACAACGTTCAGCAGATTGAAGCCTGGGGGTGCTCACGCTCTTGACTCCCTGAGTCCGGCACAGTGTCTCCCCTTCCTGCCACTCCCTCCTGGTATGTGGAGAGAGAGCAGGTCTTCCCCTCCCAGATTGTGCTCCCATCCTTCCACCACACCCCAGTTCTAATGTTTTCTTCTAAACAGAGACAGCAAAAGTGAAAACAAACCAGCAGAGAAAAAGCAAGCTCCCTGTAAAGACAGAGCAACTCAAGTAAGTCCGCACCTCACATAAACCATGTAGCTAAAAAAGCAAAACCAAAGCACAAACACTACTGGCTCCCAGCAGATGAGAGCCACAGCATGGCTCTGAATCCACTATCTCATACATGGGTGAATCCACAGTCTCATGTGTGGGTGAGAATCATTAATTTTGCATTTTTCTAAGTACGAAACGCCTTTCCCTCACTTGAATGGATGCTAGAACGTAGACTCTCGTGCACCACCTCCTGCCTTCGCCACTCTGACGGTGCTTCTGAAACAGGCCAGATAAACAGTGCTGTGGCAAGGTGTGGCCTCTTGTGGGTAAAGCCAGACCCCAAAGCTGGGCTGTGTCGGCCTCTCGGGCAAGACTAAGGTCAGGGACCTTTGTCTGGTATGGGGACCCCCACACGTAGCTGGGAGTTCCCACTGTCAGCAGAAGGGCTCCTGGGCCCAGTCTCTGGGTTCTGCCTCCCATGTGTGACCAGAACAGGCCTCTGTCTTATCCAGCAGTGAACTGGGCACTACACTCGTGTTGGCCACTGCATCTCGGGAGTCCCACAAGTGAGAGGCCCCTTCCTGGGTGTCAGCCTTGAGGGATCTCTTTGTGCGCCTGCATGTCTGTGTCTCCACGTGCAGGTCTGCGCGCATCTGTTCACACAGGTCCACGCTCACCTGTGTGTGGGCCTGCATGTGCACACATCTGTGTCTCCACGTGCAGGTCCGCGTGCACCTGTGTGTGGGCCTGCGTGTGGGCCTGCGTGTGCGCACGTGTCTCCACGTGCAGCTCTGTGTGCGTCTGTGTGTGGGCCTGCGTGTGCGCATGTCTGTGTTTCCACGTGCAGGCCTGTGCGCGTCTGCGTGTGGGCATCTGGGGGGGCTCTGATGCACCCACAGAAGCAGAGCAGGAGGCTCACTGCCCCACAGGGGGCTGAAGGGGGAGACACAGACCACAAGAGACTGTCCCCGTGGGACGATCTGCCGCTGAGCCAACAACCCTGCGGGTTCTCTGTGTCTTGGCAAAGCCCTCACATGAAGATGCAGAACTCCCGGCATCACATTTACGCCAGGGAATGGTTCCAGAACACACAGACAGGCTTGGTTCGCTTCTCCATCTCCAGCAGGGTGAACTCCACCAGGACGGGCCTCTCCAGGGGTCTCGGAAGTGGAGCCCCCTCGCTGTACACCAGTGCGCTCACCATCGACGTATTAATGATGGGCCAGTGAGGCAGCCTGAGGTCAAGAAGCCAGAGCACAGGGACAAACATGATTAGGAAACATTTGCTTAATCCCATGCACAAATGCCCTGAGGACATGCCATGGATGTGTTTCTAGGGGAGACAGAATCACACTCCGAGAGCTTGGATCTGTGGGCCCCACGGCATCTTCATCCCCAGAGCAGGTTTCATCACTGACAGGGCACACAGGGAGATGTGTCACCTTTGGGTCAAATTAGGACTTCAGAAATTTAAAAAGAAAGAAGGCACAGGTGCAAAGATGTTACAGCCCATAATAGCTAATGGCAGAAACACAAGGAATGGCTTAAATGTCCAGCAAAAGACACCAAAATAATGACAGCTCATGGGGGTCAATCACCCAGTCACTGAGAACCACGTGAACATGAGGACCCCAGAGCCAGGGAAGTGGGAAATGGCAGGAGGACGAAGGGCGGATCCTCGGGCTGCTCCCACCAAGCAGGCCCCAAAGCTGCTTGTGGGACATTCATCCTTTCCAGCCAGGACTGGCTGAGCAGCCCTAACCCTGGGGCCAGCAGCAGGCACTACCCATGACAGCCTCGGGTCGGGTGTGTGGGGAGAGAATCGAGTCCCTCGGGGCACAAGATGGGGTGTATGCTTGGGAGGGGGCATTTCTGACAGAAACACTGGGAAAAGGCCAGGCAAAGGGTGTGCAATGTTCCAGGGTGTGGTGTCCTGTGGCAGACCCAGAACCTCCCTCCCAGGGACACTGCAGGACAGTGGTCTCTGTCTCTGGGCCAGGGTCACAGTGAAATGTCACTGTGAAGGCCTGTGCTTGATCAGGATCAGGATTTTGACTTGTGGAATCTCTTTTGACTTAGGAGCCTCTGGAATGGGCCCTCTCCATGTGCCCCATACCCAGGCCTTACCAGAGGCTGCGGCGGTTGGGGTCATAGGGCTCAGGCGGGAGCTGCCCCGGGGTACAGTAAACGATGACCAGAGTGAAGGTGAACTAGCCAGTGTCATCAGGGTGTCGCTTTCACCTGCTGATCGGGGCCTCCCCCTCGGTGCCAGGCCCTGGGCGTGTGGTCTGCGGGGTGGTCCTCCGGCTGGCTGGCCTTACCAGGGGGCCTTCTGCAACGTGAGCAGAGCGTGAGGACTCCGGCAGGAGCACCTGTGTTCCCCAAGACAGCTCTCAGTGCCAGCAGGTGCTTCTCAAAACCCAACAGATGTCCCACCGAAAACAGTATGGTGCGTCCTCAAAAAATCAACCACAGGATTTACCACGTGACCCAGCAAGCCCACTTCTGGGTATACACCCAAAAGAACTGAAAGCAGACGCCCAGATACGTCTTCACCCCTGTTCAGAGCAGCACCATTCACACAGGCCGAAAGGTGGAAACGACCCAGGCATGCGTCAACAGGTGAGTGGATAAACAATGCGTGCTCCATCCACACAACAGAATATTACTCAGCCTTCAAAAGGAGGGAAAGTCTGACGTTTGCTACAACACAGGTGAACCTAGAGAACATTACGCTCAGTGAAATAAGCCAAGCACAAAAGGACAAATATTGTATGATTCCACTTATGGGAGGTCCCTAGAGGAGTCAAATTCAGAGACAGAAACAACGGTGGGCACCAGTGGCTGGGGAGTGGAGTTGGTGTTTTGTGGGCTAGAGTTTCAGATCTGCAGGATGAAAAGAGTTCTGGAGATGGACTGCTTAAACATGAATGTATCTGATGCAGTTTTGAGGTCTGGCCCCTCCAAATCTCATGTTGAAATGTGATCAGGGTTGGAGGTGGGCGTGGTCGGGGTTGTTTGGGTCATGGGGGTGGGTCCCCCATGAATGGCTTGGTGTCCTCCCCTTGGTAATGAGCGAGTTCTCACTCTGTTAGTTCCAGAGAGAGCTGGCTGCAATGGAGGGTCGGGGACCTCGTCCTCTCAGTTTCAAGCATGACCCCACATCAGAGTCACCCCTCTTTTTAAGACACATGAGGGCCAGGCACGGTGGCTCACGCCTGTAATCCCAGCACTTTGGGAGGCTGAGGCGGATGGATCGCGAGGTGAGGAGATCGAAACCATTCTGGCTAACACGGTGAAACCCCGTCTCTACTAAAAATACAAAAAATTAGCTGGGCGTGGTGGCGGGCGCCTGTAGTCCCAGCTACTCTCGGGAGGCTGAGGCAGGAGAATGGCGTGAACCCGGGAGGCGGAGCTTGCAGTGAGCGGAGATCGCGCCACTGTACTCCAGCCTGGGCGATAGCGTGAGATTCTGTCAAAAAAAAAAAACAAACAAAAAAAAGACACATGAGGTAACACCATATACCTGACAAAATCCATTTACTAAGAAGGTTTCCAATTTTAAACTGTCCATTATGGAGTTTACCTTTTCATGTCCTTTTTATTTGGGGAAGTTTTTAGTAATTGTCACAGATCTGTAAAAAAAGCACCTTAAGAAAGTTCAGAATGTTCAAACTGTTTTGTATCATAATCTCAACCCAGGAGTGAAGATTTGTACATACACAGACAGCATTCTTGTTTGTTTTTGTTTGTTTGTTTCTTGCAGGGAAGGGAAGGTGAGTCTAAAATTTCTATTTCTATTTAGAATCAGCTTCCCCTGCCTCCCCCGACCCAGACAGGTTCTTGCTCTGTTGCCCAGGCTGGGCTGTAGAGGCATAATCACAACTCACTGCAGCCTCATCTCCTGGACTAAAGCAATCCTCCCGCCTCAGCCTCCTGAGTAGGTTGGACTACAGGCATGTGCCACCATGCCCAGGTAATTTAAAAAAAAACTTTTTTAGTATAGATGGGGTTTTCCTATGTTGTCCAGATTGGTCTTGAATTTCTGGGCTCAAGCGATCCTCCCCATATCGGCCTCCCAAAGTGTTAGGGTTACAGGCGTGAGCCATCATGCCCAGCTAGAAGCAGCTTTGAACCCAGGAGGCAGAGGTTGCAGTGAGCGGAGATCGCACCACTGCACTCCAGCCTGAGCGACACTGTGAGACACCTTTTCAAAAAAATTAATAATAATAAATAAATAAATAAATAAATAAATAAATAAATATGTCCAGCCAGTGTCAGTGTGACAGTTGTGGTCATTTTGATAACAGCAAGGGTTCAAGAAAGCCCTGGGAGTGATGTCTGATTAAAGGAACTGTCCCCCCAGTTCTTGCTGTCAACATCTTTGACAAGTTCAACTTCACGGGTTCAACTGCCCATCAAAGACAATCAGCTCACATACAAATTTCAGTTCTCTTTTCTTTCTCAAGTTATCAGTTACAAGGCTGAGTATCCCTTAACTGAAATGTTTGGGAACATTCTGGATTCTTTTTTTTTTTGAGACAGAGTCTCACTCTGTAACCCAGGCTGGCACATCTTGGCTCACTGCAACCTCTGCCTCCTGGGCTCAAGTGATTCTCATGCCTCAGCCTCCTGAGTAGCTGGGATTACAGGTGCCCACCACCACAGCTGGCTAATTTTTTGTATTTTTTAGTAAAGACGGGGTTTAACCACATTGGCCAGGGTGGTCTCGAACTGCTGACCTCAGGTGATCCCCCTGCCTCGGTCTCCCAAAGTGCTGGGATTACAGGCATGAGCCACTGTGCTCGGCCTGGATTTTGATTTTTTTTTATTTTAAAGTATCATTTCATACTTACCCTCCAATGAGCACTTCCTTTAAGTGTCAGGTTGGTGCTCAAGAAGGTTCAGATTCTGGAGCATTTCAGATTTCAGGATTAGGATGCTCAACCTCTACCTAAGCACTTGGACAAAACAACCTGCTGTCACCAATAGGACTTGGTGCCAGCGAACACTCGGAACACTCCGGCCCCGGATCTTCAGTGCGCAGGGAGTATGGCGTGTTCATCCTCCTGGGATGCCCGCAGGGGGAGCCCTCCCCTCCCTGAACGCTGGGGACTCCAAGGGAAGTAGCAGGTTTCTAAGCGGTTCTACCTTTTTCTTCAGGTGGTTTGAAGAAGTTGGCTGGGAAGGAGATGGAGGACTCCAGCTCCCTGGGGAATTCTTCATGAATGGCGTCGAACCATGGGACTCTGGCTCCCGTGAAGTTGAACTTGTCAAAGATGTCGACAGCAAGAACTGGGGGGACAGTTCATTTAATCAGACATCACTCCCAGGGCTTTCTTGAACCCTTGCTGTTATCAAAATGACCACAACTGTCACACTGACACTGGCTGGACATATTTATTAATTAATTTATTTTTTATTATTAATTTTTTTGAAACGGTGTCTCACAGTGTCGCTCAGGCTGGAGTGCAGTGGTGCAATCTCTGCTCACTGCAACCTCTGCCTCCTGGGTTCAAGCAGTTCCCCTGCCTCAGCCTCCCGAGTAGCTGAGATTACAGGCACACACCACCATGCCCGGCTAATTTTTTGTATTTTTGGTAGAGAATGGGTTTCACCATGTTGGCCAGGCTGTTCTCAAACTCTTGATCTCAAGTGATCTGCCTCCCTCGGCCTCCCAAAGTGCTGGAATTACAGGCATGAGCCACCGTGCCCAGCCTACTTATTTATATGTATTTTTTAAGACAGGGTCTCACTCTGTCACCCAGGCTGGAGTACAGTGGTGCAATCTCAGCTCACTGTAGCCTCAACCTCCTGGGCTCAAGCGATCCTCCCACCTTAGCCTCCTGAGTAGCTGGGAATACAGGAGCATGCCACCACACCTGGCTAATTTTTTTTTAAATAGAGATGGGGTCTCACTATGGCACCCAGGCTGGTCTCGAACTCCTGGGCTCAAGCAATCTGCCCACCTCAGCCTCCCACAATGCAGGGATTACAGGTGTGAACCGCCATATCCAGTTGACTAACCATCTTTAGAACAGAAGCGACTTCCAACTTCCTGCATCCCATGTGTACCTACACCTGTCTGCAGTGAGCCTGAAGTGAGGCAGGATCCTCGACACTCACTCTTCTAGAGTCTCACACCTGAGGGTCTGGAAGGCCTGCCAAACCCCCAAGATCACGGCCTAACATCTCCCAAGCCCAGGACCTGTCCCCTGGGAGCCATGGGTGTGTCATTGCAGACTGTCTTCCCAAAGGCTCCATTTACAGATGAGGAAATGGAGGCCTTGCTGCTGAACCTTTTTTTTTTTTTTTTTTTTTTTTTTGAGATGGAATTTCCCTCTATCGCCCAGGCTGGAGTGCAGTGGCACCATCTCAGCTCACTGCAAGCTCCGCCTCCCATGTTCACGCCATTCTCCTGCCTCAGCCTCCCGAGTAGCTGGGACTACAGGCGCCTGCCACCACGCCCAGCTAATTTTTGTATTTTTAGTAGAGACGGGGTTTCACCATGTTAGCCAGGATGGTCTCGATCACCTGACCTCGTAATCTGCCCCTCCTCGGCCTCCCAAAGTGCTGGGATTACAGGCATGAGCCACCGCACCCGGCTTTTTTTTTTTTTTTTTGACAGAGTCTCCCCGTCACCCAGGCTGGAATGCAATAGTGCAATCTTGGCCCACTGCAACCTCTGCCTCCCAGGTTCAAGTGATTCTCCTGCCTCAGCCTCCCAAGTAGCTGGGATTACAGGCATGCACCATCACACCTGGCTACTTTTTGCATTTTTAGTAGAGACAGGGTTTCACCATGTTGCCCAGGCTGGTCTCCAACTCCTGACTGCATGTGATCTGCCTGTCTCGGCCTCCAAAAGTTCTGGGATTATAGGCGTGAGCCACTGCGCCCAGCCTCTGAATCATTTTTCTAAGAGCATGGCCAAGTGGGGGCCGGGAGCCCACCTGCTCCACCCATGGGGACCCAGCTCCTGGGCGCACCCCTGAGGGTTGCAGGCCTCCACCCCCAACGCAGCCAGTGCCTTACTCATGTTGGTGGTGACGATGACAAAGGGCTGCAGGTACGTCCACTGCACGTTGCGTGCCACATTGCTGAAGTAGCCCTCGAGGCGCCGGAGCAGCTGTGCCGTGCCACCCTCGCTCCGCTGGATCTGCTCCCACGCTGCCCTGGTGGCCGGGGCCAGGAGGGCACTGCCCGAGTGGATGATGTTCTGGTCAGACAGACAGCGCTCAGTGCTCAGCCTGCGGAGGCCTGGCTCGTGGGACCGAGGGACATCAGCCCTGAAAGGCTTTGCTCGCCTAGAGAGCTCATTCATTCATTCCAGCCCTACACTTTAGATTGTGCTCTTTAATATTAGTCTCCAATTTTTTTTTTTTTTTTTTTTGAGACAGACTTTCGCTCTTGTTGCCCAGGCTAGAATGCAGTGGCACAATCTCGGCTCACTGCAACCTCCACCTCCTGGGAGCAATTCTCCCGCCTCAACCTCCGGAGTAGCTGGGATTACAGGCACACATGTGCCACCACTCCCAGCTAATTTTTGTATTTTTAATAGAGACAGGGTTTCACCATGTTGGCCAGGCTGGTCTTGAACTCCTGTCCTCAGGTGTTCCACCTGCCTAGGCCTCCCAAAGTGCTGGGATTACAGGCATGACCCACTGAAACTGGCCTAGTTTTCAATTTTTTTTTTTAAGTTTAAGAGGAATAGAAAAATGTTACTAAGCTCACAAAGTATATTAAAATCCAGAGAATTAAACGTGCTTCATATTTTTAGCTTAATTTATTAGATTTACAAGCACTGTTTAAATGCTTGGAAGGTCTGTTTGCTAGCCAAACAACTGATATAGGAAAATAAAAATCAAATATATGACGTATATTAATTCCATTTAAAATACTTAAGGGAATTTCATGGTTTAAGTTAATAAATAGGATCAAACATTAATCAGAGTTGAATTCAAAGAGACAAGGAAGTCATTTTTTAGTACTTGATTTTCATAAATCCCGAACCCTACCACATAAACTAGAGAGACTGTGGGTGATTCAATGTCAGAGGCCGGGACTCTGTCAGAGTGAGCCCTGCCAGAGGTTTTTCCACGTACACCTCAAGACGCTAAGGCAGGGAAGACATGTGGAGACATCCCTGTTATATCAGAATTCCTCCTGAACCCCACATTTAAAGCAGTGACGGAATCACCACACCCTGGGCTGAGCAGAGAAGCCACACTGAGGCTGCCATGGACATGCGGACAGCTCCTCTGCGGGTGACCCTCTGCCTCTGCGCACCCCAGGGTCTATGTGAATGACTGGGTGGAGGTGTGAGGCTGTGCTTAAGAGTTTGGGGACCACACCCAAGACAGAAACCAGGGCAGACACGGTGGCTCACGCCTGTAATCCCACCACTTTGGGAGGCTGAGGCGGGTGGATCACCTGAGGTCAGGAGTTCGAGACCATCCTGGCCAACATGGTAAAACCCCATCTCTACTAAAAATACAAAAAATTAGCTGGGCGTGGTGGTGGGCGCCTGTAATCCCAGCTACTTGGGAGGCTGCGGCAGGGGAATTGCTTGAACCCGGGAGGTGGAGGTTGCAGTGAGTCAAGATCACACCACTGCACTCCGGCCTGGGCAACAGAGCAAGACCATGTCTCGGAAAAAAAAAAAAAAAAAAAAAGACAGAAACCAGGAGGGAAAGCTGTTTACAGAGTCACACGTGGAGAACAAATGCCACTGGCCCAACTCGCAGGCTGGGACTCAAATTCCAGCGAGGGGATCCTTCCTGGTCTCTGGGGGCCCTGTGCAGACCAGAAGGTCTCGTGGGGGCCCTGCATGGACTGGAGGTCCTGTGGGGGCCCTGCGTGGATGAGACAACCAGGTTTAGTGTTGGGAGCAGGACACCAGCATGGGCTAGCCCAGTCCCACCACCTGAACAGAGGGGCTGTGATCCTCCAAGCTACCCAGGGAATGTGACACCTGGGTGCACAGCTCGTCCCAATGGCCAGAATGTATGGAAATCCAAGCGTGGTGGCTCATGCCTGTAATCCCAGCACTTTGGGAGGCTGAGGTGGGTGGATCAGGAGTTTGAGACCAGCCTGGCCAACATGGTGAAACCCCGTCTCTACTAAAAAATACAATAATTAGCCAGTGGGGGCGGGGGGGTGGCACGGGCCTGTAATCCCAGCTACTCAGGAGGCTGAGGCAAGACAATCAGTCGAACCCGGGAGGCAGAGGTTGCAGTGAGCCTAGATTGAGACGGTAACACTGCACTCCAGCCTGGGCGACAGAGCAAGATTCTGTCTCAAAAAATAAAAAAAATTAAATAAATAAAGAATGTATGGAAAACGTTAGCACAAATGGAGAAAGTTAGCTTAACCCTTGAGAGCAGGCAGGCAGGGAAAGGCAGGCCTGGGTGCCCTCCTGGCCCAAGTGGGCTCAAGAGGCCCTGCATACTCTGGTGGGGGGTGCTCTGAGGGGCAGCAGGGGTCCTGGTGGAGAGTGCTGGCAGGAGGACTCCCAGAGCCATGCAGCCTGGATGTGGGATCGGATCCTCTTGCATTGCCTGCTCTACTGGCTCAGAACCCAAATCCCTCAAAGTGAGGAGTCCCACTCACTGGGAAGCAGTTTTTGGTTCAGACTTCCCATGGACCCTGGGAAACTTCCTCAGTTGTCCTGAAAGCTCTGCAGGGTGAGACCACTCCTTCCCTCCCACCCCTGAGAAGGGCCTGCACACAGTAGGTGCTCAGTCCACGCACGAGAGCAGGTGACGCTGGGGCCCCTGGGGCTTAGCAGCCGGAAGCCCAGGAGTTCTCTGCCTGGTGCATGCGTGGCTCACCCTGGGAGCAGGGCTGGGGTGTGCCGGCTGCTCTCCCAGCTGTGGACGCTCACGCCCACCCTAGGTACAGGCTGGCAGGGGCTGCCAGGCTGGGGAGGCTGTGCCTGGGTTTTCCCTGGGGTAATTTCAAGTAAAGGGTGTTCTTTTCCTGTGCGCCAGTAGACGCTTTGGTCTCATTCATGAGGTTTGATTTTTTTTAAACATGCAATCCTACACTTTGGGAGGCCGAGGAAGGTGGATCACTTGAGGCCAGGAGTTCTTGATCAGCCTGGCCAACATGGTGAAACCCCGTCTCTAGTAAAAATACAAAAACACAGCAGGGTGTGGTGGCACACACCTGTAATCCCAGCTACTCCGGGGCTGAGGCAGGAGAATTGCTTGGACCCAGGAGGCAGAGGCTCTAGTGAGCCAAGATCGCGCCACTGCACTCCTTCCCGGATGACAGAGTGAGACCCTGTCTCAAAACAAACAAATACGCAATTCTTTTTTTTTTTTTTTTTGAGTTGGAGTCTCACTGTCACCCAGGCTGGAGTGCAGTGGCGCGATCTCGGTTCACTGCAAGCTCCGCCTCCTGGGTTCATGCCATTCTCCTGCCTCAGCCTCCCTAAGAGCTAGGACTACAGGCGCCCACCACCACGCCCAGCTATTTTTTTTTCTTTTCTCTTTTGTATTTTTAGTAGAGACGGGATTTCACCGTGTTAGCCAGGATGGTCTCGATCTCCTGACCTCATGATGCACCTGCCTCAACCTCCCAAAGTGCTGGGATTACAGGCGTGAGCCACCCCACCCAGACAGTTTGCTTGTTTTTTGAGACAAAGTCTTGCTCTGTCACCCAAGCTGGAGTGCAATGGCACGATCTTGGCTCACTGTAACCTCCCCCTCCCAAGTTCAAGCAATTCTCCTGCCTCAGCCTCCCGAGTAGCTGGGATTACAGGTATCCGGCCACCTCAACCAGCTAATTTTTGTATTTTTAGTAGAGACAGGGTTTCACCATGCTAGCCAGGCTGGCCTCAAACTCCTGACCTCAGTGATCCACCCCCTTCAGCCTCACAAAGTGCTGGGATTACAGTTGTGAGCCACCACACCCAGTCCCAGTCTTTTTCCTATATGTGATTTACATTGGTTTTCACAAAAAATTTATAGCTATTTTTTTTTTAATTTTTAAATTTTTTGTAGAGATGGGATCTCACTATGTTGCCCAGGCTGGTCTTCAGCTCCTGGTCTCATGCAGTCCTCCCACCTCAGCCTCCCAAAGTGCTGGGATTATAGGCCTGAGCCACTGTGCCACTGTGCCTGACCCTGCATTTTCACTTATTGTTACTTTTTCAGCACTCCTCCTTTAATTCCTAGTACCTGCTAAGACTTCTGTTGAAGCTCACCTGCTTAATTCCTCTTTGTGATTACACAATTTTATATTTTGGAAAGCGTCATTGCCAGGGCTAGGCATAGTGGTTCACACCTGTAATCCCAGTATTTTGGGGAGCCAAGGCAGGAAGATCGCCTGAGCTCAGGAGTTCAAGACCAGCTGGGCAACATAGGGAGACTCCATATCTTAAAAAAAAAAAAAAAAAAAAAGGAATGGTGGCACATGCATGTTGTCCCAGCTAGTTGTGAGGCTGAGGTGGGAGGATTGCTTGAGGCCTGGAGGTCAAGGCTGCAGTGAGCCATGATTGTGCTACTGCACTACAGCCTGGATGACACAGCAAGACCCCGTCTCAAAAAAGAAAAGAAAAAAAAAAGAAATAGGAAAAGAGTCATTGCCTGGGGTTCATTTTTTACTTTTTAAAGAGTGCAGAGTAGTTTTTAATGTATTTAAAACATTTCTGAAAATGGAACAAACTGGATAATGTTATTTTTTATTTGTTATTTTAATTAGGGGCATTTCTTCTTTCCTCCGTTAAGCATCAAAACTTGGAGACCAGATGGCAGATTTGCACCTTTACAACCAGAAGCTCAGGGAGAAGTTGAAGGAGGAGAACACAGTGGGTATGTTCAGATTGCTTTTGGGTACCTTGACCCAGCCACATTGTCTACCCTAGATTGGTGCTCATGGTACTTCTTGGTGGCATTTCAATAATAGGTTGAGTTGTATACCATCTCCCTTTACACTACATTATGAAAATGACATTATTAAATAAGAATTTTGATGGAGCTGATAAGCTAGTAGAATTGGCACATGACCCCTTTTATACCCAGCCCTCTTGTCTGGTGTGCTTGAGGTAATAATAACCCCTTTTATACCCAACCCTGCTGTCCAGTGTGCTTCAGGTAGGAGTGTCCTGGCAGATCCATATATTGACTAATTGCTACTGTATGTAGTACATCCTTAGACCACCCATATTCTAGCATGTGCAGCCCAGGCTTGTACTGATGCTCTGCTGAGGTCTGGCATTTAAGAGAAAGACAAACAGCTCCTTCAGGCCAAGGATCTCTGTCAACAGGCTGAAGAGGTGAGGGTGCTGAGCCTCAGTATGTGACCAAGTTTGGCTTCCACATGGTGATGTGCTGTGGCTTCATCCCACAGGTGAGTGCCTGGGTGAGGGTGTTCCCTGATGCTCTAATGCTGGTCACCCACTCATTTTTTTTTTTTTTTTGAGATGGAGCCTTGCTCTGTTGCCCAGGCTGGAGTGCAGTGGCGCGATCTTAGCTCTCCTGGGTTCATGCCATTCTCCTGCCTCAGCCTCCTGAGTAGCTGGGACTACAGGCACCCGCCACCACGCCCAGCTAATTTTTTGTATTTTTAGTAGAGATGGGGTTTCACCGTGTTAGCCAGGACGGTCTCGATCTCCTGACCTCGTGATCCTCCCACCTCAGCCTCCCAAAGTGCTGGGATTACAGGTGTGAGCCACCGCACCTGGCGGTCACCCACTCTTTATATGTGACAGAATGCCAGTCCCCTAGGCACCAGCAAGATTGACTACCTGATTTCTGAAAGCAGAATACAAGCTGTGATACCTGGAATGGGGAGAGCAGAAGCCGAGAGTCACTGAGCTGAGCCAGGCAGGCTCATGGGACATGCTGGGGCAGGCAGATCAGCATTCTAAGCAGAGGAAGCCTCAAGTGCAAAGGTGATGTTGCACAAGGCTCCTGATGAGTATGAAGGACTGGAGACAGTTGGGTGACAGGTAGTGTGCCAAGTCAGGGATTAAGTCCTGATTATCAGCTCCTCTCCTGAGGCCTTTACAAATTATTATTTATTTAGATACAATTGAGATATAATTCACATAAGATCCACCACTTTAAAGGGTAGAATTAATTGGTTTTAGTACATTCACAATGGTGTGCAATCATCACTGCTGTTTAATTCCAGAACATTTTTATTACCCTAAAGCAGAACCCATTAGCAGTCACTCCCCATTTCCCTGTTCCCTGGCCCCTGGCAACCTCTAATGTATCTTCCGTCGCTTTGAATTGACCTATTCTGGATATTTCATATGAGTGGAATCACATTACATGTGACCTTTTGTGTCTGGCTTCTTTCACTCAGGATCATGCTTCAAGGTTCTTCCATGTTGTAGCACGTATTAGAATGTTATTTTTTTATGGCTGAGTAATATTCCACTGTATGGCTAGGCCACATTTTTGTTTATGTATTCCTTTATATGGCTGAATAATACTGGGGCCTCTTGAACCATCACCTTTTAAACCTGTGAAGTTCCAAAGAAGGCTTTGGACAACCCAACTGCCCTGTGCTTCCCTCAAAGAAGCCATTATTGGACCATATTTTGGTTTCGTTAGGGACACAGTGCCCATTATATAAGAGCTAGTCCAGTTTAAAGCTACTGCTTCCCGAAGAGAGCATACTTTCAAATCTGTCTCCTCGTGGAAGCCCGTCCTGATTAGTTGGGTCCCTGCAGACAATGACCAAGCTCTCCCTGGCGCAGATGGAGGGTGAGTTCCCCAGCTGGAGGTCACTCAGGGCAAGATTCTCATGAAACCCAAGCAGATTTACGGTTCCCAGCCAACAGGCAGTCCTCACACTGGGCTCGCTAGAACTGCACAAGGAGTTTACCAGATTTACCAAGACCCCCGAGATCTCAACCACAGCTGGCTCCCCTGGAGTCACACAGCTGTCCGGAGCCAGTGAGCAGTACCATCCTCATAGTCCAGGTGAGGACGGCTGGGTGTAGGTTGTGGTCCTGTTTTTCAGGTCAAGGGGTGCAAGTGGTGGGGTCTACAGGTCTTGGTCCTGTTGCTGAGGTCAAGGGGTACAAGTGATGGGGTCTACAGGACTTGGCTGGCCCAGCAGAGTGGTGTTTCAAAGAAATGAAGTGAAATCTTACCCAGAACCCCTGTGTGTGAAGCAGATGAGAAGCGGGCTGGTCTGTTTGGAGCACAGGTAGCCCCTCAATGTCCCTTCAGACTCCAGGATCAAGGAACCACCTCGGATCAGCTGCAGCCTGGCTAGGAAGGGTGAGGGGCCAGGGAGGACACCTGCCCTGCTTCCTGCGTGTCGTGCCTCGGACAGCACCAGGTTCCGGAGGCTTCCCACTCCTTGGGAGGGCTGAATGAGTCCTGGGGGAGTGTGTGCTGCAGCCACTCGGGGGCAGTGCTGAAGAGTGGGCTCCTCAGATGCCTGGGGCACTAAGGCCCACTGGAGCCACCAGCTAGGTCGGCTGCAGTGATTGCCCCATGCTCTGTACACTGCCACATACCAGGCACCGTTCTAAGTGCTTCATCGGACTCAACTCACCCACTTGCCCCAGCAGGTAACCAGGCAGATGTCACTGATCGGTTTTACAGATGAGGAAACTGATGTGCAGAGTGACACTCCTGAGACCGTGAAGCTTGTAAATGGGGCAGCTGGGTTTTGACCCTCAGTCTGGCTTTAGAGCACAGGCCCTGACCATGACACGGCCCTGCCCCTCTGTCAAGGGGAGGCCTGACCATTGGGACCAGCTGTGCACCCAGGTGGCACCTTCCCTGGGTAGCTTGGAGGATCACAGCCCCTCTGTTCAGGTGGTGGGACTGGGCTAGCCCATGCTGGTCTCCTGCTCCCAACACTAAACCTGGCTGTCTTCCAGAAAGAGGACAGAGCTCAGACACTGAGAGCTTGGGCAGGCAAATGGGAAATGACGGGAGGCTGCACGGTGCACCTCTGTGCCGGGGGTCTGACAGCCAGGCTGTGGGGAGGGGACCTTTCCATCCTGCTCTTGAGGTGCACACAGCACCAGAGGGTGAGCCCAGGGGCCGAGTCACCACAGCACCCATGTGCAGGGAGAGTCTCGATGGTGAGGGCCGCTGACCAGGACGGTCCTCCTCAAAAGAGTTTTACAAAATAACCCTTTGCATAAAATAAGCATTGTATTTTTCTCTGTTGAGGTGTAATTGACATAAATTGCACCCATTTAAAACGTATAATTTGGTACCTTTTGACATGTTTGTACCTGTGAACCTCTGACCACAGTTGAGGTGGTTACCCCCAAAAGGTTCCCCGTGCCCTTCCCTGCCCCGGGCAACCATTCTTCTATATTGTCACTGTAGATTAGTTTACATCTTGTGGAATTTAATCTAAACAGAAACATACAGTATGTACTCCTTTTTGTCTGACTTCTTTCACTCAGCATAATCATTCTGATATTTATCCATGTCTAAAATCCTTTGATATTCATCCATGATACACATCCACGTTGCATGTGTCAAAAGTCAATTCCACTGTATTGATATCACATAGCCTGTTTATCCATTCACATGTGGACAGACTTCTGGGTCATTTCCAGTTTTTGCTTATACGAATAAAGCTGCTATAAACCTTTGTATACAAATCTTTGTCTGGACAAATGCTTCCACTTATCTTGGGTAAATACCTAGGAGGGGAATGACTGTCATATGGTAGGTTCATATTTAACTCTTTAAGAAACTACCAAACTATTTTCCAAAGTGGTTGCATCATGTTATATTCCCACCAACAGCGTATGAGAGTTCCAGTTCCTCCACATCCTTCCTAACACTTGATATTTTCTGTTTTAAATTACAGCCATCCTAGTGGGTGTGAAATATTATCTCACTGAGGTTCTATTTTGCATTTCCATAATGACTAAAGATGTGGAGCATCTATTCAGGTGCCTGTTTGCTGACAAAATGTCTTCTTTGGTGAACCATCTGTTCAATTATTTTGCCCAATTTGTGAATAGGTTTTTTTCTTATTATTGAGTTTTGAGAGTTATTATTTGTATATTTAGGATATAAGTCTTTTACCAGATATATGATTTGCAAATAGTTTCTCCTGATTTGTTGTTTGTGTATTCTCTTGAAAGTGTCCTTCAGAGGCCAGGCACGGTGGCTCACGCTTGTAATCCCAGCACTCTGGGAGGTTGAGGTGGGTGGATCACTTGGGGTCAAGAGTTCAAGACCAGCCTGGCCAACATGGTGAAACCCCATCTCTACTAAAAATACAAAAAAATTAGCTTGGTGGTGGGCACCTGTAATCCCAGCTACTCAGGAGGCTGAGGCAGGAGAATCGCTTGAACCCAGGAGGCAGGGAGGTTGCAGGGGCCAGCTGTGGCCACAGGCTGGGGACAGAGGCCAGGTCTGAGGCTGGTCCTCAGTGAGGAGTAAAGGGGATGGACCGGGAGACAGGGTGCAGGTTTGACACTGATTTTGCTTTTGGGGATGGGTCGAGGGAAGAGGCTGAGACTCTGGGCTTGGACATTGGGTACGGAGGATGTGACACTAGCAGACAGGCTGGATCTGGAGGCCTAAGGTGTGCAGTGTGGGGAGCTGTGTGTGCAGGAGAGATGCAGAGCACTAGGGAGCCTGAACCCCTGCTCCAGTGCACAGGCCTGGCACACGGCAGGGAGGAGGCAGTCACCATTCCCTGACCCGCCCGGGCCTGGGAGGCAGGGCAGAGCTGGTGACGGGCCAGCGTGGGGCCTTGGAATGACATCTGGCATGTGGCGGTGGAGGGGGGACATGTAACTGGGGACTGTGGACTCCCAGCTGGAATCCACCTCCACCTTCCACATCCACGCACTGCCTTTTGGTCTTTACTGAGCACCTGCTGTGTGCAGGGGCTGCTCTAGCCCCTGGGACCACCAAGGGCCAGCCCTCCGCAACCCCAGCCCTGCATTCAGCCCCCACCCACTTCCTCCAGAGCCCCACACCCCACATACTGAGGACTCTAGGCGTTTTCCCACTCTTGAAGGCACTGAGCTGGGAACACCACCTCTGGCCACCAGCTGTGGACTGCAGAGAGGCCTACGGTGACCAGGAAGGGTGGAGCTGCCCAAGGTCATACAGCAAGCCGGCACTGCACAAGCTGATCCCATGGCTGCCCAGCCTTGGGGAATGGGGGACTTCTGGCATGTCCCCGAGCTGGCCTCATCTGGGCCCTGGTAGAAGGCAAATAAAGGCAACATCTCAACAAGGTTGTGATAGCTGGGACAAATTGAGGACACAGTGCCGGGGATCCAGGCAAGCAAGGGACAATCCAGGAAGGCTCCCAGGAGGAGGTGAGGGGCCTGAAGCCCACCCTGGCCTGAGCCCCTCCTCGGTACTCTAGCCTGCCTAGCCCTACCCGCTTCCTCGACGGGCCCCTCACCCAGCCTCAGCCTTGGCCTGACATTTCCCGTGACATTTGCTACAAAGAAATTGAGTCATAAATCCAAAGGTTAAATTTGCACATCGCCTCAAACTGCTGGGGGAAGCAGTGGTCCCTCCACCCACTGGGCGCCCCGTGGGTGCGGGGTTTGTGTGGCAGGGTCTACCCATCCTGGGGCACTTGCTGGAGGCCCACAGGTCTCCTCTGGTCCTCCGAGGCACTTCAACCACTGTTTCCCAAAACAGGTTCCTGGGCACACCAGGCCCTGAGGTACATCGCATAGGGGTGCCTCTCAGAGAAGGTGCTGCCCACCCCTCTCCAAAACAGAGCCCAAGATGCCCTGCGGGAAAGGAGCACCATCAGCACCATTTATTCCAGCAGGTCCCACATTTGACCACAAAGCCCTTATGTGATACCCCCAACATTCCAAAGAATTTCAACTCCATGGACCGTGACCCGTGACAGCCAGCTAAGAATGCCAGGGTGCCGACTGGAGAGCCAAGAGGCACCCGGGGGCCCAGGGCAGGCTGCTCTGAGTGAGGCTGGGTCAGCACCTGACACTTCACTCCCAGATCAGCCCGGCTCCATGTGCCAGGGCCCTGAATGGGGCTTACCGCCTGCCAGGCCTGTGTAGAACTACATGGGGACCCTGGCCTGTGCCCACTCAGCCTCTCCTAAGGCCACTCTCGAGGTGTGCCAACAGCCCTGCCTTTCTTCTCCACCTCCTGGTCTGGCTGCCGTGGGTTGCCTCCATTGGACAGGACACAGCTGCAGAACAGTGTCAGCATTACCCCATGCCCCGCTGCCCTGCTGCCCCGCAGAAGAGGCCCCGCAGGCCATAGCGGGCAAGACCAGAGGCTGTGTGAAAGAGGGAGAGGAGAGGCGGCCCCAAGGCACCCACTGCACAAATGGATGCCCAGACTCTACTCACTCACCATCACCCACCCGGCCAGCCCACGGTTGTCAAAGGCCTCAGCTGGCTAGGAGGGGCGGGATCTGGCCCTGCTGCCGAGTCCCCTGAAATCAGCTCAAGCATCAGGGGAGAGGCACGTGACCAGCCCCTAGACCTGGTGGGTGCCAGCTGAGGACATGGTGGGGTGGGTGTGCAGAGCTGCATCTCCCGGTGCCCAGCTCCACGGCTGCAGGCAGTGCAGGAGGCCGGTGCAGGTTTGGATAAATAAATGATGGTGCATTCTCAGGAAGGGATTCCACACACACCAGAAAACCCACGATGCACAAGAATAGTTCCCGATGTGCAAAGTGTTTAAAATACAGCGATAAAAGAAGAAACGGCAGCACAGAACAACTGGTGTGGGGAACCCAGCTGGGCCCCAGGGACAGTGCAGGGAGATTTGCAGGGTGGGGTAGCATGCCCGCCACTCCGATCGGGCTTCCCCGGGGCCACTCTGTTACCTCCTATCCTTTAAAGCATTTAATCCTAGAGATGCACGATGCCAAGGATTGCACCCCTTGATTTGCCTGGCTCAGAAGAGAATCTGACAGGCTAGGAACGAACAAGCAAATGAATGAACAAATGAGAAAGTGAACGGACAGTTGGGGCAAATGCAGCATCTGGGATCTGGCTTCGAGGAGGGTGCCTGTGACCTTGGCCTGGGTGCAGCCAGGCTGCAGAGCAGGGACACTGAGGGGTGCAGAGAGGGCCCCGAGAGGGCATCTGCACAGCTGCAGAGGCAGCAGGCAGCCAGGCCGGCTCCTGCAGACCCCAAAGCCCAGGCCCTGGGTGGCTGCAGAGGGTCAGGCAGGCCAGCCTGGGGATCAGAGGTCAGGCTTGCCAGAATGGGGGCGGGACGGCATGAACCTCATTGATCAGACAGTAGCCAAGCGTCGGGAGCCCTCACTAACCCTGTGCCAGGGCCGGGCAGGGCGCCTGGCTCACACATGCATTTGTTCATTTCCAGGTCATCCTGAAACTCCCCGTATGCTTCCTGTTCTTGACCCCTTTCCCAGGTGCACAGACCAAGGCTCCCGGTGAGAGGTTCCGGGCCACAGGCCCAGGACAGCAGGAGGGCTCCTCTGCCTCCCACCCGTCCTGTCCTCACCAGCTGGACCCTCCTGGTGTTGCACCGGCTGCACAGGGCCGTCCGTGCCACAAAGCATGAATTCAAGGCTGGGGCAGGGACGAGGAGAGGGCAGTGCTACAAGGCTGCACTGTCCTTGGGCAGAGGGAGGCGGAGGGCACGGTCCCACATGCCCTGGCCCTCACAGCCTGCCTGTCACTCACAGCAACAGCAAACAAACCCCAGCCCCTCCACAGGCTGTGGGCCAGTCCCCAGCCTCCCAGGACAACAGGACCTTCCCCCACCTTCCAGGGCCCCAGCCCCTGTGGGGGTGTCCTCCATAGACCCTCCACAAGCCCTCTGGCTTTCAGAGACCTGCTGGGCCAGGCCCTCCCTCAACCTCTCCCCTGCTTCTCACTCCATGCAAACCTACGTTTCTGCCAGTCCCAGTGGAAGGACCCTGGCACAGGGAAACTGAGGCTCAGGGGTTCCACAGACCCCCAGGTGAGGAACAGGGGGAGGGCAGGGAGGGAGTGAAGGTACTATGGGAGGGTCTCCCAAGCTGGGCAGCATCCCTGCCCTGTCCCCTCTCCACTCACCTGTGGCCTGAGTTGCCTGACTAGGGGCTTTTATTGTCCCTTCTGCAAATGGATGGGGTGAGGGGCCAGCTGGCCATGCAAAGGTCCCAGGAGGACTCTGCTGAGTTGGGGTGTGGGGAGGTGTTCTGGGCATTCTGAGGCAGAAGCACCAGAGTCGGAACTCCACAGGGAAAGCCGGGCCAATTCCGCCCAGCCTCAGCCTGGAAGTGCCCCGATAATCCCTGACCACTGGCCCATGGTGCAGGTGAGGAAGACTGAGGCAGAGAGGTGACCTGTCACACCCAAGGTCACACTGCCAGCAGGTGGCTGAGCCAGGACCCAAATCCAGGTCACGGTTCTGCCACGGCAGGCCCTGCACGTGCCCCTCTGCCAGGTGGGGTCTAGGTGCTGATGGCCACCCATTCCCACCCCCGGCATGGGAGCTCACTTCCTCCTCACCTCAGTAGAGAAGAACAGGGAACAGTACCCCCTTTATAGATGGGAAGACTGAGGCTTAGAAAAAGAGACTGGCCAGCCCCACTGCTTCAGCTGCCCCTCTGCTAGTATGTTTCACCCTCACACAACCTACAAGGATAACCTGCTGGTCCCCACTCTATAGATGAGCCTCTGGTGGTGGCCAGGGGAGCAGGAGGTGTGGCCTGCCAATTGAAGCCCCAGCCCAGGGCCCTTGCCACAGTGCTAGTGGGCCACCCTTGCCCATCATGCAGCATGGCATCCATCTGCTCAGCACCCTACACAACACCGGAGGTAGGGGAGCCCACCACGGAACCCCTCACCAAGAAGGTCCTCACCATGGAGAAACTGAGGTACTGGAGGCGGGGCCTCTGCAGTCACGCTGGGTCACGTGCTCCAGTCAGCCAAGCTGCAGCGGCCACCAAGGGTGCCCAGGGTCTGGCCTGTTGGTCACAGTGTTGACCTCATGGCCTGAAATGGGTCTTCCCTGACCAGACAGGTTCCAGCCCACCATCATCTATCACTGCCTCAGCCCTGGTGGGTGCGGAGTGGCTGGGAGACCCTGCCCCTCACACCCTGGGCTGGGGGCATTCAATGAGCCCCCAACACACATTCCAGGGCCTCTGCTCCAGATTAGGCCACAGCCTGTCTAGGCACACAAGGGGCACCCACACCCTGGAGGCAAAGAGACATATGCCTATGTGCTCGCAGGCACACATGATCACGCGCACAGACACACGTGCAGATGCATACCAAGTTACACACACGCACACACGCCCGAGGCGGGGACCCCCAGGACACGGAGGCAGGCAGGCAGAGGTGGGGCCCAGGATGTCTTGCCCCTGTCTGTGGGCCTGGCCTCCCCACTCAACAGACGAGCATGTGGGTGCGGGAGTGGGTATTGTGAAAGGGGCCCCAGCATGTGCCACCCGTGGAGACCACAGCAGGCATGTCGCGTACATGCATGTGTGGCCGTGGGCGTGCAAGCGGGGGCGAGGACACAGATATGCACCCTCAGAGTCCGTGTGTGCACCCAGTGTTCGTGCATGTGTACACTGGGGTGGCGCTGGCACGCATGTGCACCAGAGGTGTGCAAGTGTGCAGTCCGTGTAGACATGTGCACGTGCAAGGAAACGTGTGTGCAGCCTGCGACACCATGGACATCAGCAGGGCAGCCTGGGTGGGCACCTGGGGAGCACCCTCCAGGCAGGGCATGCCCAACTCACATGGAGCCCACCCTCCCTTGCCCCCCACTGCGGGACCTCACACCCAGTGGGGCGGGGGAGTCTCACGAAGGCTGCCAGGGAGGGGATGCTGATTGCCCCACCACCCCTGATTCCCCCAGCCAAGCCTCTCAATGTCCCTCGGGCTGCGGATGTCTGGGCATTGCTGCCTCCTCTCACCGCCCGCCCTGGAGGCAGCGTTGGGACAACCTTGTCCCCCACGCCCTCTACTGCCGCCAACGCCCCCATTGATCCCCCTGAGGCCTGACCTCAGAAAAACGGGAGGTTCTGAGCCCAGTCCGCGAGGCGGGGGCGGAGGCGGCCCGATACCTCCACCTACTCTCGGTACCCGCGTTTCTGCAAAAAAACCCGCTCATTAACCCCTTCGTGGCCGCGGCGCCGAGGCCGGACCCCGTCCTTCCAGCCCGCGGCCCCCACCCCGGACCTGGCCCAGCCTCGGGGACCCCCGGGCCGCCACCCCCGGCCCCGCCATCGCCGTCAACTTACCCGGGAAGCGGCAACTTTTCCTGCTGCCTCCGGCTCCGCCCTCCCGGGGCCGGGGCGCCCTTGGCCCCAGCCTGGCGCGGCACTGCGGTGGCCCTCCCGGCCGCCCGGCTACGCTTCCCCAGCCTTGGAAGCCCTGGACGGGCCCTGCGGCTCCGAGGAGGGGCGAACCACCCCGCTCTGCGCCCCGCCGCCTGCTGGGCTCTGGCGCCGCGTGGACACTCACCTCCAGTGGACGCCCTCTTCATCATAGGGGTCAGGCGGAGCGGGTCGGGGACCGAAAGTCGCTTCGGGGCGGGCGCCAGTCTCCGGCCCAGCCCCGGGCCGGCATCCAGGCGCCGCCGCTCCGGCCCAGCCCCGGCCCGGCAGCGGGTCTAGGCTCCGCGCGCTCCGCTCCGCCCGGCTCGGGCGGGGCTCGGGCCGCGGGCGCGCAGGGCGCGGGAGGCGGCGGCGGGCGGGGCCCTCACCTGGGCGCAGGCGCCTGCCTGGGCGGGGGCTGGGGGGCGCGGGCCTGGGCGGGGGCTGGGGGGCGCGGGCCCAAGTTGGGGCGTGAGCGGCGCGGCTGGCCGGGGAGCGTAGGCCGGGCAGCAGGAGGTGCTCAGCCCACCCGGCCCTAGACAAAGCCGCGCATTCCTGAAGAGGCGGCGGCCCTGCAGGCGGCGGAGGGGATGGCGGCTGGGGCCATTGAGGCCTGGGGATGGCCTCTGCGCGACCCACTCGCTTCCTGGCCTCACGAAACCCATGAACCCCCCGCCCCCCCCCGCCCCCTGCACAGAAGCCCCTTGCTGGAGCACGATCGCCCCCATTTTTCAGTAAGAAACAGGCTCAAGGCTTAAGAGCGTTCTGGGGGCCCTCTTGGGCCTTTGTGGCCCTCTCTGCACCACCCCAGGGAGGGGACCCAGGCCTGATGTTACCCATAACCCTGCAGGGGTCCCCCACCTCTTCCTTCCTGCGGAATGTGGCCTCCAAACCCAGAAGACGCTCTCCGAGGCCGCCTGCTTAGTATCATCCCCCACTCTACTAAGCCAGCCCCCAGCGGGGCCGGGGGGGCGTCATGGAGCCAGAGAACCCAGTGACACCCCTACACACACCACACAGGGTGGGGGTGTTCCTTCTCCGTCTTCTGCTCGGGGGGCATCCGATGATGATGAGCTCCTAAGCCCATCCCGGGGTCTTCAGACAACTGCCAGGCTGTCCCTGCACCTGGAGGAGTGCTGGGAGTCAGCTCAGCTGGGCTGGGTCCTCCCCAGGCCCACCCTGCATGACAGGACCAGGGTCTTGCAGGCCAACCTGGTGTCAGTCTGTAGGACCCTGACTCAAGGACGGAGTGGGCCAGCCTGAGGTCTTGATGGCTCCCCTCAGAGCCCAGGTCCACTGATATGAAGCAGAGAGACCTGGTGACTGGGCAGCCCTGTGCTCTCTGCCTGCCCCTGGCCATGGAGGTGGCCCTGAGGGAGATGAGCAGGGCACAGGGCTGGTGACCTGCCTGCCTTGTCCAGAGGAAGTGAGGACCTCCCAGAGCCCTGGTGCTCCCATCTGATCCCAGTGGCAGGCAGCTTCCCAGGGTGGAGCCATGCTGGCCGGGCCCTCTGCCTGGTGTGGAGGCTGCACTGCCCACATGCCTCTGGCTGCCGCTCTGTGGCCCTCATCACCTTGGCCTGCTTTATCCCTATCACCCTTGTCCCAGCCTAGGCTTATGAGGGCATTGTGGAGTGCATGCCATTCCCAGCCACACAGAAGGTGAGGTGGGGCCCAGACACCCCCAGCCACTCTGTCCCCTGGCCTCCTGAAGGGGTGGGCTGTGCACACACTGCCACCTCCCCAGAGGGTGCTGGCTGCCGAGTGCCACCAGCTCAGCCCCTGAGGTGGCTCAACAGGTCCTCCCAGAGCCACACCAAGATGTCATCACCCATTGCACAGATGGGGAACCTCAGGCGAAGCTGACAGAGCCAGTGGGAGGCTGAGGCCTGACCCCTAAACAAGCATTCTTCCTCCAGGGTCCCTGCACGCAGCAGCCCCTAGACTAGGAACTGAGCTCTCACCACAGGGATGTATCAGACCCTAGATGAGTCATGAGGCACTGACCATCAGTCTGAGGACAGCGCTGGGGTGGACCAGGCTCCAGTCTCGGGCTGCTCTGTGCTTGCAGAGAGGGCTTGAGAGGACACTTGCGTGCTTACTATGCAGGCGTCTCTTCAATTACCAGTGACCCAGAGCGGCCCACTACAATTGAAGATTGTGACCCCACACCCTATCTCATAGGTTTAAAGCCCCTCCCACCCCTCCTGCAGCAGCCAAAGTGACCATTCTGGGGCATGGGATGGGCATGGGGGGAAATGGGGAGCCAGGGCTAACCTGGAGGCTTCTGGCACCACAGCCCTCTCCAGCCATCAAGTCCGGCTGTTCCCAGCTGCTCTGGGCTGGGACCTGGGCCTCCACCTCCCCACCTGTCTGTGCAGTGGGAGCAGGCCCAAGGCCCACAGAGGGAGCGCTGGGGGACCGGCTGGTTTCCTGTGTCCGCCACCTCGGTCAGCACCTTGGCCAGCGCCCTCCCCACTGGAAGCTGAGCCCACTCCTGGGTGCTAGCTGGAACGATTAGGTGTGGGCCAGCGCTGATAGGGAGTTATGGGGGTGCAGAGGCAGAGTTGAGCAGGGCTAGGCAGCCGGTCGGTCTGCTACCAGCAAGGCACAGCCCGCTTCTCAGGCTGTGCATGTGGGAGGGTTTGGTAAGCCACATTTTTCAGGGTGTAGCCAGGTCGGGGGGCAGCATGGGGAGTGGTGTACTCTCTGGGCAGGCGACCGCGGAGCCATCACCCCCCCAGGGCCCAACGGGCAAGGGAGGGAGGGCAGCTGACGGCTGGTGAGGGGCTAGCAGGGAGGGCTTGACAAGGGCTGGAGCCCCTGGTCAAGGGGCACAGCCAGTTCTATCGGGTCACCTCATGGGAGGAGCCAGGGACCCTGTGGGCAGAGCCTGGCCGTCTGCTGCCCGGAGTCTACACCAGTCAGTTCCTAGGAAGCCCCAGCAGGGGTGCTGGGAGGACAGGCCATCTGTGCCCAGCTGATGCAAGCTCCCAGGCTTTCTGGACACGTGGCCCTGGGGATCAGGAGTGAGCTGGAGACTGCAGACAGCTGTGACCTCAGGGCTGGGCAGACCTGTCACACCCTGCCTGGACTGGGTCAGCAGGGCCACACGGGCATCTGCCCGAATCGTTCCCCACCTCACACCCACCATGTAGGGCACATCCTTTGCCAGCTTCCCCAGCCCACCACCCCCCTCCAGTGAGGCCAGGGGCTGCCTCACCTCCCACCCCCACCCCCAACCTGGGGCTCGGCCTCCACGACCAGCATGCCGGTCATGAGGGCCCTGCCCAGCTGTGTGACCTCGGCCCAGCCCCTTGGCCTCGCTGAGCTTGCACAGCATGTGGACGAGGCAGACGCTAATGCCTCAGGGCCTGGTCAGCTGGTCACTGTCCCTCCTTTGTTCACCCCTCCTGTCCCCTGAGAGGATCATGCAGGGTTTTCACTCAAAACTCCATGCCTGCCCATAGAAGCCAGCTTGAGATGAGGGGACCTTTCGCAGTGGCCCGTCTTGGGCTGACAGGGACACGGTTCAGCCTCCTTGGAAGGTCCCTTCTTCCCAGGGCTTCGGGAGGCTCATCTCCCGCCTGGAGAGATAGGCGTGCCATGGCTTTCCTTGGCATGCCTGTGCGGTTCTCACGGACATCCAGGCCCTCGGTGTCTCCTGGGGAGGGATGGGCAGCAAGGAAATTGGGTCTTTGCTCCACACATTCTGGGCCACTCCAGGCCAATGCAAGGAGAGACCAGGAAGGAAGCTAGAAGGTCATGCGGCAAGCACATGCCTGCTGCCCAAGCGTGTCAATGTGACCAACCCTTCCCTGCACTCTGAGTGGGCGGCTAGGGATGTGGTCCCGGTGCCAGGGAGCTGGGGGGCGTCAGCCTGCCATCTGCTCTCACCACAGAGGGTGGCTGCATGCCCAAGGCCCGAGAGGACTCTGTGCCAGGCCTGCTGAGTGAGTCATCCCATTCAGTCCTGCAGTGTAGACACTACTACCACCACCCATTTTCCAGACCAGAGAAGGAGGTCTGGGGAGCTTAGGTGGACCCACGTCTTGGCAGCCTCTCTCAGCCCTCTCTTTGCCCACAGCCTCTGCCTCCTCCAGAAGCCTCTCACCATCCCCCATCCCCAGGGCTGCAGAGGGTGTCCTGGTCTTCCCCCATCAGTTCTGCACCCCTGAGGACTCCCATCCCTAGGAGTCCCTCTGCCCAACTTTGGTGCATGTTAAGCCATAATTAATATGCTTCCTCATCTCTTATTCATCAAAGCCACACGCAGCAGCAAAGGGGGCTGGCACAAGGAAGGGACCGACAACCAAATCCTGGCAGTGGCCCCAAGAATCCCACTGGGCCTGCCCATCTCCAAATGCCTCTGACCCTTCACTAGCAAGGGCCTCCTCCCACAGGGCTGCCTCCCCCAGCCCTGGACTGGATCCCTTGTGGCCCATCTCCAGGATGGGAACCTGAACAGAGATGAAAGGACACTCGACCAAGTGGGACATGCCAGGCTGGCACCTGGACCCCTGGTCCACCACTCTTCCTGGTGCCCAGAGGAAGGGGTGAGTCCCCAGGGTTCCTGGACCTTGAGATGAGCTCGGGCCACTTGTGTTCGCCAGCAGATGGGCTCAGGGTCTTCTCTCAGTGGGCACAACCAACTTGGTGGCCTCTCTCTGGGGAGGCCGGCTGGGTGGGGCTGGGGAGTAGGAGGCTTCTGGTCCCTGTAGGCACAAATCTGGTGCAGGGGCAGAGCTCCGGAAGGTGGGGGTCCCTGGGCTGTGCCCAAGGCATCCGCTGTGGCTTCACGCCCCTCCCCCACCCCTGCAGGGAGTACGGATCCTTCTAGAGCCACCCACCTGGCAGTGACAGCTAAATTGGGAGCTGCTGTTAACACCAGGAGCCCAGCAGGCAGTCAAACCTGGGTTGGGGGGGAGGGGCACCTGTTGAAAGCACCCACGAGCTCCCAGTGGAGCAGGGAAGGCAGGGAAGGCATGGCGATAGCTGTCAGCAGGAGTGGGTGGGGAGTGGAAGGCAGGGTGGACCGCCAAACCCACCTTGGGGCCACAGTGAGATGGTCCCTAGGATGCCTTGGCTGGCTAGTGCCCAGCCTTGCTCTTGTAGGAGCTCCCTGGGTCCCTGGGCACCCCACTCTGGGCCACCATGATCCATGCGGCATGCAGGTTTGTTCCGTTTCCCAGATGGAGAGGCTGAGGGCTTGCTCTGAGCGCAGTGGTCCCACCCTTCACAGCCTCCCTCACTGCCTTCATCTGCTCACTTCCTCATTCATTTAGTCACTCAACAAACACTCTGAGAGGCAAGCTGTAACACCCCGTATACCTTTACTGGACCCCTATTCCACATATCCCCACTGGGTACAGGTGGGGAAACTGAGCCCCGGGGAGGTGGGCCTTGGCCTGAGTTCCCCAGCCAGTGATTCCAGGATAAAGGGCATAGCCATGCCGTGTGGTCACTTGAAGCCCACAGGGGTGACTGGGAAGAGCCCACCTAGCACCCCACATTCTGCCATGGTGACTCAGACCAAGTCCTTGGGGCTCTGCCCCCCAGCCAGTGGCTCTGCCTCTGAGAGCCATGGGACAGGGAGCTGTGCAGGGTGGGGCCAGCAGAGCCTGCGCCCCTGCCCGAGCTGGTCCTGATGGGGCCTGCCCTGACCCCTGCCCAGGCTCACGGGTGCAGAGCAGGGCGGGGCCAGCCCTGGCCTTGCAGTAAGATGGGGGCCTCTGTGGGCAGTCCTGGAGGCCAGGCCCTGGGGCTAGGACTTGCTGGCACAGGGCCTGAGTTTCCTCCTGTGTCCGCAGGCCTTATTGCCTGCAAGGGAGGTGGAGGGGCACATGGGCAGTGCCCAGCGTGAGGAGGGGGTTCTGAGACTGCAGCAGCTGGTGGGCCTCTGAGACTGGGGTATTTTTAGCCAGGATTCCTGCTGACTATATAGGCTGGCTGGGGTTTGCTGCCAGCCTTGGAGGCGCTTCTCCTAGCCTGTGTCAGGACATCTGGGGTCTGCCGGCCCCACCACCCTCTGCTCAATGCCACCGCCTCACTGGCCCATCCAGCCAGGCGAGGGGCTCCCAGGAGGCCGGCCATGGTGGGAGCAGAGCCCGGGGCCCTCGGGGTGTGGCTGAGAAGAGGCCACATGGGCTGCTGGGGGCTGCCTGTGTCCTGGGTCTCCAGCTCCCAGCTGCCACTCTTAGCCGGCCCGCTTAAGGGGCAGGTTTCTGGAGGCTCCGGTTCATGCCCAGGCTCGAGTTCTGAACTGAGCATTCTCAGTCCGCTGCCTGCTGCCTGCTGGAACGGATGGCTCAGCAGAGCGGCCACAGCTTGGCTCCCTCCTGGGCACTCCTGCCTGCCCTTGCCGCTTGGGTGCTCTGGTCATCAGGCCTCTCTGGCTGGCTCTGCCAAGGTGCATGTGTGCAGGGCCTGGGCCTGCAGGGCCTTGTGGCTCAGCCAGGACCACCTCCCTTCCCATGGGCAAGTGAGGACATCCAGAAAGAGGGTCCTCTGCCTTGGCCACTCCCTTGAGACACCCCTCCACCCCAAGGCCTCGCGTGGAAACAGAGTCCAGCACTCAGCGTCACGCCTGCGCACTCCACCGGCAGGACTGGCTGAGTCCCGAGGAGCCAGGCCCTGGGGCACAGGCCAATGGGATGGAACCCAGATGAAAGCCCAGTGCTGGGACCCACGGCCCATTCTCTGGCCTGGCTGAAGCCTGACGGCTTGTTCCTTGAATGAATCAGGAGGCCCATCCAGAGCAATTGTGAAGTTCACATGAAAGAAGGAGCATACGGAGAGAGATGGGCCATGTCACATCCTGAAACGCCTTATATTCTAAGACCATGATAATTAACACAGACCCTGGACAGTCACACGATGGGAAAGAGTCCAGAAAGAGGCTCAAATGCAAATATGAGAAGAGGCAGGTCAAATCCAAGAGGAGAGATGGAATATTCAACAAATAATCCCACATATACAATCAACACTTGGCCTTAAGACAACGGAATTGACATATGGAGGAAACATTTGGATTCCTACCTCACTCCTTGACGCTAAAACAAGTTCCAAGTGGAACTAAGATTTAAAAAGTAAAAATGAAACCATAAAACTCCTAGAAGAAAGCATGGATGGCAAAAAACCAATCTTTAGTCACTCTAAGAATTATACAAAACCCAGAAGCCATAAAGTAAAAGATGGGTATATTCAACCTCGTGAAAATAAAAGGCAGATGCATGGAGAGAAAAAAACCACCATAAAATGATAACCAACAAAGGGTAAAAACATCGGCAACTCAGTTCACAAAGGGCCGTTTTTGGTTCTCAATACAAATCAGTAAGAAAAAGAGCAACAGCCCAAGAGAAAAATGGGCAAAGGCATGAAAGGAACCTCCCATCACCCGCTGCTGACCTTCACTCAGAGTGAGAAACACGCAGATCTAAGCTGCAGTGAGATGCTGCCCCTCACCCACAGGGATGGCAGCCGCATCAGGCTGGGGGTTCCCTAGGGGGGCTGCTTAGGGGCTCCCACAGGTCTGGCTGTTGGAGGGCAGGGAGAGGCCTGCAGGTCTGGTGGGGCCGGGGTGAGGCACTCACAGATACGTCTAGTGGGGGTGAGGAGGGGGACCGCCTGCAGGTACAGCTGGGGGTGTCAGGTCGCTGGGGATGGGGTGGAAGGAGAGGATACCCATTCAAAACAGGAAATATATATATTTTAAAATAAAACAGGCTAACTGTAGTGACTCACACCTGTGATCCCAGCATTTTGGAAGGCAGAGCAGGGAGAATCCCTTGAGGCTAGAAGTTCGGGACTAGCCTGGGGAACATAGTGAGTCCCAGTCTCTACAAAAATTAAAAAAATAAAATTATCTGGCTGTTATGGTGCACGCCTGTAGTCTCCGCTACTTGGGAGCTGAGGCAGGAGGATCATGTTAGCCAGGAGTTCGAGTGAGCCCTGATCATGCCACTGTACTTCAGCCTGGGCAACAGAGCAAGACCCTCTAGAAAAATAATAAAACAAAATAAAATAAAATAATAAAAAATAAAATAAAATAAAATAAAAAACAGCTGACATCCGTCCTCTCCTTGCCACCACTGACATGGCTGTGGGCTGAGTTCTCATGGCTGTCCCACCGCGAGTCCCCAAGCGCTCCTGATGCCTGCTCACCCTTCTTGTCTTTGTTAGCGCCCCATTAGCAGAGGCCTGCTTAACTTGTCTCTGGTCTTGCTTCTCAGGAGCTGTGTCACATTCAACAGTGGCAGCACAGAGGCCCTGCTCAGCCCCAGTCCCTCACCCTAGGCCTCCACTGCCAGGTGTGGTCCTGGTGGTCCTGGGGACTCCAGCCATCCACCCCTGCCCAACCTTCACAGGCCACCAGCAAGTCCCAGCCCTCCCACAGGCATGGCTCTGGGCAGTACCTTTACCTTCCCAGCCTCAGTTTCCCTGATGGTGAAACGGGATGAGATCTACTTCCTAGCAGGGAGAATCCACGGGAATGGAGGCCGTGGGAGGAAGAAGACTCGAGGAAAGGAGCATTCCTGAGGGGTCCCAGAGCGGGCTGGGGGCTGACAGGACTGAGTTTGCAGGGCCTGGGGACATTCCCTGGGGAGGTGCTGAGATGCCAGTCAGCTAAAGCAGCGAGGAGTGATCCAGGATGGCTGCCTGGAGGAGGGGCTGGATTGCTGGGCCCTGAGTGCCAAGGTGGGCTGTCCATGTCTGCAGGAACACACCCACCCTGCTGCCTCCAGGAGGGGCGCTGGACAGGCCTGAGCTCCAGGATCATAGGAGGCAAGAGCCACTCTCACCAAAGAAGAGCAAGTGTGCCTCCCCTGCCAGCAATCTGTCCGGTCCAGCCCCTGCCCAGCTATCTGGGGAAAAGGCCACCTTTTCAGTGGAGGCTGAGCTCAGAGAAGGAAGAGGTTGAGAGGGGAGAAATAGAGGGAGTGAGCTGGAAGGTGAGAGGTGTGGGTGAGAGGTGTGAGTGAGAGGTAGGGGTGTGAATTGGGGGTGAGATGTGGTAGGTGAGAGCGGCAGGTGAGAGGTAGGGGTGTGAATTGGGGGTGAGAAGTGGTAGGTGAGAGCGGCAGGTGAGAGGTAGGGGTGAGAGGTGGGGGTGAGAAGTGGAGGTGGGCAGTCATGGTGATAGCTTGTGGGGTGAGAAGTGGAGGGTGAGAATTGGGGTGGGAGTTGGGGTGTCACCTCCCAAACCCTCTCACCCTCAGATTAAGAAGCCCCTGCTATGGGCCCTGGAGGAACAGGCCTTTGACCCACCCCAACCCCACTGGTGTCTTGGGCAGGGAGATCTCGAGGTGGGGGCCTCAGCTCCCCATAGGACCGTCTAGCCCTGGACCACCTGACCACAGCTACAGTGGGACAAGGCCCCTGTTGCCTGTCTGCTGGGGGCCGAGTGTGGTGTGGAGGAGCCAGCAGCCCCGGCCTTCATCACAGAGGAGGAATCCAAGGCCCAGGAGGGTGTCTCTGGCACCCAACACGTGAGACCCTTTGAAAATCCCCCGAGTGCGTGGGGGGCTGGGATGAACATTTGGAGGCAGCAGCAGCAGGTGGCCCACCTGGCCAAACACACTCCTGTGTCCCCTTGTTTTTGGCAATTTCAATGACCAAAGTCAGATCCTGGTATGGAGAAAAGGACATCGGTAAGGACGAAGGAAATGTGAACACTGCATGGACGATGGCTGATAATAGTGTGCCGCTATTGGCTCAGCAACTCTAACCTACCAATGCCAGATGCTCACAACGGTGAAACTGGTGTGTGGTAGATGCGATCTCTCTGTACTGTCTTCTCAATTTTTCAGCAAAGATAAAACTGTTCTAAAGTTGAAAAGTTTATTAAAAAAAAAAAAGAAAAAAGACGGGCTTATTAGCAAAAATCTGAGATAGAACCAAGCAGTAGGGCCCAGCCCACCCCCTGCTCAGGGCGCGCCAGCAGCACCCCTCTCTCAGGGACATGGCCAGGCCTGGGCCACTCTGAAGAGCTCTTACTGGTGCTGAGGGGCCTGGTGGGTTTATTCCACCTGTCAGTCTCACTGCAAAGTGTGGCAGTGGAGTTTGAGTTAGGCTGACTCTTACCCTGCCAAGGACACCCCTGCACTCAGGACCCAGCCCTGGCCCCCTTGCCCTGTGGGCTGGAGGCGACCCTGTGTGCAGATGGCAGATGGAGGGGCATGGTGCCGTTGCTCTCAGGTCAGGGGCAGCAGCCTCAGCCCTGACCAGCCCTCTCCTGCATGGCTGTGGCTGGGTCTCCCGGTCTCTGGCTTCCTTTCCATTCCATCCTGTAGAAAACAGTGTGGTGGGGGATGCTCGGCCTGCAGATCAGACAGGCCAGGGTCAAAGCCCCAAACTACCACCTGAGCTAGTCCTGGCCGAGTGGCACTGATGCTCTAGGCCGAGGGCCCCCTTGACAGAACAGCCATCATCTAGCTCCGCTGCAGGGCAGGGGAGGTGGCAGCATGGGCCGCAGCCCTCGGCTGAAGCAGGGGCCAAGCGGGGCTCTGCCTGGTGCAGGGGGTTTCCTCTATGGGGCAGGGGCTCCCAAATTAGCCCTGGTGACATCTGGAGCTCACCTCTGGGGGCTCTGGGGGCTGAGAGAGCAGGCGGGGCCCAGTTCTATCAATCATCTGCCTTGTTCCTGGGGGATCGCGGTCAGTCCCAGCCTCCCCACAAGTCCTGGGGCGGGGCAGGCCTGCTGGAAACCCAAGATGCAGAGAAGAGCGCCAAGCACCTGAGACAGGGCTCCGAGCACGGAAGGCAAGGACACCTCCCTCAGCCTCAGCTGGGGAGCCGGTGGCCCTGCATGCACTTTCTCCCGTCTGGGGAGCCTGAGCCCTGACCCAGTCCCGAGGCCCATGTGTGCACAAAAGCCTCCTGCTTTCTCACCCAGGACACTGGCAATCAGTGGGTAGGCGAGCCGGAGCCCAGCTGCTGCACTCCCTTCCCTGCCGGGACCGGGCCAGCTGCATCCTCATGCCTGGGTTTCAGGGCTTCTCAGGGGATGTGATGGCACTGCCTGAGGATGTGGGATCCTTCCACTGAAAAGGGCCACACGGCTGTCCCCAGCACCCTTCCAGAAGGGACAACCCACTCCTGGGAGGTCTTAATGTAGACATCGAGGTCCCCCGAGCTTCCTCCATGGCCTGGCCACTTCACAACCATATTTCTTTATGTTCCACGTGCCTTGCCTGCTCCACGGCCAGGACCAGGGCCACCATCTTTGTAGCCTGTGAGGGGACAGCTGCCGTGGGCTGGGCTGCTGAGGCAGGACAGGGGTCCGGGCCAGGGAGGGGTGGATGGAGGCCAAGGGTGGGCCCCTTGGAGACAGCCTTGGGGTGCAGCCAGCTCTGCCACCTCTCCCTGGCTTCCTTCCCTCCAACCTGTGACTCCCGGGAAGTCCCTGATGGGCCAGCCACTTGGGGCCCGGAAGTAACTGTGGTGTGTGGTGGTCACCCTCACCAGAGTTCATGGGGTGGAGCAAGGGGGACAGAATCTCCCCCAAAATCAGGTGTCTTGTTCCCAGGCCCAGCACAGAGACCTGGCCCCCAGACATCTCTGGACATTTGTTAAGAGTGGACGACTGCTTCCATTACACAGGAGAGGAAACCGAGGCTCTAAGGGGTCCCAGACTTGCCTGGCTGCCACAGTGAGCAGGCAACAAATACCAAGTGGCTGCCGCAGTGGGGTAGGTGGGAGGCAGTGGCTGAACCAGAAAGTGCTGCCGTCAATTCTGCTGGTTGCATGAGTCTTAGGAGATGATCAAAGGGCAGATTGTGGGGAGATAAAAAGTATGAGTGGGGAACAGGATTGGGGGGAGCGGAAGAGCCTCAAAGACCCTGCGACATTCTCAACGTCTCCACGGTGACTCAGAGATAGCTCCAACCCGCATGGCGGGCAGAGTGTGGAGGGGACGGCTTTGTGGCTGGATTAGTCATCCCCGTGCAGCTCACCCCAAATCCCGGCTTCCAGCCCTGGGCCGTCCATGCTGGGATGGAGGAAGGGCAGCCTCTCCGCAGGGCCACGTCCTGGAGCCTGATGACCCTGGCCAGCACACAGCTGAAAGCAGCCCACTGTGCAAATGGTGCATGATACAGGGGGTCGGCTCTGTGTTCCCCACGGTGGCCAAGGGACCAGCTGTGCCTCAGTTTCCCTTATTCTATCAAACTTTGAAGAAGGTCCCTGTAAAAGCGCATCTGTTTTCAGGGTAGGGGCCAGAGTCAGCCACCCACACCAGAGTGAGAATTGGTGGGTGCCCTAGCCCCGGCAGGATCTGGCATTTTACTGGACAGAGAGAGGAGGCGGCACCCACTGGGGCTCGGGCAACCATCCCGGCTACCCCCGCCCCGGCCCACCAGGAGAGGAGGGAAGCCTTGAAGTGCCAGGACTTTGAATCGCCCATCTCCATGGCAACGCGTGGGCACAAAGGGCCGGGCCGGCGAGCAGGCGGCGGCTGCGCAAGCTGGAAGGAGGAAGGGAATCTTTTATTTATGGGGAGGGAGAGTCGGGGAGCCAGGCTGCGCCCACGCTCAGGGCCAGGCCGCAGTCTTGAGGCTGGGCCCCCTGCCCCATAGCCAGGGCCTCTGAGCAGCACCTGCCCACACACCCCTGACCCTCCGGGCCCGGCTGGGTGGACGGAGCATGGGCAAATGGAGGGCAGAATGGAGTGAGTGTCCAGCATGCACCCAACCTGGAGATCGGCCCAGAGGGTCCCTGGGAGCCTGCCATCCTCCATACCCCAGTCTCTGTGATGTGGGCACCCGGGCAGATACCATGCTGAGAGCCAGCTGGGCCTGCAGTGAGGAAATGTGGCCCAAAGCAGACTGCAGAGCTGGAACTCAGGTGGGGCTGCTGCCATAGGCTCTGAAGACAGTGCAGGAGACCGGGAGGGGTCACCAGTGCCAAGGCCCTGAGGCAAGCCGGAGCTGGGAGCATCTGAGGATGGGCATTAGCGCGGGGCTCCAGGGTATAGCCGGTCCACTGCAGGCAGCCTGGCCTCCCCAGAGACCCAGCCACAGCTCCTCACCTTGGACAGGGGGCCCTGGGCCTTGGGCATCAAATGACCTGCCTGCCGTGGTGGAGGCTGCCACACCAAGACGCCGGCCCACGGCCTCCAGCAGCCCATCCCCACCTTCCCAAGCCCCTCCCCTCATGGCTTACACCCTGTTCCCTGAGCCCCCAAACATGGGAAATGGCACCTATTGTGCCCCAGCGGGGGAATTCTGACCCCAGACCCTGGGGGCAGTGCAGAAACCACCACTGAATCAGATTTTATTTCATCTAAAAAATATCTGAGCCAGATTGAAAGCAGCAGGGAAAGGGTCCCATGGCTGCTTCCCCCAGCCCCACCCTCCACAGGCCCTGGGCCCTCCCAGCCCCCATTTCCTTTCCTTGAGAATGTCTAAAGTGGGGCAATATTTTGTGAAATTGGAGGCACCGCGTTAGAAATTCCAAACCCGTGTTTATGATGAGCTGCACGCGCGTTTCGAACCTGCCCTGGTTTTGAGCTGAGGGAAGTGGAGGGTGCAGGAGTTGCCCACTCCAGAGGCCCTGGGTGTGCGTGAGGAGCCCTGAGGCTGGGCCGAGAGCCGCTTGTGGGAGGCACTGTGCCCCCTGCCCCCGAGATCGGGGCCTGGGTGCCCAGGACACTACAGACCTTTTGGGGAGCCTGGTGGTTGGGAAGCCTAGAGCTGGAACCCACAGGCCAGAGTCTGAGCTTTCATCCCCCACCCCCGAAGACGCTCCGCCAGCCACTGCCTGCGCATCAGGGGAGACAAGCTCCCCCCACGCCCACCTTGCCTCCAGCAGGGCTGTTCCTCCCCTCATCTGCAGGAATCAGTTTTTTCTTTAACTGAGCCCCATGCTGGGGAAGGGAGAGCTCCAGGGGACCAGGCAGCAGAGAGGGGAGGGGAGAAGCCATCAAACAGGCGGGGGGCTGGGGGGCCATGCACTCAGCACAGAGCCCCACATGGCAGGAGGGGGCTGGGTGGTCGGCTTAGAGCCCATTCTCTCCTGGACACTGTTCTGGAATGGCCCCCGGCCCCTCTGTTCCAAAGATGGGACCCTCCGGCCCAGGGACCCCGTATGATGTCCCCCAAACCACCTCTCTTCCCAGACCTCATCAATGGCAATGAATGGTGCATCCTGGCTGGGGCCGCCGCCCCTCACTGTGAGACATCAGCCCAGACGAGCGCCCAGCCCCTCCTGGGGTCTCAGATACTCAGAATGAAAGGCTCACAGCTGCCATGAACTTCCACAGGACTTTGTGGTTCCTCCTGCACCCCCGGTGATGCTTTCATCCCTCTCCAGCACCGTTCCAGAGGCCAGAAAACCATGATGTTTGGGGTCAAACAGCTGGGAGAGGCAGTTGGAACTCAGGCCAGGCCTGTCTGACTGGACAGTGCTGAGACTGGGACCCCGCTCCCCTACAAGTGCTGTCAGTGCACCCTCGATGCCCCCCAGAGCTTGCCATGCCCCGACAGTTCCTTCATGGCCAAAGTGTCCCCTGGCACAGGATACCCTGGGGTGCCATGTCTGCAAGAGCTCACACCCTTCTCTCCCCAGCTGCTGCTAACTGCTGCCAGAGGTGGGTGTGTGGAGGGCTCGGGGCCTCTTCACCCTCCCTGCACCAACTCAGCTCCAGAACATTCCCAGCAGTGAGGAGAGGGTGGCCACTGTGCTGCAGCCCCAAGGGATGGGCAAGGCCATGCCAGCTGGAGTCATCCATGTCCCCTCGGACATGGTGGCCTCATTCAGAGGGCACCATGGAGAAGGGTACAATGAGGGTGGCTACCAGAGACAGTGGAGATGAGGCGGTCAGGAAGCCCAGTGACGGGCCTGGAGGGGACACACGGCCAGCTGGGCACAGGGCACGAGGCCTTTGTTCTGCGTGCTGTGGCATACGGTGCTGGCTCTGGCCCATCTTTTGTTAGTGGTGGGTTCAGCTCTGTTCCTTGGAGCTCCCTTAGCCCAGGGGTCCACCTCCCCTCTGGGCAGCGCCAATCAGCGCATTCTGCCTCAGCCAGCTGTCAGCCACCTGGACCTCCTCCCTCATTTTACCATCCTGGAACATCACGGTGCCTGGGGCAGGCCATGGAGACCTGGCTAGCCCATGATCTGCTCAGTCCTCATCAGCTGTTGTGACAGAAACAAGTCTGTGCTGATGAGCTGAGCCGACCAGGCTGCAGCCCTCACTTCAGGAGAGGGTCAGGCCCAGCCAGGCCTGGTGAGCAGGTGTGGGGACGGACGGGTGCTCATGTGTGGGAGGTTTCTTAAGAGTGGGTGAGAGGAGGACGGAGAGGGGACCAGTGAAGGAGAGTGGAGGGCACTGCCCCCGTGGGGCAGGACAGGGTGGGGCTGGTGTTAGCTGGGTTGGGTGTGTGGGTCTGGCAGGGAGCCGGGCATGGGAGTGGGTCCCGAGGAGTGCGAGGTTGGAGCCAGGACCATGGGCCTCACCATAGAGGCCTCACCCCAGGGCAGAGGGAGCTGACAGACGGGGCTGACGGGAAGGGGGGCTTCCTGTCATCAGAGGACAGCCCATGGCCACCTTTGTGGGGACCCCACAGGGAGAGGCTGGCCCCTGAGGATGCTCAGACCTGGTTCAGCATGGCCAGGCCCTGGCCTAGCCCAAGGTCAGCACTGGCCGCTACCCTGGGGGCTGAGTCTCCGTCTCGCCCTGTGACATGGTGCCCACACTATGAGCCAGTGTCAACCCTTTGCCCATGTCCCGGGAGCCTTGTGTGTCCATATTCACGGCTGAGAGCCTGCCGTGGGGGTCTCTGCACTGGGGGAGGTGGGTCCAGGGTGTGTGGCCCCTGAGATTGTCCATCATGAGTGCCACCTGGAAGGTGCCGGAGCCTCACCCTGTCCTCCAGGGCCCAGAGTGTTTTGGGGAGATCCTGTGCTGGCATCTTGGCTGGGCCAGGATGGTGTCTAGGAGGGACCCTTGGGAGGGAAGCAGGGGCATCAGGGGGCCTGGTGCTGGGGTGGGTGGCAGGAGAGGCCTGGAGGGCGGCGGCCCAAGCCAGTGGCTGGGCAGGTGTCAGGAGGGAGAGGGGTGAGGCCTGGCCTCCCTGCCGCAGCCAAGCCAGGGCCTGGGTGTCCTGGGGGGTGGGACAAGACCCAGGGCAGAGGCAGGGCTGCTTGCATGCAGGGTGGCCACATCCCGGCCTGGTGAGTGCCGGCCGCTCAGTTCTGCGGCCCTCTGCTGCCCTCCGCCGGCCGCCTCTGTCCCTGCAGGCCCAGCCATCTACCTGCAGATCTGGACAGACCCTCAGACCCCAGGCTGGGAGGTCTCAGGAGCCAAGACGGGGTTGAATCCCATTTGAGGGCATCTGAAGGCGTGAGAGCCTATGTCAAGCCCCTGCCCAGCCTTGCCTTGGCCAGCAGCTCCAAGGGGACTCTGGTGGGCAGTGGCTAAAGATGACAGAGGGGCTCAGAGAGGCTGAGCTGCTCTGTAAGGTTGCACAGTGAGCAGGGGCCGAGTGGCCTTGGGAGAGGCAACAGCAGGAGGGTCCTCGTCATGGCCAGAGCCCGGGGACAGGAAACCCCTGCTGGGTTCCCCCACCAAGTAGCTCCCATTCCCAGCCCTTAGGGTGTCTCAGGAGAGGTTCCGGGGGAGGTCCCACCTGCCTCCTGCCTTCTCCCCCAACCACACCCTAAATGGGTCCCAGCTCCCCAGCCCCTCCCACAAGGGCTCACCCGCCAGAGCTCGGGGAGAGGCCCTGCAGGGCGGCTGTTTCTCCGTGTGCTGCAGTCCTCTGGACACTGAAAACCAATCGCAACCATCTTAATGGCATTTAATATGCACAGTGAAAGTCAGCAGCCACAGCCACGGGCGTGTGCTCAGGGCAAGGTTTACATGAAGATGCCACCAGGCTTAGCCCATGAGTGGCCTCCTGGGTCCCAGGAGAAGTGTGGGGTGGGGGTGCAGCTGGGTGGGCCATGGTAGCAGAGACCTGGGGAGGGGAAGTGGGAGGTAGGAACTGGGCTAGGCAGGGACTCAGGGGAGGCTGAGGCCTGGAACAGGGAGACTGAGACCTCAAGGAGGCTGGGACATTGGGAGTCAAGACTTGGGGAAGCTGGAACATGGGCAGGCCGAGACGCAGGGGTTTAAGAATGAGGGTCTGGTGCAGACCTGAGTTGGAGCCCAGCCGCTGCTGGCCCGACGTAGCTGGAGAGTGTGCTGACCCCATGGTGGCTAGAGAATGTGCTGTTGATAGGGAAGGCAAGTGCTGGGAAGGGAAAAGTGTGGTCCATTTAAATGATACGGAAGCAGGGAAAGGAAGTGCTGGGTAGAGGAGGGCATGGTCCCAGACTAGGGCTCCAACCCCACGGACCTAGGTGAGAACAGGCACTTCCTACCCAAATGTTGCATTTCTCACGACCACCCTGGCCTGCCACGCCCCCATCCTGTGCTTATAAAATCCCCTGAGACCTTAGCAGGCAGACACAGGCAGCTGGACGTGGAGAGGAGCACATCAGCGGAGACACACACGGGCGGCTGGATGTCGAGATGAACGCACTGATAGGCACCGGCATGCTGGCAGGCCACTGACTGGCAGAACCACGCGGAGTTTGGCTGGGGCAGTTGGAGGACAGCCCGGGTGCACAGCGGCCCCACTCCAGGGGAAAACCTTCCCACTCCACCCCCTTCTAGCTTCCCCTATCTGCTGGGAGCCACCTCCCCTCAATAAAACCTTGCACTCATTCTCCAAGTCCACGTGTGATCTGACTCTTCTGGTACACAAAGGCAAGAACCCCAGGATCCAGAAAGCCCTCTGACTAACACAAGCCACCCTACAGACGACAAACTAAAAAAGCCCCCGTGACACACGCCCACTGGGGCTTCAGCTGTAAACCTTCACCCCTAGACACTGCTGTGGGGTCGGAGCTCCACAGCCTGCCCGTCTGTAAGCTCCCCTAGAGGTTTGGGCAGTGGAGCACTGAAGAAGCGAGCCACTCCCCTTCTCACACACACTGCTAGGGCAACAAGGGAACTTTTTCCGTTTCACTGGCCCAAGGTGGCTGGACAGTGTGCTGGCCCCACGGTAGCTGGAGAGTGTACCGTGCTCCCTGGCTTTCCTCCTGATGTATAAAATGAGTTAGCGGGTCCTGGGGGCTGTTCCCACAGTGACGTGGTGGAGGCTGACCCTGACACCCACCCCTGCTGAATGCTCAGTGAATGGTGGTTGCTGTCAGGAAGCATCATTGCTGTCCTCCATCAGTGTCTGTGGGGATGGGTGACTCTTGGAGGATGCTTCCAGCAATGTTGCACTGCCAGGACAGAGGCCATCCACCTGCCTCTGGGCTTCCTGGTGTGAACAGATGGATGGATGGGTGGGCCTGCTGCGTGCAGGGAGCTGAGGCTGGGTCTTCACCTATGGGCAGGAGGCTACACAGGGCTCTGGGAGAGACAGCACTGTGGCTGGGACAGAGCCCATGTGATGAGATGCCCTCGGTGCCCCTGGCCTCCCTCCTTGCTCCTGCCCCTCCAGGACATCACCCAGAGCCCCCTTGCTCTTTTGGGGGGATGCCTGGTGCCTGCGGTTTCTGTCACTCTTGATCCCACCCACCCCTGCAGGTTGCTGGCAGGACAAGTGCAGGAGTCATCTCACGGCTTTCCCTGGGATCTCTGTACCCGCTGAGAACCGGGAGCTGCACACAGCCTGTCCAGCATCCTGGGAACTCACCCTGTTGCTGCCACTTGTCCTGGGTCATCCTGCGGCTCACTCCTTGCCATTCAGACCCCTGTGAGGAGAGCACTGGCTGTGAGTAGCTCTGTGGCTAGTGATGGTGAGGCAGGGCCTGGAGTAGATCCATCACTGAGAATTCTTTTTCTTTTTCTTTTTCTTTTTCTTTTTTTTTTTTTTTTTGAGACGGAGTCTCGCTCTGTCGCCCAGGCTGGAGTGCAGTGGCGGGATCTCGGCTCACTGCAAGCTCCGCCTCCCGGGTTCACGCCATTCTCCTGCCTCAGCCTCCCAAGTAGCTGGGACTACAGGCACCCACCACCACGCCCGGCTAATTTTTGTATGTTTAGTAGAGACGGGGTTTCACCATGTTGGCCAGGATGGTCTTGATCTCCTGACCTCGTGATCCACCCGCCTCGGCCTCCCAAAGTGCTGGGATTACAGGTGTGAACCACAGCGCCCGGCCGAGAATTCTTAATGAAATGGGAACATACCTCCCAGGAAATGCACAGGGGCCTGCAGTGATAGAGCGGCCTCAGGTATGTGCACAGGTGTGAACACGCCTTCCACAGAGGGCAGTGGACGTGCACATGACTCACACACACTGCAGCGCAGGGCAAGTGTCCCACATGTGTTCATGCTTGTGCACACGTCAGTGGGCTGGATGAGTGTGTGCACACCTGTGTCATGCCTGCAGAGAAGACAACGGAGAGAAATACACCCAAATCTCCCCTCTGGGTCCCTGCCCTGGGTGCTGGGATGTCAGAACAGGTTGATGTCCTTTTATCCTTCCCCATATCCACCACGCTGTCTACCAAAGCACGCCTTAGTTTTATAATCAGAAGTGAAATGCACCGTTTCAAGAAAGCCATGGGCCAGCCCCTCTGTGCCCTGGTGTTGGCGGGGGCAGAGGGGTGGGGTGTGTAGGGGGAGATTAGCCTCATGCAGCCGTGGGGCCAGGGAGGCCAAGGTCAGCTTGCTCAGCACCTGGAGGTACAGCGAGTACCAACAACACAGCCTAGCTTGACCGCGGAAGGAAAATCAATGCTGGGCACAAGGACTGACGGCAGACTCACTGGGAACACTGTCCACCGACGTCAGAGCTGCTCACAGGGCACCCGGGAGCTTGCCAGGGAGCCCTGCTGCCTGTGTTTGGAACAACCCTGGTGGGCGAGCACGGGCCCCTCACCTGACTCCACTCAGTGCCCTTCCCAGAGGGGAGACAAAGGCCGTGAACAGCTCTGGAGGCACTCCCTGCCAGTGCCCCCCAGGCCTGGCTAAAGAAATCTCAAATACCCCGAAGGGCCTGGCTCCAGCGGCCCGGCTATGAGTCAGCCTCAGGGGGATGCTCATCTTCAATTGGCCCTGACTGTTCCACATTACAAGATAAACTGTGGGGTTAACTCAAGGCATTATTACTTTGTAAAGACCGCTCTTATACAAGAGCGGTCGATGCAAAAACATTGAGTCCTGTCTTCCTCCATTCCATGTCCTTGCCCCCCATCCACATGTGGCCTGCATGGACAGACAGCTTCACACACTCAGACTCTTCCCTCCCCGCGCATCAGAGATGTGTGTCCCTGTTACTGACATGCAGGGAGGGGCTCATCATCTTGGGCACACCCCATGGTGCCCTGAGCCCATCATCACCTAAGGTGGACATTGAAGGAATTCCCAGGTTTTCCTTTTCAGAAGCCACGGCTCAGGCCAGTGCCTAGGAGGTCAGAGGTTGGGGGCTCAGGGAGGGGTCGCTGCCCAACCGTGCCACCTTGGACTCAGAGTGCCAGCCCAGGGAACCAGGCAGGCCCGGCTCTGACTGTGCCACTGGGCGACCACTGGCTGAGACCTGGGGCTGAAACACATCTCACACCAGCCAACTGTCACAAGCAACACCCATTGAACACAGCCACCCACCTGGGGACAGATCAAGAAGCTGTCACAGATGGCAGAAGAAAACCTGAGGAAAGAGGGACAACCAGTCACAATGAGTAATTTACTGGTAGCTATGATATCGGTTATCACCACTGCCGTGAGTATTCCTTCAACAAGGTCTGACACAGAGAACAATTATACTTACAGGGCATATTTATCAATCTTGACTGGTAATAATGCCTGAAAGTAATCACTCTATGACGTATTTACACATGCTTTCTGATCTCAGTATTTACCATAATAAATCTGCTCCTATAATTGAGGCATACTGCCTTCAAAAACCTATTTGTAAACAAAATAGAACCTGGCCAGAAATAATGAACGTACTTGTTTAGGAAGATTGCATTGCAGAACAGGCAGAGGTGCTGCGCAGCGATTCCTATGGAATCATTATTGATTGGTCCCCTAAGGGGATGTTTAGCTTGAATTGCACCTCTCAGTCTGCATGCCACGGCCACCCTATGTTCAGCTGGTCTGAACAAATGGTCAGGTGGTAGAAATGATAAGAAGTATGGCAAAAGTTCCCATTATCTGGAACCATGGCAGTATAGTGGCACCTCAATCTCAAATGATATGGCCCGCTCTAGGAGCTTCACATAAGGATTTGTGGAAACTATTAACAGTTCTTAATAAGATCAAAATTTGGGAAAGAATAAAAAAGCATCTAGAAGGGCCCTCTACAAATTTGTCTTTGGATGTGCAAAATTAAAAGAACAAATATTTAAAGCATCCCAGGAACATCTGACCTTAATGCCAGGAACTGGAGTGCTTGAAGGAGCTGCAGACAGATTAGCAGCTAGTAACCCATTAAAATGGATAAAAACACGCCAGGTGCAGTGGCTCACGCCTGTAATCCCAGCACTTTGGGAGGCCGAGGCGGGCGGATCACAAGGTCAGGAGATCTAGACCATCCTGGCTAACATGGTGAAACCCCGTCTCTACTAAAAATACAAAAAATTAGCCGGGTGTGGTGGCGGGCGCCTGTAGTCCCAGCCACTTGGGAGGCTGAGGCAGGTGAACCCGGGAGGCAGAGCTTGCAGTAAGTGGAGATTGTCCCACTGCACACCAGCCTGGGCAATAGAGCGAGACTCTGTCTCAAAAAAAAAAAAGAAAGAAACAATGTTTATCACTGGCTTGCTGTCAATAAATATGTGGGTAAATCTCTGTTTGAGGCTCTCAGCTCTGAAGGCTGTGAGACCCCTGATTTCCCACTCCACACCTCTGTATTTCTGTGTGTGTGTGTCTTTAATTATTCTAGCGCCACCGTGTTAGGGTCTCCCCGACTAAGCTGGTCTCAGCAGGAAACAATCTAGCAGGGGTGGGGGGATCTAACTACCTTTTCTCATACACGCATTGAAAATGATTATATAAAGTGGTGAAGTGTGATTGCATTCACATAAACAGTGGCGTGTTCTGGGATCCAGCAGACAATCTTAACTTCAGGAAATGCAATCACATTTTACTAGCTTTGCAAAAAATGAATAAAATGACATAGCTGAACAGAACTCAAGTAGGATCTGTGAACGGCAGCATGAAGTGGATAATGGGATAACGTACCGATGAGGGAAATTTATATACCCAGCAGCCCAGGTTTGGTGCAGGCTGATAAAGGAAAGACAAGCTCCAAATTAAACAAATGTGAATGAATTCCTTTGCCTGCAGACAGAGCAAATGTATTGGTAAAAGTAGCTACAGGGCAAGCAGCAAAAATGCAACAAATCAGAATGAATGCAGGGAGCCATGGTTCCAGCACAGAAACAAATATTTCAGGAGTACAGGTAAGAGGCACATGGCAAAAAAGACAACAAAAAAACCTGACTTTGCCAGAGCTCCAATGTCATGCTCATGGCTGAGGAGAAACAATTATCTCGCTGGGAATGAGTGCAAGTGGGAGAATGGAAGGAGTCCTGAGCGGGGCTGACTGCATGTCCGCAGGGGCCCGGACAGGCAGCACAGCGGCCTCTCTACCCTCGAAGGTCTGTTTCTTGTCTGCTTCCTCCTTGGGAGTGGCAGGCCCTGGTGACCGGCCCAACCTCGGGGGCGCCCAGCAGCTGGGTCACCACCACATGCCCAAGTCTGGCCCTCTCAGCTCTGCCTGTCTCCTGAGCTGGAGAACAGACCCCACCCCTCTGTCCCCGGCACTCAACTCCCATCCAGCCGATCTCCCTGAGGACCCCCCCACCGCCAACTCCCACCTGGATCCTCTGGCCCTGGCAGGGCATCATTCTTTCAAAATAATCCATGACTGGGCGCAGTGGCTCATGCCTGAATCCCAGCACTCTGAGAGGCCAAGGTAGGAGGATTGCTTGAGCCCAGGAGTTTCAGATCAACCTGGGTTGTAGGGGTGGGTTGCCCCTACACACCTGTGGGTGTTTCTCGTAAGGTGGGACGAGAGATTTGGAAAAGAAAAAGACACAGAGACAAAGTATAGAGAAAGAAATAAGGGGAACCGGGGAACCAGCGTTCAGCATATGGAGGATCCCGCCAGCCTCTGAGTTCCCTTAGTATTTATTCATCACTTGTGGGTGTTTCTCGAAGAGGGGGATGTGTCAGGGTCACAAGACAATTGTGGGGAGAGGGTCAGCAGACAAACACGTGAACAAAGGTCTTTGCATCATAGACAATGTAAAGGATTAAGTGCTGTGCTTTTAGATATGCATACACATAAACATCTCAATGCTTTACAAAGCAGTATTGCTGCCCGCAGGTCCCACCTCCAGCCCTAAGGCGGTTTTTCCCTATCTCAGTAGATGGAGCATACAATCGGGTTTTATACCGAGACATTCCATTGCCCAGGGACAGGCAGGAGACAGATGCCTTCCTCTTGTCTCAACTGCAAGAGGCATTCCTTCCTCTTTTACTAATCCTCCTCAGCACAGACCCTTGGTGTCGGGCTGGGGGACGGTCAGGTCTTTCCCTTCCCACGAGGCCATATTTCAGACTATCACATGGGGAGAAACCTTGGACAATACCTGGCTTTCCTAGGCAGAGGTCCCTGCGGCCTTCCGCAGTTTTTGTGTCCCTGGGTACTTGAGATTAGGGAGTGGTGATGACTCTTAAGGAGCATGCTGCCTTCAAGCATCTGTTTAACAAAGCACATCCTGCACCGCCCTTAATCCATTTAACTCTGAGTTGACACAGCACACGTTTCAGAGAGCACGGGGTTGGGGGTAAGGTTATAGATTAACAGAATCTCAAGGCAGAAGAATTTTTCTTAGCACATAACAAAATGGAGTCTCCTATGTCTACTTCTTTCTACACAGACACAGTAACAATCTGATCTCTCTTGCTTTTCCCCACATTTCCCCCTTTTCTTTTCGACAAAACCGCCATCGTCATCATGGCCCGTTCTCGATGGTCGCTGTCTCTTCGGAGCTGTTGGGTACACCTGCAGACTAACAACAGACAAAACAGGCACACAAGGATTAATATGAGATTTATAATCGTAGTACTTCCAATGGTCTTAACCCAAGTGACAGGGTTAAGATTTGCGAGGCCATCAGCAACTCCTGCAATTGCCTCAGTTCCTGGCACCAAATTTAAATGGGCTTTTGATGCTTCGAAAATTTGTTCTTTTAATTTGGAAATGTCTAAAGTGAGATTATCTTCTCTTCCCTGTAGATGGCGTCTAACCATGTCCCAGTGATGCTCAGACTCATTATAAATTTGGGGTGTAATACAAAAATCTGACGTATTCCAGTCACATTGTAACTGGAAACGATGTTCTAAGCTCATGAGTCTGTCTCCCATCCAAATGACAGTTTGTCTAAGATCATTAATTTGATTTGCCAATTTTTGATCAATACTAGATTGTGAATTCCACAATCTTGTAGAATTTTTTTGCCAATCATTAACAAAGTTTACTGACTGAACAGAAGAGTGCAATGCAACTCCTGCTACAGCACCCGTAGCTGTGACTGCAATTAATCCCATAATCACTGCAATTAAAGTAAAAATGAATCTTTTGGATCTATTTAAAACACCTTTTAATACTTCAGTCAAAATATGGACGGATGGTGAGGCCTCCCACGGTCGGTCCATGGACACAAGGATCCACACGCCCTCTCTTGCTCTCACCAGCAGAATACGGTGTTGCCAATTAAAAGTTGAATCAATGCAAGTAAGCAATCTACAGTTTTCACAGGTTATAGTCTGGGAGTCTGGTTTAATAACTATATTTCCTACAACTAGCATATAAGGGGGCTTTACGCAACTTTGTAAAGGAAGTGTTAGACTGGAATTTAGGTCGACAGTATAAAATGGCTTACGATCTCTTGTTTCTAAAGTTTGATTTCCAGACCAAATTCTAATGTGGTGTGAGGCCACAGTAAGCCTCCATAATTCTGGATGTTCAGGACCAGAAACAGGACTTATTATTTTTGGTCTTGGGGTAGAGATTCCTTTTTCTCCCCATTCCCAAGGGTAGAAAGACTGCAATTTTTTATGCTTATGTTTGTCTAAACTTTCTGTTAAGTCGCTATCAACAGCTGGACTCACTTGTGCACTTGGACATGACTGAGTTTGTCCTGAGCAATTGTGGTAGAATTGACCTCGAGGTGCCCAATCTATAATAGTTCCGAATTCATTGTTTTGTAATATCACCGCACTATTGGCCACACATTCTTCCCAAACTAAAACTTCTGTATTTTTTGATTCTTTGGGAATTTCCTTGGGGCAAGGTTTCCCTTTAGGTCTAAATTTTAATGATCTTTGATAAGGAAAGTCTTGTAAATAATTTACCCGTGGCCTGAGTGACATCCCGCTTACCATGTGATAAGTGAATCTACTGATGGGACTGACAATAGGTACTTCTACCAACCAATTTTGGACTGCAGGCATTAAACATCCTGGTGCTGTCCCTAAGCAAATAGGAGGATAACGATACCCAATGGAAATATTTATCATCATCCCTTCTTCCTCAGGTTTGGCAGGGCAGCGATCATCTGTGGGGCCAGGTACCCATTCGCTATCATTAACATATACTTCTATAGGATTATCCATCCATGTGACTGGTGTTACCATCTCCGCGGAGGCCCTTTTCTTTGCATCTCCGATGGGTTCATTGTAGAACTTCAAATGTCTAGTGGGTATCCAAACAGGAAGCTGATTTTCTCCTGGTGAAACACAAGCAAAACCTCTCCCCCACGTTATCACCTTCCCTATTTCCCATGTCTTATTTTTATTATCTTTCCACCAAATTAGTTTTCCTTCATGTGGGCTGTTCTTTTTACCAGTAAGATGTTGTTCTGCAGAAGTAGTAGTCTGATTTCTATAAATGTTTAAAAAATTTAAAGTATAGAGTGCTAGATTAAGTTGCATCTGAGGAGTGGTACACTCCTTACTGTCTCCCCCTTCTTTTTGTTTAACTAATTGAGTTTTGAGTGTTCTATTAGTTCTTTCAACTATGGCCTGTCCTTGGGAATTATAAGGAATTCCTGTTGTATGTGAAATTTTCCACTGACTTAAGAATTTTTGGAAAGCTTTACTACAATATCCTGGTCCATTGTCAGTTTTGATTTTTTCTGGAACTCCCATTACAGCAAAACAAGACAATAAATGTTTTTTAACATGGGAAGTACTTTCTCCTGTTTGGCAAGTTGCCCATATGAAATGTGAATAAGTATCAACTGTTACATGAACATATGATAATCTTCCAAATGAAGGTACATGCGTGACATCCATTTGCCATAATGCATTAGGACACAGACCTCTGGGATTAACTCCTGCCTCTTGAGTGGGCAGGTGTAAGACTTGACACTGGGTGCAATGTTGTACAATATCTTTTGCCTGTTTCCATGTGACATCAAATTTGTTTTTTAATCCTGCTGCATTTACATGAGTCAAAGCATGAAGTTCTTGTGCTTTTATGAGTGCAGATGATACCAGTAAGTCAGCTTGTTCATTTGCTTTAGTCAAAGGCCCTGGTAAATTAGTGTGTGCTCGAATATGAGTAATATAAAATGGGAAATTTCTTTTTCTTACAGTTTGTTGTAATAAATTGAATAGCTGGTTTAACTGATCATCCATGCTATATTTAATTAGAGCCGTCTCAACATCCCTTGTAGCCTGTACTACATAGGCAGAATCTGATATAATATTGATAGGTTGGTCAAAATCTTGTAACACTGTAATGACTGCAACCAACTCTGCTCTTTGAGCCGATTGATATGGAGTTTTGATTACTCGTTCTTTCGGCCCTGTGTAAGCTGCTTTTCCATTGCTGGAACCATCAGTAAATACTGTTAGAGCATTTTCTAAAGGTTCACGTCTGGTTATTTTAGGTAGAATCCAAGTAGTCAATTTTAAGAACTGGAAGATCTTTGTTTTTGGGTAATGATTATCAATAATTCCCACAAAATTAGCAAGACCAATCTGCCATGCACCAGAATTGATAAAGGCTTGTCTAACTTGTTCCTTGGTTAAAGGGACAACTATTTTGTCTTGGTCATTTCCACATAATTTTATTATTCGTAATCTTGTCTGACCGATTAATGTAGCCATTTGATCCAAGTACAATGTAAAAGTCTTAACTGTACTGTGAGGAAGGAATGACCACTCCACAAGATCAGTATTTTGAATAATGATGCCTGTTGGAGAATGTGCAGTGGCAAAAATCAAAAGCTGGAGTGGGGCTAAGGGATCTATTCTATTTATTTGCGCTGACTGAATTTTTTCTTCCACTAATTTAATTTCTTTTGTTGCCTCTGGGGTTAATATTCTTTTACTATTTAAGTCTGAGTCTCCTCTTAAGATAGAGAACAAATTTGACATGGCATAAGTAGGAATGCCTAGAGTTGGCCGAATCCAATTAATATCTCCTAGTAATTTTTGAAAATCATTTAGTGTTTTTAATGTATCTTTTCTTATTTCTATTTTTGTGGCTTAATTTTTCTATTTTCTATCTGCATCCCTAAATAATGAAAAGGAGTAGAGGTTTGGATCTTATCAGATGCTATTGCCAGTCCAGCATTGGCAACCTCTGCTTGCAGAAATGTATAACAGTCAATTAATTTATCTTTCGTTTCTGCAGCACATAAAATATCATCAATATAATGAATAATATAACAGTCTGAAAACTTTTCTCTAACTGGTTGAAGAGCTCGACCTACAAAAGTCTGACAAATAGTTGGACTATTAAGCATTCCCTGAGGTAACACTTTCCACTGAAACCTGGTGGCTGGTTCTTTATTATTTATGGCTGGTATAGTAAAGGCAAATTTTTCACAATCCTGCTCTGCCAGAGGGATGGTAAAAAAGCAATCCTTTAGATCAATTATAATTAAAGGCTAATCTTTTGGGATTATGGCCGGAGAGGGCAACCCGGGTTGGAGAGGCCCCATGGGTTGAATTAAGGCGTTTACGGCCCTTAAGTCAGTTAACATACGCCATTTGCCTGATTTCTTCTGAATTACAAACACAGGAGAATTCCAAGGTGAGAACGAAGGCTCAATATGACCCTTTTCTAACTGTTCATTTACTAATAAATGTAAAGCCTCCAGTTTTTGTTTTGGTAGCGGCCACTGATTTACCCACACCGGTTTTTCTGTTTTCCAAGTTAATGGTATGGGTTTAGGAGGCTCTATAGTGGCCGCCCCTAAAAAGGATACCCTATTCCTTCTCTTTTTTGATTTATTTTAGCCTCAAATGGAATTTTAATGCCATCTTCATTTTTCCCTAGTCCCTTTCCTGGTATATATCCCATCTTGGTCATGATTTTTTGACTCGTGGGGCTATATAATGGAGCGGGCATGGTGATTTCCGCACCCCATTGTTGTAATAAATCTCAACCCCACAGATTAAGAGGAATTGAAGTAATCATTGGCTGAACAGTACTTTCTTGATTATCTGGCCCTAAGCAATGTAAAATCTCCGTACTTTGATACACTTCTGAGGCTGTGCCTATGCCGACAAGTCCTGTAACAGCCTTTTGTTTAGGCCAATTTTTTGGCCACTGATTTAAAGCAATGATAGAGACATCTGCTCCAGTGTCTACCAACCCTTCAAACTGTTTTCCTTGAATAATGGCCTTACACACAGGTCTGTTCTCTGAGACCTGACTTGCCCAATATGCAGCCTTTCCTGTTGGATCAGTGCTTCCAAGCCCTCCTATTTTTTTTAGTTCACTATTTCCACCCTTAATATATGGCAGGAGTAATAATTGAGCACTCCTGTCTCCTGGACTGGCACTCCAAGGAATTGAAGAGCTAATAACCAACTGAATTTCGCCTTTATAGTCTGAATCAACCACACTAGTATGAATTTGAACTCCTTTTAGATTTAGACTTGATCTTCCTAAGATTAGTCCTACAGTCCCCTCAGGCAGGGGGCCATATACCCCTGTGGGGATTTTTTGTGGGGGCTCCCCTGGAAGCAGAGAGACTGCTTGTATAGTACATAAATCTACTGCTGCACTGCTGCTTGTGGCAGGGGACAATTGTTGTATTGTGGTAACTGGCTTATTCCCTGAAACACTTGGGACAGTGGGGGTTGTTGTCCCTGAAAACCCTGAGGAACAAATGGCTGAATTGGGAATGCCCCAGTTTGTTGTGGGGCCTGAGGCTGGCCCCTTTGCTCGTTTCCCGACAATGGTTGCCCATTTTTATCAAATTTAGAACGACATTGACTAGCCCAATGTTTTCCTTTTTTACATCTTGGACATAAGTCAGGTGGCTCTCTACCTGTTGTAGTTGCTTGAATAGTTATATTCTGTTTGTTTAAGACTGGGCAATTCTTTTTTAAGTGACCAATTTGACCACAATTATAACATTTTCCTCCAAATGTTCTAACTTGTCCTCCTAAAACAACTCCTGTTATTGCTTGAGCCATAAGCATAGCTTTATGCATAGCTCCTCCGATTCCATCACAGGCTTTTACATATTCTGAGATTACATCTGATCCTGCAGGAACCTTTCCTTTTAATGGCTTAATGGCTGATTGACACTCAGGATTGGCGTTTTCATATGCCATCAACTCCACTATGACCTTACGGGCTTTTTCATCGGCAATTGACTTTTGAGCAACATCTTGGAGCCTTGCCACAAAATCAGGATAGGGCTCTTTTGAACCTTGTCTTACTGTATTAAATGAGGGGCAGGCACTTCCTGGGTCTTGGATTTTTTCCCAGGCTCTAAGGCAGATAGCTCTAACTTGCTCAATGGCCTCATTTTGCATTAATGCTTGTTGACTAATAGTACTCCAATTTTGACCTATTCCTAATAGTTGATCTGCATCTATGTTAACTGGAGGATTGGCAGCCCTATTTCTTCGGACCTGTTCTTGTACCCCATCAATCCACCAAGTCTTAAATTGTAAAAATTGAGAGGGTGAGAGAGACGATTTTGCCAGAATCTCCCAATCATAAGGAATGAGTCTATGTCCATAAGCAATGGAATCTAATAATGTCCTCATATAAGGGGAGTTGGGTCCATACTGTTTTACTCCCTCTTTCATATCTTTTAGCATTTTTATCGAAAAAGACTTGTATCTGGCCTCAACTGTGGGAGGCTCTCCCTCTTGGGCTCCTTCTCCAGGTGGCATCGGTTCTAACGTTACTGGGAATTGCCATGCCTCAGTATCTCCTTCCTTTCTTGATTTATCAATAATTTCATGTAATTCACTACCCTGTCTACTAGGTGGTGCCGTAGGATTAAGTCTCCTAGTGGGCGGCTGAGGGTATGGCGCCCTGCCCTGTGGTGCTGGGGGCATTCCTGGATATCCATACTGACTTTCTGGGGGTGGCCGATACTGAAGTTCAGCCGGAGGCCAGTATTGATAGGCTACTGGCGGTTGGGTCTTATTTTCTTTAACCTGCTTTTGAGGTTGTAATGTTACGGGCACCTGACCTGCTGGAAGAGGACTTGTCCCTCGTGGTTTAGACTCTGATGGCCCCACTAATTCTGGACCTTTTCCTTCTAATTTTAACGTTTCAGGATATATCACCTCCTGTAATTGATTATAGTCAACATTTTGCGTTGACTGAGCCATTACCGGCTCTGCTACATATTCGCAATGTAAACTTTCCGTTTCTTTCTGGGATTTTTTCCTTGTCTTTTCATTACAATCTATTAAACAGCTTCCAGGGGCATCAGAAACTGAAACGCTATCTTCTTCTGTTTGAAATGGTTCTAAAGCTGCTTTAATAATGGCCCAATCATTCCATACTGTAAGTGGAATGATATTACCCTTCCTACCTGCTTGTTTTAGTTCCTTACCAATTCTTTTCCAATCTTTTAGATCTAAAGTTCCTTGTTCTGGAAACCATGGGCAAAATTGTTCTATTATTTGAAATAGCTTGATTAGATTTTTTGTAGATACTTTAACTCCCCCTCTTTTTAAAAGAATTTTAATAAAGCTGAGATAAGAGGCATATTTACTTTTAATTTTACTTTTAGTTTGCCCCATTATCACCCTAGCTTCTTCCGAGCGCACAAGCTTACCGTAAGGCTGACTGTAGACGTACTCGGGATCTCTCGTCGACTTGTCCTCAATGACCACGCTCGAGCGTACCTTCACCCTAGAGAAAAGCCTCCATGTTGGGCACCAGATGTAGGGGTGGGTTGCCCCTACACACCTGTGGGTGTTTCTCGTAAGGTGGGACGAGAGATTTGGAAAAGAAAAAGACACAGAGACAAAGTATAGAGAAAGAAATAAGGGGAACCGGGGAACCAGCGTTCAGCATATGGAGGATCCCGCCAGCCTCTGAGTTCCCTTAGTATTTATTCATCATTTGTGGGTGTTTCTCGAAGAGGGGGATGTGTCAGGGTCACAAGACAATTGTGGGGAGAGGGTCAGCAGACAAACACGTGAACAAAGGTCTTTGCATCATAGACAATGTAAAGGATTAAGTGCTGTGCTTTTAGATATGCATACACATAAACATCTCAATGCTTTACAAAGCAGTATTGCTGCCCGCAGGTCCCACCTCCAGCCCTAAGGCGGTTTTTCCCTATCTCAGTAGATGGAGCATACAATCGGGTTTTATACCGAGACATTCCATTGCCCAGGGACAGGCAGGAGACAGATGCCTTCCTCTTGTCTCAACTGCAAGAGGCATTCCTTCCTCTTTTACTAATTCTCCTCAGCACAGACCCTTTACGGGTGTCGGGCTGGGGGACGGTCAGGTCTTTCCCTTCCCACGAGGCCATATTTCAGACTATCACATGGGGAGAAACCTTGGACAATACCTGGCTTTCCTAGGCAGAGGTCCCTGCGGCCTTCCGCAGTTTTTGTGTCCCTGGGTACTTGAGATTAGGGAGTGGTGATGACTCTTAAGGAGCAGGCTGCCTTCAAGCATCTGCTTAACAAAGCACATCCTGCACCGCCCTTAATCCATTTAACTCTGAGTTGACACAGCACACGTTTCAGAGAGCACGGGGTTGGGGGTAAGGTTATAGATTAACAGAATCTCAAGGCAGAAGAATTTTTCTTAGCACATAACAAAATGGAGTCTCCTATGTCTACTTCTTTCTACACAGACACAGTAACAATCTGATCTCTCTTGCTTTTCCCCACACTGGGTAACACAGCCAGACCCTGTCTCCACAAAAAAATATTTTTTAAAAATTAGCTAGGTGCAGTCCAGCCTGTAGTCCCAGCTACTTGGGAGGTTGAGGCAGGGGGATCACTTGAGCCCAGGTGTCAGGCCTCTGAGCCCAAGCTAAGCCATCATATCCCTTGTGACCTGCACGGATACATCCAGATGGGCTGAAGCAACTGAAGATCCACAGAAGAAGTGAAAATAGCCTTAACTGATGACATTCCACCATTGTGATTTGTTTCTGCCCCACCCTAACTGATCAATGTACTTCATAATCTCCCCCACCCTTAAGAAGGTTCTTGGTAATTCTCCCCACCCTTGAGAAGGTACTTTGTGAGATCCACCCCTGCCCCCAGAACATTGCTCTTAACTCCACTGCCTATCCCAAAACCTGTAAGAACTAATGATAATCCCACCACCCTTTGCTGACTCCTTTTTTGGACTCAGCCTGCCTGCACCCAGGTGAAATAAACAGCCTTGTTGCTCATACAAAGCTGGTTGGTGGTCCCTTCACAGGGACACATGAGACACCAGGAGTTCAAGGCCACAGTGAGCTGTGATCACATGGCTGCACTCCAGCTTGGGCAACAGAGAGAGACCCTGTCTCTTAAAAAAAAAAAAAAAAAAAGCCATCAGCTGGCTCAGGGTAGCCACCTGCCAAGGGTCCCCAGCTGAGCCTAAGACCTGCTTCCTAGGATTTACAGAGCTCCTGTGAAACTCGGTTGTTTCATTGATTGTCACATGGAGCCAGTGACTTTCAGGCCAGCCTTGTTCCCACAGGTGCCCTCACAGGTGGGCTCTCCCGTGGGCCTGGGCACCCAGCGCTAGGCCTGCTCTGCTATGGTCTGGACGTGAGTGGTGATCTCTGTGATCCCTGCACCCCTCGCTTCTCCCCCTGCCCTCTCTGCAGCCCTGCCCCTGGCAGCCCCTGCCCACCTTTGCCTCTGTGCAGGGCCACAGGCTTCCTTGAAGCAAATGCTAGAACTTTGCTTTTTTAAAAAAATATAACAGCTTTATTGAGATATTGAATGGTTTTTTAGTCTATACACAAGGTTGAGCAAACATCACCACTCTCTAGCCCCAGAGTATTTCCGGACCCCAAAGAAACTCCGTGGGCCTTGGCAGCCCCTCCCACTCCTCCCGTCCTCCACCTCCAGGCACCACTGCCAGTGCCATACTCACCAGGCTCCACTATGGGCTTGTCTTCGTGTGACTTCTGTCTCTATCGATTTGTCTATTCTGAACTCTTCATATAAAACGAACCATACAACTTGTGGCCGTTTGTGTCCGGAATCTTTCTTTAAAAAAAAAAATTCACCGGGCGTGGTGGCTCACGCCTGTAATCCCAGCACTCTGGGAGGCGGAGGCGGGCGGATCACAAGGTCAGGAGATCAAGACCATCCTGGCTAACACGGTGAAACCCCGTCTCTACTAAAAACATAAAAAATTAGCCAGGCTTGGCAGGCGCCTGTAGTCCCAGCTACTCTGGAGGCTGAGGTGGGAGAATGGCGTGAACCCGGGAGGCAGAGGTTGCAGTGAGCTGAGATCATGCCACTGCACTCCAGCCTGGGAGACAGAGCAAGACTCCATCTCAAAAAAAAAAAATTCACTTTTATTTTTGAGACAGGGTCTCCCTCCATTGCCCAGGCTGGAGTTCAGTGGCACAATCAGCTCACTGCAGCTTCAACCTCCTGGGCTCAAGCAATCCCCTCACCTCAGCCTCCTGAGTAGCTGGGATTACAGACATGCAACACTATGCCTGGTTAATTTTCTATTTTTTGTAGAGACGAGGTCTTACTATGTTGCCCAGACTGCTCTGGCACTCCTGGGCTCAAAAGATCCTCCTGCCTCGGCCTCCCAAAGTGCTGAGATTACAGGCGTGAGCCACCACACCCGGCTATTTTTATTTTTTAGTTGACACATAATAATTGTACATATTTGTGGGGTACGTAGTGATGTTTCTGTACGTGTATAGTGATCAGATAAGGGTAATTAGCATACCTATCATCTCAAACATTTATTATTTCTTTGCATTACGAACACTCAATATTCTCCTTCAAGCTATCTGAAAATACATAATTTTTGTTTTGAGACAGGGTCTCACTCTGTTGCTGTCTTCACGGAGAGCAGGAGCAGAGGCTTTGAGAAGCCAGTGGGCCTTGGCCTCAGCCCTGCCGGCAGAGGGTCCCCACCATGCAGCTGAAGTGCCAGGGTGCTTGTGAAGTCTAAGCCCTTGTCTGGCATTTGTCAGGAATATAGGGTGAGGCCTCTGGGACCGAGCGGGGCGGGGCGGGGCGGGGCGGGGCGGGGCGGGACCAACAGCGCACACTTAAGCGGCCCGGGCGGGTACCGCCGTCCCGCCATGGCTCTGAGGCGCGCCCTGCCCGCGCTGCGCCCCTGCATTCCCCGCTTCGTCCCGCTGTCCACGGCGCCGGCCTCCCGCGAGCAGCCCGCAGCGGGCCCAGCGGCCGTGCCAGGAGGTGGGTCGGCCACGGCAGTGCGGCCGCCGGTGCCCGCCGTGGACTTCGGCAACGCGCAGGAGGCGTACCGCAGCCGGCGAACCTGGGAGCTGGCGCGGAGCCTGCTGGTGCTGCGCTTGTGCGCCTGGCCCGCGCTGCTGGCGCGCCACGAGCAGGTGCGCGGGGTGCAGGCGGGGGCGCGGGGGCTTCTGCCGGTCCCGGGAGCCTTTACGGAGCTTCCTGGCCTGAAACGGGTGCCTCCCAAGCATCTCCTGGAGCAAGGGAAGCCAGGAAGGGAGGCGTTTCCTGCAGTCCCTCTCGGACCTCGCAAATTTTCCTATTTGTCGATGTCTACCAACTAAAAACAATGGTCGTTTTCATATTTACGATATATACCACTTGTGGGAATACAGAGTTATCACTTGGAATTTAAAATGGAGTATTCTTCATGTTGAGACAAGAGAATCCTGGTGTAGGGCTCATAGCCTGGAACCCCGGAATTCAAACCCCGGGACCCAGCAGCTTCCCAGACACGGCCACTCTGAGAACACTGTTGGGGAAAAATGGGAAGCCCCTCAAACGCCCAGCTTTGAACTCACCCATGGTAGCTTTAAAAAGTGTCAGGGCTTTTGGTGGCGGTGGTGGGGGGCAACAAGCAGAACACTGTTTTAGCCGCATCAGCCTAGGGGTACTAGAGATGACGGTTATCTCCAGGTGACCCTGGGAAGAGTTTGCAAGGTTCCGCTTTTTGGCGCCAGGGTATCTGGTGGTGTTGATTTCTCAGGTGAGACTGTACAGAGGTCGGGGGCTGCACCCCTGGCCTCAACAGGAGGCGGGGGAAGGCGGGGGACGGTGTCAGATGAGAAGCACCGAGCCACAGTTGAGCTTAGGTGAGGCCTCGGCGGGTGCGAGGTGAGGGCAGGGATCCACGAACTCAGAGTCAGATGCTGTTGGCCCGAATCCCATGGGGAGCGCCAAGGTCAGCCTAGGACCCGTGGTGGCGGGAGTGCGGAGGATGGTGGAGGAAGAAGGAGCTGAACTGGACAGATGGAGGGCTCTGGGAGGGCATTGCTGTGTGTGCACACAAGGATGTCTTAAGGTCAAGTTTTGGTCATAGAGAGCCCCGGCCAAGGAGACAGGAGGGCGAGAAGGGACATCCCAGGTAGAGGAACTGGCAAGGTGAGGGACGGCGATGTGGAGGCTTTGGGGAGTGCCCACATCTAAGGGGCATCCCAAAAGAGGAGCCAGTGCTGGTGGTGCTGCAATAGGAGGAGGAGGCAGCAGGGCAGAAATGCCAGGGGAGGGAGTGGCCAGCCACAGGTCCCTGCCCAGGGCAAGGACGGGCATGCTAGGTGGCAGCTGGGGCCAGTCGTGCAGAAGCCATGCCCACCTTGTGGCCGGGATGGAGTGGGGACTAGGAAGGCACCAGGTCAGGTTTCTGTAGGCACAGCCCTAAGCATGGCTGGGATGGGGAGGGGGCTAGGAAGGCACCAGGTCAGGTTTCTGTAGGCACAGCCCTAAGGTTTCTTGTCTAGATTCAAGACAAGTTGTTGCACAGAGAAGCCAGCAGAGCTGGGTGTGGGGTTTGGTGCCCAGTCTGCTGCGGGGAATGCCAGGTGCTGTTCCGTGACTGTGGGAGGAAACTGTTGGCTCCGCTGTCCCTTGGGTGCCTTCTTGAGGCAAGTGCCAGGGCTCAGGGATGGTGCTGTGAGTACCTGGAAGAGGCAGGGCATCCAGAGGTGACCTCTCCCAGGCTCCCCTAGGGTCCCACCTGTGCCCTGGGAAGTCCCTCAGTGGGGTCTGTACTGTTGTCTTGCTAGTGGTCCCATGGGTGTCGGCAGCCTCAGCACTGGAAGAAGGCAGAGGCCAGGTCCTGGGCTTGTGAGCTGCTCACTAGAACCTGGTCCTGTGAGCGGGCCAGAGGGGAGTTCCTTCCCTCACCCTCTGGGCTGTGGGGAGATTCCTTCTGCTGAGCCAGCACAGGTCTGTGAGGCACCCGGGCAGTGAGGCCACATCTGCCACAGGCGTGTCAGGTTGTAGTAGCTGATCTTTGAGCTGCTGCCTTGGATGGGGACAGCAGTGGGGCCCGCCCTTGCCTGAAAGCCAGACTTATTGAGGAGGGTTTAGGAAAGTCCCAGGATTTCCATGACAACAGCACTGAGGTTGGGTGTGCGCCCTCACAGAAGGGACAGGACCCGTGGTGACAGTGGTTCCCTGAGTGGGGGGAGGGGAGAGAACCGGCTCTACCAGTGTTACTCTGCACACATTTGGTTGAGTCTTTCACAGGGGGTACAAGTGTATGTGTTACTGGTGCAGGTTTCTAAATCCTCGAAGGATCTCCTCACCTGAAGAAGATGTGGGGCTGCCCTGGTCTCAGGTAGTGCCATGCGGGGACATCAGTGACACCAGGATGGTGTTAAAGTGGTTGCTTTGCTGTGGAGTCAGCTTTAAAATTACAAGCCCTAGGCTCATGCCTAGGCATGGTGGCTCATGCCTGTAATTCTAGCACTTAAGGAGGTCAAGGCAGGAGGATCATTTAAGGCTAGGAGTTCAAGACCAGCCTGAGCAACATCGTGAAACCCTGTCTCTACAAAATATTTTTAAAAGTTAGCTGGGGCCAGGTGCGGTGGCTCATGCCTGTCATCCCAGCACTTTGGGTGGCCGAGGCGGGTGGATCACCTGAAGTCAGGAGTTTGAGACCAGCCTGGCCAACATGGAGAAACCCCATCTCTACTAAAAATATAAAAATTAGCTGGGCATGGTGGTGTGCGCCTGTAATCTCTGCTACTTGGGAGGCTGAGGCGGGAGAATCGCTTGAACCTGGGAGGTGGAGGTTGCAGTGAGCCGAGATTGTGCTACTGCACTCCAGCCTGGGCAACAAGAGCAAAACTCTGCCTCAAAAAAAAGAAAAAATAAAAGTTAGCTGAGTGTGGTGGTGCATGCCTGTAGTCCCAACTACTCTGGAGGCCGAGATAGGAGTGTCGCTTGAGCCCAGGAGTGAGACCCTGCCTCTAAAAATAAATAAATAAAAAACTTGCCAGCCCTGCCTGTGTGCTTCTGCAGCCCTGTGCAGGGAGCTTCCACCCTCAGCCCGGGCCCAGTCCCCCAGCCCCCCATCTTTGTGAATAAGCATCCCTGGAGTCAGTGCAGCCTGGGCTCCCGCCCCTTCATTTAGTGCTGGCCGTGCGGAGGCGAGCAGTTAGGTAGAGGGAGACTGCGTGGCCCCGTGCGGCAGTCGACAGTTGCCCACCCTCCCTCCTGTTGTTTTCTGATGGTTCTCTCAGAGCGGATGTGGATAAGCCCAGTGATGGTGTTCAGGTCCCCAGTTCTGCCCCGCCTGCCACTTGGGTGATCTTTGATATGTTTCAGACCCATCCTGTTCTCCCAACTATCCCTGGGTGCTGCCAGCAGGAATGAGGCCTGGCTCAGGCTCAGTGGGAGACGGAGAACATGTCAGCCTGTTCATTTTCCAGTTTCTAATCCTCTTGATAAAAGAACAAAATGCCTTAAAGTCAGATTCTGCTTGGAGGCTGCAGGAAGGCAGGGGTGAGTGCCTGGGAAACCCTGGTCCTTGGGGCTGCCCCATGGCGTGCCCAGGGGTGATGGTCAGGAGGCGTCTCCATGGGGCACCAATGTTCAGGGTAAGGCTGTGGGGCTATGTCTGCCTGTGGGCAGGCGTGTGGGTGCTCAGGGCTGGCTTGGGTGTAAGTGTTTGACTCGCTAATGGTTTTGCTTAGACTAGAAGTTGTTCCTGAAACTACGGTCTCAAGAGATGCTCCCCACATAAAAGGAGTTCTAGTATCCATTGGGTTTGAGAAACCCCAGGCTCTTCCTGTGTTGGGGCTGAGTCGGCAGGGGCAGCAGACACAACGCGGAGGTGTGCTTCTGAGCATCACACTCGGCCCTCCTCTCCAAGTAGCCTCTCGTTGTCCCTGTCCTTTCTGCCCTGGCTGTCCCCCGTGCTGGAGCTCCCACAGTTGTCCATGCCATCTCCTCGCCTTGGCAAGCCCCACTCCTGGATCTGGGTTAGTAAACACCCCTGCCCTACCCTGCAGGCACTGCCCCATCCCCCTGTCCTGAGTCATAGGCAGAGTCCCTCCTTCCCCTTTGGGGTTCCTTTACCACCAGGATGTGAGATCCTGGTCGGTTTCCTTTGGTTGTTTCCAGTCTATAAAAGGTGCTTGGTGCATGGCAGCTTGGGACATCTGAATGAGCGACGTGGTGAAATATGATTGGAGGAGACAGACAGTTCCCGGGCAGCATCTGTCAGAGTGGCTGGTCAGCCCCAGATGACCCTGCAGAGCGCATGGGTCCTGGGGTGGGAGTCATCTCACAGGCCCCTGTGGACTGTCATCTAGCTCATTGTCCTTGTTGCCAGGGCATGCCTCCCTCCAGCTGGGCGCAGACTCAGCCTGAGTTTCACACGTTTGTTATTTAGCATCCATTCGGGGGCTGGCCTCATGCCAGTCACACTGTTTAAGGGACTTGGGATAAGAGGGAACAAAACATTGAAAAATCTGGGCACTCAAGTACTAGAAAGTCAAGTTAGATCCTCCTCTTCCGCAGCAGAACTACCAAGGTGTGGATACAGAGGATGGTCTCAAAATGCCGGCTGTCATCCCCAGGGAGGCTGGCCATTCTCCTTTTTATCCACCAAGCAGTGGTCAGGCACCCACTGTGTGCTGCTGGAGTGACTCATGGGTGGGGCCCTGAAGGGGCAGAGTCCAGGTGGGAACAGTGTCCTCAGGCCAAGCAGGCAGCACCTCCTGTGGTCTCTCTGCCCTGGATGGGAACTGGAGTGATGGACAGGGTGGAGAAGCAAGCGGCTTTAGCTGGTCTTCACCATGAAACTGACCCTGAAAGCCCAGTCGCCAAGAGACCATATCGAGGCCCCATGGCTGGGGTGAAGTGTGGTCGGGGATGAGCAGCGGTGCCTTGCTGGGAAAGGAGAGTTCAGGCAGCCCAGGACAGCGGCTTCCCTTTGCCTTTCAGCTGCTGTATGTTTCCAGGAAACTTCTAGGACAGAGGCTATTCAACAAGCTCATGAAGATGACCTTCTATGGGCATTTTGTAGCCGGGGAGGACCAGGAGTCCATCCAGCCCCTGCTTCGGCACTACAGGGCCTTCGGTGTCAGCGCCATCCTGGACTATGGAGTGGAGGAGGACCTGAGCCCCGAGGAGGCAGAGCACAAGGAGATGGAGTAAGGCCTGCCCGGTGTCTGCGGGCTTTCTGATCATGACCCTGGAGCACCCAGTGGGAGCAGGTGGGATGTATCCAGCTGCTGGGCTTCAGCCTCAGCTGGGCAGAGGCCAAGGCTAGGAGAGCTTGGTCAGCCCAACTACCGATGACCCTCCTGGGCTCTGCCTGGAGTTCTTGCATTTTTGTTTCATGCGGTGGACAGCTCTGGGCTTTCATGGGAGGCCTGGTGTGCGTGAGGCCTGAGGAAGCAGAGTACAGAATGGCCCTTGGCCCTATCTAGTCCACCGCCTGGAGGAGCACAGGCACCAGCATATGAACCAAGCACTCTGCAAAGAATGGTTGGTCTCGCCTGGATCTCACATGAGCCAGGGACTGCTCCAGGAAGTGGAGGGAAACGTGGTCTTGTTGTTCTGTCCTGATGCCCTGCCCAGGAGGGCGGGTCAGGGTGGTACCAACTGCCCTCTACACTCACTGCCCAGGGAAGGGGCCTTGTATCAGCTTAGTGGCCTCCAGGAGCTGACTCCAGGCCGGCCTGCTACACTGCTCCTGGCTTCAATTCCCTTCTCCACTGACAATGGGGCAGGGGCCAGGCCTGGGAGGTTCCACAACTGCAGGGCAGGCTGAGGCCAGGCAAGGGTCGGGCAGTGGGACCTGCCTGCGGGTCAGGAATCCCTGCAAAAGAGAGGCTGTAGCAGAGCCTCCTCCATCAGGTCAGCAAGTTTGTGTAAACAGCCAGGTAGCACAGACTCTCAGTCGGGCCACACCCTCCCTGCCACAACGGCTTCACTCTGCCTCAGTAGGGCCATAGTAATTAGAATTTCATATAATTTTCTTGTGTCACAAAATATTATTCTTGTTTTGATTTCTTTCAACCAGTTTTTTTAAAGTAGGGTCTTGCTCTGTTGCCCAGGCTAGAGTGCAGTGGTGCCATTGTTCACTGCAGCCAACCTTCTGGGCTCAAGTGATCCTCCCATCTGAGCCCCCTAAGTAGCTGGGACCACAGGCACGCACCACCATACCTGGCTAAGTTTTAATTTTTTTTTGTAAAGATGGGATCTCCCTATGTCTTCCTATGTATTTGGGTCCCCTGCACCCTGACAGCAGCCGGGCCTGACCCACATAAGGCTTGGGACAGTCCCTCTGTGGACCTGGTCAGGCCTTGGTGGTTGTTCCTGCCCCTCCCCTGGTGGCTGGCCTGGGAAGGGGAGGGAAAGGCAGTCACATGAGGCCTCCAGCCCTGGGAACGGAATGTCTGAGGCTTGCCTCAGCATGTCGGCTGCCAGCTGCCTGGAGAGGATTGGCCAGGGGAGCCCAGCCCCTGCCTTGCGATTGGCTGTTTTGAAGGTGGGGTACTACAGCCCCAGCACCCCACTGTGTTCCTAGCAGGCCCCGTGGGCCTTGCAGCTGCCTGAGCTCTTGGCTGCAGCCTTTGCTGAGCTGCCTGTTGAATAACCAATGGCCTGTGTGTTCTCAGAAGGAGTCTGGGTGGGGACTTGGTTTCACAATGGGATTTTCCTCTCAGGCGCCTCTGGTATGAAAAGACTCCTTTCCCAGGGTGGTCCTGCCTGGCTTCCTCCCTGCCCTGCAGGCTGAGTGTCTGGAGGTGGACTGGCCTGCACTCTGCCAGGGGGCTGGGCACCTGTGTCCTTAGGAGCTTGAGTCCTTTGCCCTGCAAGGGATTCACCTGTCTTGCTGCTGGTGGCTGCTGTCTGCAGGGGTCCTGCTCCAGCTCTGGGAAGTGAACAGGGTTCCCTCCTGTCCTCACAGGGGTGCATGCTGAGGACACCTACCGAGCTCAGCTGCTTTGTGCTTTCAGAGGGGCCTGAGCCATGGGGGTAGGGCTGGGTCTGCAAGCACTGGTCTGATGTCCACACTGCAGCATGGCCTGCTTGGCCAGGAGTGACCAGTCACGCAGACCCTAGTGCAGGGAACTGCTTAGAGATCTGCCTTCCTAACCTACCCTCCTGTCACAAGGGCCATGGGCTCTACTCTGGGGAGAGACACTGAGGCCACCGCCCCAAATTAAGGCCATGGCAAGTGGTGCTGGCCGTGAGAGGCCCAGGGAGGATGGAGGCGTCTGAGTGCATGGCAAAGTGAGTCCCAGCAGTGCTCCCGAGAAAGAAAGAGGAGGTGGGAGCCTGGAGGTGCAGGAGGGCAATGCCCACCCGGGGGGGGGGTGGACCATGCTTCCCAGAGGCCAGGGCCCCACCCAACCCCAGGAGAGGAGTCCCAGGGATCCCCGAAGCAGGCTGAGGGCTTGGGGATGGGGAAGGGGCCAAGGCATCTTCCTGATGATTGGGCTGTGAGGGAACACCTAGGGGGTGGATGGGGGCATTGGTCTGGCTGTGCAGGCCCAGGGCTGGCTGGAGGCAGGATATGTGTGCAGTGAGTGTCCTGAGCGAGGGGCTGGGGAGGCAGAGGGTTGGGGAGCTGGGGAGGGGGGTACAGGTAGGAAGCGGCTTGCCAGGCTTCCCTCCAGGAGAGAGTTGGACAAGGGCGGGGTGTGGACCCCCATGCTCTGCTTGTTTCAATAGGCATCACGTCCCCAGGGACAGCCACCCAGAGCTGAGGTGGAGGCTGAGGGGGTGGTCAGGGTCTTCCTGCTGTCTCTGAAGACCCCCTGGGGACACGTGCTTGTCCTCCTCTGCCCTATGTCCCCTTGTCGCTCTTCCCTCCTCTGTTGTCCCAGGTCGTGCCCATGTGTGCGATCATGTGCCCTTCAACAGACTATGCCCTGGGCATGATGAGGGGTGGGACTGGGGGAGCACGAGGCAGGTCCTGGCTTTAAGGAGGCATTGGGATGTGGTCCCCACCCTGATCAGGGCCCCACATCCACTGGTTCACCCTTCCTCCTCTAACACCCCACAGCTGCCAGTGCCATGTGCCCCCCTCTTCCCTGTGGTGCCTTGAGCCAGGACGTGGCAACGTCCCAGGTGGCGAAAGCCAGATTTCCTGTGTGGCACCCGCAGTTCTGAATCAGCTGCTCCCAGGGTGCTTTCTTCCTCTTCTCCAGTGGAAATAGGACCCCTGACCTGCCTGGGAACCACCATTTGTGTCTCCTTGTGACTTATCCATGATGCCTGTTGGAGAGTGTGGCCCTGTCCTTGCTGCGTAGCCATCCACTCTGAGACCTGGCTGCCCCTCTGGCCACTGCACGTGCTGTGTGGTCATCTTGGCCACTGCTTGGCTGTGTCAGCCTGGTCTGTGCTCTGGAAGTTCACGGAGAGGAGCAGCGGTAGCCTATGGTGTTCTGCCTCTGAGTGTGTCAGAGCAGGAGAGGGAGCAGCCCTGGCTTCCCCAGCCTCTCCTGCCAGGCCCACCTCAGAGGATGAACACAGCAGCTGTGGGAATGCTGAGCGGGAACTCATCTGCCTGGGGACCTGTCAGATAATGATCCTGTTTCATGAAGGTGAGCTGCCTCACAGGCAGACACCTGTGTGGTTAAGTCCCGTGTTATCCAAACTGTGGGCTGTGTGGTTTCAGGATGGGACCTTCTCTTCAGGGTCATGGAGGCCCCTGAGGCCCTGTCCCCACTGTCTGCTGTTACTTGCCATGAGGGTTTCTGCCCTGGGCAGGGCCCTGGCTGCCACCCCGGCCTTAACATAGACAGTGAGTCCCCCTTGGGGATGGCTTTTCCTGGCTGTACCTAAGCCTTGGCGTGAAGGTCTTAGGGCTGATCTCATGACTGGTCTTGAGGTGCCCAAGCCAGGGGCCCAGGAGCTCCCTGTCTCAGGCAGGGGTTCACGTGCTGCCTGCCTGTTCCCTAGTCACATGGTGACATTCCACCCTCTTCTGTCACATCTCTGTCAGCATAAGGTGGCCAGAGCATATCTGCCTGCCAGCTCCCATCACTGGGCTGCAGCCTCAGGGGCCCTGGCAGCACATGTGGAGTCCCTGGCCCATGTGGGGCTGCCCAGGAGTGGGTGGGAGGGAAGGCCTCCTGGCGGGGGCTCCTGGCCCAGGGCTTGCTCCTTGAGCAGCCAGGTGGAAAGTGGGCAGCTGAGGCCCCTTGACATGGAGGCCTCTGGGATGCGGCTCACTGACCACTGCTCTGCCTTTCCCCTTCCCGGCATCTGAGGGGGACCCTCTCCTTTCCTGTGAGTGTGGGCAGAGCTGCCCCTGAGGGTCCGAGCGCCTCTGGGGAGCTTCAGGAAGGCTCTGGGTGCTGTTGGTCATGCAGCTGAGCTCTCTCCGTGGTCACTGACTTGATCAGGTTTGAATATAAAGTCAGGTGACCCTCAGAGCTGCTCCGGGGGCCAGGGAGACCATGGTCGCTTTGTCACAGCAGACTTAACGGCCGCAGCAACTCTTGCTAGCCTGGATGACACAGCACTGAAACCAAGTGCCAGAAGCAGATTGTGGCTGTGGGGAGGAGGAGGAAGAAGAGGAGGCTCTGGCAGGGGTGCAGGGCTGGTGGGGGAGGGGAGCCAGGTACCCTAGAGAAGGGAGGGGCCAGGGGGAATGGGGGTGCTGGCCAGGCGGGGATGGAGAGGCTTCTGCAGGAAGGACAGGGGCTTGGCTGAGCAGAGTGTGGCCAGCCTAGCGGGGGACAGCCTGCATCCTGGCCTCACTGGTCTTGAGGTGCCCAAGCCAGGGGCCCAGGACTTTGGGCATTACTAGGAAATGATGGGAACCCTGGGTGGGGTGGCGTGAAACAAGATGAGATGGTAAGATCTGCTTTCACTTTAAAGGAACATTTCTGGTTGTTGCTTGGAAAAGAAGTGTCGGGGCAAGAATGCTACAGGAGGGCCGGCCTGGAGGACAGGGCGGGACTGCAGGGCTGGCTGTGCGGGGGCAGGAGCCTGTGCTTGCATCAGAGCTGCCTGGGAGACCCTGGCTCTGGGGTGGAGGCCTGAGTAAGGGGGCCTCGCTGGGGATTTGGGGACCTCTGTGTGCTGGTGCCTTCCCGCCTCCGTTCCTCTCAGCCCTGACTGGCTCTGTCTTGGAACCAGGTAACTACCTTTATTTGAGAACCTGCTGCAAGCCCTGGGCTGTTCTGAGAGCTCAGGAATATCGTTCTGATTTCTCCACCCACAAGGAGCCCCGGGCTTCCTGAGCCCTTGGGACACAGCAGCCCCATAAACTGCTGCCCCTCCCAGGCCCAAGTGTTCCACCCCAGGCTAGGGGTGGGGCTGGGGCTGCACCTTGGAATCTACCCTCCACCGGGGTTGTGGTGGGGCCCTCCGTGCAGCCTCAGTGGGAACGTGCCTGTCACCTGAGGCTCAGGTGGCGTGACCCTGACCTTTGCTCTCCCCCTCCTTCCCACAGGTCCTGCACCTCAGCTGCGGAGAGGGATGGCAGTGGTGAGTGAGAGGCTGCCGCGCAGGAACAGACTCCCTCCCGACTCCGCACACCCCTTGGTGGCTCAGGAGAGTCTAGGCTGGGGCACAAGTGGGCCTTGGGGTGACGTCGGAGCCCGGGCTCCTCCCTATGTCCAGGGCACCTGCCCTGTCGCTCTGGGCTCTGACATACTCGCAAGTGTCTGGGGAGACGCCCTGCTCCTTTTTCATGGCCTCCTGGTGGACCTAGGCCTTTGTTAAGGAGACTGCCGTCCTGGCCTCATGAGGAGGCTTAGCCAGGGGGATGCAGCACTCCAGGTGGAAGAGCCGCGGTGTAGACAGGAGGGTGGGCTTGGGGATGGGAACCATGGGGCAGTGCAGTGCCAGGGCCAGGCTGGCAAGGCCACTATGCTTGGAGCCCTCCTGAGGGCAGGGGCCCTGGGCTATTGGTGTGTGGGTGCTGGGGGTGGGTGTTTGGAGCTGTGCTCAGGCCGTGCATTCGCTATTCCAGGCACGAATAAGCGGGACAAGCAATACCAGGCCCACTGGGCCTTCGGGGACCGCAGGAATGGTGTCATCAGTGCCCGCACCTACTTCTACGCCAATGAGGCCAAGTGCGACAGCCACATGGAGACATTCTTGCGCTGCATCGAAGCCTCAGGTGGGGCCCCCTCTTTGCTGGCTATACCCCTGCCATGTCCCAGCCTGAGCGGACCCCTGGGCTCATGGAGGTGCCGGTGGGTGAACACTAAGCTGGGGCAGGAGCCAGAGGGCTGGGTTCTGACCACACTTGGGTCCCTCACTGTTCAGCCCCTTCCTGAGGGGCCCCACTGCCTCCCAGAAGGCATCTCCTCTCCTGCCCCAGCTCCCTGTTCCCTGATCCCGCCTCATGCCCCCCACCCTTCTCCCTGGCTCAGGGCCAGGATCGGGAGCTGCAGGAAGTTGGTCCATGTCAGCTGCCGAGCCACACTTAGCCCAGGGTGGAGGTTCCATTCAGGGAGCTGGTGCCGCATCTTCTGTCCTTCCCTGACACAGCCTCTGGGGGCCAGCGGTGGGGGCAGCAGGTGTTTCCAGGGATAGAGAAGCCAGAGGTCAGCAAGGCCCAATGTCCTTCAGTGTTAGAAACATCCGACCTGCACAGCCCCATGCTGGCCCCAGCAGCCCTCCGTCAGGGGCAGCGGGTCCCAGGCCTGTTTATGTTTTTGTTTGTTTGCTTCAAATGAGACTGGATCTTGCTCTGTCACCCAGGCTGGAGTGCTCACGCCTCTAATCCCAGCAATTTGGGAGGCCAAGGCGGGTGGATTGCCTGAGCTCAGTTCAAGACCAGCCTGGGCAACATGGTGAAACTCCGTCTCCACTAAAATACAAAAAATTAGCCGGGCGTGGCAGCAGGCGCTTGTAATCCCAGCTACTTGGGAGGCTGAGACAGGAGAATCACTTGAATCCAGGAGGCGGAGGTTGCAGTGAGCCAAGATTGCGCCACTGCACTCCAGCCTGGGCGACAGAGTGAGACTCCATCTCAAAAAAAAAAAAAAAAAATGAGGTCTCACTATGTTGCCCTGGTTGGCCTGGAACTCCTGGGCTCAAGTGATCCCTCCACCTTGGCCTCCCAAAGTGCTGGGATTACAGGCACACACTACCACACCCAGCTAATTTTCATATTTTTTGTAGAGATGGTGTTTCACCATGTTGCCCAGGCTGGTCTCAAACTCCTGGCCTCAAGCGAACCTTACACTTTGGCCTCCCAAAGTGCTGGGATTATAGGTGCATGCCGCTGCACCTGGCACTTCTGAGCAGTGCTTGGAAGCCGCCTCCTGATGGGGGCTGAGGGTCAGAGTGGCCAGCTGAATGCTGGGCCATCAGGGTGAGGGGCGTCTTCTCCTCGTCCATTGCCTGTTCTCCCAGGGCAGGTGGAAGGGGAAGGCCCTGCATTGGGGTGGCGTGAAACAAGATGAGATGGTAAGATCTGCTTTCACTTTAAAGGAACATTTCTGGTTGTTGCTTGGAAAGAAGTGTCAGGGGCAAGAATGCTGCAGGAGGGCTGGCCTGGAGGACAGGGTGGGACTGCGGGCTGGCTGCACGGGGGCAGGAGCCTGCGCTTGCGTCAGAGGTTCCTGAGAGACTCGGTCTCTGGGGCAGAGGCCTGAGCAAGGGGACCTCGCTGGGGTGTCTCTGTCTTAGCCACGCTCGGTGTTTCTGGGTCCTGTGACCCACGTGTGAGCAGCCTGTGGTGCTGGTGGCACAGGGAAGGAAACCGAGGCAGGGAGCCTGTGGGGGCTGCTTGGCAGGGGACAGGCAGCTCCTGTGCCCACTGCTGTCCCACACCTGCATGGAAACAGAAACCCCGCCACGGAGCCCCCTCCCATCTCCACAGGGCCTCTAGAGCGCCATGTGCAAGGACTTCATGGGCGGGGTGGGGTGGGGTCAGGAGCCTGCTGTGGGCTGGCCAGGCCCTGGCCCTCCCTGTCGCACCCTGCGCTGCCTCCATGCACCTCTCAGGGCTGTCATGGCTTTTCCTGTGGCTTCTGACAGGTAGAGTCAGCGATGACGGCTTCATAGCCATTAAGCTCACAGCACTGGGGAGACCCCAGTTTCTGGTAAGTGCTAGAACCTTCCACCTGCAGAGTCTGGTGCTGTGCGAGATCTCAGGGCAGCTGTGGGCATCCACCAAAAACACAGGTGCCCATGCCTTAGAGGCCTGAGCTGGCCACAGGGGCTGTGTGGGGGACTGGGGTGGGCAGGGGCGTGTGCAGATGGCATTCAGGCCTGCGTTTGCAGCTGCAGTTCTCAGAGGTGCTGGCCAAGTGGAGGTGCTTCTTTCACCAAATGGCTGTGGAGCAAGGGCAGGCGGGCCTGGCTGCCATGGACACCAAGCTGGAGGTGGCGGTGCTGCAGGTGGGGCAGCCTTCCCCTTCCCCACTCCTGTGGCTTGTGAGGGGGTGGGCACCGTGGGGTCACACGGGGCATGGTGGGCAGTGGTCGGAGGTGGTTTTGGGAACTCACCCAGGGCATGTGGCTCACTCTGCAGCTGCTGGGGTTGGCCTGGTGGGGAGGAGGAGGTCAGAGGGACTCTGAACAGAGAGGGGAGATGCTGGCAGGAGGGCTGGAGACCCAGCCCTGCAGGGCGTGGGCGTGCATCAGCAGCGGGGTGGGAATAGACCTGTCTATGCAGTAGAAACAAACCAGACATGGATCCTGTTCTTACTAACGATGTAATAAAGCCAGAAACAGCACCAGAGGCCAATGGGTGGGGGGAAGGATAAAATATGAGTGAATGGGGCTGATCCAGGCCTTCTCACTTCTCAAGGAAAGTGTCGCAAAGTTGGGCATCGCATCCAGGGCTGAGATTGAGGACTGGTTCACGGCAGAGACCCTGGGAGTGTCTGGGTGAGAGCAGCCCCCAGGCTGAGAGGACACGAGCATCAGCCATGGTTCCAGCCAAGCCCCAGTGACGTCTCCCAGTCCTGGCTGCCCTGCCTGAGAGGGTGGGCCCTGGGATGACAGTGCTGAAGGAACTGCTTTTCACACAGCAGGACTTGATGGCTTCAGGAGTCCCTGAGGCTGGGGCTGGGCTGGGCAGGGGAGACACAGGGCCAGCACAGACCCCATAGAGGGCTCTTTATAGAATTATCTGGGTCCAGAGCAAAGGTGGCACTCTCAGCCCTCCCTGGAGTCCACGCCGGCAGGTGAAGGATCAGAGCCCCATGCCCCATCCTTGGAGCCAGGGGCTGGGACCCAGATCACCAGGAGCCTCCAGTTGAAGTGGGGAGGTGACTGGGGTGGTGCAGTAGTGAGCCATCCCCTCACACACTGCCAGCCTTGCCCACTGTGTCCTCCCTGGCCGCCCGGAGCTGTGTCCGCCTCCTGCCTGGCTGCCTGTGCTCGGCCCCTCCACAAGCCCAAAACAGCCTAGGGTACTCAGTGTTTTCAGAGCCGCCTAGATGCAGGACTGTTTGTGTTTTGGTTTTAAATTTATTTAATTAATTTATTTTTTATAGAGACCAGGTCTCACCATGTTGCCCAGGCTGGTTTCAAACCCCTGGGCTCAAGTGACCTGCCCGCCGCAGCCCCCAAAGTGCTGGGATTATAAGTTTGAGCCCCCGCATGCCACTGGTTTTAAATTTTTAAACAGAAAACAATATTTATATTTCCTCTGTCTTTTAAAACTGAACACCGAGGTGGGTTTTGTGGTGGGTGGTGAACGGACAGGTTTGGGCCTCGATCCCCCACCCGACCCTAGCACCCACAGGTGGGGGTGCCCCCTCTGCTGATGCGCCTCCTCCCTCAGCACCATGGACCTGCTGGACTGGAGCAGCCTCATCGACAGCAGGACCAAGCTGTCCAAGCACTTGGTAGTCCCCAACGCACAGGTAACACCTCCGCTCCTCAGTGAGGCCCAGCTCAGCAGGGCGCTGCGCTAAGAAGGGAATTCAGCCTGCCACGTGTGTCTCTTGTTGCCTACCCTGGGAACTTAACATGACCAAAATCACTGCACACTATGGCCCCACAGACCCCCTGTGGTCCAGGGGGAAGAAGACAAGCCCACTAGTGTCCACAGAGTGCTTGGCGGGACAGAGACCCACGCGGAGCCTTAAGACACCACAAGGAGAGGGGGTCTGGGGGCCTTCCCCAAGTCATCTGTCTTGTGCATCAGGTCACCCCAAACTTCAGAGGCCTGAAACGGCAGCAGCCACTCTGCTTCTGCCTCATGGTTCTGGGGTTGACAGGGCTCAGCTGGGCAGTCCTCCCCTGGGGTCTCCTGGGTAGCTGTACTCACAGAGTGGTGGCGCTGGGACCTGGGGGAGGCACCCATTCACATGTCTGGGAGTTGGTGCTGGCTGTGGCTTGGGCTTTTTCCCAACATGGCAGCTGGGCTCTAAGGGCCAGTGTCACCTGAGACGTGAGAGCCAGGCAGAAGCTGGGTGACCTTTTCCTGCCTCGCCTCAGAAGTCACACGGTGTCTTTTCTGGCAAGTTCTGTTTGTTAGAAGCATGTCACCAGGCCAGCCTGTATACAGCGGGGAGAGGAATGAGACTCATCTGCCTGTGGGAGGGGGGCCCAGGACCTGGCAGACTGCTTGAAACCACAGCTTAAACTGGGATTCAAAGAAAGAACAGAAGCACCTTCAGAAAACATCCTGCAGAGGCAGCTTTCCATGACACATCTAGCCCCAGTCCACTAAGGGCCCAGCCTCAAACTTAGAGCCCCCGACCCAGAGCCTCGGGGCGCAGTGCGTACAGTGTGGCTGTGCACCAAGGCCACCAGCTGTTGGAGACTTTAGCATGGTGTAGCAAGGGATAGAGTGGTACTGTTTGTGCCCAGTGAGGCAAGGCTGCTGGGGCCAGCAAAGGGGTGAGCGGGAGGCCCTGCGGGATGGGTCCCCACGGCCTCTGAGCACCAGCAACTTGAAGGCCTCATCCTGGTGGTTGCCCTGGTCCCTGGCTACGTGTCAGCACGTGCTGCACAACTGCCCTGTCTGCCTGTAGCCAGGGGTCTTCCTCCTGGGCCCTCTGCCTGCTCCGGGTGGAGCCCTTCTGTTTGACGATTGGGTGATCAGTGTTCACTTGTTCAATGTCACATGGGAGTTGCAGGGGGCTCTCCCACAACGGTGGGGCCTCTGTGGGAACTGGGGAGTACACACTTCGGAGTGCAGGCCTGGACTGAGCCTGGGGCCCACTGACATGGGCACTGAGCTCCCTCGTGGTACCCCTAGGCCCCGCATAGGGCAGTGCACTGGCTGCGTTGGAGGTTCAGGGGCACTGTGCTGCTTGTCCAGGTGGCCCTCCCTCCCAGCCCTGCACAGACGGGTGAGAGGGTTCCTGTGGGCTGGGAATACTGAGAGAGGTTTAGCCTGGGCCTCAGGGTGGCACTTTCCCGCCCTTGCTGTGGCCTGACCGCGTGTTGCACCCCCAGACAGGACAGCTGGAGCCCCTGCTGTCCCGGTTCACTGAGGAGGAGGAGCTACAGATGACCAGGATGCTACAGCGGATGGATGTCCTGGCCAAGGTGAGCTGTCCCGCTCGGGCAGAGGGTACCTGGGACTCGTGGAGAAGAGGGCACCTGCCTCACTTGAGCAACAGTTGCTCCCACTCTCCCACCCCCTGCGCCTCTCAGAAAGCCACAGAGATGGGCGTGCGGCTGATGGTGGATGCCGAGCAGACCTACTTCCAGCCGGCCATCAGCCGCCTGACGCTGGAGATGCAGCGGAAGTTCAATGTGGAGAAGCCGCTCATCTTCAACACATACCAGTGCTACCTCAAGGCAAGCCCCCGCTCAGCCCCTCCCTGCCTGCCCTGGGGCTTGGAGACCCCACAGGAGGGGCTCCTCTCATCTGAGCTCCCTGGCATTTGGCTGGTTTTACACTCAGCACCCACCAGGGAGCTCATGGGATGGAGGAGGGAGTGGGCCGTGCCCCCAAGGGGTTGTTGGGGTCTTCTGCAGCACAGCTCACCCAGCGGGCCCCAGGGTCCAGGAAAGAGCCCCTTAGGTGGTGGCCACAGCCAGGCCTGCAGAGGAGGCTGAGGCCAGGGTGACTGCCTCAGAGTAGCAAGAAAGACCCGCTGCCCGCAACCTCTCCCCTGGTTCTCAGAACCAGCCAAGAGTGTCTAAGGAGCAGGAGGAAGACAACAATCTTTATGAGGGTCCACTAGATGTACCCGACACCCCAAACTTGGAAGGTGTCACATGACCATTTCCTCCAGCGTGTTTTCAGTTCAGCGCCCCTAAGAACCTCCTGAAAGCTTTGGGCCCTCCCCGGAAAGACTCACCCAGGATGTCACATGTATTCAGGGAGCCCACCCTAGCCTTTGGGCCCCAAACTGCTCAGGGATGTTAGCAGGTCCAGAGCTCTCAGGGGTGAGCCGGATGCCCAGAGGACACAGGGTGGCATGGGGAGGGGTCCAGGCAGGAGCATGCAGTATGCACCCCTCCCGGTCGGCCTGGGAGTCTGGAGCACATGATGGCTGCTGGCGCCTGGGCTGCACCCACAGGGCCGTCCACAGGCCACACAGGAAGTTGCAGACGTCCCCACTGCCATTGCTCCTTGGGGACAGAGGTTGGAGGCCCATCCTCACCCACACCTGCTCCAGGTGCCCTGAGCTGCACCTCCCCAGGCAGCTGCTGCCCAGCCCTGGTGACTGCACCTGGGCCCAGGAAGGCCCCATCCTGCTGTCACTTGGGCTTGCCCAGGCTCCCTGTGACTTTTGGCCCTGGCCCCACAGGATGCCTATGACAATGTGACCCTGGACGTGGAGCTGGCTCGCCGTGAGGGCTGGTGTTTTGGGGCCAAGCTGGTGCGGGGCGCATACCTGGCCCAGGAGCGAGCCCGTGCGGCAGAGATCGGCTATGAGGACCCCATCAACCCCACGTACGAGGCCACCAACGCCATGTACCACAGGTGCGCAGCTCTCCCACCCCTCTGTCTTCTCAGGGCAGGGCGCCAAGAAACCAGGCCTGAGGGAGAGGCTTGGAGACTGAACTTGTCAGCCACATGTGTCCCCAGGTCAGAACTGGTATTTCCTCAGCTTTTATGTCATGTGTTACTTTTTCAAAAGCATTAAGGTTATTCTTTTATAAATATAGAAAAGCCTATTGAACAAAGCAAAATTGGCCACAGTTCCCTGAGCTTGCTCCTGCAGACACTTAGATCCAGAGATGTGCATGAACACCCGGTCCTCCCCACCCTGCAGGCTCAGCCTGTTTGCTTTTCAGTTCACACAGTGGGATCGCCCATCAGCTGTTCTGCACCTGCTTTTACTGCTCTAGTTTCTTGGTGATCTTTTCATGTAGCACAGGCTGGCCAACCATGGGCTTTTCCTCTTAGAGGCGTGTGTGCATGCTGCAAATTCAGAGAGACCCCAAGTGTCTCCTGGTTGGCTCCAGCTCCCCTCCTGCAGCCGCTGTGCATGTCGTGCCACAGCGCACACATCTCCGCCATTGTTTTTTGCGTTGTAGCGTGTCCTCTGCCCGATGTGTTTTTCATTTCGCGTTCCATCTGGGTCCTCTTGTGTGGGCTTGCAGAGTGGTGCTGTCAACAGCCAGCATGGAGTGCCCGGGGCTATGTGTCCAGCATCTTTGATCTTATTGGTTTTTAGTCTGGTTATTGTAATGGACTCGCTGGACATACCGTCACCCTCTGTGGTACACACGGGCCGTCAGGGGTTTTGTGTCTGAGGATGCAGCTGTCCTAGGTTGCTGGAAATGGAATTGCTGGGTCAGAGAGAACGTGCGTGTGGTCAAGCCTGCTGAGTGACCTCGCTGCAGGAGGGCCGTACTGCTCGGGCTTCCTGGTGCACCGGGATGCCCACCCCCACTGTGCCCTACAGGGACCTGCTTCCCTTTTATTTCCTTGCAGGGCCAGGGGTGCACTGTACGATCCCTCCCCAGAAGCAAAGCTGTGTCTGTCATGAGGCTCATGGGCATGTTTGGGCTGGTCCCCAGAGTCACAGCACGTTTGATGCAGGGACTCTGCCCCCACAGCTGGTTCTGCGTGAATTGTCTGGTCCCAGACATCGCTTTTGCTTGGTTGCTGGTCTTTCTTTTTCATGAGGTGCTGGGAGGGGCAGATGCTGCTCCTGTTCCTCCTGATCCTGTGGATACCCTTGGAAAGAGCCAGCTCAATGGATGGATCTGGGTCTGCCCTCGGCCTCCTCTCTGTGCAGCTGGTAATGAGAGGTGCAGGCAGCCACAGGCCTGGAACTGGGCTCACATGGCACTCTCCACAGGTGCCTGGACTACGTGTTGGAGGAGCTGAAGCACAACGCCAAGGCCAAGGTGATGGTGGCCTCCCACAATGAGGACACAGTGCGCTTTGCACTGCGCAGGTAGGTGTGCCCCACCCTGCACCGAAACCCCAACCTGAGCCGTTGTCTCCTCCGGCTGGGGAGAGGTGGCAGCAGCGCAGAGCTCAGGGTGGGCAGAGCGACCTGCTGGGTGGTCGGGCATTTGTGGGGAAAGGCTGGTGAAATGAGCTGGAGGGTGGCTTCAGTGGGCAGGCCCAGGCCCGCTGGCGTTCTGGACATCGGACTGTGAGAGCACAATGGCTTTTTGCAGTTACGTTGGTTTTTAAAATTAACTTTTTTCTTTTTTTGAGATAGAATCTCGCTCTGTCACCTATGCTGGAGTGCAGTGGCGTGGTCTCGGCTCACTGCAACCTCCGCTTCCCAAGTTCAAGCAATTCTTCATGCCTCAGCCTCCCAAGTAGCTGGGATTACAGGCATGTGCCACCACGCCTGGCTAATGTTTTGTATTTTTAGCAGAGACAGGGTTTCACCGTGTTGGCCAGACTGGTCTCAAACTCCTGGCCTCAAGTGATCCTCCCTTCTTGGCCTCCCAAAGTGCTGGGATTACAAGCATCAGCCACTGTACCCAGACTTTTAAAAATTAACATCTGACTTATTAAACTTCACAATTAAAAAACTAAATTTCATCAGGGTATTCGGATGGCTCCTGAAAGGTACAAATGCAGTGTTGGAGGCCAGTCCCTCAGGAGGCCTCCACAGTGCCACCTCATTAATACGCCCTTAACATTTTAACTACATCTGGAATGTAACGGTTTGTTTTCTCTTTAAACATTTGTCCCATGGAGCACAACTTCGGTAGAATTCTAACAAGTCAAATGCAGAAGTTAGGTGAAGTCAGTTCTTGGATACTCCTGTACTGTCACCCTGGTCTTATCTCATGCCTTAGTCCAAGCTATGCACACAATGGGGTCCTAGGTCCCCCTCCCCTCCCAGATTCCGCCTTCCCAGGGATGGGACCCCCTAGAACCCTCGGGGGCCTGGGCAGTGGCCTCGCTGGCTCTCGCCTTCCTAGGAGCTGAGCAGGAGCTCCACTCTCAGCAGGGCAGGGTGCCCCAGATCCAGGGCTTGTGGCACGAGGGGGCTCCCCAAGAAGCTGTGAAGCCACAGGGCCAGGCTTGGGGCCAGGGCTGCAGCCAACAGGACACATCCTGGTGCTGCTCGGGAGCTGACTCACGGCTCTGAAATCATTCAGTGATGTCCACATTCAGCCTTTGTTTACGATGCTGCTACTTTTTCATGGCCTGAAATTGCAGCACACCCATTTTTGTGCCCTGATCCTCTGCTAATTGTCATAGATGTGTCGGTGATGGGACAGACTCACTTTCTCCACACGCACAGGCCTGGTGGCCAGCACTGCCCAGCACTCGGGAGCTGGTGGGGGTTCCTCTCAGCTTGTAATCAGGACTCCCAGCCTCTGGGTGGACTCTCAATGCTGGTGGACTCACAGCCTGACTAGACACATCACCATCCAACTCCGAAAGGACAGCCTGCCCTCAGCAGGGCTTCCTCTCTCCAGCTTCCGCCCGGCACCTGTCTGTCCCTACTATCTTGCTGTGGCAGTGGCTTCCCCAGTGGACACAGCTTCCCCCTCCCCTGAGTGGCAGCCGGGCTCTCTCCTCTTGGCCCCAAGGGCCCTGTGCCAGGCTCCCCCAGTACCACGCTCACATCCCTGCCTGAGAGGCTGGACCCCTGCAGGCTTCAGCTCTGCCCCTGCTGTGGGTGGTTGGGGAGCTCTGGGGAGCTGGGGTCCCCTCCCATGGGTAAGTGGTTCTAGACTATGGCAGCTGCTCTGTCCTGTGCTGGGCCCAGACTGCCACACCACCCACCCTCAAACAATCGGAGTTGGCTTTGGCCAAGGAACAAACCAGCCCCAAACTTAGAGGCTGGAACAGTGGCATGTTCTGTAGGCCAGGGGTGGGCTGGCTCAGCTGATGCTTCTGCTGCTGGCTGTGCCTGTGTCCCTCCTGCGTCTGTGATCTGGGGCCGGTGGGGCCTAATGAGCTCATTCATGGCTGGGGCAGTAAAGGAGACTGCATCCCGGGTCCAGCGTCCCACAGGCCAGCCCAGGCTTGAGCACGTGGTGGGCTCAGGCTTCCAGAAGGCCTGGAGAGGGCAAGCCTCTGCTTGTGTCACCTTTGGTACCTCCCTGCTGGCCAAAGTGCCTCACGAGGCCAAGCCCAGATGCCAGGTGGAGTGAGCCACTGTCCTGTGCTGGGAGGAGCCGCAGTCACATGGCAGAGGCTGTGCACACCAGCAGGGGAGGGGGCAGCCAGCAGTGGCACCCGGCTCTCGGGTTCATGTCCTGGGGTTGAGGAAGACACAAGATGGAAGCCAGGGCGATGTGGCAGAGATGGGTGCCTGCTTTAGACTGGGTGGTCCCGGGTGATGCGTGAGCAGCAGGCGGAACTCACCCCAGGGTGGGGACCCCAGTGCTTTGCAGACCAGCGAAGTCGGGATACCTGGATATAGTAAGCTGGAGATGAAACTTGAGAACTGCCACTGCGTGGATATTTCAGACCCTGAGAATCTTTGTAAGACGCTATACGGGGTGGTGTGAAGACAGGACAGAGTGGAGGCCCCACCCCAGTATCTGAGCAGTGCTAATAGATATATAATGCAAGCCACATCTGTAATTTAAAATTTAGTAGCTACGTTAAAGGAAAAAGATAAAATGAATTTCAAGAATAATTTTAATTAACCCAAAATATTCAAAATATTACTTCAAATTGTATTCCAGTTGCTTTTAGAAAAGCAACGCGGCATCGTGCATTATTTTTCTACAAAGTCTCCTAAATCCCGTGTGTATTTGACATTTGCAACACATCTCGATTCAGAGCAGCCGCCTTCCGAGGACTCGGGGGCTGGTGGCAGCTGTGTGGGACACAGCAGCTGTGGGGATGGGGCAGGGCAGCAGCCCACAGAGGGCGAGGGCAGGGGCCGGAGACCAGTCATACCACAGAACCCTGGAGGGGCTTGAGGAAGGGATGGCAGGAGAGCTGAGGAGCTTCTCTGCCCTGTGGGGCAGGCTGCTGGGTGGGTCAGGGCCCGAGGAAGGGCTGCACCTCCAAGAAGGGAGCTAGAGGAGAGGTGAGAGAGGAGAGGGGAGGGAAAGCAGGTGGGAGGCCTTGTTGGCCAAGGGCTGAGGCCTCCCCAGGGAGACGAGTAGGGCAGCCCAGCAGAGTCCTGCTGGGAAGAGGCCTCACTGGGGCAGGGCCAGGCAGAGCCCATACCCCAGCCCCACCTTGCAGGGGATGAAGTCTGGAGAGTGCAGATGGGGCACCTGGGATGGCAGGACAGGCTCAGAGCTGGGACAGGAGCCCTGTATCCCTGCACTGGGGACAGTGTCCTGGAACTGGCCCTCAGTTCCTGGCTTCACCTGCACAGGATGGAGGAGCTGGGCCTGCATCCTGCTGACCACCGGGTGTACTTTGGACAGCTGCTAGGCATGTGTGACCAGATCAGCTTCCCGCTGGGTGAGTGGGGCCCTCCCTGGTGCGATGGGGTACGGTGCTGGGCCTGGGCCTCATGGTGTATCTGCCCCCATGCAGGCCAGGCCGGCTACCCCGTGTACAAGTACGTGCCCTATGGCCCCGTGATGGAGGTGCTGCCCTACTTGTCCCGCCGTGCCCTGGAGAACAGCAGCCTCATGAAGGGCACCCATCGGGAGCGGCAGCTGCTGTGGCTGGAGCTCTTGAGGCGGCTCCGAACTGGCAACCTCTTCCATCGCCCTGCCTAGCACCCGCCAGCACACCCTTAGCCTCCAGCACCCCCCGCCCCCGCCCAGGCCATCACCACAGCTGCAGCCAACCCCATCCTCACACAGATTCACCTTTTTTCACCCCACACTTGCAGAGCTGCTGGAGGTGAGGTCAGGTGCCTCCCAGCCCTGCCCAGAGTATGGGCACTCAGGTGTGGGCCGAACCTGATACCTGCCTGGGACAGCCACTGGAAACTTTTGGGAACTCTCCTCGAATGTGTGGGCCCAAGGCCCCCACCTCTGTGACCCCCATGTCCTTGGACCTAGAGGATTGTCCACCTTCTGCCAAGGCCAGCCCACACAGCCCGAGCCCCTTGGGGAGCAGTGGCCGGGCTGGGGAGGCCTGCCTGGTCAATAAACCACTGTTCCTGCAGCTGAGAGCCCTTTGCCCTCACACAGGGTCAGCTCTGGGCAACAAAGAGGGAGTGGCTCAGACAGGGTCAGAGAAGTCTCATCCCAGACTCTGGCTTCCAGCATCATCTGTTCCTGGGGGCCAGGCCCTGCGCAGACCTGGCCACCCAGGGTGCTGGACACCCCCAACCCTGACTCCACAAGGACCCAGCAGGGCCCATGGGCCCAGGCCAGCACGGAGGGGACTCATGCAGATGCAGAGGCCAAGCTCCCCAGGTGGGCCTGGCACGCCTCCCCGCAGGGCTCCTCCTCAGGCCATTCCTGCCACCCTGAGTCCTCTACCCCAGTGACCTGCATCAGGCTCCTCCTAGTGGTTCCCACAGGACACTGACCAGGCTGCGGCAGGCGCATACTTGCACTTCGGGCCTTCTCCCATGCTCTCCAGCCCCCAGCCCCACAAAGCAGGCTGGATGTGGTCCTCATGCCCTGGGGCTTGGATGGGGGCCCCTGTACAGATGGCAGTGACAGCATCCTGGGACCAGGGCTGGGGCAGGAAAGGCTGGAGGGTCCCAGTCTCCAGGCAGGGGGAGGGGTGGTGGGCTGGGCACACAGCCCAGGAAGGGGCCCCCAGGTAGAGGCCTCTGCTGCAACAGAGGTGGGGGCCCTACCAGGGCCCCGGTTATGGCAGAACCTGCAGCTATCACACAAGCCACATGCGGGCCACACTGAGGCATCTTTATTTCTCTGGGTCACACAGAGCTTGGGCCTGGGAGCCTCTTCTGCATGGGGGCTGCAGCTGCCAAGGGAGCGGCTGAGACCAGAACAAGCGCTCGAGTGGGCCCCAGTGCAGGTTGGGATGTGCCCGGTGGAGTAAGGTGTGAGAACCCCCAGCCTCACTCTCTGCCTGGCCCTGAAGCAGACAGCAGCAGGCTGGCCCAGCCTCCCCTTTATGAGACTATCCTAGGGTTTGACAGCAAGTCCCAGATGAAGGGTGACAGGCAGCTGGGGTCCACCTGGTCTCTCCTCAGCAGGGGGAACCCCCTGCGGGCAGCTGGGAAGGCAGTGGCCAAAGGTCAAGAAGATGAACTCTGCCCAGACTTCTGCTGCCTGTGGCTATGGTGGGACAGGGCTGCCTTTCTGGTCACACTGGGCAGCAGGCAACTGCCAGGGACCTCCTAGCCCCAGGGCTGCCTTCCCTGCCCAGCAGCCCCTCTGCTGCAGCTTCCGGATGAGTTCCAGCAGGTTCATCTGCAGCATCAGCTCCTGGGATACAGAGGGGCCCCATGAAGGCCAGAGTGACCCCCAGGCCCCTTTCATCCCGGCCCAAAGGTGCCAGGCAGTGAGCCCACGGGGCGACCATCCTGTGAAGCCTGGTCATGGCCTGCTACGACAGGGTGGAATCTGAGCTTCTGCCCCCAGCAGGGCCACTCGGAATCTGAGCCTCTGCCCCCAGCAGGGCCACTCGGAATCTGAGCCTCTGCACCCAGCAGGGCCACTTGGAATGGCATGCGGGAGGGGAGCAGAAGAGGGCCCTGTGGGGCACAGCAGGCCTGGGGAGGGTGGGCAGTGCCCATGGCTGGCTGGCTCACCCCCCTGTAGGGAATGGGCCTGGCCTCCATGCTGGGAATGGCACAGAAATCCTTTCCAGAGCCTCAATCCTTCCACTTCACCCCCTATACCCTGAGCCTGGCTCCCCAGGGACCAGCAGTGAAATCCCAGATGGAATGGGGCCCAGGGGCACTCGGGCTAGGACAGAGCAGGCCCAGGCACTGACCTGTGGGTTGGTGGTCACGTAGAAGCCAGCCACCCCCGCCTTCTCCAGTGTGCTCTGCTGGTCAGCCACCTTCCGGTCCAGCTCCAGGACGATCTTCTGGTCCATCGCCCGCTGCTCCTCACGGATCCGGTGCTCCACCGCCTGCCGTGGGGCCGGGGGCGGCGGGGGAGGTGAGGGCAGCTCAAACACATGCTCCTGCTGCTGTCCCCAACAGCACCAGCTCTGACACCACCAATGCATCCTCACCACACCCAGGCCTCTCCTCGGCCAAGTGAACCCCTGAAGGGGGCCCCAAGGGGCTTCCACGAATGCTTTGACTTGGGACTGCCTTGGGACCACACACACATCTCCGCAGGCACACCCTGCCCCATGACTTGTTGGTTACATGCCGGTCTCTGGTTGTCCCTGTGCTCCCGGGGAGAAGGATGGGCCCCTTCCTGGCTGGCCCCATCACCCCACCATTGCCTTTGTACCCCCCGAGGCCACCTGCTCTGCGGAGACCCCAACCCACGAGGGGCACTAATGGACTCCAGGGGAGCACTGGTGGGTTCTCACCCTCCACCCAGTCCCAGCACACCTGGCACCCTCAGCGAGGAGCCACCTGGTGGGACTCACTAGGCCTCCAGTGTCCCACTCAGGCCCAGGGTAGCCACCCACACCTGAGCCCCCCACACCCCTTCAGCTCAGCCCAGTCAGCAGAGCCAGGTGGTGCCCACAGGAGAGCTGGGCCGGCCACCCTGCCTGCGTCCCCAGTACCTCTAGTTCTCGCTGCTGAGCCGCCTGAAGCACAGGCAGGTTATGGGGCCGGCAGGCCTGCTGGGCTTCCTGGTGCTTCTGCCGCAGCGCCTGCCTGAGCACTGGGAGGGATGAGAGCCCGTCAGCAGGCGGTGGGACTCGGCAGCAGCCCTCACCCATGGGCACCTGCCTTACCAACCCAGCAGAGCAGCCAGGCCAAAGGGGTGTCTGCACTGGGGAGGACGCCAGCCTCCTCCATCCTCCCACCCCACTGTCACGGCAAGTCTCCAGGGGATTCCAGAAGGTGCGGGGCACTGAAAGAGAGTGGGGGTGGGGAAGACTGGCCAGGTGGGGCCAAAGCTGCAGCCCCAGACCCAGGGCAGCTGGAGGGGGCAGGCGGGAGGGAGGCTGCAGTCTGAGGGCTTCAGGGCCCCCGTGGCCACAGGCCATAGGACATCTACTCAAGTGTTGGAGACCACCTCAGGCAAAGGCATGGGAAAGGAGCAGGAGGAGCCGGGTCGCTGACCCTGAGCGTGGGGCCTCTGCCTACCAGGTGTGTGGTTGGCCCCTCCACCCTTGGTGCTGCCCTTCAGGGTGGGCAGCCCCCTCCCCCATTTGCAGCTCCCAGCCCCTACACAGCACCAGAGGGAGAAGGGTGAGCTGACCTGGGAGGCCCAAGTTTGGGATGAACCTGGGGTGTCATAAGCCTGTGAGGCTCTGGGCCAGGGAGTCTGTGTGGCTTTGAGGGGCTCACCCTCGGCCACCAAGCAAAGCTCCACGGTCCCTGCTAAACTGTGCACAAACACAGATGTGCAAACTCTAGTCTGAAGGGAGTGTACAGAGGAAGCGATCATGGGACATAAACCATCATGGCAAAATGGAACATGGAGCACCCCGCAGCTGGCGCCAGTGCATTAAGTGCCAAATGGCTACAGTTCCCCAGGAAGGAGGGGTCCCTGGCCACAACAAAACGTGAAATCCAACACTCTGTTCCTGGGAAGAGCCCTGATGTTGCAGCTCTTCTCTGGTGGCAAGTCTCCAGGGAACTCCACGGCCCCTGAGGCTCCCCTGCAGGTAGCCTGGCTCCAGCTGTGCCTACAGCCTTCCCCAATCTCCTGTTTCTTGGCATTCTGTACACACCTCGACGATGGTATTTACCAAAAGCCCCCCTCAAGACAGCTCCATAACACAGGGAAGCAGGGAAATGTCATCATCTTCACTCTACTGATCAAACATTGCTACAAGTGCCAGGTCCACTACGAGATTCCACTAGATATGCAACCAAAAGGCAAGAAGAGAGCCACGCCGGCTGCCTGGGCAGAAGGGGCCTGGCCTTAGACACGACCGGGAACACAAAGGAGGCAGGAGCAGCCAGTCACCCCTGCCAAATCAGCAGGAGAAGCAGAAAGTCAACGCAGGCATGCCTGCTGCTGGTGGAACCAGGACCTGGCCCAAACCTTCTGAAGCACAAACAGCATTGGGCCCAGGCAGTTACTGAAACTCCCCATCCTGCTAGAAAGAACTACAACTCTGTGGAAAAATGGCCGATTCCAGGACTGAGACACGGAGAAAACAAGAAAAGATGAGCCTGAACACATACCTGAACCAGAAAGCAAGAAAGTGCTCACAGAATGATGGGGCGGCATCTAAAGGTGCCTGGAGCGCCCCCAACTGGCCACACATGGCACAGTCTGAGCATTAAGGAATAATGAGCCATGCACTTGGGATTAGTAAACTGCATGCATCTTACAGCTCAATAAAATTTTTAAAAAGACAGTCACCCAGACATTTAGGGGAAGAAGTAATGCCAATTCTACACAAACTCTTCTGGAAAACTGAAGAGGAGAGAACACTTCGAAACTCATCCTATAAGGCTGGCAAAAACCCTGATACCCAAACCAGGTATTACATGAAAACTATAGACCACAGTTTATCATGAACATAGACAAAAAAATTCTTAACAAGATTTTAGCAAATCAAATCCAGCATACATAAAAAGGATACTACAGCACGACCCAGTAGGATGGAATTCAAGTGACTGTAATTCACTGTAGTAATAGAAAATGATTCACCACGTGATCATCTCAAGAGCTGCCAAAAAGGAAACTGCCAAAATCCAACATCCATTCTTGATAGAAACACACCAATCCTGGAGCAGATGGACACTGCCTGCCTTCTGGGGAAGGGGGCCTTGCCCCGCTAGGAGGAATTTTTGCCACATTAAACCTGCCTCTAATCAGGCTCCTACCAGGAGTCCAGTGTACAGTAAACCCAGAGAGTGGAGAAGCAGGTTAAATGCACGAGGAAGCATTTCCTCTGATAGATCCAGAGCAGGGCATTCTAATTATAGAATTAGACTCTATAAAAAGTCAATGCCACAATAAATGTTGGGGACTGTTCCAGAAGCAAAGAGACCAAAGTAACCAATTGTAGTACATGAACTTGGACTGGATCCTTACTTATAAAGCAACAATTTGCCACAAGTTAGGTACCATGATGTGGCCATGCACTGAAAGTCAGGAGACACCTGGAACAGTTAATTTCTCAGGGGGCTACCCTCTGCAGCTGTGTAGGAGACCGCTCTTGTTCTAGAGCACTTGCTCCCAATCCAAGGCCAAGGTTGACCCCACCACCCAGGTTGTCTGGAGGCATTCTTGGTTTTCACGACTAGGGAGGGTACCCCTGCCATCCTGCAATGCGCAAGACAGCATCTCACCATAAAGACTTACCCAGCCACAAATGTCAGCATGGCTGGGTTGAAAATCCTGGTCTCCAGGAATGCTGAAGACTCTTGGTGAATTCTATGCTGTCACATGTATGTATTTTGGGATGTCAAGAACTAGAGCAAAATGTTAACTACTGAACTTTCGGTGGAGAGCACAAGCGTATGCACTACACTGTCTTTTCAGTTTTTCCAAATGTTTGAACTTTTAAAATAAGAAGTTTGGGAAAAATAAAACAGCAAAGGTGGAAATCTGATGGTGCAGGGGGACCTGCCCTATATAATTTGCAGGAAAGGGCTCCGAAGCCCAGGAAGCATGCGGCTCAAGTGGGAAGCTCTTCTGGTTTGGGAGGGCGCCACAGGAGACAGTGCTTAGGAATTTGATGTGCAACTAGAATGAGGCCCTGCAGGCCTGAGAGGGAACTGACCCTGAAGGGCGCGCACAGCTGTCAACAGACCTCCAACTACCCAAGGGCGCTGCTCACCTGTCAACAGAACTCCAATTACCGGAGGGCAACGCAGTCAGATCTACCACCAGAGTCAGCCTGCCGGCCAACCAAGCACGGAGGCCTAGGGCCATCAGGCCTGGAAGGGGGTGGGGCACAGGGAAGCCCGAACAGGGAGTTTCTGCTAAGAAGGTGGGTGCTGCGCAACTGAAAACAAAACTCGTTGGACACATTGGTCACCAAAAAGGCGCTGTCTCAGTCTCTGCGCCCTTGATTTTGTTAATCTTAGGGACCTCTTCCGAACACTCCCAAGGAAGGAGCCGAGCTGCACAGATACCAAGAGCTGCCGGGAGGCGCCGACCCCGAGGAGGCGGCACCTCCTCCCGCTGCCCCCGCGCACCTCGATGCTCGTTCTGTAGGCGCAGGCGCTGGTTGTACAGGCTCTTTTCGGTGAGGTGCTGGATCTCCAGTAGCCCCTGCACGATTTCGAACACGGTGCCGTCGAGAAGCGCCAGGGCCAGGTCGCTCAGCGTGGTGTAGGACAAGCGCTGCTGGAATGAGCTGCGGGGTAGAGGAGCGCGGTGAGCCCCGGCGGGACACGATGCGGCCTCGGCAGGCCGCCGCCCGCCCCGCCCGCGTACCTGGGCAACTCCTTCACCAGGCTCTGTAACGCCGACAGCAGCTGGTAGTGTCGCTCCTGCTGCCGGGCACCGTCCGCCACCTCCTCCAAGGCGCCCGCGTAGCGCTCCATGGCGCGGACGCCCGCTAGCCGCCGGCTGCAGCGACGAGCGCCCCCAGCTCACGTCATCCCGACCGCGGCGCGTCCCGCCCCTTTTATGACAGTCCCTAGCGCAGCGCGCCCCGCCCGTCTTAGGACAGTCCCCGATCGCGGCGCGCCTCGCGCCTTCCCCGCCCCACCACGCGCCCCGCCCCTTGCGTCATTCAGAAGGAGACGCGCCCCGTCCCTCCGTGGTGGCTGCAAGGAGGGTTTCGCTCAGCTGAGGCTCATACCTTCCTGCTCCCCGGGCCACTTTAGAGGCGAGACTCCGTCGCCTGGATATCGCAGGACCATGTAGAATCCCACCGGCCCTTGCTGAGTCATTGCGGGCTGAGGTCCGGGCTCCGCGCCGGCGCGCCTGCGAGGTGGACTGTCCCGGTCACCGGCCTTCCCAGAGGGAGGGGTCTCGGGCCAGAGCCCACAGGACCTGGGTCTAAGGCACCATCGCGGCCGAGCAGTGGTGTTGGGGTCTGTCTGCGTCCTCTCTGCCCCCGGAGTGAGACAGACAAGACCACCCTAGAGCCTCTGGGCCAGGAGAGTTGGAACCGGAGTCCCCATCTGGGCCTGCCGTGGTCGCCCCGGGGTGCCCAGCCCCCAGCCGGAACCGCGAGCCCAGACTGCCCTCTCCCCGCTCCCCAGACCAGCTGCTGGGCCGGGGCTGGGGAGCTTCTGGTGGCTGGTGTGGGCGGCAAGCCACCCAGGCGCTGAGGCAAGAGACCGAGGACACGAGCTGTTCCAGTATAATAAAATATAAAACAAGAATAGTTATACCAGATATAGATCTTAGATATGATTATATATGAATATCAATAATCATTAGTTGGTAGCAATTACTCTTTATTCCAGTATTATAATAATCCTCACTCTATAATCATAACCTAGGAAAAACCAGGCCATACAGAGATAGGAGCTAAGGGGACACAGTGAGGGGTGACCAGAAGACAAGAGTGCGAGCCTTCTGTTATGCCCAGACAGGGCCACCAGAAGGGCTCCTTGGTCTAGCGGTGACGCCAGCGTCTGGGAAGATGCCCGTTGCCAGGTGGGCCGTGGTCTAGCGGTAGTGAAAAGTGTCAAGGAACAACACCTGCTACTTAGCAGACCGGGAAAGGGAGGCTCCTTTTCCCCGGGGGAGTTTAGAGAAGACTCCGCTCCTCCACCTCTTGTGGAGGGCCTGACATGAGTCAGGCTTGCCTGCAGTTATCCGGAGGCCTAACCATCTCCCTGTGATGCTGTGCTTCAGTGGTCCCGCTCCTAGTCTGCCTTTATTATGCCTAGTCATCCTGTACACCTGGCTCTGCCTTCTAGCTAGCAGTAGTCAATTAGTGAAAGTACTAAAAGTCTCTGATATGCAGAAATAATGGCATAAGCTATCTTTCTCTCTGTCTCCTCTCCCTCTCTGCCTCGGCTGCCAGGCAGGGAAGGGCCCCCTGTCCAGTGGACACGTGACCCACGTGACCTTGCCTATCATTGGAGATGACTCACACTCTTTACCCTGCCCCTTTTGCTTTGTATCCAATAAATAACAGCGCAGCCAGACATTCGGGGCCACTACCGGTCTCCGCGCTTTGGTGGTAGTGGTCCCCCGGGCCCAGCTGTCTTTTATCTCTTTGTCTTGTGTCTTTATTTCTACACTCTCTCGTTGCGGCACACGGGGAGAGACCCACCGACCATGTGGGGCTGGTCCCTACAGGCTGGGGCTGAACCGGCTAGGAACACGTTTTAATAGGAGGGGTTCGGGTGGAGGAATGGCTCCTGCAAAGGCCCTGCCAGAGTCAGGTCAGGTGGATGGGCGAGAGGACCAGTGTGGCCAGGCTGCGGAAGCCAGCACAGGAGACAAGGGCGGGTGCTGTGCATTACAGAGGCTGCTGGGGGCTTGTCCAAAGAGCAGCAGGGGGCACGGAAGGGCTTGGGGACGCAGACACGATCAGACTTGCATTTCACCAGGCATTCTTTAGCTGCCTGCGGTGCTAAAGAATGGGTGGCTGGGCTGTGTGAGATGACCCTGCTTTGACCAGGTTAGGAATTATGACTGGTTTCCAGAGAGAACATTGGTTAGCAGTTGGCTATGGGGGAGAGGGGGGCATTGAGCCAACTGGGGTCCCCCTGAAGTGCCAGCAAAGTCTCTGGTTTTCTCCAGGATCTGTTTCCTCAGTCCCTGGCAGGATTGGCTCCCCTGCAAGCCATGTCTTTGTGATCCCTTCCAGACAGAAACCAGGAGTGAATAAAGTGAATAATGACAACAAGCGCTCAGGCCACTGCCGTGGAGGGCGGTCCACAACCCAGAGCTGGTCATGCGCCGGGCACCCTGGCCTCCAGGTCCCTCGGAATGGCAGGAGCTGGAGGTGGGATTCGAGATTGTGGGAGCTGAGTCTGTAGTGAGTGACCAGGAGCCAGCTGGGGCTGGGCTTGGTCACTGTCACCTCCCCCGGAGGTGGTGAGTGGGATGAGTAGCTGGGTGAAGATGCCTGCCTGTTTCACCAGTGTCCCTGCCCTCAGTCCCCCAGTCCATGAAGGGTGTCTGTGTGGAGACTGGGAGCATATAGGGCAGCCCCACGTGATGATATGTCTGTGGCCAGCTGGGCAACACTGTCGCCAGCTCCGGGGTCTGCCAGGTCTGCCAGGTGGGGTGGGGGCTGTGAGCCACAGCAGCAGCAGACCAGGCCTGGGTTTGGACACCTGCTCCTCTGCCTTGTCCGGGTGCTGATGCAGGAAGGCCCCTTCTCCAACCCTTGGTGCAACATCTGACCTGAACCAGCTTCCCCAGCCCAGCAGCACTGCTCCCCTAATGTGGATGTCGACCTAAAGAAACAAACTGAACCACAGTTCATATAGAGAGTTTGTCTGGACCAAGGCTGAGAGAGCTGCCCAGGACACACCAAGTTGCCCTGGGAGTACTTCATTCAGCCTTATTACAAGCAAGTTTTTAAAGACTGAAGGGGACAAGGAGTGGGCTGATATGAAGTCAGCAGGAATTCTGACTGCTTTCCAGAGAGAACCTTAGTGACTGGCTATAAGGTGTTGGACTACAGGGGAAGAGTTATGGTGTCCAGCGTCTGGCTTTTTATGTCTACTTGGTGTCAGTCTGGAACCCACAGAGCAATTGGCTTCAAGAGGTCGTTAGCTCAAGTGGGAGTGACATGTGACTGCTGTTTCAGTCCAGTGACTCTCTGGGCCAGATAATTAAAGGGGTCTCGCATTCCTCAGATAAAAAGTTCTTTTCTTTTGCATGGACGTGAGCAGTGGGTCACTCAGGCATGGGGACTCCTGTGGGTCTTCAGGGAGGGGTCTCATCCCCCAGAGCCCTAGGGATGGGTGATATGTGTGTAGGAATGGGGGAGCTGGTGCGCAGACATGTGTGCCCCTTGTGTGCGTGCACATGGTGGACCCCATGGCTCTTTACATCAGGTGGTATCCACTGAAGGCCTTTGCTCTGTGGCCACTGTCCACCTCCACTTAGCTTCCCAAGTCCTCCAGGCTGGCTGGTGACACCTTGGGTTAGTGTGGAGTGACTGGTGTATGTTGGGGAGCTGCAGATCCCCTTTCTCTGACACAGGTGTGTCTGGGCAAACACCAAGTCTGTGGTTTGAAAGGATGGGAGCCTGTGTGTGTGTGTGTGCATGTGCATGTGTGGCAAAAGGCTTTGCTGCATGGCTTTTGTGTGGGTCTGTCTTTGAGTGTCACGTGTGCCTTTCTGTGTTTCTCTGTGAATTTTCGTGTGTCAGGTTGTGAGTCCATTGTGTGGGCAGAGAAACAGCTCTGCCGTGAGACCCTGAGCCATTGCAGGATCCCCATAGGCCACACAGAGGTGCACACAGCACCTGACCTAAGCCTGCTCCTCCCAGAACATCAGGCTGCACCCAGGCCACTGGTCACTTCCTCTGTCTCCCAAGACTGTTCCTCACTGCCTGCCTCACTGGCCCTGGTGAGGGTTCCTCACTGCCCTGCCCCTGGCCCTCACAACAGAGCTGCAGATGAGGACACCACCCAGCTGCAGTCTCAAGGGGCTCCTCTGCATTGGGTGTCCTGCAATGCATGCCCTCTGACCCCTTTTGTTTCGGTGCTGTCCTTTTTAGTGTGTGGCACCAGGATGGCAGGGAGCTGCCACCTCAGACTTCTCTTATTTTCACTCTGTGAGTAATAAGCTCTGAATGAGAGGGGCTCATTGTGTCTTTACTGTCAAATCAGTCAGGCCTTGGCCTTGGCATGTCTCGCGTGTGCTTGACAAATGTATTGCTCATGGGGTCTGGTGGAGGCACAGCACCCTTTTAGAAGACAGGGTCTGTGCAGACCAGTTACGGGTGACATTTCCTGGGCACAGCTCTTGCCTAAGTGGTGGGGGATGGGAGGAGGACTATGTGTGGAACACAGGATTATCTCAGTCATTCCATGTGTGATAGTACATGAAAGACATGAGCAGTTGTAGTGCTGTTCACTGTGCAAAAGTATCCCTTCTTCCTAACGTGGGAGGGCTGCTTTTGCAAATATGTCTGTGCTATTTCTCACTGGTCCTGCCTCTTCTGTTCTTGGAATCAAACTCAGTCCACGACAGATCCCACTACTAGCTGAATTTCTTTATTAGTCCTATCACAAATGAAATTTTGTATTAGCACCTCAGGGGATTTCTTTAATTTTGCAAAAGTATGTCATCCTAATTTATTATTTTTTTCCTAAGATCTGGCAATGAGCATCGGTTCTCTGCTTCCTATCTTACCCTGCTTACTCACAGCTGCTTCAGGTGACCTCCTTTTTAGGTTCAGAGTTATGGCTGACCTCTGCTTTAATCAAAACAGAATGTATTTTGGTTTCTTATTTTGTTTATCGCTTCTATCTTCAAATTAGAAATCCTAGAGCTCATTAGATTTACTTTTATGTTTATTTTTGAAAGAGCATCCTGCTCTGTCACCCAGGCTGGAGTGCAGTGGTACAATGACTGCTCATTGCGGCCTTGACCTCCTGGGCTCAAGTGATTCTCCTGCCTCAGCCTCCCAAGTAGCTGGGATTACAGGCACCCGCCACCACACCTGGCTAATGTTTGTATTTTTAGTAGAGTCAGGGTTTCACCATGTTGGCCAGCTGGTCTCGAACTCCTGATCTCAGGTGATCTGCCCACCTTGACCTCCCAAAGTGCTGGGATTACAGGTGTGAGCCACCATGCCCAGCCAATTTTTATGACCATGAATGGGGACAGATCTCTTAAACAGTTCACAAAGAGCCATAGTTTTAAGGGAATAAATTGATAAATTAGACTGTATTCAAATTAAGAATTTCTGTTTATTAAGAGACTAAGAAAGTGACAAGGCAAGTTGCAGAGTGGGAACAGATCTATGAACACATAGAACTGACAGAGGGCTCACATCAACAATATGTAAAGAGCTCTTAAAAATCACTAAGAGAGGTGCTCAATGGTGCCCAGGCTGGAGTGCAGTGGCGTGATCTCAGCTCGCTACAACCTCCACCTCCCAGCCGCCTGCTTTGGCCTCCCAAAATGCCGAGATTGCAGCCTCTGCCCGGCCGCCACCCCGTCTGGGAAGTGAGGAGCGTCTCTTCCTGGCCGCCTATCGTCTGGGATGTGAGGAGCCCCTCTGCCTGGCTGCCCAGTCTGGAAAGTGAGGAGTGTCTCTGCCCGGCCGCCATCCCATCTAGGAAGTGAGGAGCGCCTCTTCCCGGCCGCCATCACATCTAGGAAGTGAGGAGCATCTCTGCCCGGCCGCCCATCGTCTGAGATGTGGGGAGCGCCTCTGCCCCGCCGCCCCGTCTGGGATGTGAGGAGCGCCTCTGCCCGGTTGTCCCGTCTGAGAAGTGAGGAGACCCTCTGCCTGGCAACCGCCCCGTCTGAGAAGTGACGAGCCCCGCCGCCCGGCAGCTGCCCCGTCTGAGAAGTGAGGAGCCCCTCTTCCCGGCCGCCCCTACTGGGAAGTGAGGAGCCCCTCTGCCCAGCCAGCCGCCCCGTCCGGGAGGGAGGTGGGGGTCAGCCCCCCGCCCGGCCAGCCGCCCTGTCCGGGAGGGAGGTGGGGGGGTCAGCCCCCAGCCCGGCCAGCCGCCCCGTCCGGGAGGTGAGGGGCGCCTCTGCCCGGCCGCCCCTACTGGGAAGTGAGGAGCCCCTCTGCCCGGCCACCACCCCGTCTGGGAGGTGTACCCAACAGCTCATTGAGAACGGGCCATGATGACAATGGCGGTTTTGTGGAATAGAAAGGGGGGAAAGGTGGGGAAAAGATTGAGAAATCGGATGGTTGCCGTGTCTGTGTAGAAAGAAGTAGACATGGGAGACTTTTCATTTTGTTCTGTACTAAGAAAAATTCTTCTGCCTTGGGAAAAAAAAAAAATCACTAAGAGAAAGAACAATGGGTAAAACACTTAAACATGTAATTTATAAAAGCAAATACTTGAATGTGTTCAGCTTTCTTAATATTCATGTAAATGCAAATTAACATCACAACAGGATAACATATCCTCCAAAACGGCTAAAATGTAAAAGACAGAACACCAAGTGTTGGAGAGAATCTGGAGCAACAAGAACTCTCATCACTGCTGGAGGGGATACTGTGTTTGGCATTGAATAAAGGTTCTAGAAAGGAGCACATTCAGGACTCAGGTATTTCACTCTTAGGATAACAGAAACACATGCACGTCTGCATCAAAAGACATCTATGGAAATGTGTGTGGCATCATTCTCTGTCATTGGAAAAATATCTTGAAACAAAACCCAAATGTGACTTCTGTTTTCCAGCTTGGAAGCTGTCACTCCTGTCCTCACAACAACAACAAAAAACACCTTGAACAAACTGAAAATTAACAACTTTTCTTAGATCCATCAGAGACTTGAGGTTAACACGCCAAACCATTATCCCCCAAATTGGAGAGGCAGTGAGTCCCAGCCTAACAGGATCGGAGGCTGCCACTGGAGCCAGAACCACGGTGGGAAGACTTACATGTAAACAACAAATTTCTGGAGGCCACGTGTACATAAACTTGAGAATTAAGAATTAAGGGAGCCCGGTCTTAGGGGGCCCTACACTTTCATGAACCTCCAAGAGCTCTGCCAGACGCTCTTATGCACATCAGAGAAAAATTCCCTCCTGCTTCCCACAGGGAAGGGGAAAAGTAACTACTTTGAAATACACCCTGGGTGTTCCGTTCCCTTAGCAAAAGCCTGCCCCAGGGAAACTATTTCACAAGAGTCTAACCACCTTGGGCTTTAGCAGGGCCTAACACATGTAAGGATAAGAATAAAAATTGCATCAAACTTTTCTTCAGAACCCATGCAAGCAAGCAAGAAAATTCCACCAACCTAAAATTCTGTATCCTGCAAAATTATCTTTCCAAAGTGAAGAAAAATAAAGACTTTCTCAGAGAAATGCAATTTTGCTGTCAGTAGATCTGTCAAAATGTTAAAAGAAGTTATCCAGAGAGAAGAAAATGATATAGGCTAAAAACTTGGATCTACATAAAGAAAAAAGGTTTTAGAGAAGGAAGAAAGGGGCTTCCTGCCTCCCTCCTCCATGGGGCACTGGCGCTATGCCCAGCACCCAGATGCCCCTACCCAATGCCGAATAAGAACACAGAGCACCGTGAATGGCTGGCTCTAAAAGGAAGAGTCGAAGACTTGTGTTCTCAACCCACAGCTGCTACTGCTACATTTAAAGACACTGTAGTGAACATTGTAAGTTCTCTGGCTCATGGAGGGAGGAATCTATTCCAAAGACTCTGGGAAAAACTGTAAATTAAACAAAAATATGGTGAAAGCTGTTTCCTGAGCTTTATTGATGTTAATAATGCACCTTATTGGCCAGGCACAGTGGCTCACGACTGTGATCCCAGCACTTTGGGAGGCCAAGGTGGGAGGATCACAAGGTCAGAAGATCAAGTCCAGCCCGGCCAACATGGTGAAACCCTGTCTCTACTAAAAATACAAAAATTAGCTGGGTGTGGTGGCACGTGCCTGTAATCCCAGCGACTCAGGAAGCTGAGGCAGGAGAAGCGCTTGAACCCGGCAGGTGGAGGTTGCTGTGAGCTGAGATGGCGCCACTCTGCTACAGCCTGGTGACAGAGGAAGACTACCTCTCAAAAAACAAACAAACAAACAAAAAACAAAAACAAAAAACAAAAAACTGGTCACCTTTTCACCATATACAAAAATTAACTCAGGTTGGATTAAAGATTTAAATTTAAGACCTCAAACTACAATAATCCTAGAAGAAAAACTTCAAAAGTACCATTCTGGATATGGGCTATGGGAAATAATTCATGACTAAGTCTTCAAAAGAAATTGCAACAAAAGCAAAAGTTGACAAATGGGACCTAATTAAACTAAAGAGCTGCCACACAGCAAAGGAAACCATCAGCAGAGTAAACAACCTACAGAATGGGGGAAATTATTCACAAACTATGCATCCAACAAAGGTCTAATATTTAGAATCTATAAGGAACATAATTCAACAAGCAAAACACAACCCCATTTAAAAAGGGGGAAAAGACATAGACACTTCTCAGAAGGAGACACACATGCAGCCAACAAACATGAAAAAAATGCTCATCATCACTAATCACGAGAGAAATGCAAATCAAAACCACAATGAGATATTATCTCTCACTAGTCAGAATGGCTATTTTTAAAAAGTAAAAAAAAAAAAATAGCAGATACTGGCAAGGATAAGGAGAAAAGGGAATGCTTATACACCTTTGGTGGGGATGTAAGTTAGTTCAGCCACTGTGGAAAGCAATTTGGAGATTTCTCAAAGAACATAAAACAGAACTAACATTCAACCCAGCAGTCTCATTACTGAATATGTATCCAAAAGAAAACAAATCATTCCACCAAAAAGACGTATGCGCTTATATGTTTATTGCAACACTATTCACATTAGCAAAGACATGGGATCAACCTAGGTGCCCATCAACAGTGGACTGGATAAAAATGTGGTACATATAGACCATGGAATACTATGCAGCCACAAAAACGAATGAAATTATGTTCTTTGAGGGAAAATGTCTAGAGCTGGAATCCACGAAGTGAACTAATGCAGTAAAAGAAAACAAACGCCTCATGTTCCTATAAGTAGGAGCTAAATTCTGAGTACCCATGGACATGAAGATGGTGACAATAGACACTAGGACTGCTAGGAGGGGGAGGGAGGAAGGAAAAGGTTGAAAAACTGCTGAGTACCATGTTCAGTACCTGGGTGTTGGGATCATTCACACCCAAAACCTCAGCACCACACAATATACCCAGGAAAAAACCTGCACATGTACACCCTGAATCTAACATAAAAGTTAAAAAAGAAAAAGCAGAATGGAATCTCTGTTTATTCTCAACGTATCAGTTGTGCCTCTCTTCAATTTGAAACTCTCACTATTGGCTATATTTGGGGGTGCCCTATTTCCCATCTCATAACTTATTTCAAGAATCACAGCATAATAATGTGTGAGCTTGGGATTCAGTTTTTGAAACAAAACACTGAGCCTTCAATGACATTCCTGTACATGGAAAAGCACACGTGTCTGCATGGCAGCAGTTCGACCTCCCAATGTGGATTGTGTCTTCACCCTGGAATGTTTATGCCCTATCGCCATGGTGATGGGATTAGGGATCTCCTGCCGTTGGTCCTAAGTGCCACTGTCTGTGCTGAGTTTTTGAAAGGTCAGAGCAGATTGAACCTTTGTGGTTTCATATTCCCTGATTTTGAATTTTCTTATGGGGAACCTGTCTTGCTGCATTCAAGGTATGTTCATACTGGCCTGCCAAATGCGATCTTTTCAAATTACTAGTTAATGCTTTCAAAATATGTTATTTAAAAAATTATCCTCTGTATTTTCCATAGGCAGTTATAAATATGTTTCATGGTTATGTTTTATTCCTCAATTTATATATTTGATTATTGTACCAAGCAGAGTACCTTTGAAATTTTTCTTCCTTTAAAAAATATGTATCTTGGCTCAGGCCTGTAATCCCAGCACTTTGGGAGGCCAAGGCAAGAGGATCAAAAGGGGAGGAGATCAAGACCATCCTGGCCAATACAGTGAAACCCTGTCTCTACTAAAAATACGAAAAATTAGCCAGGCATGGTGGCAGCTGGTGTAGTCCCAGTGTGGTGTAGTCCCAGCGACCAGGGAGGATGAGGCACGACAATCGCTTGAACCCGTGAGGCAGAGGTTGCAGTGAGCCAAGATGGCGCCATTGCATTCCAGCCTGTGCAACAGAACAGGACTCTGTCTAAAAAAAAATTATGTATATATAATATATAATATATATAATATAATGATATATTACATAATATACATAATATATATTATATGTCAAATTATATACATTATATATATTATATGTCAAATTATATACATTATATATATTATACGTCATATTATATACATTATATATAATATATAATATATTATATACATAATATATTATATATAATATATAATATACATCATATATAATATATGTTATATGAACAATATATAATATATATAATATGACATATAATATATACTATATGACATATATAATATATATTATATATTATAGGTTATATATCATATATAATATATAATGTATGATATATGATATATATAATATATTATATATTGGATATGTAATATATAATATATTATATAATATATACATTATACATTATATAACATATAATATATTATATAATATATACATTATACATTATATAACATATAATATATTATATAATATATACATTATACATTATATAACATATAATATATTATATAATATATACATTATACAACATATAATATATTATATAATATATACATTATACATTATATAATATATACATTATATAATATATACATTATATAATATATACATTATATATTATATAATATATACATTCTATAACATATTATATAATATACATTCTATAATATATAATATATACATCATATAGTATATAATATATTACATAATATATACTATATTACATATAATATATACCATGTATTACATATAATATATACCATGTATTATATATAATATATACCATATATTATATATAATATATACCATGTATTATATATAATATATATCATATATTATGTATATAATATATGATATATATTATATATAATATATAGTATAATGAATGATATATATTATATATTATATGTTACATATTATATATAATATATGATATATACTATATATAATATATGATATCTATTAAATATAATATAATGATATATAATATATGATATATATGATATATATTATATTATACTATATATCATTATATTATATTATGTATAATATAGCATAATATATTATATATTAGATATAATTATATATAATTATATATTTAGATATAATTATATATAATTATATATTTAGATATAATTATATATAATTATATATTTAGATATAATTATATATAATTATATATTTAGATATAATTATATATAATTATATATTTAGATATAATTATATATAATTATATATTTAGATATAATTATATATAATTATATATTTAGATATAATTATATATATTATATTATGTACAAAATAATATATTATATATCTTCTATATAATATGTTATATATAATATAAGGATTCAGGATGTAAAAGGAAATTATATATGTGTTATATATATTATATATTATATTATATATAATTATAAATATATATATATATATTTGGGGGTGCCCTATTTCCCATCTCATAACTTATTTTGAGAAGCACAGCATAATAATGTGTGGGCTTGGGATCCAGTTTTTGAAATAAAACCCTGAACCTTCAATGACCTTCCTGTACATGTAAAAGCACACCTGTCTTCATGGCAGCAGTTGGACCTCACAGTGTGGATTGTGCCTTCACCCTGGAATGTTTATGCCCTATCGCCATGGTGATGGGATTAGGGATCTCCTGCCGTTGGTCCTAAATGCCACTGTCTGTGCTGAGTTTTTGAAAGGTCAGAGCAGATTGAACCTTTGTGGTTTCATTTTCCCTGATTTTGATTTTTCTTATGGGGAACCTGTCTTGCTGCATTCAAGGTATGTTCATACTGGCCTGTCAAATGCGATCTTTTCAAATTGCTAGTTAATGCTTTTGAAATATGTTATTTAAAAAATTATCCTCTATATTTTCCATATGCAGTTATAAATATGTTTCATGGTTATGTTTTATTCCTCAATTTATATATTTGATTATTGTACCAAGCAGAGTACATTTGAAATTTTTCTACCTTTAACAAATATGTATCTTGGCTCAGGCCTGTAATCCCAGCACTTTGGGAGGCCAAGGCAAGAGGATCACAAGGTGAGGAGATGAAGACCATCCTGGCAAATACAGTGAAACCCTGTCTTTACTAAAAATACAAAAAATTAGCCAGGCATGGTGGCACCTGGTGTAGTCCCCGTGTGGTGTAGTCCCAGCTACCTGGGAGGCCGAGGCAGGACAATCGCTTGAACCAATGAGGCAGAGGTTGCAGTGAGCCAAGATGGCGCAATTGCACTCTGGCCTGTGCAACAGAAAGTCTCTGTCTCAAAAAAATTATATATATATAATATCATAAATATTATATGTTATATATTATATTATATATAATTATATTATATTTTATTACATATTATATATCATAATATATAATATATTTTATTGTATTATATTATATATAATGTATCATAATATATAATATATTTTATTGTATTATATTATATATAATGTATCATAATATATAATATATTATATTGTATTATATTATATATAATATATCATAATATATTATATATGATATATTATATATTATATAATATTAGATATTATATAATACATATTATATATACTATATTATATATATTATAATATGATATATTATACATAATATATATTATTATATATCATAGGTAATATTATATATGTTATACATTATATATAGTATTATATATAACATATATTATATGTTATTGTATTGTTTAATATATAATATATATTATATATTATATATAATATAGTAATATATATTTTATATTATTATATTATATTATATATAATTATATATTATTATATTTTATATAATGTAATATATATAAGGATGCAGGATGTAAAAGGAAATTATATCTATTATATATATTATATTATATATAATTATATATATATATATTTGGGGGTGCCATATTTCCCATCTCATAAATTATTTTAAGAAGCACAGCATAATAATGTGTGGGCTTGGGATTCAGTTTTTGAAACAAAACACTGTGACTTCAATGATCCTCCTGCACATGTAAAAGCACACCTGTCTGCATGGCAGCAGTTGGACCTCCCAATGTGCATTGTGCCTTCACCCTGGAATGTTTATGCCCTATCGCCATGGTGATGGGATTAGGGATCTCCTGCCGTTGGTCCTAAGTGCCACTGTGTGTGCTGAGTTTTTCAAAGGTCAGAGCAGATTGAACCTTTGTGGTTTCATTTTCCCTGATTTTGATTTTTCTTATGGGGAACCTGTCTTGCTGCATTCAAGGTATGTTCATACTGGCCTGTCAAATGCGATCTTTTCAAATTCCTAGTTAATGTTTTCAAAATATGTTATTAAAAAATTATTCTCTGTATTTTCCATATGCAGTTATAAATATGTTTCATGGTTATGTTTTATTCCTCAATTTACAGATTTGATTATTGTAACAAGCAGAGTAACTTTGAAATTTTTCTTCCTTTAACAAATATGTATCTTGGCTCAGGCCTGTAATCCCAGCACTATGGGAGGCCAAGGCAAGAGGATCACAAGGGGAGGAGATGAAGACCATCCTGGCCAATATACTGAAACCCCGTCTCTACTAAAAATACAAAAAATTAGCCAGGCATGGTGGCAGCTGGTGTAGTCCCAGTGTGGTGTAGTCCCAGCTACCTGGGAGGCTGAGGCAGGACAATCAGTTGAACCCGTGAGGCAGAGGTTGCAGTGAACCAAGATGGCGCCATTGCATTCCAGCCTGTGCAACAGAAAAAGTCTCTGTCTCAAAAAAATTATATATATATAATATATATTATATATATTTTATATAACATATATTTTTTATATTATATATAATATATATTATATATTATATATATTATATATTATATATTATATAAAATGTATTATATATTATATATTATATCTATTATATACATTATATATAGTATATATTATATACCATATATAATATATGTAGTATACATGTAATATATAATATATATTATATGTCATATCATATATAATGTCATATTATATATCATATATAATATATATTACATATAATATATAATATATATTACATATAATATATAATATATATTACATATAATATATAATATATATTACATATAATATATAATACATATTACATATAATATATAATATATAATATATATTACATATAATATATAATATATAATATATATTACATATTATATATATTATATATTATACATTATATATATTACATCATATATCATATATAATATCTTATATCATATATTATATTATATATAATGTATCATAATATATTATATATTATCATATATTATATTATATATAATATATCATAAGATATAATATATTATATTATATATATCATAATATATTATATATTATATTATTACATATTATATAATATTACATATTATATTATATTATTATTATATATTATGTAATATTTTATATTATATATGTAATATTATATATATTATATTGTAATATATATTATAGTATGACATATTATATATAATATTATATATTATATATTATACATAATATATTGTATATATTATATATTATGCAATATATTATATTATATATAATATTATAGTATATATTATATATTATGATATTATATTATATTACATATAATATTATAATATATGATATATATTATAATATTATATTATATATAATATAATAATAGATATTATATATTATTATATTATATATATAATTATATACAATTATATAATCATATATAATTGTATATATTATATATATAATAATTATATATTATTATATATTATTATATATAATATATTATATATAATATAAGGATGCAGGATGTAAAAGGAGATTATGTATATTATATATATTATATTATACATAATTATGTATATTATATATATTATATTATATATAATTATATATATATATTTGGGGTGCCCTCTTTCCCATCTCATAACTTATTTTAAGAAGCACAGCATAACAATGTTTGGTCTTGGGATTCAGTTTTTGAAACAAAACACTGAGCCTTCAATGACCTTCCTGTACATGTAAAGGCACACCTGTCTGCCTGGCAGCAGTTGGACCTCCCAATGTGGATTGTGACTTCACCCTGGAATGTTTATGCCCTATCGCCATGGTGATGGGATTAGGGATCTCCTGCTGTTGGTCCTAAGTGCCACTGTCTGTGCTGAGTTTTTCAAAGGTCAGAGCAGATTGAAACTTTGTGGTTTCATTTTCCCTGTGTTTGATTTTTTTATGGGGAACCTGTCTTGCTGCGTTCAAGTTGTGTTCATACTGGCCTGTCAAATGCGATCTTTTCAAATTCCTAGTTAAGGTTTTCAAAATATGTTATTTAAAAAATTATCCTCTGTATTTTCCATATGCAGTTATAAATATGTTTCGTGGTTATGTTTTATTCCTCAATTTATATATTTGATTATTGTACCAAACAGAGTACCTTTGAAATTTTTCTTCCTTTAAAAAATATGTATCTTGGCTCAGGCCTGTAATCCCAGCACTTTGGGAGGCCAAGGCAAGAGGATCACAAGGTGAGGAGATCAAGACCATCCTGGCCAATTCAGTGAAACCCTGTCTCTACTAAAAATACGAAAAATTAGCCAGGCATGGTGGCAGCTGGTGTAGTCCCAGTGTGAGTTGGGATACAATTTATTCCCAAATTCCCAAATTATATATATATTATATATATAATTATATATAATATATATACATATATCTTCATAATATATACGTATATATATTATATATATATATATATATATATAATTTCCTTTTACATCTGCATCCTTCAACGTTCCATCCCCCACCCTACAGATTAAGTTATTCCCTAAGGGAGAATGTGGCAAAGTCTATTTTAATGCAGTTTTTAACCTTATTAAGAACCTATGAAATCATTACTTTCCAAAACTTTGGAACAAAGCCACAGTAGTATGGATGGGTTGGAGGCTTTTCACACAATAAAATGTACCTCTCTTTGTTTTTAACATGTTTTTCCCTTCCTCTCTTCTTTTTTTGTGAAATGTGTATTTACGTTAATAAATTTGTAGTAAGTCATTTCCATTCACATATTATTTTTTTAAAGTAATAAAAATGTGTATTGTCTACGTGTGAAATAAAACACACATTTATTTTTATGCTTTGGGACTTCTCCAAAATCATGGAATTGTCAATCACAGTCATTTACCCAACCTACTCACCTTTCCAGTGTAATCTTAGTCAAATTTTTTTTTGTTATCCAATGAGATGCAGTATTTCAACTCAGAAAGATAAATAGAATGAATTGGTAGAGACTATTAACTAAGAACATACAGTTTTATTTATACTCAGAAGCAAGTAGATTATGTACATATATATGAAGATAAAAATTAAAAGGATAATTGTGTAAATTTGCATGTAGAGAGCTTTGAAAACCTGTTTACTTGTTAATGCTGTTTTGATGTATTGTGTCTTTGTTCTCCCGACCCATCATCCAGAGCTCTCTGCAGGAGCTAAGTGCTCATCAGTTCCATGACTTGGAAACTGTCTAAGTTTAGAGGCACTTGTATTTGTTAGTAAATAAGGCAAGATGATATTGTTTCACAGGTTTTAGTGCAGAAGACTGAATAGATAAGCTGCTCCACCCAGTACACTGGTGTTCATTTCATGGTCATCTCATCTGTTAACCATGGATATAAAACACTTATCTTCAATGATCTTCCTGTACATGTAAAAACACACCTGTCTACATGGCAGCAGTTGGACCTCACAATGTGGATTGTGCCTTCACCCTGGAATGTCTATGATGCCCTATCGACCATGGTGATTGGATTAGGGATCTGTTGCCCTTTGCTCTGCCACTGTCTGTGCCAGCCAGGCCACTGGGCCATTGTGGCAGATGGTGATGCCCTTTGTGTGGAGCGCACTGAGTGTGCGCTGAGGCAGACACAGTACTTTTGACAACTTTATCTGCTTCTTTCAAAACTGGGTCTGCATTATGATAAAGTGGTCGGTTTTAGGCCAAGCAGGTGTATGTCATAGAACAATGACTTGGGAGGTCAGAATCCTGGGCGTGAATAAGCCTCTGAGCCTTATTAAGCTGTGAAATCTAAAGCAAGACATTTCACTGATAATTAAGCCTCATGAGCACTTATACTGTACACTTTACCTACATCAAATCATTCGGCCATCACCACAGACAAATGGCATGATTGATTTACTATCACCTTTCGCTGGGCAGAAAAAGACAGAGATGAATGTGCCCAAGCTTATGAGCCCCTCAGCAAAAGAGCCAAGATGGGAACCCAAGCATACAGCCCCAATGCTGAGGCTCTGAACTACTGACCTGCCCTCAGCACTCAGCCTTGGGATCATGAGTCACTGTGCAAGGGAGTTCCAACATCTGCATGTATGTGTGGAATGATCTGAGCCTGTAGAGTTCCTACACACTGGGCACATTATAGGGTGGTGTCTGTGGTCACACAGCTCAGGGCAGGTATTAGTACATGAATAGCTTAGCTGTGTCATAGTCTTTATGTGAAAGGCACATAAAAGCCCAAATGCTTTTGAACTGGTTGCGGATTTTGAGTTGGAGGACAACACTTGGGACAACCGGTCACATTCCTTCAGTGCGCGGCCACTCCTCAGCACATATCCCAAAGCCGGTAAATAATGGGAAGACCCTGTACTGATATTTGATGGCGTTATGAACTTCAAATGACCCCTATAGAAATGTTAAAAAAAAAAAAAAAGTCTGTGAGCTACACAAACTGGGGACAAGTAAGAACATAAAATACCACTAAATAATGAGCCTCATGTGTCACCCAGCTTGCAACTCCCTTGGCAGCTGGTTTGAAGAGCCTCAGTGCTCACCAGGGCCCATCTCCCCGCTCTGCCCTCTCTGGCTGTGGGTTGCCTGGGCTGAACATGGCCAGCCCCTCACACGATGACTGCAAACACAGGGCAAAGGAAGACTGAACGGAAAATGTACGGTTAGAGTGGTTATTTTAAAATATAAGCATTTCAGTATTTTCTAATCTTTAATAATTGATTATTTTTAGGGGAGGTTTTTTTTTTTTTTTTGAGACAGAGTCTTGCGCTGTTGCCCAGGCTGGAGTGCAGTGGCATGATCTCAGCTCACTCCAACCTCCCCATCCTGGGTTCAAGTGATTCTCCTGCTTCAGCCTCCCGAGTAGCTGGGACTACAGGCACGTGCCACCACGCCTGGCAAAGTTTTTGTGTTTTTAGTAGAGACGGGGTTTCACTCTGTTAGCCAGGATGGTCTCAATCTTCTGACCTCATGATCCACCCGCCTCGGCCTCCCAAAGTGCTGGGATTACAGGCGTGAGCCACCACACCTGGCCGGATTTTTTATTTTTTTATTTTTTGAGATGAAGTCTCTGTCACCCAGGCTGGAGTGCAGTGGTGCAATCTCAGCTCACTGCAATCTCTGCCTCCAGGTTCAAGGGATTCTCCTGCCTCAGCCTCCTGAGTAGCTGGGTTTTTTATTTTTTTTTTTTAGTTGAGATGGGGTTTTACCATGTTGGTCAGGCTGGTCTCGAACTCCTGACCTCAAATGATCTGCCCACCTCCACCTTCCAAACTGCTGGGATTACAGGTGTGAGCCACTATGCCTGACTGATTATTTTCATAACCAAGAAAAGAAATAAATATAATTAATGCTGGTGTATAGTATTAAATCTAGTTTTTAAAAAATTCACACATAAACAAGGCAGAACCCTATACCCTCCATGATAAATGCAGTAGCAGTGTATGTGGGTCTGTGGAGGTTGAAAGGGACTTGGTAGATGTCAAGAAGGTAGTGGCAGTCCTGCTGGGCTTTTAAAGGGTCTGAAGAAGTGACAGGATGCTGTGGTTGAATCCTAGCATGTATTTTAGCATTTGTTCATTTGGAGTTTGATTATTTCACATTGCTTTCATTTGCCATTACCTGGAAAGCCAAGGGCTCTACTCTCATTTCCTTGCTGCTCTTTCTTTGCCTTCCTTGGTCCGTGAAGAAGATGGTCCAGGAGAAGCTCATTCCATGCTTGTTAACCAGGCACGCCCCTAAGTTCCAGTCCCTGAGTCATTCATGAGTAGCACTGCCAATGAACTGACAGCAATGCTGTGTCCCTCCACATCCCCTAGGTGACTCGAAGAAGCCTTCCCAAAGGCGTGTGAAAAGGCAGCCCTACTCTACTACCAAGGTAAAGTAGCCTGTCTTTGCCTAAGATGTAAATGTTGTTTTCTTGGATCCTTTATTTTTCAGTTGATATCAGCTATGGGAAAATTATCCACTACATTATAGATGTTAGATAATATTTCCTTGGGGATGGAGGAGGTGTATTTTACCAGCTGACACCTGATTCCAGAGGACGTGCAAAATTGGCAGTGTCAGATAGTACACTGCGTGTTAAGAGATGTTTTCTTCAGGAACAAGCTTTCCACTTTAGATAAGAATTCTGCAATTGCTACTCAAAAATTACCTAGACAGAAACATTCTTCAACAAAAGCTCCTGTGCTTTCCTAAGGGAACTCTACTCTAGAGTTGGGGCTTTTGACTTGAACCTTATTTCCAATCTTGGTTACCCAGAGTTTCCAAGTGAACAAAAGACCTGTGTGAGCCATCCATAGCATAGCCTGATTCTCAGAGTGTTTTCCTTCTCTAATTACAGGTGACGTCAGGGAGCACATTCAATGGTACGTATTCTGGAATCACTCACTGGTTGTTAGAAAAGGATTCTATAGGAAATCTGGAGCTTAACTGCTGGCTTTTGTCTGGAGAGCCTCCATGATCCAAGACATCTGGTGGGAATGAGGATGTGGGGTATAGTAAAAGAAACTGGTTTTCCAGGTGACATACTCTTTTTATCTATGTATAGTTTCTGGGAATGTGTTCACATTAGGTTGTGTGTGGGTATGTGTGTATTAGGGCGGGGGTGGGGTGAGGTGGTCTGTGTGCAAGTCTGCATGATTTGCTTGTGAATGTGTGTCTATGTGTGTTTCCCCCAGGAAAAAAATGTTGTGTTTACCCAGCACAACTGTCAGTGCCATTTTTCTTAATTTAACAAATCAGACCACATACTTTACTTACATTAGTTCACACCTCATCATCATCATGCCCATATGTTGTGAGCTTGTTTATTGAGCCCACATGCCAGATGGAGAAACTAAGCCACATAAATAAATGTGCCCTGGTTCACTTGCTGCATAGTGAAGAGTCAAAATGTTTACTCATACGGTGCTAATGTTGAAGGCCTGAACTACAACCTCTATTTATCAGCCAGTGAAGAGATCACTATTCACCATGCAAGGGAGTTCCAGCACCCTCTATGCCTGGAATTACCCACGCCTGCAGAGATCCCAAACGCCATCCCTCACATAAGACAGCCTCATGATCTCATAATCCAGGTAGCTATGTAGACATCTTCCTGCAGGTGTCACATAGTCCTTAGTGTGAAACCAACATAGAAAGCCCATGTTTCTGATCAAATCACAGGTTCTGAAACACTAAGGGAGGCACTAAGTAGGACAACGTGGTGCCTGCGTGTCATAGCTGGGTCTCCTCAAGACATGGATCAAGTCCAGTAAGAATTGGGGAGATGCTTTAGAGTCTTGATGGAGTTATCACCACAAGCCCTCTGAGCTACACACTTTAGGGATCATGACCATTAAGTACTCAAATTACCATTTGGTTGTTATCCGGGTATCCGTCGTCCTTGTGGCAACCCTCTTGTGAAGCTGGTGTGGACAGCCTCAGTGCTGGAGCTGTGCCTGCCTTCTGAGTGGACCCTTTCTGTGTTAGCAGGTGGGTACAAGCGTGGGGGTCAGCACACTCAGTGGATTTACACACACAGCGTTGAAGAGTAAGGCTGGGCTTCGTTATTTATACATTTTCAATAAATGATGATCTTCATAACATAAAATCAATGATGTAGTACACTAGGATACTGTCCCTAGTATTGAATCTTGTCTCTCAGCAAAGGGTTGCTTAAAGTCACGTGACAGATTCCATTCAACTGATGACACATGCTGTAGCAGCAGTTAAAGCAGTCATTTGAAAAGGCTTTTACTATAAACTTATGTGTGAGCCTGAAGTGGGGGATAAAAGAGGTGATTAGCTCCCCTGTGCCATGTTTCTATTATGTGCATGGTGGAGGAAAATTACACAGGAAGGTGATGGAGAGAACAGAGCAAAGGATTGGACAGGTCCATTGAACCCATAAGACTATGGTGAGGTTAGTGAATGAGACTGGTCATTTTAGGTCAAATTTTACCCAGAGCTGGTGCAGCCACTGCCCATTCTTAGCCAGACCTTATTGCAGGCAGCTCTGATCAATAGTCAAGGAGGCAGTGGGGCTTGCAGACTTAATTCATTAAATCACCAAAGCACCAGCCCACACGGCCACTTTTCCAGTTAATTCACAGTAGCTTGCATATTCAGGTTTAATCAGTGGAAGGGAAGTTACTCTTTGCAGACCCATCTTTTGACAATCATTGTGCGGTGTCGGAAGGTCTGAGCAGCCTCGGGAGGCAAGCAGTCCCTGGTCCCTCAGTGTAGTCACTGGAGGAGACAGTCACTGAGAGGCAGCTGGCAGGGTGAAGGGCAAGGGGAGGCAGGCCACAGAGATGACAGCCTTTAAGCTGTCATACTGGGAGGTCAAGGATCTGAAAGAGGAAGGAGAATTCTTTATCATTAAGGACCTGTCCTTATCTCAGGCATTTCCTCCAGAGCACCACCTTTGTCCACCCACACACCTTGGGCTAGGAGGACTGGAGAAAGACAGTGAGGGGTCTCTTGGGTCTCTGGCACAGGGCATGATGAAGAGGTGGCAGTTTTTCAGGAATCTCTCTCTCTAGGGAACCAAATACATTTCCCATCTCAGGTCCTTCACTCAGCGGGGTTGAGGTTCTGCTCGTCACTTATCATCTCTGAATGTCAGCACCCTCAAGTGTAAAATCTCAGCCACAGCCCCTCCTCTGCACCCCCTGCAGGGCTGATGTTCTCCATAAACCATAAGGCGTCATGCCCACGGAAAAGCCGAACAGGAAAGCATGCTCCACTGCCCCGGAGCCATCCAAGTTCCCCCTCCATATTCCGCCACTGCTAAGTGTCCAGCTTATTCCTCCTGGCATGTAGTAAACACTTAGAGAACATTACTGAAGTACCAGTCCTCTCTAAGGTTTTCCTGTATTTAGTGATTTTTTAGCCCTGTACTGTGATACTAAGAAGTAGGGCCTAAATAGGGCCTAAAAAGTATTGCTAAAATTACATTATGACAGTGCAGAGAACTGAGGGCAGAGGGAGGACATGAGCTTGCCAGGTCCACATGGCTTAGTGGAATTTGAATCCGGGCCCCCACTCTGCACCAGCCCTGCACTCACAGTCATCCGGCTGTGTTCCCCTCTCCAGGAAGGCACTGCCCACGCAGTCTGTCTGATAGAGGTGTTGAGTGCTCACTGAACTCCGTGATCTTCCTGAAACCCAACTTTGATTCAGTGGGCTCTGCTTGGAAGCCTGTAAAGAAAAGGATCATAAGTTTAAACTTAGAACAGATTATCACTATTTTCCCTCTGGTCTTCTGTCAGCAAGATGTCAACAGCCCTATCTATTGTAAATGCATTAACCAGCGTCTTCTCTGATAGAGAATACAAGAAGATATGCTGTGCACACCAACCAGTGTAGGAGACCTCATGGCTCCCGGGTAAAGAAGAAGAGGTACCCACAAGAAGGTACTGTGGAAGTTCATTAATTAAGTTGATTCAAGAATTGCAGTTGCGGGGAGTATTCAGTGTCCCATATGTAAGAGGAAACTATGAAGAGACTAAGCCATATTTTTTAATGTGTCAGGATTCTAATTTGCCTGGTCAGTAAATATTGCTACCACCACAAAAGTAAATATCTACTTAAAAGTCAATTTTGGTTCATGTTTAATGATAGACAATGTTTCAAGCTAATGTCTAGAACTTACCTGGTTGTTAAACATAAGCATAGATCTCCCTGAAAGAGTGGTGCTATATTATTATTTTTCAATTAATATATTTCTTTAGAGAGTTTTAAATTGACATAAAAACTGAGCATATGGCCGGGCATGGTGGCTCACACTTATAATCCCAGCACTTTAGGAGGCCAAGGCAGGCAGATCATCTGAGGTCAGGAGTTGGAGACCAGCCTGGCCAACATGGTGAAACCCCATCTCTACTAAAAATCCAAAAAAATTAGCCAGGTGTGGTGGCAGGCGCCTGTAATCCCAGCTACTCAGGAGGCTGAGGCAGGAGAATCGCTTGAACCCAGGAGGCAGAGGTTGCAGTGAGCCAAGATCATGCCATTGCACTCCAGCCTGGGTGACAAGAGTGAAACTCCATCTCAAAATAAATAAATAAATAAATAAATAAATAAATAAATACATAAAAATTGAGTATATAATACAGGAAGTTCCCATATTATTCTGTCTCCTCACCCTCACTTCCTAATTTCACCTATTAGTAACATCTTACATTATTGTGGTACATTTGCTAGAATAATGAGAAAATATTGACACATTATTATCTGAAGTCTACATTTGCATAATGTTCATTCTTTCTGTTATACATATATATGAATTTTGAAATATTTAAAACATTATGTTCACCCTTATGGTCTCATAAAGAAAATGTTCACTTCCCTAAAAATCCTCTCTTCTCATTAATCTCTGTCCTCTTTCTCCAGAAACCTTGGCAACTATTAATATTTTTACTATCGCTTCAGCTTTGCCTTTTCCAGAATGTCATATAGTTGGAATCATATATTATGTAGTTTTTTCAGATGAATTTATTGCACTAAATTGATGTACGCTTTAGCTGCTTTCATGTCTTTTTTATGCCTTAATGGCAAAAAATGGCACATTAAATCACCAAATAATATTGCATTAAATGAATTTTTGTCTTTTTATTCACCTGTTGAAGAATTCGGTAGATTTCATGAGAGAAACCATCTGGGCCTGGTGCTTTCTTTTTCGGAATGCTCTTAATGTGAATTCAACTTATTTAATAGACATAAGTTTATTCAAATTAGGATCCTAGCATGACCTTGGGAAGATTGCCTTTCAAGGAATTGATACATTTCACTGAGGTTATCAAACTGCGCTCATAGAACTGTTCATGATATTCCTTTTAATGCCTAACAGTTCAGTAGAGATGGCTCCTCTTTTATTTCTGAAATTGGTCATTTGTGTTATCTTCTTTTTCTTGGTTAGCCTGCATATCAATTCATTCATTGTAATGAGCATATCAAAGAACCAGCTTTTGGTTTTATTGATTTTCTGATGATTTCAGTGTTTTAATTTTATTGATTTCTGTGATGTTGTTTATTACTTTTACTTGCTTTCCATTGCATTCCTCTATTTTCTATAGTTCCCTAATTGAAACATGATATTACTGATTTTAGGTCTTGTGATTTTTAGTATATTGCATCCAATGCTATAGATTTCCCTCTAAGGACTGCTTTTGCTACATCCAGAAATCTTGCCAAGTCACATTTTCTTTTAATGTAGTTAAAAGTATTTTTAATTTTCTATTGAGACTTCTTTAACCCAACAGTTACTTAAAAGTGCATTGCTAATTTGCAAATATTTGGGGATTTTGTGGCTCTTTTACAGTTGTTGATTTTTTGTTGTCAGGTATGTGTTGCAAAAGCAGTCGTCTACCTCATCTTGCCACCACCCAAGACGGCCCAGGATGTGGGCTCTCCCTGAGTGAATCTTTGGCAATCTGCCAACCTGATGTGTTCGGCCTCCTTCTTTAGTCTGAGCTTGCCTTCTGCTTAGAAAGGGCCATTCTCAGTTCTGGCAGGGAGTTTTCCCAACATTGAGAAGGTGGCATTCTTACTCCCCACTGCAGCCTGCACCTCTGACCGGTGGTCAGCAGACAGGACAGAGGTCCTCATTAGACAGAGTTCAGCAGGGTCTCTGACCAAAGTGCATCTTCAGAGTCTGCACCTACCCACTGTGACCACGGGCAGGCTCTGAGTCCTAACGCAGGAGGAACTGTGCGACCATCCTGATTGGAAATTTGTGAGGATCACCGTGTTACTCAAGTAAGGTCTTTGGAAAGTGTCGTATTACTACTGTTTGTGAACTGCTTGTTGGTGGCCTGGCTGAGCCACACACTTTATGAAAACCAGGACCCCTCAGCTGGTGTGGGTGTCTATGCAGCCTGAGACCCTCATGTGAACAGCCTCGTGGCAGCTGTCTTTGCCCCTTGCCACCATCAGTGCCTCCTTGTTCCTGGGCACTGCTTTCTCTGATGGTGCTCCATTGTTTTCCTGCACCTCAGTGTCTACAGCTGGATGTCTCTTCCGCAATCTAGGCGAGGGGGCATCAACGGCAGTTCTGCTGTGGCACTGCCCTCCTTCTTAGCTTGTCTTGCTCTGTCTTAGGCTCCCTCAAAGATCCCACCCTTCAGGTTCTTCCACAAGTTTCTTATTGAAATCCAAGCAGAAAACTATGACCAATATGACCAATCCTATACCCACTGAAGACATGAATGAAGAATTAAAACAATTCTCCATGGACTCTACCATATAGATCCCTAGAAGTAATTTCTAAAAAAAAAAAAAAATCAAGGAAGATGTAATAGTTTTCCATAAATTAGAATACCCTACATGTACAATTAAATGAAATGGCTAGTATAGTCTTGAAACCAAAACCAGTTAAGGTAAATTAAATTCTGTGATATTTTAAAATACTGTAAATTCTGACTAATGTGAGTTAATCTCAAAATATGAAATAGTAGATTAACATTGAAAATGCAATAAATAAAATTAGCTACCTCAAGAGTTTAATGGAAAAAATGTGATTATTGCAATAGATTCAGGAAATTCATGAATAACATTCACCCTATATTTGTAGGACAACTATCTAACTTTAAGTGACCTGTGACAACCATTTGAATTAATTCTGCTTTCACAGCATATCTCTTGGCTTGTTAAAAACCCGACAAGAATTTCCGTAACATTAATTTATTTTTAACACCTATATTGGGTGTGAACCCACCATAAAGTTTGCCCACTGAAAAGGTCTACAATTTGATGCTTTATTAAATTGATACTGTGTGCACCCATCACCACCATCTAATTTAAATATGTTTCCCTCACCCAAGTTCTCTCTTGCGCACTGGCAGTTAATCCCCACTCCCATCTCCAGCCCTAAGCAATACTGCTGTGACATTCCATCTCCATAAATTTCCCATTTGCTTAATAGAAATGGACATATATATATATTTGGAATCTGACTTCCTTCATTTAGCATACTATGTTTGAAGTTAATTGACGTGTTAGCACGTGCTGGTCATGTGTTTTCCTTCATAGTCTGCTGTGTTTACTCATACAGATAGTGTTTATTCATTTATCAGTTAATGGACATTTAATTGTTTTGTTATTTTCTTTGATGAGTAATGTAGCTTTGAGCATTCATATACAGTCATGTAATGCATAATGACATTTCGGTCAAAAAAATTTTTTTTTTTCTGAGACCCAGGCTGGAGTGCAGTGGCACAATCTCGGCTCACTGGAACCTCCACCTCCCAGGTTTAAGCAATTCTCGTGCCTCAACCTCCCGAGTAGCTGGGACAACTGGCACACGCCACCATGCCTGGATAATTTTTGTATTTTCAGTAGAGACAGGATTTTGCTGTGTTGGTCAGGCTAGTCTCAAACTCCCAGCCTCAGGTGATCCACCCATCTCTGCCTCCCAAAGTGCTGGGATTATAGGCATGAGCCACCACACCCAGCCTAATTTTTTTAAGAAAGAAGGGAACTATTTTCTAAATTACTTTTGCCAATTTATATTTCTACCATGATGCATAGCACTAATTTCACTGTACAATATATGGTAGGCCCCAATATGTAAGAAATGATGAAAATAACACATAAAGATTGGTATAAAACAAATAAGATTATCATTGTTGCTATCATCTTTGTCAAATTCTGAAAACAATCTGAGTATATTTTTATATAAATATGCTTGGCAACATAGCTGAAAAACGCATTATCAGTTACATTTATCAGTAACAAAGACATAAATTTGAAGGGGGAAAAACACTTGTACTAACAACGCAATGTCAGAATTAACATAAAAATTCTGCTGGTCACTTTGGAATATTTAATTGCCTGGGGCAGTGTTTAGTAGACAAATGAGCATCTATGGAGCACTCAAAGTAGGGGAATCAACAGAACTTGGGTTTGAAAAGTTATCTGGGTTTAGAGCGTGAAACTTTGTTAGAGGACACGCACCTTGCATGAGCGAGGTGCCCTGGTGTGTGTGGACGTACCATTATGCTTGGAGGTACAGCATAATGGTGGCTTCCTCCAGAAAGGGACATTTGGGGTGGATTCATTCCATCTAGACAACACAGCCTGATGTGGCATGGACATGAATGGAGGTGAAATGGTCAGTAGTTGAGAGGATCAGTCCTGACAAGGGCCGAGGTGAAAAACCTGGGAACCCCTTCAGGTACAAAGTCTTCAGTTGAAAAAGGAGGTGGTCACAGGGAATACTGAGACAGGACAGCAAAGCATGGGAGACAGAGTTCTTGGCCCTGCAGGGTGAGTAGTGTGGATTCTCAAGTTTTCTCCTCTCTCCATTAATTTCTTTCCCAATGCAGATGACTTCCATCATACAGTCTTCAGCAACCTTGAAAGATTGGACAAGCTTCAGCCCACTCTTGAAGGTAAAGGAAGGCAGCTAACAAGACTGGCATCTGGGCTTGGCTGTGCGTGTTTTCTATCATGGGGAAATATATATAACACAATATTTATCATTTGAACCTTTTAACCAAAGTGTGCACTCCATGGCATTCAATATATTCACAGGGTTGCATAACCAACACCACTATCTACACCCACAATTTTGATGATTTCTTACGAAACCTTGTCCACAATAAGCAGTATAGCACCTTCCCCCTATTTCCAGCCCATGGTGATTCCTATCCGACTTTCTCTTGTATGAATTTGACTATTCTAGGCACTTCATGTAATTACAATTATACAATATATTCCTTTTGTGTCTGGCTTATTTCACTAAGCATAATGTTCTCAATGTCCACCCATGTTGTATCATCTATCAAAATGATGTTCGTTTTTTACAGATGGATGATGTAGCATTGCATGCAGACCACCTTGCTTTTATTACATTCATTTGTTCACTGATGGTTGGATTATTTCCACCTTTTGGCTCCTGTGAAAAGTGATGCTACAAACATTAGTATACAAACATCTGTTTGATTTCTGTTCTCTATTCTTTGGGGTGCCTAAGAGTAGAGTTCCTGGGTCCAACAGGGGTTCTATATTTAACCTTCTGAGCCACTGCAGACTGTTTTTCACAGTGGCTGCAACTTTATCCATTTCTACCATCAAAGTATCAGGGTAACAATTTCTTTACGTCCTTCTTCACACTTATTTTCCTTTAAATCATCCTAGTAGGTGTATATTGGTGGCTGCTTGTGTTTTTCATTTGCATTTCCCTAATGACTAATGATCCTGAGCAGCTTTTCCTGTGCTACTATCTGTGGCTGTATCTTCTTTAGGGAAATATATGTTGAAGTCTTTTGCCCATTTTTAAAGAGTTGTCTGATTTTTATTTAGTTAGTTTGTTGTTGTAGATTTTTGAATATATCTTAAATATATTTAAAATATATTCTAAATTTTAGTCTCTTACAAGAGAAATGATTTGCAAATATTTCCACCTTTGTGTAGAACTTTAGATTCACAAACTTCGTTAATTTGTATGAAATCCTCAGCAGTTGACCCCAAACAGATAAGACTGAAGCAGTATTTTAGGAATAGTTGAAAGTATGATCACCACAAAACATAAGCGTAATCAAATCCTGCAAGCTACATGTAAGGCACAATGACAAATAAGGCAGCAAAGGGCCATCTGGTGATTAGTTCACCACACTTGTTGCAACTGTTTGCGCTGCAGAGTTAAAACACACCAGCATTCAACCCGTGTCTCCTCTCTTGAAGTAAACTGTCGTATGTTGGCTGGCCTGAACAAGCGTAGATATTCTCCATCCTCAATTAATATGCATGCATGACAAAGAAAAGGAGGCCTGGATGAAAAAATATTGTGTGATTAATAATTATGCTTTAATTAATTTTAAAGGATATAATTTCAGTACTTCTAATTCCCCCATCAGCAGTTATAACAAAGGATTAGTGAATAAATACCATAGACTGTTTTGCCTAGAATTGAATCCAATCTATCTATTAAACTTTGCTTTTATTCAAGTGCAAAATGCTAAAACACATAACTGCAGTGACAGCCACTGTGGATCCTCAGAGGTAAAAGTAGTCTTGGGACATAAATCCTGCAAGCTAATATTGTTTTTACAGGTTTAGAAAACCATTTAGCTGGGTTTCAAACCTCACAGTGTGAGCAGTGGGACTCTCATCAAACTATAGCATGTGCTTCAGTACCATTTGTAGACTGACTCATTCCCATTTTCTTAAGTTGCCATCAGCAAAATGCCAGGGACTCTATTTCTTGCTCCTTAGCTCCTCGTTCTTGCCTGTCTTTCCACGAGGGAAGATTTTCTAGCAGGAGCTCAAGCTGTGCTTTTAATGAAACACATCCACACACACTGTCCTGTTGTCCACATTAAGCAGAGCTCCCTGAATAACTCATGAACAAAAGCATCTATGACTAACTGTTGCTCTGTGTCCTCCTAGCCTCTGAGGAGTCTCTAGTTCACAAGGACAGAGGAGATGGAGAGAGGCCAGTCAACGCGAGGGTAAGGTTGCCTTGCTTTCTCTGAAATAGAAATGTTCCTTTCTTGGTGTCTTTCTTTTTCAACTGACTTTACATGTGAAAAAATGACAATGTCCATGACAGGTATTAAATGCAGTTTTCTGAGGGGGAGGAAGAAGTGACTCTTAGCAACTGATATGTAATCCAAAATGGCATTTAGCTATGCCGGCTTCAGGTTGTAGACTGTATCCTTGGGGTCCTTGTCCCTGGAAGCGATGTCTTCTCCTTGGATTCAGTATTTTGCACTTGCCAACCTACGTGGACCTGAGAGATCCACCATCCAGAAGCTGATGTCTTTTCCAGTGTGTATCCCACCCTTGTTTTGGAGGCCTTGAAGTTGACTACACTTTCTGATCAAGTTTTCAGTATTCATTGAGAGAAACAGAGCCTTGTGCAAACAATCCACAACATGACATACCCCTCAAAAAGCTTTGTTTCTGTATTGCAGGTGGTGCAGGTGGCCCCTCTGAGGCTTGAATCTAGTAAGTATTCTGGAATCACTTGCCAAGAAAACAATCTGGATGCCAAGAAAGGTGTGGCATCCTTGCCTGGTTTCAATGTGAAGAGCCACCCTGATCCTGGGATTGTGATAGGAATAAGTATAGGGGAAGTGTTTTTTTAAAACCTGAATTCCCCAGGGAAAAATTATGGCCAAATTTTGAGGAAGCAGCTGTGCTCCCTTTTGGGTGGTGCTGAGTTGGGTGCTTGAGGATTGGTGGTGTCTTGTGTGAGGCTGCATCGTGTGGTGTGAATGTGTGTGTTTCTGTACAGGTGAGGCTGTGTGTTTTCTCAGGAGAGATTTCCCACTTATACAACCCAATCACCAGTGTCCACTTCTAACAATAAAATCCACCCCCGCTCTACTCTCTCTGTACAGTGACTCCTCCACCCTCACCAGAGCCATCCCCGGGTCTGCCTTATTATCCCCACTGCTCAGGTGGAGAACCTGAAGGGCCAAGGGAGTGGCCCCAGCTCCCGAGTTCCTGAATGAAACAGTGAAAACACGAACCCAGGAGTGTGGACCAGTGCTGACGCTGACATGCACTTAGTCATGGGGTGTTCACCACCACACAGGGAGTCCAGCATTCATGTATAAGCCCTAAAGCAACGAGCCCAAAAGGCCCCAGACACTGCCCATCATCATAAAGTGGCCTCCGTGGTCACACAACCCAGGGCAGTTATAGGCTCATCTCCCCACGGACCGGCATAGTCATCAGTGTGTCAAAAGCACAAAGATCCCCAGGTGTTTGGCTCAGCTCACAGATCCCTTTTGTTATTTAACTTTTCAGTTCAGGGGTACATGTGCAGGATGTGCAGGTTTGCTACATATATAAATGTGTGATGAGAGTTTTTTGTACAGATTATTGCATCACCCATATATTGAGCCTAATATCAGTTATTTTTCCTGATCCACCCCCTCCTCCCACCTCCCACCCTCCAGTAGGCCCCACGCTCACAAATTCTAAGAGGAGTGGGGGACCACAAAGGCCAGTGTGGCCCACTTCAGTTGTGAAGTTAATTTGCTCAGCAACTGGCCAAAGTCTATAAGGATGGGTGATGTATTTTAGTAGATTTAGTAATACTATCTTCCCAAGCCCTAAAATGCTCAAATCCTGCCAGCCAAAAATGGTGAGGAGGGACAGATAGGAACTCTGTGTGGCACTTGGTTATTAGCCTGGCTTCCATCCCTTAGTGGCAACTCTCTTGTATATGTGGGTTAAAGACCCTCAGCCTCAAGCCAAGCCTCCTCCATGAGGAGCCATCTCACTATTGACCGGCTAGTGCCGGGTATGGCCACCAGCCCAACTGAAACAAAATGTTGCTCTAAAACAAGTGTAAATCTCATACATACAACAGGCAAATGCAGAAGCAGTGTGGTCTCGCAAGTTGTAAAGAGGACAGTCGCAATTTTGCTGGACTTCAACCTGGGTAGAAGACATGAGGGAACTCTGTCACTAAATCACGGCAGAGTTCAAGGCCACTTGTAGACTATTTCATGTTACAGAAGGTGGCCTTTAGCTACTAAGCAAAGGCCTCTGTTTCTCATTTCTTTCCTGTTCATCTTCTTGGTCATCCTTCTTCCGCAAGGGAAACGAGCCCAAGCAAAAGGCAGTTTCAATATTAATTTGACTGAGGTTTTGTGCAGTTTATTATCATCCAGGTAATCAGGTGCAACCCAGTCTGCCTAGCAGCCCCCCTATCTCTGCTCTGTGTTTTCATTTAATAAACATTTTGGTCTACTTACTATGTGCTAGATTTTCTCGAGACCAAGTAAATGAGATAGAATCTTTATGTTGGCAGCTAAGTTAGATTTCACATAACTGACAAAAATTAAAATTTCTGATTTCTTGTAAAAATATTTTGTATGTGTGAATGCATACTGAACGTAAAGTGGATAAAAAACTCACACTTGCACTCATGGGAGGCTTTTCATGAATTTGTCAATTTTTATTTTTTATATTTCCCCACTTCACCAGATAATGCATACCTGAACCTGGAAACTGATTCCCACTGCAGAAAGTGTTCTGAGCCACATCCCTTAGCTTCACTAGTGCAGGTCCACCTGGGAGGATGTCCCAGCATCAGCTTGACCCATGCTGTGATCAGCCACCTCCATGCATCACACCAAGCAAGCCCCTGGGTGATTCACAGTCTCCACCACCAGGGCACTGACCTTAACTCTGTGTTTTTCTAGCTCCCCATGAGGACACCGTACACGACATCACTAACGAGGACGCCACACACGACATCGCTAACGAGGATACTGTACACGACATCGCTAACGAGGCCGCCGACAAGGGCATCGCCAACGAGGACGCCGCCCACGGCATCGCCAGCGAGGACGCCGCCCACGGAATCGCCAGCGAGGACGCCGCCCACGGCATCGCCAGCGAGGACGCCGCCCAGGGCATCGCCAGCGAGGACGCCGCCCAGGGCATCGCCAGGGAGGACGCCGCCCAGGGCATCGCCAAGGAGGACGCCGCCCAGGGCATCGCCAAGGAGGGCGCCGCCCAGGGCATCGCCAAGGAGGACGCCGCCCACGGCATCGCCAACGAGGACTCCGCCCACGGAATCGCCAGCGAGGACGCCGCCCACGGCATCGCCAGCGAGGACGCCGTCCAGGGCATCGCCAAGGAGGACGCCGCCCAGGGCATCGCCAACGAGGACGCCGCCCAGGGCATCGCCAAGGAGGACGCCGCCCAGGGCATCGCCAAGGAGGACGCCGCCCAGGGCATCGCCAACGAGGGCGCCGCCCAGGGCATCGCCAAAGAGGACGCCGCCCAGGGCATCGCCAACGAGGACGCCGCCCAGGGCATCGCCAACGAGGACGCCGCCCACGGAATCGCCAGCGAGGACGCCGCCCACGGCATCGCCAGCGAGGACGCCGTCCAGGGCATCGCCAAGGAGGATGCCGCCCAGGGCATCGCCAACGAGGACGCCGCCCAGGGCATCGCCAACGAGGACGCCGCCCAGGGCATCGCCAAAGAGGACGCCGCCCACGGCATCGCCAACGAGCTGTATACGACATCGCTAACGAGGACACCCTACAAGCCGTCGCTAACAAGTACACTGTACACAACATCGCTAATGAGGGCACTGTACAAGACATCACCAATGAGGGCGCTTTATACGACATTGCTAATGGCACCGACAAGGCACGCTAACGTGGACGCTGTACACGACATTGCTAATGAGGACAGCGTATAAGACATCGCTAGTAACTATCGCAAGAACAAAAAACCAAACACCGCATATTCTCACTCATAGATGGGAATTGAACAATGAGATCACATGGACACAGGAAGGGGAATATCACACTCTGGGGACTGTTGTGGGGTGGGGGGGGAGGGATAGCATCGGGAGATATACCTAATGCTAGATGATGAGTTAGTGGGTGCAGCGCACCAGCGTGGCACATGTATACATATGTAACTAACCTGCACAATGTGCACATGTACCCTAAAACTTAAAGTATATATATATAAAAAAAGACATCGCTAGTGAGCACGCTGTATACGACATCGCTAATGAGGACACCATACAAGGCATCGCTAACGATGACGCTGTACACAACATCACTAATGATGACACCGTATAAGACATCGCTAATTATGACGCTGTATACGACATCGCTAATGACACCGTACAAGGCACGCTAACGAGGATGCTGTACACGACATCACTAATGAGGACAGTGTACAAGCCATCACTAATGAGGACACTGTATATGGCATCGCTAACGAGGACACTGTACAAGGCATTGCTAACGAGGACGCTGTACACAACATCGCTAATGAGGACACCATATAAGACATCACCAATGAGGATGCTGTATATGACATCGCTAATGGCATCCACAAGGCATGCTAACGAGGACGCTGTAGACGACATTGCTTATAAGGACACCGTACAAGACATCGCTAACGAGGACGCTGTATACGACATCGCTAATGAGGACGTTGTATATGACATCGCTAATGAGGATGCTTTACAAGACATAGCTAATGAGGTTGCTGTATATGACATCGCTAATGAGGACATTGTATATGACATCGCTAATGAGGACGCTCTATACGACATCATTAATGAGGACGCTGTATACAACATCGCTAATGAGGACGCTGTATATGGCATCGCTAATGAGGATGCTGTATACGAATTCGCTAATAAGGACGCTGTATATGACATTGCTAATGAGGACACTGTACAAGACATCTGTAAAAAAGAAGATGCTGCCAATGTAAGACACTTTTCTTTGTCTTGAAGAGAAATGTTACTTTCCTGGCTTCTTTCCAATCAGATGTAGACATGAACATCTGCCAGTGTGCATTATCGATGTCATCTGCAGTTTAATCAAATGTAGACATGAACATCTGCCAATGTGGACTATTTATGACATCTGCAATTCCCTTGGTGTGGTGCTATTGATTGGCAGCCTCTCACCAACCCATGCCAGGCACACTGGGGTGTGGTAGATGGCAGCATCCACGATCCACTGCAATGCAGAGGTGTTTCCCTCCACAGCAGTTTTCCCCCATGGATTAAGAGTTGTGAAACTGCCAATCTAGATACACTTTAAAGATAAATTCTGTGGGAAAAGGTCTTGTCTTTTCCACAGGTGTCTTCCGTGCCAGTTTTGGGGGACTTCGACCTTTGACTCAATCACTATACCCCTTCATATTTTCTCTCTCAAGTTGTCGAGAGACTATCAGATCTGTGTGACGTGTATGGCATCATTTCACCCTCCTAATGTTTTCTTTTCTATAATTGCAGGAGCCATTGACACTGGAGAATGATACGTACCCTGAAATAACTCACTTCCTGAGGAAAAAGCGCCATCTCTAGGGTACAGAAACCTGATTCTGGGCTCCTTTTGCGAAGGAGGATTTGGGGTCTGGTGAGAGCAAATGATTTTGCAAGTATAAAACCATGTCCAGAGAGGCTGTAGGGATATCTGTGAGCCCAGAGGAAACACCAGGGGATCCTGTGCGAAGCACCATGGCTTCAGCTAGGGTGGGAGGAGTGGGTGGGCCTCTCTCTAATGACTTATCCTGGTGTTTGTGTTTCTAAAGATTTGATTGTGGAGAGCATATCTGATGATGGGGATTTGTAGGTAGGTAACTGCTTTCCACGTAAGATCCAATTGGAGAGAGTTCCCAGGGGCCTTCGGGTTATCCATGCTGCTTGGGAGGTTAAGGGAGGGGGCATGAAATCAAAACGAAACAGGAAATATGTGTCATATTGGATTTGGTCTTTTCCGGGTTTATTGGCATAATAGTTAGAACTGTCTCTCTGGGCTATGAGGGTGCTGTGTTATTTAAAGGTGGTCTTTCCCAGAACACCTGGCCTTTTCTTTTCTGCCTCTGCCAAACATCACAGCCTTTGGGTTGGATTAGTCAGCACCCCTTGGGATTGTGCAGAAGAGGTTTGGGGTTGCATCGAGTGTCACCTGTGGTGAACAGAATCTGAGAGACACAACTCTCTCACAGGCACTTCCTCCAACCTGGAGACAGAATTCTCCTGGTGTGTGCCCAGGGGTGGAGGAGAAATTGACAGTTTGCCTCTGAACTTTCAGGACTTTAAAAAGCACTCATGTTTCCATCCTCACTGTTGACTCCTGGCTTAAAGGGATCTCCCGGGGTGAGTGAGGAGGCGGGATCGGACCCTGGCAGTCTGACGGCAGCACCTGTGTTCCTCTGCACTGGGCCGTGGATGACATTACACACCTTGGTGAGAATCAGGAATTGAGGCTAACCACATCTGAAATTGAGATGGGCCTTGAGTCATATAAATAGTTTGGAAAAGATGCATTTTACTACGTACGCTATTGAAAGAAACCATTTATTTCTCACTCCAGCAGGATAAATGGTTTTCAGTATCCATTTAACTGCTCATTGACTCTTACTGTAGATGAGGAGGTGGCCAGCAGCCCCTGCCCTCCCCCAGTTGGTAGGCCCAAGGTAACCAGCAATTGACTGGATATAATGGAAGAGTGGTGCATTCGGAGTTATCTGTATTAATGGGACCCACATGATATGGATGAGAGCTATTAGGGTGAGAAAAAGCCTGGGAGCACAATGAAATATTTAAATATTAAACAAAACATTGTTGAAATCTCCATTGTACTTTAGTAGTTGAAGTCATTCTTGTGGTCATCACTGCCTTTCCCAAGCATAACAAGCTACTTAATATCACATGGACCCGTGCCATGAGGAATGATGATCAGTTTGTAAAATGCCAATAAAACAATTGCCTATATAAGCCACAATGTTTCATCCATATATTTCAATTTCCATGTGTAAGTATAGTTCAAATTTCAGAAATTTATTATTATCTAATAGAATATGCATGGTATATCAATGAGCAATTATCATACTGTTTCTATTAACAATTATTTGTATGATGAAAAAAGCAGACTCCCATTCTTGGATTTTTCTCAGTTTGCACACATTAGCATGACAGCCCCATTTCCACCTGACATGTGCCAGCAAGAGGCCAGGAACAGAGGCTTTTCTTATTAACTAAGATTTCTAAATGTATTACGTATTCACATTTAGAAACTCTAAATATCATAAAAGGTTAGCAAGGAAGTTTCCCTTCCACTCTGAACTTCCAAACACCAAGTCAACATTTTTGTTTGCATATCATCCCTGCAATCTATGTGCAAATAGAAGCATGCACCTGGAATGCAGGCTGATGTGTGATCGTGTTTACACAAAGTCCTCTGCACCTCTGCATATATCACTGGGCAATGCACCTTAGTTATCATTCCACATTTCAAATGTAAATCCATTGTATTGTTTCAGAGCTATAAAGTACTGCACCCCATGACTATTCCCAAAATTACTTAAGCACCCCGCTATGGGTATCCATTTGTTCTGTTTCCAGTCTTGCTCTTATAACCAATGCTGTAGTGAACAGCACTGTGTTGAGAAGCGGTGAACGTGGGCATCTTTGTCTTGTTCCCTTCCTCAGGGGGAATGCTTTCAACTCTCCCCCATTCAGGAAAATGTTGGCTGTGGGTTTGTCATAGATAGCTTTTATTACCTTAAGGTATGTCCGTTCTATGCTGATTGTGACGAACGGTTTTAATCATAAAGAAATGCTGGATTTTGTCAAAGGCTTTTTCTGCATCTATTCAGATTATCATGTGATTTTTGTTTTTAGTTTTATTGATGTGATGTATCACATTTATTGACTTGCGTATGTTAAACCATCCCTGCATCCCTAGTATGAAACCCACTTGAATCATGGTGGATTATCTTTTTGATATGCTGTTGGATTCAGTTAGCTTGGTTGTAGCATTTCTTATTATTCCATCTGTGGAATGTATTGGTTGAAATAATGAAAACATGTTCTATCCTCACTGCTTAGCACTTTATGTTTCTTTAATAGCCTTCCCAACAGGGCAACATAAAAGCAGGAGCCCTGCTAGTCTCCCCTTAACCCGGAATCCCCCCTTCTCCACAGCTCGCTCATTGGACAGGATAGACTGGGCGCCCAGGCTTCAAGGTAAGGACGTGCTCTGTCACCTAGAGGTGCAGTGCTTGGGAAGGCCAACCTTGGAGGGTTGCCTGCCAGCTTTACAGTGACAGAGGTGTTGAGAGGGACTGACCACCAGTGCAGAAGGCTGTGCTTTGTTGGTGACATAAAGGATTGTTTCACAGATTGTTGGGGAGGGACAATCCCAAGGCCTCCCCTGGCCCTGGTGCTGGCTCTGCACAAAGGCAATAAGAGAGGGATGCTGGTAAGGGCTGACCTGTTGCTGTGCTGGGGAGGAAGGTGCTGGGCTGAAATTCAGGAGGCTGAGGATGCAGCAGTCCCATAGGAGGTACATGACCTTCAGGATACATTTTCTTCATTGATGATCAATGGAAATGAGAAATCACTGACTATTTTTTCTATCATTGGAATCTACTCTCCACTGCTCATGCTGTTCCTGTCTTTTGGGGAAGATGGAGGATCAATCAGTGTGCACTGCACTGAGTGGAAGGAAGGAGAACTGTGACAAAAATTAAGGAAGGATGAGAGACGGGAGGGCCCTTCATCCAGCTGCTTGCAGAGTCCTCCTGAGGAGGAAAGCCCCGTGGCTCCCTGGAGAAGGAGCATTGAGGGCTGCGTGACTCCCACAGTGAAGTGTGTGGTATGTCTGAGGACACCCAGGCTGGTGGTCCATGAGGAGCCAGTGGCAGAGTGAGAAGAAGAAAGGCCAGGAGGGTGGCTGGAGGCCAGGCTCTGAGTCATTCTCCATGTGATGGAAACAGCCGGAGCCCAGTGGGCTTGGAGGTACAGGATGCGGTGGCTGATGACAGAACAATGTGGAGAGAGGCGTCATTTGTCAAATCCTTACTTTGTTCTGGGCATTGTGCTAAAAATTCTGATGGCTCATCCCATTTAGGGGCTGAAAGTTGCAGAGGTTTAGGAAGCTCACCCACGATACTGGAGCCCCCATCTCCTGCCCTAGTGCTGTCCACCTTCTCACCCAGCCACCACCTGTTTCGGGGGAACACACAGAAGTGGTAACCTCTTATGGAGAGGCAAGTAAATTCTGCTGTTTTTGTTATTCACAGAAAAACACTGGCTCGTGTGGGTTGGGAAGGTGAAATACCAGAAGTATTTCATCTGGTTATTTCTACCCATGCGACTCCTATAGTATTGAAATGCATAGGTTAGCATTTTTGGCCAATTTACTCAGCATTCTGGGTTAAAGGCTTTTATTTATTTTATTTATTTATTTATTTATTTATTTTTGAGATGGAGTTTCACTCTTGTTGCCCAAGCTGGAGTGCAATGGTGCGATCCTGGTTCATTGCAACCTCCGCCTCCCAGGTTCAAACTATTCTCCTGTCTCAGCCTCCCAAGTAGCTGAGATTATAGGCACATGCCACCACACTGGGCTAATTTTTTTGTATTTTTAGTAGAAATGAGATTTCACCATGTTGGTCAGGCTGGTTTCGAACTCCTGACCTCAGGTGATCTGCCCTCCTCGGCCTCTTAAAGTGCTGGGATTACAGGTGTGAGCCACCACGCCTGCCCTAAAGTCTTTTAAAATTCACTTGTATAAGTTGACTTAGTTTTCTTTAACCTTGTAGAAAAATACAAAAATGGCAATCTCTTTTATCACACAAATAATGTCTTTTTAATGGAGTGATTTTTTTCTAATTGAGGTATTATGTACTTTTCATTTACTAATTATTGTTTACATTTGAAGTGTTTTATGAATTAATATTTAATTGCATAGATGAAGATTACTAGTTATAGGCATTTTACTAACCAATACTCATTAAGCATAGCGTGGATTCATATGACATCAAGGAGCTATTTTATTTGGTAAAACGAAAAAGCACAAGAATGAACGAACGCAAGAACTGAAACAGTGGAGACACCTAGAATGACTTGTCTAAGATCTAAATCATTTTGTTGTCTTCCCAGCGTACTTATTATCCTGATCATTGTCATCAGCATTGTTTGGGTCCTTTTAGCACAGATTTCTCAAAATGGGTAACTCCATAACAGTTGGAAGCTTACGAATTCATATAATTTGTAAGAGGTCAATTTGGAAGTACCTATCTATTTTAAAATTCCAATAACCTGGGAATTTCATCCCATGTCTAGAGTCTTTTATGTAAAATATTTCCACAATTAGGAGAAATATGTGCATGGGGATTTTCTATGTAGCGGTGTTTTGATAGAATAGAAAATTGGGATAAACCAAATTTCCATCACGAAGGAAATAGTAATATGCTGAATAATAATACAGCGAATATTATGCAGGCTTTAAACATCAAAAAAGAGTTCAACTTCTGACTTCCGATGATGGTGTTGAAGCAGGTCACTGCTGGTTTACATTTGATTTTCATGTGGGAACTCTGGAAGTCCGCCTTAGTGATTTTACATGTGGCTAAATTGAGCTAATGACAAGCTGTTCGAAGTATGGCAAAATGGAACTTTAAAACAGTATCTTGTCAACAACCAAGAGGACCTGTTTCACATAAAGCCCACGCATTCATCTGCCTGTCCATCATTCTGTCTGTCCACACGGGCATCATTCGTTAGTGGAACTGAGTGCCCGCTGTCGAGCTGACAAGCCCATAACCTCCCTGTTCCTAGTCACACATTAATTCTTCAACAAGTCCCTTTTGATAGATTGTGATTAAGCTTAGCTACTATTTCCAATTGCTTCCCCAAACGTACTTCTCACTGTTCTCCCATCACACCCTTCAGCCCATCCATGCGGGGTTCCTTTGCTTTTCCCACCTTACACCAAACTCCCTATTTTTACTCCCACTTTTACCTCCTCTCCAAGACAAAACAAACAAAACTAGCATTTTAAAACTTAGTTGTAATCTTTCTTCCTTCATGAAAATTTCTCCAACAGCCACTCCCACGGTCCTGTGTGTTCCGGATATTTTAAAATAATGGCTATAAGGTTGAGCACTTCAGGATACGCTGTTTTGCTGTGTGCAGATGGAGGCAGTGGCTGGAGTGAATGAACGGCAACACTTGCTGGCAACCGGCAGAAGCTGAGAGACAGGGAACAGGCTCTCCTCCAGAGCCTCCAGGAGCCAGGCCTTTGGACACCTTGAATGTGGGCTTCTGGGAGACCATGCGTTTCTGTTATAAGCAGCCCAGTCTCTGGCAGTTTTTACGGCTGCCCTGGAACACTCATCTATACCTGTCTGACAAGGTCAAGCTCCAAGGAAGGGACTCTCTACATATCTACATTGTTTGCAGATTTTACAATAATCATTTATTCTTGCATGGCTGATCATTGTTAACCAATACAAATAAAATAATAAAGAAATGACCCACATTTTATGTTGGGAGTTTGATCTGCCATTTATCAAGTATGGAATCTTGAACAAGGGGTTAAACATCTGAATGTCTCCATCACTTCATCTCTAAAGTGGGGGTGCTCACACCCACTGGGCTCCCCCCGCCAGGTTGGTGCCGGACTCTCCCTGGGCCCCCCTGTTCTCTCACCAGCCACATCCATTCTCCCCCCAGAGGCGCTAGTGACTGTGCGTGGCTTTCCATTCCCACCACGTTTGTCTCTAACCCCAGTGGCAGATCAGTGTAAGAACACAGCTGAGTGCTTCTCACCTCCTTGCCCCTTCAAGGGCTCCTCACCACCCACCAGATCAGGTGCAAACTTCCAAGCCTTACTGGATCCCCTTCCACATTCTGAGCTCCGCCTGCCTTCCCATCGCTATCCTTCCCCACCTGCCTCCCTGGTAGAGAAAAGCGGAGTGTGTGATGCTGTCTGAATGCTGAGCACGGCCTTTTGCAGCCAGTCCACTGTGTACGCTGCCCCTATCGGAGACCTCCACCTTAACCCTTTCCAGCCTGTAGGCTCCTCCCAGGGCCCCACAACAGAAGTGACTTCCCTTGCCTTTGAATTTCTATAGCACAATCCCTACTGCCCCCCGTTAAAACTGCAAAGTCCTTTTGTGGAAAATAACTTTATTCATGACTGTGTTTATCACACTATCTTATGGAGAAGAGATGATCAATAAATATTTGCTGAATAAATGAATAGCAGTTACAAAACACTTGATTCATATGGAATTAATGTTGGTTCTCAAAGTGAAAAATTACAAACAGCACTGATATTCGGCCAGTATACAAGTCTGGTCACAGCAGTTGTATAATACTGAAGTACCCCCTGCCACTGACCTTTGGCCCCCAGATGCCTCCCACTGCCACTGCTCTCCCCACTGGGAACCCCTGAAGTTCCCACAGGCTCATAACTAAAGGGCTAATGTCTCGCACAGCAGCGAGCACCCAGGACCGAGCAGCCACATGGCCGGGTCTGCTGGTGAAAGCATCCATTCTGACTGATCAGGACCTGAGGGGCCTCATGGTTACATATTTTGATAATATCCCTAATTATAAATAAGGCTCAGTTATATAGTTTGAAAACAATGCTTCTCCTCATTGCAAAATCTCTTAGAAGACTCCGTAGATCCAGGAATGGAAATGGAAAATGACAGCGTGTCAATCTCTGAAGGTTTTGGGCATTTCCATTAGCACTCCATCTTCATGTAAACCAGAAGATATGCAGTTTCCTGCCTAGAGAGAAGAGAAGACACATCAGCACAGCGGCATGAAAGCTTCATCAGAAAACAATGCTTCATTAATCTGTGACAGGACAAGCGTCAGCAAACTTCCAGGCGGCTGGATTAGGCCTTCATCTATCCATCACCTTGGAGAGGAACAAAATAGGTGGCCTGGGAAGATAAGCACTAGGTTTCTATTAGTTAATATCTAAAGCGGAGGTTAACAAGCTATGGACACACAAGCCAAACCCAGCCCTCTTGGGGTTTTTTAAATCTACTTTCAACTTTTATTTTAGATTCAGCGGGCACATGTGCAGGTTTGTCACGTGGATATGAGCATACTCCCCAACAGTTGGCCTTTCACCCCTCCCCTCCCTCCCCATCCAGCAGTTCCCAGTTGTTGCCATCTTTAAGTCAATGAGTCCCCATGTTTAGCTCCCATTTATAAGAGAGAACATGCATTATGTTTTGTTTGTTTTTTGCTGGTTTTTTTTTTTTTTTTAATGGAGTCTTGCCCTGTAGCCCAGGCTAGAGTGCAGTGGCACAATCTTGGCTCACTGCAACCTCCGCCTCCCAGGTTCAAACGATTCTCCCTCCTCAGCCTCCCGAGTTTAAAGTATGTATTTTTTTAAAGAAAATCCTCTTCAGTGATTTTCTAATTTTTCTAGATTTTCTAGTTTTTCCATGCCTATTTTCAGCAGGTTGCATTAACATGTACGTGGTGACTTAGCTTTCTGAAAAGAGCTATGGTATAATGAATATATGCCACTTGCCAGAAACCATGGTCAACACCATACATACCTCATTCCTAAGTGACCTATAAACATAGCAAGGCTGGCATTACCATGCCCATTTTATAGATGAAAAGATCAAGGCTTGGTGATGCTAAGAGACAGGTCTAAAGCTACAAGTTTACAAAGTAACAAAGTCAATTTAATCATAAGCACATTCACTTCTTTGTTCACTTTTCAGATACAATGTTTAAAAATATGTCAAATGATAAGCATTTCCTATTTGTTTTACTCTGAAATATAGTGATGTCCTTTGCCAGCTACTTAAAAATGTTTTGTCCTTACTCTGAAATATGAATAACTGATGTGTTTGTTTTTGAGACAGGGTCTTACTCTGTCACTCAGGCTGAAGTGCAGTGGCATGATGTCGGCTCACTGCAACCTCTGCCTTCCAGGCTCAAGTGATCCTCCTACCTCAGCCTCCCAAGTAGCTGGAATTACAAGCGTACACCACCAGGCCTGGCCGATTTTTTGTAGAGATGGGGTTTTGCCATGTTGTCCAGGCTGGTCTTGAACTCCTGAGTGCAAGCAATTTGCCCACCTTGGCTTCCCAAAATGCTAGGATTACAAGCATGAGCCATAGTGCCCTGCCTACTGTTGTTTTTTGATAACTTGTTTGCCCTCTTCCTCCCTTTCTTACCCTCCCTCCCCTGATGGTCTCCCTCTCCTTTATAGATACAGGGCCAGTGGCCTCAAGCCAGTACCTTGGATGTTTACCTCTACTGTATTTTGGGCTAGGACATTATAATTAAATTTAATAACTATTGAAACAAACGTCAAGTTAAGATTTTGCTACAAGAAAGGTGGGTGGACATATATTAATAGTTTGGGAGTAAATGTCAATCTTTACGTTCCTGAGACCTTATATTTTATTTATTTATTTATTTTGAGATGGAGTCTCGCTCTGTTGCCCAGGCTGGAGTGCAGTGGCATGATCTCGGCTCACTGCAAGCTCCACGTCCCGGGGTTCACGCCATTCTCCTGTCTCAACCTCCCCAGTAGCTGGGACCACAGGCGCCCACCACCACGCCCGGCTAATTTTTTTTTTTTTTTTGTATTTTTAGTAGAGACGGGGTTTCACCGTGTTAGCCAGGATGGTCTCGATCTCCTGACCTTGTGATTCACCCGCCTCAGCCTCCCCAAGTGCTGGGATTACAGGTGTAGTAAGCCACTGGCCCAGTCTCTTTTTTTTTTTTTCCTGGCAGTTACTTTCTAAATTACATGTTTTTTGTTTTTTCCTTTAAAACCTTTATTGTTGACAGGTTTTTCCACTTACATTATTTATCTTGCCTGGGCCATGCTCTTCCCTAAAAATTCCACTAGAGAGAAACTAGCTTCCAAGCTTTTTCAGGTTGTTAGCAGAAGTAACTTCCTTGAGGCTGTAGCTCCGAGGAGCTCAGCTTTTTGCTGCCTGTTGGCTGAAGGCTGCCCACAGTTCCTTGCCATGTGGGCTTCCTCAACTTAGCAGTTTACTTCATCAAGCCAGCAAAGTGGATATGTGTCCCAGTCTCCTACGACGCAGTCCTAAATAATGTGGTGAAGGGAAGTCGTAATCAATGTCATCAATGGACTCAGATAAATCACATCATTTTTGCTGTGTTCTCTGGGTTAGAAGAAAGTCACAGGTCCCATTCACATGGAAGAGGAAGGGATTTCACAAAAGCATGGACACCAGGCACTTTATATCTATCCATGCCCACATTTTACAGAACAAGAGAAAGACCATAAAATGAAACTCTTGAGAAATGATCATTCAACATATGACTTTAGTTGCCAACCTCTCAGGCTACTTTTAAAAATATAAACATATGTTCCAGTTTAGATATATGAATATTTGAACACTTTCCTGGAGTCCTTCTTTTAAGATCACAAATAGGGAATATAACTTTATAGCTTAGATGATATATAAAAAATAAAGATCAGATGTAACCAGAAACTGAGTTTCTTTTTTTTTTTTTTTGAGATGGAGTCTCACTCTGTTGCCCAGGCTGGAGTGCAGGGGCATGATCTCAGTTCACCACAACCTCTGCCTCCCAGGTTCAAGTGATTCTCCTGCCTCAGCCTCCCAAGTAGCTGGGACTACAGGTGCCTGCCACCATGCCGGGCTAATTTTTGTATTTTTAGCAAAGATAGGGTTTCACTATGTCAGCCAGGCTGGTCTTGAACTCCCGACCTTGTGATCTGCTTGCCTTGGCCTCCCAAAGTTCTGGGATTACAGGCATGAGCCACTATGCCTCGCCCAGAAACTGAGTTTCTACTCTGGCAAGTTAAACATAAAAAATTAGTACATATCAGGCTGGGTGGCTCTAGGCCACATGCAAGCAAGCTGCAAACTGAATTGCCTCTGCAGCTGCAGAAGGCTAATTTCTACATTGATATTTGGAAACACTAACAGCTAGAAAACACCACTCTACTCATTTTTAAAAATAAGATCATATTAAATGATGTTACATGCATCATTTATATATTGCTCACAGTGCCAGCATCCTCAAATATGGTTTTAATTTTGGTAGATATCTTGCTAGGGGGAGCACATTTCCAAGTTATCCAGATATAGGGCCCTCTTTCCTTCTCTTTCTGTCCACATGCAACCAGATGCTTTGTGGAGTTAAAGTTGACATTTATTTAAATGCCACTTGGTGTCTGGTTTTTCACCTTTAATTTAGGGTTTTCTAGCTGGGATGTAAAAGAATCACTTGGAGGGATTTTTCAAAATACCAATGGCCAGGCCACTAGCCAGTCAATCAGAAGCAAAATCTCCTTGGATGGGACCTGGAAATCTTTAGAGTTTTCCAGCATTTTAATGAACATCCCTGATTAAGAACCACCGGGTCTTAAGAGTGTGGCATATGTATTTTTCAAGTTCCTAGAGGCTCTCCAAAACAAAACAAAAAAAATCTGCTTTATTCTCTGCCTGGTGTTGATGCATCAGTCTCTTTAGCCGTTAGTCTGATCCTGGAAATTTATGGTCATAATTTGATGAGCAATGTTGGGAATGACTTCTTCTTTTTTTTTTTTTTTTTTTGTTTTGAGACAGAGTCTCACTCTGTTGACCAGGCTGGAGTGTAGTGGGGCGATCTCCGCTCACTGCAACCTCCACCCCAATACTTTCATTTTTAAATATTATTTATGGCATCCAGATTTGCATAAGATGGACTGGGTCAATGGCCATGCCCTTTATAAATCAATATTCTTAAGTTCTGCAAATTCAGTTTCCTAAAGAGCCAAATCACATCCTACTCATCAGCAAGGCGGGTAGACATCATTTTCACAATCACTTCTAATTTTCCACCATTGTAAAAAAAAATAAAATATGTAATCACTTTCTTATTGTAAAATAAAGAATTTACTTTTCCAGGACCTACTGCCTCCCTGTCCCCCCCCCCCCTTTTTTTTTTTCAAACAATCTTGAACCCTTTGTCACGAGTCAGTTGCCAAGAGAAGCCTATTTGTTGGTTTGAGAGCAGTTCATGCAGACACAGACCACTTCCTCTGAGAATTCATTTGCTTCCTCAGGATGGAATCTGGCTGGGCCTCTGACCTTGCTGGTCACGTGGGCCGGGGCCTCCATCAGTCATACCCTGGACTCCTATCTGTGTCTAAACACCACGCCCCACCCCCAACTGCACGGCAGCCACTCGCATAGCACTCTGGGAGGGCTGTGGGCATGAGCAGCGAGGACTCCATCAGCAGCTCCCCCACATGAGCCCTGCTGATGAGGGGGCTTGCGAAGCAGCTTTGATGTGCTGGTAAATCCAGGTGCAAAACAGAACTCAAGTTAAGGCCTCCGCACAGCACTGCGTTCTAACTGTGAAGGATTCTTACTCTAGTGTCCTGTGTGGAGGTATTGGAATTGTCCATTGCTAAGACTCAGAGGAGAAAAGCACTTAGCATCGCAGGACTTGGAGCACCGGTGCTGAGGCAACCCTTCATTCATTCGTCGGATGTGTGTTAAGGCCCAGGGCAGGGGTCACGGATTCTCCTCTCACACAGCACGTGGGTGGCAGGACCAACACCGGGTCTGACCTCCCAGCCGGGGGCACAGGCTGCTCACCCCAGGCCTGGAATCTGTCAGATGCCCTTCCCGTGCTGACTTGACTTAGACAGGCCTCCTGACCTTCCCACAAAGGTCATGTGTGATTTGCAGGGGTTCTGGCCGCTTGAAAGGTTCCTGAGAAAGCACATGCAATGAGGACAGAGCTTGCAGAGGGAGGACAGGCATGCAGAAGGCTCTGTGTGCAGCCCCAGACCTGGGTACCTTCATCACCGTCCTCACCCCACCTCCGGGTGTGCACATAGGGAGCAGGTCTCCTGTGTTATGGCCCAAGCAGGGCTGTTAGGACACTGAGAACATTCCCTCCTCCCGCAGGAGAGAGAGGTCCAAGGTGCCCTACATCGTGCGCCAGTGCGTGGAGGAGATCGAGCGCCGAGGCATGGAGGAGGTGGGCATCTACCGCATGTCTGGGGTGGCCGCAGACATCCAGGCACTGAAGGCAGCCTTCAACGTCAGTGAGTGTCGGCCTGCGCAGGACGGGATGGAGGTGTGGGCAGTGGTGTCCGCGATGAGATCTCAGAGTGCTCCACGGCCCAGGCATGTCACATCCTTCTCTGTGTCTTTTCTTCATTTACTGTTTTATTATTTTTAAAAAAGAGAAAACAAGAGTTGTACAAACAGCTTCTATAGAAGCCAGTTTTTACACCATCGTACCCACTCGTGCCACTTGGTGCAGTGGACCAGGGGCTTCTGCGGGGCCTTGGCCTTCCTGCCTTGGGGTTGGACAGGAGGTGGAAGCCCAGGACTCAGTGCGGTCTGTCCACTGCCCTGTATGAGGATGTGGTGGGCAGAGGGCACTGATGAAATTCAGCGCAGGCCGGGGCTGCAGCCTCTCCGCCTCCATCTCACCAACCCTCACAGGCTTTGAAGGACCCGGACCTGCCTCAAATGCCAGGGGAGGGCACTGAGACCCCAGAGGGTCCTTCCCAGCATCTTCAAAGCAACAGGATTTTGTGCCTGCAGACCCTTCTTTGCAGCACAGACCACCCACCCTGACCAGGACCCCTAGAATGCCCAGCATCCCTGGGAGGGCCCTGTGGTAGTTTCAGCTCCCTCTGAGGGCCCAGAATGAACCTGGCCTGTGGTGAGGATGTAAGCACCAATGGCCAATTGGGTCCAAAGGAAGACACCGGTTCAAACACTGAAACCAATCAGATTCTCCCACGGCCTTCCTGCTATCAGATGACACTGGTGCAGGGGTGGTTGCTATGTACAGGGCAGAGCCACCCAATCCCCACGCAGGCGCTGTGTCCTGCCATGCTGGCCTCCTCCTGGCCATCACATCAGGCCAAGCAGGGGAGAGGAATGGGAATGCCCACGCACCCCTATCAACTCTGCAGACACAGAACCATGCACAGCTCTTGGGAGGAGTCAGATGAGCTGCTCAAAGCCCAGGAGGGACCCACACAGTGGTCAGGATGGCAGGGACGGTGCTTTAGCCAAGGCAGGGATGGTGGGTGACTCACTCAGGATCTTCAAGGAGGCCGCTGCATTTCCGTGCTCTTTCCAGATAACAAGGACGTGTCGGTGATGATGAGCGAGATGGACGTGAACGCCATCGCAGGCACGCTGAAGCTGTATTTCCGTGAGCTGCCCGAGCCCCTCTTCACTGACGAGTTCTACCCCAACTTCGCAGAGGGCATCGGTGAGCACTGGAGGCCTTGGCCTCATGGGAGACGTCTCCTCCACGTGCACTGCTGCCCTCAGAGGCTGTGAAAAGTGAGGTGTGGGAACCTGAGCTGTGCTTCCTCTGCCATGGTCGGAATTTTAACCCAACCTCAAAAAGCAGGGGACCAAAACTGAGCCTATCCTGGAAGGCCTTGCCCATCCCCAGAGGGGTCCCCATCCATATTTCTCAAGGAGGCCAAGTGGGTGAAATGGTCAGCACTGCCGTGCTGTGGGGTCCTAAAGTCTGCTGTCCTCCTTCCTGCAGACCAGGGCTAAACACTGGTGCCCAGGTGCTCTTGCCATGGGTCCTGGTCCAGCCAAGCATGGTTTCAAACATGACCTGACCCTTAGTCAACCTGGAGGCTGATGTCTAGAGTGGGCGCTGGAGCGTGCAGCACCTGTAGCCTGTGCATCACCCTTAGGGCAGGTCTGCCTCCCGGGCCCATGCACAGAGGACCTGGTCTCCCAGCCTGCAGGTGCCCCTGTGGTGTCCAGGACAACGAGGGGTTCTCTGCGTACTTGGTGGGGCTGGGACCCTCCCACTTCCCACCTCCTTGTGTCCCTCACTCCCCTGTTTCATTCCATGCTGAGCCTCCCCTGCCTTGGGCTCCCTGGGGAGGGGGTGGTGGCAGGAGTTGCCCGAGGGCAGCTCTGCCCATGAGCAGCTGCTCTAGCGGCTCCTCCTGCTGCTGTTTGCCGGGTGCTGCTGACCCCTGCGAGGCAGAGAAAAGGCGTTCAGGTGGTTCACACCCCACACAGGTGCCCCTCACAGGGTCCTCACTGGCGGCCAGCGCTGTGGGTGTGACGATGATGACAAGCCTAAACTGCGCAAGGACTCGTGTCCCGGGCGCTCCATGTGACCACCTCGGGAGAGGTCTCCGGCTTGTCGTAACCCAGGGGAGTGACCCACTGCCTCCTGCAGCTCTTTCAGACCCAGTTGCAAAGAAGAGCTGCATGCTCAACCTGTTGTCGTCCCTGCCGGAGGCCAACCTGCTCACCTTCCTTTTCCTTCTAGACCGCCTGGAAAGGTAGCCCAGCTCTCTTGTGGCTGCCCAGGACACCAGGTCTCCAGGCCGTGGGGTGCCCCTCTGCTCCCACCAGACCCCCAGCACCACGGACCTATCCCCTGACCCCTGTCTGCAGTAACTCACTGCTTCTAAGGACTAGCACCACTGCCACCCCCGCCCCTGCCTCTCCTCTTTGCCACCCTCCTCCCTCTGCACTGTGGCCTTAACAAAGAGCTCAGAGCTTTGGCCGTGGCCAGCAGTGCATTTGGACCGCCCCCCCTTCCCTCCCAAGCACATCATGAAGACCTCCCCATCAGCCCAGAGCTGGCCCCTTGTCCTGGGCCACTGAGACCCAGAAGTACCAAGGCTGGAGTCAGCTTGCAGCACAGCCAGGGTCGAGGTCACTCCCTCCCTGAGGACTCTAGCACGGCACAGCCCCTCTGCCTCTCTCCTGGTGGTGGCGTTGAAACAGCACCCTCTGCTTCGGTCCTCTACAGGATGGCAGAGAAGGAGGCAGTCAATAAGATGTCCCTGCACAACCTTGGCACGGTGTTTGGCCCCACGCTGCTCCGGCCCTCCGAGAAGGAGAGCAAGCTCCCTGCCAACCCCAGCCAGCCCATCACCATGACTGACAGCTGGTCCTTGGAGGTCATGTCCCAGGTATGGGAAGACAGCCTCCAGCCCATGCAACCCCAGCCTGACAGAGGTGGCCTCTGCCTGCCCCACCCCCAGTCCTGCCCATCTTCCCACTTGCATTGTATGTGGTGGTGGCTGAGATTCAGAGACAGGGACTTGCCTAGGTTTGCATGGATGGGAGTGATAGGGGGTGCCCAGGCCACCTCCTGGTCCTGCTGGTGCACCTTGCTGGGGGCTTAAAACCACCCCAAGTGTTCGAGTGTGGTGGCTCATGCCTGTAATCCCAGCACTTTGGGAGGCCGAGGCAGGACAACTGAACCCAGGTGTTTGAGACCAGTCTGGGCAATGTAGCAAACCCCATCTCCAGAAAAAATACAAAGAAAAATTAGGCAGGCATTGGGGCACACATCTGTAATCCTAGGTATCTGGGAGGCTGACACAGGAGGATTGCTTGAGCCCAGGAGTTAGAGGCTGCAGTGATCCATGATGGAGCCACTGTACTCCAGCCTGGGGGACAGAGCAAGGCCCTGTGCATCTCTAAAATAAATAACCACCCCTCACCCAACAAGTCATGCCTTGTCAGGACCCCACCCCACCCCCGTCCCACTGTAAGGGGTTCATGACACCAGCAGGGGTTTCTAGCACCTGAGGTGGACTTGGGAGCTTGGGCCCCAAAGACCTCCCCACCAGCAGCTGTGAGCCCCGCTCTGAGCCACTCTCCTCTTCCCCACTCCGCGAGGGCAGGTCGAGGTGCTGCTGTACTTCTTGCGGCTGGAGGCCATCCCTGCCCTGGACAGCAAGGGACAGAGCATCCTGTTCTCCACCGATGTCTAAAGGTCCCAGTCCATCTCCTGGAGGCGGACAGACGGCCTGGAAACCTCTGGCTAATCAGGCCATCTGTAGAGTGGGAATCAAGATTTTCTGAGGCATCCTTGGGCCACCCCCAGGTGTCAGGCCATCTGCCAAGAGACAGCGGCCCAAAGCAGAAGGACAGGTGGCCTGGGCAGATCCCGCCCAGGTCTGAAAGCCCCAGGCTGGCCTCAGACTGTGGGTTTTTTATGTGGCCACCCGAGGGCGCCCCAAACCAGTTCATCTCGGAGTCCAGGCCTGGCCCTGGGAGACAGGGTGAAAGCAGTGGTTTTTATGAACTTAACTTATAGAGTCTAAAAGATTTCTACTGAATCACTTGTCAAGAAGCGCCCTCTCTGGGGAGAAGGGAACGTGACCGGATTCCCTCACTGTTGTATCTTGAATAAACGCTGCTGCTTCATCCTGTGGGGGCCATGGCCCTGTCCCTGTGTGGGTGGGGCCTCTTCCATTTCCCTGACTTAGAAACCACAGTCCACCTAGAACAGGGTTTGAGAGGCTTAGTCAGCACTGGGTAGCGTTTTGACTCCATTCTTGGCTTTCTTCTTTTTCTTCCCAGAAGGATTTTTGTGCAGAAATGGTTCTTTTGTTGCCGTGTTAGTCCTCCTTGGAAGGCAGCTCAGAAGGCCCGTGAAATGTCGGGGGACAGGACCTCCAGGGAGGGAATCCCAGGCTATGCACCTTAGGGTTCGTTCTCCAGGGAGAGCGACCTCGTCCCCCGATCCTGACCGCCCTTCCGGCCCACGCTCTCCTGTTTGGCTTCCACAGGCCTGGACTTCTCTGGCTTCTCTGCCCACACACTCCCTGCCCCCAGTGTCCCTGCCCCTGCCCCAGCACAGGTGACTTCATTTCTGTCCTCTCAGCTCAGTGGACTCGCTCAACTTTTGTATAAGTCTCCACTTGGTGGTAGCAGCTTGCTGATGACTTGTTTTAAAACTTTCATCCTAAATAACCTTTTGATGCTTGAATATTTTTAAGTTTTATACATAGTTTCTAATTTTTTCCCCAACAGATCCAGATACCTAATAAGATGCTGGAATGTAATCCTGGACAATCCGTGTCCTGGCAGCATTTGGTCTTCCTCTAAGCGCCTGGCTCCGCTGTTCTCAGGAGTGGGTTCTGAAGTCTCTGGAGAACAGGATACGTGGAGGGTTAGGAAGGGGCTAGGCCTAGAGACGGGAGACTCCCTCCCGGAGCAGGTGGAGGCACAGGACCATTCGCTACCCCATCTGCCGACAGCTGCGGGGGAGCCCAGGCATTGTTTGTAAGCCCTCCTGACCACCTGGCTCAAAGAAAACAGAAGCATGGAGGCCGCCAAGTATTTTCAAGAAATAACCCCATGAACATGGCATCACTTTTTTAGAAAGAGGGGCTTGGGGCAGGCAGAGGAGAGAAGGGAGAGCAAACTGAGAGCCAAGTTTCCAGACGGTCCTGCAGGAGGAGAGGATGCAGCTGCGCAGAGGGAAGCAGGATCACATTTAAGGAAGTGTGTGGGGTCCCTGGATGACACCAGCACCCAGTGCGGCTCTGTCTGGCAACCGCTCCCAAGGTGGCAGGAGTGGGTGTCCCCTGTGTGTCAGTGGGCAGCTCCTGCTGAGCCCGCAGCTCACTGGGGAGCCTGACAGCGGGGCCATGTGCCTGACACTCCTCTCTGCTTGTGGACCTGGCAAGGCAGGGAGCAGAAAACAGAGCCACTTGAAGGCTTTCTGTCTGCGTCTGTGTGCAGTGTGGATTTAGTTGTGCTTTTTTCTTGCTGGGAGAGCACAGCCACCATTTACAAGCAGTGTCACCCTCGTGGGTGGCGAGGACAGAACAGGAGCCTCTGCTCTCTGTACCTATCTGGGCCCGGTGGGCTCCCTTGTCCTGGCTTCCATCTCTGTCTCAGCGACCATTCAGCCCTGCGCAGGAACACATGTTGCTTAGAAAAGCCAAATCCAGCCTTGTCTCTGCCTCCTCTGGTCTCATGATGTGCATCTGTTACCTTGAAACTGGAAACCAGTCTATCAATGTCTGTGCCAATTTTTTATTCCCTCCCCAACCTCCTTCCCCATACGACTTTTTATTTATGTAGGATGTGTGCTGTCTAATGATGGGATGACCACACTTTTCCATGTTCTAAAAGTGCTCCTCTCCCGCAGGGTCCCAGGGCTGGTGGTTGCTTTGGGTCTACAGCTACGTCTTACCCGCCTCCTGCCTCAACAGCCTGTGTGGTGGCAAAGCCGGTGTGGGGCTGGGGAACGCAGCGTTCTCCAGGAGGGGGACCCGGCTCTCCTTCTGCAATGCAGGCGAAGGCCTAGATGCCAGTGTGACCTCCCACAAGGCGTGGCTTCCAGACTCCCCGGCCGGAAGTGATGCTTTTTTGCCGTGGGCCCTGGGTTTGAAGCAGCCTGGCTTTCTCTTGGTAAGTGGCTGGTGTCTTAGCAGCTGCAATCTGAGCTCAGCCACCTACACACCACCGTGGCCGACACTTTCATTAAGAAGTTTCCTGAGACGACTTGCGTGCATGTTGACTTCATGATCAGCGCCGCTGGGAAGAACCCCTGAGCCGGTGGGGTGGGGCTGGAAGCAGCAGGTGCAGTGATGGGGCTGGGTGCCCAGGAGGCCTCAGTGCTCAATCAGGCCAAGGTGGCCAAGCCCAGGCTGCAGGGAAGGCCGGCCTGGGGGGTGTGGGTGAGCACAGGCAGGCACCAGCTGGGCAGTGTTAGGATGCTGGAGCAGCATCCGTAACTCCACTGAGTGGGGTAGTCTGGTTGGGGCAGGGACCGCTGTTGCTTTGGCAGAGAGAGATGATCCCCACTGGGGAGAGGCTGTTCTGACTCTGCAGGTGGGACAGGGACAGATGGCCACCAGGGTGACCCGGCTGGTCTTCCTTTGCTATGCTAAGCCCTGGGACATGGAGGATTCCTGCCACACAGCCTGGGCCCGGGTTCTTACCTGTGGCCACCGCTCTGGCACGAGCCCCTCAGTCTTGGGTGGTTTTTGCCTGGTCCAGGATTTGGTGTTGCTGCTGAGTTCAGCCTTTCCACCACCTCCGCATGGGCTGTGGGTGTTGTCAGCTGCCTCCCGCCTTGGCTTCAGTAGCTCACCCAGCTTACAGGGGAGCTGCCCTGGGCTGGAGATGGGCACGCACCCTGGGTCCTACTTGAATGAATGCAGCTTGAGGAGACCCGGCCATATACACTGGGCCACGGGTTACCTTCGGCAATGCCCACATCAGCTGTCAGCCTGAGCCTCCCCAGGAGAGCAAGGCTCACATGACAAAGGCTGCCCGTGGCCAATGAGGTGGCTGAGCCCAGCCAGGACCTTTCTCGGACTCCCGGGATGTGGCTCTGCTCGTGAGCTGCCTGGTCAGCTCTCTCGGGGTGAGAGGGGCTTGTCACACGGGCCCCTGCCTGCAGTGTGACCCTTCTCAGCTTCTCTCAGCAGCCCTGCCTGCGGAGTGTCACCGCCACCATGATCATTTCCCTGACACTGCGAGGGTGTGGGGACGTCCTGGGTAGAGACAGGGCCCATGGCAGCAGCAGGCTCAGGGGCGCCCTGCACTGGTGGGCTGGGGACCTGGTGGAGACCACGCCAAGGGCTGGACAAGGGGACGAGCCTCCACCCTGGCCTCTCCGCAGGCCTCAGCAGCCCCTCCCACAGGCAGAAGGGTTGACACTGGGTTCTGCCCTCACTGCAAGAGCTGCAAGTGCCATGTGCTGTTCTGCCCAATCTGGTGTCTGCAGGTGAGGGAAGGGCTGCCGCTGGCCCGTTTCTGAGTGTTCAGCACCTAAGGGTGACAGCACTGTCTGTCCCTACCCTCCAGGTCCTGTTTGAAAATCAAACCCATGCTCACAGGCCAATTTTTTTTTCTTTTAGAGACAGGGTCTCACTTTGTCACCCAAGCTGGAGTGCAGTGGTGCGATTATAGCTCAATGCAGCCTCCAATTCCCGGACTCAAGGGACCTTCCTGCCTCAGCCTGCCAAGTAGCTTGGACTATAGCTGTGTGTTTTATTATTATTTTGTAGACATGGGGTCTGGCTATGTTGTCCAGGCTATTCTCAAAATTCCCGGCCTCGAGCAATCCTCCTGCCTTGGCCTCTCAAAGGTTGGGATTACAGGTGTGAGGCAAGGCACCCAGCTCAGCCACAGAGCCCTGTTGCATCTCTCTTACTAGGAGCAAGAGCTGACTGCCCCCTCATCCCCATTCCAGAGTGTTGGGGCTGTGTTGAGCCGAGGCCAGGCCACTGGCATGGGCCCAGGGAGCGGGATCATTCACTGCTGCCCCAAATCTGAGATCATTCCACCTTGACAAGACTTCCTCATCCAATCCCTTTACTTGACAGCTGGGGAAACCAATGCGCACAGAGCACCCCCAGCTCACTCGGGGTCTCAGAGCTGATCCATGAGCAGAGGCTGAGATCCTGGGATCTTGTCCCCCAGCCTCCCTGCAAGCTTACTCCCTTTCTGCTGGAAGAGATGGGGCCGGACCTCGACCAGCAGCCCTGGCCTGGACGTGACTGTGCTCATGCAGGTATTGAGGCCGAGATGCCCCAGCATCATATGTTTTTCTTTTTTTTTTTCTTTCTTTTTTGAGATTGGCTCACTGCAACCTCTGCCTCCCGCTTAAAGTGATTCTCCTGCCTCAGTCTTCCAAGTAGCTGGGCCTACAGGCTTGTACCACCACACCTGACTAATTTTTGTATTTTTACTAGAGACGGGGTTTCCCCATGTTGGCCAGGCTCGTTTCGAACTCCTGACATCAGGTGATCCACCTGCCTTGGCCTCCCAAAGTGCTAGGATTACAGGCATGAGCCATGGTGTCACTTAAATGTAGTGAGAGGCCGGGCTTGGCGGCTCATGCCTGTAATCCCAGTGCTTTGAGAGGACGAGGCTGTCAGATCACCTAAGGTCAGGAGTTCGAGACCAGCCTGGCCAATATGGTGAAACCGTGTCTCTATAAAACAATAGAAAAAAATATCCCTGCATGGTGGTGAGTACCTGTAGTCCCAGTTACTCAGGAGGCTGAGGCATGAGAATCGCTTAAACCTCAGAGACGGAGGCTGCAGTAAGCTGAGATGGCGCCACTGCACTCCAGCCTGGGTGACAGAGCAAGACTTTGTCTCTAAATAATTAAATAAATATGGCCGAGCATGGTGCCTTAGGCCTGTAATCCCAACACTTTGGGAGGCTGAGGCAGGTGGTTCATGAGGTCAGGAGCCCGAGACCAGCCTGGCCAAGATGGTGAAACACTGTCTCTACTAAAAATACAAAAATTAGCCAGCTGTGGTGGCAGGCACCTGTAATCCCAGCTACTTGGGACACTGAGGCAGGAGAATCGCTTGAAACTGGAAGTCAGAGGTTGCAGTGAGCCGAGATTGCACCACTGCACCCTAGCCTGGGTGATGGAGCAAGACTCCATCTCAACTAAATAAATTAATAAATACAGAGCAAGATTCCATCTTAAATAAATAAATAAACATACACCTGTAATCCTAGCACTTCGGGAGGCTAAGACAGGTAGATCACCTGAGGTCAGGAGTTCGAGACCAGCCTGACCAATATGGCAAAACTCCATCTCTACTAAAAATACAAAAATTAGCCAGGCCTTTTGACGTGTGCCTGTAGTCCCAGCTACTTGGGAGGCTGAGACAGGAGAATTGCTTGAACCCAGGAGGTGGAGGTTGCAGTGAGCCGAGATCTCGGCTGCACTTCAGCCTGGGTGACAGAGTGAGACTCTGTCTCAAAAGGAATAAAAAAAATACAAAAAAAAAAATGTAGTATGATTGCAGAGTTGTGCCGCAGAAGCGTGCTGGTCCTATCCATGTAGTGAAGGCTGATTTCATACAGAAATGTCACAATAACTTTTTTTTCTTTTTCTTTTTTTTTGAGACGGAGTCTCGCTCTGTCACCCAGGCTGGAGTGCAGTGGCGCGATCTCAGCTCACTGCAAGCTCTGCCTCCCGGGTTTATGCCCTTCTCCTGCCTCAGCCTCCTGAGTAGCTGGGACTACAGGCCTGTGCAGCAGATGCTGGGGGGCCACTAGGCCCAGGCAGTCTTGGGACTTGTGTCTCTCCTGCTGTGCATCCATACTGGGTGCTTTAGAAATGGCAGGCAGACCAGAAGCCTCTGTTGCAAGTGAGGACAAAGTGTGGGAAGGCCGTGAGGGTCTGCAGTACTAAATGGCCTTGTCCTCAACCTGCAGTGCACTCTTGATGCGCTGGAAAGCCGCCTCCTTCTCCTGGTCCAGGTCTTCAGCAGTGACCCGGTACCCCAGCTCTAAGGGAGGTGGCAGCATCAAAGGCTCCCCTCGCCTGCGTGGCAGCAGGGGAAACTTGCATCTACAGGGCCTAGAGGCCTGGGATCTGGGGGAGCCACCCCTGGGGGCGAGTGTCTGCCCTGGTGCTGTATCTGCCATCTTTTCACACTGGGTGTGACCCGAAGAGACAGCCTGAGGTCCGTCCTCACTCACTGTGTTTCAGGAACTGAGGTTCAGCTGGCAGTGGGATGAGGCTGGCCCCCTTCTCCGCTTTCGTTCCGGGAGGCCTCCCGTAGAGCGGTAGGGGCTCGAGATGGCATTTCGTTTGGGGCACGAGCTGGTCCGGGAGGTCTGGGATCTCTGGTTCTGACCTCTGGGCACCTGCTGCAGCTGTGGCTGAGGCCCAGAAATGTGAAGGGCCTCCATCCACTCCAGTAGTGACCCCAACGTGGGGTTCAATGTGGAGGGGGGAGGGGCTGCTGCGGCAGCTGCAGGAGCAGAAGTGCCACACCTTGTTCTTCTCATGCCCACATCCATGCTTGCAGCTGGGAAGGGGGCAGGAATCAGCGAGGTGACCTGGGCTGAGTCCTGGGAATGGGAAGAGGTGGCAGGAAGGGGATCTGAGGAGGAGAACAGGGGGCCTGGTGGTTTGTGCTTCTTCCCAGACATGGGAGCTGTAGAGGGGACACCTGCAGCAGATGCTAAGGGGGCCAGTAGGCCCAGGCAGTCTTGGGACTTGTGTGTCTCCTGCTGTACATCCATACTGGGTGCTTTAGAAATGGCAGGCAGACCAGAAGTCCCTGTTGCAAGTGAGGACAAAGTGTGGGAAGGTCGTGAGGGTCTGCAGTCCGAGATGGCCTTGTCCTCAACCTGCAGTGCACTGTTGATGCGCTGGAATGCCGCCTCCTTCTCCCGGTCCAGGTCTTCAACAGTGACCCGGTACCCCAGCTCTAAGGGAGGTGGCAGCATCAAAGGCTCCCCTCGCCTGCGTGGCAGCAGGGGAAACTTGTGTGTACTGGGCCTAGAGGCCTCGGATGTGGAGGAGTCATTCCTGAGGGCGAGTGTCTGCCCTGGTGCTATATCTGCTGCCTTTTCACACTGGGTGTGACCTGAAGAGACAGCCTGAGGCCTGTCCTCACTCACTGTCTTTGAGGAACTGAGGGTCAGCTGGCAGTGGGATGAGGCTGGCCCCCTCCTCCGCTTTAGCCCCGGCAAGCCTCCCGTGGAGCTGTAGGAGCTGGAGATGGCATTTCGGTTGGTGCAGGAGCTCGTCCAGGAGGTCTGGGATGTCTGGTTATATCTGATTTCTGACCTCTGGGCATGGAGGTCTGTCTGCAGAGGCCCGGGCCCGGGCACAAAGGGAGAGAGGCCTCTATTGTCCCGCAGGGGCCGAAATGCAGACGGTGCATCCCCGGTGACCTCGGGGACCCTTCTCTGATCACCAGGATTCTCTTGGACTCTAGGGTCCTTGTCCTGCTCAGGCATCCCTGCCCCGCTCTCCTTGAGGGCCCTCAACACTATCTTCCCTGGACACAAGTCTGGGGACAGCCGGGTGTTGTGGACCCCAAAGGGGTGACTCCCGGCTCCTGGGCCCCACAGAGAGTCCATGTTCTCAGTGCAGTGGCTGAGCTGGAGGACGCCCTGGAACTCGGAGCACACAGCACTGGCTTGCTGTGGTACCTGTGCAATCAAATTGAAGGCAGGATCCCAGGAAGGAAGGCAGGGCTTGCAGGATCACGGAAAACCTTCTTAGAGTTGTCTTGACACCACTGATGTCAAGTGTCCGGGTGCTTGTAGGATGGCCTGCCACTCAGTCCACGGGCAGGAGCAACGGGGAGATCCCACAGGCAAAGTGAACTGGGGGATGGGCTGAACGGGCTCCAGGCAACTGAGCCCTACTGGCAGGTCCTCGGCCTGGGCCCGAACAGGAAGGAGGGGCACAGAGTGCCCAGGTAACCGCTCCTGGGAGCAGTGGGGAACCGTCGGTTGCTTGAACTCTCGAGAGCTGGGCTCTGAGCGTCCTCGTCCAGCCGCCAACTCGGCCAACGGCTAAGCCAGCAGTTTCTTCTGTTGCCGGGCAACGCGCCTTTTAAACCTGAGGGAGCGGGCGCGTGAGCACATCACGGCGCCCGTGACAGAGCGAGCTTAACGGATTAATAAGCGCAGCCAGGTACCCGCGCGAGGCGCTTGCTGGCAATGGCGGGAGGCGGACGTGGGGGGTCATGCAATAGGTACTGGAAGGAGAGAGGCGAGCACAAAGGTCGCGGGAGGAACAGGTGCCCACAATGGCGGCAGATCTGCCCGTGGATCACTGAAGATTCCTGCTCTCCTGCTGAGGTGGAGATTGCAGTGAGCTGAGATCGCACCATTGCACTCCAGCCTGGGCAACAAGTGCAAAACTCAGTCTCCAGATAAAGAAAAGAAAAAGAAAAAAAAGAGGCCGGGCGTGGTGGCTTATGCCTATAATCCTAGCACTTTGGGAGGTCGGGGCAGACGGATCACGAGATCAGGAGTTGGAGACCAGCCTGGCCAACATAGTGAAACCCCGTCTCTAGTAAAAATACAAATTTAGCCAGACATGGTGGCACGCCCCTGTAGTCCCAGCTACTCCGGCGGCTGAGACTGGAGAATCACTTGAACCCGGGGGCTGGGAAGGGATTGCGATGCGCCGAGATCGCGCCACTGCACTCCAGCCCTGGGCAACAGAGCCAGACTCTTTTTTTTTTTTTTTTTTTTTGAGACGGAGTCTCCCTCTGTCGCCCAGGCTGGATTCCAGTGGCCTGATCTCGGCTCACCGCAAGCTCCGCCTACCGGGTTCACGCCATTCTCCTGCCTCAGCCTCTGGAGTAGCTCGGACTACAGGCGCCCGCCACCACACCCGGCTAATTTTTTTTGTATTTTTAGTAGAGACGGGGTTTGACCGTGTTAGCCAGGATGGTCTCGATCTCCTGACCTCGTGATCAGCCCGCCTCGGCCTACCAAAGTGCCGGGATTTAAGGCGTGAGCCACAGCGCCCGGCCCCGAGAGTGAATATCTTTTAACAGTGTTTTTCCTGATCTTTTCCAACATCTTCATTGTGGTTCTGTCCTTTATTTTTTGGTTAAATCCAGAGGTTTACTTCTGCCTGTATCTTTCCAAACTATTAATCTGTTCACAATCACTCTCCCATTTAAACCCTTCAGCAGCCCCAGTACCTTCGTAATAAGGTCTCCTTAGCTTGGTATCCAGAACACTTCAATACTGGGCTTTGACCCCTGTTCTCCTTCCCCCACCTCTGTTTAGGTGCTTCACTGAGCTGCACCGAACAGCTCTTGGCCCCTTGAAATCTCTGCAGTCTCCTTGTCTCCCTCTGCTGGAATATTCTTCTCTCACTTCATCCGATCATTGCCTTCAAAACTCAGCTCATTTTCTTATTTCCTTGCCCTTTTCATGTCCCTTGTTTTCCTCCGATTAAATTAATGTTCCAAACTCAAAAGAAAAACAACTCAGCTCAGGCATCACCTTGCCTGGAAGGCTTCCCTAGTCCTCCTGCCTCCCGCAGACTTGTCTGGCACCCTGTGCATTTGGGATTTGGCACACTATGTCTCATCTGCGGCCTCCACTGGACGATGAGACCGTAAGTGTGTGGCTTGACGGAAAGTTGTTGACTCTGCTGGGGTGCTGGTACAGTGCTGGGCACGGCAGTGTTACAGAGGAAGTGAGCCACTTAGTTTCTGCCCTTAGGAGCTTTTCTTCTAGTTGCAGTTGACCCTGCCAGCTGTGAGACACCTCCCAGTAGTGCATACCAACTTTCAAAGTCTGTTTAATTGTATCTTAGTGTCTGATTCCAATTTTATTTCTTGAAGGAGGGGAGTGTCTCTAATGTCTTATTTTGGCACCCAGAGACCAGGTAGACATCATTTTTGTCCCAAATTGTGGAAGGAATGTACATTTGGCACAGATTACTTCCCTTTTTTCTCTTGTACACCTTTCACCTTTTTTGTTTTTGTCTTTTTTTTTTTTTTGAGTTTGATGTGTTTGGACAGTAAGGGTTTACGAGATTAAGATTAAATTTCAACTTTGTCTATTGTGCATATAGCCTAAGGAAAACAAAAAGTTAAAGAGGAAAAATACATTGCCTCTAAAAAGAAGACTCATTATTCAACTTTTTTTATTTTTAATTGTTTTCAGAGACTGGGTCTCACCCTATCACCCAGGCTGGAGAGGTGATCACAGCTCACCGTAGCCTTGAACTCCTGGGTTCAAGGGTTCCTCTTGCCTTAGTCTTCTCACTAGCTGAGACTGCAGGCCCACGCCAGCACACCTGGCTAATTTTACAAAAATTGTTTTGGAGAGACGTGGTCTTGCCATCTTGCCTAGGCTGGTGTGGAACTCCTGGGTTCAAGCAAACCTCCCACCTTGGCCACCCTAAGTGTTGGGATTACAGGCGTGAGCCATTGTGCCCAGCCTAAACTTTTTTGTTTTTTTTTAATGCTGAGCTGTACACAGAAGAAAGTAAAGGTCTTGGTCAAGCCTAGGAAAGAAGTATGCAAAGAAACTGGTGGCAGGCTGGATGTGGGCATATTTCGGGGCTTTGGAAGGTGAGGAGGAGAGGATTGCTTGAGGCCGAGAGTTCGAGACCAGCCTGGGCAACATAACGAGAACCTGTCTGTACAGATAAACATTTTATAATTAGCCAGGTGTATGTACCCTAGAACTTAAAGTATAATAAAAAAAATAAAATAAAATTCGCCAAGTGTGGTGGTGCGCACCTGTAGTCTCAGCTACTTGAGAGGCTGAGGCAGGGGGATCTCCTGAGTCCAGGTGTTTGAGGCTGCAGTGAGCTAGGATCACACCACTGTTCTCCAGCCTGGGCTACAAAGCGAGACTCTGTCTCTAAAGAAAAACATACTGGTGGCATTGTCAAGATTTGTCAAGAAATAGCCATTATGCTGGGCCCAGTGGTGTGCACCTGTAGTGCCAGCTTTTCAGGAGGCTGAAGTGGAAGAATCTCTTGAGCCTAGGAGTTTGAGTTCAGTCTGGGGAGCATTGCAAGAGCCCAGTCTCAAAAATATTAGGTCAATAAGATTTATTTTAATTAAACAAGAAAAAGAAATATCTGCTAAAATTTAAAGCTCTTCTATTCTTCCTCTGTCTCTTCTAGTGTTCTTGGGGAAGATCCCGACTTAGCCATTTTCCAGTGGCACCTCTTCCACCATGAGTTCCTGAGGCAGTCCGATGGGGCTACTTTAGTCCAGAACAATCACAGTGAGAACTTTTCTCCCAATAAATGCCCCTTTTCTCTCCTTAATATATTCTCTTGCTTACAAAACACTGGTGTCTCCTTATCATGGTTTGGTTCTACCCCACTGGGCCCAAGAATTCTTGCCCAGGAGCAACTGAATTTTCTTCTTGCTTGCTTTTTAAAACTTTGGTGGGGTAGAGCCAATTTTAAATCTTCTGATCCATTTTTTCATTGTTTTCTCGCCCTTCTGCATTTTCTGCAAATTCCGTTGAATCATTGCAGTTACTTAGGTTTGCTTCATCTCCCCCATTACAAACTACTTGCTGGAGTTTTCAACCCTAGTTCCCTCATTTTTATGATTTATGCTCATTTCTTTGTACACTTCGTCTTGCTCCATCTCCCAACTCATGGCCTCTGGCCCTGGATTATTGTTTTAGCCTTTTATTTTTTGTCTTCTTCTACCTCAACACTTATCTTCCTCTCCCAGTCTCCTGTACCCTATCACCAAGGTTGTCATTAACCTTTCATATTATTCCTCATTATCCATGTATTCGTTTGCAAATAAGCGTATATTAACAAAATCACAGGTTTATGGAGATACAATTCACATACCTTAAAATTCAGGCTTTTAAAGTGTACCTTTCATGTGGTTTTTGGTATATTCACAAAGTTATGCATTGATCACCACCATCTGATTCCATAACATGTTCAATACCTCAAAAAGAAGTCTGTACTCATTAGCAGCCATTTCACATTCACCACTCCCTCTGGCTCTGGGCAGTCACTGATCTTTGTGTCTCTACGGATTTGCCTAGTCTAGGTATTTTTATGTAAATGGAATCATACAACATGTGACCTTTTGTTTGGCTTTTTTCATTTAGCAAAATGTTATTAAGGTCTATTCCTGTTGTAGCATGTATTAGCACTTCATTTCTTATATGCTGAATGATATACTTTATTTGTCCATCAGTTGTTCATGCTTTATTTGTCCATCAGTTGATGAACATTTGTGTTTTTGCCACTTTGGGCTATTATGAATAATGCTACTGTGAACAAGTGTGTACAAGTTCCTCTGCAAATTTTTGTGTGGACATATCCTTTCAGTTCTCTCAGGTGTATATCTGGGAGTTGAATTGCTGGGTCATGTAGTAGCTACGTTAAACATTTTGAGAAACTGCTAAAATGTTCTCCAGAGCTGTACCATTTTACATTCTGTGTGTGAGGATTCCACGTTCTCCACTTCCTCACCAGTGTATGGATTTGGGGGTATACTTTTTAAAAAGTGGGATTAGGCTGGGCACAGTGGCTCACACCTGTAATCCCAACACTTTGGGAAGCTGAGGTGGGAGGATCACTTGAGCCTAGTAGTTTGAGACCAGCCTGGGCAACATAGGGAGACCCTGTCTCTACAAAAAATAATTTAAAATAAATTAGCTGGGCGTTGTGGCACACACCTGTAGTCCCAGCTACATGGGAGGCTGAGGTGGAAGGATTCCCTGAGCCCAGAAGGTTGAGGTTGCAGTGAGCCATGATGGCAGCACTATACTGTAGCCTGGGTGTCAGAGCACGACTCCGTTTCAGGGAAGAAAAAAAAAGTGGGATGATATTTTTGACACTTTTCTTCTTGTTTTCTTAATTTCATACTTCTGGAAATTCCATTAAATTAGCTGGTACCACTCTAACTCATTGTGTTTCATGGCTGCATAGTAATATTGCATAATATAAATATACCATTCATTCATCAAAGTTAGCAGATATTGACTGTTAGGTGCCAGGCACTGCTCTAAGCGTTGAAGAAAAACACACAAAAACTTTTGCATTCTTAGAGTTTATTTTCCAATGGAGGGGGTGGAGGGAGGTAAGAATTTAGGAAATAAATTAATTACGTATATAGCATAGGGTTTCACCAGTGAGTGCAGCTTGAATCGTTGGCGGCTTTCTTAGTAGTATAAATACAGTACTAAAGATGAAATTACTCTAAATGGTGTTACTTAAATTACTGTAATAGGTATTACTATTAGTCACTTTGCAGGTGAAAGTGGAAACACCATCGTAAAATGAAAAATAGGAAACAGCTGGTTAATATGGCTCTGGAATTTTTCTAGGACATAAACTGATGAGCTAGAAAAGTAAATGTGTCAGTCCTTGGTAGCAAAGTTTGTACGTTTATAAATTTTATCCAAATCCTCTTAATCTAGTGATTAATAGACACTCTTCACAAAAGGATGAGTGAGGTATATGTGTATGTGTTGAAAGGTTCCGAAGGATGCAACTGAGAGTACTTTTTTTGTGTCATGGATCCTTTTGGCAGTCTGGTGAAACCTATAGACCCCGTCTGAGCATAACGTTTTAAAATGCACACGTGGCCGGGTGTGGTGGCTTACACCTGTAATCCCAGCACTTTGGGAGGCCAAGGTGGGTGGATCACCTGAGGTCAGGAGTTTGAGACCAGCCTGGCCAATTAGCTGGGCGTGATGGTGCGTGCCTGTAATCCCAGCTCCTTGGAAGGCTGAGGCAGGAAAATGCCTTGAACCTGGAGGTTGCCATGAGCCGAGATTGCACCACTGCACTGCGGACTGGGCCACAGAGCAAGACTCTGTCTCAAAAAAAAAAAAAAAGAAAAGAAAAAAAAAGGCATACATAGGCCAGGTGTGGTGGCTCACTGCTGTAATCCTAGCACTTTGGGAGGCAGAAGCAGGGAGATCACTTGAGCTCAGTAGTTCAAGACCAGCTAGGCAACATAGTGAGATCCCATCTCTATCTACAGTTTGCTGCAGAGATCAAAGTAAAGTTCAGCGTAGGTGGTTGTTGTTGGGGAAGACACTCAGGAAGAGGACATGGGCTGAGTGTTCAGAAATGGTCAGGATTTGGATGGGGAGGGCATTCTACTCCCAGTTAAGTCCTGATAATGCAAAGGCCTCAGCAGGCCTTTTACAGATTGGAGAAATGACTGTCAGTGGTTTTAAGGACCAGTTTAGGTGGGATGATGCTGGACACAGAAAATTGGTTTGAATGATAATGAGTTTGGGATTTCGGCTTAAAGTAAGTCCCCAGAGCCCAGGCCACTGCTGCTGAGCCCCAGCCTGGGAACTGGAGGAAGCAGTCCCAGTTGCTGACCTCTTGTGGTCCCTGGCTTCGGGTGTGCAGTGCATCCTTAGTTATGACTCCTTGATTAATATTTTTAGCTTCTGGCTGGGCATAGTGGCTCATGCCACTGAGGCAGGAGGATCACTTGAGCTCAGGAGTTTGAGACCAGCCTGGGCAATATAACAAGACCTCATCTTACTAAAAATCAAAAGCATTACCTGGGCATGGTGGTACATACCTGTAGTCTCAGCTGCTTCAGAAGTTGAGGTGGGAAGAACTGGTTGAGCCCAGAAGGTTGAGGCTACAGTGAGCTGTAATTGCACTACTGCACTCTAGCCTGGGTGGCCCCCATCTCACACACACAAAAAAAGAGTGAGACCCCGTCTCAAAAAAAAAAAAAAAAAAAGGGAGTTCCTCATTTGCCATGAGTGGACACCTGCTTCTTTACTGCTTCAAAGTGAACACAGCTATTCCTTGTAAAGGGTAGGTTTTACTGTAAGGAAATCTAGAACACCTGTGTGTGAATGCCCCCTGATTTTTCAAAGAAATGAGTGGTTGCATCAAAATCAAGCTTATATTTGTGGAAAATCACATGTTGCCAAATTCTCTCATCAAGAACCCTTTATTAACTGACTAATTGTGGGCCATGGTGGCAGGCACTTAACAAAGACCATGGCAGCAGACCTCCCTCAACTGGAACCCTCAGTTAAGCGGGATTTTGTTTTTATTTTGGAACTCCACCTTCAGAAGGGCAAAAATCACAAGATGTGGTAGCAAGGGTTTATTCTAGAAATTAGCTTCCAAGCAGTCGTCAGCCCAGTCTGTATGTCTTCCGCATCTATAATTATAGTAGCAGAAGAGAATGGTGAGCCTGGGGCACTGCAAGATCCTAAATCAAAGATTAAGGCATATTAACTCTACCCTCGCTGGAAAGTGGTCAGTTGTATTTTAAAAAGCTTTACAATAGACTTTCTAATAATGAGAGTTGAAGCAAAGTTTCCACCTAACCCTGTAATTAAATTCACCAGAAGACCCCATTTCCCATTATCCAGACGACCAAGGCTTTGCCGAACACCACCGTCCCTGCCCTCTAGGAGAGGTCATCCAAGGCCAGCAATGAAACAGTCAATCAATTTGCAAATAGACGGGAGGACACTGACAGGATGTGTTCACTGGGGGTAGGTGTCTACTCGGGGAGAGAGGCCAGGCAAGTCTGTCCTTGTTTTCAGTCTAGCAGGAGTGAAGGGGAGGCCAGAGTAACTCCTGAGTGGTCAATCTAGAAAGGCCTTTTGGAAGGGCTGGAATTTTAGGCATTTTTCTTAAGTAAGAGGAGAGTGACGTCCTGTTGGAATTGTGGGGTAGGGGATATTCTGGGCACTTCTAAAGGGGTGGAGAAACCTGAACGTCCTGGGATGGGAACCCTAAGGGTGTAGATTTGTAAAAATTGCTGCAGTCACTTGCCATGAGGACTGGGTATCTGGGCTAGAGACAGGTGGGCGACATCAGAAAGCTGTGAGTGGATACCCTGGAAGACCACTGAGAGGAGGAGCCAGGAATGGCACCAGACATTTCTGAAGGTGGGGGGCCCAGAGGTCGAAGCAAAGCGGGGCCTGTTTCTGTACCAAAGCAAGAGCTTCTGTATATCCATCAAAACATAATCAGGCCAGGCGTGGTGGCTCATGCCTGTAATTCCAGCACTTTGGGGGGCTGAGGCGGGTGGATCGCTTGAGGTCAAGAGTTCAAAACCAGCCTGACCAACATGGTGAAACCCCATCTCTACTAAAAACACAAAGAAGCCAGACGTGGTAGTGGGTGCCTGTAATCCTAGCTACTTGGGAGGCTGAGGCAGGAGAATCTCTTGAACCTGGGAGGCGGAGTTTGCGGTGAGCCGAGATTGCACCACTGCACTCCAGCCAGGGCAACAAAAGCAAACAAAACAAAACAAAAAAAACTCCATCTCAAAAAAATAAATAAATAAAACCATAATCAGAGCAAAGACATTCTAACAAAACTGTGAACTCGGAGAAATTAGTGATGCCTGCTTCCCGTCAACTTTCAGGTGTCCAGGCCTTCTCTTTATTAAAACAGAAAAAAAAATCTGATACCAGTTGTGTGTTCTTTCTTTGATGTAGTGCAGTTTGCCCAGGCTTGCCTTAAGTTGGTGCTATTTTTGTGTATTTAATTCTGTTTTCGCATGTGACCCATTGTCTGATGCTTCAGAATGCAGTCTGCTGCCTCCTTTTTGATAGCAACTCTGAGAACACCGTCTCTGCTCTCGGCAGGGCACTGGGTACACCTGTGGCATCGCTGGTGCCATGGCATGAGGCAGGCTTCCCACTTCACTTCTCAAGGACCCATTTTATTAACTCTCCTTCCCCCAGGAGCTCCGTATTTTGAAATCTTTTGTTTCCCAGACAATTAGGGAGTAATTAAACCTTTTTTCCCACATGATAACAAGTATGATCGTTCACACTTGATATAGTCCAGTTCTAAAGCAAAATTAGTCTAGTGGTCTGGGTTGCGGATGACCAAAGCACACATATGTTCGATCCATTAGGTTGCTTAGCCCTGTGGTTAGGGAAGGTGGGGTTATTGTTAGGTGATTTTGAAATCTCCAAGGTCATCAGTTTCCCAACCCCATGTGCTGCTTTGGATAACCTGGGTGGTGTTTGCCCACTACTGCTTTGCATTGGTGACCTTGATTGACCATGCTAGGTGGCACTTTTCAGCAGGGTGAGGAAAGGAGATGCAGAGTTGAGCAGCCGTCATTTCCTCCGGGTCCGATCACACCTACCCTATCCCAGCCAGATACAATCTATCCCTTTTTAAAAAGACTTTCAGAGAATGAAATTTTACAGTCTTTTTTGTATAATGCCCCCAAAAGGAAATCTTGATTTTCACTTAAGATTTGATTTGAAGTAAGTCATGATTTAGAACAGCAGATAAAATGCATTAGGGTAAAGTATTATGTAAATGTAAGGTGAAGAGATACTGGTTTCTACTTCAGGTGGTAGCTTATATTTGTTTGCTTTAATTAATTAATTCATTCATTCATTTTTGAGATGGAGTCTCGCTCTGTTACCCAGGCTGGAGTGCAGTGGCACAATCTTGGCTCACTGCAACCTCCGCCTCCCGGGTTTAAGTGATTCTCCTGCCTTAGCCTCCCAAGTAGCTGGGATTACAGGTGCCCTCCACCACGCCCGGCTAATTTTTGTATTTTTAGTAGAGATGGGGTTTCACCATGTTGGCCAGTCAGGCTGCTCTCCAACTCCTGACCTCAGGTGATCTGCTGCTCCAGACTCCCAAAGTGCTGGGATTACAGGCGTGAGCCACCGTGCCTGGCCTAATTTTTGAATTTTAATTTTTTGATGGAGGTAACGGTGACTATAATTCTGTTACAAGAATGTAGAAAGTCACGCCTGTAATCCCAGCACTTTGGGAGGCTGAGGTGGGCAGATCACAAGGTCAGGAGATTGAGACCATCCTGGCTAACACAGTGAAACCCCAAATATAAAAAAATTAGCTGGGCGTGGTGGCGGGTGCCTGTAGTCCCAGCTACTCGGGAGGCTGAGGCAGGAGAATGGTGTGAACCCGGGAGGCGGAGCTTGCAGTGAGCCAAGATTGCGCCACTGCACTCCAGCCTGGGCAAGAGAGTGAGACTCCGGCAAAAAAAAAAAAAAAGAATGTGGAAAGTAAAATGTGAAAGTTCCCCTCCTTGTCTATGCCCCTTATTGACTTTGATATAGATTCTTTATAGTTTGGTATATATTCTTCCAGACCCTTTTCTGTGTATATACTTACACAAATATATTTTTTCTGACATAAATGGAATCATGCAGAACATATTGTTCAACAACTTGATTTTAAAGGGATGATTTACTTCACTATTTTTTCAGGCTTAATTTTATGGCTATATCAGAACTGATTTGGTTATTTTATAGCTGGCTGAAGCTGTAATTTGTGAAATCATTGGGGAGTAGTGAGCCTCCTTCCATAACTACATAACAATAAATTTTGCTGTATCAGGAGAGCAAGTCATAATAAAAATATTACCCTTAAATTTTAATGTATTTAGTGAGAATAATTGACTTGTTTATTCTGCATATTTTCTTCAAAAAACACATAAATTCATCAAATTAAGCACGTTCGTATTTTATTGACTATTTTGCTATAATTTTGAAATTATGTTAAATTAAAATGAAGCCTGTTTGAAACCTGTTAAGATGACAACCATAAATACTTAGTTTTGTGTCTAATTCAGTTAAGTGTTCTTGTTTGTTCATGGACCAGAAAAAAAGTTTTCCTGTGTTTTCAATTCCCAAGTGACTCCTCCAGATAGAATGAACTGGACCCGAGTAGTCTTTAAGGTTGCTGGCTACGGGCTCAGCATTTAAGACTTTAACCCAAAGGAAGAGAACTTTTTTTCTCAAGCCCTGCAGCAACAGTTATTGCTGTAAAAAGATTATCATTTCAAAGTGTTGGGTTACTTCTCACGTTCATGGGAATGACTTTCTTTAAAACCTCTGGGAGCAAGAGCAGTTTCTTGGATGGCTCATCTTTAGACCTGATTTTGAAAATAGTTGCTCTTTTTTTTTTTTTTTTTTTTTTGTTCAGACATTTATTGAGCACTTCTTAAGGGCCAGGCATAGTGTGAGGCACTGGGATGTAACAGTGATTATGACAAAGTCCCTCAAGGAGCTCACAGTCTAATGGTAAACTACAGAGTAAACTGAGGCACAGAGTGGTAAATGACTTACCCAATGAGGTAGAAATAGCTAGGTATGTGAAAATGTGGGAGCAGAGCTGGAGAGAGGGCAAGGTACAACTTGTCCTAAGTAAAACCCCTTGGACTGACTCAACAGCAAGGCTGCATACACAAACATTACAAAATCTACTTGCAAAAACCTGAAAGGAGTTTCCAATTATCACCATGACTGAATTCATGTTTCACAATGAATTCAGCTATTTCCTGATGGCATTTCTATCCTTGCCCCCAAAGCCACTGGGCATGCCACCGATCTGCTGGGAGACAGCAATTAGGTAGACAGCTTAAAACCAAGAAGTATCTGACTCCAATTTTAGCACTGAAAACCATATTAAAATACTTTAATTAAATCCACAAACATAAATGTGTAGCACATTTATGATACTTCTACATGTAGAAGTTTGGAAAAAGTCTCTTCTAACCCTCATCCAGAGGATTCTAATAAGTTATAGATACCAAAGAGATTAGAGAATTTGTCTGTCATTTTCCATATATACATTATTTTGGCTGTACAAGAGTGAAAAGTGTCACTCAGACATATTTCGTAAGTAATCTCAACATTATACAGATATATACAAAGACATCACATTTAAATTCGTGTGTACATCTATGCAATGTACAACAGTAACTGCAAACATGAACCAGTGTAAGGCAATTTCTTTTGTGACATATGACATACTCCTTGAAGGGAAGGGTAGAGTCCACAAAGAACTGTCCTTTTCAGCCTGACTGTCTGTCTTCATGACACTCTGTGATGAAGCTACTTCAGGAGGCAAGATGTCTATTTCACTGACAAAAAGCAGTGAATAATTATAAAAGGAGTTGTTTTCAAATGTGGAAACCACAATTACTCAGTAATCTAAGTGGTGAACTCCTCAAAGACACTACTGGCCATGATGCCGCTACTGAGAACGAGAGCACTTCATGGATAATTTATTGCTCTGAGAATCAAATTTGATGCGTAATTCTCCACGAAGATATTCCCAAAAAACTCAGTGATACATAAATTCTCAAATGCCATCAGTTGCTTACTTCAAGCAATTCTTCACTTTGCTGAGGATTTTCTTCTTCCTCAGGGCCTTCTGGATGAGTGCTCTCAGATGAAGAGGTCCTGACACCTTCAGACCTTTTGTTACTGGTCTGACCCTGCTCCACTTCTCACAAATAGACATCGATAGGTCCGTTGGTGCTCCTTATGTGCACTGTGATAGAGTCTTCTCTGGGAGCTGGAACATCCAATCTGGTTTCTGCTGGAGCTTTAACTGCAATGACGATCTGTTCATGGAAGGCCTGAATGCTATGAATGTCTTGATAGGTCACATATGCTAGTCTTTCATTTTCTTTGTCATCTGTTAACTCAAACAGCTGCTGAGCACAATCCTTAATTAACTCATCCAAAGCATCTTCCATTGCTGATAAGTCAGAAAGTTCCTCCTGTAGCTTCTTTTGTTGGGGAACTGCTCCAAAATTGCTAAGATCAGATCCTATCCATCTAATATGGTTCTTGGATTTCTTTTCAACGAGGTCGATTCCATCTAAGACATCGGTGATGTCATACACTCTCCGCTTTCGGACTCCCAGTTTCGTTGCAACCTTGTTTAAGTCAAGAATACCCCCGGGAGCAGATTTCTCATGGACACATATTGTACATTATCTTCTAAATTAATCCTTATTTTTGATGGCAGCAGGCCCTCCACGTTGATGGGGTCTCCTCCGTCGGGTGCAGGAGGAGACTGGGTAATCTCCTCGCCGGCCGCTGCTGACTCATGCTGCCCGGCCGGGCGTCCTGCTCCTCTCGCACCCCACGAGCTCTCCCGCCCTCTCGCGCTCAGCTCGAGCACCGCCCCCCACGCGCCGATTTCCAAGGGCCCAGCACCTAAGGGGTCCGCGGCCTCCTCCGAGGCGTCGCCCGGCTAGGCCGTCCCTCCCGCCAGTAAACGCGGCACGGCCTCACGTGCCCGGGAGCTCCCGACGCAGACGGAAAAGGAGCAGGGAGACCCGCGGATCTCAAGTCGCCCGGCCCGCCATCTTCCCGCATGCGCAGTCAAAATAGTTGCTCTTTTGGAGAGATGGCTGTGGGATTCATGTGTCATAGGCATCCCTTCTTAAACATCAGTGTTTGACTTTCTATCCCTTGTCCTGAGACCTCTGAGGGTAGCCCCTGTTTTAGCAGAATCTACTTCTAATACTTTCCTAAGAAGGCTTTCCCAAGAAGTTCATTCAACAAATAACCGAGTGCCTTCTACAAGCACTCATTGTTCTGTTATCTCCGGTGCCACAGAATTCACAGTTAAAATCATGACTAACATTTTAAGTCGTCACCTGATATGTATTTTTAATCTTTAATAAATAGAAGCATTAATTAAATACACTGTGACATTCGGGAACTCTTTTTTATTCCTAAGGTACATCTTTTTTCTTGCCATTACTTAACCTCTTTTCTTCCTGTTTTGTTCTCAGCTCTCCTTTACAGCCATGAGTTACTAGTGCCCGGTGCCACCACGAAGAGGGGGTATCTGTAGGAGTAAGATGATGAATAGCAGTGGTAAGGGGAGAGCGAGGAGAAGGGAGGGGGCTCTGAGGAGGCTAAAGGGCAAACTTTTATTCTTGAAAATACACAAATATCCCAAGTCCTGGGTGTGTGGAACGTCCTTATTACTGCTGGGGATGTTGCTTGTCTGTGGGAATTGGGAATTTCACACCTAGCTCTGAATTTCTAGGAAGCCCGAACAAAAGAGAAATAGAAATAGAGAAATCACATACTTCCCACCAGAGAGGAGACACCATCCATACCAGAGGAGACTCGTATGGGGGGTGGTGAGGATAAGGCCGATCCATCTTCCCCACCTCATACTCTGCCTCCTGCAGTGTGGCCTCCCTGAGGGCGCCCTGGCAAGGGAGGGTGTGGGACCCTCATCAGTATGGCTCTTACAAATTCCCAGAAGCTGCTGTAGCAGCTCAAAGAGGGGCAGGCTCTTCCAGGTCTGTTCCTTGCCAGATGCCCTCTCCCAGCCTGGGGTTAACCCTAAGCAGGCATTGATCTGCACTTTGCTCAGAGTCACTGGTGACCTCCCGGGTAGCCAAGAGCTTCCCCCTTCTCCGTGAGCCCTCTGAGACTGCAGGTCCCAGACGGTTGTAAATTCTGCCTGGTGGAAATTGCCAAGGCTCCAAAGCAGGCACCTGCTGCCCTCAGGAGCCTCTGTGCAGGGCCATTCTTCTCCCTGCAAGCAGCACTTCTCGGAGACCTTTCTGGTTTTCCTCTTCAGCTTTGTTTGGCAGTGGTTTGGTGTTGGTTTGGAGATGGTGGTGTGTTGGGAATTATGCTTCACATAGATGGACATGTTTGTTAGCGGGAGGAATGATGGTGCAGATATTCATTCCGGGCTTACCCCAAACTAGGTAACCCTTTATGACATTGTTTAGAGATGATTTGCTGAACAGTTTCATAATGCCTTCTGATGTTTCAGTACAAAAAATAGCTTGCTGAACAATGTTACAATCTGTCTTCTGATATTTCATTACAAAGAAGCAAGAGCACATTCTGAGCACCCTGCCCAGTGCTTTCACCTTGTCTCTGTTGGAGCAGGTGATTGGTTCCAGCTCTGCGTTTTGGCACCTCTGTGGCTGGGCATCCCTCTGAACTGTGCACTTCTAGAAGGGAGCAACAAGATAGAGAACTAATATGCCTCTAGGCCTGAGTTCATTTTGGAAAAATCTTTGTAGATTTCTTGCCCAATCCTCTTATTTTAAAGGTGAATTGTCCTAGAGGGAAGAAAAAGACCATGGTGACCTGGGTGGGTAAAGGGTGGAAGTAGTACTGGAAAACGCCCCTAACAGGAGATGAGAAAGAGACTCTGGTGCACGTCATCTTTGTTTTAATTAAAACGTTATGCAATACAAACATTCGCCTTCCCACTCTTCCCCCTACCACAGAGGAGCTGTAATTTCCCATATTTGGAATTTGGGGAGAGCTGGGCCTCATTTGAAGATAAGGCCAGATTCAGTCTCTGATTTGGGGGGAAGTAAGTAATTGAGAGAGCCTTGAGGACTGTGGTATTTATGGTGAATATATCAGAACTATGTGTGTCTCCTTGTCATCATTTATTCAACACCTCTGATGTCCTAGAGCTGGTGCTATGCCCATCAGTATCTGACTCTCGTTTTCTTCTGCATATTTTCCCTTTTGCAAATGTATAGGCATTCAGCTTTAATCAGGTAGGCTTTTTACTCTGTGATCTGCAACGGGGATGACTGAAGTCATGTGGAGGATTTTAAGTAACTAATCTCTTAAGACATTCAGAGCATAATCTTCCCTAGCCCGTGATCATCCTGCCTGCATCCGAGAGATTTGTGAGGCTCTGCAAAGGAGGCTGGATGTGGACTTTGGCATCCTTTGGAGAGACTGGGTGTCTTCCTTGCTGGTGACAGGTTTTTGTTTGCTTTTGGCATGGGAACAGGACCTGCTGTTCATTTACCATGTCAAGAGAGTTCAAGATGCCCCATGAATGTGACCAGTGTGTTACTAAATCTCCGTACTGGTACAGAGAACAATGGCAGGCCAAACACACATGAAGACCCTGTCTAGGCTCATTGATGTTTATGCAGTTTGTGTCCAGGGCTGGTTCTCAGGGAGAAAAATAGATAAGATCTGCAAAATAGATAAGAGAGGACTGCTGGTCAGTGGTGTTCCCTGACATTTTTCCCTGAATGATACCAGGTTAATCAAAAGATAAGGATCTAAAATATTTTTGTGCTCTGCTTATAATTTGAATGTGACTTCATATGTGTGTCATCTGTTGGACTAAATTGGATTGCAGTTGCTCTTCAAATTGTCATTCCTTTATTTTCTATTTCTACCTACCTCCTGATGTTAGCTCAGGTTCCTGCTACCAAGGTGTCTTGCAAAAAAATTTGGTGACTATTACTCTAAGTGAAGCCTTTGATACTTTCTCTTAATACAATGGTTAAACCTCTAACAACGTAGACTAATGAGGAAGATTAGTTTGAATTAGTAAAATGTCTGAATTACCAAATATTTTTCAAGAACTTCACTGTTATTACTTTTAAGTAAATACTGTAACTCAAACTAGGCTAATAGAATGCCTAATAAAGATCCTTAGGGGATCCTGCTTTAGGAGAGAAATAAGAATGATTTGCAATTAGTGCACCAATTGTTTATGTAAATGGAATTTCTGAAATACTAGACTGAGCTTGAAAACCGTTTGTTCCCTTAAGTATTTTAAATAGTCCCTACGGAACCCCTGTGCATGCTGGTAGTTGTTTATATGCTGTATAGAGACCTGTTTCATGAAGACATAACTCAACCTTATATCATCAGTATCAGAAATTCCAAGTTAGTGATGGCCAGGATCCTCACCTTCCAAGATTAGATTAGATCTCTCTGCCAAACGCTTCCATAGCACATGCAATTGTCTGTTGTAACACTAATCAATACATTTAACAAATATATGATGTATTCTGCTATATGCTTTGCCAGTGTGTGAAATGGAGGAGACATAACCCTCATCTTTGTGTAGTTTATAGGCTAGCAAAGAAGTCAGGCAGTAAACAAATAAATGCATTTATAATTAATTACAATCCTGAAGTTAGATTGTACTTTTGTAAGTAATGGTTTAATCAACTAGATTTTAAGTTCCATTAAGATAGGGGTTACTTCTGTGTTGTTTGTCATGGTGTCCCAAATCCTTCCTTAGCCTACTGCCTGGCATAGAGTAAATATTAAGTTGAGCTTTATTGCCATTTTGATAGGTCAGAAGCAGTCGAATGTCAATAATGTCACATAGTTCAACCTAATAGTTGCTCAGTCAATATGTATTGAATGTTGAATGCATGTTGTAATCAGTGATCCTATGGTAGGCTGCATTTCACACAGTTTTCTCTAGCCAAAGAAATGCTAGCTATGGTTTTGAAAAGGAATTCTAAAACTTCAAACAGCTAAAACTGGTGATATAGACTGTGGGACTGGAGATCTGTGAGACTGGAGTGCCTTTTGTCCAGTATATTTTCTATGCAGTTCTTGGTACATTTCCCAGCCTCAGGTGGGAGCATGTGTATTTGGGTCTGGAGTGCTTGTCAGTAGCCCAAAGAACCTGGGAAGAGTATGCTGGAAAGCTAAGATGGAAGGCAGGGATAGGAGCTGTTTGGCCTGAAGAAGAAAGTGGCAGGAAAGATATTGGCATAGCCAAAGAAGCCTTCCCTTTAAGTCCTAGTGTAGGGAGACTTACTTTTCCAGACCAGAGCTCATGAGATCATGCACTCATTCCACAGATTTGTGTGAGTCTGTGATGCGCTCAGTTATGGCTAGGCATGGGCGTTCCTTATTGTGAGCTTCCTTTTTGTGCCTGGAACTTCTGTCTGAAGGGTTGTGGGCTGGACTGTAGACCACTGGTCCTCAGAGGCAAGGGTTGAACTGAGGAGAAAGCCCCAGCTGGATCCTGCTGGGAGAAGCCCAGCACTCTGGCCTGGGGCCTGCTCCCTATCTGTGGAACTGGGAGTAGGGCCCAGGCTAGGGCTTAGATCAGAGCTTCCCAAACCTTCTGTGTTAAGAACGTTTTTGCATCTGTTTGGATTTCATGGCTGTTTTTCCATTTTCCGTGCACACATGTCCAATTGTACCACCCTATTATAATGCACACTCTTTTCTCACACCCACAGGATAATTTGTAGTTCCACAGCTATTTGTTGAGCATCCTCATCTGCCAGCACAGGATGGGGGTGGCAAGTGAGGGGAAACACAGATATGTGGTATTGGTCCCTGCCTGTGGTAGACGTGATTGGTTACCTACAGTGGCTCTTGTTTTCTCTTCCTGCTGGCAGGACCCAGTTGGGTTGGATGCCACACCTCTCCCACACGCCACTCAAGGAAAGGTGACCCTGCCTCCAGCTCTAGGGTATGTGCTGATTGAGCTGAGCCCATCCTGGAGGCCCGTAGTTTAGACATGGTTTTGGCCACTGAGGTATGAGAAGTCTGCTGGGAGATGCTGGGAAAGATGTTTTTCCTTGTAAAAGGAAATGCAGAAGGGACAGCTTCTTTCACTAGATTCTCGGACGTGAAGCAGCCATCTTGTTGCAATGAGGAAAGCAGGTTTGTTGAGGCCAGCAGACGGGAAGAGATGGGAAAAACCCTGAGGGCCAAGCCCCTGAAGACTGAACCGTCCAATCTCCATACATTTTGTCCTCACTGTTGAAGCCAGTTGAGTGGGAATTTTCTATTACTTATAGTCGAAGGCAACCTATATTAGACACTCCCTCAAAGGAGCATGAAATAGGATTTCTTCTTGTACCATTCAGATTATCATCAAAAAGCACATTATTCAGAGACAGAGCTTAGCTTTGTGGTAAGGCAGAAAGGAGAGGGGAAAGCAAGTTGGTAGGAAAGAGTTGAGTGAGGAGATTGTATTTTAAATGGGTCCTGAGGGAGGGTTAGGATTTGTGTGGGAGGAGCAGAAGGGCGTTCTGGGGAAAGGAATGGTGGCATGAGCAAACCTGTGAAGACAGGTATGGATGTGGCACTGCCGAAAAACAGGGAGATTATGTCCTGACTAATTCCATGGACAGATTCTAGAGCACCTCAAATTGTGAGTTTATATGGTGACACGTGACTTATGCAGCGGGAAAAGTATTGCAGGCTCATGAATGGGGGAGAAAGGAATGAAAGTGGGCCTTGGGAAGAAGGATAAGGATTAAGTAGCTGGGTACCAGGTTCTTTGGAAGGGGAAAAAAGTAAAAGGCCAGTGACAAGCTCAAGCTACTGAAATAACTCACATTTGAGTTGATAGCAGTGCGGGGAGGGAGTGAAGCTGTCAAAGGAAGATTGTAATAAATTAACTGGCAAAGAAGGGTAAGATGGATATCTAGGAGAGGAAGATGGAAGAGGAAGATTTTAGGAAGATGCTGTTTGCTTTTTGCCACTATGGCTTTGAGGTAATGAGGAAAGATCTAAGTAATGAGGCGTTGAATTCATTTGAAAATAGGGCTAGACTTTGGGAATGAGAGGCCAAGGGTTAAGAGGATGTGGTAGAGGCAACTCACTAGGCATGCACATACTCCAGATTTTCCAGCCTCCCTCACAGTTCAGTTGGGGCCATGTGACTAGTGTTAGTCAATGAAGTGGGAGAGGAAGGAACCAGGGAAGAGCCATGTATTCCTCCATTGATTCCTCCCATGCCACAGCAGCCTTGGGCTAGGGCCAGAAAGTGTGGCTGCCAAGACGGGGAGGGCTGTCCTTCCAGGACCAGACTTTGACGGTTGTTGCTCAGCTGGGAAATGCTGGTAGAAGCGAGATCTGAAGCTGTAATGGGTGGCAGTGCTGACAGCTATTTGTGTTGGGTCTGGGTGGTATGTGGTCTTCAGGGTACAGTTGTCCACCTTCTCCTGACTTGATTTGCTCAGGGGTCTGCATTCAATGGGCTGGAGCTTGCTGGCCGACTCATTCTACCTCTAGGACTCTCAGTGTTTCTGGGGGCAGGTTTACATCTTGGCTGTCCAGGGAAGGGGATCCTTGTTCATGAGCTGTGCTAGTGAGAAGGCTGCTCTCTCCACAGGCACCAGAATGCCAAGTGCCTTGCAGAGGAGAATGTTTGGGTGGCTGGTGTCCAGTGGTGACCAGGTGGAGCGTCTCAATTATCTGGCTAAACGTGGAGCTTCAGGAAGAAGTTCCAGATCTCCAGACTTGAATAAGAATAAGGTGCAAATCCCATCTTTCAAATCTTTCCCACTCTCAGAAGAGTCAAAATGTGCCTTTTCTGCAAGCAGTCCGGAGCTAGGCACTTTGCATACGCTTTGTTACAATGTTGCATCAATCTGGCCTGGCTGAATCACGGTGTTTTCCTAAGGGTAAAGGGCCCCGTGAGTGCTGGGAGGCCTTTGGCATCTGGTTTTCGTCAGGCAGCAGGTAAAAGTGCAGATGGCGGGTCTGATCGTGCTTTAAAAAAAGCAGAGTTAGAAACGTGGGAAAGGCATTTGAGAGGCACCTCTTAATCTGTGTGTGTGATCTCCCGTGCATCCTGTTTCTTCTCTAACCAAACACCTCAACTCCTAATACCCAGAGGAAAACCCTTCAGACTTGGGAGACAGCCGGCATTGCTGGCACTGGCCTCTCTGGAGCTTTTCTTGATAAGTTTGAAAATTTAAAGACAGTGGTGGCACTGTTTCTCTGTTGAATGGAGAGTTGACATTCTTATGTTTCCTTCCTCTTCTGCAAAACTGGGGTGTCATCAGATCAGTGTTTGCTGCTGCTGTTGCGTTCTTGGGTAGCCACTCTTTTTTTTTTTTTTTTTTTTTTTCAGAGGGAGTCTTGCTCTGTCGCCCAGGCTGGAGTGCAGTGGCCCAATCTCAGCTTATCGCAACCTCTGCCTCCCGGGTTCAAGCGATTCTCCTGCCTCGGCCTCCCGAGTAACTAGGATTACAGGCGTGTGCCATCACACCCGGCTAATTTTTGTATTTGTAGTAGAGACGGGGTTTCATCATGTTGGCCAGGCTGGTCTTGAACTCCTGACCTCAGGTGATCCTCCCGCCTTGGCCTCCCAAAGTGCTTGGATTACAGGCTTGAGCCACCGTGCCCAGTCAGCCACTCTTATTTTACACACTGCTTCTGGCTGATAGGCCTACAAGGTCTAAGCTTAATCCCAGGAAAAGTGCTACCCGAATGGTCTGTCAGTCAGCCTTTTGTTTGTTTGTCTCGTTCCGGTCATCCTTGCCTCTGTCCACCCAGACAACATTCAATCAACATTTGTTATGGAGCCAGCAGTATGATTTTGCAAGTTACTTTTCTAAACTCTCATTTCCTCATCTGTAAAATAATAGGAGATACTCATTAGGGTGATTCTAAGAGTTAAATGGAAACATCTGAGGAAAGCACTTAGCATCGGTCTGGCACATAGTAAGTGCTCAGTAAATGATGGTTGTCATTATTGTTGAGCAGAGCCAGGGGTTGCCACCCCGGTCAGCTGATTGGCTGTAGACATGGTGTGACCATATGGAGCTGGGATTTGGGCCACACTCAGCACATAGTTGTGATCCATAAATGCACAACCTTTGGACCCCATTGTCACCTCCCTTGGAATATCTTGGTGTTCTTGTTTCAGTCTGATAAGGCCATTGTAGCTGGGTTCTAGGTATCTCTGAGCATGGAGCACTCACGCCAGCCTCAGACATTGCTGTCAAGGGCATCAGCAGCAGTGAGGTGATTCCTCAGCCGGTCATTTGGGCATCGCTGCCTGGGTCTCTCCTGAGCTTCAGCTCATCTTTTTTGTCACCTGCCATACCTTTGCCTCTAAGTGTCCCCCAGTTTTTATTGCTGCCCTCTCCATCCGCACCAGTGCCTCTCTCTGCCAGTTCCACTGTTCTCTCGCCTGCTCTTTAGGATTTCCTTTGTTTTGCCTCCTTGCCTGGTGCTTTCAGCGAGCAGCGCTGACGTCATCTCAGGAACCGTGCTGCGTCTGAGAGAAGAACCTGCAGTAGCTGTTTAAGTGTGCGGTGCTGGCAGAGTACCTCCCTGAAGGTGTCCTGGGGAAAGTGAGTGATTGCTCACTGGGTGGTGAGCCAGGGGCAGGGTTTGGGGAGATATCTGCATTAGCAAGTTAGCATCACTTGAAACACAGGCATGTAACGGGCAAGGACGTGCTCTTCAGCTACCAGGCTGTCCTGGCTGGAGCCGGTGGCCACAGACCTGAGGGACCCCGGCTTTGTTCCCTTAGCTGGCTTTGTTCCCTTAAGCTGCCTTTGTTGTCTCAGTGTAGCTCTCTCTACCTCCTCTGTATTTCACCACTGACAACTCACTCGATTCTCCCTCTGGCAATCTTAGTTACCTGTGAATACTCTTTAACGCCATCTTCTGCCTTCTCAATGAATGAAGGAGATTCTCTCCTTGACTATTTGTGAGCCAAAACCTAACCTTCTCTTGGCTGATCAGTATTAATATATTGTGCTGAGAGGAAATTTTAGAGTAAAATTAGACATCAAAAAGAACTGGCACAATTAGTTTCCAAGCCGTTTAAGGTTCCTGGAAGTCTCCTGAATCCATCCTCTTTGTGGGGACCCACCCCAATTCTCCATCTTCCTCCTAAAAATAACGATAATGGCGTTTCACCAGAAGCCGGACAAAAGAATGCTCTGTCTGTTTCGCCTGTGGGAAGTGACAGGAACTGCTGAAACCTGTGTTCTGTGTCACAGAGCCAAGGGTTCACACAGTGCAGAAACAAATCACAGTGTGTCACGGAGACTTTTTCTGTCTCCGGCCCCACTCTGTATTTGAGCCCAAATGTGGAGGGAGATGCTGCAGTTGTGGGAAGGCACTTCCGTGACCCCTCATTATGGTAGAGGAAATGAGAGGCCTGAGGCCACAGCCAGGCTGGCCTTTTGCAAAATGGTCAAATCAGCAGCAATTTGGCCCTGGCTCCCACTTTGTGCCCCACCCACCAACTCCTGCTATCTCCCATCCCCACTCCCAGCGCAGTCGCGTCCATGGCTCCCAGGGCCCCACCAGGCTGCCCTCCCTGTCTGGCTGTGCTCAGCCGCTGTCCTGGTTCTCCCCAGCATTTCAGTACTTTCCTGAGTCCTCCTGCTGGTCCTTGACTTGGCTGGTTGGAAGGTTTGTGGATCATTAGAGCCACTTACTCACACTGAGGAAAGAAAACAGAAGTGGGTATTTGGGGAAGGCCTATGTGTTGCTTCCTCTGTGTGTTCACTCACATTTGCTGATTTCATCCCTACAGTTCCCCTGCCCGGGGAGTGTTATGCAGCCACCTGTACAAATGAAGCAGTTGAGACCCAGTAAGCTTGTGTGATTTCTCCAAGTCATAGCCAGCATGGGCCACTACTTTGAGCTCTAGATAAAGAAAAGGAACCTAGTGTTTTAAAGATTTGCTTCATTGTGGTATAATTTGCTTGCATACAACGGAACTCACCAGTTTAAAATATGTAATTCTTTGTTGACAAACATGAGCAGCCACACAACCACCACCTATCAAATATGGACCACTCCTCTGTCCCCAAAAAGTTCCCTTGTGCCTCCTTGCTACCAGCCCCTCTCCTGCCTCCAGGACCCCAGCCTCAGGGGACCTGAATCCTGCCACTACAGTTTTGCACTGTACAGAATGTGATGCACATGGCATCCTACAGTGTGTAGCCCTTTGAATCTGGCTTCTCTCGCTCAGCACAGTGCTTTTGAGATCCCTCCATGTTCTTGTGTGTATCTAGTTCACACCTTTTTATTGCTGAGTAGGGTTCCGTTTTATGGATATAGCACATTTTGTCCATCTCTTCACAAACTGATGGGCATTTGGGTTGTTTCCAGTTTGGGGCTACTATGAATACAGCTATTAGGATGTGTACAAGTCTTTGTGTGGACACAGGTTTTATTTCTCTTGGGTAAATACTTAGGAGTGGGATTGCTGGGTCATTTGGTAACTTTGAAAGAAACTACCAGACTGTTTTCCAAAGTGGCTGCACCATCCTACCTCCCCACCAGCCATGTATGAAGGGGACCGGGTACTTTTGATGCCTAATCTAGGTTCTTTTCCCTATACCATAGTGTCACTGGCTGCTGAGGTGCGAATTGCTGACTATCACATTCACATGCCCTGAGCCTGTCCTTTTCACAGGAATTTCTTGGAAAGTCTGACCATTTGGAGCCAGTTGCTGGTGGGGAGGTTTCCTGAGGAGGTCCTTTCATCACACAGGGCCGTCTCCTCTGATGGCTGATCACCACACACACCCTCCTTTGCTGCCCATCCTCTCTGCCGTCACCTTGGTTCATAATTAAGATTCACCTGTGGGTGACGTGGGACCCACTTGCAGCCCATGGACATTGGAACAGTCCATTCTGTGCAGTTCACTTCCTGGCTTTCATGGCACCTACTATGCTGGCTCCTGGCCAGAGATGGAGTTAGAGGTGTCCTGTCCCAAATGAACCTGCATGCAGAAGCCACTGGGGCAGTGGGGACACTGCCTCAGCATCATCACAGCTGCCAGAGGCTGAATTGCTGCTGTGCAGGGCTGTGTGGAACTGCTGCTGTTATATGCGCATCTCCGGTCTGGAGCTTGCTGCTCAGGGCTCTCCTTAACAAGCGGCCAAATGACTGCAGTTTTCTGCATTGCTTTCCTGTGAGGTCCCTGATGTTTTGAAAGAGTCAAAACCAGACAGGGATGCTATCAGGTTGCAGTTCTGCTCTGTTGTGGTGTTTCTGTGAAATGGAGAGGAGGATTTTGAGGAATGTGTAGTTGGGTTTACTTTTGTCTTTATTTGTGGGCATGTTTCCTGAGTGAGGACCACTGATAATTAGGTGTTCTTTGGTGTAGGGGCCCAGATGGACAGCGTGGACCCCTTTCTAAGGGATTGTTGTCACAGTGAGAGGGCTGAGCACTGAAGTTTATCTTGCAGCATGCGTGCTGGGAGCAGCCCCTCCAAATTGGTGCACGTGTTTGGGGAGGGCAGAGACCAGGGCACAGACTGGCTGGCAAACTCGCCTGCTGGGCTGAAGAGTTCTGACCTTGCAACTGGAAGCTCTGCTTTCCTGCCCTTTCCCTGATTCCTGCTAATTTTATGACCTTTCATCAGTCACCTGACCTTTCTGGACTTCAGCGTCCTCACTGTATAATAGAAAGAATGATCCCTCTTTCACAGGGATTGGAGGATCTGCCGCGTGTCAAAGCCCTTTCTACACCTGTGACAACACAAGACGTGCCCGTAAACACCTTTCTGAGCATGGGTGTGGCAGAAGGCCAAGCTCACACCCAGAAAGCCACCTGCCCTTCTGCTCCTTATCCTTGTCAGTCGCTGTGCCTGCATCCCCAGGAGGACCTCACGGGACTGGGAGGGCCTGGGACAGGCTGGCCTCAGATCACCAGGCATTGAGACCTCCTGCTAGCCTCAGGCTGACAGTAATAAATGTACAAAAGAGGACAGAGCTGCTGAGGAGCGGCTGGGAGTCCAGACACAAAGGACTGTCGGAGGAGTGAGTCAGGGCCTCTGAAGGTCACTTGAGGAGTGTCCGCCCTGAATCATTGACCTGCGGCATGAATGGAGAAGTAGCTGGGATACCAGCCCTGGGGCAGTTCCATTGGGTGGATCTTTAGAAGAGAGAGGTGGCGTGGGAGGGGTAAGAGCACTGATTTGGGAATCAGAGACCTGGGTTCTTTAAGTCAATTTATCCAGGACTAGCTGTGTGGCCTTGGGCAGGTTGACAGCAGTTTCCTTTCTGTGAAATGATCAACTCCAGAACTATTGATACCTGTCACATTGTGTTTGGGGAATGAGGCTCAACAGCTGAGCCTGCACCATGACCCCGGTGCCTCTCCCCCATCCCCCTGCGCCTTTTGGACCAAGAAGTGCAGGCACAGATAGAGCTTTCAAGCCTCTTTTGTTCCTGGATGGTGGATCCCTGTGGTTAATGAATAATTGCTTTAGGGGCAGAGGTGAGGGGAGTGAGTATTGCAAGTGAAGATGGGTGGGACAGGGAGGTTCCAGGTGGTGAAATATTTTCAGGCAACAATCTGCAGAGAAACTTGACCATGACTCAGCTAAGCAGTGGGCTCACTGGCAGGTGGCCCTGGTGGCCCCCTGCTGACATCTGCTACTACTGTGTGCTTCCAAGGCCCAGCGAGCAGCACCGGTGATTGATGATACTACAGCGCATCCCAGGAGCTGGTATCCCAGGGCAGCGCTGCACCTGCTGGCAGCCAAACCCTTCGGGGCAGGACACCGGCCCACAGCCTCGGAGCGCCCAGTTCCAACCATCAATTTTAATTCTTGTGAGGCTTTTCTTTTTCACATTTGGTTACCCTGTTGAACCAATCTGCTTCTTCCCACCAGTATGACAGTTTTTAGCTCAGTTCCAGGCCAAATTTTGCACTGGCCCGAGTCCCACTGTTTGTTTCTTTCATGTGTATCTTTTACATCCTGGGAGCCCTGACCGACTCCCAGTGCCTGAGCCCCTTCCCCTAAGCATGAGGACTCCCGCCTCAGGTCTGCCCTGTTCCAGCTGCTGGAAGGCATCCAGAATTCTAATGTTATTCATCATAGTTGCAGTTTCACTACAAAGCATATGGTTTGACCTCTTATCCTTACTAAGTCATTTCAGACTTAGGGAAAAAATACCCACTTAAGATAATTCTTTTACCAAAAAATTTTGTGTTTTTTTTTCTAATAAGAGGTAATTCATGCACATGTTAAAAATCAAAAGCAGATGTGAGGTGTGTGGGAAAAAAATGAAATGTTCTATATTTCAAAGTAAAACTTTGGGTGACAAAAACTTCAGTGATTTTTAATGGTGATTATAATATCAATAGTACTTTTGAAATCAGATGTTGGGCTGGGGCACAGTGGCTCATGCTTGTAATCCCAGCACTTTGGGAGGCTGAGGTGGGAGGATCACTGGAGCCCAGGAGTTCGAGACGCTGTCTCTCCAAACAAACAAACAGACAAACAGACAAACAAACAAACAAACTCAGGAGTTTGAAGCTGCAGTGAGCTATTATTATACCCCTGCACTCCAGCCTGGGCTACAGAATCAGACCCAGTCTCAAAAAAAAAAAAAAGAAAGAAATCTGATAACACTTTATTTGATGCTGCAGTGTTGTAAAGGATCATCAGACACACAAATTTGATAATTAAATAATGTTCCTAAGTCTTCTGATTGAAATAATAACACAATGCAAAATCTCTTTTCCTGGCTTCCCTTCCTGGTCTTCCTTTTGTCCTCTCTTCCTGCCAGCTCTGCTCTCTGCCCATTCTGAACGGCTGTCTGCTGCAGTGATCAGTGCTCTTCTTTGGATGTTCTTTGCCCAGATGCTTTATGGCATTTCCTTCTTTTAATTTTCTTTCTTTCTTTCTTTCTTCTTTGTTTTCTTTCTTCTTCTTCTTTTTTTTTTTTTTTTTGAGACAGAGGCTTGCCCTGTTGCCCAGGCTAGAGTGCAATGGCACGATCTTGGCTCACTGCAACCTCTGCCTCCTGGGTCCAAGCGATTCTCGTGCCTCAGCCTCCTCAATAGCTGGGATTACACACCACCATACCCAGCTAATTTTTGTATTTTTAGTAGAGGTGGGGTTTCCCCATGTTGACCAGCTGGTCTTTAATTCCTGACCTCAAGTGATCCTCTGCCATGGCCTTCCAAAGTGCTGGAATTACAGGCGTGAGCCACCACGCCCTGTTCTTCTTTTAATTTCTATTGTGAAAAATTTCAAATATGTACCAAAGTGGAGAGAGCAGGATAATTAACCCTCATACACTCATCACCTAGTTCCAACAATTATCAGCTCATGTCCAATCTTATCTGTACCGTCACTCCCGTACCCTCCCTGTAGAATTTTCAAGAAAATCCAAGGAACACCTGGTGTATTCCCACATGTTAATGAAAACTCTTGTTGATTAAGCTGCACTTATTAGTAATTTATTTTCCCATTTAAAATTAATTTTCAGAATACCAAGAAGGCACCATTTCATCCTTATATCTGATTGGTGAAAAGTGTAGTAGTCAAATAGTACCAAGGTTGACAAAGACATCAAAGAATAGAAACACTTAAACACTGATCTTGGCAATGTAAATTGGTGCACTGATGTTGCAGAGCAATTTGGGCAATGCCTAGTGTGGTTGAAGATACCCTTGGATGAAGATTTACAAGAATATTTATTGCAATGAAAAGTTGGAAACCACTTAAAAATTTATCAGTAGGAAAATGAATACATTGTGCTATAGATAATGATTATCCAGACAGTGGACCATGGTATAAAGCAGTTGAAAGGAATGCCCTGGAGTGACATATGTCAACAAGGATTACCCTCAAAAATGTTTTGTCAATTAAAACAGATGCAAAAGGGTGCATACAGTGTGATGCCATTTTAAACAGTTTTATAGCATCCAAAAACTCTATATATTATGGCTACATACATAGGTAGTAAAAGCATAAAAATAAATGTGCAAGAGTGGTAAATACCAAATTCGGGATGTTGTCATTTCTGGGATGGGTGGAATAGTGGGGCTTGAAAGGGGGTGAAATAGGGATTGAAGCACAGCCTGTAATGCTTTCTTTCTTGAAAGGAAAAATAAAAAAACTAAACCAGGTGTGGCAAAATGTTAAGATTTGACAAGTCCGGGATGTGCACAGACATTTGTTATACATGTGTCTGTGTAAATGGTTCCTTATTCAGAAATGAAAAATCTGTAATTGTTCATCTTCTGATAAACTTGCAATGGCTGCTGTTGTCACATGATGTCATTTTCTTGACTGGAGCTAAGAAACTTGGCATTTTTTGTTATTTAATCCTGAGAAAATGCATATTTTCTTCTTTCTTCCTTCCTTTCTTTCTTTCTTTTTTTTTTTTTTTTGAGATGGAGTCACACTGTTGCTCAGGCTGGAGTGCCGTGGTGCCATCTCGGCTCATTGCAACCTCTGTCTCCTGGGTAAGGGTTCAATCGATTCTCCTGCCTCAGTCTCCTGAGTAGCTGGGATTACAGGTGCCTGCCACCAAGCCCAGCTAATTTTTGTGTTTTCAGTAGAGACGGGGTTTCACCATGTTGGCCAGATTGGTCTTGAACTCCTGACCTCAAGTGATTCGCCCAACTTGGCCTCCCAAAGAAAGTGCATATTTTCTTTGTCATCTTATGATAGTAGATCATGGAGCTCCTTTAACTTAATGGATTCCTAGAGGCCAGTGACTCCTGATATTTTCCAGACACTTATAGCTAGAAAAAGCCAAGTAATGAAGCTCTGATGCTTTGACTTGCTTTGACTTAACAAGCTTAGGGAAGAAGCAATGACACTGTATTTTCTTTCTTTTTGAGAGAAGGTAAGAACAGCATGAAAGGAGAAGGCAGAGGAGGAGGATCCCTTCTTGCCTCTGTGTAGACCGATCCTAGATGCAGCTTCCTTCTGTCATCTGCAGGTGGTTGGGACCTGTCTCCACACCTGTGGTTTGCTCAGGAGTAGGGAGGACAGGCCTGAGAGGAAAAAGGACTTGAACTGGGCTTTGTAAAGGCACAGTAGAATTTAGGTAGATAATGAGGAGTGGTTGAATAGATGTGTCACGGAATTAAGGGCCCATCTTTAGCAAGACACAAACCCTTTAAGACCTGGTCCTGCCTGTCCATCTTCACTTCTTAGTACCCATCTCTGTCCACCCTCCCCTTCCAGCCAGACCCAGTATTGGCCCTATTGGCGAGCTCACCTTTGTCCTCTGGCCTTGGCTTTGCACGTGCCCTGACTTCTCACATGGAAGGGAATGAGTGCCTGTGCCTCACCTGTCCCTGGGCTGCCTGCCAGGCTCCTGCATACTCCCAGACTCTGATTGCGGCAATCTCCCAAGGAATGCACCTCCTGATTTTCCAGGCTGACCACCCTTCTGTAGCACCTGGTACAGTTAGTTGCCTTGTTCTTAATTCTATACTTGTCTTCCTACCTGTGACTTTTTTCCTGGGCAGTGGTGCAGCTGGAATGGTTCAGCATGCATGCAGACTTTTCACGTGACCCTGGGCAGATACTTAATCTTGGGGTGCCACACTCATCTGCAGGTGGGGATGGAATGGTACCCAACTCCTGTTGTAGTTGTGAGGGTTAAACATTGTAACACATATAAAGCAATTAGGGGAGGGCCTGGCAAGACTCTGCTGTAGGAGTTAGCTGGTCCTATTGCTGTTTTCCCCATTTCTTCCTTTTCTCTTTTTCTCTCTTCCTCTTCTTTTTTCTTTTCCATCTTGTTTTTAGCTCACCAACACAAGAGATGGAAAACGATGTAAGCATAGCCTTTAGGTGTGAATGACTCCTGGTCAACTTGGAGGAAATGGCAAAATCCAGTAAGACGTACCGGGAATGTTTGGAGGGAGTGGTGGGTGTCAGAGTGAGTAGGTGGAGTGGGGCCAGACTTTAGAAGCCTTGGATACCAAGACACGGAGTTTGGACTTGATGTGATTGGCAAAGTGGAATCTCCGGCCATTGTTTATCTGGTGAGAAACTGCTGTGGGAGACCTGTATGGCAGTAGTTTACTGAGTGGACTGGCAAGAGTAGGGAAAAGAGTGGCAGTAGGAGACTAACTTTAAAATATGCTGAAGACCTTTAATATTGAAGAGCAGCGTGGCTGGATTAGGCAGTTGACAAGTGGCACTGACACAGGAGAGACTAGAGAGAGAGGAGCAGGACTCCTTGGCTTGATGAAAGAACAAAAGAGAGGGAGCTACAATCTTTGGCTTTGAGATTTGTAGCTAGTTGGACTGCAGGAAACCACAAAAAGAGTGAGGGTAGCTGGAATAACATATTTTTGTTTTATTTTTAAGATGTGTGGGATGGCCTAGGATTTGGCATCAAAGTTGGTGTGTTTATTGAGTATAGTTACTGTGGATGCCAGCAAGAAGGAGAGCGATCCGATATATTTACAGGCAGGACAAGAGCAGCCCACATCCGTAAGCAGGAAAACAGTGTGGCCAAGTATTGTTTTCAGACTTCTTTGGCTGCGTTAGCATGCTGGAGGGTTCTGTCCTTGACCTTTCTGAATTGACTATTGTGTTTGGTGAAAGTAGAGGTCACACTCATCTGAATCACCTAAAGTCATCTGTATGACTTTAAGGCAAGAAGGAACAGCAAGTGTGTAGGTTGGCAAGTAAGATAAAAAACAGTCCGGATGAGACAGACTGATGGCCTGGCCCTGTTGATGGAACAAGGGTGAATGCAAGGTTTTGAATCCAGCTGCAAAGTGTAGGAGGGGGAGGCTGTGGGAAGGATGGAGGGTTTTAGTTGGCAGGTGTCTGCCACGTGATGTGGCCTCTAAACAGCCATCTTGTCTGCACTGAAAGAAGGTGGTCTGCTTGCTTCATCCTTGTCCACAAGCTGGTCAGGCCACTTGTGGAGAATAGCATGCAGTTCTAGGCAGTACACTCTGAAGGACGGAAACAAACTGGAACCTGTTTGTAAGACACAGGGAAAGGAAATGAACCCATAGAACATGAGCTCCTTCAGGGTAAAGATTGCTCGTTTGCATCTCTCTGAAGCTTTAGTGCCTACCTACATCAGTGTCCAGGCCTAGTATGTGCTCACCTGTTGTCCATTGAATAAATAAGAGATTGGGGTTGTCCTGTATCCAGGACCCCTGAGCCCAATTTGAGTTCAAAGTAAAGAAGAACTTTCGAATAGTGCTTTCCCCTGGCTGCCATTAGTGGGAATGTGCATCTGCACGCAGGATGTCCACAGGCACAGGGGAGTCAAGCTTAGGTGGGTGGTTAGACCGGTGGGCCTCAAGATTCCATCACTCTCTCCATGCGCTGGACTCTTTGATGGGAGAGAGTAAGGGAGCGTGAGTAAAAGTCCGTGATCAGTGAGGGTGGCCAGGAGCAAGTCGATTTGTAAATGAATGTGCTGGCAAACTTCCTTACAAAGGCACTCCCCCAACAATTTTTTATAATTTCTAGATAAAATGCCCTGATTTGAAAGAAAGTCAAGTAGAATTTGAGTTAATAGCGTGAATTGCAGTCCCATCTGCTCAGCTCCACGGCCCGGTAGATCTGTGGAGCCATTTGTCACAATTTGTTTTAAAGCCAGGAAGAAAAACACTCCTGGACACTGCCCAACGCTTCTCACGGAGATGCTGTCTTTGGAGTGTGGAAGGGGTGGGGTGGGTGGTGAGAAAGCTGGGTGGGACAGAAGGAGGGCCCTGTGCTTTGAGGCAAAAGACAGGGTTCCAGCCCCTCTTCACTGGCTTGCTCGTGACCTTGGGTGAGTCATGCAGCTTTTCAGGCCTCGCTCCTGGTGTAGAAGGGCTAGACAGATCACAGCTTCTCCAAGTCTGGGCCAGATGACTGTTCATTCTTTCCTCCATTCACCTAATATTTTTGAGCTCTGTTTAGGTGCCACACACCGTTCTAGGAGCTGGGGATTCAGCAGTGCCAATACTTTTTCTAGTTTTAAGACTGGATGCTAAGAACATCATTGTCTACTTCATGCTATTGGAGAGCAGCAGTTCTTCCAGGCATAAGAACCTGGAAGAACGAGTTTGCATGAAAACTGTCCTGAGCTCGGGAAAGGCTGTCACCAGCCTTCCTCTTGACGTGCTTGAGGCCAAAAAGGGGAGATAGGGCCAACTCAGAGTGCATGAAAACCAAGCCGTGAAGAGTGGATAGCTGAAAAGATGCCTGTGAAAGCAACTTTGATCAGGGAAGGAATGGTGGACTCGGTATGGGGAATTCTTCTTGGGAAGGTGATTGTGGAGCGGCTCTCAGGAGACAAGAGGCTTTGTTTGATGACTGGCAAAGGCCTTTTGAGAGGGTGTGGTCGGGGTGATGGCTGGCACCTGTGAGGAAGACAGTTGTTCTGGCGAGTGGAGGTGTACTGGGAAAGGGTGTTCCAGGAGAATTACCAGTTGATTCATCCCACAAACATTTATTGGGCACCTACTGTCTGAAATGCAAGGGGACACACAAAGATGAGTTAAGGATTTGACTTAAGGCACAACACAACACAACACAACACAAGGCAGGAATGGTTGCCTGCATAAGGCACTGACTGAGGAAGGTTCCCTAGCAGAGATGACGGATGAGCTGGGCCTTAAAGTATGAGTGGGCATTGGCTGGGCGTGGGGTGGAGAAAAGGCCTTTCCAGATGAAGGGCTCTGAAATGCTTTATGAGTTTGCCTTGGCAGAGACCAGAGACCCCATAACCAGATGCTGTTCATTTGATTCTTGGAATCATGGGAATACTTCAGTGTCCCAAAAAGAAGATGCCGTTACAATGTTTGAAGATGACATTCTTTGTGCTTAAGCTGCCTTAAGCCTTTTCTTAAACAGCCTGGATGTGCAGCAAAAAAGAGTCCTTTCTGCCCCGTGTTGTAGGGCATTGGAAAGGATGACGTACTGGGAGGTGGCTGATGCAGCCTCCAGTGCAGAGGCCTGGAAAAGTGGATGATCTGTGGCTACAGGAGGGAGAGGTTAGGGTGGGTGAAGAAGCATTATGAATGAGCAGAATCTAGGAACACTCCATGGGTGAGGGTCATATTAAGAAATGAGAGAAGGGCACAGACTACTCTATGCCAGGAAGAGAACTGGGGAAGGCCAACTATAACAGGGATTGTTTTGGAGGAATGGATAGTGTAGACAGTCACAGTGAATTTGTTTAAACAAATATCTGGAATTGGTGACTCAAGGGCTTGGTCAAGCTCAGTGGCAAAAAATCAGTGAGAACAGGAACATGAAGTAAGTTAGAGATGGGGCCTAGACGTTTGGGATTCTACTGTTTAGAAGCAGGTGTTGCAGTTATCCAGTGCTGCATAACAAATCATCCCAAATCATAGTGGCTTAAAGCAAAAATTAGTTTATTCTCTTTCATGAAGTCTGTATGTCAACATCAGGAAGGGCTGGGCTCGTGGTTCTGGCTCAGTCTTTCATGGGGTTGCAGTCAGATAGTGGCTGGGGCTGGGACACTAGAGAGCTGGAGCAGTGGAGACTGGCATCTCATTCTCTTCACCTCGTCTCTCCTGTGGGCTAGCTTGGGCTTCCTTATAGTGTGGTGGGCTCAGAGCAGGCAGATGGCTTACACAGCAGCTCGGGCTCCAAGTGTGTGTCCCAGGATTGCTGGCAGAAGCTGCATTCCCTTTTTGTGACCTAGCCTTAAGGTCACAGAGTGTCACTTCTACCAGAGCTGTAGCCCACCTAGATTCAGAGAGAGGAAACACAGGTTCTGCCCTCTCGATGGAAGGAGTGTCAAAGTCATGGGTAAGCAGAGCAGGCATGGGAGATGTCATTGCAAGCCAACTTTGGGAAATACATTTTGTCTCCGGTGGGGAAATTGCATGAACAAATGAACTCCCTCATAGCAGAGAATGGAGAGTACCACCTGAGATTTGATGGGCAAACTGAGAACTGGGAGAGAAGCAAGAGAGGAGGCAGCGAGTGACTGAGGAGATGTGGGCAGGGAGAGAGGAGGAAAGCCAGGCGATGTTCTGGGCATGAAGCCAGGCTTGCTGTGGGTGCTCCAAGGCAGATGTGAACGAGTGAGGATGGGAAAGAAGTGGGGTTGGCCAGGACCATGGGAACACGTGGCTCTTGTTTTTCAGTTGTTCTCTCCACTAGCTGGAGCCTACCCTTTTTTCCTCTTAGATTTTTAAACAGCGTTTTATTAGGAGAAATTTAAAATTATCCTTGTCTTTTTTATACTGTCTCCTCATTTTGCTTTGTCGTGGCACGTGTTTTTACACATTTATTTTTGAATAGGTAATGCATTCACATGCGTTCAATTAAAAAGGATACCAAAGAATGTACACAGTGCAAATTAAGTCTGCTTCTGACCTAATTCTTCCAGAGACCATCGCCGTTACTGGTTTCATGTGTGTCTTTCAGAAAATATTCTCTACCGTTGTTGCCTCTTTGATGCCGACTGTACACACTAGCAGGGCTGATTTGCTCCTGCTTTGGTTTTAGCCTCGATGGCATAGAGGCCCTTCCATAGCATGAACAGCCCTCTCCAGACCCATCTACTCACCTTTGTGAGAGGGCAGAGCCTGCAGACTCAGGGCTGACCTCAGCCCTGGATTCTGTTCAAGCTTTTTCTGAACCTGTAATTTTAAGTGCTGCTTCTAATTCAAGTCAGACTTTTTCTATGTTGGCTTTTCATTTTTGCTTTCTATGGTTTCTCAGTGTTCTTTCACCCCTAAGATCATGATTTTGAATTTTTATTTTTTATTTTTGGTTCTAAGGCGCAGAGAGTTTAGTAGACAAGAAGGAAGGGAGAAGACAGAAGGAAAAAGCTGCCCCGTACAGAGACAGAGGGAAGGGGGCTCCAAAGCCGAAAGAAGAGGTCCCCACGATTGTGAAATTTTTTGTTCTCTCACTTACATGCACCTTTCCCTGGCATAGGGGAATATATAGTTAGGGAAATGCAGGGGCTTTCAATACTGGTATCACAGAATTACACAGTCTTGGAGCTGAAAGGGGATTTTAAGGATTGTCTGGGTGTTTTTCTTCTTTAAAAAAAATTTTAAAATTTTGCTTATAGGGAATTCAGCCTTAGAGAAAAAGTTAAAAGATTATATAAGGTCTCTTCTTCCACCCAACTCAAAAAACACCCCCAAACCAAAACCAACTCTGCTGGACTTTCTGGGATGGTTGATGACCTACTGAGATCTGATTTCCCAGAGCAGGAGGTGGGAAGTGCTTGATCCAGCAATGGGAGGGAATGCTTGAACCCAGGATATCCCAAATGGCTGGAATGTAGGACAGTGGTACCATGCCCAGGCTGGGACCAACTTCTTAGCTGGCCTTCAAAGGGACAGATGGCAGCTGAACTCTGCGTAATGCCCAAATACAGCTCACAGAACCCAAAGACTGTGTCTCTGCAGCGTGCAGCATTGGTCTATAGCATTTGAAGCTATTTTTTCTCTGTAAGTGTCCACAAAATTCGTCACTTTACAATGAGCTTGGCAGGATAGCTGCAGTGAAGAAACTCTCCACACAGGTCCCAGTGTCTCTTCTGGAATTTTGCCTGAGCAAGTAAATCAAATACTTGGTAAACACACTGATGTCACTGTCCCTAGCCATGGGGATTTAGAACTTTTTCAAAACCCCTTTCTCTCTGTGGCCCCACTTGTTTCTCGCTGCAGCCTTTTATTTTTCTGGAGTTGGCTGTGGTTCTCCCTCCATGCTCCAGGCCAGGTTCTGTGGGCTGGACAGGTATGGCGAGTTAATCCTGCCAGACGAGGTCAGCTCTGAGTTAATGAGTACAGCCTCTCTTTCTCCCCTCCAGAGCATGGATTTCTTTCTTAAGTTTGAGGAGACAAAAATATATGCCTGACAAAGGATTACCGGGAAGAATTAAACACGAGTCCTTCAGCATGCACGTATCCATTTGTTGCCTTCCGGGTTTGCTTTCTTCTCAGCCTGCGAGGCTCCTCATTCAGTATGCTGTGTTGTGTGGTTAGCTGTTCCATAGTCATACTGAAAGTGGCTTCTCAGATGCTGCTTGAGTCCTGGGGAATGTCACCATCCGATGACAGTCTAGCTGAGAGATGCTAGCACGCCCACCCCTTCTTCCCCCCACAGATCCATATCTCATCTAGCTGTACACAAAAGGCAACTGATAACTCCTGTTATCAGCACTAGGTGGGGTGGGAGGTTTTGGGGGATGGTCAGCATTTTTTGGTTTCGATGACCATGTAAGTATTTTAAATCTGCAGCTCTGGCAAACTGATAACCTCCACAACTATATCATCAGAGCCCTCATTAATGGAATCATTTTCTAATTTGAACACCTTGTTTGTCCTTCCTCTCATTTCTTAGTGAACCTGTCAGTCTTCCCCAGCCCTTCACTGGTTGAGTTGTGGAAGTTTGGAGTCTTTTGCTTTTCAGGAATAGGCTCTGCTCTCTGACCGTTTCTGTGTCTTGAGCTTTGTGGCGAGTGGAGCTCATTTGGTAGTTATAGGGTCTACAGTTGATGGAGACATTGAGGAGGATTGAATGCCAGGTATTTTAAAGTGGCCTTGAATTAACTGTTTTTTGGCATCTTTCTCAAATGGATCCATGGGTTATCATGGCCTGTGGAGGCACCTCCCATCTGAATGCTTGCCATCCATCAGCTGAGTGACTGTTGACCTTTGCTCCATATGTCCTCCTGTGGGCTTGGCTGGGGAAGCTCACTTCTCAGAGGCACATGGCAGGATGGTCTAGAGAGTTGGTTGGGCCCAGGGAATAGATTCTCTGTCCAGTGATGACCTCATCAACTTCTCCCAAGCAGTTGCCTAAGACCTGCGAATTGTGGACAGCTCCCTGGATATCCCCACATTCTCTTGCCTGTTAACTACATCTCTTTACTATCTCTCTGGCCAGACCACCCCCTTTCACTCCCAGTGGAGGTCCAGTGATCTGATTTGGTTGGGGTCCTCAGCAGCTCTCACCTGGATCACCGCAGGAGCATGAAGGAATCTTCTGCCAGGGCCCCTTTCCCATCACTCCTGCCAGAACAATCTTCCCAAGGCAGGATTTGGAATATCTGTTTCCTTATTTACACCCCCAGTGGCTCTCCACTGCTCATAGTTCAAAGCCCATGCTCTTTAGTAGAGCACCCTATCCCTGCCCTGGCCTGGCCCCTGTCTGCTGCTTCCTCTTGGTCTTCCTCTACTTTCATGGACCCTACCACCCATCAATGTCAAACTGCTGCAGTACTCTGGACCTCCGGCTCCTCGTGCAGCTCTGCATAGATTCGAGCTGCTCTCTGCTGAGGTCCTATGTGATGTCCTCCCCACCCCACCACGATCTAGCAGAAATACCTACTCATCCTAATTAGAACTGGGCACAAGCAACCTCTCTTGTGTGAAGCCTTTCCTGACGCCTGTGGAACACCTAGCTCGGTGTCCTCAGTGCATCTTTCACAGTGCCACGCTTTGCCGCCTCTGTTTACTTATCTATCTCTGCCTCCTAGACTGTAAAGATTGGGTCTTGTAGCTCATCAGCCCAGTACAGTGTCCAGCAAAGAGGAGACACCATATATATTTGTGGAATGAATGAAACAGAAGCTTAGAGTCAGAGATTGTGGGTTTGGATGCCAACTCTGTATCCCACTGACAATTTCTCCGAGCCTCAGTTTGCTCATCTCATCAGCGAAATGGGGAATGTACACTTCCCTCACAGGGTGGCTGTGAGATTAAAGTAAGAAGACACCTTTGGAAATGCTAGTTTGCTGCAGATTTGGCTAGTGCCTGGAATTGAGCAGGTACTCAGTCCTTATTTCCTGTTTCAGGTGATAACCAGAGAGAAAGCCTCTACTTCAGGAGACCGCATCTCATTGTGCCTTTTGTCTTCTTCCAAAGAGGCTTCTCTGATTTTGCCCCTAATTAGGAGGGCGTGCCTGGAGAGCCCCTTAACAGCATCTGGGCAGGGCTTGCCACCAGGGGGCAGAGGCTTTTGAACCATCACTGCTTTGTCAGAGCCTGTAGCGAATGTTCAAAGCCCAAATCTTGTTCCAAATCCCATTCCCTCCAGGACCCTTGTCCTCAGTGGGGATTTAGAAATGGCCCCATGCTGTATGTCACGTCCTTGGCTCTGTGTAAGTCAGCGACAGCCTGCATGTTAATGCCTAAACTGCTTTCTCAAGATTCCTCCAACCATCTGTCATTCAGGTGCCTTCCTTGTACCCTGAAAGGATGATTTTCATCAGGGCTCACAGTATCTGTTAATGCCTCATGAAGGCATCCAGTTGGAAGAAGCAAGAGAAGAGATGCGTTAGAGGGCTCGGAAGGGATCAACATGGAATGGAAAGTTTAATAACTCAGAAAATAGGAGTTTTTAGGAAAGTGGCTAAACAGCTTTAAGAAAAAGTAAATGAGGTCAAACCTGTTCAACCAGGCCCTTGTGCATTAAGCAGCTCAAACAGAGGGCAACTGATTAACCATTTGACACTTCACACACCTGCAAAGTTGACCTGACCAGGCTGGCTCCAGCCAATTTTGCAATCATTTTCTCTCTCCACCCATTCCCTATTTCACCATCAGCCCCCCTCCCCCACTTCAGGCTCCTTGGCCACCTCCCTCCTCTCCACTTACACAACCTGAATTCATCTGTACCAAAATATTCACCCCTCTCTGACTTCTTTTTTTGGGTTTTATGAGGCAGGTGGTCTGAGAAATTGCTTATGACTGTTGGTCCTAATTATGAATCTAATTCATTCAGACTATAGAATACTTAGAAAACACAAAGTGCAAGGAAAAAACAATCCCTTATTACCCGACCTCCCTTTAGCGTTTTTTAAATATACTAGCCCAGTCCTTTTTCCACACATATATAGAGGTGTGTGGGTGTGTGTGGGTGTTTATCTTTACGAAAATACTTTCAAATCCTTTTATAGCCTTTCTCCCCTTTTACTTAGTAGTGTGCTTTCAGCATTTTTAGGTGTTCATAAATATTGTTCTCTGCAGTTTTTAAATGGTTGCGTACTGTTTCACCACATGGGGAGAGTGCTGTAACTGACTGATGGATTCTTTGTTTGGGGACCTTTTCCTGCTTTTGTGACCCACCCCACTATGGTATAGTGCTCATTCTTGTACCTTCTTTTGGAAGTCCCTGAACTCTCCAGCTTGGTCTTGTGTATCTGCGAGGGCCCTGTTTCCCAGTTCTCTTCTCTGGGCTGCTGAAGAATTAGTCTCTACCTCCACGGTTCTGTTTTTTGCATCTGTGATGCTGGCTTATCTGTGCCTCCCTGGAAAGAAAGAGCAGGGCCCACTGCCTACTGCCTGGTCATAGTTATGCTCAAGAACATGGTCCTTGAATTGAATAGGGAAAATGTCCAATCCAGGGCTACCCACCGATGACAGCCAAGCACAGGAGCCTGAGCCACCAGCAATGAAAGTCAAAGCTGAGGGAGAAGGAGCGGCCATCCATTGTTATCATTCGTAACAGGTGCTTGGGAAAACCCCCAGAAGCAGTGTCAGGGCTCTCACTATTTATTTTTAGTTGTGTGTAGATGTTCATGCTTTATGAGTGTGCTAGACATATTTCAGGGTGCCTGCCACCCACACTCTTGGTGGGGAACGGTTTGGGGCCCTTCACATTCCCTGTTGCCCAAAGTGGTTATATGCTGGGTAATGGAATACAGATGCCCATCTGGTCAAGTCCACCTAGATCTGAGTGTGTTGGGGAAATGCATATTGTAAATGACCCCAAAATCTACAACTTTGGGGGCCTGGTTAAAAAAAAAAAGGTCTCCCAGCCAGTCAGACTGCTTTCTGGGGAATTTGCACTGAGAACCACAGTGGTGAGTGCAGCAGCAACAGGCATGTGTAAGCTGAGTATTTGGAGCACAGAAACTATGGCTGAGTAAAGGAACTTTGTCCCTGAAGAGTGGCGGGAGCTGTCCTGAGGAGGGTGGTCTAAGTCACAAAGGTTTTCCAGTTCTGGTCCTTGCAAGGCATAGCTCTGCTGTGATCCTCACTCATGGGTTGCCCTGAAATCCCACAGTGTCTTTTTGTATCCTTTCTCCATCCTCCCCACTTCTCCCCACACACTAGAGCTAGTTGTTGGAGCTCTGCTTATTGCGATTATCCAGCTATCGTCCAAGAGGATGGCACATTGGCTAGTGCTTCCACTGCTGAGAGGGTCACAGCAGTGCCTTGGGCAGAGTCAGGAGAAGAGGAATATTCCTGTTTTGTACCGGAGTGCTTTCCAGGGTGAAGAGCTGAAGGAGCTGCTCTGAGTAGGACACGGCTCTGAGGTTCCTTTGGAGACCCCAATTCACAGCCTGGGCATTCGTAGCTAGGCAGCCCCATTTTCTAGTTTTGTGTCTCCATGGCCTAGTGTTGGGAGACAGAAGGTGGGGACACTGTGTTGAAGGACACAGCAGACTGACTTATCATGGGCTTCCTGAAGCCAGGGCCACCCCTTTGTATCCAGGTCTAGTTCTGATGCCACTTGAAAAAGCCCCCCAAGTGCTTTTGCTGTTGGTGCCCCGCATCTCTCTGCTGCCTGGTAGCTGACATTCTGACCCTGCCTGCAGATGCGCTCCCGGCATGTTGTCAGCAGGGCCCTGGGCTTAGCAGTCCTCTTCCTGAAGCTGTGAGAGCATTGAGGGGTGCACAGCTGGGGCCCTGCCAGCTCCAGGAGGAGGTGCAGGCAGTGCTGAGTGTGGCGGGAGCTGTGGAAGAGTTATTCCAGTCCTCTTTAGGAGAGGGTGGTGGTGGCGGCCAGTAGAGGGACTGTTTGAAATCCAGCAGACACCTTTCTCTCAGACTGAAAACCTGGGGACCAGACTGAGAGTCTGGAGAAACTGAGGTATCCTAGGTCCAGAAATGAAGCGTAAAATAATAGCAACAGTAATTGCTGTGAAATGTATGCTGTGAGAAGGAATGAGGCACTTACTGGTTCAAGTGATGGTCCTTTTACTGGAACTCACTCTAAGCTGCGGTTCACTGAGCCTCTGGACTTCTCAGAGGGAGTGTTGCCATGAAGCTGCCCTCTTTAAAAAAAAAAATGCCCAACACTCAGCCTATTTCCATTATCTCCAAAACCGGAGGGAAAGAAAGAGCGGTCAGAGTAATTACAGGGAGAACATTTCCAGGCAAGTAATCTGATCTTGCCTTTTAATTTTTTTCCCCTCTAGAAAATAGAAGGCAAATACTGGCACTTATATTTACTTATAAGCATTTCTATTAGATGCTGCCTTGAATCTAGGTGGGGCTGAAAACAGTGTCTATTCCTGTGGCTGTGGGCATGGCTGGCCTAGGGCAGGCTGCAGGGCTCCCTCGCTGCCTTTCTTTTTTGATGCTGCTTCTGTGCTGTCCTTCGCATGAGAGTGAGGGGGAATGCAGGTGAGAGGGTGGCAGGACTCAGGTGCTATCCCTACCTTTGCTGGGAGGAGTGGAGGATAGAGGCAAAGAAATGAGCGATAGGAGAGGAGGAGCAGAATAGAAGGGCAGGAAGTGGGGTCTTTTGGGCTTTCCTGGTTCCAAGCATGGCATAGGGTGAAAGAGCCATGGACATCCTGAAAGTGATAAGGTCTTCCCTGGGGTTTCAGTGGTCATGGATAAGAGAAGCTGGGGATTGTACAAATTCAGGTGGGGAAAGGATAAGCAGTAGAAGGCATGGGCTTGTTGGTTATAGAAAAAAAACTATAAATAACCTAAATATTCATTAATATTGGAATAAATAAAATGTGGTGTAATCCTATGATGGAATACTGTGCAGCTATATAAAGAAGAAAAATGGGAACTATATTTGATCTCAAAAACTTTGAGGAGGAAAACTGAGGAACATAACTCAATGAAAGGGATGATAATGTTTATGTAAAAAATGCTGAAAAATAATGTATATTTTTCAGTGGTTACATATATCTAGATATAAAAGCAGTTTTTTGTTTTTTTTTTAAGTCTGGAGAGCTCTATCCTTAAATCACAGTAGTGCTAATCTCTGGAAAAATGAGGGGAAGCAGGGTTAGTGGTAGTAGTCAGAAGAGATAAAAGACTTAAAATACTGTATTTTTTAAAACATTTAAGTAAATATTCTAATCTAAGTAAATAGTAGCATGTTTAAAACATTTTTGAGTTATGGTTTAGCAGTCCTCTAAGGAAGCAGCGTCAACATTTAGTAATGAGGGAATTAGGCAGCAGCTTAGAAGCAGCCACCCATCCCTGGGGCTCAGTAGGTAAATGTCTCAACCTAGGACAATCAGGCAGTCTAGTGACACAGCAGTGCAGACATCAGAGAGATCAGTCAGGTTGGGATGAAATGAATTACTGGGTTTGCAGTCCTTTTGGCTGGTTCTGTAGCTGGCAGTTACATCTTCTTAGAAGTAGTATCAATAATTTAACATTCATTAATCATCATCTTTAGACCAGCTCTATTTTAGGTACCACTGGGGATTCAGATAAGAGAAAGAATGAAAGAGTGAATGAATGATATTTTTGTCCTTGGATTTAAAACTAGGCCAGGCCCTCATCTTGTCGCATTTGACTGTGAATTTGGTCTGTCTGCTTCCAGTCCTGCCCTCTGCTCTGTCCTTCACCTGCCACCAGAGTGATAATTCGAAAGTGTAAATCTGATCCATCTTCTTCCTTACCTCTGTTAGGCTCTTTCTCAACTTCCCCTGTCCCAGAGGAGGTGTTTGACTTTATTAATGTGCCTTTCGGTGCCCTTTTCCGCCTGGCACTGATGTGCCCTCCAGTCATGTGACAAAACGACCTCCGCAAACTTCTTGCTAATCCTGGAATGCACTGCGGTGTTTTCATGTGGTATATATTTCCCTTGCGCTTTGGGACCCAATTCAGATGTCACTACTTTTTTGAAGGCTTTTTGAATGCTTTCACTTTCTGAAAGGGCTTAACCTTGCACTTTGCACCTCACTGCTATCGTATACCATTAAAATGATTAGTTATGTGTATTTATTTTAGGATTGTCAGCTTAGGACAACTTGTCAACTATGTCTTATTAATCTCTCCCTCAGTTTCTGTCCTAGTGTCCATCATAATAGGTACTGAAAAAAATGTTGATTGAAGCCATAGCATATGTTCTTGTTACCTTTCTATGTAACAAATGTTTCCCAACCTCAGTGGCTTAAAACAACAATTTTGTTATGCTCACAGAATCTGGGGGTTGAGAATTTACAGGCACGGCAGGCATGGCTGGAAGTTCCGAGGCTGGGGGCAGCTCACAGGGGAGGCTTGTTCACTCACATGGTGGCAGGTGGAGCTGGGTGGTGATTGGCTCATTCACTCACTTGGTGGCAGGGGGACCTGGCTGGAGCCAGCTCTGGACTGGAGCACCTGCCCAGGGCCTCTCCATGTGCCTTGGGCCCCCTCACAGCATGGCCTCAGGACCGTTGGCTTTCTTATGTGGTGGTTCAGGGGACCCTGAGTGAAATGGAAGCTACATCACTTTTCATGACCTAGGACTGGAAGTCACACAGTGACTTCCTGCCCAGATCCACAGAGGAGGGAATTATTCTAAACTCCACCTCTTGATGGGAGTGTGTGGCATGGTCACATTGCAAAAGAGCGTGTGGGAAGGAGATATTGTTACTGCTGTGTCTGGAGAATACAACCTGCCACGGTGTGTGGGAGAAATTAGTTCCACAGCTAGAGTTAATATCACTACTATTGCTACTACTGCAACTAGCGGCTAAACATTTATTGAGCACTTATTGTGTGCCAGGAATTAAGTTTTAAATGTAGCAACTCATTAAATCCTTCCATAACACTGTGACGATTATACCACTTTACAGATGAGGAAACTGAGGTGCAGAGAGGTTAAGTAACCAGCCCAAGGTCTCACAGCTACTGCCCATGCTGTGGGAAGTCAGTGAAGGCGAAGACTTAGGAATTCACTCCGAACTTTAGGTTTGCTGCTGGATTGTGGCAGTGCATTTATCACATGGGAGTTGATGGCTGTTTCAAGAGCCATTTTTTTTTTTTTTTTTTTTTTTTTTTGAGACAAGATCTCGCTCTGTCACCCAGGCTGGAGTGCAGTGGCACAATCATTGTTCATGGCAGCCTTGGCCTCCCAGGCTCGAGGAATCCTGAAGGTACCTTTTTTTTTTTTTAGATAGAGTCTTGCTCTGTTGCCCAGCCCACAGTGCAATGACATGATCTCGGCTCACTGCAACCTCCACCTGCTGGGTTCAAGCGATTCTCCTGCCTCAGCCTCCGGAGTAGCTGGGATTACAGGCGCACATCACCATGCTGGGCTAAATTTTTGTATTTTCAGTAGGGACAGGGTTTCACCATATTGGCCAGGCTGGTCTCGAACTCCTGACCTCAGGTGATCCACCTGCCTCGCCCTCCCAAAGTGCTGGGATTATAGGCATGAGCCACTGTGCCTGGCCTCAAGGGACATTTTTGATGAAAGTATGGATCCAGATAAGGTCCTTGCACCTGTGGGCTCAGGAAGCTGAACCTCAAGCTGTCCTGGTTTTATGGCTCCACTTGTGCCATCTGGACCTTGGTTAGACTGTCCCTTGATGGCAGTGACATTGACCGAGTGGGCTGGAGTGCAGTGGTGTGATCTCGGCTTGCTGCAACCTCCATCTCCCAGGTTCAAGCAATTCTCCTGCCTCAGCCTCCTGAGTAGCTGGGATTACAGGCGTGTGCCATCACACCCGGCTAATTTTTGTATTTTTAGTAGAGCTGGGGATTCACCATGTTGGCCAGGCTGGTCTCGAACCCCTAACCTCAAGTGATCCATCTGGAAGTGCTGGGATTACAGGCATGAGCCACTGTGCCTGGCCAGTGCAAGTGCCTTTAGCCAGCTTCATTTACTCCCTAACTCCTTGCCTCAGGTTCTGCATCCGTAAAGTGAGGTCACTAGGAGTATTTACCTCAGAGGGCTGTTGCAAGGTTAAAGCTGGTTATACAAGCAGAGTACTTGGAACAGTGTCAGTTACCTGGCTGGGGCTCAGTAAGTGCTGGCTGTCCTTATTGGAAAGGTTCAAGTGTTGTGTTTTCCTGTCACCTGATCTGGAAAGAGGTCAAACAAAGGATCTTTTAGCCCATGCCACTTCCTGTCCTTCCTTGGCTGAAGGCTGACAGGTAAGAATCCCCAGAAGTTGTCACCGATGTGCCTGTGGAAGTGCCTTCCCGATTGCTTTCCCTCTGGAGCCTTTAAGTTCCATGAAGCACTTAGTTGGCCTGGACTCCACCTATTCAGCATGCTGTGGCAGCTCAGTTCAGTTCCCATTTTTAACTTGGGACTGCATAGATTCCCCATCATTTCTTTTAGGACCCGGTGACCAAGAAAATCCAGTCAGTGCTTTATTACTTCTCACTGATATTCACAGAGCACATTTAGTGTGAGCCATGGAATAAGAAAACTCTTAGTCACATTCTGTGTCATGAGAAGGTTACTTAACCTTGAAAACCATTTCCTTGTCTGGTAAATGTGGCTGTAATGAAATCGACCCCATTCACTGTTGTGAGGATTAAATGCGATGATGTATGCAGAGCAACTAGGACAGTGCCTGGGAAAGTGCTGCTCATGATCATTTATCTTCGGTTTAGAACAATATATACTTGCTTATTTAAAAAAGGAGATAATAGAGAAAAGGTATTGAGAAAAATAGGAGAGGAGAAAATCACTCATATTCTCACCATTCAGTGAATCAGCCCAGTATCATCAATGTTTTGTTTGGTTGTTTTTGTAGGTGTAGGATTTTTTTTTTTTTTTAACGTAATTTTCCTGCATATGCAGTTTTGCATTTTTAACCCAAACTTAATGTTCTTTTTAATGTTCTTGTACTTACAAAGATTTATCCTGTTTTTAGATTGATATCTCACCTTGGCAGAAATGAGATAAAATTTTAAAATATTCATTTGGTGGCTTTCACAGTGTTATTTGATCTCTAGGGTCTCCTGTGAGTTTGCTACATGGTGCATTGTATTACTTTCATCTTATAGATGAAGAAAGATATTAGTGTGGCTGAGTCGCATGCAGAATTTGGAGGAGCATGGTGCCGAATGAGCCTTGATGATTGTAGGGGCCACAACTGGAAAAGTAGATGTAAAATGGTGAGGTCGATCCCTCTGACACTTTCACATGCTCAGTCACACATCTTGAACATATAAGTTGGATCCTGTGCCTAGAGAGGTAGGTTTCTGAGCCAAGGCATATTCCAAAAATTCATGAGAAGCTGGCTTTCCCAGGCACAGTGAGCCCTCCCGGCTCACTAACTCCTGAATCATACCTCCTGCCCCTAGCCAAGTTTATCTAGGACTTGAGCACAAAGAAAAAGTGGGAGCATCTTTGAACAAGGAATATCTTGAAAAACTAGTTAAATGGTATCATATATTTGTGGGATGGGTGATTTCAAAACCCAATCTAAAAGGACAGGACCTTGCTCATTGACAATTTATTGTCTGATGCAATGTTTCTTAATCTTTTTGGGTCTTGGATTCCTTTGAGAATCTTTTGAAGTTTATGGACTCTTTTCCCAGAAGAACACACTCATGTGTATGTAACACAATTTTGCATTCAATCTTAGGGACTGCAGGTGTCTACATTAGTTATATATTGGTGTAAAAAAAAAAGCCCCAAACTTAAGGCTTAAAGGAACAATAGATGTTTATTATCTCACAGTTTCTGTGGTTCAGAAAGTCAGTAACATCTTAACTGGATACTTCTGACTCGGAGTCTCTTAGGAGGTTGCAATCAAGATGTTGTTGGGGGGAAAGGGGCAGGTTCAGTGGCTCATGCCTGTAATCTCTACACTCTGGGAAGCAAAGCCAGGAGGATTACTTGAGCCCAGGAGTTTGAGACCAGCCTGGGCAACACAGTGAGACCCTATGTATTAGTCAGTTCTCACATTGCTATAAATACATGAGACTGGAGAATTTATAAAGAAAAGAGGTTTAATTGTCTCGCAGTTCCACAGGCTGTTCAGGGAGCTTAATGCTGGCATCTGCTCAGCTTCTGGGGCAAGCACAGGAAACTTTCAATCATGGTGGAAGGTGAAGGGGAAGCAGGCACGCCTTACATGGCCAAAGCAGGAGCAAGAGAGAGAGGGGGGAGGTGCCACACACTTTTAAACAATTAGATACTGGGAGAACTCTAACGAGCACAGCACCAAAAGGGTGATGCTAAATCATTCATGAAAGATCCATTCCTGTGATCCAGTCACCTCCCACCAGGCCCCACCTCTAACATTGGGGATTATAATTGAACGTGAGATTTAGGTGGGTACACAGACCCCAACCATATCATCCCATCTCTATAAGAAATAAAAAAGTTATCCAGGCATGGTGGTGTGTGCTGGTGGTCCCAGATACTCAGGAGGCTGATGTGGGAGGGTCACTTGAGCCTCAGAGGTCAAGGCTTCAGTGAGCTATGATTGCACCACTGCACTCCAGCCTGGGTGACAGAGTGAGACCCTGTCTCAACAACAACAAAAAGATGCCTGGGGTTGACATTATCTGAAGGCTTGACTGAGTTGACTGAGGCTGGAGAATCTACTTCCAGTCACATGCTAGCCAAGTTAGTGCTAGCTGCTGGCAGGAGGCCTCATGGGGTCCTCCCCATATGGCTGCTTTGATGTCCTCATAACATCGTGCTTGTCTTTTTATGACCTAGCCCTGGAAGTCACATTCCACCATTTGTGCATTTCCTATTGGTCACATAGGTCAGTCCTATTTAGTGCATAGGGCAAGGTCTGAGAGGGGAGTAGTGCTCACTGCCCATGCCCTCTCCTGGTGCACGCCGCTTCCAGCACCCAGAAGCTCTCCTAACTCCATTATTTAGGGTTTTCATATGGGATTTCATTACGTGGGTATGACTGATCAAATCACTGACCAATGCTGATTGGATCAATCTGCGGTCCCCCTCTTGTCCTTGGAGGTCTAAGGGCGGGGCTGAAAACTCCACAATTCTAAGCGTGGCCAGCTCCTTCCTTGAAACTGCCTCCGTGCTCACCTTCAGTCACCTCGTTAGCATAAACTCTGGGATGGCCAAAAGGGGCTTCTTATAAATAACAAAAGGTACTCCCATTGCTTAGGAAGTTCCAAGGGGTTTAGGAGCTCAGTGCCAGGAACTGGGGACAAAGACCAAATATGTATGTGTATATATATATATATATATATATATATATATATAAATACTACAGTAGTGAATTTTATATAGCAAACATGCATTATTTTTCTTTTTGGCTAAAATTTTTTTCTAGTTATAAAACTGGTACATACTCATTGCAGAGGACTGGGGGAAGGAGTAAAATATTAAGAAAAAAATAAAAATCACTTGCCATCCTGTCACCTAGTATTTTCTTTCTAGTTCTTTTCATGCAGTTATATATAACATTTTGATCTTTCTTTTTATGTTACAGAAGTCATATTTGCTTATTGCAGAGTAATCCAAAGAGTACAGAATGTCTAAAGTTAAAAAAGTTATTTAAAAAAAATGATCCTTGCCTGGGAGGAACTTTCTATTGTAGGCTGAGAGGGGAGATAGAGGGGCTGTGGGTCAGAGGATGCCCTGGTCAGGGTTGGGCGCCTGTGTCTCTTTGGAGGCAGCAGAGGTCTGCACAGCGGGGTATTACCATTATAGGGAAATGGTGGGGTGGGATGTGTGGAAGGGGAATTAAACTGCCAAGAAGAAAACAATTCTTTTTATGTTGAGAAGCATTATTTTCAGGGGTCAGAAGCCCTTTGTGGGGCAGAGGGAAAATAAGGAGGTATTTAATAAACAGGTGCAGCTGAATGTGTGTGGTTAAAGTGCAATCCAGTAGTTATTTATTTGTCCAGATTGTTTATAACCTGCTTCCAGCCTAGACAAGTTGATTTGACCCTGCTGTCCTGGCTCATTCAGGCCACTTAACACTGTTTACCTTTGGGTGGGGAGGACGTGCATGATCCGCTGGCCTAGTGCCTTTGTAAGGTCTGTAAATCGGATGCATTCTGGTTAAACTCATTATTGCATCACAAAAGCCAGTATCTGATGGGTCTCAGCTGTTTTCTTTTGCACTGGGGAAGACTGGAGGAGAATGAAACTTCCTTGAACCAGTGATTGGGTCTCTACCAAAGAGAGAAACTTAAAGCCAGTGAGAGCCTTAAGATATTTCATTTGAGCACTTGGCTGGCACCACGTAGGTAGAGACACTTTAAAGTAACAGTGCTTTGCTACACCTGATTTGAATCATCTGTGGAGCTTCAAAAAAAACCCTAATTAATCCTAAGACCAGTTATGTCAGGTGGGGTCCAGGCACTGTTATTTTTTTTAAAGCTCCCCAGGTGATTCCAGTGTAGGTCCAGGATTGAGAAGCAGTTCTTGAAGATGCTGGTGTACCCTGACCTGCCTCCAGCCTTCTTTGCAGGAGATGGATGGGGGTTGGTTGTAGTTGCTCTGTCATAGAACACTGCAATTCTAAGGATGCCTAATGTTATGAATGTAGGTAAATTGTTTGCAAAATGTTCTGTGTTTCAGGAATACTGCAATCATTTGATTTAAGTGTCACCATATGTGTGTGTGTATACAGTCATGGGTCACTTAATGATGGGGACATGTTTTAAGAAATGCATCATTAGGCAATTTCATTCTTGTGTGAACATCATAGGGTGTATTTCAACAAACCTAGATGGGATATATATTTTCATTTATATATTTTATTATGGAAAATCAAATGTCCCAGCACTGTTACTAAATATCAGTCATTTCCCCTACTTGATCTGCCATGCCAACATTAAGTGCCATATATTAGATCTCTATATATGCTCCATTATAATCTTACAGGATCACTGTTGCACATGTGTTTCCTCATTGACTGAAATGTTATTCAGTGCATGACTGTACATATATTAAAAATGTTATGCACCATATTTTAACATACTGATGTTACTAATGAGTTGTCCTCATGGTGACTTTAAATGTCATAATTAATGCCATCAACCAGAATATATCAAATAAATTCAGATACCACTTGTTCTGTTTATTTCCTTCCCCTGCCAATTTTTTATTTTTCCTGGTTCTGCTGAAGCCAAGATGGGGTGCTGTGTAAGATTTTGTTTGTGAGGAAAGGTTCTGCATGAATTAAAGTTTTGCAAGCCATGGGCATTTCATTGTATGGGCCGTTTTGAGGTCTGTCATCTTGCAGATTAGATTAGCTTACACTGAGGCACAGTCACCTGCTGGGCTGGGCAGAGAGCTGCACTCCACTAGTATTTGAGCTGTCCCGGCTGTTCACCAGCTGGATCCACTTCAGATAGGCATAGCCAGGGCAGCCGCCATTCCCATTTGTGGGGGAAAAGGGAAGCTATCACAAGAATGGGCTGCAGCTGTGGGATGAGGTGGGCAGCCCAGTGATGGTGTCATTGTCAAGGGGCCGTTGAAATGTCCTTAAGCAGTCATTGGCCAAATCCTGTCCTCTATGGATCCAGAGCCACAGAATGTTCCAGCAGAAATATGTCTTAGCCAGCAGCTCTTTATTGAGGACTGATTGTGGGCTAGGCTCTGTGCTAGGGTCTTTACAGATGTTACTAAATCTTCTCAATAACCCTATGAGACAGGCATTATTATCCCCATCTTACCGATGAGAAAACTGAGGCTTAGAGAGGTTAAGCAGCTTATCCAAGATCACAGTTAATAAGTGACAAAGCCAGCATCGGAACCCATGCTAGTGCTCTCTAAAGCGTTCTTAGAAATCATGTGATAGATGAGAAGATCAAGGTCTGGAGAAGAAAAGCAAGTTGTCTGAGATGACACAACCAGCTCTAATTGGTGGCAAAGCTGCACCTATAACTCACCTGCGCTTTTCACAACCTGCAGTACGTGACCACTGCCGAAATGAAGAGGCAGGGGTGTGCCCCCTCCCACCTTCTGAGTGGCTCAGGCACAATCAATGTTGAGTTGGCACGAAATGAGAAATTAAACTCACCATGCCACTTTAAGAAGAACATGGAGAAGGCAGGCAGAAGTGACCGTGGAGAACAGTATCTGAGCCAGAAGGCAGGAGGTCAGCGGGGGAGTCTTGAGTGGGAAACTCAAGGGTAGCCTGACTGTCCTTGTCACAGGTTTAGCTGGGCACTGTTAGTTCCCCCCTTTGTCAGTTTGTGGGAATCTGGGCATCAGGGATCTGTTTCAGCCCTTCACATTTGTATTTGGGTGTGCTCAGCTTAAAACGATAGCAGCCTGCAGGAGCTCAGCCCTGCCTCCATTTATGGAGGGAAGAGAAACTAAGGAATGCTCCTTGGGGTGGTGTTGGGGAGCAGCTACATGGGAAAATGAAGGGTGCAGCACCAGTAAAAAGGTGCTCCCAGGACTCCCTCCCACCAGCACTCGGACCAAGGAAGAAGCATTTAATTTCAGCCAGATTCCTAGATGGTTGCTTTTATTTGTTTTCATCTGAATTTGTGCCAAGGATTCAACTTTTCCTGCTTATTTTATTAAAAACTTTATACACAGCATTAATAAATAGATATAAAACTGCCGTATACATGACAAACAGAGGGGCTAAATGAAATTCCCAAGGGTCAGCTGTTGAATAAGTAACAAAAGCACATCTTGGCATGATCAAATTCCCATATATATGCAAATTAGGGACAGTGCTTTACCACAGAGTGTTTTAATTAATATTTATAAATCACAGAGTGCCTTTGAAAGGGCCAGTAAGCTGTTTATATTATTATCATGTCACACAAATAACAAACCCTTTGGAGATTGCTGCCTACTTTGCATTTTGGTCTGAGAAGTAAGTGAGCATGTTGCGTGTGTTTCTCTCCCTCGTAGGTGTGGTGTCAGCACAGCGGCAGGTCACCGTTCAGGAAGGACCCTTGTACCGCACGGAGGGCTCCCACATCACTATCTGGTGCAATGTGAGTGGCTACCAGGGACCTTCTGAACAGAATTTCCAGTGGTCCATTTACCTGCCTTCGTCGCCAGAGCGAGAGGTGCAGATCGTCAGCACCATGGACTCTTCCTTCCCCTATGCCATCTACACCCAGCGCGTCCGCGGAGGGAAGATCTTCATAGAAAGAGTCCAGGGGAACCCAACCCTATTGCACATCACAGATCTTCAGGCCCGGGATGCCGGGGAATATGAATGCCACACACCCAGCACCGAGAAGCAATACTTTGGGAGTTAACAGTGCAAAGATGAACCTAGTGGGTAAGGAGAAGCTGTCTTCACGTTGCCAGCGTCTGGCCTGACTCAGTTCTTTAGTAGTGTAATTTTGCTTTATGCCATGCATTTGACTTTAAAAAAAATCCCAAAACTCCCAGCATATTTTAGGGGTCAACAGATAGCACAAGGAAACTAAATTTCTGTGTTCACTTCTAAATAATAGGTGGTTGAGGGTGAAACTTTAAAAAGATCTAATGCAGATGTTAAGAATTTCGTAAGTTAACTAACCCTGTAACTGGTGAAAAGGGATATGAAAATATAAGGCAAGGACGTTTGTGGTTGATGATCTGAATGACAAGGAAGATGAGACGTATGACATCAGTTGGGAGAGAGGAGAAACCTCTCGGAAGGATAGGCCTTTGGGTAGCTCTGAGACCCACGGGGCACTGCTGAAGCAGGAAGCACATGTGGCTGCGGGTCCTTGCTCAGACCTTGTACATTGAAGGTCCTTTGGCTCCATGCGTAAGGAACTATGAACTGGCTGTCTCCCTTGTTGCTCCTTAATGCTGAAGGAAACATGAGGAAGAGGGATGCAGGAGCTTCCAGTGTGGGCAGCACTGGTCACAGTGTTTGCCAGTGTCAAAGGGTTAACCATATCAAGGCTGTTCTGTTTTTCTGCCTATATTAATGTCCAGTTTTTATTATCACAACTAAGCAGTGGGTGTTGCTAGTTCTTTTATTAATACACATACTATCATTTGTTTATTTTTCCTTTCTCTAACTAGTCTGTGTCCCAGCAGGAGACCTTTTTTTTCTTGTGTGTGTGTGTGTGTGTGTGTGACGGAGTTTCACTCTTGTGGCCCAGGCTGGAGTGCAGTGGTGCAATCTTGCCTCACTGCAACCTCCACCTCCCGGGTTCAAGCAATTCTCCTGCCTCAGCTCCTGAGTAGCTGGGATTACAGGCACCTGCCACCATGCCTGGCTAATTTTTTGTATTTTTAGTGGAGATGGGGGTTTCACCATGTTGGCCAGACTGGTCTCGAACTCTTCACCTCAGGTGATCCACCTGCCTCTGCCTTCCAAAGTGCTGGGATTATAGGCGTGAGCCACTGCACCCGGCCATGTGATGGGAATGTTCTGTGTCCATAATAGATGCTGCATATTGCTGGCCCAGCTCCTGAGGCTCTTTGGACCTCCAGGAATCGGTGTCTCTATCAGGAACCCTTAACCCTGACCCGGACTCCCAGCTGGGACCCAGGGTGTTGGAGTGGCAAGAGCGCTGTCAGGCCTGGTGAAGGGTGTGAGCTGTCCAACGGGGCAGGGAGGAGGCAGGGCCTGTTCTGCAGTTGGACAGACAGAGCCCTCTAGCTGCTTTCTGGAAGACTGAAGGGCAGGTGATGTTGGAGGGAGGGAGTGCAGGCGGGGGCTGTGAGGGAGTTCAGGTCAGAAACAGGTGGCGCCTGGATTCAGGCTGTGGTGGTCACGGTGGGGATGAGGGGCTGCTTTGGATTGTGCTGAGGATGTGGGGTGGTGCGCTGCTGCATGACTACTGCCAGGTCTCTCTGCTCTTGGTGTCTGCATCCAGGGCTGGGAGGGGGTCAAATGTATCACACTATCGGCCCCAGGCCCACCAAGCCTGGGGAGGTGGCCACCCTTCCATGATGGCATTTGGATGTTCCCTGTGTGTGGGGAGGGCACGGGGACTCCATTCATAGACCACCTCTGGGACAGTGTGTCTGCCTCTGAGGTCAGACGCTCTGCACTGGGACAGCGTGGAGTGGAGGGAAACCAAGCTTGGGGCTCATTGGAGGGGCTTGCTGGCAGACACCGCCCTTTGTGGGAAACTGACTGTGGGAGAGGGGAACCCCAACCTCTGTCACCACATCCCTCTTCCCTGTTGTCACACCTGTCACCTGCTGCCGTAGCCATGAGACTTCCCAAGGGTCACTGCTGCCACTCACTGCACAGCCTGGAAGGGAGTCCACAGGGGACATACAGTGAGCAAGAGACCTGTGCCACTCAGGCCTCCTGGGGGTGTCCCCAGTGCAGCCATGATGATAATCACAGCTACCATTCACCAAGCCCTGCCCACAGTCTAACCTACTCTATTCACAACACTCCCAGCAGCAAGGCAAGTGAGGTGCTGCCGTCATCCAGGCTGGACAGTTCAGTGATTTGCCTGAGGCCCCACAGCAGGTGAGTGGCAAGTCCAGCGTCAGAGCAGGGCAGGCTGGCGGTGCCCCCTGAGCCCCCTTTGCCATGCTTACCGCATGCACATCCTGGGCTTGTGCAGGAATGCCCTGTCCCCTACCTGCCCTGCTCCGTGCAAAACCCTGTGCCTGGGAGACATGCTGAGAGAATTCATGGAAACAAATGTGTTACTGACAGCCTCTTTGCCTCCAGAGTTCAACTGGAGACAGAGAAACCAGCTAGAGGCAGAGGGAGGTAACACGGAGTCCCCCAGAAAGGTCTGGGCTGTGCGTGCTTCAGGTAACCTCCCTTGACCTTCAGGAGAACGAGAAGGCTGCCTGATCAGAGAGTCTCTGAAGAAGATTCTGTGGCTACAGGCTTCAGCAGAGTGTGAGGGAGACCCCGGTTATTTCCTCAGCTGTTTCCACCAAATCCTCCTGTCTTTCGTGGCCAACACCCCAGGCAAGGCTTGGGGCCCCCGTCTGCTGCTGGACGGTAAGTCCTGGCCCCGTGGCAGTGAATCTGTGGGGCGCTCTGATTGTGGGCACTATGGAAGCTAAACCCCATGCTCCAGGTGGGGTGGAGGGTCTTCAGAGGACTCCTGGACAGTGCCAGGCTCTAGGCTGGGGTGGGGGACACAGGAGAAACCAGGCCAGGCCCATCCCTGCTGGAGCTTCTCCCTAAGCAGTGGAGGCTCAGCCACTGTGAGGAGGTAGGCCAGGCCCTGCAGAAAGAGGGGTGTGGAAATCTGGGGGCTCCCAGGAAGGGCCGCTGCTGGAGATGGGGTTCTTACCAGGATGGGCTCTGAAGATAAGCAGGGAGGATTTGGGAGGGCAGAGATGAGGCCCAGAGCTTCTGGCAGAGGGCATGGCCTGCGCAAAGGTCTGGGGGCCGGACAGCCTGCACGTATTCTGGGAAGCGGGAAGGAGACACAGGCCTTGTGTTTCTGAGGCCTGACTTTAGACTGTGCCCTGTTGGGGAGGGGCCAGGGCATGTCTGAGGCTGGGCCTGACCCTGCTCCTTACCCCGTGGGTGCAGCAGAGCCATGAAGAAGAAGTTAGTGGTGCTGGGCCTGCTGGCCGTGGTCCTGGTGCTGGTCATTGTCGGCCTCTGTCTCTGGCTGCCCTCGGCCTCCAAGGAACCTGACAACCATGTGTACACCAGGGCTGCCGTGGCCGCGGATGCCAAGCAGTGCTTGGAGATTGGGAGGTGAGCGGGGCAGGGCATGGGACATGGGCCCTGAAAACTGGGCAAGTGGACCTGAGCAATACCTTCACCCCTCTGAGACTCAGTTTCCCCACATGTAAGCTTCGCTTGGACTCTCTCAGTAGCCTTTGGGAAGGGGACGGTGACTCCGAGAGCAGGGTGTGGGTCTCTAGAGCCAAACAGGGCCCCTTTTCTCAGTTCTAAGAGTCTCTGTTTCTTTGGATAAACTCCACTGTTTTGTTGTTTGGTTGTTATTTTTACTTATTTCTTCCTATCTATCTATCTATCTATCTATCTATCTATCTATCTATCTATTATCTATCTATCTATCTATCTATCTATCTATCTATCTATCTATCTATATCTATTTAGAGATGGAGTTTTGCTCTGTTGCCAGGCTGGAGTGCAGTGGTGCAATCTCAGTTAACTGCAACCTCCGCCTCCCAAGTTAAAGCGATTCTCATGCCTAAGCCTCCCAAGTAGCTGGGATTATAGGAGTGCGCCACCACGCCCAACAAATTTGTGTGTGTGTATATGTGTGTGTGTGTGTGTGTGTGTGTGTGTTTTCTGAGACAGAGTATCGCTCTGTTACCCAGGCTGGAGGGCAGTGGTGCAATCTTGGCTTACTGCAGCCTCCACCTCCCAGGTTCAAGTGATTCTCCTGCCTCAGCCTCCACAGTAGCTGAGACTACAGGCATGTGCCACCATGCCCAGCTAATTTTTGTATTTTTAGTAGAGACAGGGTTTTGCTATGTTGGCCAGGCTGGTCTTGAACTCCTGACCTTGTGATCCTCCCACCTCTGCCTCTCAAAGTGCTGGGATTACAGGTGTGAGCCACTGCGCCTGGCCTAATTATGGTGTTTTTAGTAGAGATGGGGTTTCACCATGTTGGTCAGGCTGGTCTCGAACTCCTGACCTCAGGTAATCCACCCACCTGGGCCTCCCAAAGTGTTGGGATTACAGGTATGAGCCACCACGCCCGGCTTATTCTTTTCTTTTCTTTTCTTTTTTTTTTTTTGGTTAGGAGACAATTTCTTTCTTTCTTTTTTTTATTTTATTTTATTATTATACTTTAAGTTTTAGGGTACATGTGCACAATGTGCAGGTTTGTTACATATGTACACATGTGCCATGTTGGTGTGCTGCACCCACCAACTCGTCATTTAGCATTAGGTATATCTCCCAATGCCATCCCTCCCCCCTCCCCCCTCCCCCCAAGGAACGCTGTTGCCCAAACAGGGACATGAAGGGCTTATTCTTTTTTTAAGGTGGAGTCTTACTCTGTCACCCAGGCTGGAGTATAGGGGAGCGATCATAGCCCACTGCAGCCTCAAACTCTTGGGTTTAAGTGATCCTCCCGCCTCAGCTTCCTAAAGTGCTGGGATTACAGGTGTGAGCCATGGTGCCTGGCTTCTACTGTGTTATTCTATTTTAGACTCTTATCTCATGTTATATATAAAGATAAGTTCCCTCCTAAAGACTTAAACAGAAAAAATATTATGTTTTTCATATTTTGAGACAGGGTCTTGTTCTGTCACCCAGGCTGGAGTGCAGTGGCATGATCATAGCTCACTGCAGCCTTGAACTCTTGGGCTTAAGCGATCCTCTCACCTCAGCCCCCTGAGTAGCTAGGACTACAGGCGTGCATCATACCTGACTAATTAAAAAAGACTGTTTTGTAGAGATGGTCTCACTCTATTGCCCAGGCTGGTCTTGAACTCCTGGCCTCAAGTGATCCTCCACCTTGGCCTCCCAAAGTGCTGAGATTACAGGTGTAAGCCACCATCTCTAGCAGGGAAAAAAAAAATGTTATTAATAAAGTATAGCAATTTCCCTTTTTGTCCCAATTATAAAAGTCATGTACATTTGTTTGCTTAATAAAGAGGAAACTGTCTGGGCAAGGTGGTCCACACCTGTAATCCCAGCACTTTGGGGGGTTGAGGCGGGCAGACCACTGAGGTCAGGAGTTCGAGACCAGCCTGGCCAACATGGTGCACTCTGTCCCTACTAAAAATATAAAAAGTTAGCCGGGCATGGTGGTGTGCGCCTGTAATCCCAGCTACTCAGGAGGCTGAGGCAGGAGAATCGCTTGAACCCAGGAGGCAGAGGTTGCAGTGAGCTAAGATCATGCCACTGCACTCCAGCCTGGGCAACTGAGTGAAACTCTGTCTCAGAAAAAAAAAAAAAGAAAAAAGAAAAGAAAAAGAAGAAACTGTAATCCCAGCACTTTGGGAGGTTGAGGCGATAGGATTGCTTTAGACCATGAGTTTGAGACCAGCCTGGGCAACATAGAAAGACCCTATCTCTACGAAAAAGACAAAAAATTGCCCGGTGTGGTGGTTCTTACCTGTAGTCCCAGCTACTCAGGAGACTGAAGTGGGAGGATTGCTTGAGCCCAGGAGGTCAAAGCTGCATTGAGCCAAGACTGTGCCACTGCACTTCATCCTGGGTGACAAAGTGAGACCCTGTCTCATAAAACAAAGGCTGGGCACAGTGGCTCATGCCTGTAATACCAGCACTTTGGGAGGCCAAGGTGGGTGGATTACTTGAGCACAGGAGTTCTTGACCAGCCTGGGCAACATGATGAAACCCCATCTCTACAAAATACACAAACAAACAAAATTGGCTGGGCATGGTGGCATGTGCCCATAGTCCCAGCTACTTGGGAGGCTGAGATGGGAGGGTCAATTGAGCCCAGGAGACTGAGGCTGCAGTGATCCAAGATCACACCACTGCACTCCAGCCTGAGCAACAAAGAGAGACTTTGTCTCCAAAAAAAAAAAAAAAAAAAAAAAGAGGCCAAGGCAGGTGGATCATGAAGTCAAGAGATAGAGACCATCCTGGCCAACATGGTGAAACCCCGTCTCTACTAAAAATACAAAAATTAGCTGGGCGTGGTGGCATGCACCTGTAGTCCCAGCTACTCAGGAGGCTGAGGCAGGAGAATGGCTTGAACCCGGGAGGCAGAGGTTGCAGTGAGCTGAGATCGTGCCACTGCACTCCAGCCTGGCAATAGAGCAAGACTCCATCTCAAAAAAAAGAGAAAGAAACTAAAAACAAAAACCCCAAAACTCGAATGGACTTCTCTTCCATCCTCCTTTGGGCAGGTGGGCAGCAGGGTGTGTATGCGGGGCCAGGGTGGAAGCCTGCAGGTTCTCATGCCTTTATGTGCCACATGGCAGGGACACACTGCGGGACGGTGGCTCTGCAGTGGATGCAGCCATTGCAGCCCTGTTGTGTGTGGGGCTCATGAATGCCCACAGCATGGGCATCGGGGTTGGCCTCTTCCTCACCATCTACAACAGCACCACTCATGAGTGCCTCGGAAGCGGAGAGGGAGAGGGGCAGGGGGTGTGGGTTGGGCCGAGGCACAGCTGGGTGGCCCCCAGGCTCACGTGGCATAAAGGGTTTTGGTGGGTGGGCCTGCCTACCTGCTTCTTCTAGGAAAAGCTGAGGTCATCAATGCCCGCGAGGTGGCCCCCAGGCTGGCCTTTGCCAGCATGTTCAACAGCTCGGAGCAGTCCCAGAAGGGTAAGCCATGCGGCAGACTTGGGGCGTGGGTGCAGAGCTGGCTGAGCCACCGGGAAGGGGCCTTGCCCACAGGAGCCTGCTCCCGTCAGGGTTCAGGGGCAGTTCTAGCACCCCCCATCCCTTCCTGTCCCCATAGCACCCTCCCACAGTGAGTGGTCAGGACCATCATCACCATGGTAAAGGGCCGGGAGCTTCTGTTATTTCTGCTAAGGCCTCCGGGGCCACTCTGTGCAGCACATGGAAAGAATAATTATTATGCTAGCAGACCTCATGGATCAGGGCTCACTGGGGCCCATGCTCTGCTCTGTGCTTTTCACCCACGAGCCTCTCACAACCCTCCCTGCTCCTTTGGGCAAGGGGATGCTGTGTGGATTCCCATTTTACAGGGTGGGGATGCTGAGGCTCAGACAGGTCATGCAAATCAGCTGAGGTCACACAGCTGGGAGGTGGTGAAGCTAAAATTGAACCCAGGCTGTCTATATCCTGCCTTTTCAACAGGCATCCCATTCACTCATTTGTTCATTTGTGGGGATGGCGCTCTAGAATGTGAGGTGGAGTCTCTCTTTTCTAATCTGGTCTTAAGTGGGGAGGAGGCCCCCAAATTCCCCAGGTACCTGAGGGGAAGCCACTGTCCATCCAGGAAGCCACTGTCTGTCCCCAAAGGAGGCACAATAGAGTGTGAGATAAAAGTTGGAGGATGGGAGGGTCTCAACAACTCACACCTCTAATCCTAGCACTTTAGGAGGCCAAGTCAGGAGGAGCGCATGAGCCCAGGAGACCTGCCTGGACAACATAGCAAGACTCCATCTCTACAAAAAATGGAAAAAAAAATTAGCTAGGTATGGCGGTGTGTGCTTATGGTCCCAGTTACTCGGGAGGCTAAGGTGGGAGGATCACTTGAGCCCAGGAGGTTGAGGCTGCAGTCAGCCATGATTATACCACTACACTCTAGCTTGGGCAACAAAGTGAGACCCTGTCAAAAAAAAAAAAAAAAAAAGGCTGGGCCTTTTTTTCACAGGCTCACGCCTGTAATCCCAGCACTTTGGGAGGCTGAGGCAGATGGATCACCTAGGTCAGGAGTCCAAGACCAGCCTGGCCAACATAGTGAAACCCTTTCTCTACTAAAAGTACAATAATTAGTCGGGCGTGGTGGCACAGGCCTGTAATATCCCAGCTACTCAGGAGGCTAAGGCAGGAGAATCGCTTGAACCCACGAGGTAGAGATTGCTGTGAGCCGAGATCATGCCACTGCACTCCAGCCTGGGCAACAAGAACGAAGCTCCGTCTCAAAAAAAAAAAAAAAAAAAAAAAGTTGGAGGATGGAGGGGCAGGACACACTCACCATAGCAGGTCTTAGACTTCAGGTGGGGGTCCTGGGTGGTGCCCTTTGGAGTCTTCTGCAACATACTCAATCTTTGATTTTTTTTTTCTTTTTTTTTTTTTGAGACGGAGTCTCACTCTGTCGCCCAGGTTGGAGTGCAGTGGTGCGATCTCAGCTCACTGCAAGTTCCGCCTCCTGAGTTCACGCCATTCTCCTGCCTCAGCCTCCCGAGTAGCTGGGACTACAGGCGCCCGCCACCACACCCGGCTAATTTTTTGTATTTTTTAGTAGAGACGGGTTTTCACTGTGTTGCCCAGGCTGGTCCCTCGATCTCCTGACCTCGTGATCCCCCTGCCTCAGCCTCCCAAAGTGCTGGAATTACAGGCGTGAGCCACTGTGCCCGACCAATCTTTCATTTGTTTTTAATACTCACTGAGAAACTCAGCATCTGTAGACATGAAGTTGCTGAGGGTAAGAGAATGCGGGAATCATAGGCTTGGCACCTTGTGGACGCTTAAAACCATTTATTTGACTAGAATGTATTGAGCATTGTCTTAAAGAATCAGCTGTTGTTCCTGAAGCTGGGGTGAAAAACAAAGACGGCAGATGAAATCTGTGACACTCCAGGTGGGAGGAGAAACTAGGCAAGTGCGGGTGTGTTACGGGCTGTAGAAAAACAGACCTGGAGGGCCTCAAAATCTGGGACTCTATGGAGGGTGACCTAGTCAGGGAAGGGGACATCTGAGCAAAGACCCAGAGGCAGAGATGGGGTCAGGGGAGTTATCTCCTGGTCTGCTATCCAGGTGTGATGGCAGGGACAGAGCCCTGTGGGGAGCTGGGGAGGCTGCAGCAAGTGATCCAAGGGGAATGGCCCAGGTTGTGCGGGATCTCTTAGGTTATGGTGAAGCCTCTGCTTCCTGTCTGAGGGAAGTGGGGGCTCGTGGAGTGTGTGACTGGAAGGGGATGGATCTGGTCTATGGACCCCTTGGATTGCTGTGTAAGGGGCAGGGAGCATGTGGGGACCTGTCCGGAGGTCACTGCAGTAATTCGTGGAGAGGGTGCTGGGAAGTGGCTGACGCTGCACAGACACACTTGGAAGTGGAGCCTGTGGATTTGAGGATGGGTTGGGTGTGACGCTTGTGTAGGGAGTCCCCGGGGACCCCTGATCTTTTGTCTGTACCTGGAAGGATGGGGTGACCCTAATGGAGACAGGCAGGGTTCTCAGGAAGCAGGTTGAGCAGACACTCAGGAGCTCGGTTTTGGGCACGTTGAAGTTTGAGATGCTTTCTTCAAGCAGGCAGGTAGATCCTCAGGTCTGGTGATCGGAGGAGCAGTCCAGGCCAGCAGGTCAATTTGAGAGTTGTCAGTGCATAAATGGAGGCTGAAGCTCAGATGTCAAGCAGACCACCAGGAGAGAGAGCAAAGACAGAGGGGAGAGTAGGAGCTAGGATGGCAGGCGGGGGAGACTCGGGTGGAGCCAGGTGCTGGGATGCAGGGGCGGCTCTCAGGGAGAGTGATGAGCCCAGTAAAGCTGAGAGGGGGCACTGGGTCTGGCAGTGTGGGGGTCACCAGAGAACTTGGCAAGTGTGGTGGCATGAGAGCCTGATTGGGCTGAGGTCAGGAGGAGATTTTTTTCTGATATTGATACATGATATTTTCTATATTTATGGGTACATGTGAGTGCTTGTTCCATGCATAGAGTGTATAATGATCAAGGCAGGGTATTTGGAGTCTCCGTCACCTTGAATATTTTTCATTTCTGGGTGTTAGCACCATAGTGCTCTCTTCGTTACTTTGAAATATACAAAATACTGTTGCTAAGCATCGTCACCCTGGTCTGCTATCAAAGATTAGAACTTCTCCTGTCTTGGCTGGGCACGGTGGCTCACGCCTGTCATCCCAGCACCTTGGAAGGCTGAGGTGGGTGGATGACCTGAGGTCAGGAGTCTGAAAACAGCCTGGCCAACATGGCAAAACCCCATCTGTACTAAAAATACAAAAATTAGCCTGGCGTGCTGGCCTGTGCCTGTAATCCCAGCTACTCGGGAGGCTGAGGCAGGAGAATCGCTTGAACCTGGGAGGCGGAGGTTATAGTGAGCTGAGATCATGCCACTGCACTGCAGTCTGGGAGACAGAGCAAGACTCCATCTCAAAAACAAACAAAGAAAAAAAAAACAAAACAAAAAAGAACTTCTGTCTAACTACAAGGTGGAAGGAATCATATGCTGGGTGTCAGACCTTCCGGGATATATGTGCAGCTTCTAGGAATTGAAACCACCAGCTCTTGGAAACTTGTGCCAGGCTTCAGGGTGGGAGAGGCAGTTCTAGAGCCACAGCCGCCAAGCCAAGGCAAATGGCCCCATCATCTCTCGCAAGAGCAGGAGAGTCCCTGGGGGCAGAGGCCATAGTTGTACCTTTCTGGGCAAAGGGTCAGTGTCTGTAGTGTCCATATGGGCAGTGGGGCTCGGGGGGAAGCAGGCCCAGGGGTCTGTTTCCAATGACCTCCTCAAAAGTCAGAACTGGAAGGCAAAACCCCTTATAGGCTGAGTGCACCTGTAATCCCAGCATGTTGGGAGGCTGAGGTGGGAGGATTGCTTGAGGCCAGAGTTTGAGACCAGTCTTGGCAACGTAGCAAGACCCCTGTCTCTACAAAAAATAAAAATAAAAAATTAGGCTGGGAGTGGTGGCTCACGCCTGTAATCCCAGAACTCTGAGAGGCTGAGGAGGATGGATCACCTGATGTTAGGAGTTCAAGACCAGCCTGACCAACCTGGTGAAACCCCGTCTCTACTAAAAATACAAAAATTAGCAAGGCGTGGTGGTACATGCCTGTAATCCCAGCTACTTGGGAGGCTGAGGCAGGAGAATTACTTGAACTCGGGAGGTGGAGGTTGGAGTGAGCCAAGATTGTGCCATTGCACTCCAGCCTGGGCAACAAGAGTGAAACTCCATCTCAGAAAAAAAAAAAAAAAAAAGCCACGTGCAGTGGGGTATGTCTGTAGTCTTAGGTACTTCAGAGGCTGAGGTGGGAGGATCGCTTGAGCCTGGGAAGCCAAGGCTGCAGTGAGCCATGATTGCACCACTGCACTCCAGCTGGGACAACAGAATGAGACCCTGGTCTCAAAACAGACAAACAAACAAAAACCCTTATAGTTGGATGCAGAAACTGAGGCTGGGAGAGGGGACAGGACGGAGATTAAGGCTCAGTCTTGCCTCTCTGGGGCAGTAGAAAAGAGGCAGGGAGCCCTTTCTTGGGGCTGGCTGTGTCTTGAAGGTGGCCTGTGCTTGACCTCGGTCAAGGTGGGATCTGCTCTTGTTTTGGCACATTCTGGTGGAGCCCATGAGTCTTACAGGATAAGGCCTTGTGGTCAGCGAGATGGGAGGGGGTCTGGCCTGGCACAGGATTTTAGACATGCAGGCACCTGCACAGACAGACACCTCATCCTGGGACAGCAAAACCCAGCCGCATGCTACTGCTTCCCCTGCTGTGCCCTCCTCAGACATCCCTGGTCCATGTACACTCCTACCTGCTGAGCCCCTCCTAAAAAAAAAAATTAAACATCCCCTCCTAAAAAAAAACAATTAAAATTAAAAAATAAATTTAAAAATTAAAAATCCCCTTCTGCTAGGTGTGCTGTTCACACCTGTAATCTCAGCGACTCAGGAGGCTGAGGTGGGAGGATTGCTTGAATCCAGGAGTTCGAGATTGGGCTGGGCAAGATGGCAAGACCCCAACTCAAAAAAGAAAAAAAAATCTTTCCTCCTAAGCCTCATTGCCCCATCTGTAAAGCGAGTCAGGGACTGTGCCTGGGATGCTGCCTGCGAGAGATCCCGATGTCCCCCACTCAGGGTCACTAACTGTGGCTCTCTCTCCCCAGGAGGGCTGTCGGTGGCGGTGCCTGGGGAGATCCGAGGCTATGAGCTGGCACACCAGCGGCATGGGCGGCTGCCCTGGGCTCGCCTCTTCCAGCCCAGCATCCAGCTGGCCCGCCAGGGCTTCCCCGTGGGCAAGGGCTTGGCGGCAGTCCTGGAAAACAAGCGGACCGTCATCGAGCAGCAGCCTGTCTTGTGGTATGTCTGTGGGTGCGGCCCCCTGACACAGGCAGGGCAGGCACAGCCCAAGGACCTTGCAGGCCGTAGCAGCAGTGGAGCGGCCCTCTGCCTTCAGGACCCTGTGCTGATAATGGGATGAGGAGATACAGACCCTTCCCACCACGTGTGGGGACACATTCTGAGCGTGGGGTCCCAGTGGCCACTGTGGCTGGCCACGTGTCCTGAGTGGCAAGGGACACTAGGAGGCTCCCGGAAGGGACACTAGGAGGACGAGCGCTGAGTGACAGGGCCACCCACCTGTGACAGGCGCTGCCCCTGTTCTGCTCCGTTCTCCTGTGTGGGCAGGTGTGGGGGGTGGTCTAGCTGAGTCCACCCCACCTGCTGCCTCACATGAGCCCCCTCTGCCCCAGTGAGGTGTTCTGCCGGGATAGAAAGGTGCTTCGGGAGGGGGAGAGACTGACCCTGCCGCGGCTGGCTGACACCTACGAGATGCTGGCCATCGAGGGTGCCCAGGCCTTCTACAACGGCAGCCTCATGGCCCAGATTGTGAAGGACATCCAGGCGGCTGGTGAGTGGGTAACCTCAAGGACCTGGGTGAGGAACTCTGCAGTGGAAACCCTGAGCTGTAGCCCAGAGCCATGGGGTCCTCCTGTCTTGCCTGAGCCTGCAGGAAGTTCCTGGTGGAGGAGGGTCAGTGACTGGCCATGTGGGTCCACAGCTCCTGCTTATATCAAAACCAAGAGAGGCCACACAGTCCAGGAGAGCAAGTCCCTGTTGGGGTAAATGCAGGTGTAGGCAAGAGCCAGGGCTAGGGAAGCACTAGAATACAGCCTGAAGATCCAGGAGGACTTCTTGGAGGAGGTGGCGGCTGGGCTGCAGATAACTTCGTTAGGCAGAGAGAGGAAGGGATTCCTAGCAGAGGAACAGCTGGGCTAAGGCCCAGTAGAGGGCGCTTTGATTCACCAAGAGGGTTACAAGGGATGAGGGTCGCCTTGAGAGAGGCATGGGGAAGGGGATTTGTGGGGCAGGGGCCTGGAGCTTGGCTGTGGCTTTCTTCAGGTAATTTTTGTCACTGTTTCATGGAGGAGGGTGATTAGCGTGTCGACCTTTACCACTGAGGCTGGAAATTGGCATGCCAATACCCTGTCTGGAGCTGACTCCAGGAGAATTAAGAGCCTCCCTCCCTCCCTCTATCCATTCATCGTGAGGAGAAGAGGCCAAGCAGCAGGGACACCGGCAGGAATTCTCCAGTTAGAAAAGGCCCTCTGAGCCAGGTGCGGTGGCTCACGTCTGTAATCCCAGCACTTTGGGAGGCCGAGGCGGGTGGATCACCTGAGGTCAGGAGTTCAAGACCAGCCTGGCCAACATGGTGAAACCCTGTCTCTACTAAAAATGCAAAATTAGTCAGGCATGGTGGGTTGTGCCTGTAATCCCAGCTACTTGGGAGGCTGTGGCAGGAGAATCGCTAGAACCTGTGGGGCTGAGGTTGCAGTGAGCCGAGATTGCACCACTGCACTCCACAGAGTGAGACTCCATCTCAAAAAAAAAAAAGAGAGAAAAGGCCCTCTGAGGCCAAGCTTGGTGTCTCATGCCTGTAATCCCAACACTTTGGGAGCCTGAGGTAGAAGTTGAGGTCAGGAGGTCCAAGACAAGCCTGGGCAACATAGTGAGTCTACAAAAAAAATATTGAGAATCTACATAAATATAGTGGGGGTGGGGGTGGGGAACAAGAAAACAAAAAATTCAAAGCATAGTGAAAAGAAATATAGCAAAACCCGGCCGGGCATGGTGCCTCACGCCTGTAATCTCAGCACTTTGAGAGGCCGAGGCGTGTGGATCACGGGGTCAGGAGATCGAGACCATCCTGGCTAACACAGTGAAACCTGTCTCTACTAAAAATACAGAAAAATTAGCCACATGTGGTGGCGGGTGCCTGCAGTCCCAGCTACTTGGGAGGCTGAGGCAGGAGAATGGCGTGAACCTGGGAGGCGGAGCTTGCAGTGAGCCGATATCGCGCCACTGCACTCCAGCCTGGGCGATAGAGCGAGACTCCGTCTCACAAAAAAAAAAAAAAAAGAAAGAAAGAAATATAGCAAAACACAACAAAAAAATTAAAATTTGCTGGGTGTAGTTGTGCCTTTAGTCTCAGCTACTGGGGAGGGTCTGCTGGAGGATCACTTGAGCCCAGGGGTTCAAGGCTGTGATTAAGCCACTGCACTCCAGCCTGGGTAACAGAGCAAGATCGTATCTCTAAAAAAAAAAAGAAAAAAGAAAACACTCTCTGGCCACAGATGAGAGAAGGCAGACAGGAAGCCAGTAAGCCAAGCAGGCAGAGGGCAGGTGGCCCCAGCCCAGCTGTCGGGTGGTGAGCAGTGTCAGGGAGACAGGAGTGCCGGAGCTGGTGAGGTTCCCAAGGAGGTGAGGTTGCCTGTGGCCCCCTCCCAGGGCACAGTCCCACCCCTCCAGTAGTGCACTCTGTCCTCCCTGGTAGGTACAGGCTTTTCCCCACCACCATGGTGCAGCCATGCCTGCCCCCAACACCACTGGTGCAGCTCCATCCTCCACGCAGTGGTGCAGCCCCATCCCAGCGCCCATTCGAGCTGCTGTCCCATTGCAGGGGGCATTGTGACAGCTGAGGACCTGAACAACTACTGTGCTGAGCTGATCGAGCACCCGCTGAACATCAGCCTGGGAGACGCGGTGCTGTACATGCCCAGTGCGCGGCTCAGCGGGCCCGTGCTGGCCCTCATCCTCAACATCCTCAAAGGTGAGTGGTCGCACCACAGCCGTGTGGTAGGACCCATGACACTGCCTCTCTCTCCCCACGCCCCACCCCTCCTGCATCTCTGCTCGCCCCCCATGCCACGTCTTTCCATCACTGAGCTCCTGAGGTGTGTCCCTGCGTCACAGCTCACCATGTCCTGAAGGAGGCAGTGCAGAGCAACAGGGCTGAAGCGGGCAATGCTCAAGGGTTGGAGGAGGAACAGGAGTCATCAGGAGGGAGAGAGGTGCAGGAGCTCAGGGCTGCAGGGCCGGTCCAGAGGGTACCCCAGTCCAGTGGGTGACCCTGCCACTTGGTCATTGAATGGCCAGAGCTGATGCGTGACGTGAGGTCCAGGCTCGGGAGCCCTCACCTTACTTCACTCTCACCACAGCCTTCTGAAGCAGCTGCTGCTATTGATTATTAAACGCTCCTTGAGGTGGGCAAAGTGGCTCAGGCAGGTGTTAACCCTCTGAGCCCCTCAGAGCCTCTGGGGCTCAGCAACATGCACCTGGCTCTGATCAACCAGGGTACAACTTCTCCCGGGAGAGCGTGGAGACCCCCGAGCAGAAGGGCCTGACGTACCACCGCATCGTAGAGGCTTTCCGGTTTGCCTACGCCAAGAGGACCCTGCTTGGGGACCCCAAGTTTGTGGATGTGACTGAGGTAAGGGGCAGGGGCTGGCCCACTGTGGGTGTGGGGCCTGCCGTAGAGGCATCAGGTGGGCTCCCCAGGGTGGCTACAGCCTCACATATGCTTTATGAATCCATTCCTGCCACAGAATTTGATTGCGGGCCTACTGTGTGCTCGGATGGACTTGTGGGTGACCCCCAGTCTTGGCTTCTGCCCCACAGAACTGACAGTGTGGGGAATTAGTGGCCACCCTCCTACCTCAGGTCCTTTGCACATGCTGTGGTTCTTGAGTGCTCAGTGCTGAGATGAGGAATGCATGGGGGCATTGCAGCCCTCGGGCATGGTGAGATGGATGGGTGAAAGGGAGAGGGCCAGGTGAACAGAGACCTCGGCCACCCACTCCCTGTCACTCCAAACTAACGCTTCCCAGATGCCACCCTCAGCCCTGCACCACCTGACCCACTCACCCAGTAGTTGCCCCAGCTCCATGCTGGGTCCCTATAAGACCCTGTCATATCCCTTCCCGCTGAGGATCCTCACATCCCTCCTTACCTACTTGGGTCCTTGGCATTCCTGGGCGGATCTGCAGACCCCCCCACACTGACCAGTGACCTCCCAGGAGGGGCGTCAGCTGCCCGGGTGGTGTCTTCTCTTTCCCTGTGAGCATTCTGCACCTCTGACTCCCGCTGCAGCCAGTGACCTGGTGTCTTGTCTCTCTGAGGGGACAGAGCCACTGCAGCGTGTCCCTCTGCCCTCCTTTTTGGCTAAGGCCAGCTCCTTCATCTACTCGCTGGCTCGGGGTGCTGTTCCTACAATGCTCCTGTCTGCCTCTGATGATTTATTTCTTTATCACGGATTATTCCCAAAAAAAAGGCAGCTGTTGTTGCTCTAGAAACTTCTATCTGCTGCCTCCTTCTGTCCTTTGCTCCTCTTAGAGCAAACATGGCTGGGCTATGTCCTCTCTCCCTTCAGGGTATCCCCTCCCCTGCTCTATCCCCATGCCACCAGATCGCCATGTCCAGCCTCAGTTTCCCCATCAGGCCCCACTCAGCAGCATCTCACACAGCTCACCACACTCTCCTCGAGTTTTCATTTTGCAAATTTTCGCACCTACAAAAATGTAAAAAAAACCCAAAACTGCCCAAGCATCAATGTTCCCTTTTCCTGGATTCTGCAGTGTGGACATTTCTGCCGGATTTCCTAACTCTCTCCGTCTCCACCCACATCTATTGGGATTCGTGTTTTTCTGAGGGATTCCACAGTAGGTTACTGATGTCGCACCTCAGGGTGTGTCTCAAAAGTGAGACTTGAACATAGCACAGCAGGATGTCGGGGTGACACAACCTGCTGTCCCTTCTCTTTACCTACAGTAGGCTCCCTTGGCTGTTTTGTTTTTGTTGTGTTTTTGTTTGTACACAGAGTCTCTGTCATCCAGGTTGGAGTGCAGTGGTGTGATCTTGGCTCACTGCAGCCTCAACCTCCAGGGCTCAAGCAATCCTCCCACTTCAGCCCCCTGAGCAGCTGGGACCAGAGGCAGGTGCCACCAAACCTGGATAATTTTTGTATTTTTTTTAGAGACAGGGTCTTGCCCAGACTGGTCTCAAACTCCTGGGATCAAACTGTCTTCCCACCTCAGCCTCCCAAAGCGCTGGGATTACAGGTGTGTTTTTTCTTTGAGACGGAGTCTCGCTCTGTTGCCCAGGCTGGAGTGCAGTGGTGCTATCTCGGCTCACTGCAAGCTCTGCCTCCTGGGTTCACGCCATTCTCCTGCCTCAGCCTCCCGAGTAGCTGGGACTACAGGCGCCCGACACTGCGCCCAGCTAATTTTTTGTATTTTTAGTAGAGACGGGGTTTCACCGTGATCGCGATCTCCTGACCTCGTGATCCGCCTGCCTCGGCCTCCCAAAGTGCTGGGATTACAGGCATGAGCCACCGTGCCTGGCCTGTTTTGTTGATTTTTAAAGCCCAGGGCAGTAGTCTTGGAAAATGTCCCACATCGTGGATTTGCCTTTCTGTTTCCTTGAGGGCAGATTCAGACAGAACACCTTTCCCTGGGATTGGTCAGCTAATCCGTGGGGTGTTGCTGAAACTTTATTTTATTTTATTTTATTTTTGAGACGGAGTCTCGCTCTGTCCCCCAGGCTGTCCCCCAGGCTGGAGTGCAGTGGCGGGATCTCGGCTCACTGCAAGCTCTGCCTCCCAGGTTCACGCCATTCTCCTGCCTCAGCCCCCCAAGTAGCTGGGACTACAGGTGCCCACCACCGCGCCCAGCTAATTTTTTGTATTTTTAGTAGAGACGGGGTTTCACTGTGTTAGCCAGGATGGTCTCGATCTCCTGACGTCATGATCCGCCCTCCCAAAGTGCTGGGATTACAGGCCTCGGCCTCCCAAAGTGCTGGGATTACAGGCGTGAGCCACCGCGCCCGGTGTTGAAACTCTCTTGAGGCATTTTCTTCGGCCTTCGGGTCCATCCTCTCTGTCTCCTCTTTGACCTCCTCATCTCCTCCTCGCCACTGCCTTGGGGACCTTGGCCAGGCTCATGGCATCCAGCAGCCACTCAATGTCAATACCTCCATGTTCATCTCTCAGCCCGCCCTTGCCCGTGAACCCATGCTTATTTATTTATTTTTTTTATACGTGCACCCATGCTCTTTGGGTCTGATGAAGTATCCAAAATCAAGCTCCTGACCATCCCCAAACCGGCCCCTTCTGCCGGCCTCGCTAGTCGGCACCATGCTTGATTCTTCTCTTTCTCCCACCCAGGCCATCATCTCTTGCCTGGTTGATACCCACAGCCTCCCCTTTGGGCTTTATCCTTATCCCCGTCATAGCTGCCAGAGGGACCCTGTGAAAACACTCCCCAGCCTCCTCATTCCTCTGCCCTAAGCCTGCATGGCACAGAGCAAAAGCCAGTTGTTATGGGACCTAGGAGGTCCTGTGGGATGGGCCCCAGCCTGCATCTTCATCCTCTTCTCCCCACCCTACTCCATTCACTCTCTGCCTATCGCTCACCAGCCTATGCCACCTGCCTCAGGGCCTTTGCACTGACCATTTAGGCCACTTTCCAGGCTCTTTTCACACGTTGCCTCCTCTGAGAAGCCCTCCCTGACCACTCTGCCCATACCTCATGCCTCTTGATTCCCCTTACCTGGCCTGTGGTTTCAGCACTTTCCCTGTGTGTGTTTGTTTTTCTTGGCATGAGGGCAGGACTTAAGTGTCTGTTCCCTGTTGATTCCCCAGTGCCAGGCATGCAGTGCAAATTCTAGAAATATTTTTTGCATGAAAGAATGAGTGATTGAATGTGGCAAGGGTCTGGAGGCTGAGGACCAGGCAGACAGACATTCAGAGTTGCTGGAACGCGACAGAGACAGGGAGTCAGACTGGTCATGCAAGGTCCTGGGCCTGCCCTTGGGTCCTGGGGAGCCACGGAAGGTTGTGGGTGCCAGAGGGTTGCGGTCAGAGTCACAGTCAAGGGCCTTCTGAGACCTGTGCCCCCTCCCCACCTCCTCAGGCCAGCTCTGGGGTCTCAGCAGGTGGTCCGCAACATGACCTCTGAGTTCTTCGCTGCCCAGCTCCGGTCCCAGATCTCTGACCACACCACTCACCCGATCTCCTACTACAAGCCCGAGTTCTACACGCCGGATGACGGGGGCACTGCTCACCTGTCTGTCGTCGCAGAGGACGGCAGTGCTGTGTCCGCCACCAGCACCATCAACCTCTAGTAGGGGCTGCTGGGCCGCCTGGGTGGGAAAGGGCCAGGGGCGGGTGGCCCAGGGACTGCCCACTTATCCAGTAAGGTGGCTCCATCACCTCTTTTCCTGGTGGGAAACTGAGGCCCAACCTTGGTAGCTTATCCTGGGCCTCTCAGTGAGTATGTTTGAGCCTCAGTGGGTGGATAGGGACCAGGCTGGGCCAGGCAAGGTCGGGTGCTGTCTGACCTGGCTGGGCGGTAGCTTTGGCTCCAAGGTCTGCTCCCCGGTCAGTGGGATCCTGTTCAATAATGAATGGACGACTTCAGCTCTCCCAGCATCACCAATGAGTTTGGGGCACCCCCCTCACCTGCCAATTTCATCCAGCCAGGTATGGGGTGGAGGTCCGGGGGGTGGGGGACTGGGGTGGAGAGGGGCGGGTGTCCTGGGCAGGCAGCTGACGGGCATCCCTGTCTTCTCCCATCGGCCGCAGGGAAGCAGCCGCTCTTGTCCATGTGCCCGACGATCATGGTGGGCCAGGACGGCCAGGTCCGGATGGTGGTGGGAGCTGCTGGGGGCACGCAGATCACCACAGACACTGCACTGGTATGTGTCACCCCTTTTCTCCCTGGCCCTGCCCACTCTGCACAGCCCCCAAGCCACGCTGATCACACTCCCATGCCCCAGGCCATCATCTACAACCTCTGGTTCGGCTATGACGTGAAGAGGGCCGTGGAGGAGCCCCGGCTGCACAACAAGCTTCTGCCCAACGTCACGACAGTGGAGAGAAACATTGACCAGGTGGGCCGGGGGTTGGAGAAACTGAGTCACGGTGTGGGGTCCCAGGGCATCCTGGGCTGGAGGCCTGGATCATCACAGAGTGGACAATGGTTGGTGTCCTCTCTCTAGTGCCTGGGCCATCTGGAGCCCCTGTGACATGAGGGCCAAGCCCCCTGCTCCAGTGAGACCCAGCAGGCCCCAACCTGCTCTTCCTGATGACCTGGCCTGAAATGGCACCACCTGGGCTGAGGCCTGTGACCACACAGGTGTGGTTCAGGTGGCATCTGGAGCCCTGCTCAGGCTTCCCCTCTCCTCCCACCCCCAGGCAGTGACTGCAGCCCTGGAGACCCGGCACCATCACACCCAGATCGCGTCCACCTTCATCGCTGTGGTGCAAGCCATCGTCCGCACGGCTGGTGGCTGGGCAGCTGCCTCGGACTCCAGGAAAGGCGGGGAACCTGCTGGCTACTGAGTGCTCCAGGCAGACAAGGCTGACAAGCAATCCAGGGACAAGATACTCACCAGGATGAGGAAGAGGACTTTGGGGGACGGGCTTCCCCTGTGAGCAGCAGAGCAGCATAATAAATGAGGCCACTGTGCCAGGCTCCAGGTGGCCTCCCTGGCCTGTCTCCCCACTCTCTGGGCCTCAGTGTATTGTGTGTGAAATGGAGCCATCTGGCTGGGGAGGAACAGAGAGGTGGGATTCGGAGATCTTCACAATGCGGGCACTGGAACTAGCCTCAGCATCTTCAGCATGGGGAGAGCAAGGCACATGGCTGGGGGCCAGGGGAAGGTTCACACCAAACCCTGCCCCTTCCCACCCTGATCCCTCAGACTTTGGGGCCAGGCCCTCCCTTACTGGGGCTGGGCAGTGACACTACCTAGGATCAGCCACCAGGGGGTGTCACGACCCTGGCGCTTTCTTAGGCAGAGGGTGGCCAGCCGATGCTGGGAACCCGGGCGCCTTCTCAGACCCGTAGGCGTCCAGCTCACCCTGCCGATGACACTGGAGGTGAAGCTGAGGGTCCGAGGAATGGGGACTGGGCAACAGGCTGGAGGAAAACATCTCGGTCAGAGCCATGCCCCTGGGGGGTTCCCAAGAGCAAGCCCAGAGTGAAACCCAAGCTTGTGATCCTCTCCAGAGGGAGGCCTGGTTCTCAGGGAACAGCAAACGGGAAGATGTCCCCAGATCCCAGGGATCAGGGCTTGGACCAGCCGGGGACGCAGCCCAGAGGGAGTGGGTCCGGAAGGAAACAGCTCGACACAGCAGCCTTCACCATTGGCAGCCCCTCCAGGCCTCCCTCGGGGCCTGCTCCCTCCTCTGTGCACAGTTCCAACACCTGGAGCAGGGTTCTGGGAAGGGCTGGTGGAGGTGGGCTGGTGGGAGGCGGTGATCACAGCCCAGCACCTGGATATCACCAGGGGCACTGGGGCCAGGGGCCAGGTGAGGCCAGGTCGGGGCTATCCTTCAGGAGCCCCGAAAACCTGGTGATTCCAAAGGGCCCATAGACAAACAGGGTTTTATGCCTGTGGAGTCAAGTCCCACTGGGTCTGAGCTCTGGAGGGCTGTGTCTCTGGGGCTCTGCAAGGGTGAGATGGAGGTGGGCTCAACTGGTGTACAAGTCACTCTTCAATCCTTATTTTATTTATTTAATTTTTTTTAAAAAAATTTAAACCAATAGAGATGGGGTCTCACTATGTTGACCAGGCTGGTCTTAACTCCTGACTTCAAGCAGTCCCCCCATCTCAGTCTCCCAAAGTGCTAGGATTACAGGGGTAGCCACTGCACCCGGCCTCAATCCTTATATTGGCCTGAGAGGAAAGGCCGTGGCCCCATTTGCAGGGGAGAAGACTGAAGCTGGAGGGGCAGGCCTTGCTCTGGGTTGCACAGCAGGAAGAGAAGTGGGAGCTGGCCACGAGGCTTCCTGGACCCGACATGCTGGTGGGGTACACCCTGGTTCTCTAGGTCCCATGGGGCTCAGCCCAGGACTACCTCGGGGGGTGAGGGACTTAAATCGTCTCCTTCATTCTCATCGCCCCTTCCCCCATCATTTCCTGAGGAAGGACATTCAGGGACCTGAAGGGGTGGCCTGCCCCTCCACACCTGTGGGTGTTTCTCATCAGCTGGGACAAGAGACTGAGAAAAGAAAGAGCCACAGAGCCAAAGTATAGAGAAAGAAAAGTGGGCCCAGGGGACCTGCACTCAGCATATGGAGGCCCCACGCTGGCACCAGTCTCTGAGTTCCCTAGTATTTATTGATCATTATCTCTACCATCTCAGAGAGGGGGATGTGGCAGGACAATAGGGTAATAGTGGGGAGAGGGTCAGCAGGAAAACACGTGAACAAATGTCTCTGTGTCATAAACAAGGTTAAGAAAAAGGTGCTGTGCTTTGATGTGCATATACATAAACATCTCAATGCATTAAAGAGCAGTATTGCCACCAGCATGTCCCACCTCCAGCCCTAAGGCAGTTTTCTCCTATCTCAGCAGATGGAATATACAATCAACACTGAGACATTCCTTTGCCCAGGGACGATCAGGAGAGAGATGCCTTCCTCTTATCTCAACTGCAAAGAGGCCTTCCTCTTTTACTAATCCTCCTCAGCACAGACCCTTTACAGGTGTCGGGCTGGGGGACGGTCAGGTCTTTCCCTTCCCACGAGGCCATATTTCAGACTGTCACCTGGGGAGAAACCTTGGACAATACCTGGCTTTCCTAGGCAGAGGTCCCTGCGGCCTTCTGCAGTGTTTTGTGTCCCTGCTTACTTGAGATTAGGGAGTGGTGATGACTCTTAACAAGCATGCTGCCTTCAAGCATTTGTTTAACAAAGCACATCCTGCACAGCCCTGAATCCATTAAACCTTGAGTCGACACAGTACATGTTTCTGTGAGCACAGGGTTGGGGCTAGGGTTACAGATTAACGGCATCTCAAGGCAAAAGAATTTTTCTTACTACACAACAAAATGGAGCCTCTTACGTCTACTTCTTTCTACATAGACACAGTAACAGTCTGATATCTCTTTCTTTTCCCCACAGGGACCTTCCTGGCTGTGCCTCGGGTCAGGACCAGAATGACACCCATTCATTTCCCTGGGCCTTTGCTCGGGCGGTCCCTGCACCCTGGCCTCTGCCTGACGAGGATGGTGGGGAGAGGAGGGGGACGTCCCCCACACTGCTGTCTCCACTGTTCCTGCTGCCCAGGCCTCTGGGCTTCCAGGACTGCAGCGGGTCGGTGGGTGGGCTGGCCTGAGCCCAGGAATGCACTTCAGCTCCTGGTTGAGCAATGTCACTGAGGCTTGGGAGTCGGGTGGGGGCGGGAGGAGGCGTCCGCAGGCCCCCCTACCGTGAGAGGCAGCCGTGGGAACAGCCTACCTCTAAACAATCACTGCAGCCCAGGCTGGCCAGGGGCTCTGGCCGGACATAGGGGCCTGGCAGGCTGTGTGCCCTGTAAGGACACAGTCTGTCTCTGTGCCTCAGTTTCTCTGCTGCCCAGATGGAGGGGCCCAGACTCCAGGTGTAGACATCTGGAGCAGGCAGTGTTCAGTTGGGGAGGAAGCGGGGAGGACTGTGGGGGCCATGTGGGAAGGATTCCACCCCACATCACCTGCACCCCTGCTGAGCCTGGTCAACGGAGCCCCTCAGTGGGTCCTCACTCCCCTGGTTGCCTCCCATTTAGGCACCCTGAGGCCTGGGGAGAACAGAGCCAGGCCAGTGTCCCCAGAGAGGCTGCGCTGCCAGCACAGTAGTAGCGGATTTGGATTCAGGGAAGCAGACCTGCAGCCAGGGTGGGAAAGAGCTGCAGGTGGGGTGGGGCCCCCACATGGCACAGCCCCCCTCCCTGGAGGACCATGCTGCATTTCCAGGACAGCAAGTCCCAGGGATGGATGGTGCCTGGTGCCAAGGGCTAGAGGCATGGTCTGTCTGCATTTCCCACGTAAGTGTCTCGTAGTCACTAGCATTTGATGCTGTCAAGACCCCCTGTCCTCTGTGCAGACTGGGAAGCCCTTGGTCACCCTGGGGGAGTTGGGGGACCCAGGCCAGGCTGCAGAAGCATAAGGACTTGAACCCGGGTCCTGAGTGACACCACCTTGGGTCCTCCTCCTTCTGCCTCTGTTCAGCTCCACCTTGATGCTGACTAGGCTGGGCCATGCGGAGAGGGTTAGGGGATAGAGATGGGAGCTGGGGAGCAGGGCTCCACTCTGGGAGGGGGGCAGCCTTGCCGGATCCAGGGCAGAGTTAAGCGGCCCCAGCTCTGCTTTCCCAGAGCTGCTGAGAACCTGGGGAATGGTGTGGAGGTTCCAGGGAGCCCTGCCCCTACCTGGCAACCGCAGTGCAGCACGCACCAAGTTCTCCTGCACATTGCGACAGTGTGACCATGGGCTCTGGTGGGCGGTAGGTCGGGCCTTTGGACCTACCAGCAGTGAGGGAGTTAACACAGCAGCTGACTTCTCTAGGCAAAGAAAACTCCCCTCAGACGCTTTGCTGCCTGGCCTCCTGCCAGGAACAAGCAGGAGCTGAAAACTAGAAGTTGAGGCATGAGTTTGGCCACTCCGTAGTGTGCACTTGGTGAGGGCAGCAGCTCGCCACAGCTGCCAGCCATCTGTCCATTCACCCATCTGTCCATCTGGCAGCCCGCTGTTCAGACCTGTCTGTCTGTCCGCCCATCTGTAAGCCCATCTCTGTCCCATTGTCTATCTGACCATCTTTCTCTTACTGTCCTCTTTGTCTAGCTATCTGGCCTGTCTGTCGATCCATCTTCGTGTCTGTCTTCAGCCCCCACCTGTTTGTCCATCTGTCCAATTACCTGTGAGTCTATCTATGCATCTTCTTGTCCATTCATCTGCCCACCCATCTGTCCCTCCATCTGCCCACCGGCCTCCCCTCTCCTTCTGGGCCGCAGAGCCATGGCCCAGGACTACGGAGCCATGGGTGACCTGGTCCTGCTGGGGCTGGGGCTGGGGCTGGCGCTGGCTGTCATTGTGCTGGCTGTGGTCCTCTCTCGACACCAGGCCCCATTTGACCCCCGGCCTTTGCCCACACCGCTGTTGCTGCTGACTCCAAGGTCTTCTCAAATATTGTACGGTGAGTGAGACGTGGGAGGAAGCTGGGTGGCCTTTGGCAGCCAGCCCCTCCTGGAGAAGGCGTGTGTGTGTGAGCATGTGTGTGTGTGAGAGATTATGTGTGAGTGTGTGTGGGTATATGTGTGAGTGTGTTTGTGGGGTGTGGGTGTGTGTGAATGTGTGTGATCGTGTTTGGGTGTGTGTATGTGTGAGTGTGGGTGTGTGTGAATGTGTGTGATTGTGTTTGTGTATGTGTGTGTGGGTGTGTGTGAGTATATGTGAGTGTGAGTGTGTGGGGGTGTGGGTGGGTGTGAATGTGTGTGATTGTGTTTCGCTGTGTGAGGGTGTGTGTGACTGTGAGTGTGTGAGTGTGGGTGTGTGGGTGTGTGTAAATGTGTGAGTGTGAGTATGGGGGGTGGGTATGTGTGAATGTGTGTGATTGTGTGTGGGTATATTTGTGGGTGTGTGTGTGTGTGCACGTGTGTGTGTGTGCACGTGCACTGGCCCAGTAAGCAGGAGCCGTGTGTGTGGGCTTCAGCACCTGCAGGGCTTGAGCGCAAGGAGACAGCCTCAGGGCCCTTGCACAGAACAGGCGGCAGGGTGTGCCCGTGGGGCAGATGGGGACTTGGGGACAATGGTGGTGTGTGAGTCCATACCTGGCTCCAGGATTCAGGAGGCCCATTTGCATATCCCAGGTGGGAACCTGTCTGGCCCCGCCTGACCCTGCTGGCCGGTGCAGGCCCCTTCAGTGAGGCCAATTCTCCAAGGCTGCGGTCTTCTCCCAGGGTCATGGGTGAAGGGGTTTGGAGGCTCCCTGCGTGGGTACTGGCCTGCTGGGGTACACACAATGCTGCCATAGCCAGTCTGCCCCTACACCCAGCCCGGGGCCACATCTCAGGTCTCTCAGTCCTGAGGAGCCCGGTGCCCCACCCCTCACATCCTCTCTCCCTGAGTCAGGGCCTGGGTCTCGTGAGCTGAGTGACTGATACTTGGTGTCCTGGATGAGGGCGTGGTGGAGAGGGGCCACAGCGGGTGTTTCCTGACCCTCTTCCAGGAAGGTGCTGCTGCCGCTGCAGGGAGGACACACACAGGATGCCCCTTCTTGCCCCCTGCCTCCCATTGGGCCCACAAAAGCCAGGGCAAGCCTCCCCTCCCTGCCAGCCACCTGGTCTGCTTCCCAGAAATTCTGTCTTGCAGGCTGTTGGGAGGATCCCAGTACTTTGTAAACTAAAGCAAGGGAGGAGTGGCCGTTCTCTCTCTTTGTTCATTCATTCACCTTTTCATTCATTCCTTCTTCCCTCCATTCCCCCATCTGTCCATCCTTCCCTGCCCTGATTGCTCATGCCACCCCCCCAGCCCCTCCTGACCTGGTCCTTTGGTTTCTCTTCAGGGCTTTCTGTCTCCTCCCACAGGGCTGAGAATGGCAGCTCAGGGACAAGTGGGGGCTGGGGACTGCTTAGTCTCCCCAGTGGCTCTCAGGGGATTTGAGGGTTTGACGTCAGCTGCCACCCCAGGCTGTGCCCCTCCTCTGCTCGGGAGGACATACAGAGATGCGACACCCACTTAAACTCGAAGTTGCAAAGATGCAAATGAGACTGGGGTCTCAGGCACCAGAGACCACCCGTGGGCACGTGGCTTTTGGGAGTGGGGACCTGCTGCCACAGATCTCTGAAGAGTCTGGACCTGCTGGGTCTCCCCGAGTGACTGTCTGGGGGTCTCCATAGCATGCCCTGCTGTGTGCGTGACGGTCACTGGTTGGGTAGGGGTCTCTACTCTAAAGCTCCCTCTGCCGGCATCCCCTCGAACTCTCCCTTGGTGAAGAGAGGATGTGGTTTGCCCCAGTGTTTTATCAAACAACTCTCTCCACTTCCAGTTTTAAGAAGCTGGGAGTGGAAGAGAGCCTGGGGCTGGCCCCAGCTGCTGCTGTGAAACAGGGGTCACTGGACGCTGGGACCCTGGCCGGGCTGGCTGGAGGCCTCAGGAAGAGGCCTGCTACAGCGTCATCCTGGCCAAGATTCCTCCCTGCAGAGGACCCTGGCCACGCTGCCACAGGGTCTGCTGGGGCCACCAGAAGCCCATGCTCCTGCCTCCATCTCTCCCCTCTGTGCTCACCTCTCACCAGGAGGCCCTCCCAGAGTTCAGTGTCCTGCTTTTTTTTTTTTTTTTTTTTTTTTTTGTGACGGTGTCTCACTCTGTCACCAGGCTGGAGTGCAGTGGCGCGATCTCAGCTTACTGCAACCTCTGCTTCCTCGGTTCAAATGATTCTCCTGCCTCAGCCTCCTGAGTAGCTGGGACTACAGGTGCCAGCCACCACGCCCCGCTAATTTCTGTATTTTTAGTAGAGACGGGGTTTCACCGTGTTGGCCAGGATGGTCTCTATCTCTTGATTCACCCGCCTTGGCCACCCAAAGTGCTGGCATTACAGGAGTGAGTCATGGCACCCGGCCTCATCTCCTACTCTTTCAGCACCAGGTTTTATTCTTGGGATTCTGCTACAGCCGGAGCCCCTGGGTGCGAGTTCCTAAGGTTTCTGTGAGTGTGGACCCAGCACCGTGCCTAGTAGACATACAAAAGGAGCATGGTGACAGTGAGGTCTGTCATCTCCAGCATAATGACTGTTTTGATCCTTGTAAAAAAGGTGATTTTTGGCTGGGTGTGGTGGCTCACACCTGTAATCCCAGCACTTTGGGAGGCCGAGGGGGGTGGCTCACTTGAGGTCAGGAGTTGGAGACCAGCCTGGGCAACATGGTGAAACCATGTCTCTACTAAAAATACAAAAATTAGCTGGGCATGGTAGCAGGTGCCTGTAATCCCAGATACTTGGGAGGCTGAGACAGGAGAATCACTTGAACGCAGGAGGCAAAGGTTGCAGTAAGCCAAGATTGCACCACTGCACTCCAGCCTGGGTGACAGAGCAAGACTTGGTCTCAAAAAAAAAAAAAAGGAAAGAAAAGTTTATATTTTTGTTCTAATGGTTATCTTAATATCGTCATTCTATAATTATATGTTTTATATAATTATAATAGCTATATAAGATATAATACCCCTAGTATGTTGTTTTTTGGATATTCTACTTGCTCCTGATGGTTAATTTATGTGTCAACTTGGCTAAGCTATGGTGTCCTGTTGTTTGGTCGAATACTTGTCAATATCTTGCTGGGAGGTTATTTCATAGATGTGATTAACACTGACAGTCAATTGACTTTAAGTAAAACAGATTACCCACCATAATATGGGTGGGCCACCTCCAATCAGTTGAAGGCCTTAAGAACAAAAACTGAGGTTTCCCAGAGAAGCAGGAATTCTGCTTCAAGACTGTAACACACAAACCCTGCCTGAGTTTCTGGCCTGCTGACTGCTCTACAGATTTTAGGTTCCAGACTTCGAGATCAACTCTTACCTGAATTTATAGCCTGCTGGCTTGCCCTACAGATTTTAAAACTTGCTAGTCCCCACAATCATGTGAGCCAATTCCTAAATAAATCTCTCTCTATGTATAATCTATTGGTTTAGTTTCTCTGAAAAACTTTCACATTCCAGTTTCCTGGTTGTTAAGAATTACCGAAACTAGCTAGTAACTTCTTTTTTTTTTTTTTTTTTTTTTGAGACAGAGTTTTGCTCTTGTTGCCCAGGCTGGAATGCAATGGCACAGTCTCAGCTCACCGCAACCTCCACTTCCTGGGTCCAAGCAATTCTCCTCCCTCAGCCTCCTGAGTAGCTGGGATTACAGGCATGTGCCACCATGCTTGGCTAATTTTTGTATTTTTAGTAGAGACAGGGCTTCTCCATGTTGGTCAGGCTGGTCTTGAACTCCCAACCTCAGGTGATCCGCCGCCTTGGCCTCACAAAGTGCTGGAATTACAGGCACGAGCCATTGCGCCTGGCTCCTAGTAAATTCTTCTTTTCTGTGATGTGTCTCTTACCTCTAATAATACTTTTCTTCTTAAAGTCTACTTCATTAAAAATAGTTATGCTGGGCATGGTGGCTCATGGCTGTAATCTTGGCACTTTGCTGGAGGTCGAGGTGGGTGGATCACTGAAGCCCAGGAGTTCAAGACCAACCTGGGCAACATGGCGAGACCCTGCCTCTACAAAAAATACAAAAATTAGCTGGGTGTGGCTAATATAATTCTAAGTTGGCACACTTGTAGTCCCAGCTACTTGGGATGCTGAGGTGGGAGAATCGCTTGAGCCTAGAAGGGAGAGATTGCTGTAAGCCAAGATCACATCACTGCACTCCAGCCTGGGAGACAGAGTGAGGCTCTATCTCCCAAAAAAAAAAAAAAAAAAAAAAAAAAAAGTTATACAGCTTTCTTGGTTAGTACATGCATGACATATTTTTCATGATCTTCCACCTCTCTGTATCCTTATATAAAAGGCATTAGTTGGGTTTTACTTTATTTTCAATTATTTTAATTTTTATTGTCCTTTTAAATGTAACTAATGATTTATTTGGGTTGAAACCCACCACCAATTTGTTTTCCATGCCTATTCTATTTCTTCTTATCTCCTCTCACATCTTGTTTTGGATTTATTATTTTTATTATTTAATTTCCTCCTTCTCTATTAGTTTCATAACTGTGCAGTCTTAGAGTTATTTTAAAAGATGACTGGATTATTTTAGAGCTTACAACATGCATCCTTCACTTATCAAAGTCTAACATGAGCTAGTACTTTTTGTTGTGGTTGAGATAGAGAGAGTCTTCCTCTGCTGCCCAGGCTGGAGTGCAGTGGAGCAATCTTGGTTCACTGCAACCTCCACTTCTTGGGTTCAAGCAATTCTCCTGCCTCAGTCACCTGAGTAGCTGGGACCACAGGTGTGCACCACTATGCCCGGCCAATTTTTGTATTCTTTTTCAGTAGAGACAGGGTTTCACCATGTTGGCCAGGCTGGTCTTGAACTCCGGACCTTAAGAGATCTGCCTACCTCGGCATCCTAAAGTGTTGGGATTACAGGCGTGAGCCACCGCACCCAGCCTATGAGTTAGTACTTCTATCCTCTTCCTAGTCAGTACAAGAACCTTGGAACAGGAACTAAATTTACCCCCAGTGACTTATATGCTAATATTTTTGTGTATTTTAAATATGTGTGTGTGCATAGATGTATCTGTGTGTTTTTTGTGTTTTTATTCTTATTTATGTTGAGAGTGTAGAGCTATGTAAGAGTAAAGAGAATTGTGTAATGAAGCCCCGAGTATCCATTCAATTTCAACAACAATCTTATGGCCAAGCTCATTTCATGTATACTCTTTCCTGCTTCCCTCTACCCCACATTATTTCAGTGCAAATCCCAGATATATAACTGTACCCATACATATTTCAGTATGTTTTATTTCTTTTAAACCCCACAAGATATCATTTTCTATACTACTGTAATTTTATACCAATAACATTCATTTAGATTTACCCACACGTTTACCCTACCCTCCGGGTCCTGTTTGAAAATCAAGCCCATGCTCACAGGCCAATTTTTTTTTCTTTTAGAGACAGGGTCTCACTTTGTCACCCAAGCTGGAGTGCAGTGGTGCGATTATAGCTCAATGCAGCCTCCAATTCCTGGACTCAAGGGACCCTCCTGCCTCAGCCTGCCAAGTAGCTTGGACTATAGCTGTGTGTTTTATTATTATTTTGTAGACATGGGGTCTGGCTATGTTGTCCAGGCTATTCTCAAAATTCCCGGTCTCGAGCAATCCTCCTGCCTCGGCCTCTCAAAGGTTGGGATTACAGGTGTGAGGCAAGGCACCCAGCTCAGCCACAGAGCCCTGTTGCATCTCTCTTACTAGGAGCAAGAGCTGACTGCCCCCTCATCCCCATTCCAGAGTGTTGGGGCTGTGTTCAGCCGAGGCCGGGCCACTGGCATGGCCCAGGGAGCGGGATCATTCACTGCTGCCCCAAATCTGAGATCATTCCACCTTGACAAGACTTCCTCATCCAATCCCTTTACTTGACAGCTGGGGAAACCAATGCGCACAGAGCACCCCCAGCTCACTCGGGGTCTCAGAGCTGATCCATGAGCAGAGGCTGAGATCCTGGGATCTTGTCCCCCAGCCGCCCTGCAAGCTTACTCCCTTTCTGCTGGAAGAGATGGGGCCGGACCTCGACCAGCAGCCCTGGCCTGGACATGACTGTGCTCACCCAGGTATTGAGGCCGAGATGCCCCGGCATCATATGTTTTTCTCTCTTTTTTTCTTTTTTTTTGAGACAGTATCTCACTCTGTCACCCAAGCTGGAGTGCAGTGGCATGATATTGGCTCACTGCAACCTCTGCCTCCCGCTTAAAGTGATTCTCCTGCCTCAGTCTTCCAAGTAGCTGGGCCTACAGGCTTGTACCACCACACCTGACTAATTTTTGTATTTTTACTAGAGACGGGGTTTCCCCATGTTGGCCAGGCTCATGTCGAACTCCTGACCTCAGGTGATCCACCTGCCTTGGCCTCCCAAAGTGCTAGGATTACAGGCATGAGCCATGGCGTCACTTAAATGTAGTGAGAGGCCGGGCAAGGGGCTCATGCCTGTAATCCCAGTGCTTTGAGAGGACGAGGCTGTCAGATCACCTAAAGTCAGGAGTTCGAGACCAGCCTGGCCAACATGGTGAAACTGTGTCTCTACAAAAAAATAGAAAAAAAAATCCCTGCGTGGTGGCAAGTTTCTGTAGTCCCAGTTACTCAGGAGTCTGAGGCATGAGAATTGCTTAAACCTTGGAGGCGGAGGCTGCAGTGAGCTGAGATGGCGCCACTGCACTCCAGCCTGGGTGACAGAGCAAGACTTTGTCTCTAAATAATTAAATAAATAAATATGGCCGAGCATGGTGCCTTAGGCCTGTAATCCCAACACTTTGGGAGGCTGAGGCAGGTGGTTCATGAGGTCAGGAGCCCGAGACCAGCCTGGCCAAGATGGTGAAACACTGTCTCTACTAAAAATACAAAAATTAGCCAGCTGTGGTGGCAGGCACCTGTAATCCCAGCTACTTGGGACACTGAGGCAGGAGAATCGCTTGAACCTGGAAGGCAGAGGTTGCAATGAGCCGAGATTGCACTGCTGCACTCTAGCCTGGGCGATGGAGCAAGACTCCATCTCAAATAAATAAATTAATAAATACAGAGCAAGATTCCATCTCAAATAAATAAATAAATGTACACCTGTAATCCTAGCACTTTGGGAGGCTAAGACAGGTCGATCACCTGAGGTCAGGAGTTTGAGACCAGCCTGACCAATAGGGCAAAACTCCATCTCTACTAAAAATACAAAAATTAGCCGGGCGTTTTGACGTGTGCCTGTAGTCCCAGCTACTTGGGAGGCTGAGACAAGAGAATTGCTTGAACCCAAGAGGTGGAGGTTGCAGTGAGCCGAGATCTCGGCTGCACTTCAGCCTGGGTGACAGAGTGAGACTCTGTCTCAAAAGGAATAAATAAAATACAAAGTAAAAAAAAATGTAGTAAGATTGCAGAGTCGTGCCGCAGAAGCGTGCTGGTCCTATCCATGTAGTGAAGGCTGATTTCATACACAAATGTCAGAAGAACTTTTCTTTTCTTTTTCTTTTTTTTTTTTTTTTTGAGACGGAGTCTCACTCTGTCACCCAGGCTGGAGTGCAGTGGTGCGATCTAGGCTCATTGCAAGCTCTGCCTCCCGGGTTTATGCCATTCTCCTGCCTCAGCCTCCTGAGTAGCTGGGACTACAGGCGCCTGCCACCTAGCCCAGCTAATTTTTTTGTACTTTTAGAGGAGATGGGGTTTCACCGCGTTAGCCAGGATAGTCTCAATCTCCTGACCTCGTGATCCGCCCGTCTCGGCCTCCCAAAGTGCTGGGATTACAGGCATGAGCCACCACACCCGGCCTTCTTATATGCTTTTATTGCATTTGAGCGTACCTCTTTTACAGCGAAGATCTTTTTTTTTAATTTTATTTTATTTTTAGAGATGGAGTCTTGCTTTGTTGCCCAGGCTGGAGCACTGTGGTGTGATCATAGCTCACTGCAGCCTTGAACTCCCGGGCACAGGTGATCCTCCCACCTCAGCCTCCTGAATAGCTGGGACTACAGGCATGCACCACCATGCCTGGCATATTTTAAAGATGTTTGTAGAGATGAGGTCTCGCTATGTTGCCAGGCTTGTCTCAAACTACTGGGCTCAAGCCATCCATCCATTTCAGCCTCCCAAAGTGCTTGGATTATAGGCATGAGCACTGCGCCTGGCCATCACACTGTTTTTTTGTTTGTTTGTTTGTTTGTTTTGAGATGGAGTCTTGCTCTGTCGCCCAGGCTGGAGTGCAGTAGTGGGATCTCACCTCATTGTAAGCTCCGCCTTGTGGGTACATGCCATTCTCCTGCCTCAGCCTCCTGAGTAGCTGGGATTACAGGCGCCCGCCACCACGCCTGGCTAATTTTTTGTATTTTTAGTAGAGACGGGATTTCACCGTGTTAGCCAGGATGGTCTCAATCTCCTGACCTCGTGATCTGCCCGCCTCGGCCTCTCAAAGTGCTGGGATTACAGGCATGAGCCAATAAATATTTTTATAATCATTAACTACCGAGGAAAAGCTGGAGAGAAAAAAGGTGGATGAAGTTAAGGCAGAGAGACTTTGTAAGTTTCTTAGCTGAGCTTTTGGAGACTGTATATCAGAGATCTTATTTGAGGTGATTTTCAGCTACAGAGATAGGCCTGGTCATTTGAAAAATAACGGATTAGGTGAAGCTTGCGTTTGAAATCCTCCTTCTACTTTTCATCTTTCTCTCTTGTTTATTCTGAGCATCCATCTTAGACACCCAATCTTTGTCACTTTGTGGTTGTCATTGATTTCCCTGTTATTGAGATTAGAGGTTGGCAGACTTTCTCTGTAAAGGGCTGGAGAGAAAGTACTTCAGACTTTGTGGTCTGTGCGGTGTCTGTTGCAACCACTTAACTCTGCCCTGTAGAGCAAAAGCAGCCGCAGACAGTACATGGGCAGATGAGCATGGCTGGGGTCCAGTTACATTTACTTGCAAAAAGAGGGTTGGAGACTGGGTGCGATCTCCCACCTTTAATCCCGGCAATTTGGGAGGCCGAGGCAGGAGGATCACTTCAAGCCAGGAGTTCAAGACCAGCCTGGGCAACAAAGCAAGACTCCATCTCTACAAAAAAATAAAAATTATTATAGCTAGGCATGGTGGTACACACCCGTAGTCCTAGCTACTCAGGAAGCTAAAACTGAGGCAGGAGGGTCAGTTGAGCCCAGGAGCACGAGGCTGTGGTGAGCTATTATTGTGCCAGTGCACTCCAGCCTGGTGACAGAGCAAGAACGGTCTCGTCAAAAAATAAACAAAAGGCTGGGCACGGTGGCTCACGCCTGTAATCCCTGCACTTTGGGAGACTGAGGTGGGCAGATCATGAGGTCAGGAGATTGAGACCATCCTGGCTAACACGGTGAAACCCTGTCTCTACTAAAAATACAAAAAGTTAGCCGGGCGTGGTGGCGGGCGCCTGTAGTCCCAGCCACTCGGGAGGCTGAGGAGGGAGAATCGTTTGAACCTGGGAGGCGGAGGTTGCAGTGAGCCAAGATTGTGCCACTGCACTCTAGCCTGGGCTACAGGGCAAGACTCCATTAAAAAAAAAAAAAAAAACCAGCAAAAACCAAACAAAACATAATGCATGTTCTCTCTTATAAATGGGAGCTAAACATGGGGACTCATTGACTTAAAGATGGCAACAACTGGGAACTGCTGGATGGGGAGGGAGGGGAGGGGTGAAAGGCCAACTGTTGGGGAGTATGCTCATATCCACGTGACAAACCTGCACATGTGCCCGCTGAATCTAAAATAAAAGTTGAAAGTAGATTTAAAAAACCCCAAGAGGGCTGGGTTTGGCTTGTGTGTCCATAGCTTGTTAACCTCCGCTTTAGATATTAACTAATAGAAACATAGTGCTTAACTTCCCAGGCCACCTATTTTGTTCCTCTCCAAGGTGATGGATAGATGAAGGCCTAATCCAGCCGCCTGGAAGTTTGCTGACGCTTGTCCTGTCACGGATTAATGAAGCATTGTTTTCTGATGAAGGTTTCATGCCGCTGTGCTGATGTGTCTTCTCTTCTCTCTAGGCAGGAAACTGCATATCTTCTGGTTTACATGAAGATGGAGTGCTAATGGAAATGCCCAAAACCTTCAGAGATTGACACGCTGTCATTTTCCATTTCCGTTCCTGGATCTACGGAGTCTTCTAAGAGATTTTGCAATGAGGAGAAGCATTGTTTTCAAACTATATAACTGAGCCTTATTTATAATTAGGGATATTATCAAAATATGTAACCATGAGGCCCCTCAGGTCCTGATCAGTCAGAATGGATGCTTTCACCAGCAGACCCGGCCATGTGGCTGCTCGGTCCTGGGTGCTCGCTGCTGTGCGAGACATTAGCCCTTTAGTTATGAGCCTGTGGGAACTTCAGGGGTTCCCAGTGGGGAGAGCAGTGGCAGTGGGAGGCATCTGGGGGCCAAAGGTCAGTGGCAGGGGGTATTTCAGTATTATACAACTGCTGTGACCAGACTTGTATACTGGCTGAATATCAGTGCTGTTTGTAATTTTTCACTTTGAGAACCAACATTAATTCCATATGAATCTAGTGTTTTGTAACTGCTATTCATTTATTCAGCAAATATTTATTGATCATCTCTTCTCCATAAGATAGTGTGATAAACACAGTCATGAATAAAGTTATTTTCCACAAAAGGACTTTGCAGTTTTAACGGGGGGCAGTAGGGCTTGTGCTATAGAAATTCAAAGGCAAGGGAAGTCACTTCTGTTGTGGGGCCCTGGGAGGAGCCTACAGGCTGGAAAGGGTTAAGGTGGAGGTCTCCGATAGGGGCAGCGTACACAGTGGACTGGCTGCAAAAGGCCGTGCTCAGCATTCAGACAGCATCACACACTCTGCTTTTCTCTACCAGGGAGGCAGGTGGGGAAGGATAGCGATGGGAAGGCAGGCGGAGCTCAGAATGTGGAAAGGGATCCAGTAAGGCTTGGAAGTTTGCACCTGATCTGGTGGGTGGTGAGGAGCCCTTGAAGGGGCAAGGAGGCGAGGAGCACTCAGCTGTGTTCTTACACTGATCTGCCACTGGGGTTAGAGACAAACGTGGTGGGAATGGAAAGCCACGCACAGTCACTAGCGCCTCTGGGGGGAGAATGGATGTGGCTGGTGAGAGAACAGGGGGGCCCAGGGAGAGTCCGGCACCAACCTGGGCGGGGGAGCCCAGTGGGTGTGAGCACCCCCACTTTAGAGATGAAGTGATGGAGACATTCAGATGTTTAACCCCTTGTTCAAGATTCCATACTTGATAAATGGCAGATCAAACTCCCAACATAAAATGTGGGTCATTTCTTTATTATTTTATTTGTATTGGTTAACAATGATCAGCCATGCAAGAATAAATGATTATTGTAAAATCTGCAAACAATGTAGATATGTAAAGAATCCCTTCCTTGGAGCTTGACCTTGTCAGACAGGTATAGATGAGTGTTCCGGGGCAGCCGTAAAAACTGCCAGAGACTGGGCTGCTTATAACAGAAACGCATGGTCTCCCAGAAGCCCACATTCAAGGTGTCCAAAGGCCTGGCTCCTGGAGGCTCTGGAGGAGAGCCTGTTCCCTGTCTCTCAGCTTCTGCCGGTTGCCAGCAAGTGTTGCCGTTCATTCACTCCAGCCACTGCCTCCATCTGCACACAGCAAAACAGCATATCCTGAAGTGCTCAGCCTTATAGCCATTATTTTAAAATATCCGGAACACACAGGACCGTGGGAGTGGCTGTTGGAGAAATTTTCATGAAGGAAGAAAGATTACAACTAAGTTTTAAAATGCTAGTTTTGTTTGTTTTGTCTTGGAGAGGAGGTAAAAGTGGGAGTAAAAATAGGGAGTTTGGTGTAAGGTGGGAAAAGCAAAGGAACCCCGCATGGATGGGCTGAAGGGTGTGATGGGAGAACAGTGAGAAGTACGTTTGGGGAAGCAATTGGAAATAGTAGCTAAGCTTAATCACAATCTATCAAAAGGGACTTGTTGAAGAATTAATGTGTGACTAGGAACAGGGAGGTTATGGGCTTGTCAGCTCGACAGCGGGCACTCAGTTCCACTAACGAATGATGCCCGTGTGGACAGACAGAATGATGGACAGGCAGATGAATGCGTGGGCTTTATGTGAAACAGGTCCTCTTGGTTGTTGACAAGATACTGTTTTAAAGTTCCATTTTGCCATACTTCGAACAGCTTGTCATTAGCTCAATTTAGCCACATGTAAAATCACTAAGGCGGACTTCCAGAGTTCCCACATGAAAATCAAATGTAAACCAGCAGTGACCTGCTTCAACACCATCATCGGAAGTCAGAAGTTGAACTCTTTTTTGATGTTTAAAGCCTGCATAATATTCGCTGTATTATTATTCAGCATATTACTATTTCCTTCGTGATGGAAATTTGGTTTATCCCAATTTTCTATTCTATCAAAACACCGCTACATAGAAAATCCCCATGCACATATTTCTCCTAATTGTGGAAATATTTTACATAAAAGACTCTAGACATGGGATGAAATTCCCAGGTTATTGGAATTTTAAAATAGATAGGTACTTCCAAATTGACCTCTTACAAATTATATGAATTCGTAAGCTTCCAACTGTTATGGAGTTACCCATTTTGAGAAATCTGTGCTAAAAGGACCCAAACAATGCTGATGACAATGATCAGGATAATAAGTACGCTGGGAAGACAACAAAATGATTTAGATCTTAGACAAGTCATTCTAGGTGTCTCCACTGTTTCAGTTCTTGCGTTCGTTCATTCTTGTGCTTTTTCGTTTTACCAAATAAAATAGCTCCTTGATGTCATATGAATCCACGCTATGCTTAATGAGTATTGGTTAGTAAAATGCCTATAACTAGTAATCTTCATCTATGCAATTAAATATTAATTCATAAAACACTTCAAATGTAAACAATAATTAGTAAATGAAAAGTACATAATACCTCAATTAGAAAAAAAATCACTCCATTAAAAAGACATTATTTGTGTGATAAAAGAGATTGCCATTTTTGTATTTTTCTACAAGGTTAAAGAAAACTAAGTCAACTTATACAAGTGAATTTTAAAAGACTTTAGGGCAGGCGTGGTGGCTCACGCCTGTAATCCCAGCACTTTAAGAGGCCGAGGAGGGCAGATCACCTGAGGTCAGGAGTTCGAAACCAGCCTGACCAACATGGTGAAATCTCATTTCTACTAAAAATACAAAAAAATTAGCCCAGTGTGGTGGCATGTGCCTATAATCTCAGCTACTTGGGAGGCTGAGACAGGAGAATAGTTTGAACCTGGGAGGCGGAGGTTGCAATGAACCAGGATCGCACCATTGCCCTCCAGCTTGGGCAACAAGAGTGAAACTCCATCTCAAAAGTAAATAAATAAATAAATAAAATAAATAAAAGCCTTTAACCCAGAATGCTGAGTAAATTGGCCAAAAATGCTAACCTATGCATTTCAATACTATAGGAGTCGCATGGGTAGAAATAACCAGATGAAATACTTCTGGTATTTCACCTTCCCAACCCACACGAGCCAGTGTTTTTCTGTGAATAACAAAAACAGCAGAATTTACTTGCCTCTCCATAAGAGGTTACCACTTCTGTGTGTTCCCCCGAAACAGGTGGTGGCTGGGTGAGAAGGTGGACAGCACTAGGGCAGGAGATGGGGGCTCCAGTATCGTGGGTGAGCTTCCTAAACCTCTGCAACTTTCAGCCCCTAAATGGGATGAGCCATCAGAATTTTTAGCACAATGCCCAGAACAAAGTAAGGATTTGACAAATGACACCTCTCTCCACATTGTTCTGTCATCAGCCACCGCATCCTGTACCTCCAAGCCCACTGGGCTCCGGCTGTTTCCATCACATGGAGAATGACTCAGAGCCTGGCCTCCAGCCACCCTCCTGGCCTTTCTGCTTCTCACTCTGCCACTGGCTCCTCATGGACCACCAGCCTGGGTGTCCTCAGACATACCACACACTTCACTGTGGGAGTCACGCAGCCCTCACTGCTCCTTCGCCAGGGAGCCACGGGGCTTTCCTCCTCAGGAGGACTCTGCAAGCAGCTGGATGAAGGGCCCTCCCGTCTCTCATCCTTCCTTAATTTTTGTCACAGTTCTCCTTCCTTCCACTCAGGGCAGCGCACACTGATTGATCCTCCATCTTCCCCAAAAGACAGGAACAGCATGAGCAGTGGAGAGTAGATTCCAATGATAGAAAAAATAGTCAGTGATTTCTCATTTCCATTGATCATCAATGAAGAAAATGTATCCTGAAGGTCATGTACCTCCTATGGGACTGCTGCATCCTCAGCCTCCTGAATTTCAGCCCAGCACCTTCCTCCCCAGCACAGCAACAGGTCAGCCCTTACCAGCATCCCTCTCTTATTGCCTTTGTGCAGAGCCAGCACCAGGGCCAGGGGAGGCCTTGGGATTGTCCCTCCCCAACAATCTGTGAAACAATCCTTTATGTCACCAACAAAGCACAGCCTTCTGCACTGGTGGTCAGTCCCTCTCAACACCTCTGTCACTGTAAAGCTGGCAGGCAACCCTCCAAGGTTGGCCTTCCCAAGCACTGCACCTCTAGGTGACAGAGCATGTCCTTACCTTGAAGCCTGGGCGCCCAGTCTATCCTGTCCAATGAGCGAGCTGTGGAGAAGGGGGGATTCCGGGTTAAGGGGAGACTAGCAGGGCTCCTGCTTTTATGTTGCCCTGTTGGGAAGGCTATTAAAGAAACACAAAGTGCTAAGCAGTGAGGATAGAACATGTTTTCATTATTTCAACCAATACATTCCACAGATGGAATAATAAGAAATGCTACAACCAAGCTAACTGAATCCAACAGCATATCAAAAAGATAATCCACCATGATTCAAGTGGGTTTCATACTAGGGATGCAGGGATGGTTTAACATACGCAAGTCAATAAATGTGATACATCACATCAATAAAACTAAAAACAAAAATCACATGATAATCTGAATAGATGCAGAAAAAGCCTTTGACAAAATCCAGCATTTCTTTATGATTAAAACCGTTCGTCAAAATCAGCATAGAACGGACATACCTTAAGGTAATAAAAGCTATCTATGACAAACCCACAGCCAACATTTTCCTGAATGGGGGAGAGTTGAAAGCATTCCCCCTGAGGAAGGGAACAAGACAAAGATGCCCACGTTCACCACTTCTCAACACAGTGCTGTTCACTACAGCATTGGTTATAAGAGCAAGACTGGAAACAGAACAAATGGATACCCATAGCGGGGTGCTTAAGTAATTTTGGGAATAGTCATGGGGTGCAGTACTTTATAGCTCTGAAACAATACAATGGATTTACATTTGAAATGTGGAATGATAACTAAGGTGCATTGCCCAGTGATATATGCAGAGGTGCAGAGGACTTTGTGTAAACACGATCACACATCAGCCTGCATTCCAGGTGCATGCTTCTATTTGCACATAGATTGCAGGGATGATATGCAAACAAAAATGTTGACTTGGTGTTTGGAAGTTCAGAGTGGAAGGGAAACTTCCTTGCTAACCTTTTATGATATTTAGAGTTTCTAAATGTGAATACGTAATACATTTAGAAATCTTAGTTAATAAGAAAAGCCTCTGTTCCTGGCCTCTTGCTGGCACATGTCAGGTGGAAATGGGGCTGTCATGCTAATGTGTGCAAACTGAGAAAAATCCAAGAATGGGAGTCTGCTTTTTTCATCATACAAATAATTGTTAATAGAAACAGTATGATAATTGCTCATTGATATACCATGCATATTCTATTAGATAATAATAAATTTCTGAAATTTGAACTATACTTATACATGGAAATTGAAATATATGGATGAAACATTGTGGCTTATATAGGCAATTGTTTTATTGGCATTTTACAAACTGATCATCATTCCTCATGGCACGGGTCCATGTGATATTAAGTAGCTTGTTATGCTTGGGAAAGGCAGTGATGACCACAAGAATGACTTCAACTACTAAAGTACAATGGAGATTTCAACAATGTTTTGTTTAATATTTAAATATTTCATTGTGCTCCCAGGCTTTTTCTCACCCTAATAGCTCTCATCCATATCATGTGGGTCCCATTAATACAGATACCTCCGAATGCACCACTCTTCCATTATATCCAGTCAATTGCTGGTTACCTTGGGCCTACCAACTGGGGGAGGGCAGGGGCTGCTGGCCACCTCCTCATCTACAGTAAGAGTCAATGAGCAGTTAAATGGATACTGAAAACCATTTATCCTGCTGGAGTGAGAAATAAATGGTTTCTTTCAATAGCGTAGTAAAATGCATCTTTTCCAAACTATTTATATGACTCAAGGCCCATCTCAATTTCAGATGTGGTTAGCCTCAATTCCTGATTCTCACCAAGGTGTGTAATGTCATCCACGGCCCAGTGCAGAGGAACACAGGTGCTGCCGTCAGACTGCTAGGGTCCGATCCCGCCTCCTCACTCACCCCGGGAGATCCCTTTAAGCCAGGAGTCAACAGTGAGGATGGAAACATGAGTGCTTTTTAAAGTCCTGAAAGTTCAGAGGCAGACTGTCAATTTCTCCTCCACCCCTGGGCACACACCAGGAGAATTCTGTCTCCAGGTTGGAGGAAGTGCCTGTGAGAGAGTTGTGTCCCTCAGATTCTGTTCACCACAGGTGACACTCGATGCAACCCCAAACCTCTTCTGCACAATCCCAAGGGGTGCTGACTAATCCAACCCAAAGGCTGTGATGTTTGGCAGAGGCAGAAAAGAAAAGGCCAGGTGTTCTGGGAAAGACCACCTTTAAATAACACAGCACCCTCATAGCCCAGAGAGACAGTTCTAACTATTATGCCAATAAACCCGGAAAAGACCAAGTCCAATATGACACATATTTCCTGTTTTGTTTTGATTTCATGCCCCCTCCCTTAACCTCCCAAGCAGCATGGATACCCCGAAGGCCCCTGGGAACTCTCTCCAATTGGATCTTACGTGGAAAGTAGTTACCTACCTACAAATCCCCATCATCAGATATGCTCTCCACAATCAAATCTTTAGAAACACAAACACCAGGATAAGTCATTAGAGAGAGGCCCACCCACTCCTCCCACCCTAGCTGAAGCCATGGTGCTTCGCACAGGATCCCCTGGTGTTTCCTCTGGGCTCACAGATATCCCTACAGCCTCTCTGGACATGGTTTTATACTTGCAAAATCATTTGCTCTCACCAGACCCCAAATCCTCCTTCCCAAAAGGAGCCCAGAATCAGGTTTCTGTACCCTAGAGATGGCGCTTTTTTCTCAGGAAGTGAGTTATTTCAGGGTAGGTATCATTCTCCAGTGTCAATGGCTCCTGCAATTATAGAAAAGAAAACATTAGGAGGGTGAAATGATGCCATACACGTCACACAGATCTGATAGTCTCTCGACAACTTGAGAGAGAAAATATGAAGTCCCCCAAAACTGGCACGGAAGACACCTGTGGAAAAGACAAGACCTTTTCCCACAGAATTTATCTTTAAAGTGTATCTAGATTGGCAGTTTCACAACTCTTAATCCATGGGGGAAAACTGCTGTGGAGGGAAACACCTCTGCATTGCAGTGGATCGTGGATGCTGCCATCTACCACACCCCAGTGTGCCTGGCATGGGTTGGTGAGAGGCCGCCAATCAATAGCACCACACCAAGGGAATTGCAGATGTCATAAATAGTCCACATTGGCAGATGTTCATGTCTACATTTGATTAAACTGCAGATGACATCGATAATGCACACTGGCAGATGTTCATGTCTACATCTGATTGGAAAGAAGCCAGGAAAGTAACATTTCTGTTCAAGACAAAGAAAAGTGTCTTACATTGGCAGCATCTTCTTTTTTACAGATGTCTTGTACAGTGTCCTCATTAGCAATGTCATATACAGCGTCCTTATTAGCGAATTCGTATACAGCATCCTCATTAGCGATGCCATATACAGCGTCCTCATTAGCGATGTTGTATACAGCGTCCTCATTAGTGATGTCGTATAGAGCGTCCTCATTAGCGATGTCATATACAATGTCCTCATTAGCGATGTCATATACAGCAACCTCATTCGCTATGTCTTGTAAAGCATCCTCATTAGCGATGTCATATACAACGTCCTCATTAGCGATGTCGTATACAGCGTCCTCGTTAGTGATGTCTTGTACGGTGTCCTTATAAGCAATGTCGTCTACAGCGTCCTCGTTAGCATGCCTTGTGGGTGTCATTAGCGATGTCATATACAGCATCCTCATTGGTGATGTCTTATATGGTGTCCTCATTAGCGATGTTGTGTACAGCGTCCTCGTTAGCAATGCCTTGTACAGTGTCCTCGTTAGCAATGTCATATACAGTGTCCTCATTAGCGATGGCTTGTACACTGTCCTCATTAGCGACGTTGTGTACAGCATCCTTGTTAGCGTGCCTCGTACGGTGTCATTAGCGATGTCGTATACAGCGTCATAATTAGCGATGTCTTATACGGTGTCATCATTAGTGATGTTGTGTACAGCGTCATCGTTAGCGATGCCTTGTATGGTGTCCTCATTAGCGATGTCGTATACAGCGTGCTCACTAGCGATGTCTTTTTTTTTATATATACTTTAAGTTTTAGGGTACATGTGCACATTGTGCAGGTTAGTTACATATGTATACATGTGCCACGCTGGTGCGCTGCACCCACTAACTCATCATCTAGCATTAGGTATATCTCCCGATGCTATCCCTCCCCCCTCCCCCCACCCCACAACAGTCCCCAGAATGTGATATTCCCCTTCCTGTGTCCATGTGATCTCATTGTTCAATTCCCACCTATGAGTGAGAATATGCGGTGTTTGGTTTTTTGTTCTTGCGATAGTTACTAGCGATGTCTTATACGGTGTCCTCATTAGCAATGTCGTGTACAGCGTCCACGTTAGCGTGCCTTGTCGGTATCATTAGCAATGTCGTATAAAGCGCCCTCATTGGTGATGTCTTGTACGGTGCCGTCATTAGCGATGTTGTGTACAGTGTCCTTGTTAGCGACGGCTTGTATGGTGTCCTCGTTAGCGATGTCGTATACAGCGTCCTCATTACCGATGCCTTGTATGGTGTCCTCATTAGCGATGTCGTGTACAGCGTCCTCGTTAGCGTGCCTTGTACGGTGTCATTAGCGATGTCATATACGGCACCCTCATTAGCGATGTCGTATACGGAGTCCTCATTAGCGATGTCGTGTACAGTGTCCGCGTTAGCGTGCCTTGTCGGTATCATTAGCAATGTCGTATAAAGCGCCCTCATTGGTGATGTCTTGTACGGTGCCGTCATTAGCGATGTTGTGTACAGTGTCCTTGTTAGCGACGGCTTGTAGAGTGTCCTTGTTAGCGATGTCATATACAACGTCCTCATTACCGATGCCTTGTATGGTGTCCTCATTAGCGATGTCGTGTACAGCATCCTCGTTAGCGTGCCTTGTACGGTGTCATTAGCGATGTCATATATGGCATCCTCATTAGCGATGTCGTATACGGAGTCCTCATTAGCGATGCCGTGCACGGCATCCTCGTTAGCAATGCCGTGGGCAGCGTCCTCGTTGGCGATGCCATGGACGGCGTCCTCGTTGGCGATGCCCTGGGCGGCGTCCTCGTTGGCGATGCCCTGGGCGGCGACCTCGTTGGCGATGCCCTGGGCGGCGTCCTCGCTGGCGATTCCGTGGGCGGCGTCCTCGTTGGCGATGCCCTGGGCGGCGTCCTCGTTGGCGATGCCCTGGGCGGCGGCCTCGTTAGCGATGCCGTGGACAGCGTCCTCGTTAGTGATATCGTGTGAGGCATCCTCGTTAGTGATGTTGTGTACGGTGTCCTCATGGGGAGCTAGAAGAACACAGAGTTAAGGTCAGTGCCCTGGTAGTGGAGACTGTGAATCACCCAGGGGCTTGCTTGGTGTGGTGCATGGAGGTGGCTGATCACAGCATGGGCCAAGCTGATGCTGGGACATCCTCCCAGGTGGACCTGCACTAGTGAAGCTAAGGGATGTGGCTCAGAACACTTTCTGCAGTGGGCATCAGTTTCCAGGTTCAGGTATGCATTATCCAGTGAAGTGGGGAAATATAAAAAATAAAAATTGACAAATTCATGAAAAGCCTTCCATGAGTGCAAGTGTGAGTTTTTTATCCACTTTACATTCAGTATGCATTCACACATACAAAATATTTTTACAAGAAATCAGAAATTTTAATTTTTGTCAGTTATGTGAAATCTAACTTAGCTGCCAACATAAAGATTCTATCTCATTTACTTGGTCTCGAGAAAATCTAGCACATAGTAAGTAGACCAAAATGTTTATTAAATGAAAACACAGAGCAGAGATAGGGGGGCTGCTAGGCAGACTGGGTTGCACCTGATTACCTGGATGATAATTAACTGCACAAAACCTCGGTCAAATTAATATTGAAACTGCCTTTTGCTTGGGCTCGTTTCCCTTGCGGAAGAAGGATGACCAAGGAGATGAACAGGAAAGAAATGAGAAACAGAGGCCTTTGCCTAGTAGCTAAAGGCCACCTTCTATAACACGAAATAGTCTACAAGCGGCCTTGAACTCTGCCGTGATTTAGTGACAGAGTTCCCTCGTGTCTTCTACCCAGGTTGAAGTCCAGCAAAATTGCGACTGTCCTCTTTACAACTTGCGAGACCACACTGCTTCTGCATTTGCCTGTTGTATGTACGAGATTTACACTTGTTTTAAAGCAACATTTTGTTTCAGTTGGGCTGGTGGCCATACCCGGCACTAGCCGGTCAATAGTGAGATGGCTCCTCATGGAGGAGGCTTGGCTTGAGGCTGAGGGTCTTTAACCCACATATACAAGAGAGTTGCCACTAAGGGATGGAAGCCAGGCTAATAACCAAGTGCCACACAGAGTTCCTATCTGTCCCTCCTCACCATTTTTGGCTGGCAGGATTTGAGCATTTTAGGGCTTGGGAAGATAGTATTACTAAATCTACTAAAATACATCACCCATCCTTATAGACTTTGGCCAGTTGCTGAGCAAATTAACTTCACAACTGAAGTGGGCCACACTGGCCTTTGTGGTCCCCCACTCCTCTTAGAATTTGTGAGCGTGGGGCCTACTGGAGGGTGGGAGGTGGGAGGAGAGGGTGGATCAGGAAAAATAACTGATATTAGGCTCAATATATGGGTGATGCAATAATCTGTACAACAAACTCTCATGACACACATTTATATATGTAGCAAACCTGCACATCCTGCACATGTACCCCTGAACTGAAAAGTTAAAAAAAAAAAAAAGGATCGGTGAGCTGAGCCAAACACCTGGGGATCTTTGTGCTTTTGACACACTGATGACTATGCCTGTCCGTGGGGAGATGAACCTATAACTGCCCTGGGTTGTGTGACCACGGAGGCCACTTTATGATGATGGGCAGTGCCTGGGGCCTTTTGGGCTCGGTGCCTTAGGGTTTATACATGAATGCTGGACTCCCTGTGTGGTGGTGAACACCCCATGACTAAGTGCATGTCAGCGTCAGCACTGGCCCACACTCCTGGGTTCGTGTTTTCACTGTTTCATTCAGGAACTCGGGAGCTGGGGCCACTCCCTTGGCCCTTCAGGTTCTCCACCTGAGCAGTGGGGATAATAAGGCAGACCCGGGGATGGCTCTGGTGAGGGTGGAGGAGTCACTGTACAGAGAGAGTAGAGCGGGGGTGGATTTTATTGTTAGAAGTGGACACTGGTGATTGGGTTGTATAAGTGGGAAATCTCTCCTGAGAAAACACACAGCCTCACCTGTACAGAAACACACACATTCACACCACACGATGCAGCCTCACACAAGACACCACCAATCCTCAAGCACCCAACTCAGCACCACCCAAAAGGGAGCACAGCTGCTTCCTCAAAATTTGGCCATAATTTTTCCCTGGGGAATTCAGGTTTTAAAAAAACACTTCCCCTATACTTATTCCTATCACAATCCCAGGATCAGGGTGGCTCTTCACATTGAAACCAGGCAAGGATGCCACACCTTTCTTGGCATCCAGATTGTTTTCTTGGTAAGTGATTCCAGAATACTTACTAGATTCACGCCTCAGAGGGGCCACCTGCACCACCTGCAATACAGAAACAAAGCTTTTTGAGGGGTATGTCATGTTGTGGATTGTTTGCACAAGGCTGTGTTTCTCTCAATGAATATTGAAAACTTGATCAGAAAGTGTAGTCAACTTCAAGGCCTCCAAAACAAGGGTAGGATACACACTGGAAAAGACATCAGCTTCTGGATGGCGGATCTCTCAGGTCCACGTAGGTTGGCAAGTGCAAAATACTGAATCCAAGGAGAAGACATTGCTTCCAAGGACAAGGACCCCAAGGATACAGTCTACAACCTGAAGCCATCATAGCTAAATGCCATTTTGGATTACATATCAGTTGCTAAGAGTCACTTCTTCCTCCCCCTCAGAAAACTGCATTTAATACCTGTCATGGACATTGTCATCTTTTCACATGTAAAGTCAGTTGAAAAAGAAAGACAACAAGAAAGGAACATTTCTATTTCAGAGAAAGCAAGGCAACCTTACCCTCACGTTGACTGGCCTCTCTCCATCTCCTCTGTCCTTGTGAACTAGAGACTCCTCAGAGGCTAGGAGGACACAGAGCAACAGTTAGTCATAGATGCTTTTGTTCATGAGCTATTCAGGGAGCTCTGCTTAATGTGGACAACAGGACAGTGTGTGTGGATGTGTTTCATTAAAAGCACAGCTTGAGCTCCTGCTAGAAAATCCTCCCTCGTGGAAAGACAGGCAAGAACGAGGAGCTAAGGAGCAAGAAATAGAGTCCCTGGCATTTTGCTGATGGCAACTTAAGGCAATGGGAATGAGTCAGTCTACAAATGGTACTGAAGCACATGCTATAGTTTGATGAGAGTCCCACTGCTCACACTGTGAGGTTTGAAACCCAGCTAAATGGTTTTCTAAACCTGTAAAAACAATATTACTTGCAGGATTTATGTCCCAAGACTACTTTTACCTCTGAGGATCCACAGTGGCTGTCACTGCAGTTATTATGTGTTTTAGCATTTTGCACTTGAATAAAAGCAAAGTTTAATAGACAGATTGGATTCAATTCTAGGCAAAACAGTCTATGGTATTTATTCACTAATCCTTTGTTATAACTGCTGATGGGAGAATTAGAAGTACTGAAATTATATCCTTTAAAATTAATTAAAGCATAATTATTAATCACACAATATTTTTTCATCCAGGCCTCCTTTTCTTTGTCATGCATGCATATTAACTGAGGATGGAGAATATCTACGCTTGTTCAGGCCAGCCAACATACGACAGTTTACTTCAAGACAGGAGACATGGGTTGAATGCTGGTATGTTTTAACTCTGCAGCGCAAACAGTTGCAACAAGTGTGGTGAACTAATCACCAGATGGCCCTTTGCTGCCTTATTTGTCATTGTGCCTTACATGTAGCTTGCAGGATTTGATTACGCTTATGTTTTGTGGTGATCATACTTTCAACTATTCCTAAAATACTGCTTCAGTCTTATCTGTTTGGGGTCAACTGCTGAGGATTTCATACAAATTAATGAAGTTTGTGAATCTAAAGTTCTACACAAAGGGGGAAATATTTGCAAATCATTTATCTTGTAAGAGACTAAAATTTAGAATATTTTTAAATATATTTAAGATATATTCAAAAATCTACAGCAACAAACTAACTAAATAAAAATCAGACAACTCTTTAAAAATGGGCAAAAGACTTCAACATATATTTCCCTAAAGAAGATATAGCCACAAATAGTAGCACAGGAAAAGCTGCTCAGGATCATTAGTCATTAGGGAAATGCAAATGAAAAACACAAGCAGCCACCAATATACACCTACTAGGATGATTTAAAGGAAAATAAGTGTGAACAAGGATGTAAAGAAATTGTAACCCTGATACATTGATGGTAGAAATGGATAAAGTTGCAGCCACTGTGAAAAACAGTCTGCAGTGGCTCAGAAGGTTAAATATAGAACCCCTGTTGGACCCAGGAACTCTACTCCTAGGCACCCCAAAGAATAGAGAACAGAAATCAAACAGATGTTTGTATACTAATGTTTGTAGCATCACTTTTCACAGGAGCCAAAAGGTGGAAATAATCCAACCATCAGTGAACAAATGAATGTAATAAAAGCAAGGTGGTCTGCATGCAATGCTACATCATCCATCTGTAAAAAATGAACATCATTTTGATAGATGATACAACATGGGTGGACATTGAGAACATTATGCTTAGTGAAATAAGCCAGACACAAAAGGAATATATTGTATAATTGTAATTACATGAAGTGCCTAGAATAGTCAAATTCATACGAGAGAGTGGGATAGGAATCACCATGGGCTGGAAATAGGGGGAAGGCGCTATATTGCTTATTGTGGACAAGGTTTTGTAAGAAATCATCAAAATTGTGGGTGTAGATAGTGGTGTTGGTTATGCAACCCTGTGAATATATTGAATGCCACGGAGTGCACACTTTGGTTAAAAGGTTCAAATGATAAATAATGTGTTATATATATTTCCCCACGATAGAAAACATGCACAGCCAAGCCCAGATGCCAGTCTTGTTAGCTGCCTTCCTTTACCTTCAAGAGTGGGCTGAAGCTTGTCCAATCTTTCAAGGTTGCTGAAGACTGTATGATGGAAGTCATCTGCATTGGGAAAGAAATTAATGGAGAGAGGAGAAAACTTGAGAATCCACACTACTCACCCTGCAGGGCCAAGAACTCTGTCTCCCATGCATTGCTGACCCATCTCAGTATTTCCTGTGACCACCTCCTTTTTCAACTGAAGACTTTGCACCTGAAGGGGTTCCCAGGTTTTTCACCTCGGCCCTTGTCAGGACTGATCCTCTCAACTACTGACCATTTCACCTCCATTCATGTCCATGCCACATCAGGCTGTGTTGTCTAGATGGCATGAATCTACCCCAAATGTCCCTTTCTGGAGGAAGCCACCATTATGCTGTACCTCCAAGCATAATGATACGTCCACACACACCAAGGCACCTCACTCATGCAAGGTGTGTGTCCTCTAACAAAGTTTCACGCTCTAAACCCAGATAACTTTTGAAACCCAAGTTCTGTTGATTCCCCTACTTTGGGTGCTCCATAGATGCTCATGTGTCTACTAAACACTGCCCCAGGCAATTAAATATTCCAAAGTGACCAGCAGAATTTTTATGTTAATTCTGACATTGCATTGTTAGTACAAGTGTTTTTCCCCCTTCAAATTTATGTCTTTGTTACTGATAAATGTAACTGATAATGCTTTTTTCAGCTATGTTGCCAAGCATATTTATATAAAAATATACTCAGATTGTTTTCAGAATTTGACAAAGATGATAGCAACAACGATAATCTCATTTGTCTTATACTAATCTTTATGTGTTACTTTCATCATTTCTTACATATTGGGGCCTACCATACATTGTACGGTGAAATTAGTGCTATGCATCATGGTAGGAATATAAATTGGCAAAAGTAATTTAGAAAATAGTTCCCTTCTTTCTTAAAAAAATTAGGCTGGGTGTGGTGGCTCATGCCTATAATCCCAGCACTTTGGGAGGCAGAGGTGGGTGGATCACCTGAGGCTAGGAGTTTGAGACTAGCCTGACCAACACAGCAAAATCCTGTCTCTACTGAAAATACAAAAATTATCCAGGCGTGGTGGTGTGTGCCAGTTGTCCCAGCTACTCGGGAGGTTGAGGCATGAGAATTGCTTAAACCTGGGAGATGGAGGTTCCAGTGAGCCGAGATTGTGCCACTGCACTCCAGCCTGGGTCTCAGAAAAAAAAAAATTTTTTTTGACCAAAATGTCATTATGCATTACATGACTGTATATGAATGCACAAAGCTACATTACTCATCAAAGAAAATAACAAAACAATTAAATGTCCATTAACTGATAAATGAATAAACACTATCTGTATGAATAAACACAGCAGACTATGAAGGAAAACACATGACCAGCACGTGCTAACACGTCAATTAACTTCAAACATAGTATGCTAAATGAGGGAAGTCAGATTCCAAATATATATATATGTCCATTTCTATAAAGCAAGTGGGAAATTTATGGAGATGGAATGTCACAGCAGTATTGCTTAGGGCTGGAGATGGGAGTGGGGATTAACTGCCAGTGCGCAAGAGAGAACTTGGGTGAGGGAAACATATTTAAATTAGATCGTGGTGTTGGGTGCACACAGTATCAATTTAATAAAGCATCAAATTCTAGACCTTTTCAGTGGGCAAACTTTATGGTGGGTTCACACCCAATATAGGTGTTAAAAATAATGTTACGGAAATTCTTGTCGGGTTTTTAACAAGCCAAGAGATATGCTGTGAAAGCAGCATTAATTCAAGTGGTTGTCACAGGTCACTTAAAGTTAATCAGATAGTTGTCCTACAAATATAGGGTGAATGTTATTCATGAATTTCCTGAATCTATTGCAATAATCACATTTTTTTCCATTAAACTCTTGAGGTAGCTAATTTTATTTATTGCATTTTCAATGTTAATCTACTATTTCATATGTTGAGATTAACTCACATTAGTCAGAATTTAAAGTATTTTAAAATATCACAGAATTTAATTTACCTTATCTGGATTTGGTTTCAAGACTATACTAGCCATTTCATTTAATTGTACATGTAGGGTATTCTAATTTATGGAAAACTATTACATCTTCCTTGATTTTTTTTTTTTTTAGAAATTACTTCTAGGGATCTATATGGTAGAGTCCATGGAGAATTGTTTTAATTCTTCATTCATGTCTTCAGTGGGTATAGGATTGGTCATATTGGTCATAGTTTTCTGCTCGGATTTCAATAAGAAACTTGTGGAAGAACCCGAAGGGTGGGATCTTTGAGGGAGCCTAAGACAGAGCAAGACAAGCTAAGAAGGAGGGCAGTGCCACAGCAGAACTGCCATTGATGCCCCCTCGCCTAGACTGTGGAAGAGACATCCAGCTGTAGACACTGAGGTGCAGGAAAACAATGGAGCACCATCAGAGAAAGCAGTGCCCAGGAACAAGGAGGCACTGATGGTGGCAAGGGGCAAAGACAGCTGCCACGAGGCTGTTCACATGAGGGTCTCAGGCTGCATAGACACCCACACCAGCTGAGGGGTCCTGGTTTTCATAAAGTGTGTGGCTCAGCCAGGCCACCAACAAGCAGTTCACAAACAGTAGTAATACGACACTTTCCAAAGACCTTACTTGAGTAACACGGTGATCCTCACAAATTTCCAATCAGGATGGTCGCACAGTTCCTCCTGCTTTAGGACTCAGAGCCTGCCCGTGGTCACAGTGGGTAGGTGCAGACTCTGAAGATGCACTTTGGTCAGAGACCCTGCTGAACTCTGTCTAATGAGGACCTCTGTCCTGTCTGCTGACCACCGGTCAGAGGTGCAGGCTGCAGTGGGGAGTAAGAATGCCACCTTCTCAATGTTGGGAAAACTCCCTGCCAGAACTGAGAATGGCCCTTTCTAAGCAGAAGGCAAGCTCAGACTAAAGAAGGAGGCCGAACACATCAGGTTGGCAGATTGCCAAAGATTCACTCAGGGAGAGCCCACATCCTGGGCCATCTTGGGTGGTGGCAAGATGAGGTAGACGACTGCTTTTGCAACACACACCTGACAACAAAAAATCAACAACTGTAAAAGAGCCACAAAATCCCCAAATATTTGCAAATTAGCAATGCACTTTTAAATAACTCATGGGTAAAAGAAGAAGTCTCAATAGAAAATTAAAAATACTTTTAACTACATTAAAAGAAAATGTCACTTGGCAAGATTTCTGGATGTAGCAAAAGCAGTCCTTAGAGGGAAATCTACAGCATTGGATGCAATATACTAAAAATCACAAGACCTAAAATCAGTAATATCATGTTTCAATTAGGGAACTATAGAAAATAGAGGAATGCAATGGAAAGCAAGTAAAAGTAATAAACAACATCACAGAAATCAATAAAATTAAAACACTGAAATCATCAGAAAATCAATAAAACCAAAAGCTGGTTCTTTGATATGCTCATTACAATGAATGAATTGATATGCAGGCTAACCAAGAAAAAGAAGATAACACAAATGACCAATTTCAGAAATAAAAGAGGAGCCATCTCTACTGAACTGTTAGGCATTAAAAGGAATATTATGAACAGTTCTATGACCGCAGTCTGATAACCTCAGTGAAATGTATCAATTCCTTGAAAGGCAATCTTCCCAAGGTCACGCTAGAATCCTAATTTGAATAAACTTATGTCTATTAAATAAGTTGAATTCACATTAAGAGCATTCCGAAAAAGAAAGCACCAGGCCCAGATGGTTTCTCTCATGAAATCTACCGAATTCTTCAACAGGTGAATAAAAAGACAAAAATTCATTTAATGCAATATTATTTGGTGATTTAATGTGCCATTTTTTGCCATTAAGGCATAAAAAAGACATGAAAGCAGCTAAAGCATACATCAATTTAGTGCAATAAATTCATCTGAAAAAACTACATAATATATGATTCCAACTATATGACATTCTGGAAAAGGCAAAGCTGAAGCGATAGTAAAAATATTAATAGTTGCCAAGGTTTCTGGAGAAAGAGGACAGAGATTAATGAGAAGAGAGGATTTTTAGGGAAGTGAACATTTTCTTTATGAGACCATAAGGGTGAACATAATGTTTTAAATATTTCAAAATTCATATATATGTATAACAGAAAGAATGAACATTATGCAAATGTAGACTTCAGATAATAATGTATCAATATGTTCTCATTATTCTAGCAAATGTACCACAGTAATGTAAGATGTTACTAATAGGTGAAATTAGGAAGTGAGGGTGAGGAGTCAGAATAATATGGGAACTTCGTGTATTATATAGTCAATTTTTATTTATTTATTTATTTATTTATTTTGAGATGGAGTTTCACTCGTCACCCAGGCTGGAGTGCAATGGCATGATCTTGGCTCACTGCAACCTCTGCCTCCTGGGTTCAAGCGATTCTCCTGCCTCAGCCTCCTGAGTAGCTGGGATTACAGGCGCCTGCCACCACACCCGGCTAATTTTTTTGTATTTTTAGTAGAGATGGGGTTTCACCATGTTGGCCAGGCTGGTCTCCAACTCCTGACCTCAGATGATCCGCCTGCCTTGGCCTCCTAAAGTGCTGGGATTATAAGTGTGAGCCACCACACCCGGCCATATGCTCAGTTTTTATGTCAATTTAAAATTCTCTAAAGAAATATATTAATTGAAAAGTAATAATATAGCACCACTCTTTCAGGGAGATCTATGCTTTTGTTTAACAACCAGGTAAGTTCTAGACATTAGCTTGAAACATTGTCTATCATTAAACATGAACCAAAATTGACTTTTAAGTAGATATTTACTTTTGTGGTGGTAGCAATATTTACTGACCAGGCAAATTAGAATCCTGACACATTAAAAAATATGGCTTAGTCTCTTCATAGTTTCCTCTTACATATGGGACACTGAATACTCCCCGCAACTGCAATTCTTGAATCAACTTAATTAATGAACTTCCACAGTACCTTCTTGTGGGTACCTCTTCTTCTTTACCCGGGAGCCATGAGGTCTCCTACACTGGTTGGTGTGCACAGCATATCTTCTTGTATTCTCTATCAGAGAAGACGCTGGTTAATGCATTGACAATAGATAGGGCTGTTGACATCTTGCTGACAGAAGGCCAGAGGGAAAATAGTGATAATCTGTTCTAAGTTTAAACTTATGATCCTTTTCTTTACAGGCTTCCAAGCAGAGCCCACTGAATCAAAGTTGGGTTTCAGGAAGATCACGGAGTTCAGTGAGCACTCAACACCTCTATCAGACAGACTGCGTGGGCAGTGCCTTCCTGGAGAGGGGAACACAGCCGGATGACTGTGAGTGCAGGGCTGGTGCAGAGTGGGGGCCCGGATTCAAATTCCACTAAGCCATGTGGACCTGGCAAGCTCATGTCTTCCCTCTGCCCTCAGTTCTCTGCACTGTCATAATGTAATTTTAGCAATACTTTTTAGGCCCTATTTAGGCCCTACTTCTTAGTATCACAGTACAGGGCTAAAAAATCACTAAATACAGGAAAACCTTAGAGAGGACTGGTACTTCAGTAATGTTCTCTAAGTGTTTACTACAGGCCAGGAGGAATAAGCTGGACACTTAGCAGTGGCGGAATATGGAGGGGGAACTTGGATGGCTCCGGGGCAGTGGAGCATGCTTTCCTGTTCGGCTTTTCCGTGGGCATGACGCCTTATGGTTTATGGAGAACATCAGCCCTGCAGGGGGTGCAGAGGAGGGGCTGTGGCTGAGATTTTACACTTGAGGGTGCTGACATTCAGAGATGATAAGTGACGAGCAGAACCTCAACCCCGCTGAGTGAAGGACCTGAGATGGGAAATGTATTTGGTTCCCTAGAGAGAGAGATTCCTGAAAAACTGCCACCTCTTCATCACGCCCTGTGCCAGAGACCCAAGAGACCCCTCACTGTCTTTCTCCAGTCCTCCTAGCCCAAGGTGTGTGGGTGGACAAAGGTGATGCTCTGGAGGAAATGCCTGAGATAAGGACAGGTCCTTAATGATAAAGAATTCTCCTTCCTCTTTCAGATCCTTGACCTCACCAGTATGACAGCTTAAAGACTGTCATCTCTGTGGCCTGCCTCCCCTTTCCCTTCACCCTGCCAGCTGCCTCTCAGTGACTGTCTCCTCCAGTGACTACACTGAGGGACCAGGGACTGCTTGCCTCCCGAGGCTGCTCAGACCTTCTGACACCGCAAAATGATTGTCAAAAATGAGTCTGCAAAGAGTAACTTCCCTTCCACTGATCAAACCTGAATATGCAAGCTACTGTGAATTAACTGGAAAAGTGGCCGTGTGGGCTGGTGCTTTGGTGATTTAATGAATAAAGTCTGCAACCCCCACTGCCTCCTTGACTATTGATCAGAGCTGCCTGCAATAAGGTCTGGCTAAGAATCGGCAGTGGCTGTACCAGCTCTGGGTAAAATTTGACCTAAAATGACCAGTCTCATTCACTAACCTCACCATAGTCTTATGGGTTCAATGGACCTGTCCAATCCTTTGCTCTGTTCTCTCCATCACCTTCCTGTGTAATTTTCCTCCACCACGCACATAACAGAAACATGGCACAGGGGAGCTAATCACCTCTTTTATCCCCCACTTCAGGCTCACACATAAGTTTATAGTAAAAGCCTTTTCAAATGACTGCTTTAACTGCTGCTACAGCATGTGTCATCAGTTGAATGGAATCTGTCACGTGACTTTAAGCAACCCTTTGCTGAGAGACAAGATTCAATACTAGGGACAGTATTCTAGTGTACTACATCATTGATTTTATGTTATGAAGATCATCATTTATTGAAAATGTATAAATAACGAAGCCCAGCCTTACTCTTCAACGCTGTGTGTGTAAATCCACTGAGTGTGCTGACCCCCACGCTTGTACCCACCTGCTAACACAGAAAGGGTCCACTCAGAAGGCAGGCACAGCTCCAGCACTGAGGCTGTCCACACCAGCTTCACAAGAGGGTTGCCACAAGGACGACGGATACCCGGATAACAACCAAATGGTAATTTGAGTACTTAATGGTCATGATCCCTAAAGTGTGTAGCTCAGAGGGCTTGTGGTGATAACTCCATCAAGACTCTAAAGCATCTCCCCAATTCTTACTGGACTTGATCCATGTCTTGAGGAGACCCAGCTATGACACGCAGGCACCACGTTGTCCTACTTAGTGCCTCCCTTAGTGTTTCAGAACCTGTGATTTGATCAGAAACATGGGCTTTCTATGTTGGTTTCACACTAAGGACTATGTGACACCTGCAGGAAGATGTCTACATAGCTACCTGGATTATGAGATCATGAGGCTGTCTTATGTGAGGGATGGCGTTTGGGATCTCTGCAGGCGTGGGTAATTCCAGGCATAGAGGGTGCTGGAACTCCCTTGCATGGTGAATAGTGATCTCTTCACTGGCTGATAAATAGAGGTTGTAGTTCAGGCCTTCAACATTAGCACCGTTTGAGTAAACATTTTGACTCTTCACTATGCAGCAAGTGAACCAGGGCACATTTATTTATGTGGCTTAGTTTCTCCATCTGGCATGTGGGCTCAATAAACAAGCTCACAACATATGGGCATGATGATGATGAGGTGTGAACTAATGTAAGTAAAGTATGTGGTCTGATTTGTTAAATTAAGAAACATGGCACTGAGAGTTGTGCTGGGTAAACACAACATTTTTTTCCTAGGGGAAACACACATAGACACACATTCACAAGCAAATCATGCAGACTTGCACACAGACCACCTCACCCCACCCCCGCCCTAATACACACATACCCACACACAACCTAATGTGAACATGTTCCCAGAAACTATACATAGATAAAAAGAGTATGTCACCAGGAAAACCAGTTTCTTTTACTATACCCTACATCCTCATTCCCACCAGATGTCTTGGATCATGGAGGCTCTCCAGACAAAAGCCAGCAGTTAAGCTCCAGATTTCCTGTAGAATCCTTTTCTAACAACCAGTGAGTGATTCCAGAATACGTACCATTGAATGTGCTCCCTGAAGTCACCTGTAATTAGAGAAGGAAAACACTCTGAGAATCAGGCTATGCTATGGATGGCTCACACAGGTCTTTTGTTCACTTGGAAACTCTGGGTAACCAAGACTGGAAATAAGGTTCAAGTCAAAAGCCCCAACTCTAGAGTAGAGTTCCCTTAGGAAAGCACAGGAGCTTTTCTTGAAGAATGTTTCTGTCTAGGTAATTTTTGAGTAGCAATTGCAGAATTCTTATCTAAAGTGGAAAGCTTGTTCCTGAAGAAAACATCCCTTAACACCCAGTGTACTATCTGACACTGCCAATTTTGCACGTCCTCTGGAATCAGGTGTCAGTTGGTAAAATACACCTCCTCCATCCCCAAGGAAATATTATCTAACACCTATAATGTAGTGGAGAATTTTCCCATAGCTGATATCAACTGAAAAATAAAGGATCCAAGAAAACAACATTTACATCTTAGGCAAAGACAGGCTACTTTACCTTGGTAGTAGAGTAGGGCTTCCTTTTCACACGCTTTTTGGAAGGCTTCTTCGAGTCACCTAGGGGATGTGGAGGGACACAGCATGGCTGTCAGTTCATTGGCAGTGCTACTCATGAATGACTCAGGGACTGGAACTTAGGGGCGTGCCTGGTTAACAAGCATGGAATGAGCTTCTCCTGGACCATCTTCTTCACGGACCAAGGAAGGCAAAGAAAGAGCAGCAAGGAAATGAGAGTAGAGCCCTTGGCTTTCCAGGTAATGGCAAATGAAAGCAACGTGAAATAATCAACTCCAAATGAACAAATGCTAAAATACATGCTAGGATTCAACCACAGCATCCTGTCACTTCTTCAGACCCTTTAAAAGCCCAGCAGGACTGCCACTACCTTCTTGACATCTACCAAGTCCCTTTCAACCTCCACAGACCCACATACACTGCTACTGCATTTATCATGGAGGGTATAGGGTTCTGCCTTGTTTATGTGTGAATTTTTTAAAAACTAGATTTAATACCATGCACCAGCATTAATTGTATTTATTTCTTTTCTTGGTTATGAAAATAATCAGTCAGGCATAGTGGCTCACACCTGTAATCCCAGCAGTTTGGAAGGTGGAGGTGGGTGGATCATTTGAGGTCAGGAGTTCGAGACCAGCCTGACCAACATGGTAAAACCCCATCATTGAAGATAAATGTTTTATATCCATGGTTAACAGATGAGATGACCATGAAATGAACACCAGTGTACTGGGTGGAGCAGCTTATCTATTCAGTCTTCGGCACTAAAACCTGTGAAACAATATCATCTTGCCTTATTTACTAACAAATACAAGTGCCTCTAAACTTAGACAGTTTCCAAGTCATGGAACTGATGAGCACTTAGCTCCTGCAGAGAGCTCTGGACGATGGGTCGGGAGAACAAAGACACAATACATCAAAACAGCATTAACAAGTAAACAGGTTTTCAAAGCCCTCTACATGCAAATTTACACAATTATCCTTTTAATTTTTATCTTCATATATATGTACATAATCTACTTGCTTCTGAGTATAAATAAAACTGTATGTTCTTAGTTAATAGTCTCTATAAATTCACTCTATTTATCTTTCTGAGTTGAAATACTGCATCTCATTGGATAACAAAAAAAAAATTTGACTAAGATTACACTGGAAAGGTGAGTAGGTTGGGTGATTGACTGTGATTGACAATTCCATGATTCTGGATAACTTCCAAGGCATAAAAATAAATGTGTGTTTTCTTTCACACGTAGACAATACACATACTTATTACTTTAAAAAATTAATATGTGCATGGAAGTGACTTACTACAAATATATTAAAGTAAATACACATTTCACAAAAAAAGAAGAGAGGAAGGGAAAAACATGTTAAAAACAAAGAGATGTACATTTTATTGTGTGAAAAGCCTCCAACGGATCCATACTACTGTGGCTTTGTTCCAAAGTTTTGGAAAGTAATGATTTCATAGGTTCTTAATTGGGTTAAAAACTGCATTAAAATAGACTTTGCCATATTCTCCCCTGGGGAATAACTTAATCTGTGGGGTGGGGGATGGAACGTTGAAGGATGCAGGATGTAAAAGGAAATTATATATATATATATATAATTTGGAATTTGGGAATAAACTGAATAAACTGAATCCCAATTCACACTGGGACTACACCAGCTGCCACCATGCCTGGCTAATTTTTTGTATTTGTAGTAGAGACAGGGTTTCACTGTAATGGCCAGGATGGTCTTGATCTCCTCACCTTGTGATCCTCTTGCCTTGGCCTCCCAAAGTGCTGGGATTACAGGCCTGAGTCAAGATACATATTTTTTAAATGAAGAAAAATTTCAAAGATACTCTGCTTGGTACAATAATCAAATATATAAATTGAGGAATAAAACATAATCATGAAACATATTTATAACTGCATATGGAAAATACAGAGGCTAATTTTTTAAATAACATATTTTGAAAGCATTAACTAGTAATTTGAAAAGATCGCATTTGACAGGCCAGTATGAACATACCTTGAATGCAGCCACACAGGTTCCCCATAAGAAAAATCAAAATCAGGGAAAATGAAACCACAATGGTTCAATCTGCTCTGACCTTTGAAAAACTCAGCACAGATAGTGGCACTTAGGACCAAGGGCAGGAGATCCCTAATCCCATCACCATGGCGATAGGGCATAAACATTCCAGGGTGAAGGCACAATCCACACTGTGAGGTCCAACTGCTGCCATGCAGACAGGTGGGCTTTTACAAGTACAGGAAGGTCATCAAAGGCTCAGTGTTTTGTTTCAAAAACTGAATCCCAAGCCCACACATTATTATGCTGGCTTCTTAAAATAAGTTATGAGATGGGAAATAGGGCACCCACAAATATATATACATATAATTATATATAATATAATATATATTATATATATAACATATATATAATTTCCTTTTACATCCTGCATCCTTATATTATATATAATATTACGTATACTATAATATGTATTATATATAATATAATATATATGAATATATATAATAATAAAATATAATATAATATATATATAATTATATATAATTATATATAATATAATACATAATTATATATTATACATAATATAATATATATAATATAATATAATATAATATATTATATTAGATAATAATATATATTATAATATATCATATATTATAATATATAGGAATATAATATAATATATATTATAATATATTATATATTATAATATATAAGAATATAATATAACATATATTATATATAATGTAATATAATATATAATATAATATATAATATAATATAATATATAAAATAATAATTAATATTTTAAATTTATTATTAATTAATATCAATTAATATTAAAAATAATATAAAATATAATTAATATATAATATAATCAATAATTATTATATATAATAAAATATACAATTATATATATTATATATAATAAAATATATATATTTATGTGTATTTATTACATATAATATAATACATAAATTATATATAATTATTACATATAATATAATATATATTATACATAATTATTACATATAATATAATATATACTTATATATAATTATTACGTATAATATAATATATAATTATATATAATTATTACATATAATATAATATGTATAATTATATATACAAGATAATATATAATATAAATTATATATTACATATAATATATTATATAAGATATATATAATATCTTATATAATATATTATATGTAATATATTGTATAAAATAATATATATTTTATATATAATATAATATTATATATAATATAATATATAATATATTATACAATAATATATTATAAGATAATGTATATTATAATCTAATATATTATATATTATTACATAATATAATATTATATATTATTACATAATATAATATTATATATTATTACATGATATAATATTATATATTATTACATGATGTAATATTATATATTATTACATGATGTAATATTATATATTATTACATGATATAATATTATATATTATTACATGGTATAATATTATATATTATTACATGGTATAATATTATATATTATTACATAATATAATATTACATATTATTACATAATATAATATTACATATTATTACATAATATAATATTATATAATATTATATAATATAATATTATATAATATTATATAGTATAATATTATATATTATTATATAGTATAATATTATATATTATTATATAGTATAATATTATATATTATTATATAATATTATATATTATTATATAATATTATATATTATTAAATATAATATTATATATTATTATATAATATATCATATATTATTATATAATATATCATATATTATTATATAATATTATATAATATTATATTATATATTATTATATAACATTATATAATATTATATTATATAATATTATATATTAATATATAATATAATATATATTATTATATAATATATTATATATTATTAAATAATACAATATTATATATTATTATATAATACAATGTTATATATTATTATATAATACAATGTCATATATTATTGTATAATATAATATCATATATTATTATATAATATAATATCATATATTATTATATAAAATAATATCATATATTATTATATAAAATAATATCATATATTATTATATAATATAATATTCTATATTATATAATATTATATTCTATAATATTATATAACATTATATTATATATAACATTATATAGGCTTATGTATTTTATAATAATATAATATATAATATATTTATGGGAATGTGATGATATTATATATATTATATAATATATTATATATTATGTAAGATATTATGATATATATTATATAATATATTATATATTATGTAAGATATTATGATATATATTATATAATATATTATATATTATGTAAGATATTATGTTATATATTATATATTCTATAATATATTATGATATATATTATATATTATATAATATATTATGATATATATAATATAATGTAATATAATATAATTATATGTAATATAATATTATATATCATATATATCATATATTATATATTATACATCATATATCATATATTATATATCATATATCATATATCATATATTATATATTATATATCATATATTATATATTATATATCATATATTACATATAATATATGTCACAGATTTTATGTAATATATGTCACATACTATATAATATATGTCATATATTATATGTAATATATATCATATATTATATGTAATATATATCATATATTATATATGTCATTTATTATGTAATATGTTTCATACATATTATATATAATATATATGATGTGTTATATATATTATATATGATATATATTTTATGTAATATATGATACATATTATATAATATGTATATTATCTATATTATATATTCTATATAAAATATATATATTATATATGTCATATATTATATATGTTATATTACATATATTATATATAATATATAGTAAATATTATATACCTAATATATTTATTATATATAATATATTATATATAATATATATTAGGTATATAATATATTATATATAATATGTTATATATAATACATTTATATAATATATTATATATAATATATCTTATGTATACAGTATATTATGTAAATATATTATATATAATATATTATGTACATAATGTATATTATATATAATATATTATATATAATATATTATATATATAACGTGACATATAATATATATTATTTATATATAATGTATATTATATTTTATATATATTATATATTATATGATATATATAATATATAGTACATATAATATACATTATATATGTATAATTTTTTTTAGACCAGATTCTTGTTCTGTTGCACAGGCTGGAATGCAATGGCGCCTTCTTGGCTCACTGCAACCTCTGCCTCACGGGTGCAAGCGATTGTCCTGCCTCAGCCTCCCAGGTAGCTGGGGCTACACCACACTGGGACTACACCAGCTGCCACCATGCCTGGCTAATTTTTTGTATTTGTAGTAGAGACAGGGTTTCACTGTATTGGCCAGGATGGTCTTGATCTCCTCACCTTGTGATCCTCTTGCCTTGGCCTCCCAAAGTGCTGGGATTACAGGCCTGAGTCAAGATACATATTTTTTAAATGAAGAAAAATTTCAAAGATACTCTGCTTGGTACAATAATCAAATATATAAATTGAGGAATAAAACATAATCATGAAACATATTTATAACTGCATATGGAAAATACGGAGGCTAATTTTTTATATAACATATTTTGAAAGCATTAACTAGTAATTTGAAAAGATCGCATTTGACAGGCCAGTATGAACATACCTTGAATGCAGCCACACAGGTTCCCCATAAGAAAAATCAAAATCAGGGAAAATGAAACCACAATGGTTCAATCTGCTCTGACCTTTGAAAAACTCAGCACAGATAGTGGCACTTAGGACCAAGGGCAGCAGATCCCTAATCCCATCACCATGGCGATAGGGCATAAACATTCCAGGGTGAAGGCACAATCCACACTGTGAGGTCCAACTGCTGCCATGCAGACAGGTGTGCTTTCAGATGTACAGGAAGGTCATCGAAGGCTCAGTGTTTCGTTTCAAAAACTGAATCCCAAGTCCACACATTATTATGCTGTGCTTCTTAAAATAAGTTATGAGATAGGAAATAGGGCACCCCCAAATATATATATATATTATATATAATATAATATATATAATATATAACATATATATAATTTCCTTTTACATCCTGCATCCCTTATATATAATATTATATTTAATATAATACACAATATTATATTTAATATAATATATAATATTTTATTTAATATAATATACAATATTATATTTAATATAATATATAATATTTTATTTAATATAATATATAATATTATATTTAATATAATATATAATATTATATTTAATACAATATATAATATATTTAATATAATATATAATATTCTGTATAATATATATTATACATAATATTATATATAACATAATATATAATATTATGTATAATATATATTATTATACAGATATTATATATAATATAATATATATAATTATATATGAAATATAATAATGTATAATTATATATGTAATATAATAAAGTATAATATATAATATACATTATATATTATATAAAATATTGTATAATGTAATATGTAATATATAGCATATCATAATATAATATATTTTATAATATAATATATTATATATTATATATGATTATATTATATTATATTATATTATATATTATATAATATATGATATATTATGGTATATTATATATAATATAATATATAATATAATTATATATAATATACCATAATATATATGATATAGAATATATAATATATATCATAAATTATATAGAATATATAATATATAGCATAAATTATATAGAATATATAATATATATCATAAATTATATATAATATATAATATATATCATAAATTTTATATATAATATATAATATAATATAATATAATTATATATAATATAATATATAATATATCAGATATCAGATATAATATATAATATATATCAGATAAAAGATATAATATATAATATATAATATATATCAGATATAATATATAATATATATCATATATTTTACATAATATATATCATTTATTATGTAATATATATCTTTTATTATAGATAATATTTTTCATTTATTATATAATATATGATATATCATATATGATATATATCATCTATATCATATATGATATATATCTTCTATATCATGTATGATTTATCATCTATATCATATATGATTTATCATCTATATCAGGTATGATATATCATCTATATCATATATACGATATATCATCTATATCATATATACGATATATCATCTATATCATATATACGATATACCGTATATATCATATATATGATATACCATGATATATATATGATATACCATGGTATATATATGATATACCATGATATATCATATATATCATATATAGTATATAATCTATATCATTTATATTGTATGTAATCTATATCATATATATTGTGTATAATCTATATCATATATTGTATATAATCTAGCATATATATTGTATCTAATGTATCATATATATTGTATATAATCTGTATCATATATATTGTTTATAATCTGTATCATATATATTGTATATAATCTGTATCATATATATTGTATATAATCTCTATCATATATATTGGATATAATCTCTATCATATATATTGTATATAATCTATATCATATAGTATATAATATATATCATATATTGTATATAATATATGTCATACATATTGTATATAATATACATCATACTTATTGTATATAATATATATCATACATATTGTGTATAATATATATCATACATATTGTGTATAATATATATCATACATACTGTGTATAATATATATCATACATACTGTGTATAATATATATCATACATATTGTGTATAATATATATCATACATATTGTGTATAATATATATCATACATATTATATATGATATATATCGTATATATTATATACGATATATATCATATGTAATATATACGATATATATCATATATATTATATATGATATATATCGTATATTAAGTTAAGTTTGGGGATAGCCCAGAATTATATATGGATTTTCAACTGCACAGGAGCTGGTCCCCTAACCCTTGCACTGTTCAAGGATCAACAGTATGTATAATACTATAGATTTTATTCATATTTTAGAGTGTAGTACTGCTACTCATTAAAAAAAATTAACTATAAAACAGCTTCAGGAAGGTCTTCCACGAGTTCTTCCAGAAGAAAGCCTTGTTATCATAGAGAATGACAGCTGCATGTATGTTATTGCCACTGAAGACCCTGAAGACCTTTCACTTGGACAAGATTTCGAGATGGAAGACAGTGATATTGATTATCCTGACCCTTACAGGGCTAAGCTAGTGTGTGTGTTTGTATCTTAGTTTTTAACAAAAATGTTTAAAACATAAAAAATCAAAATAAATGAAGCTTATCAAATAAGGATATAAAGTATTTCTGTACAGCTGTTCAATGTGTTTTTGTTTTAAGATGTGTTATTATCAAAGAATCAAAAAATTAAAAAAATTAAAAGTTTATAAAGTTATGATAAGCTAAGATGAACTTGTTAAAGAAAGAAAAAATTTAAATACATTTAGTGTAGCCTAAGTGTACAGTGCATATAAAGTCTATAGTTATGTACAGTAATATCCTAGGCCTTCGCATTCACTCACCAAGTACTCCCTGACTCATCAGAGCATCTGCCAGTCCTGCAACCTCTGTTCATGCTAAATGTCCTTTACTGGTGTACCACTCTCTTTAAATTTTGTAATATATATATATATATTTTTCTTTGTTTTTTTTGAGAAGGAGTTTTATTTTGTTGCCCAGGCTGGAGTTCAATGATACGATCTTGGCTCACTGCAACCTCTGCCTCCGGGGTTCAAGTGATTCTCCTGCCTCAGCCTCACGAGTAGCAGGGATTACAGCCCCACGCCAGCACACCCAGCTAATTTTGTATTTTTAGTACAGACGGAGTTTCTCCATGTTGGTCAGGCTGGTCTCGAACTTCTAACCTCAGGTGATCCGCCCCCCTCGGTCTCCCAATGTACTGTGTTTTTACTGTATCTTTTCCATGTTTAGATATTACTACTGTGATATAACTGCCTACAGCAGTGGGCCCCAAAGTTTTGACACCAGGGACTGGTTTTGTGAAAGATAATTTTTCCACGGAGTGGGGATGGCTTTGGGCTGAAACTCTTCCACCTCAGATCATCAGGCATTAGTTAGATTCTTTTTTTTCTTTTTTTTTTCTTTTTTAGACTGAGTCTCCCACTGTTGCCAGGCTGGAGTGCAGTGGCACAATCTCGGCTCACTGCAACCTCTGCCTCCCGGGTTCAAGTGATTCTCCTGTCTCAGTCCCCCGAGTAGCTGGGACTACAGGCATGCGCCACCACACCCAGCTAATTTTTGTATTTTTAGTAGAGACGGGGTTTCCATGTTGGCCAGGATTGTCTTGACCTTGTGATCCACCTGCCTCGACCTCCCAGAGTGTTGGGATTACAGGCGTGAGCCACAGCACCCAGCCTAGTTAGATTCTCATAAGGAGAACATAACCTAGATCCCTTGTATGGGCAGTTCACAATAGGGTTTGTGCTCCTGTGAAGGTCTAATGCTGCTGCTGATCTGACAGGAGGCGGAGCTCAGGCAGTAATGCTCGGCTGGCCAGCCACTCATCTCCTGCTTTGTGCCCAGTTCCTAACAGGACACGAACCGGTGCTGGTCCATGGCTTGGGTGTTGGGGACCATTGGCCTACTGTATTCAGCACAGTGACATGCTGCACAGGTGTGTAGCCCAGGAGCAATAGGCTGTACGATATAGCCTAGGTATGTAGTAGGCTACGCTGTCTAGGTTTGTATAAAGTACACTCTTTGGTGTCTGCACAGCCACAAAATCACCTAATGATGCATTTCTTGGAATATATTACCATTAAATGAGATTTACCTGTATTAGTGTCATCTCAGGTTTATTGTCTAGTAATTTTAAAAGTATTTGTATATTCTTTCCCAGACACATCATCATACTCTGGTGCATATCTCTATTTTATTCCCTAGACCCACTCTTAATTTTTCTGCATTCTGCTTTGTTCCTTAGGAGGCTCACCTGAATTGGATACTTCAGAGATCTCCCTTACCCTCATGCTTTTATTGGGGTTCAGCTAATGGAGGGGGTGGCAGAAGATAGGTGAGAGAAGAGTGTGTGTATCCCCCACCTCTGCCCCTGCAGGGTCAGCACAGGCAGACTGTGTCCCTTTGCTGAAGATCACAGCTTCTGTCTGGTGCCTTCTTGGCAAGCTGGCACTGTCTCTAGTCAGGTGACTGCTTGGCCCCTTACTACTTACACTCTTCTGTCTGGTTTCTTTGTGACTTTCCTGCTGTGCTGTAAGTAGTCCCTTTATTAGAATCCATCCACATTACCCAGTTATATAAAGACAAATAGTTGGTCACTGATCTAGTTCACTCCCTGAGAATCAGCCTTCATCAAAGATCCCTAACAGTCACATATTCTGTTGGCCGCTCCATTCCTGCTCCCCATTATTCTAGTTGTGTCTTCCTTGTCTCTAGTGCAGTCACAAAGCATAAGCGCCTCCACTGTCACTTGTTCTTTGCAACTCTAGGATCACATCATTCCCCTTGAAATCAGAGAATCTGCAATCTCCCCAAGCCCACAAAATTCAGCCGTCACAGTACTTTTCAAGCATGCCAGCAGCCCTCCCCAACAAACGAATCCTTAATTTCTTACAGAAACATCTTCTGGGCTTCCTGTGGGACACAGTGCGGGTCGGCTTGGCATGTGGATCACACCTGATATTTTTACCCCCACCTCCTACTATTCCTATTCCTTTGTATGCACCTCTCTTTATTATGCTAGGAAAGCTCTGGCAACACAACCTCAAAATAAGCAGGCCAGTGTGGATTCACAGTTTCTGTCAGACAAACAAACTTGAGCACCACTTCTAACTTCTTGGGCTAAGACTTGTGGGAACAATCATGGGCGATAAGCACTCTGTCCTCCAAGTGTTAGCATCTGCGTTCTGGTTGTTGATTGCTACTTTTGATTATGGAAGGGCAAACACAGAGGCCGGCAGCCATTATTGCTCACAACTCCCCACTCCACTGCTGCAAGCCCTTACCAGACTGAAGCAACTTCTAGGAGATAGAAAAGGCCAGAACCCCATTTCCCTTCCCCTTCGTTGTTCTCTTTTCCTTTTTTGGGAGCCAAACATTAAAGACTAGGACACTCAAAAGCAATGGCATACACAGAGGAAATTAAAGTTACCACACATCCTTGGAGAGAGGAGTGTGTGCCCAGGGAAAGGAGCAGCTTCAGACCTGAGAAGACCTCAAGCTTACAACTCAGGTTGATCCTCAGCATGGAGACAACCTACAACAATGTAAAACATAACAAAACCCCAAAACAGCAAACCCTGAGGAAGAGGAGAGTCTCATCTCCAGAGTTACTGCATTATTATATTCAAGTGTCCAGTTTTCTTTTTTTTTTTTTTTTTTATTATACTCTAAGTTTTAGGGTACATGTGCACATTGTGCAGGTTAGTTACATATGTATACATGTGCCATGCTGGTGCGCTGCACCCACTAATGTGTCATCTAGCATTAGGTATATCTCCCAATGCTATCCCTCCCCCCTCCCCCGACCCCACCACAGTCCCCAGAGTGTGATATTCCCCTTCCTGTGTCCATGTGATCTCATTGTTCAATTCCCACCTATGAGTGAGAATATGCGGTGTTTGGTTTTTTGTTCTTGCGATAGTTTACTGAGAATGATGGTTTCCAATTTCATCCATGTCCCTACAAAGGATATGAACTCATCATTTTTTATGACTGCATAGTATTCCATGGTGTATATGTGCCACATTTTCTTAATCCAGTCTATCATTGTTGGACATTTGGGTTGGTTCCAAGTCTTTGCTATTGTGAATAGTGCCGCAATAAACATACGTGTGCATGTGTCTTTATAGCAGCATGATTTAAGTGTCCAGTTTTCAATACAAAACACAAGGCATACAAAAAACAAGAAAATATGGTATTTCAAAGGAAAAACAACAACAGAAACTGTTCCAGAGAAAGACCAGATGGTAACCTACTACACAAATACTTTAAAACAACTTTCTTAAAGATGGTCAAAGAACTGAAGGAAGATGTGGAGAAAGTCAGTAAAATTATGTGTAAACAAAATGGGAATATCAATAAAGAGATAGAAAACCTAAAAAGAAAAAAAATAAATAAATTCTGGAACTAAAAGTGTAGTGATTGAAATAAAAGTTCACCAGAGGGATTCAAAAGCAGATTTGAGCAACAGAAGAAAGATTCAGTGAATTTGAAGATGGGACACTTGAAATGATCAAGTCAGAGGAACAGAAATAAGGACGATTGTTGAATAGCAAGCAGACATTGTGGAAGTCCCAAAAGAAGAGAGGGAAAGGGGCAGAGAGATCATTTGAAGAAATAATGGCTGAGGCTGAACACGGTGACTCACACCTGTAATCCCAGCACTTTGGGAGGCCAAGGTGGGTGGATCACAAGGTTAGGAGTTCGAGACCAGCCTGGCCAATATGGTGAAACCCCGTCTCTACTAAAAACACAAAATTAGCCAGGTGTGGTGGTGCATGCCTGTAATCCCAGCTACTTGGGAGGATGAGGCAAGAGAATCGCTTGAACCCAGGAGGCAGATGTTGCAGTGAGCCGAGATTGTGCCATTGCCCTCCAGCCTGGGCAACAAGAGTGAAACTCCGTTTAAAAAAAAAAAAATTAGCTGGGCGTGGTGGCACGTACCTGTAGTCCCAGCTACTCAGGAGGCTGAGGCAGAAGAATCGCTTGAATCCAGGAGGCAGAGGTTGCAGTGAGCCAAGATCACACCACTGTACTCTAGCCTGGGCAACAGAGCGAGACTCTGTCTCAAAAAAGAAAAAAAAAAAGCTGAACACTTCCCAAATTTGATGAAAGACATGAAAATAAATATCCAGAAAACTCAATGGACTCCAAGTAGGATGAAAAAAAAAAGACTCATACTGAGACATTATAATTAGCCAGTAGGGCCTCTTGAAAGCACCAAGAGAGAAGCAACTAGTCACATGCTAGGAATATATAATAGGATTATAAGTAGATTTCTCATCAGACACTTTGGAGAACAGAAGACAATGGGATGACATATGTAAAGGGCTAAAAGAAAAACAACCACTACCTCTCAACCAAGAATCCTATATCCAGCAAAACTGTCCTTCAAAAGTGAGGAAGAAATTGGGAAATCCCCAAATAAACCAAAGTTGAGAAGTTTGCTACCATTAGACCTGCCCTGCAAGAAATCTTAAAGAGAATCATGCAGGTTGAAAAGAAAGAACACTAGATAGTAACTCAAAGCCATATGAAGAAATAAAGATGCCAGTAAAAGTAAATATATGGGAAAATATTAAATCTAGTATTATCGTAACTTTGGTTTAAAACTCCATGTTTTGCTTTCTACATAATTTAATAGACAAATGCATTAAAAACAATTATTAGTTTATGTTTATGGACACACAATGTACAAAAATGTAATTTTGTGACATTGATAACTGAAAGAGGAGTGGCAAAACTGTGAGGAGAGTTTTTGCATATTATTGAAATATAGCTGGTATGAATTCAAGTTAGAGTGCTATAACTTTAGAATGTTAAGTGTAATCCCTATGGTAACCACAAATAAAACATTATATAACATAAAAAAGTAAATGAGAAGGGAATTAAAACACTTCGCTACAAAAAATCAACTAAATACAAATGAGATCATGCAGGAAATGGACAAAAATGCTGTAAGGCATATAGAAAATGTATAGCAAAATGCCAGAAGTAAGTCCCCCCTTATCAGTAATTACTTTATTACTTTTTAAACCATTTTGTTGAGGAATGATTTACATAAAAACTGTACATATTTAACGTACACATCTTGATAAATTTACACCATAAAACCATTATCATCAAGCCTATAAACATATCCATCACCTTTTAAAATTTCCTTCTGCCTCTTTATTATTATTATTGTATAAAAAAATGTTTTTAATGGCCAGGTGCGGTGGCTCACGCCTGTAATCCCAGCACTTTGGGAGGCTGAGGCAGGCGGATCACCTGAGATCAGGAGTTGGAGAGCAGCCTGGCTAAGATGGCAAAACCCCATCTCTACTATAAATACAAAAATTAGCTGGGCGTGGTGGCGGGTACCTATAATCTGAGCAAAGTACTGGGAGGCTGAGGTGGGAGAATCTCTTGAACCTGGGAGGCGGAGGTTGCAGTGAGCCGAGACAGCACCATTGCACTCCAGCCTTAGCAACAAGAGTGAAAATCTGTCTAAAAAAAAATAATAATAATAAAAGTTTTTAATTAAACAATTTAAGAATATAGTAACATTTTCTGTGGGTACTATGCTGTATAGCTCTCCAGAACTTACTTATCTTGCATAACTGAAATTTGTACACTTTAACCATCAACTTCCCATTTCCTTCTCTTCCCCAGCTCCCAGCAACCACCATTCTGTTCTCTTCTTCTGAGTTTGACGTCTTTAGGTTCCACACATAAGTGAGATTGTACAATATTTCACTTTCTGTGTCTGGCTTATTTTACTTAACATAATGCCCTCCAGTCCATCTATGCATAGAAATGCAACTGATTTTTGGATGTTGACTCTGTATCTTGCTACTTTATTGAATTTATTACTTCTAACAGTCTTTTAGTGAAGTCTTTACAGTTTTCTATACATAAAAATATGTCATCTATGGAGACCATTTTACTTCCATCCTTATTTCTTTACTTGCTTAATTGTTCTGGCTAGGACTTCCAGTCCTATTTTGAGGAGAAATGGTGAGAGTAGGAATTCTTGTCTTGTTCTTCATCTTCGAGGAAAAAACGTTCAGTCTTTCACTGTTGAGTATGTTACATGTGGTCTTCATTATGTTGAGGTACATTCCTTCTGCACCTAATTTGCTCAGTTTGTTGTTTTTTTTAATCATGAAAGGATGTTGAATTTTATCAAGTGCTTTTTAATAATAAAAATAAAGGATTTTTATCGTTTATTGTGTTGATGTGGTGTATCACATTTAGTGACTCTTGTATGTTAAAGCATCCTTGCATGCCAGAGATAAATCCCACTTGATCCTGGTGAATAATTCTTTTTTTGTTTTTTATTTATTTATTATTTATTTATTTTTTTGAGATGGAGTCTCGCTCTGTCATCCAGGCCTGAGTGCAGTGGCGCGATCTCGGCTCACTACAAGCTCCGCCTCCCAAGTTCACGCCATTCTCCTGCCTCAGCCTCCCTAGTAGCTGGGACCACAGGCACCCGCCAGCATGCTCAGCTAATTTTTTTTTTTTTTGGATTTTTGGTAGAGACTGGATTCATGGTGAATAATTCTTTTAATGCACTGTTGAATTTGGTTTACTAGTATTTCATTGAGGATTTTTGCATCTATGTTAACCAGGGATATTGACCTATAGTTTTCTTATTTTGTAGTGTTCTTATCTGGCATTGATATCAGGATAATGCTGGCCTCTTAGAATGAGTTTCAACGTGTTCCCTTTTCTTCAATCTTTTTGGAAGAGTTTGAGAAGGATTGTTATTAATTCTTTAAATGTTTGTTGAAATTGACCAGTAAAACCATTTGGTCCTGGGATTTTCTTTGTTGGGAGATTTTTCATTACTGGTTTAATCTCTACTTATTTTTTCTGTTTTTTTTTTTTTTAATTATACTTTAAGTTCTGGGGTAGCCGTGCAGAAAGTGCAGGTTTATTACTTAGGTATACATGTGCCATGGTGGTTTGCTGCACCCATCAACCCATCATTTACATTAGGTACTTCTCCTAATACTATCTCTCCCCTTGCCCCCATCCCCCAACAGGCCTCAGTGTGTGATATTCCCTGCCCTGTGTCCAAGTGTTCTCATTGTTCAACTCCCACTTATGAGTGAGAACATGCGGAGTTTGGTTTTCCGTTCCTGTAGTTTTCAGATGTGCTCTGGCCTCCAAGGACCATGAAGCCAGGCGGTGGTGGGGGGGTGTCCTCTGTATAAAAAGTGCTGTCCCAGGAACTTCCTGACGGACACTTTGGGGCATGTGAGCGATTCCTGGGGAGGGCACCTCGGCCTTCCTAAGGCTACCCCTGCAGCCAGCGCTGGCCATTCTCACCAGCAACCAACCAAAAAACATCAGAGTCCCTGTAAACCTGGTTGTGATGATAAAAACCAAATGTTTTCTAATCTAAGACTTGTATGCAGAACACAGAAAACTGCAGTTAAGGAACACCCTACAAAATTGACCAACAGTATTTTCCAAAAACATTTTTCATCACTTTAAATAATGTACAAAATCTACAAAAATCATATTTACCAGGACACATCTGTTAAATAAAAGCATTGTTTCGTGTTGGTATACATATATACAAGACTATGTATAACAGACTGTTTCCCCTCCCTGCAACCACAGAACCATCACACACAGGCACAGATACACGTCGGCTATGCCGCTTTCCACGAATGCATGGAACCCAGGACGCGAACCCACAGCTCGAGGTCTTATACCTTCACTACTGAGCTGCCGCCACTGCAGCAGCAACACCTCTGCGGAGGTGTTGCTGAAGTCACTGGTGTCCCTGCCCAAGGTGTCCTGGTCCTGGTCAACTCTACTGATTGACCCTTCGTGGATACCTCAGGTCTAAAATCCTTTCCTCCGAGCCAGAGCTCTTCCTGTTGTGCAAACTCAGCCCCGTCTGTACCTTCCTGCTTGGCCGGTGACCGCAGTCCTTCTTCGCCAGCAAGTGTGGGCTTCCAAAGACAGGGCTGGGCCTGGCCTGGGACTCCCTGAAGGCCGAGAAGGACAGGCCCTGCAGAGGCAGCCCCAGGTAGGGGCTGAAGAGGCCGGTCTCCCTGCCCCCCCAGGAGACACCCTTTCCAAAGTGGAAGAGCTGGGTGGACAGCAGCGGGGAGAAGCCCGCAAGGGGCAGGCTGGGCAGGCCCCGGGCGGGGCCCTCGGACCCCTTGTCTCTCTCTCCCAATGCCGCCCCCTCCACGCCGCATCTCTACCTTTGGAGCGCAGTGCCCATGGGCTGGGCAGCCGACTGTGGTGGGCAAAGTCACTCCAGGGCGGGGCGCGGTTGGCCTGGGCTCCAGCATCCCTCTCAGCTCCCGGGCTGGGGGTCAGGAAGCTCCGGTTCCTGCAGTCCACGTGAAAGGTCCCCCTGGCTCCTCCTGCCTCGGTGCCCGCTGTGGCACAGCTGGGCCGCTGACCAAAAGCACTTTTGGCAGCAGGCTCAGCCCCTCGTGGGCTCTGGTCTTTGTAAACGTAAACATTTCTCTTGCTCACTGAGAGACCTTGGCGGAGACACTGCCGCTGGTCCTCCTGGGTGGCGCATGATCCCCTCCGCCGGATCAGTGGGGAGCCCCTTCCCACCCTGGCTGAGCAGGCACGCTGCGCCCTGTGCTCCTGCGCTCCCTACGCCTCGATGCCCTTCAGCCAAATGTGCACATGCCAGGCAGTGGGGCCGGCTCCTTCCTGCAAGGTACCTCTGGCCTGGCTGGGCCCCCTGTCCCGAGAGCGGTGGGGCCCTCTGCCTGAACTTCTGAACTGCTCACCGACTCCTTGGCCTTTTCCACCAAAAACTTCCTAATCTCCAGTTCGATGCTATCGTCGCTGTCCACTGAACTGCTGTTGTCAGACAAGGAGCCAGGGCTGGGAGCTGGGCCCTGGGACTCTCTGGGGAATAGATTCTCTTCGGAGGCGGAGGCAGAAGCGGGTCTCCTCACCAGGAAGGCCGGGGCTTCGTCCTCTCGGCCCTGCTGCCAAAGACACTGGGGGGTTTCTTCCTGGAGCCCTCGCAGCTGTCTCTCTTGGACTTAGGCAGCTCTTCAGCACCTGCAGGTGCCTGTTTTTCCACTCTCTCAGGAGCCTGCCCAGCCGCTCCTGGAAGTGCGTCTGGGAGGTGCTGAACCTGACCTTCTTCCTGCACACAGCCCTGGGCTCCCTGGACCTCTTCTTGAGCTTTCACTTGGACCTTAACAAGTCCTTGATGGCTGTGTCCAGGTCCTTGTCACTGTCCAGGGAACTGCTTTTGTCTTCGGAGCTCTTCTTCTTGTCTAGGTGCCTTGCCTCGTCTGTCTTACCCTGGCCCTGTGACGTGCGAGTGTCACCGGGCACCCTAGCGGCGCCCTCTCCTCCCGGGGCCTCGCTGGCTGTGCCCTGGATGGAAAGGTCCCACCCTAGCGGCGCCCTCCCATCCCGGGGCCTCGCTGGCTGTGCCCTGGATGGAAAGGTCCCGCCCCTCATGGCCGGGCCCGGCTCTCCCCTGGCTGCGGTCGGCATCCTGGCCACCCTCTTTCCCCACCACCCGCATGTTCTTGGGAGTGGATGGCCTCACTTGGCAGCCGCCTCTATGCTTCCTTTTGCAGCCAGGAGTGGGTCCAGTGTTTTAGAGAGAGGGGCCTTGGGGCTGCCGGTCTGGCTGCTGAGGCCAGGTGGTGAAAGTGGGCCCTGGGCAGCCTGAGGGCAGCTCTCACCTCTGGCCAGCAAACTTCTAGACTGCACCTTGAGGGCCAAAAACGTCCAGATTTCCTGCTCAATGCTGTCGTCGCTGTCCACGGAGCTACTGTCACCATCAGAGCGGGAAGGCACGTTGGGGGAGTAGAAGAGTGGGCTTGCGGACAGGGACCCATCGCTGCCCTCCATAGGGCCGGCAGGATCGTCTTGAAAATGTCCAGGACTGCTTCTACACACATCAGCTCAGCGGAGGTGTCTGCCTGGCAAGAGGACCATTCCACAAACTTGCTCCTGGAAGCCGGGCTCGTTGGAGGTGGAGCTTTGGTTTCCTTTGGGATCTTGGGGGAATGGTCAGCGTCCAGATCCCCTGGACCAGGGTCCGTGGTCTTGGTGGGCACTGGCTTCTTCTTGCTGGGTGTTTTCCTGTGGGTCTCTGGCAAGGCACTTTTTGTGGCGCTGCTTGTGCTGTGTGCGGGAGGGGCAGGTGCTCTTTCCTCTTGGAGCTGGACCCTCTGGGGCGGGTCCCCGTCGGCCTCCTTGTGTGTTTTCTGCACCTGGTACAGCTGGATGGCCTCCTCAATGCCGTCGTCGCTGCTGGAGTCGGACGCCTCGGGAGCCTGTACGGCGCTCGTGACTCGCTTTCCCCTCCTTGCGGTGCTGGCGCTCCTTTTAATCCCACTTTTATTCTGTACTGCTTCTGAAGGGCGGTGGGGGTTGCTGGCTTTGTGCTGCCCTCCTTCTCCTGCGTGGTCGTGGTCGTGACCTTGGACCTGAGGCTTCTGGGCTGCACGTTTGTCTTTGCTAACCGGGGGAGGTCTGCAGAAGGCGAACTCCTTCTGGACGCCCATCAGGCCCTGCCGGTGCACCACCTTTGTAGCCGGCTCTTGGTGGGATTTCGAGAGTGACTTCGCCGAATTTTCATGTGTGTCTGGTTTCTTCTCCACTGACCCATCACATTTTTGGGTCTCATGCTGTCTTTTCTCATTCAGAAACTGTTCTATTTCTGCCCTGATGCTCTGCTCAAAGGAGTCTGCTCTGCTCATGCTGACTGGGGAGGCAGAGCCCTGGTCCTTGCTGGATCCCACCTGGCTGCCAGGGCCACACCACCTGAGCCAGGTACAAGTTTTGGGGAACACAGGGCAGTTGGGCACTGCTGTGAGCCAGTTCCCGCTTACATCTACTGCCTCCGCCCGCAGCCCTGGAAGGCTGTGCATGGCTGGGCCCCGCTGGCCCCGGGCTGTGCCGCTCCACTCTTTACCTTCAGGTACTCCTGGATGGCCTCCTCAATGTCCCGGTCCACGGAATCGTCACTGTCTGAATCTAGCACCAATGGGCCAAAGTCTGCAGTTTCCTCCTCCCCCACGGGGTCAAAGTCAGCAACAAGACCACAGGCAGCCAACGCAGGCAGCTCCTTGTGCATGGTGGGCTTGGCAGCAGGCCTGGCGTCGTGGCATCCCTCTGCCCCCTCTGCGCAGTGCGCTCATCGCTGGTGCCCCTAGCAGCCCTGTCGCTCTGCAGCGTGCTGATGAGCATCTGCACCCGGGTGCTCACCGACATGCTCTCCACGCCCTTGTCAGCCTCCGAGAAGCACCCGGGGAACCTAAAGCTCCCTGGCGGGACAGAGGCCTCCCATTTGGGCTGGAGAGCAACCACTGGAGGAGCATTCATGAGAAACATTCTGGCAGATGGGGAGCGACGCGCAGAGGGGCGACACTTTATTTCTCTGCAGGCTTCACATCCTCCAAAGATTGGCAAGCAGTACCCGTGAAATAACTTTAAACCTGCAAATGCTTCTTTGCAGGTTTAAAAGGATGACTATAAACTATGACGTCATGCCTAGATTCATTCTTGACCCAACCAACAAGCTCTTGACATTCTCTGAGTCCAGGTTGACTGTGATGAAAGGCAGCTAGTGTTCCCAAATGGCCCAGGGATCAGGTCTTCATCGCTCCACTCAGAGGGAAGCATCCTCTCTCTGCTTTTTAAATAGACTTTTGACTGGGGCTCCAGCAGCGCGGGGCGCGCAGACCTGGAGTTGCATGGAGGCCAGAGCCACGACACCCGCCTGGGGAACGGAGCAGCCCCAGGCGCTGATCCCCGTCCACCTGCCCCACGGAGCCCTCGCCGCCCGCTTGCCACTGCCTGCATGGCCCTCCTGTCCCCGGCCCCCCAGCCCTCCTTTCCCCAGCTCCCCCACCCTCCTGTCCCCGGCACCCCAGCTTCCCAGCCCCCGAAACCGCCCCCCCACCTCGACCCGGCCCATGCCGCAAGTCGCCCGCTGGGCGGACCCGGCCTCCGCCCGCCTCCTGCGTCCTGGGGGAGGCGGCTGCCGGGGGTGGTGGGGGAGGGGGAGGGGGAAGAGGCCGCCCTCCGCCCGGGTGCGGGGAGGGGGCGCAGGGGTGTCCGGCCAGGCCCCCCGCCTCCCCGCCTCCCCGCAGCAGCTGCCCCGCGCCCGGGCCGCCTAATACTTTTACATTTTAACTTTTATACTACAGTGAAAAGTGATTTACACACCACCACTGCAATATTACAGTGTTATGAATGTGACTATATACTTACCTTTCCCTGTGAACTTTTTTGTTTGAGACAGAGTCTCGCTCTGTCGCCCAGGCTGGAGGGCAGTGTCCATGATCTCGGCTCACTGCAAGCTCTGCCTCCCGGGTTCAAGTCATTCTCCTGCCTCGGCCTCCCGAGTAGCTGGGACTACAGGCACCCGCCACCACGCCTGGCTAATTTTTTGTATTTTTAGTAGAGACGGGGTTTCACCGTGTTAGCCAGCATGATCCCCCTCTTCTGACCTTGTGATCCACCCGCCTTGGCCTCCCAAAGTGCTGGGATTACAGGCGTGAGCCACTGCGCCCGGCCTACCTGTGAACTTAATATCTTAATGTTTTAATGTTGCTAATCAGAATCCTTTTATTTCAACTTGAAAAACTGCCTTATAAGGCAGGTGCAGTGGTGATGAACTCCCTTAGAATTTTTTTGGTGGGAGTCTGGGAAAGACCTTATCATCTCTTTTTCATTTCTGAAGGACAGCTTTACAAGTTGTGGTCTTCCTGATTGGCAGTTTTTTTCTTCCAATACATTGAATATAGCATCCTATTCTCTCCTGGCTTATAAGGTTTCTGCTGAGAAATTCACTGATAGCCTTATTGAAGTTTCCTTGTATGTGATGAATTCCTTTCTTCTTGCTGCTTTTGAAAGTCTCTGTCTTTGACTTTTGATATTTTAATTATAATACATCTTGGTATTATGGTCTTTGGGCTGGCCTTTTTTGGGGCCTCTGAACTTCATGTGTCTGGAAGCCCACTTGCCTCTAAGAATTTGGAAAGTTTTTACCCATTATGTCTTCAAATATACTTTCAGGCCTTTTCTATCTTTTTTACTTCTAGGAAGTCCATAATATGTTTGACCCACTTCATGGTGGTGTCCTATAAATCCCAAAGGTTTTTACTTATAAACTTTTTTTTCTTTCTGGTCTTCTGACGGGATATTTCAAATGTCCTGTCTTTAATTTCACAGATTCTTTCTTCTGTTTGATCAAGTCTGCAATTGAAATTCTCTATTGCATTTTCATTTCATTCATTTATTTATTTTTATATATTTTTGAGACAGAGTCTGTGTCACCCAGGCTTGAATGCAGTGGTGCCATCTTGGCTTACTCCAACTTCCACCTCCCGGTTCAAGCGATTCTCCTGCCTCAGCCTCCCTAGTAGCTAGGATTACAGGCATATGCCACCATGCCTGGCTAATTTTTGTATTTTTAATACAGATGGGGTTTTGGCATGTTGGCCAGGCTGGTCTTGAACTCTTGACCTCAAGTGATCCGCCTGCCTCGGCCTCCCAAAGTGCTGGGATTACAGGCGTCCGCCACGGCACCCAGCTTGCATTTTCATTTTATTCATTGTATTCTTCAGTTCTAGAATTTCTGTTTGGTTCTTATTATTTCTGTATCTTTATTGAACTTTTAGCTTTGCTCATCTACTATTTTCTTGATATTATTGAGTTGATATATACATTCTAGTAAATTTCACTGAGCTATCTTAATTATTTTGAATTGTCAGGCAATTTGTAGATCTCTATTTTTGGGGGGTTGATTACTGGAGATTTATGAGTTTATTTTGGTAGTGTCATATTTGCTGATTCTTCATGATCTACAGACTTTCATTAATGTCTATGAAGAAGCAAATACCTCTTCTTTTTTTTTTTTTTTTTTTTTTTTGAGACAGAGTCTTGCTCTGTCACCCAGCTGGAGTGCAGTGGTGTGATCTCAGCTCACTGTAACCTCCACCTCCCAGGTTCAAATGATTCTCCTGCCTCAGCCTCCCAAGCAGCTGGGATCACAGGCATGTGCCACCACGCCTGGCTAATTTTTTTGTATTTTTTGTAGAGACAGAGTTTCACCGTGTTGTCCAGGCTGGTCTCAAACTCCTGGCCTCAAGTGGTCTGCCCGCCTTGGCCTCCCAAAGTGCTGGGATTACAGGTGTGAGCCACCATGCCCAATCTCTTTCTGTCTTTATAGATTGGTTTCAGCAGGTACAAACCTTTTCCTGCTGGATCCCTTGACTGGATCACAGTCAAGTGGGCCTGGAGCCATATTACATGGCTGCTGCCTGGTCTGCAGCTGAATCTCTGATTGGCAGGCCGCTATCAAGGCATAGGTTGGTGATGCAGTTTCTGCTGGATCCTCAGGAGAACTGGACTGCCTCTGATACCCTGATTGAACAGGACTGGAGCCAGGTCATGGGGCCACTTCTAGTTCTACAGTCAAGTCTTCAGATATCAGGCCTATTACCAAGGGCATGGACTGGTATAGCTCCCTGTGGGTCCCAGATTGAGCTCCTGCTGGTTTACTAGGTAGGTCCATGGGAAGACAGGACTGCCTCCAGACCACAGTAGAGCAGGGCTAGAGCCAAGTCACAGGACAGCTTTGGTGACCACATTTGAGTTCAAGATTGGTGGTCCTCTTATTAGGAGAATGGATGGTATGTCTTTCACCAGGTCCCAGGATGGGCTGGACTGTGCCCAGACTGTGGCAAAGCAAGACTGGAATGGAGTCACAGGGCTACTTTAGTGTCCATAGCTGAGACTGAGATCAGCAGGCCTGTTACCAAGGGTATGTAAAGGCATCACTGAATTCCTGGGCAGGCATGACTGACTGTGGTAGAGTGGGGCTGAAGCCAGGTCAGGGCTGCTTTAGTTTCTGCAGTCAGGACCATGGTTAGAAGGCCTGTTACTGGGGGCATAAATGGTCATGGTTCCTCCTAGGTGCTTAGTGGATGGGGCTAGTTGCAAGACCATGATCTAGTGGAGCTGGACCCAAGTCCATAGGAGGACAAAGCTGCTTTCAGTCTGCAACTGGTAACCTGTCACTGGTGTGTGGACCTGCCTTCTCAAAGCAGCTCTCCTTGGTTTTGGGCTTTGCTAGAGTTTTGCCACCTCCTGCCTGGATATTAAAACTCTTGCAAAGGCAGTTTTGTCCATGAATGGCTGCCAGATCATTGTTTGTGTGGGGAGAGGTGAGTGGAGGGCCTCCTGTTCTGCCATCTTGCTGATGTCACCCTAAGATGATTATTTGAATTCTTTGTCAGGCAATTTGTAGATCTTCATGTCTTTGGAGTCAGCCACTGGAGTTTCATTTTGTTTCTTTGGTGGTGTCATATTTTCTCATGCTTCCTGTTCTTTGAAGACTTAGATTGCTTTCTTCATGTTTGAAGAAGGAGTCATCTTTTCCACTCTTTACTAACTTCAGGAGAGAAAGACCATCAATTAGCTAAGCTATAGATTCTGGGGGTCTCTCAGTCCTTTTCTGTGGGTGGTCCTTCCCTTTTAAGGGGGATGTCTTAGGATTTTGTCCCTTGTCTTCATTTCACAAATGAATAAAACAACCAGACCAGACATAAGTAAGGAAATACAGCACTTGAACAACACCTGAAAAAACAACTAGACCTAACAGACATACACAGGATATTCTACCCAACAACATAATACACATACTTCTCAAGTATACATGGGACATTTTCAGGATAGACCATATAACACATCACAAATTAATTCTCAATAGGGGCTGGGTGCAGTGGCTCACATCTGTAATCCCAGAGTAATTTGGGAGGCTGAGGCGGGTGGATTGCTTGAAGCCAGGAGCTTGACATCAGCCTGGCCAACATGGTGAAACCCCATCTCTACTAAAAATACAAAAATTAGCTGGGCGTGGTGGTGCGTGCCTGTGATCCCAGCTTCTTGGGAGGCTGAAGCGTGAGAATTGCTTAGGAGCCCAGGAGGTTGAAGCTGCAGTGAGCAGAGATTGTACCACTGTACTCCAGCCTGTACTTCATGACAAAGAAAATGTACCATTGTACCACTGACAGAACGAGACCCTGTCCCAAAAAAGGAAAAAAGCTCAGTAGATTTAAAACGATAGACATCATACAAAGTGTCTTCTCTGACCACAACAGGATAAAGTTAGAAATCAATAACAGAAGATTTAAAAAAGTTCACAAATTAGTAGAATTTAAACAACACACTCTCAAACAACCAATGGATCAAAGAAATCACAAAGAAATTATAAAATTCTTAAAGACAAATGAAAATGAAAGCACACTATATCCAAACTTATGGGCTGTGGCCAGTTGTGGTGGCTCACACCTGTAATCCCAGCACTTTGGGAGACTGAGGGAGGTGGATAGCTAGAGGTCAGGAGTTCAAGATCAGCCAGGCCAACATGGTGAAACCCTGTCTCTACTAAAAACACAAAAATTAGCTGGGAGTGGTGGTACGTGCCTGTAGTCCCAGCTACCCAGGAGGCTGAGGCATGAAAATTTCTTGAACCCAGGAGGCAGAGGTTGCACCACTGAGCTAACACCACTGCACTCCAGCCTGGGTGACAGAATGAGACTCTGTCTCAAAAAACAAAGAAACAACAAAAAAACACAACTTATGAGTTGTGGTGAAAGGAGTGCTAAGGAGGAAATTTATAGCTATAAACACATTAAAAAAAGAAACACCTCAATTCAACAACATAAGTTTACACATTAAGAAACTAGAAAAAGAAGAATAAAACTAAACCCAAAGTTAGCAGAAGGAAGGAAACAATAGAGATCAGGGCAGAGATAAATGGAAAAGAGAATAGAAAAACAATAAAAAACAAAACCAAAAGTTGGTTCTTCAAAAAGATTAATAAAACTGACAAGACTAAGGAAAAGGGAAACAATCTAAATTACTTAAAACAGAAATGTATTTGAGAATATCTTTATATATTTCTGTCTGTCTGTCTGTCTGTCTGCCTGTCTATGTTTTAGAGACAAGGTCTAGCTCTATTGCCCTGGCAACAATCAGATGCAACCAGAATCAGTGGCACAATCGGCTCACTGCAGCCTTGAATTCCTGGGCTCGCCACTATGCCAGCTCTTTTTTTTTTTTTTTTTTTTAAGAGACAGGATCTTGCCATGTTATCCAGGCTGATCTTGAACTCCTGGCCTCAAGGAATTTTCCCACCTCGGCCTCCCAAATTGTTGGATTACAGGCATGACCCACCATTCCCAGCCTAGAAAGGATTATAAAAGATTACTATAAATAATTGTGTGCTCATAAATTGGATAACCCAGATGAAATAGATGAATTCCTAGACACACAAAACCTACCAAGACTCAATTATAAAGAAACAGAAAGTCAGAATAGACCTAACCTAGTAAGGGAATTGAGTCAGTAATAAGACAATCTCATGACAAAGAAAAGTCCTGGACCTGATAGCTTTACTGGTGAGTTCTGCCAAACGTTTAAAGAAGAACTAACACTGATTCTTTTCAAGCATTTCCAAAGAGTGGAAGAGGAGTGAATACCTCTTAACTCTTTCTATGAGGCCAGCATTACCCTGATACCAAAGCCAAAAACACTGTAAGAAAATAAAACAACAGATCAATATGCCTCT